>NC_000011.10:85209199-86593700 GCF_000001405.40 Homo sapiens | reverse complement strand
AGAAAAAAGATAGGAAGAAAATAGAACAAAATGATACAGTGGCTATCTCTGGGTGATGAAAATAAGGTGTGGTTATTTTTTTCCAACTTTTCTGTGCGTAATATTACTTTCAAACTTGGGAGAAAATGTATCAGAAAATTCCTATTGAACTTAGGGAGATGGAGGTCGGGCTTGTGATCCAGTTCTGCAACTTACTGGTTGTATGCTGAAGTTCTGGAGCCTTTGTGGGGCTCATATGATATATGTGAAAGTATTGTTTTACGAAATATTAAACATGCAACCCAAGTAGGAAATGATAGCTGTTGCTGTCCTTACTATTCTTGCAGCATGTGACACCTTTCGAGAAAGTATTCAAAGCATCATGAGATCCTTTTATGACAGGTGTTAAAATTCCAACAGGTTAGGAATGACATTGTCACTTCCTGGAGGGGGAGCCTACAGTTTCGTGTTGTACGGTGCCTGGTATGTTGCAGGCAGTAGCTAACTTTTACTATGTGAGTGAAGGAGGGTGGAGGAAATCATGGGTCTTCCACATTCATTTGTCAGGGTAACAGTGAACTATAACCCTGGCATACAGAAATGAGTCATTTTCCTGGCAGTGAGCCAAGGCCACAGTCATCTCCAGGAAGCTTCTTTGTTCTCTTTTCATACCCAGTCATGCTGAAACCTTGTAACCCCATGCAGAGGGGTCTGCATTTCACCAGGTTAATAGATAAGGGAGCTGAGGCCTATGGAAGGTTAAATAACTGGCTCACAGTCACACACTTAGTAACCCATGGAGCCAGGACTCAAATGCAGGTGTGTTTGATGCCTGCGTTCTGTGCTCTCCCCCATCACTGTGCCCCTTTCTGAAGGAGTGACTAGGTGGTATATTCCCCAAATCTTGCTAAGTTTGGGGGTTCCTGGGATATTCCAGACTGAGCTGTTTTAATTTCTTCTGTTGTTGCTAGTCAGAAACAAGGAAAACTTGACATCTCTAAATCTGAGTGGGAATTGGGTAAAATGCTCCTTTGTTGCTGGCTTAAGTAGTAACCCTTAGATAAAGGGTTTAATTTCAGATCTGGAGACTGACCTAGTTGCATCCAGCAATTGTCTATGAAAACCTTGCCTTCTCACTGGTTACAATGAGATTCCCAAACACTGTCTCTATGTTTACCTAATTAAACTCACACTTCTCTCCCCTCAGATGTAGTAATGAAGTCACTGTGGCTAGAGGAACATGGGTTTTGTGAAGTGCTCCTTGACATTTGCTTCCTTGAAGATGGATTCCATTTACATTATTCTTCCAAGTGGTATTTTGTCAACAAAGCTCAATAGTCATTTGAGTTTAAATAGCCTATTTCCCCCCCTCAAGGCCTAAGAAACTGGCTTTGAGCAAGTGGTGAGAGCTGAGTTATTGGGAACTTTGTGAAGCAATTGTCTGGTGCTTTAGAAAAAAAAGCAGCAGCCTGGATGTTATAACCCAGGGACATTCTTGTTCAAGTGATTGAATTCCCAACACACCTGGCCATCATTGTCACAGTGCCCATGTCTGTAATGATTAAGTAGGTTAGTGGAGAAGCTGGACTAGCTGGAACAATTAGAACAAAGAATGTGGTCCCAGTTCTCAGGTGGTGACTTTTTTCTCTTAGACCAGACAGGCTTGGACTTCACGTGAGATTTTCTTCATAGGAAGTGTATTAGTTTGCTCAGGCTCCCATAACAAAACACTGCAGACTAGGTGGCTTAAACAATAGAAATTTATTTTCTCACAGTTCTGGACTCTAGATGTCTGATATGGTTTGGCTGTGTCCCCACCCAAATCTCATCTTGAATTCCCACGTGTTGTGGGAGAGACTCGGTGGGAGGTAATTGAGTCACAGGAGCAGGTCTTTCCCATGCTGTTCTCATGAAAGCAAATAAGTCTCACGAGATCTGATGATTTTAAAAAAGGGGAGTTTCCCCACAGAAACTCTGTTTGCCTGTTGCCATCCACATAAAATGCGACTTGCTCCTCCTTGCCTTTTGCCTTGTGAGGCCTCCCCAGCCATGTGGAACTGTAAGTCCATTAAACCTCTTTATTTTGTAAATTGCCCAGTCTTGGGTATATCTTTATTAGCAGCATGAGAACAGAGTAATACAATCTCCAAGATCAAGATACTGACAGGTTTGGTTTCTCCTGAAACCTCTCTCCTTCGCTTACAGATGGCCACCTTCCTGCTGTGACCTCACATGATCCTTGTCCCTCTGTCTGTGTTGTCTGTGTTCTAATCTCCTCTTGCTATGACACCCATCATATTGGATTTGGGTCCACCCTAACAACCCCATTTTAATGCCACTGCCTTTTTAAATGACTTATCTTTAAATACAATCATATTGTGAGGTACTAGGGGCAAGCACTTCATCTCATGAATTTTGGGAGGACCCAATTCAGCCCATAACAGGGGCCTGTGGAAAATCCAGATAAAGCAGTATTGCTATATTCCAAACTCTAAGGGCTGATGTCAGCAACTCCTCCAACTCCTCCAACTCCTCCAGTGCTTTGGCAGCTAATCTGACCCCTACAAAAGGAAAAATATCTTATTGACCCTTAGGATTCCAGTATAAATGCCAAAGCAGTGCTTAGGAACATAAATGGAAGCAGCTCTAGCCCACTCACTAGGTTTGAAACATCCAGGCTTGCATGTCTTCTGCCTTCCCCCCATCGCCCAACACACAAGAAGGAATAGTATCTTGCTTTCTCTCCCTCTGAAATGTACCTTGAATCTATGTTTTCACCTCTACTCCATTTGCACTGGTAGAGCATCTTCTTCCTTCACGTGAACTATGGCAGCAGCCTTATTACTGCCTCATAGTGCTAGTGGGCTCATCAAAGGGAAAATTGGAACAATCCTTGCCTGCTTGATGTCCTTTGCCATTGCCTTCAGTAAAATTAGCTGTTTCTTAGCATGGCACAGGAGGCCATGCTTTAAAACCTTCAGTGGCTCCCCACTGCCTCCAGAGTAACGTAATTAACAAAGCTTTCAGGACCCATGTCATTCTGGTCTGACCTACCCCTCCAGCTTCCCTGCCTGATGCACAGCTGTCCTATCAGCCTCACCTCCCAGGTGGCACAGCACCCAAATCTCCTCTGCCTTGAGGTGCTCTGTGGCTGGTGCCTCCATGCCTGTCCTACTTCCCTTCTCCTGCCTCCAGCTTTGAAAGCAACTGTCCAAAGTTAAAGCCTAATTGAAAAGGTACTTTTCTGTGAAGCTTTCCCCACTGCTCCTCCCAGCCCGCAGGGAGATCTATTCTCTCCTTTCTCTGCAGTCCCATAGCACGTGACACATTTCTGTGTCTGTTCTTATCTTGAATTGTATCATTCTCTTAACCTTGCTTTCTCACTGGGATGTGAGCTCCTTAACAAAGGCACTCTCTCTTTCTCATGTCCGTATCTTCAGTGCCACAGTTAGCCCCACATAGTAGATGCTGAGTAGATAGGTGCAACGTAAGTAGATAGATGAAGTCATGGAAGTCTCTGCATGGCCACGCTGCTGTGGGATTGTTGGGTTGTCTAATAATGTCCTTTGCAAACTTGAGTAACAAACTCCCCTTTGATACTGTCTATGACCAACTCATCTGTGGCAACGCTTTAGTCCTCCGTGGGCCAAGTCTCTTCCCTGGTTTGGGACAGTCAGCAGAAGAGATATAAAGTGCTGAGTAAGTTATATTAAAATTAGATGTGAGAAAACAGAGCTGGGGATAGAGGCTAAAAACACTACTCACCTCAAAAGTCCCACACCCCATCACTGTGATGTGGAACAGCACACACTTAAGAACACCAGGACATGCAGGTGCCAAGTAGCAGCAGCTTGGCTGTTGGAGCTCTGGACCAAGGAGAACATGTTGTGGATATTTACAAGTAAGATCCCTTATTTATGTCATTCTTCATCAGAATAAGATGCAGAAACGTTTTCCAATAGTGGTCAAAAGCAGAAGCCATGCAAGTACTTGCCCATCACAGAAAACATCCCAGTTGGAAGAGACCTAAGTGGGGGAAAAAAATCTAGCCCAATAATTTTTTCAAATAGTTCTCTTGGCCACAGAATCTTTTATTAAAACATACAAAATAGGAAGACCAATGTCTAAGACAGATGAGTATCATGAAAGCTGGATTAAACCACAGTTGGGGAAGTAAGACAGGCCTCTGTTTCCTGACATGCCTTTTCCCACTCCCCACTTGACACCTCTGTGGAATCTCAGAGGATATGCTAGAGTCTTAATGTCCTTGATTGCTATCTCCTAATCAAGTTGGGGACTGATATTCATTCATTCATTCATCATTCATTCATTCATTCATATATTCTCTCTCTTTCTTTCTCCCTCTCCCTCCCCCAACCCTACCCCCATTTATTTAGCTCCTACTACAAGCCAGGCACTAAGGTAAAAATAAATGAAACATAGTACCTGCCCTGAGGAAACCTAAGAGTTTAAATGGGGAGACAGACTTGTAAACAAACACTTGCAGTAAATCTGACAAATATTTTTAGAGCTCTAGGGCTGTGCAGGTGGCAGCAAGTTTACCAAGAAAGGAAAGGGCAGTTGATTCTCCAGTCTGCACCCAAAATAAGGCTGCCTGGATTCCCAGGCCAATGAGATTTCTTCCCAACCCCACTGCTGCTAAAGGAATAAAAGAGGAAGCTTTTCTATTAAGGGCCTTCGAGCTCAGCCGTTATCCCCAGTGGTGCAGAGTGCATGGAGCAGGCCCTGGGAGGTGAGGGAGGGCAGGGGGAGGAAATCTCTCTCAAGCATTGGGGACACACAGCTGCCACCTCACAATGAGCAGGGCCAGCCCCTCAGCACAACTCTTTTGTCTCAGGCTCTGGGGAGTTAGGAAAGGCATTGTGCCCAGAGATCTTTAAATAATGTTGTCACCCATGAGTAAACCTTAGGGAAACCCAGGCTTTCTTTCACTAGAAATGAATTGAGCCCATTAACAGGGGAAAGGGCCCTCCCCTGCCCTTCATACTTCAGTGGATGGACAGGTTATGGAGTGGGTTAGGCCTCTCCATTCAGTAGCCACATTCCAAGGCTCCACTTGAGGCTGCTGTTTTTCCTTCACAGCCTAAGTCCTGAAACAATGGCTCATCCTCCAGCTTGCTGTGTTGCCCTTTCTGCTCTAGTAAGCCAAACGTATTGGGGTTGAAATATGGCGTTTTCTATGGGGTCTCCTTTGACTTAGGAGCCTTGGTAGGACATGAATTTAGTCACCTTGCCATAGTTTCCCCAGTGCATCATCTATATTTGTGTGAGCCTGAGATAGTCCCCACTTACAGTGTGAGAGCCCCAGAAAATTAGTTAAGTAATTAATGTGTGTTAGCAAACAGCTTGTTATATTACTTGTTATATTATTGTTATTACTTGTTGTATTACTTTGACTGAGAGAACTTAAGAACAGAAGGGGACTAATGGGTATTAGAGGTGTATTCTGAACCAGACATTGTTGCCAGGCTTTCTACACTATGATACTGCCAATTAATTGTGAAACTATTTGTCTCTCTCTCCCTCTGGTCTGTAAGCTCCAGGAGGGCAAGACTGTGCCTATCTTGTTCATGCCACAGCTTAGCTCCTAGTACAATGCCTGGCACATAGTAAGGCATACAATTAATATGATGCATAAATACACAAAGGACTTTGTATGATCTTCTGGTGACCTTGTGGAATTAGTATTATTAGCCCATTTTACAGATGAGAAAATTGAGGTTCTAAGAAGTTGAGTAACTTGCTTAAGGCCATACATCCAGACATTAACTGAGACAGTATTAATCCAGGACTTTCAAACAGAACTCTTATTTATAT
This sequence comes from Homo sapiens, assembly GCF_000001405.40. Lineage (NCBI taxonomy): Eukaryota > Metazoa > Chordata > Mammalia > Primates > Hominidae > Homo > Homo sapiens. The sequence goes on along the minus strand of NC_000011.10, from coordinate 86,587,883 downwards.
TTGAGCCAGAAGGCACTCATTTTTGGCAGTGGAACAGAAAAAAGAAGGAAATCCTTTATTTTCCATTGTTCTAAAAGTAACTCAATTTGTTCTGTTATCTTTTTAAATGAGAGAGACCGGTTATTCTCCCTTAGTTACAGTAATTTTATGTCCTACCAGTTTTCTCTCTAGCTAGGTGGGGAGGATGCTTGCTCACACAAACCGTGAATGACGGCTTTTTCTACTGTCTTTCTTTTGAAGTGTGATTCTGACTGGAAAAATAAAAACATTTGGAGGAAAGGAGGAAGGTGTGGGCTACAGTAGTCATGAAGGGCTTTACTCCAGGGGCAAGACTCGAGTTAGGCCTCAGGGATGAGTAAAATTTACCCAGAGGGTTGGACATCACAGCAACCATGTGAGCACAGCACGGTGGGGCATGAGGAAAGCGAAGAGACCCACCCATCTGGAACAGTGACAATCACATCTTGCCACTGCTTAAAAGCCCATCCCTAAGCCACAAGGCTCCCCAGCTGGAAACCAAAGCTCTCCTTGACCTGGGCCTGCCTGCATCATGCCTGCCCAGGCCTGATGAAAATGGTCTCAGGGAAAGACCTCCTCCTTTACCACTGGTCCTCTGGGATTCTGCAGAGCAGCCATGCTGAAGCAAACTGCACTGGCCTCAAGCCAAATGCCTCCTGGGCCTCCGCATCTTTGTGCCTGCTGATTCTTCTACCTGGATGCTTTTCTCCTCCTCTGCCCATCAGCAGAACTTCTACTTGATCTCAGCTCAACTAAGACCTCCTTTACAAAACCTTACCATCTACCTCCTTTGTAACCCTAAGCATTAGTCCCATTCTTCACACTCCTGACTCATTCTTTATTTTCATCTATTTCTCTGACAGACTTTCAGATCTGCACATCCTTGCCACTTCCATTCTCCACCCCATTTTACTTGGCTTTCAGGAACACGTTTCCCTTATATCTTCAGTTCTTTTCACAAGTTCTATCCAACTCTGTCTATCAACTAAAACCTACCCTTACCCTGAGTGACTGCTTCATCCAAACCCCTCTCATATGGAGGTTGCTTATTATTTCACTCTTCGGCTCCCAAGTCAGGACACAGCTAGGTATCCTTTCTTTCCCTAAAACCATTTTCAGAGCTGTTTTCCCCCATCCTTTTATTTAAAAAAACAGCTACCACCACAACAAAATCTGTTTCTCTGCTCCTATTTGAAGAGTTGGGCCATTTAGAGATATTGAACTTTTGTCCTTTTCATCACTGTCATTTACCACCTTTCAATTATTGAGGACTTTGGCACCAGCTTATAGACCTTCTCCACCCAGTCTTGCCATAACCCTGGGTGACTTCAGCATCAATATGTTGGCTTCTCCAACACCCTAGTCTTGGCTAACTGGAATACCTGTCCTCAGCTTCTCCCAGAGTCACACCCTGGACCTCGGCATCTTGTGAAATTCCACCATGTCAGAAATCAGTGATTCTAACAACACACTGTCAACCAGAGATGCTGCCGGGTCAGCTGTCCCCTCGGACCCCACCACAGTCTCCAATCCTACTCAGTTCTCCACTTCACATTTTTCCATTCACTTTTTCCAGCCATTGCTCCTACCCACTAACCTAATCCAACCCAGCTTGGGTTCCACAGGCAATCATTCCCACTTTTCCTGACAACACCATAAACTGTTTGCCCCTATACCTGGAAGTGAGGATTCCATCCCATCAGCATTTAAACATGCTCAAATATCTCCACCTTAAACCACCCCCTTTAGTAGCCAAGCTTTTTGAAAAAGTTTTGTGCATTTGCTGTTTCCATTTTGTCACAACTTTCCTCAAACCACTCCAGTATAACTCCATCAACTCTTCACTGGGTTACGAAGAACCTCCACTTTTCCAAATCCAGTAGATCGTTTTCAGTCATCCTAATGATTTGACCTTTCAGAGAAACTCAGCAGTGTTGGTCACGCCTTCCTTCCTGAAACACATCCTCCTTTGTCACCTGGTGACAACCCATCTTGTGGTTCTCCTTCTTTCTTTCCGCTGTCCCATCTCAGTCTCCTCCTTTATCCAGCCTTAAAAAGCTGGAGCTTCTCAAAGCTCAAGCCAGGCTCTGTTTTTGCTCTAAGCTCTCTCCATAGAGTAATACATACAACCCCATTATCGTTTCAATTGCCATCTTTTTGCTCATCATTTTCAACTTAATTCTTTACCCTCTAAGACCCAGACTTATAGATATGGAACTGTCCACTAACACCTCCAGATAAATGTCTCAAAGGAAAACTCAATGTATATAAAGTAAAACTTGAGATGAGCTCCTCTCCTTCCACTCCCACCCAAAACCAGTCCTGGTCTTCATCATTAGTGTCCCATTTCAGTGAACACCACAACCATTCATCCAGTTGTGATGGCAGTGATCCTTGACCCCTCTCTCTCACTCAACCCCCAAATCTCATCTATCACCAGATCCTGTGCATTTTTTCTCCCCCATGTATCTCTTATCCTCCTGCTTCTCTCCAGCTGCATTCCACCATCCTAGCACAAGCTACCATTGCCTCTTAACTGGACCATTGCAGGAAACTTCTAATTTATCAGCACATTCTTGGACCCTTCCAAAAATTCTCCTCACTGCAGCCAAAATGATCTTTTCTAAAGAACACAGATTTAATTATGCCTCTTCTGTTTAAAACTTTCAGTAGTTTCTCATTGCCCTGAAGCTGAAAACCTAAGTCCTCAGCAAAGTCACCTACACACTGCACAGTCTTGGTCCTGTCTGTGCACCTTCCCTTTTCCAAGCCTTGAACGTGGTGTTTCTTTGCCTAGAAAGCTGCTCAACACCACCCCTACCCCGAGCACCACCACTTGGCCTAATTAACTCTTTTTTGTTGTTATGTTTGAAGATGTATTATTAGTCTTTATCACAGTTTTTTTCACTGTGGTGAGAACATTTGCCATGAGCTCTACCCTCTTAACACATTTTTAAGTGTATAATATGGTATTGTTATCTGCAGACACAATGTTATATAGCAGATCTCTAGAACTTCATTTTTCATAACTGAAATCGTATACCCATTGATTAGAAACTTCCCATTTCCTCCTACCTCTAATCCCTGGAAACCACCATTTTATTATTTGCTTCTATGAGTAGGATTATTTTAGATACCTCATGTAAGTGGAATCAGGCAGTATTTGTCCTTCTGTGACTGGCTCATTGTGTTTAGCATAATGTCCTCAAGATTCATCCATATTGTTGTATATTGCAGGCATTCCATATTTTTAAGGCTGAATAATATTCCATTTTATGTATATGCCCTTTTATCCTCCATTTATCTGTCAAGGGACATTTAGATCCTTTCTACATCTTGGCTATTGTGAATAGTGCTAATACCTCTTTGAGATTTTGATTTTAATTATTCTGGGTAAATACTCAGAAGTGGCATTGCTGGATCATATGGTAGTTCCATTTTTAAATTTTCAAGGAACCTCCATACTGTTTTCCATGGTGGTTACACCATTTTACACTCCCATCAGCAGTGTACAAGGGTTCCATTTTTTCCATAGCCTCACCAATACTTGTTACCTTTTGTTTTTTTGATAATATCCACTCTAACAGAGGTGAGGTAATAACACATTGTGGTTTTAATTTGCATTTCCCTAATGATTAGTGATGTTGAGCATCTTTTCATATACCTGTTGGATATTTGTGTCTTTTCTGGGAACATGTCTATTCAGGTCCTTAGCCCATTTTACAATCAGGTTATTGGAGGGGGTTGCCATTGAGTTGTAAGAGTTCCTTATATATTTTGGAAATTAACTCCTTATCAAATATATGATTTCCAAATACTTTTTCCCATTCTGTAGGTTGCCTTTTCACTCTGTGGATTGTTTTCTTTGCTGTGCAGAGGCATTTTAGTTTGATACAGTCCCACTTGTTTATTTTTACTGTTTTTGCCTGTGCTTTTGATATTGTATCTATAAAATCATTGCCAAGTCCAATGTCATAAAGTTTTTCCCCTATGTTTTCTTCTAGGAGTTTTATAGTTTCAGGTCTTACATTTTACATCTGTAATCCATTTTTCAATATAAGATAAGGGTTAATTTCATTATTTTACATGTGGATATACAGTTTTCTCAATACCATTGTTGAAGACAATTAACTCTTTATTTATCTGTCATATCTCATTTTGGATATTGCTTCCTCAGGGAAGTCTCTTCTAATCACATACCATTCCCAACACAAAGAAAATGACATCAGGACTCCTGGGGTTCCTTATGTCCTTTAACAGCATCCACTGCACCTGCTTTGTAGTATTTCTTCGAATGAATTAATTAATTGGGTGATTATTTATTTAATAGCTGTCTTTACTATTAGAAAATGAACCTTTGTTTTTCCCAGCTAACAACCACTGCCAGACATACTTCATTATACAAAGTAGATGCCCTACAAATTTTTGAGGAATGAATAGCATCACTTTATTTGATAACCATTTTCGTTTGAATGACAAATCACTACATCTTGTATTCGGTTGGTGCAAAAGTAATTGCAGTTTTTGCTTTTAATGGCAAAACCCACAATTACTTTTGCATCAACCTAATATCTGCTGTGTCAACTCCCCCAGTGGAATGTGAGATTTAGGCTTCATCATCTTTCTTTCCACGTATACCTAGCACTATGTATATCACACAGTCTGTGCTCATTAAATGAAAGAGGGAATGAATGAATGAATGAATGATTAGGCTGAGTAAACAGGGTGGGTCTGGTGGTGGACAGCTCAAAAGAGACAGCATAACCCTTTCTAAGATCCTTATCTGTAAGCCTTGGGTTATCTGGTTTGCATAAACTTTCAGCCATAAAAATGCTTCGGAAATTTGTTCCCTATAAAAAGCCAGCCTCTGATCTTGGTTTCTCACCAAGTTTTAACTGCCACTAACGCCCAGATACTTAACTTGAAGCTTCTGTTCTGTCTTCTTTTTTTTTTTTTCCTTACCATGGATAATACAGAGAAAGCCTTTTGTTTCAGACTCGGTGGAAACAACTGGGCCTCTGTGTTGTGTGCAGGTGAGGCAACTGATTTTCTCTAGTTATAAACTTACCCAGTAGCAGGACTCCCGTGGGGTTTTCTTCTAGGGGGAAAGAGATCTCACTACAACAGTGTCGGACCAGTGCTATCATTGTGCTTTAGCAGTATGCAGTTTTTATATTTTAAGGCACTAACATTAATAGATAATTACATTAAGTAGCAGTATTTTTCCTTCTTGTCATTGCTGCTCATTTAAAAAGTCCTATCTTTACTAATAAGTCAGCACTTATCCACTCTCCTTAGGAAATGCTCCAAATTGAATTTCTATTGAGATATTTCCCAAGGACAAGGTTGTCACCTCTACTTCTGAATGTGTGTTAAGGATTAGCATTTGTACAGGACTTTTATCTTTCTTCTGGTGCAGTTTCTCATAATCACCAGGGGTGCAGGTAAAAAGCCCTGGAATCAACATTTACAGGTAGGGGCCAAGGACTTGAATTTTAACCCACCAGCTAAGGTGCTTCTGATGCACACTGAATTTTTAATTTTAAATGTAAGTTTCAATCAATGTCTTCTTCATCCTCTAATCCACTATACTGATTAGTAGATGGGCACAGAAGGTCATTCCCAACAGAGGAACTACCACATGCACACAAAGAGGTATGAAAATGCCTGCTTCTTCTGGGAATGGTATAGTTTGCTCTATTAAAGGCCACCCATGGAAGAGTGGCTGGTGGCAAAGCCAAAAATGATGCACAGCTTATGAAGAGCCTTGCAGGCTTTGCTAAAGATGTTTTAAGTTAGCAAGAAAATTATCAGATTTGGTTTTTGGAAAATGACAGTCTGGCAGAAGTTCTAAAAGGTGTATTCCAGGGGCAGAACAGTAGGAGTGAAGACTAGAATTCAGGAGTTGCAGGATTTTAGTTTAATAGCAGACAAGGTGTGATTTCAATATTGGAAAGAACAGGGATTATAAGGAGGATGGATAACAGAGGAGGAAATTAGAACTATTCAGGAGATAGAAAATCACTGAACTTATTAATGACTTGACTGCATATATAGGTTGAGTGGTGAGGAATCCAGGGTGACTCTCCAGTTTTTACTGGGTTACTGGGTAGCTGGTGGTACCATTGCTGAGTAGGGAATGCAGGAAGATGAGCTTGGTTTGGGGCATGTGGTGTTTGACATGCCTCTGAGACATGTATGTGGGGATAGCCAGCAAGCAGATGAATGTATGCATCTGGAATTAAAATGATTCTGGGGACATAATGCAAAGCATTGCTCTTGCTTGCCATCAACTTTTTACCCAAACTGCTTCACTTAAAATGCAATAGTTGACATTAATTTAGTGAGTCCTTTCTAAGCATCAGGCACTCTGTTGCACACTTTACACACATTATGAGTTATTTTTTTCCTAGGGGAGAAAACTGAAACTTGAAAGGTTAAAATATACCTAGGCCATGCAGCTAGTAAGGGTCAGAGTTGACATTCAAACTTTGGCAGTCTGATCCATCACTCATAATCATTATCCTATGCTACAGTATTCCTCAAAATGTTTAAATCACAACCTATCGTTAAAAGTACACTTTATACCACAAGCTAGTACACATACATACCAATTACACATGGATGCATGTGTATACACACACATACACACACAAGCAAAAGTTTAGCAAAACAGTACTTTTATTAAATGTGAGGCAACCTGCTATTTTCTACTGAAATCTATATATTTTTTTAGATGTTGGTTTCTCCTTACTATTTCACGGCCAGAGTTGGATTGAATTTGACAAACCCTGCTGTATTTTATTCCCCTGGGGAGAATATTTCACTTCAATTCCCAGACTTTGTCATTCCTGCCTTTTGGAAGAGAACACTTAAATGTTGTTGTATGCTTCCCCCTTTTCCTCTAGAGAAGGTATCCAAGGTTAAAAGCTGGGATATTGTGGGATAAGGCCGACCAGGAAACACCTACTTTGGTAGACTGATCAAACCTTGTCTCTAATGTGGCTGACAAAGGTGATTGCAAAATGTCCAAAATCACAACAAAGAATGCAATGCTTAAAATTTGTGCAAAAAAATGATTATTTTGCACAAATGGACTGCAGTGGCCAGTATGGATGGCAGTGGCCAGCAGCACACAGACCTGTGTTTACATTCCAGCTCTGCTACTTATTAACTGTATAATCTTGGGTAGGTTTTCTATTTCGTAGGGATGTGGCAGAAGGACAAAACTGAAATAGTGCCTTAGTTCATTCTATACCTACCACAAGAGTATTTGATATTAAGACTGAAGTAGTGTTAATATCTTTATTAATTTAAGTTATAAAATACAGACCCACAAACTGAGCATTCATCTATAAAAGCAAATTAAAATTTCCATACTATTCAATGATGACCCAATCAATCATTCAGTCATGTATTTAGTCAATCAGCATTAATTTAGAACAAGCTATTACCTACTGGTAATTAAAAAGAGACTTTAAATATTAACTTTACTTACCAGAAGATACAGGTTTTAGAAAAGCCTGGTAGCCAAATGGCACTAAATGTAGTCTCAGGCATGCCATCATTTATTTTGAGGCATTTGGAGGAGAGGTCACTCTGCAGGTCTCTGTGAACATCAACATCGCTTCCTTCAGGGTCGACAATGTCAATCTAGAACAGCAGAGCCACACTTGCAGGAATTCCAGTGACCTTTCCGGAAATCAAGAATGGAAAGGAACAATTTGACAAGGTGCATGTAGCCCCTAAACATATAGATTCTCGAGCTAATCATGTTTATGAAATGAGAAAATATTTTTAAAGATTCTCAAATTCATAAGTGCAAGAATTAGATTCTATCTCAGAAAGGGACAAAGAAAACAACTCAATGTTGATTGTATCAGCTAAGCACTGGAAAGAAGGAAAACTCAAAAGGTTTGAAGTTCCAAGGTTCCATATTTTCTTTTCACTTTCTTTTAATATAAGTCTAATAAAAAATGGGAATGCCATTCAAACAGCATTCCCAATAGCTGAACTTCTAACTTGGAATCCATTGACCTTTGAGTTTCTCTATTAATTTTAGATCTGCATTAGGTCACTATCACCAGTTAAAATTTATCAACCACCTATCCTTAAATTCCAAATAAGTGGTACCCAAACTGTAATTATTAAGGAAAATGAATAGAATGGATTGAGGATAGAGATTAAAGGAGGAGGAATAAACAGGGCAGGAAATTCTAAGGACATTCCTAGGCTGCTGTGCCTCTCAGAAACACCAGGTTCATGAATCGGTTGTTCTCCACAGTACTCAGCATCTGGTAATGGCCTGGTCACAGCTGTGTTTAGTGAGAGCCTCAGATGTTCCAGCCAGTAGCTAGACACATGACACTCAGGGAGCTTGGCTATTATGATCTTCAGTCCCCCACTGAGGACACTGAGAACAGAGAGAGAACTTTAGAAAGTTCCCTGTGATCACATGGCCAGTTGGAGCAGAGACATTATTTGAAGCCAGGAACACCAACTCCAAGGCCTGATCTCCCTTCTCTGTGGCCCACTGCCTCTCATGGGCAAGTTTGGACCTGCACACCTGAGCTCTAGTAAATGTACCACTTGTGCTATTCTGCTGAGCATTGAGTCTGCTGGGCACGAAACCAGCCTACATAATTTGAAATTAATTCTGAAATATGAAAGGGTATAAAGAATACCGGTTCAAATGAAAAGATCATTAGACTGAAACTCAGTGAAGGCAGGGGCTATATATATTTAGTCTCTTAATGTATATCTAATGCCTAGTACAGAGCTGGTACTCAAAACATACTTGTTAAATGAATAATTCATTTAATATGAATGAATTAATGAGCCAACAAGGTGAAATAGAACTCAAAATTCAAGTCTCATTTCTAGAACTTGCTAGAGCCATGATTTTAGGCAAATCATTGAACTCTCTCAGCCTCAACTTTCCTATCTGCAAAATGGGAATGACACTTTGACAGCCTACCACATAGGGCAGTGGTTCTAATGAGTAGCAAAGTTTCAGAACTACTATCATAGCAAATAAAACTGCTTTGTAGACCCTAACAAAGCAGTGAAGTGTAAACAGTTGTTACAAATTCAGTCCAAAATGGCCTCTGGATTTTGGAACTCCTGCTTCTTGGTGTCAAGACAGAGAGGGTGACTGATCGCTGTGATCTCCTGTGCACCACAATGGTCCACTTTCTTCAGGACAAAATGACTTCCTTCCTGGTTCACCTGATAAGGTGGCAGAGTTGAGACTGAAGCCCAGGAGAATGAGGATTTGGTTCATATTAGGGCTGGAACAGGTTAACAGCCATCTGTTGGACACTTGCCCTGTCAGATGAGCTTGTCCTTGGTTGTCTCGTGTCCAGTTCTGGCACCCCGCCCACTTATTCGCACGCACCAGGAATGCATGTACAGTGCCTATTCTGAGACCCTCCCAAAGTGTGTCTGTTTGTTTTCTTCCTTCTGGTCACAGTTCATCTTTTGACCCAGTCCTCCCAAGCTGAGTCCATCAAAGTGCTGTTGTGTTGCTGGAGGAAAGAGGCTACTTCCCTTGTTCTCTGCTGCTCCCCTGCCTGTAACCTTCCTCTGCTATTACTTTGTTGCAGTCCAGCTGACTCAGAGGGCCATTAGGGTGCCAAGAACAGTATTATTTAAATTTTAAATAATAGTCTCTTGGGAAGAGAGGGTCATGAAACATTCAGAATAACACAGGGAATTTTGCCAAGAGAGTGATTCATAATCTTTCCAACTATCCACCTCTGTTCCCTTGTTCGGTCGGGATGGACAAAATCCTAAAGTCACCAAGTATTTCAGGAGCAGATATGAAATTTCTCTTGAAAAGAAATGGAATCTCTTCCACGCTGGTTCTTATCCAACAACTTCGCAAAAACTAATCTTTCAATAGCAAAACAATTGAAATAGCCATTATTCTCAAATGTTGTTGTATGGCATTTACTAGCCACACACCCTTGACATGTCATTGACCCATCTAAGCCTAGATATTTCCTCCTATAAATGGGGATAATAAAACCAGCCTGTCTAGGATCAAATGACGTAAGCCATATGAGAGCATTTTAGAAACAACGAAGCAGTAAAAATATGCAAGATATTATTTATCATTGGCAAAGATATTGGGCAAGGCATATAGACACTTGTGTAATGAATTTTATTTTTATAAAGCACTTGAGTTAATAACATAGAATATAAAAATGAGCTCATTTTTTAAAAAGTTATGATTCCTTTCACTTCCCCTGGAATGGGAAATTCTTCATTTTGGTTAATATGCTGCAGGAGGCACCAACTTAATACCAACACTGTGCCAAGTGAGGTTTTAGGAGCTGTGTGAGGAAAGTAGTGGCAGCCCTAGCATCTAGCAAGGCACCCAGAACAGAAGAGGCCCCCGACATTTGTTGAATGAACAAGTGAATGAATAAACAGGCTGCAGAACTTCCACTCTTCCATGGAGGAAGACAGTGTTTAGGAAAGCAGCCTGAACCTCCAGAAATCTAAGGTTGGGGTTGGCAGTCTTCTCATTCTCATTCAGCAGAGTGCTGTGAGGACCCTAGGAGGTGTGTGCATGTGACTCCAAGGCCCTCCTCAGCTTTGCTTTTCTGATCCCCTATCTGTGCAATCTCTTTGGCAATGATCTGGGTCAAAATGGACTCAGTGCTGTCTGAGTAACCTTGTTTCTCTAAATGATATTGGGTCATTTGCTTGTTTCCTAAAGCACAGTTGTGTCCATTGAAGGTGAAAACAGGCTTTAGAATGGGAACAGGGGAGGGGGAAATCCTGCCCAAAGAGTGATGAGATAAGAAGCTTTCCATCCTGCTTCTACCACAACAGGAATCCAGGGGACTTGGCTGATTATTTGAAAGGAAAGATGGCAGAATTGGGTTTGGAACATAATGAGCTTAACATTCAGGTAAAGAAAAGATGCAGCCTAGCAGTTTCCAAATTTGAATAGAATCAGAGCCAGCTAAGGGAATTTAAAAATACATAGGTTCTCTGATTCCCCAGCATAACTGCCAGTTTCTGGGGATGCTTTCAAGTGCTTTTGATGGTACAACTGCCAGGCTGGGACTCTTGGTCTACCAGGAAGAAGCACATGTGAGCCCTGAATGAAGAAGCACACAGCAAGAAATGTAGCTGAGGGAGGACTTCAGGCTGGGCCCACATTGAGGAGCACCCAATGGTGGTGCAGCAAACCAGAGAGGAGAGAAGGGGCTCTTACCAGTATCTCCAGGAAGGGCACATAAAGGAAGGAAATGGGACCAACAAGTCAGTCAGTACTGCAGGGGACAGTGCAAGAGCTGATCTGCCCTGAGCTTGCTCAGGCAGGCAGCACATGGAAGAAGTGGTCCTCCTGAGCCCCACTCTGAGATTTCAGCTGCAGAAAGCCCCAGGAGGGAAGGGTGAATAGAAGCAGAATGGACAGGAGAGGCTGGGTGCTGGGGATGGACACTGTTCCTCTCTCCACCTTGACCTCCTCTCGCCTCCAAAGGTTTGAAGTGCACTGAGGCAGAGGGGAGGCGGCAGTGCCTGTTACTATCATTAAGATCTGTGTGGCAACTTCTCTTGGCCTCCTCTCTTTAGTTACCTCCTGTCACCTCCTCCAAAAAGCCTTGGTTATCCACCTCCCCCAACCACTTTCCTCTAAGCTTCTCACAGAGAATTAATCATGTCCTCATCTTTGTTTTTAAGGAACAAATAACGATGTTAGCTACCTACCACTCACTGAGTACTTAGTGGTGAAGACTTGGCATATCTTATTACATATAATCCTCATAAATCAGCATTTGAAGCAGGGATTATTATTCCAGCTTTGTCGATGAGCAAACTTCTGTTCAAGAGTTGAATGATATGCTCAACATCACAAAACTAGAAGTTGCAGACTTTCAGACCCAGAACTGCCTGATTCCAAAGCCCAGCTCTTATTCACAATTTCACACTCCACTTTATCAACCACTAAGGGCCCCCTACACCAACTTTCTTGATAAAGTGGGACTCACAGACTTTCATTCATTTGTTCATTTATTTAACACATGCTATAAAGTACCTATGTACTAGCATTGTATTGCGGTTGCAAAAATGAATAAGACCAAGTCATGGCCCTGTCTTCGGGGAGAACAGACTCACAAATAGATAGTTGCAAGGCAATATGTTGAAGCCTGGTAGAGGCGTGCATGAAGCTCTGAGGGAGTGTGAGTCACTGCACCCAACCTGGGGGGGAGCACGTCATCCACTTCATCTCTGTCTCCTCTAAAAGGCAACCAAGTCCTCTCAGAAATGATTGCCAACAGTCCCAAGTTTATTCTTATCTCAGAGAAAGGGGCCAATGATGCTACATTAGTTATTCCTATCATTGTTAATAACTTTAATATTTATATTCCAAATCATTTCCTTGCACATTATCTTTGCTGAATCACCTACATCTCTGTAAAGTAGATGAGGTACATATTATTCCCATTTCCCAGACAGGTAAAACCAAGGTCTAGAGAAATAACTCCCTTTCGTAATGTGACAAGAGGGTAAGAACATTAGCTAAAGTGGACCCTCTACATCTTTGCCGCATTTATCCTAGTAACTTGGAACCAGAAGCTTACGTGGGGTGGAGGTGACAGCAAGCATGAGGAGTTCACCCTGGAGCACATTTTCCAAAGGGTTTTGTCTCCAATGGCTGTTTAATGCATTGGCACAACAGTTATTAGAAGCACATTTTAAAAATGTTAGAAGCTGTATGAAGACCTTGAGATATGTTTCAAGGGCAGAGAGTGATGCCTTTTTTACTATGACTGCTTCCCATACACTGAAAGCAGGCTGTGTCCACACCCACACCTTGCTGCATCTGAGAACAAGTTGGCCCCTGCCCAGGCTGGACAACCTGTCAGGGTTGCAAGCTGCCAGTGTTCACAGAAAATGGAGTGAACATCCTTGGAATTTGCAGATACCTTCACATGGAAGGCTTTTTAAAGTGGTACCTCCTTTGAAACTCAGAAGCTTATAAAGAAAACTTCTTCAGCAGCTGTTTTACAGAGTTTTTTGACTTTAAAAACTTTCCCGCCCCTTCCTTTTAAGAGCGACTACGAGAAAGTTGACGTACTGAGTCTTCTCTCAGATTACAAGAGGAAGCCTCCACATGGGAAGCCTAGCAGTTGTCTGGAATGCTGTGACTTATGACTCTTCTGTAGTCATATGTCACATAGGAACTCTGCCGGAAAAAGAGTTCTGACTGGCATCAGGCCAGTGCCCCTCTGGGACAAAGCTTCCAGAGGAAGGAGCAGGCAGCAATCTTTGCTGATCTGCAACCTCCACTGGTGATACCCAGGTGAACAGGGCTTGGAGTGGATCTCCAGCAAACTGCAGTAGACCTGCAGAAGAGGGGCCTCAGTGTTAGAAGAAAAATAAACAAACAGAAAGCAAATACAACAACAACAACAACATCAACAAAAAAGACACCCCCCCCCCCCCCGGCAACAAATACCCCATCCAAAGGTCATCAGCCTCAAAGATCAAAGGTAGATAAATCCGGGAAGATGAGGAAAAACCTGTGCAAAAAGCTGAAAATTCCAAATGCCAAAATGCCTCTTCTCCTCCAAATGATCTCAACACATCTCCAGCAAGGGCACAAAACTGGATGAAGAATGAGATTGACGAATTGACAGAAGTAGGCTTCAGAAGGTGGGTAATAACAAACTCCTTTGAGCTAAAGGTACGTGTTCTAACCCAAAGGAAGGAAGTTAAAAACCTTGATAAAATGTTCCAGGACCTGCTAACTAGAATAACCAGTTTAGAGAGGAATATAAATGACCTCAATAAATCCTCAATAAAATACTGGCAAACTGAATCCAGCAGCACATCAAAAAGCTTATCCACCACAATCAAGTCAGCTTCATCCCTGGGATGCAAGGCTGGTTCAACATACATAAATCAATAAACGCAACATATCACATAAACAGAACCAATGACAATAACCACATGATTATCTCAATAGATGCAGAAAAGGCCTTCAATAAAATTCAACATCCTTTTATGTTAAAAGCTCTCAATAAACTAGGTATTGATGGAACATATCTCAATATAATAAGAGGTATTTATGACAAACCCATAGCCAATATCATACTGAATGGGCAAAAGCTGGAAGCATTCCCTTTGAAAACCGACACAAGACAAGGATGCTGTCTCTCTCCACTCCTATTTAACATAGTATTGGAAGTTCTGGCCAGGGCAATCAGACAAGAGAAAGAAATAAAGTGTATTCAGATAGGAAGAGAGGAAGTCAAATTGTCTCTGTTTGCAGATGACATGACTCTATATTTAGAAAACTCCCGTCTGTCAGACCAACAACTCCTTAAGCTGATAAGCAACTTCAGCAAAGTCTCAGGATACAAAATCAATGTGCAAAAATCACAAGCATTCATATATACCAAAAAAAAAAAAAGACTAAAATGTAAAACCCAAAACTATAAAAACCCTAGAAGAAAACCTAGGCAATACCATTCAGGACATAGGCATGGGCAAAGACTTTATGACTAAAACACTAAAAGCAATTGCAACCAAAGTCAAAATTGACAAATGGGATCTAATTAAACTAAAGAGCTTCTCAACAGCAAAGGAAACTATCATCAGAGTGAATAGGCAACCTACAGAATGGGAGGAAATTTTTGCAATTTACTCATCTGACAAAGGTTTAATATCCAGAATCTACAAGGAACTTAAACAAAATTACAAGAGAAAAACTACCAACCCCATCAAAAAGTGGGCAAAGTATATGAACAGACACTTCTCAAAAAAGACATTTATGCGGCCAACAAACATATGAGAAAAAGCTAAACATCACTGATCGTTAGAGAAATGCAAATCAAAACCACAATGAGATATCATCTCATGCCAGTCAGAATGGCAATTATTAAAATGTCAGGAAACAATAGATGCTGATGAGGCTGTGGAGAAACAGGAACACTTTTACACTGTTGGTGGGATTGCAAATTAGTTCAACCATTGTGGAAGACAGTGTGGCAATTCCTCAAGAATCTAGAAGCAGAAATACCATTTGACCCAGCAATCCCATTACTGGGTATATACCCAAAGTAATATAAATCATTCTACTATAAAGACACATGCACATATATGTTTATTGCAGCACCATTTACAATAGCAAAGGCATGGAACCAACCCAAATGCTCATCAGTGATAGACTGGATAAAGAAACTGTGGTAGATATATATGATGGAATACGATGCAGCTATAAAAAACGAGATCATATCCTTTGCAGAGACATGAATGAAGCTGGAAGCCATCATCCTCAGCAAACTAACACAGGAACAGCAAGCCAAACGCCGCATGTTCTCACTCATAAGTGGGAGTTGAACAACGGACACATGGACACAAGGAGGGGAACAACATACATCGGGGCCTGTTGGGCAGTGGAAAGCAAAGGGAGGGAGAGCATTAGGAGAAATACCTAATGCATCCAGGGCTTGAAGCCTAGATGATGGGTTGATAGGTGCAGGAAACCACCATGGCACATGTATACCTATGTAACTAACCTGCACACTCTGCACATGTATCCCAGAGGTTTAAAAAAAAAAAAATTCCCTTTAGTTATTTTGTCCAGGGCTGCCCGCAAGTAAGAGCCTTCATACACCAGGTTGCAGACTATTTCATAGCTTTACTGGATGCAACAAAGCCCAGCAAAACCCAGCTGTGAGACGTGCTAGTTGTTTCCAGTATATACCCACATGGGCTTCTGGGAAGAAAGATTCATTCTTTGTTCCACCTGTTATAGGAATTCCTGCTCCTTGGATTTTATTTTTCTATTTTACATTCAGTCATTTTGTTTTGTCTCCTCATCCTTGACTTTTTAAATCACTCACTGTGAAAGTTGTGCTGCCTCTTCTGAAGTTTCCCCTTAGCCTCACATCGTTAAACTTCCCTTCCTTGGAGGAGCTGGGCTGGCCAGAAAGAGGATCCCAAGCTCCTCTGAATGCCTCTCCTGCCTGCTGCCTCCCAGGTGTGGCCACAGGCCCTTAGGGCCCTTCCCTTGCATTACGTTAATCTCTAACTCCTATTTACCCTGCCCTCCCCAGCTTACTCCACAAAACAAACCATCACTCTGCATCAAGGCAGATCAGGGTTTCTCCACCAGGTGGCCAGAGCCGGACCCAAAGTCAGGGTTCTGAGTCTGCAGTTCCCATGCTTTCCATTAGGCCAGGCTGGGAGTGATCCGCCATGTGGGAAAGATCTGCACTGTCCAATACAGTATGTGACTCTTTATATTTAAATTAATTAAAATTAAAGGAAAATACAAAATTCAATTTCTCAGTTGTACTGGCCACATTTCAAGTGCTCAATAGCCACAGTGTGGTGGTAAGTGGCTACCACATTGGACAGCGCAGATACAGAACATTTTCCTCATTGCAGCACTGAGCAGACTAATGTTGCTGTTCTAGTGAGGGCAGGCTGCCACAAACTAGTTATAGGAATGGCTCACCTAGAGCCTACAGAGAACTGGAACCTTCTATATCTTTCCATTGCTGGTTCCCCAAGATTTAAAATAGGACCAAGCACAGAAGACACTTAATACTTTTTTGTTGAAGAAATGAATGAATCCATCCATCCATTTATTTATTGAATACTTATCCTGTATCAATTACTGTGCGAGGCAGAAGGAATATGCAGTTCATTGAGACAGAGTCCCTGACCTCAAAAAACTTATCATCTTGCAGGGAAAAGAGTCAAGAAGGGACTATGAAGTGCAATTGCCAAATTGCTTATAACCCTTAACCTAAAAAGATTTAAAACTGTAATAGGCACAGCCTTTTAAAAACTTTTTAAAACCTCATCTTTGAATTCACAGAAATTTTAACATTCTCCTTTGACACAATGACCCAGTAAAGGCAGCAGAGTCAGAGAAGTCAAGTAATTTCTCCAGGATCACACAGCCAGGGGAGGAACTGAATGCAGAACTTTTGTTGTCCAGTTCCCTTCCCACTCCCCCATGCTGGCTGTGTGAGCACAGCACCTCCATGTACTGGCTGAATCCCATGGAAGGAAAATTGAATCCTATCTCCCAACCAGAACAAGAACTTCTGTGTACGTCATACATGGAAGGTTGCAGGCAGTGCAGCCCATGGCACCAGAGCCCAATCTTTGAGATTTAGGCTGGTTTAGAGTTGGTTCTGGGCGGTAATGAGCAGCATATCCTCCACTCCCCTCTTAGGAATTTATGATGTGTTTCTGGATCTGTAATGTTGCACCTGATCACAGAAATATGTCTGGGAGGAAGGCCATTCTCAGGTCTGTGTCTGCGGAGACTTCCCAATGCTGTGTTTCTGAGATCCCCATATATCCATCTCAGGAGTGTGCTCAGGGGCTCTCATAAAGCTGGGGTTCAGTGCAGGGAACAGCAGCCTCAGTAATCACATTTCCTGTCTCCAACCAGAATCCCCATCACCCTAACTCATAAAAATCCCAAACAAATAGAGTCAAGAAGGAATATGCACAAGGAGGAGGAAATGCCTCCTGGTCCCCTAACAGCTCATCAGCTTAAACTGTACAATCTCAGAGCTAATTGCCCACAGCTCTATCCCAGCTATGCTACCCTCTATGCTGCCACGGTTGATTGATGGAGGAAGCCGGTTATAGCATAAGCAGTCAGCTCAGAGCATGACGTAATGATGTATGGAACAAAATACCTTTACTGTTACACGGTGTCTGCTAATCCTTCCTTCCAGTAATGATGCTGGTAAAAGGAAACATGGCTGTGTGTGTGCCGTGGGCCAGGTGCATGAACTCAGAAGTGCAGGCACACCTGTTTGCAGGTGGGCTGACTGATCTGAGGCAAATACAGAGGAATGCTCAACAGTAGCTGAAGTCTAAGATACCTGGCTCTGTAGGTAAAAATAATCACATCCCTAATCAAAAAAACTCAACTCAGTCAACAACTTTTAAAATCTTTCAAGTCTTGAAGCTGTTGATTAGCTCAGAGGAAAGACTCAGAAATTTGGAAATATTTAGGCCTGGGTTCTACTCCTGGTTTTCCCACCAGCTTGCTGTGTGACCTTGGGCAAGTTACTTACCACTCTAACCTCAGTTTCCTAGTCCACAAAGTGGGGATAATAATCATCATACCTTCCTGCCGGAGTCAGAGAATGAGAGGACACGATGAGTGTAAAGTATCTGTCTCAGTGCCTGACCCAACCTAGTGGGTATCCAATAAAAGGTCATCATTGTTATTATGGATGATGATATTATGTGCAATAACCTTGCATTAGCTTCTTCAAACTCTCTACCTCCCCACCACCCTGAGTTTATTATCTAGTAGTTACAACTCAAGAAATCAAATAGGAGACACATCGCATGTGCTAAACTGTGTGACACTGACTCTGAGAGAAGGGGGAGAGCTGTGTGGAATGGTGGAGGCAGGGAGGCCTCCTGGAGGTTGCAGGTAGTCGACTGTGGATTGGAAGCAGGGGAGGAGGAAGGGGTCAGAGAATGGGGAACAGGGGTGCTGGTGTGAGTCAAAGCGCAACAGCCAGAATGCATGTGTGGGAAGAACACACAGGGCTGCAAAGGCCGGCGTGGTGCCTGAGCCCATGGACAAGCAGTTACGTTGTGATGTGGTAATGTCACTTCAGCCACTGTCTTGCAGCCCCTTCTGCCAGACTAGCTCTGGACCGTCCTTCAAGGCTCCTCTCCAGCATCTGCTCATGAGCTCTCTTATGTCACCCTGCCCCGTGAACACAATACTAATAGTAATAAGGAGAACAGCTGGTGTTCACTGAACCCTTCCTATGTGCCAATATCTGTGCTAAGCATGTTACCTGCATTATTTCATCTAATCCCACAACACATGAAATGGGCAGCACTTCATTTAATAAGTGGGAGAAGCAGCTTGCCCAAGGCAGAGGCCCAGGATTGGTATTGTATGTTAACCCACATGTCTCCTCTAGTAGACACTTGAGGACAGTGACCAGGACCTGTTCTGTTCAACAATCCCCAGTGCCTAACATGACAGTCCTGGCCCAAAGTAGGAACTCATGGGTGTTTGTTGAATGAAGGAGAAGAGATTGTCAAGTACACAGTAGGGCTCTGGGTCTAGAGGCACTAGGCAGATCACAAAGCAGTACTGGGAGACTGACCCCTGGACAAACTCAGACATAAGGAATGGGCACTGGGAAGCCCAGGCCTCTGAAGAGCAGAAGGCTGGGACAGAAGCACCATCTAAGGGGCTTGCTGCCTTTGCGCCCTGCCATTTGATGGTGGGAGCTATTGAAATATCCTCCCTCTGATGCCAGTAAATTTCATCCTGGTAACTTGGGCATGGCTGAGCCCATGGGTAAATAGAGTTCAGTAGCTGAACCAGAGATGATCATTCAGGAAAGCTGATGAAATAGGTAAAGTCAGGAGTGATAGGTAAAAGATTTAAAATGGTTCGGCATAAGCACTGACCAGTCGAAATGGTCACAGGTCTTTAGTGCTAGGGAAGGGTCTTGAGGCCTCCTACTATTCCAGACATTAACCCATTGGTTGTTAGATCTTGAGGAGATCCAAAGGTTCCCTGGGAGAATCCAGAGCAGGTGGGGACTACACCTGACTTGGAGAGGTCAGAGCAGTGGCCCTGTAACAGATGAGACATTCAAAACTAGTAACAATAGTCAGGTCCCTACCAGCATGTCCTCGCTGAATTCCACAAGGGTATTAGGTTAAAATATGACTGTGAGAATCAGCCATTTTTCAAAAGCCGCCTGTCTTATATTGAGAGTTTTGTTAAAACCAGATAATATAATCTGTAACTCTATTTACTAGACACACGGAAACTGTAACTTCTCAATGTGGTAAGAATGAATAAGGGCCCCAGCATCAACTCCTCTGACTTGTACATGTTGTACAGTCCCTACTCTTACCTTCAGACCCCTCATATACCCCATGACTTTTTTACATACACAGAACAAGCATCTGAGTGCCGATTAGCAAAGTTTATTTCTTTTGTAGAGAAATATAAGTTCTCACACTTCCCCCTTAAGCCCTAGTGAACTGTCTTGTGCCTGTCCTATGTTGGAGGCCGTGGTGCAACTACAGTGCCTTCATTTCTGCTTTGCAGACTTGTAAATCTGAGGTTGCCTTAATATTAGCTTCAGGATGAAAAGTAGCTTCAAGAAGTATTATCTTGTAATCCCTGAAATTACCAGCTGCTAAACAGTCATCCCTTTTCCTCAAATACAAAAGAAGGTGGCGGCAGTCAGCCAAGAAAAACATTTCTCCTTGTAGAGAGAAGTGGACTGTTCTGAAAAGCCACAGTGATCATTAACAAAGATGATGTCATAATTAGATACCTGGGCCTCCCTAAGGTGCTCTGAGCCAAGGAAAGATGATCATAGTCTTTACCGAGGCAGTGAACAGTCGCCTGCCTAAAGGCTTTTGGTGAAAGTGCCCAGTCTCTGGCACTCTTTTATGATAAGTTGTCCTTATTACTTTGTAAAAATACAAAAGAAGCCCAGTATTCAAAGTTTTACAGATCCCAAATTACAAAATAAAGAGGAAATTGGGAGTAGCCAAGGAGTCTAACTTTCATTCACTCTTTTCCTCCCTTCCTTCCTTCCTTCCTTCCTTCCTTCCTTCCTTTCTTTCTTTTCTTTCTTTCTTTCTTTCTGACAGAGTTTCACTCTTGTTGCCCAGGCTGGAGTGCAGTGGCATGATCTTGGCTCACTGCAACCTCCGCCTCCCAGTTTCATGCGATTTTCCTGCCTCAGCCTCCCGAGTAGCTGGTATTACAGGCATGCACCACCATGCCTGACTAATTTTGTATTTTTAGTAGAGATGGGGTTTCTCCATGTTGGTCAGACTGGTCTTGAACTCCCGACTTCAGGTGATCCACCCGCCTCAGCCTCCCAAAGTGCTGGGATTACAGGTATGAGCCATCGCGCCTGGCCACTCTTCTTTTTTTATCCACTCCTTTCTCACAACTCCCCTGACACCCCACCACATTTTCTGAGGTCCGTCTCACCAACGTCCTGGGAGGATGTGTACTATAGTGGCAAGAATACAAATGGTTTTATCACTTACCTCTAGTCAAAGAAAATCATCAGGAAAAAAATTATCACACCAAATATACTTATTTATTATAAAATGCATCCTGGTTTAAGAAGCAATAGAGTGTGAAGTAACAGCCGTGGAACTTCAGGAGCATTATGTAACCTCTCTTGCTTAGCCTTCTCATCTGTAAAGGGAAGGTTGTAAAATCTTCCTCACAATGTGGCTGTAAGGAAAGTATAGAATAAGATTAGATATTCATTAAAGTCTCTTCTTTAGAACTGATGATAGCAATACCTCTAAGGTGAGGATAATCAATATATGGGTTTGGATCTCCCTATGGTTAGTAATTCCCTATCAAAGGGGTTGTAATAATTTTGGATGAAATCATTTTGAGGTGGCAGAGGAATGAAGGGAGCTCTGATGCTCCCTACCTTTGTGAGTTTCCTTTCCCCAAGGAAATCTGGGGGAAGCTGCCTGTCAACAGCATAATCGAGGTCTCGTTTATCACCTGCACAGTTTTCTTCACTTTTTGGAGGAAACTTGCATTATTTGGGACTCAGTATAGATAAAAGGCTTAACCAGAGTTGCCCCAGCTATGATCAGCCTTAAATTCAACAGGGGTTACATTAGCAGGCCAGCACAGTCCCCATGGGGATTCTGGCCCCTTCCTTCTTGATGTCTGCTGTCCACGGAGCCACTCAGGGGATCACTATTGTCAGTGTTGCTAGGGCCTCCCATGAGAAAGCTGAGTGTGTTCAGGAGCTCCAGTGCCAGGGCAGCCCTCACTCCAGCAGGGCCACCCTGAGTTCTACACAGAAAAAGTCTCTGTTTTTCACCATGTGTTGCACCTTCTCATCTTGGGATAAAGGTGGGGCTGCACGTGTCCCATTCTCACAGTGTCTCTTATGAGAACAGTTCCTGCAACTTCTTCCAGCAAACATTGTCTCTACAGGGCTTGATTGTGACCAGGTCAGAGATTCCATGACATCTTATTCCCCATCTCTCTCCCCAGCATTCAAACTAGAAAATGCTGGTCTGTGAAAGACACTGCCAAGAGAATGAAAAGACAAGCCACAGACTAGGAAAAATATTTACATAATACATGTCCAGTAAAAGGCTTATATTTAAAACATGCAAAGAAATATTTAAAAAAGTTTTTAATATAATTTACATACCATACAATTCACCCATTTAGAGTTGTCCTTTTGTGTCTGGCTTATTTTACTTAGCATAGTGTTTTCAAGGTTCATCCATGAAGTAGCACAGAGCAGAACTTCATTCCTTTTTATAGCTGAATAAATTTTCATTGCATGTATATACATTTTGTTCATCCATTCATATGTTGATGAACACCTGGGTTATTTCCACATTTTGGCTATGGTAAATAATGCTGCAATGAACACTGACATATAATCATTCGTTCAAGTCCCTGCTTTCAATTCCTTTGGGTATATACCTAGGAGCAGACTTGCTGGGTCATATGGTAATTCTATGTTCAGCTTTTTGAGGACCACTACGCTTTCCATACAGGCTGTAATATTTTACATTCTCACCAGCAATGTACCAGTCAGAGTTTTCATTTCTCCACATGTTCATCAACACTTGTTTCCTAGGGGGGGTGTGTGTGTGTGTATGTGTACGTGTGTGTTTTAATTTCAGCCATTCTAGTGGATGTAAAGTGGTACAGTGTATCAT
Source organism: Homo sapiens (assembly GCF_000001405.40). Lineage (NCBI taxonomy): Eukaryota > Metazoa > Chordata > Mammalia > Primates > Hominidae > Homo > Homo sapiens. Next base: position 86,565,137 of record NC_000011.10, on the reverse strand, counting down.
ATTGTGGCTTTGATTTGCATTTCTCTACTGACTAATAATGTTCAGTGTCTTTCCATGTGCTATTGGCCATTGGTTTATCTTCTTTAGAGAAATGTCCATTCAAGTCCTTTGGCTCTTTTTAAATTGGGTCATATTTCTTTTTGTTGTGCTGTAGGAGTCCTTTGTATATTCTGGATATTAAACCATTATCAGATATGTGATTTTCAAGTATTTTATTCCATTCTACAGATTGTCTTTTCACATCCTTGATAGTATCCTTTGATGCACAGACTTTTTTTATTTTGATGAAGTCCAGTTTACCTAATTTTTCTTTTGTTGCTAGCCCTTTTGGTGTCATAGCTAAGAATCTATTGCTAAATCCAAGATCAGAAAGATTTACCCGTTTTCTTCTGTTTTATGGTTTTGGATCTTATATTTAGGTTGTTCATCCATTTTGAGTTAATGTTTGTGTATAATGTGAGTTAGGGGTCCAATTTTATTCTTTGCATGTAGAAATTTAGTTGTCCCCACACCATTTCTTGAAGAGACTATTCTTTCCCCCATTGGATCGACTTGGAATCCTTGTCAAAAATCAATTTGCCATAGATGTATGAGTTTATTTACGAACTCTTTATTCTATTCCATTTACCTATATGTCTATTCTTATGCCAGTCCCACACTGTTTTTTTTTTTTTTCCTGTAGCTTTGTAGTAAGTTTCAAAGTCCCTTTTTAAAAAAAAAGATTTTGGCTGTTCGGGGTCCCTTGCTAGTCCATGTGAATTTGAAAACTGGCTTTTCTATTTCTGCAAAAGAAAGGCCATTAAAATTTTGATAGTGATTGCATTACAACTGTAGATCAGAGAACACTTAAAATTTAACAATAATGAAAGAAACAAACCTTAAATGGGAAAAATATTTGAACTGATACTTTACCAAAGAAGATATACAGATAGAAAATAAACATATGAAATACCTAGGAATACAGCTAACCAAGGAAAAGCAAGATCTCTACAAGGAGAACTACAAAACCCTGCTGAAAGAAATCAGAGACAATACCAGTAAATGGAAAAACATTCCATGCTAATGGATTGGAAGAATCAATGTTGTAAAAATGGCCATACTGCCCAAAGCAATGTACAAATTCAATGCTATTCCTATTAAGCTACCAAGGTCATTCTTCACAGAACTAGAAAAGCTATTCTAAAATCCATGTGGAAGCAAAAAAGAGCCCAACTAGCCAAGCAATCCTAAGCTAAAACAACAAAGTTGGAAGCATCATACTACCTGACTTCAAACTATACTTAAAGCTACAGTAACCAAAACAGCATGGTACTGATACAAAAACAGACTTGTAGACCAATGGAACAGAAGAGAAAACTCAGAAATAAAGCCACACACCTATAACCATCTGATCATCAACAAGGTTGACAAAGACAAGTAATGGGGAAAGGGATCTCTATTCAATAAATGGTGCTGGGATAACTGGCTAGCCATATGCAAAAGATTAAAACTGGACCTCTTCGTTTTACCATATATAAAAATTAACTCAGTGCATCTAAGATTTAAATATAAGACATCAAACTATAAAAAAATCCTCAAAGACAACATAAGAAATACTCTTTTCAACATCAACTTTGGCGAAGAATGTTTGACTAAGTCCCCAAAAGTAATAGCAACAAAAAGAAACAAGAAGACATATAAGTGTCCAACAAACATGAAAAAATGCTCAACATCACTGATTATCAGAGAAATGCAAATTAAAATCACAATGAGATACCATCTCACACCAGTCAGAATGGCTATTATCAAAAAGTCAATAAACAACAGATACTGGAGAGGCTGATGAGAAAAGAGAAAGCTTATACACTGTAAATGTAAATGTAATGTAAATTAGTCCAGCCACTACGGAAAGCAGCCCAGAGAGTTCTCAAAGTTAAAACAGAGCTACCACTGGACCCAGCAATCCCATTACTGAGTATATGCCCAAAGGAAAATAAATCATTCTACCAAAAAGACACATGCACTTGTATGTTCATCACTGTGCTATTCACAATAGCAAAAACATGGGATCAACTCAGGTGCCCATCAATGATAGAGTGGATAAAGAAAATGTGGTACATATATACCATGGAATACTATGCAGCCTTAAAAAAGAATGAAGTCATGTTTTTTGCAGCAACACGAATGCAATTGGAGGATAATCCTTAGTGAATTAATGCAGGAACAGAAATCCAAATACCACATGTTATCGCTTATAAGTGGGAGCTAAATATTGAGCACACATGGACTTAAACATGGGAACAATAGACACTGCAGACTACTAGATGGGGGAGGAAGGAGGATACTGGAGGTTGAAAACATACATATCAGGTACTATGCACACTACCTGGGTAATGGGATCTCTGCCCTAAACCTCAGCATCATACAATATTCCTGTGTAACAAACCTGCGCATGTACCCCTGTATCTAAAATAAAGGCTGAAATTTAAGGGAAAAAAAGAAAAGATACTCAACATTATATGTCAATAGAGGATTGCTAATTAAAGCAATAATGACATATCACTGTACATCTACTAGAACAACTAAAATCCAAAAAACTGACAATACCAGTTGCTGGAGAGGATGTAGAGCAACAGAAATTCTCATTCACTTCTAGCAGGGATGCAAAATGGTACAGCCACTTTAGAAAAGTTTGGCAGCTTCTTACAAAGCTAAGCACAGTTTTACCATATGATCCAGCAGTTGCACTCCAACATATTATCCAACTGATTAAAAAACTTATGTTCTCACAAAAACCTGCACAGGAATATTTACAGCAACTTTATTTATAATCATCAAAAGCTGGAAGCAACCAAGCTTTCTTCAATAAGTGGAGAAACAAACTATGGTATAAATGTACAGTGGAATGTTATTCAATGATAAATATACATGAATGAACTCTAGGTGCGTATTTCTAAGTAAAAGAAGCCAGTCTGAAAAAGCTACATACTTTATGCTTCCAATTGTATGACATTCTAGAAAAGATGAAAATGTAGAGTCAGTAAAGAAGGTCAGTGGTCGCCAGAGGTTTGGGGAAGGAAAGAGAGATGAACAAGTAAAGCCCATGGAATTTTTAGTGCAGTGAAACTATTTTGTATGATACTGTCATGGTAGATGCATGACATGCATTTGTCAAAACCCATAGAACTTTACAGCATAAAGAAGGAACCTTAATGTGTCCAGATTTTTAAAAAATTATTTAATAGGTTGGGGGATTCCAGGAAGGAATGCAGACTATGACAAGAGAATCTAATTGTATTACAGATGTATGTAACAATCTCAGTGAAGAGGGTAGAGGGAAAAAGTTTTGACTTGAGTAACTTCGGAAATGAGTGGAGTTTATTAGACTAAAGGCAAAAGGAACTGCACATAACCACTGTACTCTAATTTATAAAGTTGTTTCCCACAGTGGTACAGGTTAACCATTTTGAAACTGCTATATGTGTATACTGAAATTAAGCAATTAAGTACATAAATGGGAGATGGTCAAAGCCAAGCTTTTTATTGTTGGAGTGGGAATTCACAGTTTAGCAAGGTGATGGGGCTAAAATGATCCATGTGGTAATGAATTCACATTGGAGACATTAGTATGAACTTATGTTCAGCTTAATATAGGTTCTGATGGTTAAATACAGAAAAATTTATAGATATGTGGTTATACTCCAGTCTTAATATACACATGTATATTTCCTTGCTCTGTCAACTGACAGGGACTAGAAATAAGCAAGGGACACAAGTAGTAAATAGTGCCCAAATCTTGCCTTCTAATACCATGCTCTGAAAAAGGAATTGGGGATCCTTGGAGAAATGGCTTAGTCTAGGACCACGGCTGGCAATGTACAAGATGAACCTGGAGCATCTTGTAGTGCCAGAAAGTAAGGAATTGCAAAACAAAAACAAAAACAAAAAAACAACCAACCCACTACTGCTACATTATGGGTAGTATGTCAAAGAAATCCAAGAGCCAGCTGAAAACACTCCCAATGGCCAAGGCTAGGAGTAACTTTACAGTGGAGAAACCTGACAAGCATGACTTTTGGCCACTGATCAAGGTCCGTATCAACAGTGATAATCACATTTATTATATGTACCCCTGGTCTGATGTGATGAAAATGGCACTCTACTTCTGTGATCTTCCTTCCAAAAACCCATAACCAAAATCCAATCATGAGAAAAACATCAGACAAGTTCCAGTAGAGGGGTATGTGCAAAATACCTGACCAGGGCTCCTCCAAACTGTCAAGGCTGTCAAAAACAAGGGACATCTGGGAAACTGTCAAAGCCAAGAGGAGCCTAAGGAGACATGATGACTAAACTTAATACAAGATCCTGGATGGGTCCTGGAAATATATATATATATATATATATATACACACACACACACACACACACATACACACACACACACACACACATATCATTATATACATATATTTATCTATCTATATACAGTTAGATAAAAACTTTAAAAAATCTGAATAAACTAAAGGCTTTAGTTAATAATAATGGATCATTACTGGTTCATTGACTCTAATGAACGTATAATACTAATGTCAAATGTTAATAATCGGGACACTGGCTGAGGGGGTATATGGGAACTCTACTGTCTTCTCAGTTTTTCTGTAAATACTGTTTGTATTAGTCCGTTTTCACACTGCTATAAAGATACTACCTGAGACTAGGTAATTTATAAATGAAAGAAGCTTAATTGACTCATAGTTCCACATGTCTGGGGAGGCCTCAGGAAACTTACAATCATAGTAGAAGGTGAAGGGGAAGCAGGCACATCTTACATGGCAGCAGGACAGAGAGAAAAGGAGGAAGCACCAGACACTTATCAAACAACCAGATCTCATGAGAACTCACTCACTATCACAAGAATAGCATGGGGAAAACTGCCCCTGTGATCCAATCACGTCCCACCAGGGCCCTCCCTCAACACATGGGGACTATGGATTTGGATTACAATTCAAGATGAGATTTGGGTGGGGACACAGAGACAAACCATATCACTGTTCTAAAAAATAAAATAAAACATATATATTAAGAAAAAGAAAAATGCTGATGATACAGATAGTTTCCCCATTTTTTCCAATGAGGAAGCTGAAGTTCAGAAGCATCAAAGTAACTGGCACAAGATGACCCTCCTACTTTAATAGCAGAGGTGGAATTTGAGTTGAGGGCCCTTTCTACTGAGTCACACTGACTTTTACCTATCTGTGGGTGGGACCCCTTCTGTTCCTTTGTCTCCTGAGTATGCACTTATGTGTGGGTGTTCTTTTCCTGTTTTTCCCAGGGGATGGCCTTTACCCTTGAAGAAAGGCTGCAGCTTGGAATCCACGGCCTAATCCCGCCCTGCTTTCTGAGCCAGGACGTCCAGCTCCTCCGAATCATGAGATATTACGAGCGGCAGCAGAGTGACCTGGACAAGTCAGTACCTAGTGTCTGTTCTCTCTGTCTGGTCCTTGGGCTGAGCTGTCTGTTTCCTGTGCTTCACAGAGGGTTTTCTGGAAACTCTCCAGCTAAAAAAGGCTGAGAGCCCAAAGAGATCCCAGACTCAGCCCTACCTTCTAAAGGATTCATGGTCTCCCTGAGAGACAAGGCTTGTTATGACTGAGACACAGCTGACATGTCCTGGGGGAAATGGGAAGGGAAACTGCATTCCAACTAGTGGAATCTGGAAGGGCCTCTGGGAAGTGGTAGAAGCTGAGTCAGCATAAGAAGCACTGATAAGATTTCAGCAGACAGCAATGGGGTTCAGGGAGAACATTTCACTGAGAGGGACGAACTGGAGCAAAGAGGTAGAGACAGGCCTGTTAAGGAAGTAGTACGTGGCTTGGGTTCCTGGAATTAGGGGGACGTGGTGGGGGAGAGGGAAATGGACAGGGGACACCTTAGGATGGACCTAGATGTCATTTGTTGGAGGCTATGGGCAACAGTTAATAACCCTGCCTCCTCTGTGAGTTCTCCTCCAATGGGGATCCAGACATAAAGAGAAAATGGGGAATCACAGGGTCAACTTTATCAGCTTTACTAAAGGTAGTCACTTCCCAGGTTGAATGGCTATAAATGGGCGTGGCTAGAATTTGAACACAGAGACCTGGCTCCAGAGTCTATGCTTTTCATTTCTCTGCTATGCCACAGCTAAGATGCAGCAGGGACCAGTGGCTACAAGACCAGACTCTAGTACTAGACTGAGTTCAAATCTATATTCTACCTCTTAATGGCAAAAGTTACTTAGCCTCTATGGGTCTTTTCCCATTGGTACGATGAGTACCATAGGGAAAACTCATAGGGTTGTTATGAGGATTAAATGCCTTAGTATTTGTGATGTGCTGAGAACAGTGCCTGGCACATAGTAGGCCGTATGTCAGTGTTTGTCAAGTAAATATGTCACCTTGTTATTGGCTCTAGCAGAAATGTAGGAAGAAGATAAGGAATCCCCCTCTTAGAACAAACAAACTATAGAACTTGGCCAGTTCTATCTATAGAACAAACTGGCCAAGACTTCGGGTCCCTGAGGGTGTGGCTGTCCCCCTAGGAGCAGAGCTCAGCAGCATGCCAGGGTCACCCTGCACTCATATTCCTCTGTTTCCCTCATACCATCCATTGCTTCTGAGTGGTGATGAGCACAGAAGCCTCTGCTCATACCTCCACCCCTACTCCCAAAGCTCTAAACTCGAAGGATGTTAGTCACATTAACTCCAAGGCCATACTGTAGTCAGGCCAAATATCCTCTCCCTCTTTTTTATCTCACTCTGATTGGGTCTAGCTAAGTCACTCTGAAGAGCAAGCCAGAAATTACACAATGAAATCAACTAACAGGATGAGACACACCCTAAGTTTGAACAATCTGAACCTTCTCCTTTTGTTAAATTTATAAAGAAGAAATCAAGTCCAAAGTGAAATCCTCTTTCCTACAGATATTAAGCTCTAAAAGTTAAATTCAAAAATCCTTCTCTCCCCAGTTATTTCCAGGTAGATGGGCCTCACTCATAGGCCTGGGGAAACATTCCAGGCTCAGGGACAGAAGAGTGTGCCCATTACTGGGAGCTCTAGAGGGCTTGCCCCTGATGCTGCTTGACCACCTTGACCCGCTTATTTCCAGGAGTCCCTCATTTTACAGGTGCTTGGGGACACGCTAAGAAAACTCGCCATCTTCTTTTGGGTAAGGGCAGTGGTGTGCTGGTAAATCTTTAATAACTGGTTATCTGTGCTGGGTGAGGGGCGGGATAGGAAATTATGGAATCTGCCGGATTCCATAGTGTAAATACTTGTACGATGGCTGATTTCAGGTTACCAGTTTGACATAACTGAATGTAGAATTGAGAAAAGATGTGCACAAATGGCCACTGGGTAAGAGAATCCCACACTGGCAATGGGCTGAGATCCTTGCTCTTCCTGAGTATCAGTCCTCTCTTGCTAAAAACACCTTCCAGAGCACAGTTTTTAGTTTTCCACCAAAGGAGTAATTCCTTTGGTACAGAGGAAGAGGCTGAGACCCAAGAAGTCACACAAGACTTTCCCAAGTTCACACAGCTAATAAACAGCAGAGCTGGGATTCAAACATAGGATCCTGATGTCATGCCCAGAGATCATTTCACCAGACCACAGACTTTTTTACCCCTGTTAGAAAATTTCTCCCATCCCACCTCATGCCAGAGCATCAAGTACCTTGGTATTCTCCCCAAGATTATTATCCAGAAAGGTTGTGATATTAGCAGTCACACTTAATTGTGAATTTCAACCCCTAGGTTTTCTCTCACAGAGGTTTTTGCATTCTTAGGAGTCTGAATGGAAGCCTCTTTCCCTGGCTTAGTGATTTCAGGTCTCAGGGATTAGGTAAAAGAGAGATTATTTTTGGAAATCACAACTCGTGACAGGAACCAGTCCAGTGTGGTAGGAGAGGCCAGTCCTAGAGTGCTTATATGCCCAGAATTTTCCTTGACCCTACCCCACCTCCAGAATATTATTATGCTATTGTCATTCATTAATGTTCACATAATATCATAAGCATCTTGAACAGTGGTTGAGAGCACAGATTCCAGAGTCAGACTGCTTAGATTCAAATTCCCACACGCCATGAGAATTGGGGTGAGTCAATTTCTCTCTACATGAGTCTCCTTGCCTCTAAAATAGCAAGAATTATAATCCCTACTTCACAAGCCATTGGAAGTTTTAAAGGAGTTAATGTAAAATATTTAGAACAGTATCTACACCATGTATAATAATAAGCACCACAAGCAGGTCATCTTCACATTTCATAGCTGTTGAAGCTCATGCTCAGGGCAGATGGCTTGCCCATGAATGTTCCGGGCTGAGCAGGAACAGGAGCCTTGGGTCTTTGCACCACACCACAGAGGCATCAGGGCCTGCTGCTACCACATGTCAGCTTGCTTTTTCTCTCCTTTTACAAGGTACATCATTCTCATGACACTCCAAGACCGGAACGAGAAGCTCTTCTACCGAGTGCTGACTTCGGACGTGGAGAAGTTCATGCCAATCGTGTACACGCCTACCGTGGGGCTGGCCTGTCAGCACTATGGCCTGACTTTCCGCAGGCCCCGGTGAGCCCCCGTGGAGTGAGGGCTCTGGGAGGGGCTGCCTCATAGAGGGGAATAAATTCTTTCCGCCCTTCATGCATATTGGGACTCTGGAGGCTAACTCTGATTGGGTCAGTGGTCCAACAAAAAGACATTTGATTTCAAGCACTTGCTCAGAAAAATGACCCCGTAAGCAGAGAAATGAGTGAAAAGAGTAGCTAGCAAGGGTTTATTGACTCTTCTTCACCTCCAAATAATAAATGCCCAGCATGCTCAGAGTTGGCCTGAGAGAGAGTTCAGGTTGTATTTCTCTCATTATCTACCTGTCACTTCTCTCACCCCCTCTGGTCACCTCCAAAGTACCAACAGCTCTCCTGCCAATTCAGGCCAATGAATAATGGAGTGTTGGATACCAAAGACTGAATTCTTTTGATGTTTGAAAAACCAGCATATCTTCCTTTGGGCTTGACTCAGATTCCACTTTAAATGTCATTTTATTAGACAAAACTTTGGCACTCCATTTTCTCTCAGAGCCAAAGAATTTTGAGGAGTTTTCTAAAGCAATCAGGTTTTTTTTCAAAATGACTTCAGAATATATGTTTTAAAAAAAAGAAAAAATGGTAGAGTCCTTGGTGCAAGGTGCCTTATAATTATAAATACATAGTTCTAGCACTAATGTTAAAAGAGCTACCTGGTATATGTAATGGAACATTGTTCTAGTCTACGTTCAAATATGTAAATATGCAACATACTGTGCACAGATATGTAATTTACATTTATGTAGAATTTATAAGTTAGTGTTTGTAAATCACGCGTTTTATGGGGAACATGTAATCATGGATTCAAAACAGCTTTTTTTAATTTGGAAAAACAATCTTCTAGTTTTGTAGCCAGCATTTCGGTTGAATATTACAAGATGGTCACAGTGTGTTCCCAATGCCAGTCCTGTTTCTTTCCGGATCCCACTGTTACCGTTGGCAAAGGATAGCACATCAAACCTCATCCTGATGGTGGTGTGTCTGGCTGTTGCAGCAGACACATCCTCATCACTCAGAACAGCTAAGCTTTTGCAAACCTATAGAGGCTCACTATGCCAGGGCTCCATAACAGTTCTGGTCTTCAACATGCTTCTTGCAACAGGAAGGAGACTCCTGTTCTCTTATTCTCATTCCCAAAACCAATAGTGGTAGAGACATTAGGAGCTGATGGTACATTTCTGAAGGATGCAGGACTCTATGTACTTCCCCTGTTCCTTCTCAGAAATGATCCTTTCTGCACAGATCAGCTCATGGCATTTCATCTGAGGCATTTAGCAGCTCCCTAGGGCTTAAAGAATCAAGCCCAACAGTCTGAGATATCTAAGCCTGTCACAGCCCAGCTCCAAAATTCAGTGTTCTAACTACTCTGATCTGTTCTCCATGCCCAAGTACACTGATGTTCTTCTCCATGCCTTGGCACGTATGGTCCTGTCTGCCTCAAACTCCTGCATCTCCCCTTTCCTTGGTCTCCACTCATCACAATTCTGGTTATCCTTCAAGGCCCACCCCAAGGGTCAACTTCTCCACGGAGCCCTCCCCCATCCCCTCAGGCTGAACTGACCACCCCTTTCTTGGCCTCCTCAAAATCCATTACACATACTTCGTCTATCCCATAGTTTTCTTTTTGTTTTTCATGTTTTTAGTTGTTTGTATATAACTGTCTTCTACTAGAATACAAACTTCTTGAAGGGTCAAGAAACATGATGGATCTGTTGGGTATTCTAGACCAATACTTGGCAAGTAATTGTCACTCGGTTGGGAAAGTAATGCTGTGTACTCAGTGTGAAGAATTGGTTCTTTGCAATCAGCCCCGAATTTTAATCTCCTTGACCCTGGGTGATTTTCTTATCCTCTCTCTGCCTTAATTTCCACATTTATGAAATTGAGGTAACAATACTACCTAACTCAATCATTATGAGGGTAAAATGAGAAGTGTGGATCAGGTACCTGGCATAAAATTGGAACCAGATAAATGTCAGTGTCTATTTCTCTTCAGTAACTATTGTAGAAAGGAGAAAGGATTGATAGATGTAGAATCATATTATACATATGCATGTTTAAATATTTACCAAGAAAATTGAATCATTGAACATGTAACAAACTAACACTTTTAACTTCAGAAGGAAACCAAACCCAAAATTATGCAAACATACACAATTTTGCTTTTCCAGAACCAGCTTTTTCCTGAAGAGGACCTTTATCCCCCTAAGGCAAGATTAACCATCTCCCCTGACTGAGATCTAATGGAAATTCAAGTCTACCCCACTCTGGCCCCTATTGCCAGGATGTGTGGAAGCCCTCACTCCATATGCTCTTATGGAAACTAGATTGTAGTGGCTTCAGTGGTTCCAGATGAACTAGTAGAAGGGTTAGGACCTTGCATATGCAACAGGCTTGTAAAAGTAGAATTTGCCTCCAGAGCCCACTCCAGAATCCAGGGACACCACCAGGACTGAATTTACATATCTTAATGCATTTAATGATTACAACCTCCCTAGGAGGTAGGCCCTATTATCATCTCAATTGCAAATGGGAAAACTGAGGCACAGGGAAATAACTTACCCAAAGTCACACATAGTTTATAACCAGCAAAGCCAGGGCCCAAGCCAATCTGAACCAAAGTGTAGACAGGCAACCACCACACTACACTGCCTCTTACAGTTTCGGACTGTGCACAGCTGGTGGGCATTCTGGGTGGGATGTCGTTGCAGCTCCAGGAATGTTTGACTTCCCAGGGGTCTCAGGTGGGGATTGCTAGATACCACTTCTAGAGCTCTCCTGGGAGGAATTGATCCAGCAGGGTCCGGGGGCCTGCAGCTGAGTGAGCTTGAGGCAGGCTTGGGCAGACTTAACCATCTTCTTGGATTAGTCCCTCACACTCTTGGTTCAGACTTCTCGAATACGTTGTGCACAAACCCTTCTTCAGATGATTACCCAATTAAGTTATCTGACATGTGACATTCTGAGTTGTTGCTCTAGGTTTCCATTTGGCTGCTTTCCAGGTGTGGATTCCACACCTGCCTTGCTCCTGGGGGAAATAAAAGTTTGGGCTCCACCCAAGCCCTGAACTTCATCTGAGACCTGGCTTGGACTTACTTTGTGGATTAGCATCTGAAGGGAGGACAGTCCCGAGGCCAAGAGGGAGAGAGCCAGCACCTTCTCAGTTTCTGAAACGATAAACACTCCTGCCAGGTTCCCAAGAACAATGAAGTCCTCTGTAATGGTGTCTGGCCCCCCACCAAAGCTAATTACATCCAGCTGATGCTAAAATTGAGACTCCAACCTGCCTGGGGCTCTGCATCACCTCATTACCGGGGAAAGAGTATCTCAGGGGCACCTGAGTGTCTCTGGGCAGATAGGCACCACAGAAGGTTCTGGGCTCTGGTGGAGCCTCCTTTGCCTCATCCTGCCTCTCACTTGACACTCCTCTGCATGCGCCTCCATGAGCCTGGCTTGAGGGAACGCCCCATGAAGGTCAGTCACTAGTGTGTGAGCTGGAAGAGGTGAAAGCCAGAGGTGAGGCTGGGTGGAGGCCGAGACAGAACTCAACCCAGAGGAAGGGCATGGGGAGGAAGCCATATGGGGTCCAGTGTCAGTGAATACTCTCCCTCTCCCAGGCCACATCCCTGTTGACCAGCCCTGTCTTCACATGCCTCATCCTCCTGGGCTCCAAGCAATGTGCTGCACCCGCCTTTAGACCTAACATTTCCCAGCTTTGGTGTAGGGTCCAACCCGTATGGGTGATGGAGGTCTGAAAGAAAACATTATGACACTTGTTAAAGATGGTAAGGCAGACTTTATTCAGGAGCTGGAGGGCAGAGGACTACGATAGATTTTGAACTATGGCAGAGGAGTCTTGCAGTGAGGGAGAGATTGGACTCAACTCTGACTCCAGTAAGGACAAATGGGGATTTATAACCCAGGAACAGCATGGGGGGCGGTGCTTGGATAATTACTAGGAGGAAACATCAAGAATAAGGGGTTTCTGGTTAAATTGACAGGATGGGATTATTGCTGAAGGCGGACCAGGGTCCTGAGATAACAAGGGTGGCAAGTTACCAAAGGCAGGTGGAGGATTTTGGCCAAACCGACTTAGCAGGATTCTTGCTCACACTGGATTCTACAAGGACAGGGAGGGAAGCCCAATGTCTGATCTAGTCAGAGGGGACTCAGGAGCCCAACTAAAGTTTTGGTCAAAGGAGCGTCTTTGTCAGAGGGCTGGGTTGTAGGTAGTAGAAGCAGCACGGACTTTGAAGCCAGGCAGGCTTGGCCTTGAATCTCAGCTCCTGATGACTTTTGACAATTAATTTAGCACCTCCTCAGCCTCCTCATGTGTGAAATGGAAATAACACTTATTCACATGGCTGCTTGGGAGGATTCAATGAGATTCCAAATGTAAAGGGCCTGGCCCTAGTAGGAGCTCAGCAGCTGTGATCTGTTTGACCCAGGACCCCAGGAGTTGTCATCTACTCAGTCACCCCACCCAAGAATACACACTGTAAACCTGCTGAGGCCACCCCAGTCCTCTGAAGTACCGCCACACTCTGTTGTTTGATTCAGACCTGAAATCATCTGTACTTGCACTTAACTAGCAAATCATTAGCAAGTATGTGTGAGGAATCAGAGATCGGGCTGTGATGAGTTAGAAAGGTGAGGCTGGGAAGTGGGACTTGGTTTTATGTAGTCGGAAGCTCTGTGGAAAGTACCTGAAGATGTATTTGGACAAAGCCAGCAGCCCTTGGCCCTGAGCCAAGCTGCTGTCTTTCTTATCTGCAAATAGGTGGTCTTCTGCACACTGGCCAATAACATACATACAGGATATTAAGAGTTACCATTTATTGAATGCATGTACTTCCCATGGTGGGCCCTGGTCTAGCTATTTTGTGTGCATTATTGTTGAGCCCTATAACAACTCCTTGAGGTGCTTATTATTTCACTGAGATGAAAACGAAAGCTGACTTATCTAAGACATCACAGCTGACCAAGAGCCAATTTCCTGTGTTGTTCCTGAATTCATAGTCCAGCTTCTGGTTGGCCCTGGTAAACATGACACATCATTCTGGCCTTCACTTAAACTCCCTTGCCAGATAAGTCTGCACCCAGGAGGGGCACACACATGGGTGCACACACACACTCTCACACTTGGGAAACATACTATATCATGTTGGACAGAGCACTTGGGCTGGAGTCAGAGGTAGTGGTTCAGCCCCCTTATCTAAATACCATGTGGCCTTGGAGCTACTCCACAGCTCCAAGCTCGGATCACAGGAACTATCCACCTTGTGGCATCATTATGAGGGTCAGAAGGGCTAAACGCATGTGAACATGCTTTATCAATTGTAAACTTCCTCATAAGCTTAAAGGAGGGGTATTACTTTTTCATCTCTTCTTCCCTCTCACCCCATACCCATAAGAGGATATGGTTAAGGTTCACATTTACCTCCTTGGAGTTTCCTACTTCCCGCTCAATATGTCTGGTATGCTTCATTTTCTTGCATTGGAACCTTCTTGTCTTCAACCACCTCCACCAGCCCACCGGCAACCCCCACATGCACATGCATGTGCACACACACCCAGAGGGACCCCTGGGACATGAATTACACACCTCTGCTTCCTAAATACCCACTGGAGCCCATTTCCAGCTGTACACAAGACCAATGAATGCCAACACTTTGATCAAAGCCACTCTGGAAAACAAAGACAACCTTGCCCCAGTAAATGGAGAGATCCCTGACACCCAGGGCATGGTTTTTGAGCACATCACAACACAGTTCCAACCCAGGTGTCCGTTGGTTGGGAATACACACAAACACACACACACATACTCCCAGCAAAATTGGGAGGCAAGCAGAAAGCAAGGACTAGCATCATCAAACCAGCCTTCTGCCCAATCTCAGGGCACCAAAGCACTGATTCCTTTGGCCAAGACTGCTTGACATTCCAATTTCACCCAGACTCTGCTGCGAAACTTTCAGCTGTGCTGCTGGAAAGGCGTCCTTGAGTAGACTGTGTACAAGGTCTGCAGCCGGTTCTGGTTAACCTCTCATCTGGCCCTTTTAGTCCCTTGTCCTTGGCTGTTATAGGGAGAGCACTGGATTAGGAGTCAGGAGATCTGGGTTCTTGCCCTCAATCATCCCCTTTCTGGCTACAACTCCTTAGGCAAGTCACTTAGCTCATTAGTCTGTAGTAACAGTGGTAGGGTTCTGCTGCATGGCTTCCGTGATCTCTTCTAGCTCTAACATTTTATGATCTAGTAACCCAAATTCTATAAACAAGTTAGAAATAGATTTTTAAGTGATCCATGGTAATATTATGCAGCCAAACCTAAATTTCCCCACCTGTAAAATTAAAAGGGTCTAGTTAGAGCACCAATTCTCAGTCCCGGCTGTGCACTAAACGTGTCTGGAGAGCTGTAAATCAGAATCCCTGAAGTGGAGCCCAGGCATCTCTGGCTTTCAGAAGCTCTTCAGAGGACTCTAATGGGCAGCCAGGGCTGAGAACTGCTGACCTGAGTGTTCCCTGAAATTCTTTACAGCTTGGATCTTCTGTGACTTTTAGGGAGTTGATAATCTGCATCCCGTATTTTCCAGCCCATCCCAACCTGGAAGTACTCTTGAAGGTTGAGGTCATAATAAGATAACAGAACCTCCATCTCCAACTCAACCTTCAGCAAGCCAAATTGTTCAGCCCCACCACCCAAGCCCCCTCATCTCATTCACAGGGTTGGGAGGGGAGTTCTACATCTGCCATCCTCCTCTCTTCCCCAATTTCCTCTTGAAGTTCCTATCACTACACAGAAGTCTCACTTCCAAGTTTCACTCTCATCCTCTTGACTCCCTCATGTAATTACCCACATTGTAATAGTAATAGCTGCCCACTCATGTGATGTCAATAATAGATTAGATAGGAGCAAACATCAGGCTCAAGGGTGGTTAATCATTTAGGTAACCGTGTACCCCGTGTGGCCGGGCTCAAGAGATACACTGGACCAGTTAATGTCCTTTTCAGGAATTTGAAATGAGACATGAAAGCAGTCATATAGAAAGAATTTTCCACTTGGGAAGAAAAATTAAGGCAAAAAGGATACCATGGTTTAGACTTTAGAGTCAGGTTGTGGTAGGCCAATGGCAAATGCCAGCTAAGAAGGAACAGAAAGTAATAGACCTGGAAGTAAAGGAATATTATGGAAAGAGGAGATAAGGGCAGATGGAAGAGAAACAGGGAAAAACACAGAAAGAGTGGTCCCTAGAGCTGCCTCAGTTCATGACAGCTTTCCATTCCAGTTCCTGGTCAAAACTTTACAATAGACACTCTTTCTCCAGAGGTAACTTAAGTGAACTTCTGCCTTAGGTAACTAGAACAGCCAAACTGAAAAAGAGCTATGAAATCAGGTGGATCTGATCCCCTTGTGAATAGGTTGGATGAAGCTAACAGGTTAAAGTAAGTATCTCAACTTTAGTGAGCATTAAAATCACCTGGAGGGCTTGTTAAAATAGACTGAGCAAGTCTGGGATGGGACCAGAGAATTTACGTATCAACGAAGTCCAGGTGATGTTGATGCTTCTGGCCAGGGACCACACTTTGAGAATCACCGGACAAAAGGATGGTGAAAGGCAGCTCACTGCAAAGTGAACAGAGACCATCGGAAGGAGGCAGGAGTAGAAGACATTTCCACGGCCCACTGTACATTAGTAGAAGGAGCTGGGAGTCATGAAATATGGGTTCCTGTCATGAACTAGTAGCGTGACCTATAATCCCTCCCCCTTTCTGGGCCTCACTTTCCTCATCTATAAAGTGAGGATATTAGTAGGTGATCTCAGGGCTCCTTCCAACCCTCACGGTCTTTCATTTTTCTTGCAGATTAGAGCACTGTGGCTACAAATTTGCCTCTAATGTTTCTGGCATTTAAGGGAGGAAAATGCAAAAGTAAATGAAAACACATACTTTTCATTTTCTGACAAGAAAAAGCTTGCAGGCTTATCTGCAGAAGTGTCATTTTTTGCTGAGAGCTCTGATTCACAAATGGGCACCTTCCCAGACAAGACCAGCTGGGCAATCCAGAATCTGTCATGGATTATTTGATGCCGTGGCTTGGGAATTGATGCCGGAATAGATCTTAGGAAGGTGGAAGGAGGAGGAGTCCTTCCAAAGCATAAGGTTGTTCAGCTGTTATTTGACATGAATGTCACATGGAGTAAGTTAATTGTATCTAGATCCCACATTGCTGAAATACTTTGGAACAGAGGTAGAGGAGAGAAGGAACATTTATTTTTGTGTCTGAATTATACAGAGTTCAATCACTGAGGGAACTGGCTTACTTTTTTAGTGAAAGCTTTGAGATTTGCATCTGAAAAAGTGAATTTGTGCTTAAATGCATGTGGCCTGCCTAGGACTTTAGCATCCAGAAGGAGCAGCTTGCTCTGGGGAAAGGACGGACACTCCTCAGCCATCCATGAGTTTGGGTGGGAGTGAAGGTGGCAATGGCTGAGCAGCCCCCACAAATGCAGACATTATGTTTTCCTTACTTAAATGGGAGACAGATGAACTTTATTAACTAGAACAGGATGTTCTGGGTTGACTTCCTTTAGCCAAAGGCATTATTCCCTGGCAATTTAAACAAACTGACTTTTGTTTCTTTTTTATCTGGCTCTGTCCTTTTCCTCCTTTGTCCCTGGCAATCACAGCCATGGTGATCAAAAGGATAGGTGTGGGGAGAATTTCCTAGCCCTGAGAAGGAAATACGTACATATAAGCAGGAGTTGAGTGGACCATTCCTCAGATAACCTTGATCTCCCATTGACCTGTACAATGCACTAAATGTTCTGTTTGCTCACATTGAGTTTTGTCTAAAAAGAGTGGCTTCTTATTTTTTTTGTTTTTGGTTTTGAATTATTTTTTATTTTATTTTATTATACTTTAAGTTCTGGGATACATGTGCAGAACGTGCAGGTTTGTTACATAGGTATACACATGCCATGGTGGTTTACTGCACCCATCAACCCGTCATCTACATAAGGTATTTCTCCTAATGCTATCACTCCCCCAACCCCCCACCCGCCCGACAGGCCCCAGTGTGTGATGTTCCCCTCCCTGTGTCCATGTGTTCTCATTGTTAAACTCCCACTTATAAGTGAGAACATGCAGTGTTTGGTTTTCTGTTCCTGTGTTAGTTTGCTGAGAATGATGGTTTCCAGCTTCATCCATGTCCCTGCAAATAACATGAACTTAACCTTTTTATGGCTGCATAGTATTCCATGGTGCATATGTGCCACATTTTCTTTTTTTTTTTTTTTTTTTTTGAGATGGAGTCTTGCTCTGTCGCCCAGGCTGGAGTGTGCAGTGGCATGATCTGGGTTCACTGCAAGCTCTGCCTCCCGGCTTCACACCATTCTCCTGCCTCAGCCTCCTGAGTAGCTGGGACTACAGGCACCCACCACCATACCCGGCTAATTTTTTGTATTTTTAGTAGAGATGGGGTTTCACTGTGTTAGCCAGGATGGTCTCAATCTCCTGACCTTGTGATCCGCCTGCCTGGGCCTCCCAAAGTGCTGGGATTACAGGTGTGAGCCACTGTGCCCGGCCGCTACATTTTCTTTATCCAGTCTATCATTGATGGGCATTTGGATTGGTCCCAAGTCTTTGCTATAGTGAATAGTGCTGCAGTAAACATACGTGTGCATGTGTCTTTATAGTGGAATGATTTATAATCCTTTGGGTATATACCCAGTAATGGGATTGCTGGGTCAAATTGTATTTCTGGTTCTACATCTTCGAGGAATCGCCACACTGTCTTCCACAATGGTTGAACAAATTTACACTCTCACCAACAGTGTAAAAACGTTCCTATTTCTCCATATCCTCTCCAGCATCTGTTGTTTGCTGACTTTTTAATGATCACCATTCTAACTGGCATGAGATGGTATCTCATTGTGCTTTTGATTTGCGTTTCTCTAATGACCAGTGATGATGAGCATTTTTTCATATTTTTGTTGGTGGCATTAATGTCTTCTTTTGAGAAGTGTCTGTTCGTATCTGTCACCCACTTTTTGATGGGGTTGTCTGTTTATTTCTTGTAAATTTGTTTAAGTTCTTTATAGATTTTTGGATATTAGCCCTTTGTCAGATGGATAGATTGCAAAATTTTTCTCCCATTCTGTAGGCTGCCTGTTCACTCTGATGACAGTTTCTTTTGCTGTGCAGAAGCTTTTTAGTTTAATTAGATCACAGTTATCAATTTTGGCTTTGTTGCCACTGCTTTTGGTGTTTTAGTCATGAAGTCTTTGCCCATGTCTGTGTCCTGAATGGTATTGCTTAGGTTTTCTTCTAGGGTTTTTATGGTTTTAGGTCTTACGTTTAAGTCTTTAATCCATCTTGAGTAAATTTTTGTATAAGGTGTAAGGAAGGGGTCCAGTTTCAGTTTTCTGCATATGGCTAGCCAGTTTTCCCAACACCATTTATTAAATAGGGAATCCTTTCCCCATTGCTTGTTTTTGTCAGGTTTGTCAAAGATCAAGATGGTTGTAGATGTGTGGCATTATTTCTGAGGCCTCTGTTCTGTTCCATTGGTCTATATGTCTGTTTTAGTACCAGTACCATGCTATTTTGGTTACTGAAGCCTTGTAGTATAATTTGAAGTCAGGTAGCATGATGCCTCCAGCTTTGTTCTTTTTGCTTAGGATTGTCTTGGCTATATGGGCTCTTTTTTGTTTCCATATGAAATTTAAAGTAGTTTTTTCTAATTCTGTGAAGAAAGTCAATGGTAGCTTGATGGGGATAGCATTGAATCTATAAATACTTTGGGCAGTATGGCCATTTTCACAATATTGATTCTTCCTATCCATGAGCATGGAATGTTTTTCCATTTGTTTATGTCCTCTCTTATTTCCTTGAGCAGTGGTTTTTAGTTCCCCTTGAATGGGTCCTTCACATCCCTTGTAAGTCGTATTTCTAGGTATTTTATTCTCTTTGTAGCAATTATGAATGGGAGCTCACTCATGATTTGCCTGTTTGTTTATTATTGGTATATAGCAATGCTTGTGATTTTTGCACATTGATTTTGTATCCTGAGACTTTGCTGAAGTTGCTTATCAGCTTAAGGAGATTTTGGGCTGAGATGATGGGGTTTTCTAAATATACACCATGTTATTTGCAAACAGAGACAATCTGACTTCCTCTCATCCTATTTGAATACCCTTTATTTCTTTCTCTTGCCTGATTGCCCTGGCCAGAACTTCCAACACTATGTTGAATAGGAGTGATGAAAGAGGGCATCCTTGTCTTGTGCCAGTTTTCAAAGGGAATGCTTCCAGCTTTTGCCCATTCAGTATGATACTGGCTGTGGGTTTGTCATAAATAGCTCTTATTATTTTGAGATACTTTCCATTGATAGTTTCTTGAGAGTTTTTAGCATGAAGGGTGTTGAATTTTATCGAAGGCCTTTTCTGCATCTATTGAGATAATCATGTGGTTTTTGTCATTGGTTCTGTTTACGTGATGGATTACGTTTATTGATTTGCATATGTTGAACCAGCCATGCATCCCCAGGATGAAGCCGACTTGATCGTGGTGGATAAGCTTTTTGATGTGCTGCTGGATTTGGTTTGCCAGTATTTTTGCCTCATCGAAAGGGATGAGGATTTTTGCATTGATGTTCATCAGGGATATTGGCCTGAAAAATTCTTTTTGTGTTGTGTCTTTGCCAGGTTTTGGTATCAGGATGACGCTGGCCTCATAAAATGAGTTAGGGAGCGGTCCCTCTCTTTCTATTGTTTGGAATAGTTTCAGAAGGAATGGTACCAGTTCCTCTTTGTACCTCTAGTAGAATTCGGCTATGAATCCGTCTGGTCCTGGGCTGTTTTTGGTTGGTAGGCTATTATTTAGTGCCTTAATTTCAGAACTTGTTATTGGTCTATTTAGGGATTGGACTTCTTCCTGGTTTAGTCTTGGGAGGAGGGTGTATGTGTTCAAGAATTTATCAATTTCTTCTAGATTGTCTAGTTTATTTGCGTAGAAGTGTTTATAGTATTCTCTTATGGTAGTTTGTACTTCTATGGAATCAGTGGTGATATCTCCTTTATCATTTTTTATTGTGTCTATTTGATTCTTCTCTCTTTTCTTCTTTATTAGTCTGGCTAGCAGTGTATCTGTTTTGTTAATCTTTTCAAAAAACCAGCTCCTGGATTCATTGATTTTTTTGAATTTTTTTTGTGTCTCTATCTCCTTCAGTTCTGCTCTGATCTTAGTTATTTCTTGTCTTCTGCTAGCTTTTGAATTTGTTTGCTCTTGCCTCTCTAGTTCTTTTAATTGTGATGTTAGGGTGTCAGTTTTAGATCTTTCCTGCTTTCTATGTGGGCATTTAGTTCTATAAGTTTCCCTCTAAACACCGCTTTAGCTGTGTCCCAGAGATTCTGGTACGTTGTGTCTTTGTTCTCATTGATTTCAAAGAACTTATTTATTTCTGCCTTTATTTCATTATTTACCCAGTAGTCATTCAGGAGTAGTTTGTTCAGTTTACATGTAGTTGTGCAGTTTTGAGTGAGCTTCTTAATCCTGAGTTCTGATTTGATTGCACTGTGGTCTGAGAGACTGTTTGTTATGATTTCCATTCTTTTGCATTTGCTGAGGAGTGTTTTACTTCCAATTATGTGGTTGATTTTAGAATAAGTGTGATGTGGTGCTGAGAAGAATGTATATTCTGTTGATTTGGGGTGGAGAGTTCTGTAGATGTCTATTAGCTCCACTTGGTCCAGAGCTGAGTTCAAGTTCGGAATATCCTTGTTAATTTTATGTCTCATTGATCTGTCTAATGCTGACAGTAGGGTGTTAAAGTCTCCCGCTGTTCTTGTGTGGGAGTCTAAGTCTCTTTGTAGGTCTGTAAGAACTTGTTTTATGAATCTGGGTGCTCCTGTATTGGGTGCATATATATTTAGGATAGTTAGCTCTTCTTGTTGCCTCAATTCCCTTTACCATTATGTAATGCCCTTTTTGGTCTTTTTTGATCTTTCTAGGTTTAAAGTCTGTTTTATCAGAGACTAGGATTGCAACCCCTGCTTTTTTTGCTTTCCATTTGCTTGGTAAATCTTCCTCCATCCCTTTATTTTGAGCCTATGTGTGTCTTTGCATGTGAGATGGATCTCCTGAATACAGCACACCAATGGTTCTTGACTCTTTATCCAATTTGCCAGTCTTTGTCTTTTAATTGGGGCATTTAGCCCATTTACATTGAAGATTAATATGGTTATGTGTGAATCTGATCCTATCATTATGATGCTAGCTTGTTACTTTGCCCATTAGTTGATGCAGTTTGTTCATAGTGTCAATGGTCTCTACATTTTTGTATGTTTGTGCAGTGGCTGGTACCAGCTTTTCCTTTCCATATTTAATGCTTCCTCCAGGAGCTCTTGTAAGACAGGCCTGAGGGTGACAAAATCTCTCAGCATTTGCTTGTCTGTAAAGGATTTTATTTCTCCTTCACTTATGAAGCTTAGTTTGGCTGGATATGAAATTCTGGGTTGAAAATTGTTTTCTTTAAGAATGTTGAATATTGACTCCCATTCTCTTCTGGCATGTAGGGTTTCTGCAGAAAGATCCTCTGTTAGTCCGATGGGCTTCCCTTTATGGGTAACCTGACATTTCTCTCTGGCTGCCCTTAACATTTTTTCCTTCATTTCAACCTTGGTGAATCTGACAATTATGTGTCTTGGGGTTGCTCTTCTTGAGGTGTATCTTTGTGGTGTTCTATGTATTTCCTGTATTTGAATGTTGGCCTGCCTTGCTAGGTTTGGGAAATTCTCCTGGATAACATCCTGCAGAGTGTTTTCCAACTTGGTTCCATTCTCCTCGTCACTTTCAGGTACACCAATCAAACATAGTTTTGGTCTTTTCACATATACCATATTTCTTGGAGGCTTCCTTCATTCCTTTTCATTATTTTTTCTCTAATCTTGTCTTCACGCTTTATTTCATTAAGTTGATCTTCCATCTTTGATACCCTTCTACCGCTTAATCAATTCTGCTGTTGATACTTGTGTATTGTTCATGAAGTTCTCATGCTGTGTGTTTCAGGTCCATCAGGTCATTTATGTTCTTCTCTAAATGGTTATTCTAGTTAGCAATTCCTCTAACTTTTTTTCAAGGTTCTTAGCTTCCTTGCATTGGGTTAGAACATGCTTCTTTAGCTCAGAGGAGTTTGTTATTACCCACCTTCTGAAGCCTACTTCTGTCAATTAATCAAAGTCATGCTCTGTCCAGTTTTGTTCCCTTGCTGGCAAGGAGTTGTGATCCTTTGGAGCAGAAGAGGCATTCTGGTTTTTGGAATTTTCAGCATTTTTGCGCTGCTTTTTCCTCATCTTTGTGGATTTGTCTACCTTTGGTCTTTGATTTTAGTGACCTTCAGATGGGGTTTCTGTGTGGACGTCCTTTTTGTTGATGTTGATGCTATTCCTTTCTGTTTGTTAGTTTTCCTTCTAACAGTCAGGCCCCTCTGCTGCAGGTCTGCTAGAGTTTGCTGGAGGTCCACTCCAGACCCTGTTTGCCTGGGTATCACCAGCGGAGGCTGCAGACCAGCAAAAATTGCTGCCTGCTCCTTTCTCTGGAAGCTTCATCCCAGAGGGGCAACCACCAGATGCCAGCCAGAGCTCTCCTGTATGAGGTATCTGTTGACCCCTGCTGGGAGGTGTCCCCCACCCTAGTCAGGAGGCATGGGGGTCAGGGAACCACTTGAGGAGGCAGTCTTTTCCTTAGCAGAGCTCAAGCACTGTGCTGGGAGATCCACTGCTCTCTTCAGACCCGGCAGGCAGGAACGTTTAAGTCTGCTGAAGCTATGCCCAAAGCTGCCCCTTCCCTGAGGTGCTCTGTCCCAGGGAGATGGGAGTTTTATCTGTAAGCCCCTGACTGGGGCTGCTGCCTTTCTTTCAGAGATGCCCTGCCCAGAGAGGAGGAATCTAGAGAGGCAGTCTGGCTACAGTGGCTTTGTGGTACTGTAGTGGTCTCCACCCAGTCTGAACTTCCCAGCAGCTTTGTTTACACTGTGAGGGGAAAACCACCTACTCAAACCTCAGTAATGGCAGATGCCCCTCCCGCCATCAAGCTCAAGTGTCCCAGGTCAACTTCAGACTGCTGTGCTGGCAGCGAGAATTTCAAGCCAGTGGATCTTAGCTTGCTGGGCTCTGTGGGAGTGGGATCCACTGAGCTAGACCACTTGGCTCCCTGGCTTCAGCCCCCTTTCCAGGCAAGTGAACGGTTCTCTCACTGGTGTTTCATACTCCAGGCACCACTGGGGTATGAAAAAAAAAACACCTGCAGCTAGCTTGGTGTCTGCCCAAATGGCTGCCCAGTTTTGTGCTTGAAACCTAGGGCTCTGGTGGTGTAGGCACCGGAAGGAATCTCCTGGTCTGAAGGTTTTGAAGACAGTGGGAAAAGCATAGTATCTGGGCCAGAGTGCACTGTTCCTCATGGCACATTCCCTCATGGCTTCCCTTGGCTAGGGGAGGGAGTTCCCTGACCCCTTGCACTTTTTGGGTGAGGTGATGCCCCACCCTGCTTCACCTTGCTCTCCATGGGCTGCACCCACTGTCTAACCAATCCCAATGAGATGAGCCAGGTACCTCAGTTGGAAATGCAGAAATCACCCACCTTCTGCATTGATCTCACTGGGAGCTACAGACTGGAGCTGTTCCTATTCGGCCATCTTGCCAGCCACTTCAGTAGTGGCTTAAGAGAAACTGCAAGCAGTGCAAATGTTCTGGGGTAGAGGAAGAGTAAAGGATCATTGAAAATTGAAGGTTGCCTTGCCAGAAAAGAACCTCAGCTGGCCAGCCCCTAAGATGCATTATTATATTCATGTCCTTGTGTTAATCCATTGTACCTACAGTAAATTTCCCTTGCATATTTACTTTGTGCTCTGAAGTGGTAACATTGAAATCTTTATCTATGAACTGATTTCTTATAGACTCTTAATCCAGCATTTCCCAAGCCCATAGGGATTTGGATTTAGGAATGACTGGTTTTGTTTCATAGAGGGATGTGAAGGAATAGATCAAGAAGGTCCTATCTGGGGTGTGTCATACCAAACCCCTATCCACTCCACTGGGGGTGGCACCAGGTTCAAGAGGCCAAAGAAGAGACCCAGAGCCTTGGGTCAAGACATGGGGCTTACATACAGGGCTAACATGTAAGAGAGAATGTCCAGTAGCGGTAGACTGGATAGGAGAACCACTGTTCCAGTGGTGGCAGGCTGGACAGTAGAACCGCAACAGCTTGCAACAACAACAACAAAAAAAGCATGCAGTTTATGTAGCATTTTCACTTAACCACCTTTCCCTAACAACCTCCACCTGGCAACCATCATTCAATCCAGAACTCGGGGCCTCTATTCCCTGTATGGCCTGTGTTCCACAGGATGGGACAGGGGCTCAGATGTTCCTTATAGTCAAGGATGAATCTCTGGGTTGGCCACTTCCAGATTCCCTAGCTCAGAAAAGACATTCAGGTGCATCTGCCATACTGAGTCATTTAGGGTATGCTTAAGTTATTGCTATCAGATACGTTTACCATACAGCTTGCTGGAGATGGAAACAAGGCTCAGGCAGGGTGCCCTAGTGAGGTGTTGTCAGCATTGTTCAGATTTGTTTTAAAGCTCATCAGCTATCTTTAGTGTTACTATATTTTATATGGGGCCCAAGACAATTCTTCTATTTCCAATGTGGTCCAGTGAAGCCAAAAGGTTGGACACCTGTGGTCCAGAAGGTTACTGATGGGGACATATGAAAAGATTAAAAGGACAAAGAATAATGTGGGTGGTGGAAAATGGACTTCTGCAGCTTCACACAGTGTATATGATCTCGTCTCCTGAAACAAGCTATAGGAGAGGAGGAGCTGTGCATTGTTCTTCCCTATATCTGCCATGGTGCTAAGCATGGTGTCTTCAAGCACCTACCAGAGAAAGAGCATACAGACTGTCTTCTTATTAAATTAAACAAGCATTGGTTAAGCACCATCTTTGTGGTTGGCCACCATAAGTACATGTATGATTCAAATGAAATAAGGATATTCATTGATGGTCTCTGTTTTTGAGGAGTTTACAGCTCAACTGAGAACAATTCTAAGCCAATATAAGCCAATGTGTGAAGTGTGGCATGGGTTGTCTAGTTTACTTTGCAAGTAATGAGGTAATTCATTATAGGAGGAAATCCCTCCATTGAATTGTTGGTTCTTAATCTAAACCTTGAGAGAAGGATTTTGATTCACATTGGGAAGATGGCCCATCAGAATCTCTGGCATACAAAGATTTACTGGATGAGTTCCAAGCAGGAGAAACTGCATAGGCAAGGCTATAGGCTGGAAAAGCCAAGAATCATAGACTCTCAGGATTGGGAGTGTAAGGGACACTGCTGGTTGCCCCTTCCTCCTTATTAACAACCCCAATTTTTTCAGTTATCCATCTTCCTCCAAATGGTCACGCACTTTGAGGGAGTCTTGGCCCTTCCCAGAATCAACCAGTAGGTCTCAAATCCAAGCCATCATAGTGTTGTGGTTCCTTGTCAGTGATTACTTTAGGTGTAGATATATGACCTAATTCTGGTCAAAGAAATGTGAGGGTGATTTGCCACAGGACTTCTGGGAAAAGCTTTCCTCATCACAAGAAAGCCCCTCTTCTTCCCTGGACATTTCCTGGGTAATGGCTCCACTGGCCAGGGTAGGGAAGGTAAAGTTGGATGTAGGGCAAAGTGAGGAGTTTGGATTGGGTCAGGGATCATGATGCACTTTCCAGTGGGGTAGACTCTAATTTCAAAGCAAGTTTTGAGGATGTTAATTCTCAAGAGGACTAAAGAGGAGAGCCCACAGGGAACTACAGTACTAACCGAAGCATGAGGAGGGAAGAGCCTGATGAGTTCCTAGATGTGGAAATGAGAGATGGAAATCCAAGAGGCCAAGAAAGAGGAGTCTGTGGTATGTGAGGGTGAGCTGGATGTGAAGGTAAAAGTGAGAGGAAGAATTGTCAGATTGTGAACTGTGTTGTGGTGGACTGACGGTTGTGGGAAGTTGAGCTTGGGCTCCAGAAATGGAACAATGATTAAAACAACTACTACCACCTACTTTTACTGAGTGGCCAGTACTCAGTAAAAGATAATAAAGTTGTCTTTATTATCTTTGAATCATACAACAGTCCTAGGAGGTGAGAGTGCATTATTGTCCTTAGACAAGCGGTTCAGAGGAGGCAGAGACTTGCCTAAGGCCATATGACAAGCAAGTAGCAGTATTCAAACCTGAATCTATTCTATTCCAACGTCTTTCCTTGTTCCATATTGAAATCCCTCAATCCTATATTGTTAAAACTCAGCATTTCTGAATTATGTGTGTCCCCATAAATATGCTCCCTCTCCCCAAACAACCACAAGAAAGCAAACACATTCCTAAAGTGAATGAAATCAGCAACAGGTATCTGCAGGAGTCTATGTGCATCAGTCTCAGGGCTAGAGTCCCTTGCAGGGACATGGGGTGAAATGGATTTGTGAATTTCCATGCCACATCAAGGTGCCATGTTAAAGAGCCTCAGCAAGAAAGCCAGGGCTTGCACCTTGGGCAGGTTCTTCAGACCTGCACAGGCAGAGCCTTGTAAGTACACACCAAACACTTCATGGAGCTCCTGCTCCCAAGATGCCCCCTTAAGTAGGTGTCAGGATGTTTAATGGCCTCCACATTTTGAAACCTCCCTGCACAGCTTGTGGAGCACTCTAGCCAATACAGATGTTACTTGTGTGCCCCCTGCAGCCCACTCCTGAACACTCCTAGACAACTCCCTGCACTGGGTTCCAAGACAGGCTGAGAAATTGCCTCCTAAGAGGCCTTTGAAAAGAAAGATCTCTTCAGCAAGCCTGACATGGGAACAGATGGAATTGATTAGCTTTTAAGAGACCCTTGAGCTCTGCATTTCTGCAGCTTTGCCTTTCCTAGTAGCATACACTGAGAGGTTCATGAAGCTATAAATTAATCAGCTCAAATCAAGGCCAAGGGGAAAAATGACTCCCTGCCCCACGGGCAGGGCATGGGCACAAATCAGTGGAAATGACAGGACTAGAACTCAGGCCTCCTGCCTCTTATTTCAAAAGTCTTTACTCCTCTCCATTGTGCACAGTGATAGTTATTCCCTCCACTATTTGAATCAAACTTAATTTGCAATTATTATATTTAATGCATATTTAATATTATATATAATATTATATTTATGTAGCACTTCGAACTGTTTTTTTTTATTATACTTTAAGTTTTAGGGTACATGTGCACATTGTGCAGGTTAGTTACATATGTATACATGTGACATGCTGGTGTGCTGCACCCACTAACTCGTCATCTAGCATTAGGTGTATCTCCCAATGCTATCCCTCCCCCATCCCCCCACCCCACAACAGTCCCCAGAGTGTGATATTCCCCTTCCTGTGTCCATGTGATCTCATTGTTCAATTCCCACCTATGAGTGAGAATATGCGGTGTTTGGTTTTTTGTTCTTCCGATAGTTTACTGAGAATGATGATTTCCAATTTCATCCATGTCCCTACAAAGGACATGAACTCATCATTTTTTATGGCTGCATAGTATTCCATGGTGTATATGTGTCACATTTTCTTAATCCAGTCTATCATTGTTGGACATTTGGGTTGGTTCCAAATCTTTGCTATTGTGAAAAATGCTGCAATAAACATACGTGTGCATGTGTCTTTATAGCAGCATGATTTATAATCCTTTGGGTATATACCCAGTAATGGGATGGCTGGGTCAAATGGTATTTCTAGATCTAGATCCCTGAGGAATCGCCACACTGACTTCCACAATGGTTGAACTAGTTTACAGTCCCACCAACAGTGTAAAAGTGTTCCTATTTCTCCACATCCTCTCCAGCACCTGTTGTTTCCTGACTTTTTAATGATGGCCATTCTAACTGGTGTGAGATGGTATCTCATTGTGGTTTTGATTTGCATTTCTCTGATGGCCAGTGATGATGAGCATTTTTTCATGTGTTTTTTGGCTGCATAAATGTCTTCTTTTGAGAAGTGTCTGTTCATGTCCTTCGCCCACTTTTTGATGGGGTTGTTTGTTTTTTTCTTGTAAATTTGTTTGAGTTCATTGTAGATTCTGGATATTAGCCCTTTGTCAGATGAGTAGGTTGCGAAAATTTTCTCCCATTCTGTAGGTTGCCTGTTCACTCTGATGGTAGTTTCTTTTGCTGTGCAGAAGCTCTTTAGTTTAATTAGATCCCATTTGTCAATTTTGTCTTTTGTTGCCATTGCTTTTGGTGTTTTGGACATGAAGTCCTTGCTCATGCCTATGTCCTGAATGGTAATGCCTAGGTTTTCTTCCAGGGTGAACTCAAATACAATGCTGCCAAGTGCCCTGTGCAACAGACAAGGCAGCCCCCTTCCACACAAGGAAATAGACAATTCAGGAAATTCACTGACTCCCCAAACCTGTACAAATAGAGATATAGCTGAATCTAGGGTTGGAGTTTCTATTTGCCTCCAGGACTCTTTCTGCTACTAAGCTATAAACTTCCAGTGGTCAGGAGACAAATTTGTTTGCTCATCATTTTATACCCAGCAGCTAGCACAGGGCCTTCCATACAGTTCTTGTCAGATGGAAGGAAGGATGGATGGAAGGAGTAGTGGATAGATAGAAGAAGTTTTATTTTTCTGATGACTTCCAATAGAATCCTAGAGGAGTGAGCTTCTATTATCCATGGCTCCCTACTTAAAGACAGAGCTCTAACTCTATAACTTTGTTTAAAATGCATTGCATGTTAAATTTTTAAAACATGAATGTAAAAAGTAAATGTAAAAAGTGTAAAAATTCCTTTAAGGATCTTCAGCAAGAAGACTTGCATAGGGCTTAGTGGGCACTCAGTAAATGTTTCTGAAACTTAATTGGATTTAAATGCTAGGATGGCGAGATAAAAGTACTTTCAAAAAGTTTCTGTTACCAGGATAAAGGATAGACTTTATCCCTTATTTGCAAAGTAACTTTATCCCCAAATCCAGCCTATCAGCTGGGGAGAAATCAATAGCTAGAGTGAAATGAGATTATGTCCTACACTTCCAGAATCCTTGGTTCTGGAAAATTAATAATAATGTCCAGTCCTCATCACAAATGAGGTTCCATAGATTGCCCTGGCCTGCTGCTGCAGGATGAACCCTGGATAAGCCAATCTGTGCTTCCCACGTGCAGCCAAGTGGACGACATAGATGTGATGTTGGCATGGTAACATTTTTACTGACTGGAAGAACAGATGAAGGTAGGGTGAACCTCCTTGGATTGTAAGGGGGTGGGAGTGGAGGTAAGAAGTAGTAAGGAGCAGAGAAAATTACCTTTTACTAGACAAAGATGCAGGAAGCTTGAATTCAAGTAATAGCAGGACAAATACAGGTAAAATGCTGGCTAAAATAATTAAGATAAATAGGTAAATGATTTTGATTATTGAACTGAGAGGGCAGTGTTTGAGAGTAAACCTCTACCTAGGCCAGTGGTTTTAAACCTTCGTTAAGAATTCACTTATGAAAAATTAGACTCCAGCTCTCTTGCCAATTCTGATTCACTGTGTCAGGAGTAGGGCCCAAACTCTCCATTTTAAAACTACTTACAAGTTCTTCTCCTGCAAGAAGCTTATTCTCCACACAAGTAACAGATGGGCCATATTTTCTTAAACATTACCCTGGGAAAACAAAAGCCTCAGAGAGCAAACCCAAGTGGAAGTCCACTCAACTATTCTCACTTTGTATCCCTATGGAATAGGGATATAAGGAAACAAAAAATATTTGCACAGTTGTGCAGCGTGTGTTTTAAGCTAAGTGTTATTATTATTATTATTATTATTTTGAGATATAGTCTTGCTCTGTTGCCCAGGCTGGAGTGCAGTGGCATGATCTCGGCTCACTGCAACCTCCACCTCATAGGTTTAAGCAGTTCTCCTGCCTCAGTCTCCCGAGTAGCTGGGATTACAGGCATGCGCCACCCTGCCCCACTAATTTTTGTATTTTTAGTAGAGGAGGGGTTTTGCCACGTTGGCCAGGCTGGTCTCGAATGCCTGACCTCAGGTGATCTGTGAGCCTCAGCTTCCCACAATGCTGGGATTACAGGCGTAAGCCACCTCGCCCAGCCTAAGCTAAGTGTTATTTAAAAAGAGTCAAAGAGAAAAAAATTAACTTAAAAGTGTATAAAGTAGAAAAGTCACAGTAAGCTAAGGTTAATTTATTATTAAAGAAATTTTTTTTGAAAAAAATTTAGTGTAGCCTAAGTATACAGTGTTATAAAGTCTACATTAGTATACAGTAATGTCCTGGGTCATCACATTCACTCATCTCTCACTGACTCACCCAGAGCAACTTCCAGTTCTGCAAATTTCATTCATTTTAGGTGTCCTATACAGGTGCACCATTTTACATATATATATATATATATATATATATATACACACACACACACACCTCATTTTTACCATACTTTTTTAATGTTTGGGTGTTCAGATAGTAACAAATATTTACTATTTTGTTATAATTACATACAGTAGTCAGTACAGTAACATGATGTACATGTTTGTAGCCTAGGAGCAATAGGCTATGCCACGTAGCCTAGGTGTGTAATAGGCTATACCACGTAGCGTAGGTGTGTAATAGGCTATATCATGTAGCCTAGGTGTGTAATAGGCTATACCATCTAGGTTTGTGTAAGTGCACTTTACAGTGTTCACACAATGATGAAATTGTCTAATTATGCATTTTCCAAAACATACATCCACTGTGACTGTATTTTGTTGAAGATTTTTATATCTGTGTTCATCAAGGATATTAGCCTGTAGTCTTCTTTTCTTTGTAGTGTCCTCGTCTGGCTTTAGTATCAAAGTAATGCTGGCCTTGTAAATGAGTTTGGAAGTATTTCCTCCTCTTTTTGGAAGAATTTGAGAAAGATTGACATTAGCTCTTCTTTAAATATTTGGTAGAATTCAACAGTGAAGCTGTCTGGTCCTGGGTTTTTCTTTGATGGTTGACTTTTGATCACTGATTCAATCTCCTTACTCACTCTTAGATCTGTTCATATTTTCTATTTCTTCATGATTCAGTCTTGGCAGGTACTATGTTGCCAAGAATTCATCCATTTCTTGTAGATTATCCAATTCTTTGATATATAATTGTTCATAACAGTCTTTTATGATCTTTTGTATTTCTGTAGTATCAGCTGTAATATCTTCTCTTTCATTTCTGATTTTGAGTCTTCTCTCTTTTTTTCATAGTATAGCTAAGGGTTTGTCAATTTTGCTTATCTTTTCAAAAAACCCAACTCTTAGTTTTGTTGATCTTTTCTATTATTTTTCTAGTCTTTATTTACTTCTGTTCTTATCTTTGTTATTTCCTTTCTTATGCTAACTTTGGGCTCAGTTTTTTCTTTTTCTAGTTCCTTGAGGTATAAGATTAGGTTACTTGTTTGTGAGTCTTTTTTTTTTTGGAGACCCCATCTTGCTCTGTCACCCAGGCTGGAGTGCAATGATGCGATCTCAGCTCACTGCAACCTCTGCCTCCTGGGTTCAAACGATTCTCCCACCTCAGCCTCCTGAGTAGCCAGGATTACAGTCGCCTGAAACATGCCCGGCTAATTTTTTAGTAGAGACGGGGTTTTGCCATGTTGGCCAGGCTGGTCTGGAACTCCTGACCTCAGTTGATCCGCCCACCTTGGTCTCCCAAAATGCTGGGGTTACAGGCGTAAGCCACCACGCCAGAGCCCTTTCTTCTTTTTTGATGTAGGAGTTTATTGCTATAAACTTTCCTCTTAGAATTGCTTTTGTTGCATCTCATATGTTACATTATGCTATGTTTCCAGTTTCATTTATCTCAAGATATTTTTAAATTTCCCTTTTTAAATTGCTTCTTTGACCTAAGGGTTGTTCAGAGAATGTTGTTTAATTTCCACGTATTTCAATTTTCCAAAATTCCTCCTGTTACTGATTTCTAGTTTTATATCATAGTGATTAGAAAAGATACTTTCCATAGATAGGATTTCAACATCCTTAAATTTGTTAAGACCTGTTTTATGGCCTAACATATGATCTATCCAGGAGAATGTTCTGTATGCATTGGAGAAGAATGTGTATTCTGTTGCAGTTGGAAGAAATGTTCTGTATATATCTGTAGATCCATTTTGTTCAAAGTGTAATTCAAGTCGAATGTTATTTATTTTCTGTCTGATCTGTCTATTATTGAAAGTTGGAGATTGAGGTCTTCTGCTATTATTGTATTGCAGTCTATCTCACCCTTCAGATATTTTAATATTTGCTTTATATATTTAAGTTCTCCAAGGTTAGGTGCAAATATATTTATAGAAGTTACACCCTCTTGATGAATTGACTCCTTTATCATTATATAATGATCTTCTTTGTCTCTTTTTTACAGTTTTTGATTTAATATCTATACTGTTCTGTCTGATATAACTAACCCTGTTCTTCTTTGGTTTACATTTGCGTGGAATATCTTTTTCCATCCCTCCACTTTCAGTTTCTGGTTTTTTTTTGGTTTGGTTTTTTTTAATTATACTTTAAGTTTTAGGGTACATGTGCACAATGTGCAGGTTTGTTACATATGTATACATGTGCCATGTTGGTGTGCTGCACCCAGTAACTCGTCATTTAATATTAGGTATATCTCCCAGTGCTATGCCTCCCCCCTCCCCCCACCCAAAAATAGGCCCCGGTGTGTGATGTTCCCCTTCCTGTGTCCATGTGTTCTCATTGTTCAATTCCCACCTATGAGTGAGAACATGTGACAGTTTGCTCAGAATGATGGTTTCCAGCTTCATCCATGTCCCTACAAAGGACATGAACTCATCATTTTTTATGGCTGCATAGTATTCCATGGTGTATATGTGCCACATTTTCTTAATCCATTCTATCATTGTTGGACATTTGGGTTGGTTCCAAGTCTTTGCTATTCTGAATAGTGCCACAATAAACATGCGTGTGCATGTGTCTTTATAGCAGCATGATTTATAATCCTTTGGGTATATACCCAGTAATGGGATGCCTGGGTCAAGTGGTATTTCTAGTTCTAGATCCCTGAGGAATTGCCACACTGACTTCCACAATGGTTGAACTAGTTTACAGTCCCACCAACAGTGTAAAAGTGTTCCTATTTCTCCACATCCTCTCCAGCACCTGTTGTTTCCTGACTTTTTAATGATGGCCATTCTAACTGGTGTGAGATGGTATCTCATTGTGGTTTTGATTTGCATTTCTCTGATGGCCAGTGATGATGAGCATTTCTTGATGTGTCTTTTGGCTGCATAAATGTCTTCTTTTGAGAAGTGTCTGTTCATATCCTTCACCCACTTGTTGATGGGGTTGTTTGTTTTTTTCTTGTAAATTTGTTTGAGTTCTTTGTAGATTCTGGATATTAGCCCTTTGTCAGATGAGTAGAATGCAAAAATTTTCTCCCATTCTGTAGGTTGCCTGTTCACTCTGATGGTAGTTTCTTTTGCTGTGCAGAAGCTCTTTAGTTTAATTAGATCCCATTTGTCAATTTTGGCTTTTGTTGCCATTGCTTTTGGTGTTTTAGACATGAAGTCCTTGCACATGCCTATGTCCTGAATGGTATGCCTAGGTTTTCTTCTAGGGTTTTTATGGCTTTAGGTCTAACATTTAAGTCTTTAATCCATCTTCAATTAATTTTTGTATAAGGTGTAAGGAAGGGATCCAGTTTCAGCTTTCTACATATGGCTAGCCAGTTTTCCCAGCACCATTTATTAAATAGGGAATCCTTTCCCCATTTCTTGTTTTTGTCAGGTTTCTCAAAGATCAGATGGTTGTAGATAAGCAGCATTATTTCTGAGGGCTCTGTTCTGTTCCATTGGTCTATATCTCTGTTTTGGTTCCAGTACCATGCTGTTTTGGTTACTGTAGCCTTGTAGTATAGTTTGAAGTCAGGTAGCGTGATGCCTCCAGCTTTGTTCTTTTGGCTTAGGATTGTCTTGGCAATGCAGGCTATTTTTTGGTTCCATATGAACTTTAAAGTAGTTTTTTCCAATTCTGTGAAGAAAGTCATTGGTAGCTTGATGGGGATGGCATTGAATGTATAAATTACCTTGGGCACTATGGCCATTTCCATGATATTGATTCTTCCTATCCATGAGCATGGAATGTTCTTCCATTTTTTTGTATCCTCTTTTATTTCATTGAGCAGTGGTTTGTAGTTCTCCTTGAAGAGGTCCTTCATGTCCCTTGTAAGTTGGATTCCTAGGTATTTTATTCTCTTTGAAGCATTTGTGAATGGGAGTTCACTCATGATTTGGCTCTCTGTCTGTTATTGGTGTATAAGAATGCTTGTGATTTTTGCACATTGATTTTGTATCCTGAGATTTTGCTGAAGTTGCCTGTCAGCTTAAGGAGATTTTGGGCTGAGACAATGGGGTTTTCTAGATATACAATGTCATCTGCAAACGGGGACAATTTGACGTCCTCTTTTCCTAATTGAATACCCTTTATTTCCTTCTCCTGCCTGATTGCCCTGGCCAGAACTTCCAACACTATGTTGAATAGGAGTGGTGAGAGAGGGCATCCCTGTCTTGTGCCAGTTTTCAAAGGGAATGCTTCCAGCTTTTGCCCATTCAGTGTAATATTGGCTGTGGGTTTGTCATAGACAACCCTTATTATTTTGAGATATGTCCCATCAATACCTAATTTATTGAGAGTTTTTAGCATGAAGGGTTATTTAATTTTGTTGAATTTTTCTGCATCTATTGAGATAATCATGTGGTTTTTGTCTTTGGTTCTGTTTATATGCTAGATTACAGTTATTGATTTGCATATGTTGAACCAGCCTTGCATCCCAGGGATGAAGCCCACTTGATCATGGTGGATAAGCTTTTTGATGTGTTGCTGGATTCAGTTTGCCAGTATTTTATTGAGGAATTTTGCATCGATGTTCATCAGGGATATTGGTCTAAAATTCTCTTTTTTTGTTGTGTCTCTGCCAGGCTTTGGTATCAGGATGATGCTGGCCTCATAAAATGAGTTAGGGAGGATTCCCTCTTTTTCTATTGATTGGAATAGTTTCAGAAGGAATGGTACCAGCTCCTCCCTGTATCTCTGGTAGAATTCGGCTGTGAATCCATCTGGTCCTGGACTTTTTTTGGTTGGTAAGCTATTAATTATTGCCTCAATTTCAGAGCCTGTTATTGGTCCATTCAGAGATTCAACTTCTTCCTGGTTTAGTCTTGGGAGGGTGTATGTGTCGAGGAATTTATCCATTTCTTCCAGATTTTCTAGTTTATTTGCGTAGAGGTGTTTGTAGTATTCTCTGATGGTAGTTTGTATTTCTGTGGGATTGGTGGTGATATCCCCTTTATCATTTTTTATTGCGTCTATTTGATTCTTCTCTCTTTTCTTCTTTATTAGTCTCGCTAGCAGTCTATCAATTTTGTTGATCTTTTCCAAAAAACTACTCTTGGATTCATTGATTTTTTGAGGGGTTTTTTGTGTCTCTCTCTCCTTCAGTTCAGCTCTGATCTTAGTTATTTCTTGCCTTCTGCTAGCTTTTGAATGTGTTTGCTCCTGCTTCTCTAGTTCTTTTAATTGTGATGTTAGGGTATCAATCTTAGATCTTTCCTGCTTTCTCTTGTGGGCATTTAGTGCTATAAATTTCCCTCTACACACTGCTTTGAATGTGTCCCAGAGATTCTGGCATGTTGTGTCTTTGTTCTCGTTGGTTTCAAAGAACATCTTTATTTCTGCCTTCATTTTGTTATGTACCTAGTAGTCATTCAGGAGCAGTTTGTTCAGTTTCCATGTAGTTGAGCGGTTTTGAGTGAGTTTCTTAATCCTGAGTTCTAGTTTGATTGCACTGTGGTCTGAGAGACAGTTTGTTATAATTTCTGTTCTTTTACATTTGCTGAGGAGTGCTTTACTTCCAACTATGTGGTCAATTTTGGAGTAGGTGTGGCACGGTGCTGAAAAGAATGTATATTCTGTTGATTTGGGGTGGAGAGTTCTGTAGATGTCTATTAGGTCCACTTGGTGCAGAGCTGAGTTCAATTCCTGGGTATCCTTGTTAACTTTCTGTCTCATTGATCTGTCTAATGTTGACAGTGGGATGCTAAACTCTCCCATTATTATTGTGTGGGAGTCTAAGTCTCTTTGTAGGTCTCTAAGGACTTGCTTTATGAATCTGGGTGCTCCTGTATTCAGTGCATATATACTTAGGATAGTTAGCTTTTCTTGTTGAATTGATCCCTTTACCATTATGTAATGGCCTTCTTTGTCTCTTTTGATTTTTGTTGGTTTAAAGCCTGTTTTATCAGAGATTAGGATTGCAACCCCTGCCTTTTTTTGTTTTCCATTTGCTTGGTAGATCTTCCTCCATCCCTTTATTTTAAGCCTATATGTGTCTATGCACGTGAGATGGGTTTCCTGAATACAGCACACTGATGGGTCTTGACTCTTTATCCAATTTGCCAATCTGTGTCTTTTAATTGGAGCATTTAGTCCATTTACATTTAAGGTTGATATTGTTATGTGTGAATTTGATCTTGTCATTATGATGTTAGCTGGTTAGTTTGCTTGTTAGTTGATGCAGTTTCTTCCTAGCCTCGATGGTCTCTACATTTTTGTGTGTTTGTGCAGTGGCTAGTACTGGTTGTTCCTTTCCATGTTTAGTGCTTCCTTCAGGAGCTCTTGTAGGGCAGGCCTGGTGGTGACAAAATCTCTCAGCATTTGCTTGTCTATGAAGTATTTTATTTCTCCTTCACTTATGAAGCTAGTTTGGCTGGATATGAAATTCTGGCTTGAAAATTCTTTTCTTTAAGAATGTTGAATATTGGCCCCCACTCTCTTCTGGCTTGTAGAGTTTCTGCCAAGAGATCAGCTGTTAGTCTGATGGGCTTCCCTTTGTGGGTAACCCAACCTTTCTCTCTGGCTGCCCTCAACATTTTTTCCTTCATTTCAACTTTGGTGAATCTGACAATTATGTGTCTTGGAGTTGCTCTTCTCAAGGATTATCTTTGTGGCATTCTCTGAATTTGAATGTTGACCTTCCTGACTAGATTGGGGAAGTTCTCATGTATAATATCCGGCAGAGTATTTTCCAACTTGGTTCCATTCGCCCCGTCACTTTCAGGTACACCAGTCAGACATAGATTTGGTCTTTTCACATAGTCCCATATTTCTTGGAGGCTTTGTTCGTTTCTTTTTATTCTTTTTTCTCTAAACTTCTCTTCTCACTTCATTTCATTCATTTGATCTTCCATCACTGATACCCTTTCTTCCAGTTGATCCAATCAGCTACTGAGGCTTGTGCATTCGTCACGTAGTTCTCGTGCCTTGGTTTTCAGCTCCATCAGGTCCTTTAAGGATTTCTCTGCATTGGTTATTCTAGGAAGCCATTTGTCTAATCTTTTTTCAAGGTTTTTAACTTCTTTGCCATGGGTTCGAACTTCCTCCTTTAGCTCAGAGTAGTTTGATCATCTGAAGCCTTCTTCTCTCAACCTGTCAAAGTCATTCTCTGTCCAGCTTTGTTCCATTGCTGGTGAGGAGCTGCGTTCCTTTGGAGGAGGAGAGGCACTCTGATTTTTAGAGTTGCCAGTTTTTCTGCTCTGTTTTTTCCCCATCTTTGTGGTTTTATCTACCTTTGGTCTGTGATGATGGTGACGTACAGATGGGGTTTGGTGTGGATGTCCTTTCTGTTTGTTAGTTTTCCTTCTAACAGTTAGGACCCTCAGCTGCAGGTCTGTTGGAGTTGCTGGAGGTCCACTCCAGACCCTGTTCGCCTGGGTATCAGCAGCAGAGGCTGCAGAACAGCAGATATTGGTGAACAGCAAATGTTGCTGCCTGATCGTTCCTCTGGAAGTTTTGTCTCACAGGGGTACCCAGCCATGTGAGGTGTCAGTCTGCCCCTACTGGATGTTGCCTCCCAGTTAGGCTATTTGGGGGTCAGGGACCCACTTGAGGAGGCAGTCTGGCCATTCTCAGATGTAAGCTGTGTGCTGGGAGAACCACTACTATCTTCAACGCTGTCAGACAGAGACATTTAAGTCTGCAGAGGTTTCTGCTGCCTTTTGTTTGGCATTGCCCTGCCCCGAGAGGTGGAGTCTACAGAGGCAGGCAGGCCTCCTTGGGCTGCAGTGGGCTCCACCCAGTTCGAGCTTCCCGGCTGCTTTGTTTACCTACTCAAGCCTCAGCAAGAGTGGGCATTCCTCCCCCAGCCTCGCTGCCACCTTGCAGTTTGATCTCAGACTGCTGTACTAGCAATGAGCAAGGCTCCATGGGCATAGGACCCTCCGAGCCATGCACGGGATATAATCTCCTGGTGTGCCATTTGCTAAGACTGTTGGAACAGCGCAGTATTAGGGTGGGAGTGACCCGATTTTCCAGGTGCCGTCTGTCACCCCTTTCTTTGACTAGGAAAGGGAACTCCCTGACCCCTTGTGCTTCCTGGGTGAGGCAATGCCTCGCCCTGCTTCGGCTCATGCTCGGTGCGCTGCACCCACTGTCCTGCATCCACTTTCTGACACTCCCCAGTGAGATGAACTCGGTACCTCAGTTGGAAATGCAGAAATCATACGTCTTCTCTGTTGCTCACGCTGGGAGCTGTAGACTGGAGCAGTTCCTATTAGGCCCTCTTGGCTCCACCCTCTCCTTTTTTTTTTTTTTTTTGAGACAGAGTTTTGCCCTTGTTGCCCAGGCTGGAGTGCAATGGCACGATCTCACCTCACTGCAACCTCTGCCTCCTGGGTTCAAGCAATTCTCTTACCTCGGTCTCCCTCGGTAACTGAGATTA
The DNA here is from genome assembly GCF_000001405.40 of Homo sapiens. Taxonomy (NCBI): domain Eukaryota; kingdom Metazoa; phylum Chordata; class Mammalia; order Primates; family Hominidae; genus Homo; species Homo sapiens. The sequence goes on along the minus strand of NC_000011.10, from coordinate 86,525,738 downwards.
TATGCACCTGCCACCACACACGGCTAATTTTTGTATTTTAGTAGAGATGGGGTTCACCATGTTGGTCAGGCTGGTCTTGAACTCCTGACCTCAGGTGATCCACCCACCTTGGCCTCCCAGAGTGCTGGGACTACAGGCGTGAGCCACTGCACCCGGCCTCTGTGTGTTCTTAAAGGTGAACTGAATCTTTTGTAGGCAAAATATAGTGGGTCTTTTTTTTTTTTTTTAAACCATTCAGCCACGTTAGCCTTTTGATAGGAGAATTAATTCATTTACATTCAAAGTAATTATTGATAAGTAAGGACTCACTACTGCCATTTTTTTAATGGTTTCCTGGTTATTTTGTGGATCCTCTGTTCCTTTCTTCCTCTCTTGCTGTTGTGGTTTGACTGTTTTCTGTCAACATCAAAAGTTTCTGTTAGAAACTTTTCTTCAAAGAATTAGGTATTTGAATAGAAATGTATCAGGCATTGTGCTCACTACTTTTCATATATTATCTTTAATTGTCACTGCTCTATTGGAAACATTTCATTGCCCCTATTTTACAGATGAGAAAACTGAGGCTCAACTGTAGTCATTTGTCAAGGTCACTACTAACCAGATGACCTAGAATTTGGGTCTAAGTCTGTCTGACTGTCTGCTCTGAAGCTTCCCAATAATATCAATGTTTTGCAAGTTGGAGTGGGTCTCACTGGAACTTATCCCTGACCAGAGACACACACATCTTTTCTCAATCATTTCAAAGCAAATACTTTTTTGGCCTTTAACTTTCCTGATCTTGAATGTTCTGAGATTCCTTCCTTTCGAGGGATTTGTAGTTTGGAGGCGGAACTTAGTCAAAACAACACATTAGATCAAATGTGTGCTTCTCCCCTTCCCCCTGCTTAATTGCATCTGATGAGTAATCCTTTCAGACATATAATTCCAGGCACTTAGCTGTCTCTTACATTTGCTTCCAGGGATCATGGTCCCTGAAGTTTAAGCATATGTTTTCCCAGTGAACTTCTGTGCACTTTGAAAACTGCATTCTGTTCTCTCTTATTAAATTCCAGCTTTCATAACTAATATGCAATGATAGCTCCAGAAATGTTTATCTGGTAAATTAAAGTGGGTGGGGTCTTCCACTTACAAATTACTTCAGGATAGGACTCAGATGCCTGCCCATAGAACTGCCTCATAAATGCTAGCATAAAATGGATTCGAGCTTTTACAATTTCAGCTTTTTCTTGGTTTAGGGGACTATTATCTTGGTGTATCTTCACAGGGTTCTGAGCTCCTAGCCTATTTCTTAAACTGAGGCTGCAGATTTATGATTCAGTGGAAAAAAATGTGTGACTACTTCTCAAACCTGCTTTGGAAAAACAAGCAGATAGGATGTTTTTCTCTCCTTATCTTGTAGTTACATGTAAATAAATGACTCATTGGCTGCGCCTCTGAGTCAGGGGGACAGTAATTTCAGAATCGCAGGTTTGATGATTATTTGCTTTGGATATCAAATGTTTGTATTAGAACAGAGACACATTCCAAACAACTTACTGCCCAGAGACCCAGATTCACTAGAGGCCTTCTAGACGTCAGGAAGGTGTTTGTTTTATAAAGTGGAGGCATGTGTGGGTCTGTGCCATGTTCACAGCCATAAAAGAAAGTGAAGAGTGTTAAGTGTGACTTTTCAGGGAAAGGGGCCTAAAGCCTCTGATTATTATTTCTGAAGGAGTAAATATTTTAGTAGAAAAAGAAACTTCTTTGTACCAACTCTCTCTGAGTTTCTTGGCACATTTTAATATTCTAAGTAACAGCTGAAACTACATTAACTTTCTCTGTTCTAATTGGAAACATCTGTGACTTGTGGAATTAGAATTTTTAGATTCTGAAGTGATATTCTATTTGGACAGAGGTGTCAATTTCAGCTGAAATTTCCTTCTATTCCGCCTTTTTTCCCCCTCCTGATTATAAAATGTTCAGTCAGCTAATGATGTGATGGAGGTTCAAGGCCTTCTTCATCAGCTTTTCCATGTACTCACGATTTTTAGTGAAAATTGCATGTATACTTCTTCAGCTATTTGCACACCTTATCAGCATTCTTCTTATTCAAGAAGAACAGATGGAGAAACTCTTTCAACTCTTGGAACTCAACTGGAACAATTATTTTCTGCCAAAAATAAAATCTCATAATCAAAAAAGAGGATAGAGCAATATCTGAGATTTGCAAATTCCAGGAAGAAAAAAAAGAGTACAAACAATTAGAAACCTATTTCAGTTTTTCTCTGTGTTAATAGAAGCCTGTCTTCTATAGGGCTTAGTGTTTTACAATCATCACCTGAAACTCCAACAAGAAAGGCAAGAAGGCACAATGGTTTCTTACCTGCTTTCCCTTACTACTTTGCCAACTTACCTCAGTGATATTACCTCATTTTATTGAGCTTCGTTAATCTCAGGTGTAAATGAGGACAACAACATATACCTCCCAGACTTGTGGCAGTAAGTAAATGGCATAGCATTTATAAAATGTTCCCAATGGGAGCTAAATAAATGTTGGCTTCTTTTTTTCTTCTTTCTTACTTTTTACATATGGCAACTAAGGCAATAATGACATGACTTGCCTCAGTCCAAAGATCAGGTCTTCAAGGAGCCAACAGTAGGACTGAGGTTTGCTGGTTTAACACCTTTAAGTCTCCCTCCATAGAGTTTGGCAAAGAGTGAATTGAAGACTACCAAAAAGTCATGAAGGGCAAAAGACTGTGGGTGATATATAATCAACCTCCCAGACCCCCTTCCCCCCGGATACCAAAATCCATGGATGCTCAAATCCCTGATATAAAATGGTATAGTATTTGCATATAACATACATATCCTACAATATACTTTAAATCATCTCTAGATTACTTACTATATCTAATACAATGTAAATTCTACGTAAATAGTTGTTACAAGACTTGGAACCAACCCAAATGCCCATCAGTGATAGACTGGATAAAGAAAATGTGGCACATATACACCATGGAATACTATGCAGCCATAAAAAAGAATGAGATTGTGTCCTTTGCAGGGATATGGATGAAGCTGGAAGCCATCATTCTCAGCAAACTAACACAGAAACAGAAAACCAAACTCCACATGTTCTCGCTCACATGTGGGAGTTGAACAGTGAAAACACACAGACACAGGGAGGGGAATAACATACACTGGGGCCTGTCGGCGGGTCAAGGAGGGGGCGGGGTAAGGGAAGGGATAGCATTAGGACAAATACCTAATGCATGTGGGGCTTAAAACCTAGATGACAGGTTGACAGGTGCAGCAAACCACCATGGCACATGTATACCTATGTAACAATACATTCTGCACATATATCCTAGAACCTAATGTAAAAAAAAAAAAAAGAAAAAAATAGTCATTACACTACATTTTTAATTTGTGTTATTTTTTACCATTTTTTTAATTGGCCTTTTTTTCTTAATCTGGTTTTTTGTTTGTTTGTTTGTTTGTTTGTTTGAGACAGAGTCTTGTTCTGTCACCCAGGCTGGAGTGCAATGACGCAGTCTTGGCTCACTGCAACCTCTGCCTCCCGAGTTCAAGCAATTCTCCTACCTCAGCCTCCTGAGTAGCTGGGACTACAGGTGCGTGCCACCACACCCAGCTAATTTTTGTATTTTTAGTAGAGATGGGGTTTTGCCATGTTGGCCAGGCTTGTCTCAAACTCCTGACCTTAGGTGATCTACCAACTTCGGCCTCCCAAAGTACTGGGATTACAGGTATGAGTCACCATGCCCGGCCTTTTTTCCTAGTATTTTCAATCCACAGTAGGTTGAATCCAAGATGTAGAACCTGTGGATATGGATGGCCAACTGTAAGCCACTTCACAGAGGCTTTGTGTTATTACCAGGATTTTAATTAATGACTACACAGGGAAAGGACTCAAAATAATGCTAAGAGAATGAGCTTGACTTTCTATAGTAGACACCTAGAAAATGTAGTTTTGAAATTAGTAGACTGGATCTACAGATCAGTGAGTTTTTGAGAGTGAAAAGAAAAATAAATAATTGTGTTAATAATTGTGTCAAGACACAGGGAAACTAAAGTATGTGGTTGCCCTGTCCATGAACCATAGCATGAAATTCTGTGTCTCTTGGAGAGGCAGTGACATTCATACCTTTGACAAACATTTCTTAAATTCCACCTGAAAATTTAAAGAGAGGCTCCTTTACGACTGACTTTGTACATGTATTATTTTATTTAATGCTCACACCAGCTTAGTGAGATAGATTTAATGATTACAGCTCCATTTTTTTATTATTATTATTATTATTATTTTTGTTTTGTTTTGTTTTGTTTTGTTTGTTTGTTTTTGAGATGGAGTCTCGCTCTGTCGCCCAGGCTGGAGTGCAGTGGCGCAGTCTCGGCTCACTGCAAGCTCCGCCTCCTGGGTTCACGCCATTCTCCTGCCTCAGCCTCTGAAGTAGCTGGGACTACAGGCGCCCGCCATCACGCCCGGCTAATTGTTTTGTAGTTTTTAGTGGAGACAGTGTTTCACCGTGTTAGCCAGGATGGTCTCAATCTCCTGACCTCGTGCGTGATCCGCCCGCCTCGGCCTCCCAAAGTGCTGGGATTACAGGCGTGAGCCACTACACCCGGCCACAGCTACATTTTAATAATAAGCAATGGAGATTCGGTGGAGTTAAATAATATGCCAAAGTTGCACAATAAATAAGGGTTGGATTTGGGCTTTGAACCCAGGTCTGTCTAGCTCCGAGTCACAGATAACTGCGTGCCTTGGTAGATTAGAGTCATGGAACTCTAGAGTTTTGGAAGTTATCTGTTCTACCTTCTTCATCTTACCGACTGAGGAACAGGCTCAGAGAGGTCTGGTAACTTTCCCAAACTCACATAGTTAGATATAGTCGTAGAAAAACTTACATTGCCCTTGTTCTAAATGCTCCATTCTCACATTCAGAGAAAGGAATAGACCATCTATGCAGAAATCCCTTTCTGAAGTAAACACTATGTTTGCAGGGCTGCATTAGGGGACCCATGCAATCAGTGGAAGTGGAGGATACAGTTCCTGCCCTTCTGAGCTTCAAGTCTACTGGAGGAAAATCATCCTGCAGGAACAAGAGGGAGGCAGAGAAAGGGCAGGGCCAAGGGGCCCTAGAAGGGACTCCAGGCCCAGCTCTGCAGCTCTCTAGCACTCTGTGAATTAGCCATTCTGGGCCCGCTTGTTCTCTAATTCTCGTTGGTCTTCAAATAATGTTTCTGTTATACCCCATTGCAAGGTTTTTTGGGGTTTTTTGTTTGTTTGTTTCTGATCTGACTAGATCAGAAAACCACTCTGGATCAGAGATGAAGTCTTGCTCACACTTGTTTTCCATGTACTCAGCACAATGCCTGGCGCAAAGCAGAATGCATGAAATCAGTACAGGGCCTAAGCACTTGTTAATCTCAAGTGTGGGAAATTGAGGAACCCCCATCCATTCCAGGGAGGTCCCACTGATGGAGTCACATGGACAGATGTCAGGGTCCACACCTTTACACCTGGGCTCTAAAGTCAGGAGCACTCCACATCCACTGGTTATCTGGGAGGGTCAGAAGGAAAGGGGGCCTCCATGGGGCTGGGAGGGGGACATAGCCACTCCCTCTGTAACTTCCCACCTCAGAGGCGAACAGGATAGGCTTTCCAAGGTACAGGAAGTTAGCTATGGTTGTTCAGTGGGTTCAAATAATCAAAATATTCTTCAGGATAGAAAATAACACCAAAGAAGGATTATGAGTGAACCACCACTAACATGTTCAGTTGTCTGTGGCCACCCCATCCCGCACTTCAGTCACACGTCCCTGAGGACGTTCCACAGAAAGCAGTGGAAAGTGTGATTTTAAAGCTCTTCCAAGGCATGGACAGTTACCTCACTTGAGTCTCTCCAGTTCTGCCCTCCAGGCCTACACAGCCTTCGAGGATTTCTTAGATCTGCTTCCTGGGCTTCTTAGACCTAGCTATGTTTTCTTGCTGTACTGTTGCCTCTGGGAGACTGCTACTGAGCTCTAAAAATAGCATCTTGCAGGTTCTCAGAGGACAGGTTCCCTTCCTGCCAAAAAATATGTGGAATGGTGGTTCCATTGGCAACAGCGAGCCTTTGTTAGAGTTGAAAGTGCATATCCCTCCTCCTGAGCCCAGCTGCAGGGGTTTGCCTAATGTCACTGACTCTGTTTTAATTAAGCCCTTTATTGCTGGACTTGGTGCCAAGAAGCCTAAATGAACATGTCTACTTGAGTGGGTGTTGTTCAGGGTTCTTTTTTCAATTCTATTTTAGGAAATTTGCAAGAATCACTCTTCTACAGGCCGAGATAAGGGTTAAGAGTCTTTTTCTCAAGAAATAACATTCTCCTAAGTGAACATTATCTTTGTTTTTCTTTCTCTCTCGTGTAACTGAATTCAAACATTCAAGAGGATTTTTCTGGCTCCTGATGGAAACTGAAGATAGTGATGTAATTTGCATGCCTTTGTCAGATGGAGGAAACTTCACTTACACTTGCCTTGATGAAATTCCAACAGACTTTGAGCTTTAAGAAATGTACAGGGAAGGAATTGTGATATCACCACTACTCATAGCTACTACACAAAAATTGGATGGTTGGCATATTTGCTTCCTAGGGCTACTGTATGTAACAAAATACTACAAATTGGATGGCTTAAAACAACAGAAATTTATTTTCTCATAGTTCTAACAGCAAGAAGTCCAAAATCAGGTGTCAGCAGGTCGTGCTCCCTCTGACACCTGTGGGGGACACTCCTTGCCGCCCCTTCTAGCTTCTGTTATTTGCTGGCAATCCTTGGCATTCCTTGCCTCTGGATGCATCAGTCCAATCTCTGTTTCTATCATCCCTTGGCTATTTCTTCCTGCATGTCCCTGTCTTCTCCTCTTCTTATAAGGATACCAGTGCTTTTAGATTAGGGCCCACACTAACTTCATCTTGACCACATCTGCAAAGACCCTATTCCAAATAGGGTCACAGGCACCCGACATTAGAATTTGTGGAGAGCTGAAGATCACCTCCACCACCCCATTATAGCTTTTAGTGGGCTCTTCAGCTGGTTCTAGAAGTCAAATTGACACCAGGCACATAAACAAGAGAAAAATACACAAATTGTGTTAGTTTTACATATACATGGAGATCTTAAGAGAGTGAAGTCTGTAGAAGTGGCCAAAGCAAGATGCTTTTGTGCATTTTGGATGAAGAATGATAAATTCGAGAAGAAATGACAGGACAAAGAAAATCTGGCTGGGCGTAGTAAATTTCCTAGGGGAGTCACTGGAAGATATATGGGGAATGTAAAACAGGTGGCCGATGATAAGCGTTACTTTGTTAAGTATGTTTATTCAAGTCGATCGCAGCCTCCATTTCCAAGTCTCTCATGATAAGGGCATTTTCTCACCTGGTATGGAGAGGTTACCCCTCCCAGAGGAATCTTTATCATAGGCTACATGCAGGAAAAGACAGGTCAGCTCTCCCTTTCTGAAACTACAATTTCTCCAAGTGTTTTCAACTCTAAATAATCAATTAACGAGATGGCATATTTGAGGATGGGACAGCCTTCACAACTTCAAATTTCAACATATTTTCCTGAGGGATATAACTCAAATGGCTGGAAATTTTTCTCACTCAGAAAAGGTTTGGGTGTTTTTCCACTCTCTACCATAAGTAACCAATATCAGCTACCGCTTTTGGAGAATTTACCACATGCCAAGCCCTAGGTCATGTTCCTGATATATATTCTTTTATTTAATCTTCATAGAAATACTTTGAAGTAAACATTATTATATGCCTAGTTTACAACTGTCAAAATAAAGGCCCAGCTCTGCCTCCTTCCAGCACCCATATTCTGAACAACTTACCATACCTAACACATACATCACTTATAGAGTACCTGCCATGTGCCTGGTGCTACGCTAGGCCCTGGGAACAAATGTCATCCTGCCCTCAGGGAACATGAGTCTAGTGGAAGGAGATATGCATCAGAGATATAATTTCCTAAATATCAATTACTACCTCCCAGTGTCATAGCATCATTTCCCACAAGGAATTCTTTTCCTTTGCTCTCATTGCCAGAGGTCTGTTGAAAGAACAGTGGATGCTGAGATGAAAAGCAGTGCAAAGTCCCTCAAAAAGGGGGTTCCCTCACTTCTACTTTAATCAGAGCTCCAACATGTCGACAGGTTGGAGCTCTGATTAAATTGGAACTGAGCATCTCTGGACATCTTTATTGAACAAACAAAATGTTTCTTAGCCATATTATGCTGAGGAACAAACAACCCTAAAATCTCAATGCCTAAAGCACAGTTTATTCTGTGCTCTGCACCATGTGTCTCTGACCCCCACATCTAGGGACTGTGCTCTATGTCACCCTCACACTGGATGCAGGCTAATGAAGTAGTCTTATCTGGAACTCTACAGGTTATGTGGCAAAAAGAAAAAGAGAAGATGGTAAATCACACTGACTCTGAAACACTCCCACCCAGAGGTGCCATGTTGCATTTTATTGGCCAAAGCAGGTCACCGGGCTGTGCTTTATTTCAACAAATCATGGAAGGGCAGCCTGCCTTGTGCTTGCAAGAGAGAACAGAATATATTTACAGAACAGAATGAATTGCTTCCACGAAGGACAGAAAGAAGTTTTAACCCTGTTCCAGGATGAACAGCCCATAACAAATATGCCTTTCAGACCAAATGAAATAAGTATTTGAAGGAATAGATCAGGTACTCCGTGCAATTTTTGTTAAATGACCATTCCCTTCCCTCTCTGCCTACTTAACCCAAAGCTCCATGCAGCAGAAGCCATGCCCCTTCTCTGGCCACTCATTTGGTCAGTGGGCCCTGATGACCAAGCACTAGCTAAGAGAGAACCTGTGGTCTTTTTTGGAAATGAAAGTAGGAAAGTCCAAATGTGAAAGCCATGAATCAGGGGACAGTGATGTATGTTCCTGAGCAATTCCCTGTAGCTTCCCTTTAAACAGCAACCTCCTGAGTACACATACAATATAATTTTAGATATAGATATTAGGCCAGGCACGGTGGCTCATGCCTGTAATCCCAGCACTTTGGGAGGCTGAGGTGGGTGGATCACTTGAGGTCAGGAGTTCAAGACCAGCCTGGCCAACATATAGTGAAATCCCATCTCTACTAAAAATACAAAAAATTAGCTGGGCATAGTGGCACATGCCTGTAGTCCCAGCTACTTGGGGAGCTGAGGCAGGAGAATCACTTGAATCTGGGAGGCAGAGGTTGCAGTGAGCAGAGATCATGCCACTGTACTCCAGCCTGGGTGACAGAGTGAGACTCCATCTCTCAAAACATATATATATATATACACACACACACAAAGAGAGAGAGAGAGAGAGATTTTATTTACTCACAACTTTTCAGGAATAAACTGTATTTTATGTAAAGCAAGACATCTATTTGTTTAAACCCTGGATTCCATAGGTAGGTAGCATGCCATATCCACCATATATTTTTCCATCCCTCAAGTTCCAAAATTGATTCCCTGAAGTAAACAGGAAAAACTTGGGAGAAGTAATCAGTAGCTAAAATTATTTTTGTTTTTGTCCTGTTCCAGTTAATGGCTATTAAAAGCAAGATTTCCATGACTGCTTCTATTCCAGATGCCCATGTTCTCAGCTCTAGGAGTAGCAAAAGAAGTTGCATTCTAATGACTCAGAGGAGTCATTAGCCTTGATGAGTGTTCAGATTGCAGTAACTCACTGCAGGATGTTTAGTGCCTTGGGATCCCCGGGCAGCCTATAATTTGCTCAAAAGCTGGAAATGTTTCTGCACCTCTGCAGAGCCTGGCCTGCGGCTTCCTGTGTTTTCCCACCTTCCTGCCTCCCATTGTGCCTCAGAGCAGGATAATACCACTTTAAACATGTCACATTAGCTGTCAAAGGGGTTTTGACTCATTCTCAAGGAGAGAAGATTGAAACAGACCCAGCTGTGGAATACAGAGAGCTCCTTGGCACCTAAATGACTACCCCAATCATCCGTAAAGAGCTGCCAGGAAACCATATCAGCGGGATCTCAGGGAGGCTCACTTTAGCACCCCCTTCAGACTTACCAGACTGGACGAGGTTAGACAAATATTAAGATTCAAGTGTCTACAGGGTTTTACAGTGTGCAGAGATTTTGCAAATTTGCCTTGTTTGATTCTCACAGTCATTCCCGTAATGGAGAAACCAATGTCCCCATTTTACAGCTGAGAAAACTAAGGCACAGAGAGGTGAAGTGACTAGTCCCAAGTCACACACCTATAGGGGCCATGTTTCTGGGATCTAAGAGCCCTGTGTTCTAATCTCACCTCCACCTTCACAGATCTACCTCTTAATCTCATCTGTAAAATGATGGCGATGCCCTCTGGATAGTGTTGCAAGAGCATTATGACAATGTACATAAAGGGCCTGCCAGTGTCCCTGGAACAGAGATACTCAAAAAAAGCTCATTAAATAAAAATAAATGTTGCCTTTTTGTGTGTGACATGTTTTCCCTTGATCTCTTTCTCACTGAATATTAGCTTTTGCGGGGAACATGGAAAATTAGTCCCAATTGTGCATCACCAAAGATCCTTATATTTTGTTCCTACTCAGTGACCCATATAATGAAAGATTTTCTACCTGCCATACTTTATTTACAACCGTCTTCTTATTTCAGTAACACACATAACTATTCATCATGGCTCCTGACAAACATGCATACTAAAATGGATGATTCTAGCTAAAACACTAATTTGTAATTATTTACAAACATTTACCAAATACTTACTATGAGCCAAATATCTCTCTGGACATTTTGCCAGCATCTGAGCCCAGGCGATCTGACTCCCGAGCCCACACTTTTAACCTCTGAACTAAGATCAGCAACACTAACAGCTACCATTTGTTATGTATTTACTATGGGCCAGCAGACACTGTAATGTATTTTTTAAAGATACATTGACTTATTTAATCATTGTAACAAATAAGTGTATGGTGCAGGTGGTGTCACTTCTTCCATTTTACACATGAGGAACTGAAGCTTGAAGAAGGGAAGTAACTTACTCATAGCCATGTAGCTAGGAAGTAATAGAGCTGGGTTTCGAGCCTGCATTTGCAAAGCACATACATTAAACCCCTAGTCTATGCTACATTCTCTCTAACATTTCTGTGAACCATCACTTGAGTTGTTTGAAGCCTCATCACTTGTCAGTGCTTTGTATGATTGGAAATCACTTGAAAATCCCCATTCCAGCCTCAGGAACTCCTGTGGGTCTGAGATCTCAGGGTGAAACTAAGCAGGCCTAGGTAGGAGCACCTCCTGAGGCACCTAAATATTCTTCCTGAAGCCACTAAGAAGGAATGCAGAGGGGTTAGTGTCTGCATTTCTCAGGTGATCAGAATCTCATGTGTATCAGTCCATTCTCATGCTGCTATAAAGAAATAACAGAGACTGGGTAATTTATAAAGAAAAGAGATTTAATAGACTTGCAGTTCCACATGGCTGGGGAGGCCTCAGGAAACTTATGATTATGGTGGAAGGCAAAGGGGAAGCAGGCACCTTCTTCACAAGGTTGCAGGAGAGAGAAATGCAAGCAGGGGAAATGCCAGATGCTTATAAAACCATCAGATCTCATGAGAACTCACTCACTATCACAAGAACAGCATGTGGGAAACTGCCCCCATGATCCATTCACCTCCCTCTCTCTGCATGTGGGGATTACAGGTTCCTCCCTTCACACGTGGGGATTACAATTCAAGATGAGATTTGGGTGGGGACCCAGAACCACCATATCATCATGGAAACAGATAAGAACCAACCCCATCACTAGTTACTGCTGGAGAAAATGGTATCTTCTGAGTGAAAATAGGCTAAATCTGTAAATACATTGCTGAGGTCATTGAAGAGGTATTCTTCCCTGGGGGTACTATATCTTCTCTGAGCTGCTTTAGATGCAGTACTACCAGGAAATGGAAGGATGGGCAAGGTTCTGACTGGCACCTGCAATACATTTGCTTATCATCATAATCCCTAGCCCCGCACATTTTACTTCCTCAATATACTTCAAAGAAAACTATTAGGGACCCCAATGTGCATTTCTGTTTGGTACAATTCCCACCTCTAGGTGTCTGTCAAGAACTAGATCCTTGAGAAAACCAATATTCTGCATTAGTGGAAAGTGCATCGGACTCAGGATCCTGGTTCAGGTGGACCCAGCTGCTTATGAGCTGTGTGACCTTGGACAAGTGACTTCACCTCTCTGGACTTTAGTGTCCTTATTTATAAAATAAAGTCTTTGGACTAGACATCTCAAAATCCCCAGCCAGGGCAATCCTTTCAAAATCCTTTGTAGCTAGCCGCAGTTTAGGCAATAGATGGAAAAGCACTTTGAGAAGTGGTTAAAAGCTCTTAACACATTTCAAAAGGTGTTATTTTTGCAGAGCAGAGCATGAAATTATACATATAGAAAAAGAAAAAAGAACTTTGAAATTTTAGTAGCTCAAACTTAAATGTAAAAATGTTCATTTTAAGTGTCCCTCCTCTCTCTCCTTCTTATCTTCAACAAAGAGGGCCTATTTTAATGTACACAGATAATTTAAGTATTCACACCTATCCTGTGTTTAACCACACCAGAGCTTTGGTAAGGTCTAAAATAGTGCATGGATCTTACCCCTTTGTTTGCCTTCTCCATTGATAAGAGTTGTTAAGAGTCTTCCTCTTCCTGGTAAGAGAGAAGGAGGCATCTCTTCAAGTGGAGATTTCCTTTACAGAAGTAAATTTCCTTTACAAAAGAAAAACTTGTGCCCTGTTTTTAGAGCTTTTCCTGCCTCTGGTTATTCTAGATGGTCTTTAGCTCAAAATAATCTACAGGTCAAACAGACACATTTTAGGATGGCATATTCTGGTACCCTTCACCTGGACCTTGCTCTCAAACCTTATGAGTAAGTTAATTCAAATACCTACCCTGCCCCACTTTAGTGCGGTAAATGGAGCCCTGCACTCCCCAAGTCTTAAAGTCTGGTGTTTTCCTCTTTCCTGGTTCATCTACCATCTCCACATGCTTATTTTCCTGCTCTAAGCCACAGGCAACAGCACAACCCACATGATCCCTTGAACATGATACAACATAGCACACACACAAGTTGCCTTTGTTCCAACTCTCTTCCAGCTTTATTCAACACTTTTCATCCTCATCCCTCAACTATCATTATCATCTTTAATGTATCCATTTTCCATTTATTCAGAAATTGTGCATTGCACATCTATTATGGACTAAGTTTAGGGATATAGTGGTGAATAATAACAACAAAAATAGATGCACACTTTGCCCTCTGAAGTTCACAGTCTAATGAGGGCGATGGGGATTATTAATCAAATAGCCACACAAATAAATGTGACAAGTTTGTTTATGTAGGGATGGAGTACTTTGAGAGCATACAGGAGAGAGCCTCTACTTTGAATTGGAAGTTATCAAGAGCATGAGTATGAATTAACTAAAGAGTGAGGAGAAGCATGCGTATTAGGCAGAAGGAATGGTATGTGAACTTGTAATTGCCCAATGGGTTCTTCTTGCCCACTGTACAGACAAAAGCAATTCACGAAGACCATGGTATTGCAGTAAAGGAAGGGTTTAATTAACACAAGGCAGCTGAGAGGAGGGAGTGGCTTAGCCTCCTGAGAACTCAGAGGCTAGGGATTTTATGGATAATTTGGTGGGCAGGAGGCTAGGGAATGGGCACTGCTGATTGGGGATGAAATGATAAGAGTGTGGAAAATGGTTCTTGCGCACTGAGTCCACCTCCAGGTAGGGGCCACAGGACCATTTGAGTCATGAGTCATGGGTCTTGGTGGGGTCAGCTGGTTGCCAGAATGCAAAAATCTGAAAAACATCTCAAAAGACCAATCTTAGGTCCTACAATAGTGATGTTATCTACAGGAGCAACTAGGGAAGTCAAAAATCTTGTGACCTCGAGCCACATGGCTGTTGAGCAGTAAGGGATTATAGAAACTATGCCTACATTTCAGCAGAGGTCAGGCCCTTTCCATAATCCTAATCTTGCGGCCTTTCCTTAGTCTTACAAAGGCAGTTTCAGCCCCCAAAACTGAACAAGGAAGGGATCAGTTTCATGGAGAGACTATTATCACACTTGCTTCAAAGTTAAATTAGAAACTAAATTCCTCCCATGGTTAGCCTGGCCCTGCCCAATAATGAGTGAGGACAGCCAGCCTGTGAGACTAGAAGCAAAATGAAGTCAGCCATGCTAGATTTCTCTCACTGTCATAATCTTTGCAAAGGCGGTTTCAAAGTAGCACTGGAGTAGGAAGAACATGGCACATAAAGGAATGGAAAAAGACCAGTGTGGCTGAAGAGTGTGGAGTGAGAAGAGGAGTGGAACAAGATGAAGTAAGGAAGTTGGCAAGACCCAGACAAGATTCTGTAGGCGTGTTGAGGACTTTGGTCTTTATTCTATTTTTAGCACAAGAAGTAAAACAATGAGTCATTGATTTCAAGAACATCACTCTCACTAGCATATAGAAAATAGGAGAGAGGCAAGAGTGGATGTTACAAGATTATTGCAGCACTTCAGGCAACAGATATTGGAAGCGTGGATAAAGGAGGTAGTGTTACTGATGAAAGAAGTGTTTGAACCAGGAGTTATTTAGAAAGTACAAATGAAGAACTTGGCAACGGGTTGTATAAAAGAAGGGAGGAGACCATCAAGGATGATTTCAAGGGGTTGGAATTGTTAAATTAGTTATGTCGGGGAAATATTCACTGAGAAAGGGAGTAGGAAAGAGAATCAGTTTTGTCTTGAGTCTTTGTTTTTTCTTGTCTTTGAGTCATAATGGTGGAAGATTAGATGATAAATTTGGTTTGGTACATGCTAAGTTTGAAGTACCTTTGAGGTATGCACAGGGAAATATCAGGTAGGCAGTTAAATAAAAGGTCTAGTGCAGTGGCTCTAAAATCAGGGATAATTTTTTTCCTCCAGGGGACATTTGCCAACGTCTGGAGATATTCTTGGTTGTCACAATGTAGTGAGAGGTGCTATTGGTATCTGGAAAGTAGAGGCCAAGGATGTTGCCAAACATGCTACAATGTGCAGGACAACCACACCCCTCACAGCAAAGAATTATCCAACCCAAAATGTCAATAGTGCCAAAGGTGAGAAACGCTGGTCTATAGATATTTGAGAGTCATTGGCCAAAAGCCTTGGGTATTTATAAGATCACAAATAGAAAGAATAAGAGTAAGAAAAAAAGTGGCATAGTACAGATTTTTGAGGAACTTTAATGCATAATGGCGGGATGACTTACCCAACATAAGAGACTGAGAAGGAGCCACAGAGAAGTAGGAGGAAAACTCAAAGAAAATGGAGTCACAAAAGCCAAATTTTGGGTAGGGGAGTGATGAAAAGTGTCAGATGCTACCAAGAAGACAAAGGAAATGGGGACTGATGAGTGTTCATTGCACTTAGGAATGTGAAGGTCATTGGTAGCCTTTGCAAGAGCAGTTTTGGTAGGACGATGTTGAGACAAGACATACTGCAGTGGGTTGAGAAATGAATGGAAGATGAACAAATGGAAGCAGTTAGTGTAGGCAATGCTTTTAGGAAGTTTGGCAATGGAAGGGAGGAGAGTGAAAGAACAGTCCTGGCAAGAAATGTGGAGGTCAAGAACAGTTTGGGGTTCAGTGATTTTTTTGGTGTTTTATTTTGTTTTAATTTTTTTATTATGGAAAATTTCTTACATATATAAAGTAAGCAGAATATTACAATGGACTTCAATGTACCCTAGATTCTATGGACTCTGGATTCTCTTTTATTTCTCAGATGAGTAATGTTTGTTCTAGGAGGGAGTTGATTTGGCTGGACTCAAATTCTCAACTCTGTCTCTCCTAATCAGCAACAACTTAAATCTCTGCTTGGTTCTTTCAGATTCCAGCTGTACTTTTTTTTTTTTTTTTTTTGCCAATCCCCCTGTGTGTGCATAGTTTAGTGGTCAGCCAATAATTTGGGTAGATTGGGGAGTTTATCCTTTCCGCGGCTTATTCCCTTCCAGAACCCACCCCCTCTTCATTTCCTGGCTTCTCTTCTAGCCCCAACTCTATTATCTGATACCTCAAGCTATTAAGACTTTGGCCTCCTGTTGCCCCAAGTTGCCTGCAGATTGGACTGCCTTCAGGCAAAAAGCTGCAAACTTGCAAATCCCAAAAGGTATAATTCCTGCTTTCAAAGCTTGATTCCCCTCCAATATCTGTCTGCTCTTGACCAAACCCCATTGCCTTCGCACATGCGTGTGTGTGTGTGTGTGTGTGTGTGTGTGTGATGATGGAGTAGCTCAAGACTGTCACTAACCTCTCTTCCCATCCCCAGCTCCATCCCCCACTGCAAGAACCTCATGCACATGTGTCTGAACATCCCAACCCCCATGTCCAAGTTTCAGTCACGGACTCAGGCCTAGGGATCCAGCTACTGCAGTGTGGTCTGTACTTGGGAGGAGGGACCTGGAAAAGAGGCCCAAACAGTCCCTGGAATCAGCCTTGGGGTCATTTGGTCAGGGAATTCTGGCATCTTGGGTACTGGTCTAGAGGAAGGAAAAAAGGGCACAGACTCTGGGGAGCACAGGCTCCATGTGGGCACACCCCATGGCCCCATGGACTCCTTGCCCTGTGGAGAGAAGCAATTGGAAGAAAGCCAGAGGATGACCCTCTAAACTGCTGGGGCCTCGGGCAGGAATCTTTCTTGCCCAGGTCTATGGGCAAATTTAATTAATGCAATACCTAGTACTATGGACTTTGCTCAGTTCCTAATCTGACTGCCTGGTTTCTCTGTGTGTACGTGTTTTATTTCTTTTAGTGGACTGTTCATCACCATTCATGACAAAGGTCATCTTGCAACAATGCTGAATTCTTGGCCAGAAGACAATATTAAGGTATGATCCCGTTTTCATTGCTATTTAATCATTGTTGGGTGAATCATTTCAGCCTAAACCAGAGTCATTTCCATCTATAAAATGAGCCATTATGACACTGAAGGCAGCATACTACCTCCCATTCCTAAGCCACAGACCTGTTATAGCCAAGTACAAATACACCACAGAGCAGAGGTTTGCATTAACCAGGCATCCATGTGACATTGCCCTTCATTATTGTGATTATTAGTCTGAAGATATGTTCAGCATGTGTTGAGTCCTTGCTAAATATATGGTGCCAGTTTCCATGGTAGACGCAGAGAGAAATCAGGCATAGACCCTCTTCTCGAGTAGCTGACATGTTATATGGAAAATAAGCCAAAGGCACAAAAGACTAACAAGGTGGAACTTGTCCAGAGATAAATAAAGTACACGAAAAGAACTGAGGGTGTTCTTCTAGAGGCAATGACGATTTTTAGCCTGAGGAGATTCAGGGATGACTTCCTGGGGGAAGTGACAGTGGAGCTGGGCCTTGAATTTAGGGGTAGGCTGTGGACAGTTAGGTAGTGGAGAGACTAGGCTGTGGAGTGAGGACATTCTGTACCAAGAGTAAAAGCCTATGATGGACAATATCTTCACACTTGGGTATGTGTACCCTGGGAGTACACAGCAGTGTGGGGGTGGGGATGAGGGGCATAAATGTAGAATGACAAAATAAACCTGCCACTTCTTCCAGGAGCATCCATTTTACTCAAAAATTTAAGAAGAAAACATTTCTGTATACCAAACAATATACGTTATAGAATGCAAAAGTTGCCATATTTTTTTTTTTTTTTGAGACAGAGTCTCACTCTGTCGTCCAGGTTGGAGTGCAGTCACAGATTATTGCAACCTCAATCTCCTGGGCTCAGGTGATCCTCCCACCTCAGCCTCCCCCGTAGCTGGGACGACAGGCATGGGCCACTATGCCTGGGTAATTTTTTGTATTTTTTTGCAGAGATAGGGTTTTGCCATGTTGCCCTGACTGGTCCTGAATTTCTGGGCCCAAGTGATCTGTCCATCGACGCCTCCCAAAATTCTGGGATTACAGGCGTGAGCCACCGTGCCTAGTGATGTTAATTTTTATACATAAAACATGCAACTTTGTAGAAATGTATTAGCCTCTGGCTAAATCCCCAGATCTCCTCCTGCTATAGAGATGTCTATGGAGGAGTTTGAGGGGTTCTGGTATCTAAGATCATTGTTACTTCTGGAAACAAAATGGGTGTGGCAAAAATGCAGAACATCCACTGGCTGGGTGGTAAGGGCATTTTTGGCACCTGAGCTGGGGAGGGGTTGGTGCTGACCAAGCATAGTACAAGGAACTTCCAAGGCCAATGCTCACATCACCCTGCCTTGCCTGGGAGGCCATGGTACTCCAACACATCTACTCTGGAAGAGCTCCCTGGAAGTTCAGATACAGAGAAGGTATATGGGCCCATATTTGAGGAGCTCAAAGTCTAGTTAGAAAGACTGATCCAGAAACAGTGACAGTACACTGTGTCTGTGCTGCCAAAGAGAGAACCATGGCCTCTCTCTCTTTTTCCCTGCCCATTCCCTGAGCCCCTCCACCCTTCTCCACTGGACACCAAATATAGCTTCTTTCTGTCTACCTCCCTTTATGTCCTACCCACTCCTGGTTCTCTCCAGGGAATGATATTACTTAAAAACAGAGCAGGTTGGGGACAGAACCTTGGCCCTCAGGAGCCAGGCTCGAGCCATAGCCAAGGCCCTAGTCCTAGCTCATTTTTTACATCTGTGTCTGGGTATCATTTTGCCTTGTGCTTCTCCCTCCTGCTTATCTGCTTAGACTCCAGGTATATGTCCTGCAGGCCCTGCAGGTTTTGGTCCCAGGCCCAGAGAAGCAAGTTTCCACAGCATGTCTAGCATGAATCTATAATAAAATCTTGAGGACATTAAGGGAAGCCAGCTTACTGGATGGACTAATCTGAGTGGATATGCTGCTGGGGTCCTGTAAAGTTATCTCTTTCACTCACATTCCTGGACAGTTCAACCATGGGGAAAACTTGGACATAGGAGGCACTCAGTAGATGCTTACACAGAGTTGGATGAATTCAGTTGATAGACATGCTGAGCATCTTCCATGTCACAGATACTGTGCCAGGAGGTTCTCCACTAATACTTTCGGTGCTTTTGTGCAAATTATGAGGAACTAGAAAGAATGATGAAAAGGTACCTCTGTTTAACAAAAAGGCACCCTTTCCTCCAACCTGACACAGGGGCTTGGTGAGGGGATCATGGACTCAATTTCAGGTTTCAATTGTTCCTCTTATCAGGGCACAACTGTATCAAGGGCCTTGCTGTGAGGAATGCAAAATGAGAAAAACATGGACTCTGCCCTCAAATTGCTTCGTATTGTGGTTGGGAAACCAAGATGTAAATTCAAAATAGAACCTTAGGAGCTAAATATCTATTGACTTCAATAAACATATTTTGAGAACCTTCTAAATACTGAATGCTAATTGCCAAAGAGATGAAGACCACAACCGCTGTGATTTTAGAGGAAGAGAAACAGGGCTTTGGGCACCCTGGAAGAGGTAGGACTCCAGCAGGCCCCAAATAAGAGAGACATCCAGAGCCTCTAGGAGAATGTTAAGTTGCATGAGCAGATCCGGGACCATGATAGTGAATTCAGTTGCATTCAACCATCTTTTAGTAAACATCTACTCTGGAAGAGCTCCCTGGAGGTTCAGATACAGAGAATGTATAGGAGCCCATACTCAAGGAGCTCGAAGTCTAGTTAGAAAGACTGATCCAGAAACAGTGACAGTACATTGCATCTGTGCTGCCAAAGAGAGGACCCCAGAGGACAAGGGGCAGACAGGTGACTGGCTGCCCACCCACCCTGTGGTACCGCAGAGTACACAGGTGAGTGCCTGGGACCACCTCCATCCTTTATTCCTGTCTCACTTTGAAGAAACCTGGAGATCAGTCCCAGCGACTATGTAGAGGAATCAGACCCAGCTTTGCAATAAGACAGCCCTGGATTCTGGCCATGAAGCTTCACTTACCTGCTGCGTGTGCAGATATCCTCTCTGAGCTTTGCTTTCCTATTGTGAGGATTAACTATGATAAAGTCTATACACATCGAAGGGCACTTGAATGGATACTGTCATCACTGGAGGTGGTGGAGGCAGCTGTAGCCCACACCGCAGTACAGTCAGGGCCTGAGGGGGCTCCCTTAACCTGGGAATCACAGGCCACAAATGAGCAGTCAAATGATTCGACCCCTAAACATATTTGATTTGGCTCTTAGTGGTTTTCCAACATTTTGAATTTGTAGGCAACATTTTTAAATCAGGAGATTTCATGAGAAATATATATCCAAGCACTTGGATTTCTGGCTTCTCTGGAAAAGCCAGGAGCTCTGAATATTGGGCCTGTAGTTTGGCATGTGAACAGGTCCACTAGAGCTGATTGGACTGCCTCTGGCTTACCCCAGACCCCTCCCTGCCCTACCCACTGGCCTTTTTCTGGAGGTTCCTCCCCCCCCACCCCTAGGTGCCCTTTTAAAGGTTTAGAATTTCCAAGCCACAGTCTTTCTTGTTTTCTGATGTGTATTTTTCAGTTACTTTAGAAAGTGGAGAGGAAGGTCTCCCTACCTAGGTAGGGAGTCTCTGCTCATCATTCTTTCATAGCACTTGGGAACTGATGCAGAACCTCTTCTTCACTACTTCATTCTGTTCCCACAGTCACTGGGAGAAGTTGGAGTAAGGACTTCTGAAACCCCCAGTGTGGGTCCTGAAGAATGTGTAGGAGTGAGACTGTGCATGGTGGCTCACGCCTGTAATCCCAGCACTTTGGGAGGCTGAGGCGGGCGGATCACTTGAGGTCAGGAGTTTGAGCACAGCCTGGCCAACATGGTGAAACCTCATCTCTACTAAAAATATAAAAATGAGCTTGGCGTGGTGGCAGGCGCCTGTAGTCCCAACTATTCAGGAGGCTGAGCCAGGAGAATAGCTTGAACCCGGGAGGCGGAGGTTGCAGTGAACCTTGTGCCACTGTACTCCAGCCTGGGCAACAGAGCAAGACTCTGTCTCAAAAACGAAAACAAAAAAGGGCTGGGCACAGTGGCTCAAGTCTGTAATCCCAGCATTTCGGGAGGCCGAGGTGGGCAGATCACCTGAGGTCAGGAGTTTGAGACCAGCCTGGCCAACATGGTAAAACCCCGTCTCTTCTAAAAATACAAATATTAGTTGGGTGTGGTGGCACACACCTGTAGTCCTCCCAGCTTCTCGGGAGGCTGAGGCAGGAGAATCACTTGAGCCTGGGAGGCAGAGGTTGCAGTGAGCCGAGATCAGGCCACTGCATTCCAGTCTGGGAGAGAGTAGTGAGACTCTGTCTCAAAAAAAAAAAAAAAAAAAAAAAAAAAGAATGTATAGGGTTGTGTCTCAGATGAGCAAACTGAGGTTAAGTGACTTGTCTGAGGTTACCCACAATTAAGTGTTGGTGCCCAGCCCAGAGCTGTGGTTCTAAGTCATTTCTCCAGCAACTGCTAAGTGGGGGAGACAGAGTTTTTCAAGGCACAGGTATCTTTAGGCCTGTTGCTAGCTGCTTGCCTAGAAAGAGGAGTGGTTCAGAGGAGCCTCTGAATCAACTCAGAAAGTAAAAAATGACTTTCTATGGTTTCCCAGCAAGAAAGCAGAGTTGAAAACTGCAATGTAAGAAAAGTAGGCTGCGATGGAAATGGAGCCAAAGCCCAGGGCTGGGGAGACCACGAAGTTTTGTGGGACTTGCTTTTCAGGAAGGAGGGGGCGGGCCAGGCCAGGCTGCCTTGAGCTGTCCAGCGTAAATCACAAAGAGGAGTGAGAACTGCTTTTCTGACTTTTTCCCACAGTGGCCATTGCCTGGAGCCTATAGGAAGGTCCAGCTGAGAATAGCCTCCTCCCTAACAGTTTTCCCAAGCTCCTAAATCTCTCCCTCACCCCAGTCCCAGGAGCTTCGCAGGAGGAGGTTCTGAGAGCCAAGGGACCCTCCTCTGCTACTGGGCACATCCTCTGTAAACAGCCACTTAGGTGTTTATACTTAGAGCGGATTGCTAGTGCCAAGTGCCTACCTATCATGCATTGGCCCAGTCTGTGTTAAACCCCACTCTGTGCTCATTGTCAGAGGTTAGATTTCCTGAAAAACAGTCTCAGAGACGTATTAGGGAGTGCTCTTTTGTCAGTCAACACTTGTGGCAAGGAAGGAAACAGGATAGAGCAGAAGGAGAGGTTGGGCTGCCGTAAGATCTCAAGCAAGGCTCGCTGAGCCCCTGAGGAGGCTCTGGACCTGGGATGGCCCTTCAAATGCATCCAGAAGTGAGGCAGAGGAGTGGGTCTCTAGATTCCTATATGGGGCTGCCCTTGGAAGGAGGTGTGGCTTTGGGCAAGGTGGCTCTTTTCAGTAGAGGAAATTCCCCTAAGTGGGCTGATATCTGAGGATACAGCTGGGAAAATAACTCTTTCATTCCTGCAGGAGGATCTGGGCAGCACATCATCGTATCCACCTCATGCGGTATGATGCCAAGTGCTCTACATAGATTAACTCATTGGATTTTCATGGCAACCCTGTAAGAGGTAGGGACTATTGTTATCCCCATTTTATAGACAAGGAAGCTGAGAGGTTAGGTTCTTTGCAAGGGAGAAGTGGAACCAAGATTTGAAACTAAGAAGTGTGCATTATTTTTGCGGTAGAAAGAGAGAGAGGGAGAAGCAGAAGAAGAGGAGGAGGAGGATAAAAGGAAAGATGAGAAGGAAGGATGAAACAAAAGAGGAAGAAGAGGGTTGTATAAACAGCACTGTGGGCAACCCTTGTAGCTATGACCATAGCTACAAGTCCAAGGAAGCTCCAGAGCAAGCAAGGACATTTGATCCTCAGGTCAGTATTGGGTCAGTCCCATTGGGTCCACCCAAACTAAAGGGTGTGGGCAATAATTCAGAAAAGGCCTTAGGTCTGAGGCAGGTGGGCAAAGGAAGAATATGGCACAGCCTCCCCCAAACCTCCCCTGAGCCATCAGAGAGACAGGGGAGTTATGAATTATAAAACTCTTCCAAACAAGGAAAATGTGATTCTGTTGTTGTAGAAAAGTTTGCTTGGCTTTAAAGTTCAAGGATGCTGCCCAGGTTTGCCCTCAGCCTTTTGACAATTTGCAGAACTAGTGGCTCCCAGCGTAAGGTCCATTGATGTCACGAAAAACAGGGTGCAGTGTCTTCTCTCTGAACTTGTTAATCCACAGCAGGTCTGAACTCTGTTCAGCGCAGAAGACACTTTGTTTTCTCTGTTGGATCTATCACATTGCCCACCATTTGTGAGTGTGTATCACATTACAGACACCAAGTTAAGTGCTGATGAATCAAAGATGACACAACCCATTACTGGCCTTAGAAGAGCTTCAAGCTACTGTGAAGCACAAGGAAATGTACATAACTATAATACAAGGAAGGGAGTGATAGGTTTAGTAGGTGAGGAAAATGCTATGGGAATTCAGAGAAGGAAGTGATAAAATTCAGAAGGGAAGCTTCCTGGAGGGAAATGCTTTTTGAACTGTTCCTTGAAACATGCAAGGGTGGTAAGATTTGTATCAAGGAGATAAAGAAATTGAGAAGTAAAATGGCATGTATTCAAGAAAGTACAAGCCTTATACAAAATTGGAAATATTTCAGTTTGGATGGAGCATGGAAAGAATAAAGGGGAAATTCAAAGGGCAGCTTGGGCCTAGCCCATGGAAGGCTTTAAGTGCCAGTCTAAGATGTTTGGGTTTTATTTTACAGACATCAGGGACCATTAGAGATTTGGGGGCAAGAAAGTGATATATCTGGGCATGCTTCAGAAAAAATGAAATGGAATGGGGAAAATCCAGTAGAGAGACCAGTTAGGAGAACAGTGCAGTGGCTCAAGTGAAGATGGATGATCTGATCCGAGGCAGTAGCAATAATATGAAGATAATGGAACAGATGTTTAAAATAGGAAGCAGGCACAATCAGCAGAACTTGGTGACCAATTGGCTGTGGTTGACTAACAGAGAAGAATCAAAGAAGACTGGACGTTTTTGAACTTGGAAGATACAGGGTAACAGAGAGCAGGAGGACAGCAGAGTAAAAAGGCTCAAAAGGAGTAAGAGGGAAAAGAGGATTCATTTGGTTAGGGACTTGTGGGAATTGGGAAGACTATTGGACATTTGAGTAGCAATGTCCAGCAGACAGTTATCTACAGGTGTCATCTACTTAGAGAGGACAGTAGGAGCCATAACAATGGATGAGGATGCCAAGGTTAAAGCCATTAAGCTTCACATGGCCAGACTTTACTAAATGTTGCATTTGCCAAGGTCTCCCCTTGGTTTCTTTTTCATTCATTCATTTAACAGATAATTATTGCATGGTCTTTCTGTGTTAATGATAAACTGGAGAGATCAGAAATAATTTCAAAGTCTGAGATATAATCTTTGCCCTAAATAATCATCATCATTACAGTCATAAGAGCAGCAACCATTTATTCATCATTCTTACTTTATACAAGGCACCAGGTTAAAATGAGACATATTTTATTTCATCATTACAACAACCTGAGGAGTTAAGTATTATTATTATTATTATTATATGCATTTTATGGAGAATTGAAGCTCAGAATAGTTATCTATTTGTCTAAAATTACACATGGCACATCATCAAGGATCCTATATTCAAAAACTGGTTATCAGACTCCAAAGCACCTGCCATTAACCACAAAGGCTGTTTTGTGAGATAAAATGTGCATTTTAAAACAAAGTTAAATAACAACCCAGCTGCTTTCACCATCAAAGGTTTAAATAACACCTTGTGCGGGTCTTGGCAGGCAGTGGGTCCTTAATACACGCTTGTGAAAGGCAGGCAAGCAGACAGGAAGGGTGTGTGGTAGATATGGCAATTCAGGGGAAGGAGAAATTTCAGTAGATTATAATGGGCAGGATTTATGCTGCTGACGAATGGGGAGAAGAACCCTCCAGGAAAAAGGAATAGAGAGGTTGAGATGGAGAGGTGGTAGGCAAATTCAGAGTGTGCCTGGGAAGAATGAGAAGGCCAGCACAGCCAGAGAAGGCAATTGTGTACAGATGTATAGCAGGAGATAAGTTTCAGAAGGTCTGTTGGATTCAGATAATTAAAGAGTTAAGTATTTTGGACTCTATTCTATGGACAGTTCAAAGTAACTAAAGGTCTTTGAGCCTGGGAATGGCATAATGAAAATGGGCTTTTGACACAATGAATCTGACATTGGTTGGCAGGAGAGAATGGAAGGAAGGAAGATGAGAGGCAAGGAGTCTGGTTGTGAAACTGTTGGAATAACTCAACTATAACCATGGTAGGATTGCGGGTGGACAGTAGATGGAGGTGAGACACTCATTCAGAGGAGCTGGGCATGCAGTAGAGTGCCCTGGGGCATGTCCAGGCTGGGAGAGTGCCACTACAGAGCCCTGTCACCATCCTAGGGTTGTGGGGATAACAGCCTGGAGTAGCAGATTTCCTCTGTTTAACTTCATGTCACTCACTGCCCCTTCAGC
Organism: Homo sapiens; assembly: GCF_000001405.40. Taxonomy (NCBI): domain Eukaryota; kingdom Metazoa; phylum Chordata; class Mammalia; order Primates; family Hominidae; genus Homo; species Homo sapiens. The sequence continues at coordinate 86,500,237 of NC_000011.10, read as the reverse complement.
ACAGAGAAGGATTCTGACAGAATGGGAACCATAATAAGGAAGCTCTAATTAGGAGAGATGATAGAGAAATGCCCAGAGTTTGGACACCCAGAGGCAGCATGAGGGCATAGTCTCTAACAGGGAGATCTACCAAGAGGAGGTCAGATGCAGGCTGCAGAGAGGGTGGCGCCAAAGCAGGGCAGGACTTTGCCAAGATCACAGGCACTTTACCCCAGCCAGTTGGGGTGGTAGAAGGAGCCCTGAACCAGGAACCCTGCCCTGTCACATTCACTAGAAAGATGACCTTGCAAAGTCATCTAATCTTTTAAGATAACTGATGTGGAAACATCCAGCCAGTGCCAGGCATGTGGCCGACACTTAACAAATATATGGAGAAAATAAAGGTCTTGAGCTTCTGTTTGCTCACCGGTGAAGCAGAGATAACAATCTCAGATCCGCCTACCTGCCCAGGCTATGGGGAAGGTCACATGAGATGCAGTCTTTGAGCACTCTCCACAGAGGCAGTAGACCAATCTAAGGGAGAATATCATGATTTTCATGGATCTCTTGCACTCTCCAGAGACCCTTTTCCAGAAGCAGAGGAATGTTTTTAAGAATCTCTACACTTATTTCCACTAAAAGAGAAAGAATGGAAGTGAGAAGATCCCGTAGCCCTTTGGGTACCAGATCATAAACTCTTCCAGGGAAAGAATGGGTCTTCATCTCTTTACCCCCATTGCCCAGCAATGTACCTTCATGGATTTAACCAAACCCTATGGTGTTCATAGCCCATCAGGACATTTGTAGCCTAGAATGGATCCAAAGCCAGGTTCCAATGAAGGGATGAGGGACCTATAAACTTAACTCTTTTAGAGATAGAGATAGCTAGTGCTGGTGAGCAGGTGAGAGTGGCCTACAAACAACTTCACCGTTACCCTGAGGGGCTCTCCTTGGCTAGACATTCAAGGTCTTTCACAGTCTGACTCCTGCCTGACTTCCCATTTTTTCCCTTCCTGCAACCTACATCTCCTCGCTCCCCAAACACATCCTACATTGTCCCCACCCCCAGCACCTCTACCCTGGATTTTAACTTTCTTTTGTATCAAATGCCCTTCTCCCCACCCATACCCCACAATCTCCACCTGTCCAAGGTAGGGCATGTGTGTCCGTTCACCCATGAAGGGTTATCCTCCCATCTTCTAATCTCTGCCACCCTTTATGCTATTCTGCTGCAGTCCAGCTTCCCTCCCAGAATCATGATTATTAATATATACATTCCATCTCTCCTTTAGCCCATTAATCCTTTAAGGGCTGTGTCCATGCATATTTGCTTTTGTAGATGTGCAAACTGAAGCTCCCACAGAATTTGTCACAGTGTCTTATGCAAAGTAGGTGCTTCATAAATATGTATTAAATGAATGAATAAAAGAATATCCATTATAATAATACAATTATTCCTATCATCATCATCAGCTTCATTCATATCTATTAATTCACAGTAGGTAAGCCTTGAAGTAGCACTACATCTAGCACATAGTAGGCCCTCAGCAATTCTTTGCCAAATGCAAAAGGTAAATCCCAGTGTAGCTTGAAACTCTTCCTGATTTCATATGCAATAGTGATCCTAGAAGATGTCACAAGGAGCCCTGTTCTTTGCAGATCGGATTTTTCATAATCCAGGAGTAGGTCGGAGAGCACTTGGATTAGCCTCTAAACCCTGGAGCTGTAGCAGCAGCACGAACACGTATTTTTTATTTTCTCCTTTAATTATGCCCTTCCCTACCCACCACCCCGAGTCTCAGGCTGAGAGTGTCTATTTAGTTTCCTTGAGGGAGAGTGAAGTGACTTAATGTGGTTTCCCTCCAGCTGTTTCTGCAGCCCCCACCTGAAGCTCAGAATGCAAGGCAGGCATCTTTCTGCCATCTCTTCTCAGTAGGGTTTGTCACCAGCCTGCCAGGAAGGACTGGTCACCTGCAGGTGAATAAATGCTCCGGCCTTATCCCAGACAAGCTCTTTCACACCGGCAAAGTCAGTGGGCATCCAGTCGCCAAGCCTGATGGGCTGGGGCTGCTAAAATGAGCACCCTGTCACAGGAAGTGCTGTCCCTGATTGATGGTGCCCTGCTGTTTTTCAGGCCGTGGTGGTGACTGATGGGGAGCGCATCCTGGGCCTGGGAGACCTGGGCTGCTACGGCATGGGCATCCCTGTGGGCAAGCTGGCCCTGTACACGGCATGCGGAGGGGTGAACCCGCAGCAGTGCCTCCCTGTGCTGCTGGACGTCGGCACCAACAATGAGGTAACCCACTGCCCAGGGCAGGAGCTCTGGGGCCAAAAGGTGGCAACTGGGACAGGGTGAGGAGCATGTTTGTGGGTGGTTATATCTACACAGCAATGGGCCATTTCTTTCTTGGCATCCTCCCGACCAGGGCATTCCCCCTACACAGTTGTGGAGTAGAGGACCTTCTTCCCTGGTTGCCCACCCCTAGCTCCATCCTGTTCCCTCTCCCACTCCTGGGCCCCCTTGCTCCTCTACCTCCATGAGGCCCTCTGTACCCACAATGACCCCTGCTTGGGCTTCCTTCCTCTCTGACCCCCATTACCCCAGGCAGTTTCTATTTCCCTTGAGGTGGGTGTGACCACTGGGCTGTGTTTTTTAGCATTCTCAAGGCAGGCTGCCCCAGTGGAATGACTGGAATTCAAAGCACCAGGGGCCAAAATGTCTGAATCAGACAGATTAGTGTCCTGCAAACCCAGTGAGAGAAACTGAGCCAAGCGTAGGTGAGATCCAGCTGCAGGAGTCCTGGCAGTTTGTGGTTTAAGGAGCTCAGGCCCCAGCCAAGGGTTTCTCTGCTCTGGGAACCACCATGGGCATGTCTGTGACTCGCAGCTCTGTCTCTGTGTCAGAAAACATGAAAAAATATCCAAGGATTCCCTCTTAATTACATTTATCTTTGAGATCAGTGCATATTATTGAGGCCGGGCACAGTCACTCACGCCTGTGTTCCCAGCACTTTGGGAGGCTGATCGGGGCGGGATCACCTGAGGCCAGGAGTTTGAGACCAGCCTGACCAACATGGTGAAATCCCATCTGTACTAAAAATACAAAAATGAGCTAGGTGTGGTAGCACACACCTGTAATCCCAGCTACTGGGGAGGCTGAGACAGGAGAATCCCAGGAGAACCTGGGAGGCAGAGGTTGCAGTGAGCCGAGATCACACCACTGCACTCCAGCCTGGGTGACACAGCAAGACTCTGTCTCAAATAAATAAATAAATAGAGAAAATTCAGAGAAATGTTAAAAATAAGATATCAGCCACATAACAAGCACTAATCATTGTTTACATATTGGTATATTTCCCCAGCCTTTTTTTTTTCCACGCACTTATAAAATAAAAGTGGTGTTCTTATTATATATACAGTATTTTATATTTCTTTTTCAAATTTAATTATCTGTCATGAGTTTTCTTTCAGGCTATTAACCATTATTCCATAGTGTCGGTTTAATAGCTACCTGATGTATCATAATTTACATAAGAAAACCCCCACAGTTGGGCACTTAGGTTGTTTCTAGTCTTTTAAAATATAAATTGTGCTCTGGTACCCATTTTTGCAGATGAGTCTTTGTCCCTATCTCTGAGTATTTCCTTAGGATAAATTTCTAGAAGTAAGTATTGAAGCAAAAGGAATGGTCATTTTGTAAATTCTTGATTCACGGTGTCAAGAAGTTATTCTTATTTGCATTCTGCAGTGATTTCTCTTAAGAAAATTTGCCAAGACTCTTTACATGGCCTTCCTCTTCCCTAAACACAATGCATCCCCATTTCTTTTCTTTTCTTTTCTTTTCTTTTCTTTTGAGACAGACTCTCCCTCTGTTGCCCAGGCTGGAGTGCAGTGGCGTGATCTCGGCTCGCTGCAACCTCTGCTTCCCTGGTTCAAGCAATTCTCCTATCTCAGCCTCCTGAGTAGCTGGGATTACAGGCATGTGCTACCACGCTCAGCTAATTTTTGTATTTTTAGTCGAGATGGGGTTTCACCATGTTGGTCAGGCTGGTCTCAAACTCCTGACCTCAAGTGATCTGCCCGCCTCAGCCTCCCAAAGTGCTGAGATTGCAGACTTGAGCCACTGCACCCAGCCCAGGCATCCCCATTTCAAATAAAAGCAAGCACTTTAGATCCTAGTAAGGAATGATGCTTATTCAGGCTTCATCTGCAGATATGATCAAATGATGGAACGGTGGGCAGACCTTGCTTAACAGCTGGGAAATCCTGGGGGTGGGAATGAGATGAGGGAGAGCAAGAAAGTGGGAAAACTATTGGATTGGGACCTTGGTTCCCAGTACCATGACAAGCCAGGGACCTTGGTTCCAGTACCATGATGAGCCAGGTAAGTCATTGCACCTCCTTAGACTTAATTGCCTTTCAGTATATTGAGAGACTAGACCAGAAAGTTACTAAGCATCCTTCAACCTCTAAAACCACCTGGTCTCCATGTGTCTCCTCACCAGCTCAGGAGACAGGAGGTTAGATATGGATACATGCTTTACAGCTGCTCATCAAAACCAGTCTTCAAGTTTTGCTCTGCACAGCAATGCCCTTCCCCCAGCCAGATATCTGAGTTTTGCTGAAATTGTCTTTTGGCCTCAAAGAATGCTTCTTTGCAGGCGTGGATGAGCGCAGCAAACTTTGTTTTATTCTTCCTTTCCAACACCTCCTGCTGTGTTCCAGCTGGATTTAATTGAGACCTTCATTCCTTCTAAAAGCTGGCCTTAGGCAAGAATTGGAACAGATTGAGTTTGATTCTGAGGCCACTGCATCCACTGGAAGGGTGCTGTCTGCCCTGGTGCATTGGGATCCTTTGTCATTGAAGGTCCAGCACTCAGCAATGATATGCTGAAGTTTAGAGCTGGCTCTAACTTGTAACAAATCCACCAGAAAAAATGACTGGAAAGTAGCAGTAATTGTGGATCAGGCCCTTTTTATGGACCACTCAGTTTAAGCCTTGCAATAACCCTGTGAGTGGAGCATCTATCATTACCCTCTTTTTTACAGCATAGGAAACTGAGGCCCAGAGAGTTTTATTTGCCCAAGAAGATCTGCTAGAAGCGGCAGGGCTAGGAGCCGAATCCAAGTTTGTGCTCCTCTCCCCACATTACACCTGTGCCTAATTTCTGTTGCTTTATAAGTAAAGATTATTTCTTGATTTTTAGAATTTTTATTGCTAAAATGAATTTAGAACATTATTCAAAATTTTAAAGAAAAAGGAAATGGTATTTCTCCCACAATGTTGCATTTGTGTTTCTTTCCAAAATTTTTCTATGCCTATACATAAAGATAGTTATTACCTAGGTGTAATCATAATGTAATTTTGTTCTAATTTTTTCAATTAAGATTATTTTGTGAACACTTTGCCTTATTTAATAAAAGTTTATTGAGTGTTTAGTGGGTATCAGGCACCCTGCTGAGCCTGAGGGAGACAAATGAGGGTCAGCCTGAATAGAATGTTCTAGTTGTCAGTGTTTCAACACTGTCACCTAATTGGTCACTTTAATGAGTCGCGTGTCACATCTACTCAAAGCGTCTGCTTCTCCTTCTGGTGCTTTAGGCCTCTAGAATCACCTCTCCCTCCTGGATGTGGAGGGGAGAGAACCTTCCCTGGGTCTGATCCTTATGTCAGGGAGGGACCAGAGTACCCCTGTCTAGGAGGAGGGAACATGCCCTGATCTGCCCTCCTATGTGCCCCGGGGGTGAGAGGAAGCAGTTCCTCCCCAGTATATTATTCTCCCAATTTTCAGATAAGGAAACTGAGACTGAAACATGTCAACTACTTACCTCAGGTCCCACAGCTCTAAGTATCAGAGCTGGGATTGGAACCCAGCTGTCTGGCTCCACAGCTGCCTTGCCCACTGTGGTGCACTGCTCCAAGGGGTCAGGTGTTTGCATTATAGACTGGGAAATGGGGGCCGAGAATGAGTGTTTCACACAGGCAGGATCCCATGGACACTCAGGATCAAGTCAGAGGATAGCAATGCTGTTTACACCATCCTCCCCTCCAGGGAATGGTGGGCCCCCTCCAGACCCACTTGAAGAAACTCAGGACACAAAATTTTCAAAGTTATAAAGTGACCAACATTAGGAAGATGGTGATTTTTCTCTTTTCAAATGGATTCACTATGTGATCTCCCAACTACAGTTCCTTTTTTTTTTTTCAATGAAACCGTTTGCAAGATATTCCCCCCAGAAGTCCCAGGGCACACCTTTTGCTCAGAGCAAGCCTGAGATGTAACAGAGGGAAGCTTGGCCTTCTACACTTTTATCTCACATGTCCGTGCAGGGAGGATGCTGTCATGAGGGTTTTTAATGTCAGAATAACTTGACCATCTGTGTGTATGTATGTCTCTATAAAAACTCCTGAGGCAACAGGAGCTTTAATCACAGTCAAAGACAACACCCCTCCAGGTTTCCTGTTGAAGGAAAACATCTGCTGTCCACAGCCCTGAAACTCTGCATCACTTTTACCTGCCAATACCAAGGAGATTTGGAAAAATAAATATGTGGCGCCATGATCCCATGAAGAAGGGACATCCCATGATTAAGTTCCAAGTGGGTAGGGGAAGGGAGCGCCTGCTCAGCCTTCCATCATGGCTACGTGTGGATTGGATTTATTTTGTTTCATCCACATGCAGCCAGTCACAGACTATTCAGGTTAGAAGGGGCCTGAGTACCATCTCGTTCAACCCCCTTGTTTTACATGGGAAACGAGGCTCAGAGCAGAAAGCGCTTCCCCAAGGTTTGACTCGAAACCCAGTGGTTATCCCACCCTGTGCTAAGGCAGGGTGGGGGAATCCCGGGGGATGGAGCTTGGCTTTAAAATGACCCTGCTGAGCCTTGGAGATCTTCTCTTGGCAGAAGTCTTGAGCCTCTATGAATTCAACTCAGAAGGAGATGCTGTGTGCTCTTCTGGAACTGAAGAATGGGTGGAGGGAGGGGAGTCATGTTTGGTTAGGGAAACAAACATGGGAGCAGATCATTAGCAGAGCCTGGTAAATAGTGCTTTGGATGTTATTGGATCGCCAAGGAAGCATGGAGTTGACAACCAAGCTGGGTATTGCAGGGTTTCTTCTACCTTGCAAGATTATCATTATTCAGCATTCACCATGTGGTGCCATCATAGAGCTCACTCTCTACACACGTGTAACCCATGAGGATGCCCTTGCTAGGATCTTTGTATCTTACCCCAGGCTTAGCTGAGTTTCCCAAGGAATGAGTGGTAGGTGGGACTGCCACTGTGAGGAGAAAGCGTGCTGTGCCCACAGCGTGAACCCAATCCCGTGACCTCCCAGACCCCCAGGTTCCCTAAGTAACATCACAGAATGCCTGTTGCTATGCAAGATAAATATTTTTTCAACCAGGAGGTTTATCTGTCTTCCAGCTGAAATCCAGTGCTCACTGATATGGGCAGTGAAGAGGAGGAAACCATTTCTTTTTCCATGACATTTTGTCTCCAAGAAAAACCTTACGGGAGGCAGAGCTGGGCAAACAGCCATAGAGAGCACATTCAACCCTCTAACTCCCACAGCAGAGGAGAAAGTTCTGCTTCACCCACTTTGAATAAAGGCCTTCACCTAAAATTATAATCATTGACTTACTTGGTTCCAAAGGGGACTTAGTAACTATCTAACAGAGGGGAAAGATTTAGTCACTCAATATTTAGGTGCCAGGCACCCACTGAACACTAAAGTATGGAAGTGAATAAGCCTGGTCCCCACCCTGGGAAGAGTCCTGGTCTAGAAACCATGATTTCTGCCTTGTTGTTTCCACAAATGTGTTTTGTGACTTTGGGCAGCTCATTTATTCTTTCCAACCTTCAAAAACTCATTTGGAGGAAGCAGAACCAAGTGATTTCTAAGACCTTCTTAATTTTTAATTCAGCATCTCCTTAGCCCAGTCCCAGGACTCTGCAATCATATCACTAAATGCTTCTCAAGGGCTTATGTGTGCCATCACTGTACAATTAGCTGGGGAGATGCGGATGAATGAGGAGCTCAAAGAGCTTGCATTGTGTGATAGAAATCATTATTCCCTATTTAACAGAGAGCAGAAAAAAGTTAAATACCTTCCCCAAAGCCACAGAGCTAGTCAAGTGACAAAGCCTCAATTCAAACCCAGGTCTATCTGATTTGAAAGCCTAGAGCCCCTTTGGGCCCTACTGAGGATGCTCAGAGGGGAGCATCCTGACCACAGCCACCAGGACCAGCAGTGTCCTTTCCCCTGCGGCACGTTGCCTCCAAACTTGAAGATTCCTCTGCCTCTGTAGATAGGGTTACCAGATTTAGCAAATAAAAATACAGGACACCAGTGACATTTAAATTTCAGAGAAGCAATTCAACATTTTTTAGCATAAGTGTGTTCCATGTAATACATGGGTCACACTTAATTCTAAACATTTCTTTTTAATTATTGCCTATCTGAAATTCAAATTTAACTGGGCATCCTGTATTTTATCTGGCAATACTGTCTGCTGAAATCTTCTCCTCTAAACACCTATGAAGAAGTCCAGACAGAGGAGGACTGCAAGGAGGGGGTCCAGGCAGGTTACTACTCCTACCCCTTGCTGTCAGGCATTCTTATATCTGAATCAGTTGGCGGATACAGGGCAGAATGTGGGCTTCTTGTTCCATGTTGTGCCAAGTCAGCCATAGGAGCTCTGCCCACTACTGTTTTAGAGAAGCCATTTCCACTCCTGCTAAAGGAGAACCAGTTGACTAGAGATGTATACACAGCCTTTCCTCTGAACTCATTCCAGCTCTCCCCGTTCCCCAGCCCGGTCTGCAAGTCAAGAGTCTGGACCTTCCCAGCCACAATTGACCTCCTCCAGGAGGACCCGGCAGAGGGTGAGGAGCTGCCCCTTGGCTCCCTGGTTCCCTGGCCCCCACAATATCAAGTGATGGGACGAAGAGGATGCTTCGTCATGAGACCCAGTCAAAGCTCAATCTCAGGGTAGCTACTTTCTGGCTCTGTGAGCTTGGGCAGTTTATTTAAACCCTTGAACTCCAACTTCCTCTAAAATGGGATGAGAAGAGGTCAGACTATTAGAAGGAACAAATGAGTGAATTACTTGAAAGCTCTATACAAACATAAGAATCTATTTTTTAACGTCATATCCATATGGGAACTTTTTTTCATTTTTTGTGGTTAAAGTATCTGAGACATAGAACATTTTATTAGGAAAGCAAAATATAAGGACTTTTTAAAAGCTTTTTATAGTCACCCTTGTATCTCAGCAGTATCTCATTATGGTTGACCTTTGATCTTTACTGCAGTATACTGAGAAATTTTTTGAAAATCTAAAAATCCCTTAGTGCCACTGGGGAACTTAACTTACCCCAGAAACTGCATATGCAGGATTGAGAAATTCACTCTATGCTGCTTGATGCACTAAGATTCAAATCTGTGACTTGGCAACATTCCAAATTATAACTCACCATGGACCCTTTTAATCTTTGTAAGAACTGCCAAAGTGAATGTTTTCTGCCAATGCCAAGAGTAACACTATTTTCAGTCATTTTTATGTATGTCCTTCCAAGCTCTGTATGTATGTGCTTCAGAGAGTTATAATTATGATATCTGTGTAATTTTGTATCCTGTTTTCTCCACTTTAAATAGTCTCTTACAAATTTGTCCAGGTGACTGCAAAGTCTTAAAACCACCAATTTTAATTACTGCCTAGCTATTCATCATGTTACTCTACTATCATTTATCATTTCTTCTTTCTGGCTGTTTGATGCTTCTAAGTGACCTTTGATGGTCACTTTGAAGGTAGCATGTGGAAGGGTAGGCACCATGTATGCACCACTTTCACCCTTTAGGTCCCCCCTACTGACACACACACGCACACACCCCTATCAGTGAAGAATCCTAAACAGTTTCAAGGGTGTCCAATCCAGGGGATTAGGAGAGTGAGAGAGGAGGCCAGGACCCACCATCTTTCTAAATGTAAACCTGTGGTATCTTTGACAAAGTGCTAAACCCAGCTCAGATCTTACGTGTACCCAGGCCTTGGGGTGAAGGGTTAACAGATAATTCCTGTTCTTTTCTGTCCCTTAAACTACACCCTCCCCCACACCTAATACAGTGATATGAAAGCAGTATGGACCCAGAACAGTGTCCTTAAAAAGAAAAATTGATTCTTGTTGGTATGCAGAAGAGCCACCCATGCAGCATGACTGAGTGCTTAAGACCACAGACTCTGGACCCAACAGCCCAGCTTTGAATCCTGACTCCTGCACTTACGAGTCCAAGGTCTTAAGCAGGCTGCTTCACCTCTCTGTGTCTTGTTGCCTCATTTAAAAAATGGGGGAAACGATGAGACCTACCTCTCGGGTCCTTTGAGAAATAGATGAGTGAGAAAGGTACTGGGGAGACACCTGTGAAGAATAAAGGGGGAGGGAGTGGGAGGAGTTGGGGGTGAGTGGGGCCTTCAAACTCTAGTACAGGTCAGACACCTGTGAAGGGAGAGCAGAAGGGAGCGAGGACTGAGTAAGAGAGCCCAGGGAGAGTCTCCCCAGCTCAGTCAGGCCAGTGAGAAGTTCCTGCCCCAGCAGAGTCTCGGTTGGGCAGGAATGGTTTCCCCCACACCCCCTCCATGCTCAGTCATTAAGCAATCCAGGGAGAGTGTGGCGGCTGAAGGCTGTCCACCAATTGCCCTCCCTCAGCAGGTTCCCTTAAGATAGTTCTGAGCCACACACCTCCATGGCTGACACAACCTCATTGGGTTAAGTAAAGCACTTAGGGCAGTACATGACACATTGGAGGCACTGTGAAAGCTAAAACTGCTACCACTGTTTTATAGCATATGTTATAATTCACCAAGCTCTTTCATATATATTTTTCCACTTGATCATCACAATCATCCCCATGCAGCCCCTATTTTATCCCCATTTGATAGATGAGAAGAAGCCTTCAAGAGGCCCCACGACTTGCCCAAAGTCACACAGCTCGCTGTGGTGGAGGTGAGACTTGATTGTAAGCCCCCGAGGGTCGGAGTGTAGGCCCACTGGTCCTTATCTTTGTGTCCTGCAGCAGCAGTTCAGATGGAGATGAAGACAACACAAAATCCTGTTCTCTAGGAACTTATATTTTTGGTGAGTTAGACAAAAAAGTAGATAATTCCAGGAAACTAACCCATGGAATTACCTCCCATTTCCCAAATACACCAGGTATTTCTTCCTCCTGCCTCCAGCCCTCAACCTTTCCTTGTGCTGTCTTCTCAGCCTGGAGGCCCACCTGCTGAAATCTGCCTATCTCTTCCTACCTGACCATTTTCTCCATGACACAATCCCAATCTGCCCCCCAAAGGGAATTTCTTCACTCATCACTGTGCCTCCATGTGCCACACTTTGTTCCAAACCAGCGTCACTCTGCCCTGCAGTATAATGTGTCTGTTTACTCAGCAGCCACCTGTCAGCACCTAGAAGGCAACAATCATTCCTTGCTCCTCTACAAATCCCCCACTGGGCCCAGTGTCAGCAATAGTACATGAGAAATAAATGTGTCATGCATGAATGAGTCCACTGACTCTGTGTAGGGGTGGCAGGAATGGAAGACGTGGAAAGTTGGCCAGCAGGAGTGGTCATTCACACCAACGCACACACAGATAACCCAATAGCGTATGACTGCTGTGATGGAAGGAGCTGCAGGAGGTGGGGTGGAGGGGCCCTGAACACAGGCTAGGTGTTAAGGTGAGCATCTCTCTTGAACTGAAATTCCTGGTTGTTTCATTCTATGCTTGTATCCCCAGGGCCCAGCACAATGTGAGGCACATGGTAGGTATTCAGTAAGATTTCAAGGAGGGAGGGAGAGAAGTAAGAGAGGAAGGGGGAGGAAAAGAGAGGAATGGAAAGGAAAGGAGGGTGGGTTGGTTTTCTAACATGAGTCCAGACCAGGGACTCTGGATGCGACCCAATACTTCAATGAAATTCTGCCTGAAGTCAGCTACAGTGGTTCTCAACCGGTGACAGTTTTGTCCCTAAGAAGACCTTTGGCAATGTCTCAAGACATTCATTTTTTCTTCTTTTTTTTTGAGACAGGGTCTCATTCTGTTGCCCAGACTAGAGTGCAGTGGCACAATCATGGCTCACTGCAGCCTTGGCCTCCCAAGGTCAAGTGAGCCTCCTGCCGCAGCCTCCTGAGCAGCTGGGACCAAAGACATACACCACCATGCCCAGCTAATTTTTAAAAATTTTTTGTAGAGATGGGGTCTCACTGGGTTGGCTAGGACAGCCTCAGACTCCCGGGCTCAAGAGAACCTTCCACCTTGGCCTTCCGAAGTGCTGAGATTACAGGCGTGAGCCACCGCATCAGGCCTTGAAGTCATTTTTGATGGCCACAACTGCGAGTGTTACTGGCATCTAGTGGCTAGAGGCCAGAGATGCTGATAAATATCCTACAGTGTGCACGTCAGGCCTCACGTTAAAGAATTATCCCAGCCAAAATGTCAGTAATGCCACTGTTGAGAAATCCTGAAATAACCCTAAAGCCTGCAGACAGAGGTTGAAAGACTGTGTCTGACAGAGGCTTGCCTGGTTCAAAGCATCCTTGGTTTCCAAAATGAGGACCATCTAAGAGTCCAACCTCAATCACTGGCTTAGCCTCCAGACCCTTTCAGAAATGACACCTGGGCGGGGGGGATCCAGTTACCTTCTTACTCCCCCCTCTCCTCCCACCTTCTGGTTCTTCCTAATAATCCTGGATACTTGTTGGAAAAAAAAAAAACAGGAACACCGGGAGTAGGCTCAGTCAATGGGTGCTGTCTGTTCCAGGAGCTGCTCAGAGACCCTCTGTACATCGGCCTGAAACACCAGCGCGTGCACGGGAAGGCATACGATGACTTGCTGGATGAGTTCATGCAGGCTGTGACAGACAAGTAAGTGGACCAGTCTGTCCCTTTTGAAAGAGGACTTTTAAGAGATGCCGTGACTAAAGTCAACACTGGTTTTGGCTGATATACAAAGTAAAGGCAGTAGATGCATGCTTTTCCAGGTATTCTGAAAATTCCAACTTGACCCCTAGGAGTGATAAGACTGGACACCAAATGGGCTCATTCTCTGAGAGAATCCCTGGGAGCAGTGAGGGGAGGGAATGAGAGGGTTGATGGCTGAAGGCTGTGATCTGGAGGTAGTTAAGTATCATTGTCCCAGGAGAAAAACCCCCTTGGCCTGAGCTGTTTAGGGTTCTCAGCACAATTAGGGATGTTGCAAGTGATGGAGGAAAAATGTGTGCCCTTCTGATGAAATGGCTTTGGAAGGCAGCTTGTCACATTTGGTTATTTTCCACCTCTATGTGAGAACAAGGAAGTGTTAATGAGGCACTGTGGCAGACCACACGGGCTCTGGGCCTGCAAGATTTATGAGGTGTCATCTCTTCACTGGGGAAGCTTCACAGTACTGGCAGCTTCCACCCCACTTGCCTGCCCCATCTGTCTGCCATCGTGGCCACCCGCTCACACTGCTGTGGCTGACGTGCCGCTGGGATGGAGGCCTGATGACAGCCCTCACACACCCATGTTTACTCTGAGAGAAGAGCTGGTCAAGCCAGAGTTTCAGCAGCTCAGTGGGCCTCTGAAGACAAAGCATGTTCCCCTCTCACTTGCAAATCTCCAGCCTTCTTGCTGCCTGAAGATTGCACAGGTTTGGCAGAGATGGCCTGCCCATCCTTGGCAAAGTGCTCCCTTGTCCAAGCTCAGCTTCTCCAACCAGAACAGTGGGCTGGAGCCCACAAACTCTGCACAAAGTCTCATCTGGGTGGGCTTCAGGGGTGGGCAAACTGTAATTTGACCTTTGACCCCTCCACTTTTCAGATATGTGACCTTGGGCAGGTTACTAAACTTTTCTGGGTTTCCTTATCTGGAGATAAGAAAAGAGTTTTGTTGGTGTTGTGTTTTGTTTTTTAAGATGAGAGCAAAATAATATTGTGGTTATATAAGGTGGAAATGATCCTGTCAAAAGACAAAATGAATGATGGACTGTAGGATGGGGGGAAAAAGTCCTTGAGTAAGCAAGCAGGAAAAAGGATCCAGTGCACACCTGAAGAGCTTAGTCTTGGAGCACAGAAAATCATCCACAGGGAGAAAGGGAAGGCAGAGTACTGGGCACTGATGGGGCAGGTGGGTAGATGTGGTGGTGGGAGCGAGGGGGAGTCCCATCTGCTTGAAGACAAGGACATCAGCATAGAGTGAGGATGGGGAGGTTTAAGGATAGAGGAAGTGGGACCTAGTTATCTAGGAGAGTGGGAGAATGTCCAGACTGGGAAGCTGGATCATGATCACTGGGCAGCTCTCTGGGCCCCCTTGGGGTTACTGTTTATGAATTTAACTTAAGCTAGTTAACCTGTTTCTTGCTTCCTCAAGCCAGGTTCAACTGTCTGGGTCCAAGGGCAGGAAGACGAAGAGAGCAGGGTGTAATCAGGGTTGGGGATTTTGCCAGGCAAGAGAAAACGGGAAAGAGCAAGGAGTTGAGAGTCTATTCAAGGGAATGATTATAATTGTATCATGAGCTCTAGGCTGGGTAAAAGGGGAGAGAATGGGAGGACGTGGTAAAGGGGAGGGACAAGGGACAGTGAAAGGGTGATCAATGGATAGTAAGTCCTGGTGAGGTTTAGAAACTGTTGAGTTGGATAGTACGTGGAATAAGCTGGAAAGAAAGGAGGTGGTGATCAGAAAGTTAGATGTTTGCAGCTAAGATTATGGAGGAAGGGCTGCTATTGGGATATGGCCACTAAATAAAGCAAATTCAAGGGTCAGCTGCATTAATAGAGGCATAGCATCTAGGACAAGGGAGGTGAATGTCACAATTCATTATCTCCATTTCAGAAATCCTGAATACCACATCCAGTGCTAGAGAAGCTACATTGAGGGTTAAAAATTACCTAAAGTGCCTTTGGAGTGCAATAACTACGATAGTGAAGAGAACCAAAAGCTGAGCCTGGTAGAGAGAAGACTCAGAGACTGCTCTGTCTATGTCAGGGACGTGCTAGTACCTCCAGATTCTAAAAGCTCTTCTTTCAGAAGAGAATTGGACTTGTTTGTATGTATCTACATGGAAAAGAACCAATTGGTGGAATGCTAAAGGAAGCACTTTTCAGCTCAAAATAAATCAGGGCTGTCTCACATTGCACTGGACTGTCTGTGGGAATGAGTTCCCTGTCACAGAAAGAGTTCAAGGATAGGTTGCATGGCTTATTTGTGGTGATATTATAGGAAGGAATTCAAGCATCAGATGTTCTTTAAGCTGCCTTCCCACCCCAGTATTCTATTCTAACCTCTTAAAAAAATCCTCTGTAGCCAACCGGATAGGTATTATTATTCCCATTTTATGCAAGAGAAAACTGAGACTCAGAGAGGCCAAGTTAGCTATCTCAGGTCACACAGTACCTGTCAGGACTACAAGCTGAACCCAGGACTACTGACTCCAAGTACAGACTCTTTCTACAATGCTGTGTCACCTGTGGATGAAAAGAGAAGGGAATGAAATTGGCTTTGAAAGCCCACTTTTTGCTTCCTGTTTCCAGGGCTCACTGCTTATCTAATGAGTCAGTAATCATTCTGTGATTCCCCACAGAAAAGTATTGCTATTCGTGTGAGAAGGTTAAATAAACTAGGATGTAAGAAGCTGTTCAAACTATCCTCAAAATCAGTTCACAGTTTTACAGACACACACACACAGGCAGTCCGGGAGCGGGGGGCGGGATCCTTGGGGAGGGGCATGCGTCAGCCAACAGGAATGTGTCATTAAACAGAAAACATGATGGATTGATGGTTGGTTGTTTTGACTTTCTAATAAGCTATAGCAGATGTTTCTGTGGATACTGTAGGTGGGGAATGAGCTGGTCTCCCCAAGCACTCTTGGGAATACAGTAGCTCCAAGACAGAATGCCCAGCCTGGGGGTGAGTCAGGAGTTCCAAAGTCAAACACAATGTATTTTAAGAAAGAACCTTGGGAAATGTTGACTCCTGCTTTCAACATCCTCATCTCTGTCCAAACATCCTGCTAATAAAAAGCTCCACCTTCCTACCCCTACCCACTAATGGGGATGTATGTTAAGATTTTTTGGCCTGAAATAAACTTACTATGGCTCAGTTCCTGCCGTGGAGCTTGGCCACTGAGGAGAACCTGCCAGGACAGAAGGAATCTCCATTTAGTCTGTGAACCACAGCAACAGACAGCTGGGAGTGTCCTTCTCAAAGCTGAGACAAAGACTGATGGCAAGGACTGATTGCCCCACTCTTCCCGCTCTTTCCCTGTCATGCAGTGGATGGGTGCATTGTACCCGGGCACCACCTCCTGCTGTCACGAGTTTTCCCTGATGGTTTCCATTCACATTTTTCATTTCTGTTACTTACAGTAGCAAGGATGGGAGTTGACTGTGTTCTGAGTTTGCACCTGGAGCCCTAACTCTGTCTGATAATTGGCCTGGGCTGGACAGAAACTTGATGTCAGCAGCAGCTTTGGCCTTTAGGCAGGCCAGGAAAGGAAATCACCCGCTTCTTCCCTAGTTCCCAAACCCTAAATACAGGGATTCTTAAGCTGCTTAGATGAGAGTGTTAAAGAAGGGAAATAATAAATAAACCTTTTTAAAAAGTCATCTACTTTTTAGCTCTAGGAAAATTTTTTTTTTAGTCTCTCCATTTTGTTGTCTCTGTGCATTCATTCATTCATTCTCTCTCTCTCTTTCCCCTCACCATAATCACACACACACACGTAATCCCTGAGATACACACCATATTGGAAATCACAATTTCTCTATTAGTGCTCTTTGTAGAAACTTCTAGTTTTCAGAGAAATTCAGACAGCCCTTGGCCTCTCTGATATCTGGAGCCAGTTACCACAGGCCCACTCCTTAATGTTACCTTCCACACTTGATGTGAGCCCCTGTCCTTCCAGAGCCAACCCCGCTTGCTCCAGCATTCATTCTCTGTGTCACTTCAACCTAAATGGGACTCCTCCCATTCCATCTCTCCTCTGCTACTCATCCCACTTGTTTCTACCTTTACATTTGGACGGCTACCCTAAAGGTTTCTGTTCAAATATACGTACTGTCAAAATGACTAGATGTCTCTACTGTGCCCTGATCAGATTTACAGGGATCAAAGGAATTGTTACTTGTCGGGCCTTTGTGCAGAGCAGAGCACCAAAGTTAAAGCTAAAAACAAGGAGATAAGATTCCAAGACTGTTCACTTGCCTCTTGATCTGTGGTGTCAAGGAACACATCTGTTTCTTTTGCTGTGTTAAAAAACCATCCTAAATCTTACTGGCTTAACATTTTATTTGCTCTTGATTCTTGGAAGCTGAACTGACTCAGCTGGAGTGATTCTTCTCCTGGTCTTGCCAATGGTCACACATATGGCTGCTTTCAGCTGGCTAACTAGCTGGGAGCGGGCTCAGCTGGGACACTGGAAAGGTTGGGCTCCTCTGTTTTTCCATTGAGTCTTAGGGTCTCTCCTTCTTCACATGGCCTCTTCTCTTCACAGGATAGCTGAACGTTTTACATGATAGTCTAGGGCTCCTAAGAACACAAGAGTGGAAGCTGCCAGGCCTTCTTAAGGATGAGACCTGGAACTGGAACAGTCTAACTTCCACCACATTATACTGGTTGAAGCAAATCATAGGTCCATACTAGATTCCAAGGGAGGAGGTTATACAAGGAAATAAATACTAGGAGGTATGGTGCATTGGGGGCCACCAATGTCAGAGACTGCCACACCCTATCTAGCCTGGGTAGGATGAGGAATGGGGCAGCCCTCACTATAGGAAGGCGTGAGAAAAGAATAACTCAGTTACACAGATAAGCAGGGGAATGGTATATAAAATCAATGAGCATGTCTACCTAGTACCTGCTGTACACCAGACACTGAGCCAGGCATAGTGAGCAATACACAGAGAAATAAACAGTCCTCCTCTCAGAGAGCTACATAGTCAAAAACATTTCGTATGTATCTATTGAAGTTTAGATAACCTGAGACTCTACACTTTCTTAGCCTCTAAGTGTCTGTGTAAGTCTGGAGCTCAAGAAGAGTTCTGGTGCAGAAACATAAAGTTGGGAGTTGCCAACCCATAGATAGTATTAATATCAAGGGAATGATTGAGATTTCCCAAAGAGAAGAGAATATGACTCACCATGGTTTTCTGAACTGTGTCCTATGGATAACTGCAAGTCAAAGTGCTCAACAAATTTTAGGACTAGACTAGGATATTGTTGGTAAGAATGGCAAGGAGGGTAAAAGGTTTCATTCCTTGTGCCAGCTCTGATTGCTTAGGACTCTGAACCTCTCTGGGTTCAACAGGGATGAGCATCATGGTTGATTAGCAATGTCTGCCCTGAGCATGGAATAAGGGGTGGCAGCAGTGTGCTATCCTTTGCCCCCTTTGGAGCTGTGAGGAGCCTTGTGACCTAAGCATCTGTGACTCTGTGAGCACTCATGCCAGCTGATCCTGCAACTCCCACAACTAAATAGCAACTCCGAGGCTAAAGGAGGCTCTGGGTTATTTTTCTCCAGGTGTTCAGGATATTTCAAGAGCTAAAGTAGGCCTCTATTTTAGTCCACATGAAGCTGCAGCTGCTTCTTCTGAGTTACAAAAACATGCAGGAATATGCTCTCTTGGGTACACTCCACCCCCACACCCACTCCCAATACACTCTGGAGCAAAGCAGTGGGTCTAATATGCTAATACTGACCTATGGTTCCTAAATCTGGCTTTGCTTCTGAGTCATCAAGGAAACTTGTCAAGAATACAGACTTCAGGCTCCTATGCCACAGAAGGCCTGGGTTGAGACCTGGACATCTGTATTTTTGAAGCTGTCCTAATGATTCTCATAGAGCTGTGCAAAGACTGAAATTTGAGAAACTCTTCGGCTGAGCACAGTGGCTCACACCTGTCATCTCAGCATTTTCGGAGGCCAAGGTAGGAGGATTATTTGAGGCCAGGAGTTCAAGACCAGCCCAGGCAACATAGTGACACCCCCGTCTCCCAAAAAAAAAAAAAAAAAAAAAAAAATCAGCTGGGTGTGGTGGCACTCGCTTTTATTGCCAGCTACTTAGAAAGCTGAAGCAAGAGGATCACTTAAGCCCAGGGGTTTGAAGCTGCAGTGAGCTATGATGGTATCGCTGCACTCCAGCCTAGGCAACAGAATGAGACCCTCTTAAAAATAAAATAAAATAAAAAGAGAAACTAATGGACCACATCCCCAGAAGAGGCAACTTGTGCGGCCCCAGCTCCTCCCACTTTCAGAGTCAGACTGAAGCCCAAGGTGAGGGTGTAAGGACCAATACACAGAGACTTTCCACAGTTTTATCAGCAGGGACCTACATTAGGAAAGACCCAGTGTGTTCTCTGAGCTCACCCTGCCATGGAGGTCTACCTTGCAATACACCTACAGCTCTGGCAGCTTCCTTTTAGTCTGGAAACTTCCCAAGCAGAGCTGTGCCCATTGTTTCTGCTGGAATCCCCTTTGCCCTGAGGAACTTCAGCTGCTTTCATGCGGGGAATAATTGCATTTCTACATGTGGGGAAAGCACTCACACATCTGGGTACCTCGGCCCCAAAGACACATCGTGGGCAAGAATCAGGCCTGCCCTTCTCCACAAGCAGGCACATGTTGGGCCTGATTCCCCACAAAGTGCCTTGACTTCATGACAGTGAAACGGCCTGCTTGGGAAGTTTCTGGACAGTGAGCTTGGAAGAGGGAGATGGCAAACTCATTAGTTAGGTAAAGACAGTGGTGACTGCCTTGTTTGGGGAATTTCTTCTAAATGGCTTCCTGTGAAAGTACACAAAATCATATCACCTTCCCAAAAAATATGCCTATTTGGGAATTTGACTCTTCAAACTGGAAAGGGTATACTTATCCCGTGAGGGAATACATTTTGCCAGCAAAGAGATAGAAACAGTAGGTACTGCAACCAAAACTCTGGGAAGTGAGCTTTATTTTCATAACAGATGAGAAAACTCATCATAGAAGCTTGAAGCAGCACTAACAAAGCATGTATCTGATCATGCATTTCCAGTGCTTCTGAATAATGACTACATATCCAACATTCTACTAGGCACTGTAATGAGATTCAAAAGAAATAAAAGACATCAGCTAGGCCAGGCGCGGTGGCTCATGCCTACAATCCCAGCAATTTGGGAGGCCAAGGCAGGTGGATCACTTGAGGTCAGGAGTTCAAGACCAGCCTGGCCAACATGGCGAAACCCCATCTGTACCGAAAATACAAAAAAAAATTAGCCAGGTACAGTGGCACACACCTGTAATCTCAGCTACTCAGGAGGCTGAGGCATGAGAATTGCTTGAACCCAGGAGGTGGAGGTTGCAGTGAGCTGAGATGGCACCACTGCACTCCAGCCTGGGCGACAGAGTGAGATTCCATCTCAAAAAAAAAAGAAAGAAAAAAAGACATCAGCTGTGTCTTCAACAACCTTACAGTCCTTCCAAGAAGACATTTTTGAATAGAAAATAATTAGGGAAGACTTCAGTACCCAACTATTTGGTGTTGACCCTCAGTTCAATGGAAATTCAGAGAAAGGGACAATCAGGGATGATTGGGAAGAAATGGAAGTTGTACAAATTTAGGACCGAATTCAAGTAAGCAGCAGGAGAAAAAATGATGTTCCATATAGAAGGTACATCATGAGAAAAGCAAGAACACAGGAAAAGCAATGAATATACAGGGAAGGCAATGAGTATCTACAAGAATGGGCCAACTAAAAATGAATGTTCAGTGATTTTAAATAAGGTTAAATAAGAATGGTGCTGGCTACATCTATTATTTAGGTTTCTCCAGAGTAACAGAACCAATAGGATATTAGGTATTTAGATACTTGAGAGTGGATTTATTATGAGAAGTGGCTAACGTGATGATGGAGGTAAAGAAATCCCATGATATGGTGTCTGCAAGCTGGAGAACCAGGGAAACTGGTGGCATAGCTCAGTATAAATCCAAAGTGGGGCCGCTGGTGCACATCCTGGAGTCAGAAGGCCAAAGAGCCTGGAGTTCTGATGCTCAAGGGCCGGAGAAGATGGGTGTTCCAAATTCAGAAGAGAGAACGAATTCACCCTTCCTCTGCCTTTTTGTTCTATCTGAGCCATCAACCAACTGGATGGTGCCTGCCCATATGGGGTGAGGGTGAATCTTCCTTATTCAATTTACTAATACAAATACCAGTCTCTTCCAGAAACACCCTCACAAACATACCCAGAAATAATGCTTTACCAGCTATCTGAGTATCCCCTAAACCAGCCAAGTTGACACCTAAAATTAACCATCACACTAAGATAGGCCTTGCAATCCAGGCAGAAGGTCATGATTATGAGAGCTCAAAAGTGGAAGGGGCTACAGTCATCTAATGCAGTGGTTTTTAAACCAAGCTTCCCTGGGCCCCAGGACTCCAAAGAAGCATATCAGGAGTGCTAGAAATGAAATACTTTCCACCAACCATAAAAAATGTAAACCACTTGAGGAAACACTTTATTGTTTTTCATTGCCTTCTATATCTGGTTTCTGCTCAATATTTTATTAAAGAATTATTCTGCAAAAAATGTTTGAAAATTACCAATCCACAAAATACCTTATTTGAGACTTGATGTAGTGAGCAATAGGGAGGCATGGTAGGTTCTTGAGCAACAAAAGTATTGTATTAAAATTGACAAGATGTGGGAAGAGATTAGAGGCAGAACCCATAACAATGCCCCAATTCAAATTCTGCCTTCCCTAGGGAAATCTACTCTGACCAGCCTGGCCTGATACTCTTGCCCTGACTGTAATCTTACTGGCTGTAGAATTCATTTGCTAATTAATTAATCATGCACTGCATTGTGACATCTCTGCTAAAATGGCCTATTGCTTTTCTTTAACCTTTTTTTTTTTTTTTTTTTTTTTTTGGTCCTTAGGCTTTCATTGTCAGAGGAGAGATTGGGCAAAGATGAGTCTGGACTGTTGTAGAAGGGTTCAAGAACTGGCGTGGATGGCCTTTATAGATCATTCCTATCTCAGGGCCTATGACTCAGTAACATCTCTACCAATGGTAGTTCCTAGGAAGCGTGGCTTTACTCGTGCAGTAAATGGTGAGGGTGGGAGTTGGTTGATTGGTGGGTGGTCAAAAGTCCACACCAGGCTAGCTACCAATTAGAATAGACTGAAGGCTATGAATCTGACCACATCTGAGGAAGCACAGAGGAAGGAAATTTGACACTCATTCTGGCTTGTCTTGACTCTGAAGGAGCAGAACAGTTTCCCAGTTTCAGCCTGATATGGCTCATTGTTGACAGTCCAGCTCCCCCATGTTCTCAGAAGAACAACAGCCAGATTTTGCATGGTGACAAACTCCTATGCATGCAAGGAATCTGTCCTGGGTCACAGGCTAGGAGACTATCAAAATGCATACTAGCACCCAACTCTCTAGGACATTTTCACTTCCATCGCACCAAGCAGACTGCATAATTGAGTGAGTTTGCAGTTCACTAGTTAAGGTCCAGCCTCAGGACTGAGGCCAAAATGTGCTGGAAGAAACTCACTGCCTCGGGATATGATTCAATGACACTAGCTGGCTATTTCCTTTTCATTTTCTCTTAGCAGCCTGATTTTATCGCTTGGTATCAAGAATAGGAACAAAATCATCCCCAGAACTGAAACTTTTAGATTATGGCAGAAGAGATGAAGGAATATAAGGGTCTTATGGGTGGCGGGGAGCAGGGATCTGATCCCTTTCAATGAATAAGTACCAATAATAACAATAATAACTCTTAATTATTTAATTGCTTACCATAAGCAGACACTGATACAAGCACTTCACACAATATTAACTTGTCTAATTCTCACAACAACTGTATGAGTTAGGTACTATTCACTTTATTTTAAGAGATGAAGAAACTGAAGTTTACAAAGTACAAGTACCTCATCTAAGAAAGGGGAGCCTGATTAAGACCCTACCCACTAACTGCAATTGTTAAAAGCACGAATTCTAGAGCTAGACTGCCTGAGTTCCAATCTCTTATTAACAAGCTACTTATTAACACTTATCAACGAGTGACTTAATTCATCTGTGCCTCAGTTTCCTCCTCTCTAAAATGCATTTTTAAGACTGGGAGAGTACTTATGATGGATAAATGAGGCCATCCATGTAAAATGTTTAACATACACCTGAGTGATAGTAAAAAAATCATGTTTGCTATTATTATTAATTTAGGCAGTTTCCAAAGCCATTCTCCTTTAGGCAGTGCTTCACTGTGCCCACATTCACGCATTCATGTTTGAGTTAATATATCCATTCACATGTCCAACACTGCTGTCCACAGTCCCTCACCCATCCCTCCCCTTCATTCCAATATTACTTTTCCTCTCTTCCCCAGTGCTAAACCTAGGAAGGAAAAAACAAAAACAAAAATGAAACAGCCCTAGGTGTGATCCATTTCCATTTTAGATCCCTGGTATGTGCAATTAGTAAATGCTTGGTCTTCATCCCCACCCCCAACACAGACCTATTCAGTTTTGCTCTCCCTCCTCCAGTGGACGGTGTTGTGTAGATTCATGTGTACATAGAGGGGAGCAGTATGGTCCGTGTGTTCCTGAGGGTGAGGTGTTCTTATATTTTTTTGCAGCTGTTTGAAGCTGAGTGTTACTTGGGCCTTTCAAACTCACCACTCAGAGTCAGTCACCCCCTCAAGTAACCAAACATCTTTTCATGAGACACAGTTCTCTGTACAGAAATGAGAAACAGAAGCTTGCCCAAGAGAAAGCTGCAAAATTGCTCTGAGATCACCCACTGATACTGACCTATTCAGAGGCTCCACATATAGAAGCCTTGTACTTTGCCCTCAGAGCTGGAAGGATGCCTTTGATGGCTCCAACTCCCACCCCTGTTCCTGCCGCTCCTTAAATGTGTTGTCTCTGTTACAGAGGCAGAGCCTTCGTGCTCGCTATTTTCCCAGCCTTGAATGTCCTTTCATTTTCAGGGCTGTTTCCATCTCATCATTCAGGCCTGCAGATAGGTCCACAGCAGGCAAGGTCAAGTGTGGAGGTCTGTACAAGACAGGATGTTAGAACTGAGCGTCCTGCCAAAAGCTTAGCTGAGGTTCTGTAGCTCCAAGCTTCTCCTGTTGGTTTTAACACAACATATGCAAAGAAAAATCCCTAGGCATATAGCATCCAGACTACAAAGGAAGTTAATGAGGATTTTATGTTAATTTTAAAAGATTGTGAAAAGCTGTTAGGTCTAAGCCCCGATTGCAATGTTTCACAGGGGTGTTCACATTCTGAGTCCCTCTCAGCATAGAGGGTCACTGCTCTCTCTCTCTCTCTTTCTCTTTCTCTCTCTCTCTCTCTCTCTCTCTCTATATATATATATATATATATATACTGAATATTAGGAATGCCTTCTGTGGTTCAGTCTGTATCTTAGAATTCTCATTTTCTCACTGGATCCAGCCTAGGACTTTAATCTTGCATTCTTGGAATATCTGAGCAAGAAACAACCCACTCATTTGATCCAATTTCCTCACTTTTTAGATGAGGAAACTGAGACCCAAAGAGAAAATTATTTCCCCAAGGCCAGATAATGAGAAAAGCTGTGGGAAATTAAGGAAAACTTATCCAATTATGTGCCCTCCTTCATGTAATTCATGAAATTTCCTCCAAATTTTCATTCAGGCTATATTTATCACGTGCCTTCCCTGTACCCCACAATGTGGCCAATACAAATATATTAGTTCCTTCTCACATTGTTATAAAGAAATACCTGAGACTGGGTAATTTACAAAGAAAAGAGGTGTAATTAGCTCATGGTTCTGCCGGCTTTACAGGAAGCATGGTGCCAACATCTGCTCAGCTTCTAAGAAGGCCTCAGGAAGCTTACAATCATGGCAGAAGGCAAAGCGGGAGAAGGTATATCACATGGTGAAAACAGGAACAGGAGAGCAAAAGGGGAGGTACTACACACTTTTAAACAACCAGACCTCATGACAACTCACTATCACGAGGACAGTACCCAGAGGGATGGTACTAAACCATTCATGAGAACTCCTCCCCCATGATCCAATCACTTCCCACCAGGCCCCACCTCCAACATTGGGAATTACATTTCAGTATGAGATTTGGCTGGCAACATACATCCAAACTAAATCAACAAAGAAAAGACTTGTCCTGAAGAATTCAATTTTCCCTGTGATTATAACATGGACACATAAAGTCACCAGAAAAATAGTTTAAGACCACATTCAGTTATTTGTTTTCCTATTTATTCATGTATTCATCCATCCATTTATTAATTCCTTTATTGAATATGGCAAGAAGTCAGAAGTAGACTTTGCTGTCAAGGAATTTATAAACTACAAGGGAAATTCCCAAATAATTACTGCTGGGTTTGCATAGATTTAATGTGTACGCAGCCAATGGCCTTGCCTGCAGCGTTGATCAAGGTTGATAAAGGGCATAAGGTGATCAAAAGATCTGGGACATTTACTTGGACTTTAAAAGTCATGACCTTATTCCCAGGAAAGCGCTAGCAACTGAAGAGAACACTCAGAAAGGGCCTCATTAATCAAAAAACCTTCATGGAGGACACCTGTGGCCTCATGCCAACCTGATATGCACAATCTAAGGACAAATATGGGCTGACATACATGCTGAAGCCCCCAAGCCAGCCAGTGGGTTGGTGGCCAAGAAAGCTTTATAAGCAGGAGGTTGAGGAGTGAGTTGCCATGTCCTAGAGGAAAACCTTTGTGTTGCCACTGACCTTTGGGAGGTTGAGAGGTCAGCAGGTCAGCCACCATCCCCTCCCCAGCAATGAGATTTCTGGCGCCATTTGGTGTGCTTGCCCCGGAACTCAGACAAACAGGGAAAATCAGGAGGAAAGCCAAGCTGTTCCTGAGTGTTTTCTGTCTGGCCAAGACTTGCCGTCAGAGCTGTGACTGAGGAATGGCCACATTATCCTGGGACTTTTGCTTAGAAGTTACTGCTTCCTGTGACTATGTTGCGAGTCAATGGGAGTTTTCCCCCTTAGGCCAGAATCCCAGTCTCAGGAGCCTGCCAGTCTGGCTGCCAGACCCCAGCACACCAGGGAATCTCCCAGTCTGGGAGCTGGGAAGGGAAGGGCCTCAGAGGTCCACCCTCACATCATGGGCTGAAATCCCTTCCACGACTTCCGTGCCAAGTGGAGCTCCGGTGACCATGGACTCACCTCCAGTGACCAGCAGTCTCTTTCCAACCAGTGTTTGAAATCTCTGCCTTATATGGCACTGGAATCTGTGTCCTTCTGACTTCCACTCATTGGCTCTGCTTTTGCCTCAAAGCCATACAAAATCAATCTGCTTAAGTCCTTGTCCACAAACAGTCGTTCCTATGATTGAAGATAATCATTATGCCCAATTACACTTGCCCTTCTCAGGCTCCGTATTCCCTCTTTCTCCAATCCACGGTATCCAGTTTTTTCACCCATGGTATAGATTCCCTGTCATCCTTGTGAATCCTTCCGCAAAACATGACCCCCTCTGCTGATTCACACCCCCAGCAGAATAAGTCACTCTTCATGCAAGTCTGTGGCAGAGTTGTGCTGTGACGGCCTCTTATCTGTCCTATGACATCTGACTGTGTCTTCTTCCCATTCTAACTGTGCTCTAGCCCCCACCTCCTCCTAGCTCTCAGGATCTCACCAGCCCTGTCATCTCTCATCTCCCCTCCATTCTGACTCCTGTATCTCATATGTATACCTCCCATCCCCAAAACAAATTCACCGTTCAGTCCCACTTCCCCCAACAGCTGTCACCCTGCCTACTTCACAGCCAAGCTTCTTGAAATTTGTGATGACCAACATTTCCTCCCCTTCCATTTTCACTTTAACCCCATGCCAGATGGTTCCCTCCCTTCCCCACCAAAAGTGGTCTGCGAAGGTCACCAGTGATCCTCTAAACAACGACTCCAATGTACACTTTGTGGTCCCTGTTTCACTTGACATGTTGGCAGTATTTGATGCTCCCGACCACGGCCCATTGCGTGGCTCTGGTAGCAGCTGCTGTGTGGGCCCAACCTGCTCGCTATCCTTGGCTGGACTTTCTTCCACTATCTCTCTCTGCTCCGTGGATGCAGGGTGTCCCAGGGTTGTGTCCTTGCCCTGCTCCCTGCTCTGTGCACAGGCGCTGCCTGAGAACCCTCACCCAATCCCATGGCTTCAACTGCTCACAGTGCCCTGAGCTGCCTGTTCCCCTCCGCTGACCTCATGTATAGCCCATTGCTTCATGAACACGTTCGTTAGAACGTTCCACAGAACCTGGGACTCCTCATGTGCCAACTCCGCCTTATCAAGTAAGTTTGCCTTTCTTTCCCCATCCCCAACCTTGATGAGTAAAGGACTTCACCCTCCATCCTCGGCCCTTCCTGGGCTCCTCCTTCTCATTCATCTCCATATCTGGTCTATTATTAAATCCTGTCCTTAATAATCATTGCCTCCGAGGACTCAGTGCCTATAGTGTGCTGGATTTTTATGTACATTATCTCATCTAATTTGCACAACAGGACTGCAAGAGAGGTATTATTAGCCCACTATTATCAGTGAAGACTGAAATTTGTATCAAGTACATTTCCTGAGGTCATGCGTTTAGTAAGTGATGGAGCCACACCTGCTCAGTCTCAAAGCTGTCTATGCTCTGCCACACTTTGTCTTTCCTCCAGGCTACTCTTTTCACTTCCTTAACATATTTTACCCAGCTTCTTCTCTGCCTACATGTCTGCACTGCCTTATATTAATACCAGGACTTCACAATCTCTCACTGCAGTTCCATGCCTCCTTGTCTCCAGTCTGTCCTCCCAGCTGTCCATCCCATCATCCATTTCTGCCAGAATAAACTTCCTAAAACACCCGCCACCTTCCTGCCTAAAGCCCTCAGTGGGTCCCCCTTGCCCTCCAGATTGCTTAGGCTGTTTACATGGGCATGAAAGGGGTGGCTCCTGCATTCCACCAAGGCTCATTTCTCCCCATGTCCTCCCCATCTTCAGCCTCCTCTGGCAAGATCCGGCCCTGTGTATTTTCCTGCAGCTCCAGGAAGGCACCATACTCACTCAGTCCTCATGCATATGCTGTTCCCTCTCCTTGAGATGCCCTCCTCCCTCCTTCCATCCGCACCCATCCACAGTCTGTCTGGGAACCTCTGCTCTTCCTTCAAGCCCCACCTCCTAATCTCCTGCCCTGTGAAGCCCTCATTGCCTCTCCCCGCTGCAGAGCTGCCTGCCCTCTTTGAGGCTTCCCATGTACCTGGCACATATCTTTATTATTACTGATGCCACAGAGTATTGCAACTGTTTTTTTATTTTCCTGTGTCCCCATTCAACTGTGAAATCTGTGAGGTTTTAGCAAGTAGTACAGTCCCTTGTTCATAGTAGACACTTTGAAATGTTTGTTTTGTTTTGCTTTGTTCTTCTAAGATATGGGTCTCACTATGTTACCCAGGCTGGCCTTGAACTTCTGGGCTCAAATGGTCTTCCCACCTTAGCCTCTTGAGCAGCTGGGATGACTGGCATGTGCCACCATATCAAGCATAAAATGTTTGTTGAATTGAATTTTTATTACATCATACTTAGTATAGTTTCTGGCACAAAGAAGATAACTTGCCGAATACATTTCTTTAATTGAAACAGAAATGTCAATAAGTAATTGTAATACAATGTGACATATATTGTTACAGATATGTCCAGAATATCACGGGACCCCAGAGAAGACAAGAATTAGCACTATTTTAAGGGTAGGGAAAGAGATGTGTCAAGGAAGACTTCTTAAAAGAGGTTACAGTTTAAGATCTGGGCCTACATCTGTAATCCCAGCACTTTGGGAGGCCAAGGTGGGTGGATCATGAGGTCAAGAAATCAAGACCATCCTGGCCAACATGGTGAAATCCCGTCTCTAGTAAAAATACAAAAATTAGCTGGGCTTGGTGGTGCATGCCTGTAGTTCCAGCTACTTGGGAGACTGAGGCAGGAGAATTGCTTGAACCCGGGAGGTGGAGGAGGTTGCCACTGCACTCCAGCCTGGTAACAGAGCAAGACTCTGTCTCTCAAAAAAAAAAAAAAAAAAAAAAAAAAGCTCTGGGCCTTACAGTTTAAGTAGGGGTTGGCCTAGACAAAAAGACGCCTTCTAGACAGAGAGAACCAGCAGCTTGAGCAAAGACAGGGGACCGTGCAAAGGCCCACAGTGGTTAGGAAGCAGGAAAACGTGCCTAGAATGTCAGAAGACCTGAGTAGGTGTTCAGCAATAGAGCTGGGGCCAAAATGAACACTACCTAAGGAATTTGGATATAACCCCACAGGCAGTGGAAGCCCTCTTAGGATTTTCAGAAAATAAGTAGCCGACATAAACTTGTGTTTAGAAATATGTGGAAGATGGATTGGGGGAGGGGAAATAAACTTGAAGGAGGTGAAATCAGTCACTGTAGGGTCCTGGACAGAAGCAGCAATGGCAGTAATCCTGGGGAGAGATGGCCTCGCCCTGAATCCACCCAGCACCCCCTGCACAAAGTTCTTCCTGCAGAGCCATGTCTCCCAAAGTGTGTTCCACCATAGGTGGTGAGGATGAGATGCAACAGAGTAAGGTGTCTGGTCAAATAAGCTTTGAACATGCTGGGTTAAACAGGTTTCTTATTGCAAGATTTTTCAGAGCTTTTAATACACATTGTGTATGCTATGTGTAACACACAGAGTTTTCCAAATTTACTTAACCACAGAACCTCTCTCTAAGACCATCTCAAGGGACTAGAGTTTAATGGAATATGTAAAATAGAAAAAAAAAGACCAAGAGTTTTTATGATTCTGTCAGATCTAGTTCCTGGAAGGAAATAAAAAAAGAAATAGTTTTCCATTGGGTGACAACTGATAATCTCACTGAACGCTCTGCTGTGGAAGTCTTGCATGTGGGTTTTTTTCTGGGGGGAGGGGAACAGCATGGACTACCATGGAAATACCAGAGGTAGCTTTTAGTCATTCTATTTAGAGGCAGGTTGAGCAAGTTCACCTTCTCTTCCCAGTCCCTCATGTTTGTTCAGGCTTGAAAGAGGTCAGACCCAGGTGTTTGAAAAAATGGCAGGTCCTGACCTATGGAAAAGAGAAACTAGGTCTGCAGCCCCTGGAATGCTCTGCACCACCAACATCCCTCACTCTGCATTTGGTTCACACACTGGGGAGAAGGGCAGAACAGCCACCTCAGACCCTCCTACCCATGGGAGGATGCATCCCAGGTGGCAGGTGCTGGCACTGTTGGTTGTGGCCTGGGTATCATCACACCGTCACACACAGCTCACCAGAACTCCAGAACTCCCAGGCACAGGTCACTGTTTGCTGGCTTCCCCTTGCCTGAGTACTGGAGGGAAAAAAAAAAAAACAAAATCAAACATCCACTCATTAGCCTTGTGTCTCTAAGTGAGCCCTGGCTTTGGAATGCCTTCCCTGGCCACTCCAAGGCCATTTCCCAGCTGAGTCCCCAGGGTTGGGAAGTCTGGGAAGCTATCTGTGTGGCTTGGGAAGGTGCCTCTTTCTCCATTGCAGGAATTCTCCACTGGAGAAGCATCAGATGTTCCTCAGCCCCTGCCAGGGCTGGAGGGTGAAGAGTTCAAAATTGCAAAAGGGGACAGATAAGCAGAAGCCTCCCCGGTAAGTGGGAGCTTC
The DNA here is from genome assembly GCF_000001405.40 of Homo sapiens. Classification (NCBI taxonomy): domain Eukaryota; kingdom Metazoa; phylum Chordata; class Mammalia; order Primates; family Hominidae; genus Homo; species Homo sapiens. Next base: position 86,469,566 of record NC_000011.10, on the reverse strand, counting down.
TCGCAGGACAGAAGGATAGACATCAGGCTGCTGCCAGCACTAGAATCGGGAAGCTGCCCAGAGCCCTGAGTAGGGAGCTGAGAGCACGGCTTCTTGGGAGGGGTCCTGCCTCTGTTCCACAGTATGACCTGGAGGGTGGCTGCCTTGCCCTGCTCACTCAGCTGGTCCAGTTTGTGTAAGCACAAAGGGCTCTAAGACACTCACCCCCCATATTTTCCTCACATGTTGCTCTCACAGAGAAATGTCTAACCTCCCTGCTCTGGACTTGTAGAAATACCTGAGTGAAGCTTCTAGTATTCAATTCCAGCCCCAAATATTAAGTAGGTTGTGCTACTCCTCCAATGCTCTCAGACCAGGAAACTGAGACCCAGACAGAGAAAGGGGACTCAGCCAAGACTCCTGCATTTTTTCTGTCTCCCTGGTCAATGTTTTCTTCACCATACCTATGATCTTTCCCAATGGAGAAAGAAATCCAGCCTTATTACCTATTTAGCTTTTTTTTTTAAGAACCTGTAAGGCTATCAAAATTAAACTGAAGCTGGTTCTTGAGTCAGACAGAACCAGATTTAAATTCCAGCTCCACCACTTACCAAGTGCAATAGAGTACATAGCCTGTGAGCAAATAACTTGCAATCTGTAGCTCCAGATTCCTTCTCTGGAAACAGCGCCTACATCATAAGGTGATGTGAAGATTAATTAAGATAATGTATGTAAAGAGCTCAGCACGGTGCCCAGCAGGTAATAAACACTAGATAAAAGCTAGCTATTTTTTTTACCATTGTTGTTAGCATTTTAATGAATATGTAAGGCAATTGATAATTAACATTTAAATTAGTGTTATGGTGAAAGCTCATTACCTGTATTTGGATGTACAGGGATGAATTGAGAAACATTTTTTTATCCACTAAGCCATTTAAATTTCCACTTTGAAATTTTCTCTTCTTAATTGGTTTTTAATTAGTTTAAAGAGTTGGCAGACAAACTCCAAACATTAAGTTTCCGCCAACTCCTTCATAGATCCAATCCACCCCTTCCTAAAACATTAAACTATAGTATCAGATCATCACAGGTGCTCAATGAATGTGTTTGGATGGATGAATTTATGGATGGGTGAATGGATGGATGGATAAATCAAGGATGGATGGATGATGGATGGATGGATGGATGATGAATGGATGGATAAATGAATGATGGATGGATGGAAAATGGATGGATGGATGGATGGATGATGGATGGTTGGATGATGATAGATGAATAGGTGGATGGTGGTTAAATGGATGGTGCTAAGATAGTAGCACCATGAAGTAACCACCTTTGGTTCAGACTGGATAGTGGTCTGGTTTCATGAAAAGCCATAATGGAGGGCCTGAGGCACTGGGATAACATGGTGAAGGGCTCAGAGGTCTTGGTGCAGACAAACAGCAGGTGCAGTGGAAGTGAAGAGACATAGAAGGAAAGGCTGTGGTCAGAGACTGAGATGGGACAGTGTGAAATCCTAGAGTAGGAGTAGTTCCTGGGAATAAAAGGTCCAGAAAGCAGCCAGGGGATGGTTACCCAAGGTGGAGAGGAGTTCTGGGGTTCCTTAAATCCGGTGAGTTCTAGGAACTATGAATCCAGATTATTGGATGAGTGATTCACATGGCCTCTTATGCAATTCCAAGCTAGGATTAAAGTGACCTCAATTAATGAGGTTTTATTCTATATTCCATCAAATTGCTCCATGGGAGGGAGGGGGGTTTCTTATATAAAACTGAATTAAATATAAATAATAATCATACACTGAACAAAGGTATTTATTTATAATTCTTGCCTTATTTTTACCTCAGTGAATGAATGGTGGTGTTGCTTAAAGGGGTGTGTGTGTGTGTGTGTGAGAGAGAGAGAGAGAGAGAGAGAGAGAGAGAAACAGAGAGAGACAGACACACAGAGAGAGACAGAAAACGTTCATCACATTGTTTTGTTGTCTGACCTTTTCAGCATTTTAGCTGCAGGCCAGTTGTGGGGCAACACTGGGAATCTTGTAGAAATTATATATAGCAAAATGTCACCAGCAACCAAAGACATTGTGTTCCTCCCCACCCAATCCAAATACTTGAAATTCACAATAAATTTTGGCTTGGTGAGCATGGCATTATATTTGTGCATGGGAGGTTTTATTTATCATTTCTATTCATAGTACAAGCAAAAGAGGGCTGGATGGTGGGTGGGGAGACACAGTGAGCCCCCCACCAAACCTCCATCAGCATTTGTTCTATGACTGTGAAGAAGAATTGTGGCCAGAATGGCATTTGTGTTTAGCATTTTATGGTCTAAAAATTACCCTCAGGCTTCAGTTAGTAATACTGTATTGTATACTTGAAATTTACTAAGAAAGTAGATCTTGAGTTTTCTTACCACACACACAAAATAGTAACTATATGGGGTGATGGATGTGGTAATTAGCATGATTGTGGTTATCATTTCACACTGTACACATATATCAAATCATCACATTTTATACCTTCAATATATGCAATTTGTATTTGTCAATTATGCCTCAGTAAAGCTGGGGGAAAAACCTCACCCTCAGCTTTTAACCCTCACAATAGTTCACAGATGTTAGCCAGGCAGATATTATTGTGCCCACTGATGGATGGGAAACTGAGGTAGAATAGAGAGGTGAAGTGACATGTGCAGGTAACTCAGTTGAATGTGGAGAGCCAGGTCCGGCCTATGGCCTTCTAACCCACGCCCAGCACTCTAAGCACTGGACTGTGGCAAGTCACTGCCCCTGTGTTTCTGCCCCTGTAATGTGAATCCATCTCCCAGTCCTTCTACCAACAGCCTTGACTAGCTAAGGTTCTGGAAGGACCACGGCAGGAACAAATATTTGCCCACCCACTGGTATTTGGGCTGGACAGCATAAGCCATGCACAAAATTATAAGGCTGGAAAAAATGTTTTGTGGGCCATTTCAGTGCTCCTCACTCCCTCATAGCCACCAGCCTCATCAGAAAGATGCCCCGAGAGCACAGGAAGCCCCCCAAGCATGTGCCCCACCCACCTTCTCTAACAAGGTAATAAATATTTCCACAGCCAGTCCCAAGCTGCTCCCAAGCCTGTAGGTCACCAGGTTGGAAGGGCAGGCCACTTCTACCTGTTACATGCCCTGACACCTCTTATGGATCAATCAGGACATTTTTTCTCAATGACATGACCTCAGATGCTGTTACTCAGCCACAAATTGACCCATGAGGTGAAACCTATTTTTATCCATGTATTAAGTAGTTTTTAATAATCCATACTACACTTGCTTACAGAAAGGCTAAAGACACAAACAAAACTATCAAACACCAGCATCAAAGAGCAAGAATGGAGTAAAGGGGAAATCTGTGTGCAGAAGCCCACAGAAGCTGAGGGGGCCTGTAGCAAATGAGCAAAAACTTCACTCTCAGCTTCCTTACAGGCAATGTTAAAAGGAAAAATAGGTTACAAAACTCGAACAAACTCAGTCATTTTTAAGGGAAGGCCATGAAATCTAGGAGGCAATGCTAGCATGGATTTTAAATAAGGCATATCAAGCATCTTAATGGCCATTGTCTTCACCCACAAGGCATTGTTTCTCAGGGTTCTCTGGGCTGTCAGAATCAGAACCATCTGGGGTGCTTGTTCAAAATGCAGGTTCCTGACCCCATCCCACACTCCGAGTGAGACTCTGTGAGATGGGCCTGGTGACCTGCTTTTTAAACAAGGTCAGTAACTGATTCTTCTACACCTGCAAGTTGGAGAACAACTTCACCAAGATGTTAGTAGATAACAGTGTCTTAATGCAGTGGCCTTTCCTAACCATCCTTTCATCTTACCAGAGAACAATGCCTGGTGCCAGAGGAGTCTCTAGTGGAAGAGCTCCAGGCCTCAGGGTCCAGCAAGAGAGATATTTGGAGGATGCAGGGGCTCCCCACCTACTTGTGGTGGGGAAGCTGGTCTGTCTGCATGCACTTGGATGTGGAGTGAGCTTTCTTCTGGGATCTCAGATGGCCACAGGCTACACAGAGGGCAGGCCCCTCCTTGGCCCTCTTGTCACTCCCAGGGCTGGCCATGGCAGCCATGGGAGCCACCAGCGCACCTTAGCTATAGTGATGCTGCCTTGGCTGACCACCAAAGCCAGGGTCCTACTCTCTCCCTTCCCCATCCTCATCCATGATAGGGCAGGCAGAGCTCCAAGCCCAGGAGTCCAGGAGCCAACCAGTGGCAAAAACACAGATGAAGGAGCCATGCCACCTCCCACCCCCAGGCCTGCACCTCCCCACCCCACTGTGCAAGCTGGGATCTGTCAGGGATCTGCCTCAGAGAGGCAATCATGGGTTTCTTCCTCTCCCTCCACACAGGTTTGGAATAAATTGCCTCATCCAATTTGAAGACTTCGCCAATGCCAATGCCTTCCGCCTGCTCAACAAATACCGTAACAAGTACTGCATGTTCAATGATGACATCCAAGGTAGGTTTCCACCCCACCTGATGAAGCTACAGGGGACTAACTTATATTCTCAACCTCACTGGGATGCCAAAGGGGTGAGGAAAGGCTGTCACCCCATAGTTGGTTTGCTGCCAGCAGCTGTTGAAAAAAGAATATTAAACTTAGATTCAACTCCTACTTGGCTAATTCTTAATTCTCTGAATTCAGTTTCCTTTTCTACAAAATGAAGATCATTACTACTTCAGAGGTAGGTAAGAATTATGTGATTTAATGTATGTAAGAAATTCTAAACAATGCTGTAATTCACTAGCAAGTTAAACATGAACCAGTCACTTCTCTGACCACAGTTTCATCATCTAGTCAATGGAGAGGATAACAACTGCCTTGAAAGAGCATGGTGAAAATTTACAAGGCTAATGCTATAGAAAGTACTAACCCATAAAACTCATCAGACCGAAGCACCAATCACCATAAAAATGGCCTTCCCCAGCCATAATAACTTGCTTTTAGACTTTCCAAATACAAGGCGTGTCTCTGTCAGGAAGTCAGGACAATTCCTTCTCTGGTTTTGACTGAAGTGTTTGTTGCTCATAATGACCCTGAGAGAGACACTGACACCAAGAACCCAGAGCCTTCCAAAGCCAACATGAAGCAGCTTCTAGTTCAGGTTCCCTTTGGTCATCTATTCTGTGACCCAGAAATATCTGAAGGTACTTGCTTCTTACTGTGGAGTTACCAGTGTCCAAAGCTGGAGTGGAAAGGGATTCATCTCACTTGATCTAGAAGTGCACAGGAAGGAGCACTGTGAGCTGTTCCTAGCATTTTGTAAAGTCCGAGAGAAACCTTGATGATGCTTTAACAAATGAAGTTTGCCAAGCAATCTTTTAAAAATCAAAGATCCATGTCAGGTGGAAAGAATAAGTTGGCAAGAGACAGGTGTTGGCCCTGGATTGCTAAAGGTTGGCCAACTTCTCATTTTGCAGATGACTTCTCCAGAGGCCCAAAGAGGTCACAACTTTTCTTCAAGTGAGTCAGGGATAGATCTAAAAGAAAAGAACTCAAACTCAGGTAATAACAGCTAAGGTTAATCGCTGAACGCTTATTGTATGTCGGGCACTGTTCTAAGCACTCTACAGTTTTAAACCGATGAGACATTAGCATCTCTGTCTTATGAATGAAAACACTGAGACAGAAAAAGAGTAAGTAACTTTTATAGCCATTAAGCATAGAGTTGAGATTTGAGCCCAGGCATTCAGACTCTAAATTGCAGTCTATAACCATTCACCATGCCATTCCCAGATCTTATATTACAAACCAAGTTGCCCTTTTTTCCCCATTATGGTCCATATTACAGGGTATAAGAAATGTGATAGACGACTTTTTGTATTTGTCATACATTTTCAAGAGGCAAGATAGCACAGTTAGAACACACTATTAGAAAATTTAGTTTAAAATATATGACTTCAGTGCCTGAAGAGTGGGTATCCAGAGGGAGGGGAGACCCAAAAGAGAAAGCTGGGACATGGTGCCCCCTGCCAGCCTTTCTCCATTCTGTCTCCCCCTTACCCTGTTGCATAGGCCTGGGACAGGCCTCACCCACACAAGCCAGGACACTGCGCAGACAGGGCTGTGCAGTTCAGGAAGATGCGCTGGTGGGGGGAAGCATTCTCTCACTGCCCTCACTCACCTCATTGTCAGCTCAGCAGGTGGGAGTGTGCCTTGGCCCTGAGGAAGCACCTGCCTGCTAGAGCCTGACCGGCTCCCCAGCATGAATTCACCCATGAATCAGCAGCAGGACAGCCAGTCCCCTGAGCCCACCGGGCTGCCAAGGCCAGAGGGTGGAAGTGGAAAACAAGTCCATGCAGGCGGCACACCTGGTGCACAGCCTCCAGCTGTACAGACACACAGACAGCCACATGTGTATACATCCTCCTAAACACAGGCACAGGAACACGGCCAGGCCCTGCAGCCCCCCAGGCCCATCCGCCCCCAAACTGCTGCGATAATGTGCCTCTGAGATGAAACTATCACTCACTATGCCACCCTCTCTTCATGAGAAAGTTCACACCCCTTCAATGAAAATATAAGACTTCGGGATCTTTCTTCTGCTCTCTGCCCTTCCCTTTATTTTACTCCTCTGACCTCCTTACCTGCCATTTCTTTCTGTGTTTGAAAGCCCTGCTCACCCTTTCCCATCATCTTTACCTGAGTAATTTCTACTCACCCTTAAAGACCCAGCTCCAGGGTCTCCTGCCCAGGGAAGGCCCATCAGCCCCTGTTCCCTCAGTCTGATTTGGGTGCCCCTCAGGTGTTCCCCTCTGTCAGTTCTCTTACTTCATTGTACCCCAAAAGCCTGTATTGCATTGTCTGCCTTCCCAGAAGATAATAAGCTTCTGGAGGCAAGAACCATGCCTTATCCATTCTTGTTCCCCAGCTCCCAGCACCGCGCCTGCTACATGATAGATGCCTAATAAATGTTTAAAGAATATATGAATGATGTCTACACATACAAACTGACATCCTCATAAGCACACCCACCTGTTCATGTGAGTATGTCTACACTGGACACCTGCCCCTGCAGCCTCTCTGTTATCCAGGTCATCATTCATGTACAGCTGACCCTTGAACAAAGGTGGTGGTTACAGGTGCCAATGCCCCACACAGTCAAAAATCTGCATAACTTTTGCCTCTCCAGAAACTTAGCTACTAATAGCCTACTGTTGACCAGAAGCCTTACTAATAACATCAGTAGTGGATTAACACATAAATAGACTAGTATCTATCCCTATTTTATGTATGCATGACATACCTAACTTCTTAATTTTTTTGATATTTCTAGGCTACACAGTTCATCTGTGAGTGTTCGCAAATTGTTACAAACCTCCAAAATTTTAAAAAATATATGTATTGAAAAAATCTGCATATAAGTGGACTCACACAGCTCAACCCCATGTTGTTCAAGGATTGACTGTGCTCACATATAAATGCACCTCTACATGTGCTCATACATATTCACATGTGTACCCCACATGCAGACACATGGAGCTGTTTGTTTTTAATTAAATCAATCCATTTGTTTACATTCATTGGTTTTTGTGTCTTGCCTCTATAGCCAATTTTGCTCCCAGGCAAAACCAAGTGGGATGGTTTTCTGGGTCCCAGAGCAAAGAGAAGAAGGACTTCCCATTCTTTTCTCAGAAATTCAAGACTAAAGCCATCAATCTAGAACTCATGAGGACAGCTGGCAAATAGTGCTGGAATGGCAGGAGCCCTGTAAGAACCAGCCTTTGATCAGCTCAGCCTGATGTTTAGGTGTGACCATATCATTAACAACCATAAAGAGGTGGGCAGGAGCATGCGCCACCCAGATCCTCCTTCAAGGAAAGACTTGTTGCCCAGCTGACAGCAAGGCTGTCAGCACATCATGCAGAGCCTCAGAGAGAGAGAGCCACCTCGCCATCCCACCAGGGCCTGGCCTCACCCAGTGATGAGGGAATATGAAGGCTTAACTATTTTAGCCCAGTGCAGGACAACTCAAGCTCCCCATGGAGCTGGCTGAGGCTTTGGGGCCTGCATCACAGCTCAACTTCCCTCTCAACTCATTCTGCTTCCTTCCCTTCCTTCCCACAAGGGCACTTCCTAAAAACATCCTGAACACTCCAATATAACTCAGAATCTTCTTCCAGGGGACCCAAACTGTACCAAATAACATTTTGCATGCACACAGAACTTAAGGTTGAAAGTGCTTTTCATCCTCACTATCTTACAAGTGCCTGGCAACATCCCCCCCTCCCTCACTGGGGGACAAACACAGCTGTCCCACGTCACTAATGAGGAAACTGAAGCCCAGGGGGTTAAAGCTTGCTCACGGCCACACAGCCAGACAAAAGACACAAAGCTGGAACTGGAACCCCATTATGTCTGATTTGGAATTCTCCACTCTCTCCATGGCATCAGGCTGCCTGTTGCTCCTGCACGTGTGAAGTGGTGGAGGGTATCTTCTCGTTAAGGATGAAATTCCAGACCCTGCTGAAACAGTGTGGGTGTCACTGCTCCCTGGCATCCTGCTGCTGTCATCCTGCCCTCCCCATCGTTCCCATTCCTTCCTCTAACTCCTACAGAATGCAGACCTGAAGATGAGGCCCACAGTCACAAGCTGGTTAGGGATGGGTCCAGGCCAGAAGCCTGTGATGTGTGTTCTCATTGTTAAGCAGACAATGAGAAGACTGGTAAGGAATTCCAGGACTAATGAGCCAACATGGCAGATACAGCCCATGCTGCAATGGTCCCCCTTTATCTCCAAATACAAAGTAAGGAGCAATGCCACTTAAGACTACAAGCCATGCTCATAATGGGAGAGGAGCATCTCCATGCACAGAACCACAGAGGGTTGGGAGTGAAGGGGTGAGAGGGAGTGTGGGAAGGAGGAGGAAGCGATGCAGAATCATAGTTGTAAACAGAAACCAAATCACACCACACGTGGGAGCTGGAGACAGATTCTCAGAATCTTCTTGGGAACCACACATGGAGGGGGCTGGAATCGAGCAACCCACATGAAAATGAGACTAGGGTCATGCTACCTACTCTGAACACCAGCCTAGCCTCACATCCTCAGTGGATAGATAGAATTCAATCCTCGGGAGCCCCACTCTACTGATCTCCCAGAGGGCAGGGCCATGCCTGGTGCAGAGCAGGAGCCTAGGGCACATTATTTGACTGTCTCCCAACCAGTCCCACTGTACCATGTGCTCAGAATCACTGACCCCAAGGGGCTGGGCCTCTGAAGCCCGAGCACTTGAAGGGAAGAGAGCTCCCCAGGGCTTCTCATCATCTCTGCCTCCCACCCCAGCTCAGACCCACATAAAGCCTTGGCCCAGGCCCAGGCTGGTCCTTGGTGATCAGAGCTGCCAATGCACTGACTCATTGCTGGCAGCCTCTCAGGAATTTTGGAAAAGGCAGAGGCTCAGGTGACTTTTGTTGTTTCAGCTGGGACCAGAGAAGCATCTCTGCTCTTAGGGAGGAAAGAAAGGCCTAGAAGGGGAAAGGCAGTGGGAATGGTCACACTGGGGACAGGGGAAGGAAGGAGAGCCACACAAGGGGCCAGGTCCAGGGTGCTGCTGACCCAGTTTCCGTGGGTCCCTGGCCTCCACCTGCAAGCTGACCACACAGCATGGCTGGAGCCAGGAAAGCCCCACTGGCTCATCAGCTCTGCAGCTTCCTCCACCTGGCCAGCCTTCCCTGGACCTGCATTGTCCACCAATCCTGCTAAATCTCCAGGCCAGACGCCCATAAAGGCTCCTGTGTGTTATGTCAGGCTATTAGCACCCCCTGTGAGTCCAATGCTTAACAATCAGACATTTCACCAAGACAAGCCTAGGTCTGAATCCCCATTTTCCTGCTTTGTGGCTTTGGACAAGTGGCTGAAATTCTCGGTACCTTCCTTTCCTTATCTGTAAAATGGACTTAACAGTTTTAACAGCCACAACTGCTCATCAGCTAGTACCACCAGAATGGTCAGGGTTTTTTTATAAGGCCAGCATCTGTTATGGTTGGTTGCAGCCTATGCCAATTCCTTGCTAAGTATTTCCAACACCCGTTTATGGCACTGAATTGTTGTAAGGATTGAAGTGATGTATAGGTAGGGACAGGCATGTAGCAGTACTCAGTTCATGGTACCTATTACTATAATCTCTGATGCCTAATAGGCTCGTGACACACAGATACGGGAGGGAAGAAGGAAAGAGGAGACTTAAGGCAGAGATTTTGATGGAGGTGAGGAGAGGGCCACATGTGAGCACAGGACTGGGGAACTCTGGGGAGAAGAGAAGCAGGGCCCCATCTCACTTTTCTCCCCTTTCCCACATATTCCCTATTATTCCAGCCCATTGTATTAGTCACTCTTCTGTGAGTTTTCTGCCAACTCCATGATTTTGAATGTGCTGGTCCCTCTGCCTAGAATTCTCTTCCTGTTCTTCACTACTTTCTGTTTGTCCATAAAGGCTCATTTCACTTCCCCCAGGATAATGCATCCAGGGCCAAGCCACAGACTCTAAATGATCCCACTCTTCCCCAGGATCTGGGAGTGACACTGGACGGTGGTCACCCACTTTACAGAAGGCTTCAAAGTGAGCCAGGGGTAGGGTTCTCAGCCAAGAAATGCAAAATACATCCCTGGAAGATAATGACCTTGTTGGAGAGGGAAGGTGTGGGGGACTTTGCACAGGCTTCAGATGCCACAATAGGGAAGAGGCAGACAGGCAGGAATGGCTGGCTCATCTCTGAAGACCGTGCAGCTCGTTTGTCTTGTTTACAAGATGCCAGGGATTATTTCCAGCTGTCGGGGGTCAACTGCCCTCTCTCTCACCCACCACCACCACTACACACACTGAGTAGCAGTTCTAGGCCTTTCCTTGATCTCTCCCCCTGCCATGAAACTTCCCCTGGTCTCTTTAACCTTTTCTCTCCTCTGTTCCCAAAGCCTTCCTTTTCACTAAGTCCTGTATTCTGAGGCTGTTCTTCACTTCCAGGGCTGTTCCTAGTCCTGAAGTTCATGTGGATCTCATGTATCTGGCTCCTCCGAGATCTCCCCTTTTAGCTGTTGCAACAGCCGAACCTCCAGAGAAGCCAAGAAGATGATCATCATTCCTTCTGGTTCTTTCCAAATTGTGGCAAAACAGGCCTAACCCTATCTTCTCCATTGGCCAGAGAAGTGCCCTCTAGAGAGTCCAGGAGCTCCAGAAAATTCCCTTATGACACAAAATTGCACTGAAGTAATGTAGAAAGCCTTTGCTTGGTGTCCAATAAAGGGGAATCTGAATTTTTGGAACACTTATGCTAGCAACTCCTTGAGAGTTTTATTTGAGAACAAGACTTTTATTTGTCTTTATTTATTCAAGGCCTAGCCCAGAGAAGGCCCAGAACAAACACTCAGCACATACTAATGAATAAATGAATGGCAGTATCTACTGTAGAAAGGTAATTCTTATGGATCGTGGAAGCAGGTGTGGCCTCATAGCAGAGGTTGTTCTGTCCCAATAGGGATCCAGGCCTCCAAAGCCACCGTGGCCAGACCCTGACAGAGCCTAACTCTTTCTGTCCTTCTTGCTGCCTGGGTCAGAAGTTTTCCCTTACCTGATAAAGCAGTAAATTCTTTCCTCCAATAATCTATTGTTCAGCATGGCAACTCCTTTAACTTTGTCAAATCTGACTATTAAAAGCAGAAACTACATTTTCAGCATGTCCTTTTGTGCTATTTCCTGAAGCTACAACCTCAAGTACTCAGTTTGCAGGAAATGTAATTATGGAAATCTCCCTCTGGAAAAAAAAACTTCTTTTTCTTTTACCATGAATAGGAACAACCTGCCACACTTTCAGCTGCCCATGGCATTTATGGGCACAAGTCATGTTCCAGCACATCCCTGGACCCATGGGCTTCTCAGAGTGGTTACCTCGAAACAGCTAAGTAGCTTCCTTTCCAGTTTTAAACCCCTAGTGCATAGCCCAAGAGCACCCCAAAAATGCAGGTTAATGATGGAGATAACTTTATTTGCCAAATTTTGTAATTTGGAGCTTAAGAACCACTGTTTTTCCTCTTGAGTTCTGGCCTGTACCAAGTGCAGAAATAGCTTCCCAAAGGAAAAAAATGGGCAACAGTACCAAATGCTGCTGAGAGGTCAAGAAAGAAGAAGGCTGAGAACTGATTACTGAATTTGGCCACCTGGAGGTACTTGGGGACCCTGACAAGAGGTGGGTCAGTCATTTGATTGGACTGGGTTTCATGGGGACCAAGGAGGAAGGAACTAGATGCAGTTAATATATTCAGCTCTCTAGAAGAGTTTGCCTATAAAGGAGAGTAAGAAATAGGGTGGGACATATAGGACCAAGGGAGGGCCTTTTAAAGATGGAAGTTTTACAGTGTATTTGTATGCTGATGAGAATGATCCAGTAGAGAGGGCAAAATTGAATATGCAGGAAATAGGAGTGGGAATAATGGGACAAGTAGGCAAAAATGATGGGATCCATTAGACAAGTGGTGCTTTAGCTAGAAGCAGGGAGGCATCGATGGTAACAGGGGGAAAAGCAAGTACTTGGACATTGGAGGCAGAGGGTCTGAAGACTTGGTGGTGAAAGGATTCAGAAGTTCTGTCCTGATTAGTTCCATTTCCCTTGAGCGTCACTCTCCACTTTTAAGGGCAAAAAATAGGAGCACAGTAGTCCCTACTTCATGGAGTTGTTGGGAAGATTAATTGAGCAAATCCTGTGCTGGTAAGCACACAGCACAGAGCCAAGGCCACAGTAAGAGTGATCAATAAATGGCAGCTGACCTTGCATCCTTTTATTGTAATGTGTGACTCTTTCCCATCAGATTTCCCATTGTTCTGAGCTCCCCTCCCCTTCCAGAGGTACAGCTGAATGTTGACATCTACTGCCTAAGTTCACTTCCCTCTGCCTCTGCTACCACCCTGCTCCGTCCTTCCCCAGAGAAACCCCATAACACCTCTCCTGCTGCCTTCAACTATAGTCAGGAAGGGCTGTCTGAGCAGCAGAGATCATGAAGGGATGGAAGCAAACCTGGGAAGGAAACCCCCAGGTTTCCTTGCTTTGGGTGACTGACAGGGCCAAGCCACCTTTCTCTGTCAATTTCCTCATCTGTACAACTGTTAAATGCCATGATCTCCAATCCCCATCCAGCACCGAATTTCTGTGAGGAAGCCCAGTTATTCAACCTGCAAATAACCCCAGAAGACGGTTGACACCCAAAAAGAAAAAGACCCATCCAGAGTGTAGTGTCTGCGGGATCATCTCTGATGGAATACCTTTGGCGCCATCTGGTGGCAAATGCTTTGCGCAACCCCTCCTTTCAGGGAGGCAAAAGGCTGTCCTGAAACAGACTCCGATGAGCAGAAAACTCCCGCTAGCCAATGGCAGGAAACTAGTACCTCACCTAGAGAGGCCATCTAGTTCAGTGCATCTCAAACTGGAATGGCATACAAATCATCTGGAGATCTTTTTAAATACAAATTCTGACTCCGTAGAACTGAAATGAAAGAGAGTTTTATGGGCGGAGAGTAAGAAGTATGGAGTTACTTGGAGGGAGGCAGAGAAAATAGGGAGTGCCACATAATAAGTGGACTTTGGAGAAAATTAAGGACAAAGGGGATTTGGGGATTTCAGAAGAGGGTCATACAATGCAATTCTCCTCGCCCTTTCTTTAAGTGATTTAAATACTTATTTAAACTGCTTGTTGATACTTCCTTGGATGTCAGCTTGGTGTTTCTTTTGAATGCAGTACAGTGCTGAGCCTGACCATGATATAGTCCAGCTTCATTCAGGTTAGATAAAAAAGTAGATATGGGAAAAGGAGGCATGGTTAAGGATGCCTGGGGTAGCAAGGAATGTCTTGCTGATCATTTGGGCAGTCTTAAGGAATAATGAACTGCAAAATGGTCTTCTAGATAGGTAGAATAGCAGGGGAAATGTACCTAAGTATAAACATGCATGATATGTGTAGGGAACAATGAATAAAGCTACTGGTACATGGAGTACACGGGGAGGCACTGCAGAGGTAGGTTGATACTGATAACATACTTTTCTGTACATAAACTAACAAAAAGTATGTCATGAACAACTGTTTTATAAAAGCCATCACACTTGTAATCATTTAGTAATTTCTTTCCTTACAAACAGAAATGAGCTTGGTCTATTTTGTTACCATGGTATCCTCAGTACCTGAGCCTGGTTCATAATTGATGCTCAAAAAATAAATGAATGTAACAATTTCCAGTGATCTCTGACTACCCACTGTGTTCTACTGTTTTGTGCCCAAGTTTTAGTAAACTGGGAGTTCTCTGATGGCAGGGATCATGTTTGATTCATCTGTCTTCGACAGTGCCTAGCATGGTGCCTGTCACTTTGTAGGCCCTCAGAGGGTGCACACTGTGTACTTTGCAGACCATGGGAAGGATGTTAGGAAGTCCCAGTATCCTTAGCCCTGTCTCTGTGACACTGCCAACAGTTCAGCACTCCCTCTAGGCCACAGCTGTGTGAAGACAGGGGTGCCTGCACCCCATCTTCTGAGAAGTATGATCCTGCATAGAGTCCCGCCTTCTGATGTCCACAATGATGAATGTGCACTTATTGGCCACCAACTGTTTGCTGTACCCCCTATCTCAGCCACTGAGCCAAGTATAAATCTAGGAGAAGGCCCACCCTAGAGCTAGCTAAAAATAAGCCACCTGGAAAACTAGAAACAGAGAATATAGAAAATTCACTCATACTCCCACCCTGCAACCATTAGTATTTTGTAAGTTCCTTCTGGATTCTATGTGTGTGATAAATGTATACTATTTAATGTTCTCTTCCTTCCAGCCAACTCAATGGAACATAGGTTAGTGCTTAAGCACACAGGCCCTAGAGCTTGATTCCCTGGATTCACATCCTGGCTCTGTTATATGATCTTGTACAATTCAGCAAACCATACCTTATTTTCCCAATCTGTAAAATGAGGATGGCAATAATGAGGATTAAATGAATAACTGTCTTCATGTTAAGACATATAAAGTACTTGGAACAATATCTGATGTTAGTGACTAGCTTCACAGCATTTTCCATGTTGCTGCATAATATTCATGATGATCATTTTTAATAGCTATAAAACAGTCTACTGTGTCTACACTGGCTACTTTACTTAATCATTACTCCTTTGTTAGATGTGTAGGTTATTTCCAGGCATTCTGTATTATAAATAACACTGTCATAAACATCCTAGTATATACATTTTGGACTTTTCTATATAGAGATTCTCAAAAGTAGAAGTATAAGGTCAAAGGGCAAAAATATTTTATGCCTTTGCTCTAGATGGGGAAACAGTTCTCACTAAAGATTGTAGCACTTTAAAACACAAAGTATATTGGAACATTTTACTTTTCATTCCTTCCTCACCAGCCATAGATGACAACAATTTTTTAAATTATCCAAATGTAGTAAGCCATAAATAGTCCTACTTTCATTTCCTTTTGCTTTGTTTTGTTTTGGTTTCACCATCGTGGAGTGTTGCTGATTGTGATTACTTTATTGTGAGCTCTCTGTATCAGAGTCTATACCACTTGCTTTAATAGAGAACACTTAATATTTTTTAAAATGTTAATTGTCTATTAAAGAATTCAAAAGCCAAAAAAGAAACACTAAGGATCTGCTACAACTTCTGAGGCTAAGGGAACAAAGGAAAGAGGAGGTGGCAGTTAGTGGCGTTGGTGTCACTGAGTGGCAGCTATGAGACTAGTTCTCTCAGTGACAGCCAAACTGCAAACCGGGTTCAACTTCTGCTTCAGGAACAAACTGCTGCCATGGAGTTGAAGAACTAAGGCTGTGGGGCTGCCAGATTTAGCAAAACCAAAATGCAGGACACTCAGTTAAATTTTGGTGTTAGAAACAAATAATTTTTAGTGTATTTATGCTCATATTGCATAGGACATACTTATACTTAAAAAAATCTTGTTGTTTATCTAAAATTCAAATTTTACAAAGTGTCCTACATTTTACCTTGCAATCCTAACAAGATGGATGATGCTGGGGTGGTGGGGGGGAAGCATATTATCCCCCTCATCTAGCCTTTGTCTCCCTCTAGCACCTACTATTGGCAGAGCCCAGCATAGAGCAAGTTGGCAAAGCTGAAAAGTGGTTTGCAGACAAAGCAGTGTAAAGAAGCTAATAAACAATTACCCAATAATTGGTACAGTCCATCCTTCTGGCTACCCAGCATCCATATACACTGTCTGGCACATGTGTACTTCCACACAACAAAAACAACTCTGGCCAGGTGTGGTGGCTAACGCCTGTAATCCCAGCACTTTCGGAGGTCAAGGCAGGCAGATCACCTGAGGTCAGGAGTTCGAGACCAGCCTGGCCAACACGCCAAAACGTTGTCTCTACTAAAAATACAAAAAATTAGCTGGGCATGGTGGTGGGTGCCTGTAATCCCAGCTACTCAGGAGGCTGAGCCAGGAGAATTGCCTGAATCCAGGAGGCAGAGGTTGCAGTGAGCCGAGATCACACCATTGCACTCCAGCCTGGGCGACCGAGTGAGATTCTGTCTGAAATTAAAAACAAAAACAAAAACAAAAACAAAACCTCTAACAAAATGCCTCACAACATTCAACTATTTTTCCAACAAATGAAGACATTCTCACCTTTTCTCCAACATGGGGATAGACAATGTCCCAACAGACATTTTAGTCATCTCTGGAAGACAGTCACTGTATCCACCTCTAAGCAGAATTAATAGCTCATAAAATTCAGTCACATTTGAAAACTCTGTTATCTAAAGACTAACATGTGGAATTAACCTCCAACAGAACTTATATAAAATAATAGGGAGGAGAAGGGAGAAGAAATTAGCCCATGTGTACCATTATATATAGTCACATTATGATCAAGGAAGAAAAATATGCCTGGCTGCTACATTCCTTGTTTCTGTAACCAGTCATGAAGTCAAAGATGATTTTTATAAATTTCTTCCTCAACCTTCCATTCCATGTTTTCTTGCCCTCAGACAGGACCTCAGGTGGCTGGGATTCTTTACCCAGTAGAGTGACCCAAACCTTCATTTCTGAAGGATCTGAATCCTCCATAGTCCTGAATATCCTTACTTGCAATATATTTATTAATATTTACTATTGAGCATAGAAATATGAAGATACGCCCCTAGAAGACTCCCCTAAGCTTCAGACATAGTCCTCCCTGTCCTCACTGTCCCTTTGATTATCAGGATGAATCACAACAGCCAGAAAAGTAATCCCCTTCTTTGCCCACTGATTTAGTGGCATGAAGAGCCCCAGCTGGCCAGGGAGCTGTTTCAACTCCAAATTCAATAGAACCATGTTGTAAATCCTAATGGAAGTATTTCCTTCTTGGCAACTAAGACCTCCAATCCAGTAGAGCACAAAATTAAAGAGACAGGAAGCAAAAATTCTGTACGTGGGTTATTAGGTGAAATGGTAAGAGGAGCCACTCCCATTTCCACCCCACGATTTCTAGACCCATACATTTTGGCTATGAGAGAAAAACACAATGTCTTGCTTGCTAAGTCATAATACATTGCATCCCATAAAACAGAAGCTCATTATCTCCATAAGGTGTTGCTTCTACTTAAGTCTTAGGTAATTCTTCAGTAGGCCATTCTACTGATCTACTAAGCCAGCTGCTCCTGAGTGGTTGAGTACATGTTAAGACCAGTGAATTTCATAGGCATGAGCATATTGCTGCCCATCTTTTACTGTGAATTAAAGTCCTTGATTAAAAGCCTTGCTGTCTGTAATATATCTGGATGGCAAATAGGTATTCCAAACATCCATAGATGATGGTGCTGGCAGAAGCATTACAGACGAGGAAAGAAATCCATATCCAGAATGTATATCTGCTCCAGTTAGGACAGATTTCTTTCCTGTCCATGATGGGAGTAATCCATTGCAATCATCTTGCCACCAGGTGGATGGTCCCCCCCAGGGAATGGTGCCCATAAGGAGCTCAGCATTGTTCTCTGTGTTTGACAGGTTAATCATTCAACAGTAACAGTATCAGGCCAGCTTGGTAAGAGGAAGCCCATGCATAGCCTCCATCCTTACCACCATGGCTGTTTTATGCATAAGTCCGTTAAGCAAACCCTGGGTGACTAAAGAAAGATGCTGTCTAACATACATAGGTCATGCCATTTTGTCCACCTGATTATTGAAAGACTGTTTTCATCATGTCCTTTGATAAACTCTCACATGGGGCACAAATATCCTCTTACTCTGTACCTATCCCAAGAGGTCCATCCACCTACCTTTTCCCCAGACCTCCTTATCACCAGTCTTGCTATTTTGTTCTTTCCAAGTCCCTGATCATCCAGCTAAACCATTAGCAACTGCTCATGAATCAATGTAGTGCTAACCATCCCCTGGACCAAAGTATACAACTAAATTTACCACTTGAAGTCATGTCCACTGTCCTTCACCATTACCTTTTATTGGGGCTGTGAAGCTGCCACCTTACACTTCTAGTTGGTGCCAACATTTATTCACAACAACTTGTAAACCAAGCCCAAGTTTTTTCTCCTTGGTCAGCTGCTCTTAAGGAATCCCCAGTGAGGCCTTAGATGTGGATTCAGGGAGAAGAAGTCATGTAGCAGTGGCTCAAATGAATCTGAGCCACCTACTTATACAACTTACTTGTCCCTTCCAGACATACTCAAGCCATTTGACGATGGTGTGCGACCAGACACAGCCAACCTTATGACTTGGTAGATAAGATGGGCAGCTCAGGCCATATGGTCATTTAATGCCTCATGGTCAGGTTGTGTTCTCATTTTTTTAAATGTTTTTATCCATTTAGCCCTTATATAATTCTATGAGGCTCATGCTTCTTTTTGTCTTCCATTATATTTATCCTTGTCATTTTCTTTATGAATGATGATGGTAGCAGCACCTGGCTATCTGATCCCATCTTATGGGGTCAAGTAACAAATCAGGAGCTGTTTCTCAACTTCAACAACAAAAAAGTTATCTGCAAAAGAGAGCATGGATTTGCACCAAAACTTGCATGCCTACAGGGCATAAGGGCTAAGAAAAGTTGCCTGTTCCTCCACAGTCCCAGATGTGGGGAACTCTGCCAAGGGTCTTCTCTTGGGAGCTGGCGGCCTGTGGCCAGAGGTTGATCTCAGGCCACTCTGTTTCAGGCACAGCCTCCGTTGCTGTGGCAGGGATCTTGGCTGCTCTGCGAATCACCAAGAACAAGCTTTCCAATCACGTGTTTGTTTTCCAAGGTGCAGGCGAGGTATGTGGCATTGAGGGTTTCTTTGGTTGCTCCAGGAAGAGAATAAGAATGGGTGGAAGCATACCAAAAAAGGGAGGCATTCTGGGGTTCTGAAAAGAGGAAGCAGCACAGACATATTGTGATCATTGCAGCTGCCTAGGCTCTGACAATTGGGTGTCTCAAGGCAAGGACTTAATTGGGCCTCCTGGGAGTCATTGAGGTGGGGGAAAGAAAAGGGGGTCCTTATGGCAAGACATCAGATAAATGTTCAGCAGCTGTTTGCCCTGTGTCTGAACATCTACCCTATGGTACCTTCCAGGCAGCTATGGGCATTGCCCACCTCCTTGTCATGGCCCTAGAGAAAGAAGGTGTACCGAAGGCAGAGGCCACAAGAAAGATCTGGATGGTGGACTCTAAAGGGCTCATTGTCAAGGTACTGTCAGTCTGGAGACCTGGAGGTTTCCTGACACCTTATAGCTCCCAGGAACTGGACTGGAAGAGGTCTCCAAGAAGTCAACTGCTCAAACAGAATAGAGAGCAAAATGAGGGCAATGGCCTAAGCTCCAAAGCAAAAGATTCATCCCAAAGTAGCCTTAATTGCTTCTGTCCAAAAGTTTGTACAAGTGTGTAGATGTGTGCCCCTTCTAGTCTTGTCCCCCACCACTTCCTGACTTGCACTAGCCTCCAGCCACATTAAATCATAGTTTCCAAAAGCAGCCTGCTCTCTGTCTTCCACATCTTTACACATCTTGTTCTGCCTGAATTGCTCTCCTCTGTTTTTCCACATGCCAACTCTCAACCCTTAACCCCTTCCCAGTTTCCTCCTTATCTTCTGATAGTGCTCAAATGTTACCCCCTCCAAAAAGCTTATTTCCTGCATCTATGCTCCATACATTGTACTTACCACACTGTAGAGAAGTTGTTCCTTTCCAGTTTCCCCACTAGACTAGTCTTGATATCAATGCCTGGCACATGGTAAGTGCATAATTAATGTGTGAGGCATGAATGAAAGCATGAATGAGAGAGAAACAGTCCAGCTTCCAGCTAGCACGTGTTGAGAGACACAACTGAAGGACCCCTCCATTAGAGCTACACTCAGTGCTTTAATTCCCAGAATTTCACTAACATAGAATGTCAGTGAGAGATGAAAAATTATGGCAGAGATGGGAACAGAGGAAGTACATAAGGACATTGACCAAGAATGGCAGAGATCCTCAGCAGAACTGAGCTTCCTATTGTTCCATATGGGGCCAGATTTCTGCTGAAAGGAACTTAGCCTTGGAGATTCCTCTTCCCACCCACCCCTACGTCTTTCCAGAGCATAATCTGGCCACAGGTGTAAGCTGCCAGAGACAGCCACTCTTCCCTCTTATCCATCTTTCAACATCATTTTTCTCATTCCATCAACCCTAGCCAAGGAGCTCTCAAAGCTGACATCTTTGCACTGGTTCCTATGAGGCCAGCTAATCCAAAGCAGTCATCAAAAGCATCTGAACCCATTTACCAGCACTTATGCCAGCCTGTCACCTACCAACTTCCATTTGAAGAAATGTAAGGAACTGGAGCTGGTTGGGCATGGCCTGTCATTCTAAGACCTTCCTGGAGCTTAGTTTAGTATTATTGACAGGGGAATTAATGGCTCTTATAAGCATATTCAAATTAGCTCCCTGACCCTGGGTGGCACAGGTCCCCATCCCTCAACTGAGCTTGGTGCTGGATGCCTTGGGCCAAAGGGTCTTGGTGAGACTCAGGCATTGCCCAAAAGCCTTTCTGTCCTGGCCCAGGAAGCCATAATCCTAACAGCTCAAATAAATTCTTTATGGATTCTCCATATGTGGTTTGGGTTAAAGAAACATGCACACACACACACACCCCACTCTCACACTTATGTCCCACCATAGGTTCTGCCAGGAAATGTAGTCAAGAAGATGGGCCCCAAAACATCTGACAGCTCAAACCAAAGCATGGGGCTCAGCAGGAAACGCTCTCAGAGTTTCCAAATGCATCTGTACTCCTACCCAACAGGCCATCACGACCACAACTGCTCTGTGTTCCTTTTCCTGTAGGGGAGGAGCCACCTGAACCATGAAAAGGAGATGTTTGCCCAAGACCATCCTGAAGTCAACTCCCTGGAGGAGGTGGTGAGGCTGGTGAAGCCCACAGCCATCATAGGTAGGAGGAGGGAGGGTACCCACTACCCAGCCCAGCTAACCCTCTTGACTTGCAGATGGAGAGACAGAGGCTCAGCTAGGAAGCCTAAGTAACCCATGGAAACAGCTCTTTCCCCTATCCCATGTGCAATTCAATGCCACAAACTTTTATTGAGTGACTATTGTATAGAAACCACAAAACTAAGGCACCAGATTTAGGGCTCAGTGATGCAGAAATATACAATGCAGTGAGTAAGTGCAGGGCTAGTCTGTCTCTCTCTCTCTTTCTCTCTGTCTTTTTTTTTTTTTTTTTTTTGACAGAGTTTAGCTGTTTTGTCCAGGCTGGAGTGCAGTGGTGTGATCTCAGCTCACTGCAACCTCCGCCCCCTGGGTTCAAGTGATTCTCCTGCCTCAGCCTCCCAAGTAGCTGGCATTATAGGTGCCCGCCACCATGCCTGGCTAATTTTTGTATTTTTAGTAGAGACAGGTTTTCGCCATTTTGGCCAGGCTGGTCTCAAACTCCTGACCTCAGGTGATCTGTACCCACCCCACTGCCCCCCAGCCTCCCAAAGTGCTAGGATTGCAGGCATGAGCCACCACACCTGGCCTGGTCTCTCTAACCACAATGAGATGGGCATTTCTCTCCCAAGGCAGACCCTGGCATCTCCCTGTGTCCTGAGGAGCAGCTCACTCTCCATGGAAATGCCCAGGAATGCCTTCACAGGAGCAGCTTAACTGGCAGGGACCTGAGGTGGACCAGTGGTCCCTTAGAGATGAAAAGGAGGTCTCAGGCAGCTCAAGCAGGAAGATCATTTTCCCTTCTGCTCCTTCAGTCCTTGTGGCAGATGCTGGGCCCAAGACCGAGTCTTTCATGGTATTCCTAGTTCCCCCACCACCACCAGCAGAAGAGGAATGGGTTGTTTATAGAGAGCAGGCATCCCCACTACCCGCCTTTTCCCTGTAGGTGTTGCTGCCATCGCAGGAGCCTTCACGGAGCAGATTCTGAGGGACATGGCCTCCTTCCACGAGCGCCCTATCATCTTTGCCCTGAGCAACCCCACCAGCAAGGCCGAGTGCACGGCTGAGAAGTGCTACCGGGTCACCGAGGTCAGCGGGGAGTCCTTCCTTCCCCCGGCTGAGAGGACATAGTAACAATTACAATGAGTAACCTCATGAGGGTGAAAAATACTCCTACATCGCTGATGAGCAAACTGAATTTCAGAAAGATGAAGTAACATGCCCAAGGTCAAAGAGCTAATAAGGAGTGGAGCTGGCTGTCAAACCCAGGTCTGACTCCAAAGCCCAAGTTCTTACATTTGTGCTATGCTGCTCAAGGTTCACCCTAAATAACACAGAGCTTTGACCAGCACCCAAAACCTGAGGCACTTGTAGACTCTAGGCCACATCCTGTCATGTCCTGGGTTGGCCCCACCAGGAGGTGACAAAAATGGTGCTGTGAACCCCATCACCTTTCAGCAGTTTCTTGGCTGCTAGATAACAGGTGAGGGCTGAGCTTTCTGGTCAAATGACAAATGTGCTTTAAATACCTGCCATGTTCTCAGCACAGTGCTGGGCGTTTGGGAGAGGATGAAGAAGGGTCCAACATTTGGAAGATAAGAATAGGCCACTATTATTACCCCAAACCAATCTCCAAGTTCATCTCTGGTTTTCTTCCTGCCTCCAGGGCCGAGGGATTTTTGCCAGTGGAAGTCCTTTTAAGAGTGTGACTCTGGAAGATGGCAAGACCTTCATTCCTGGGCAGGGAAACAATGCTTACGTGTTCCCCGGGGTGGCACTGGGAGTCATCGCCGGCGGGATCCGGCACATCCCAGATGAGATCTTCCTCCTGACAGCAGAGGTATCACTGTCCTTGCTCCCTCAAATGCTTGCAGTAGGGTCTGTGGGTTGACACTGGGTCCTATACCAGATCTCTCTTATCTCTTCTGCCCATCTGCCCCAACATTGCCAGTGGATTCCCAAAGTGCTTAAACCTCAAGCATCTCTCATGGCCACCTTGAAGCTTGACTTCTTCAATCACACATGGGGCTTTTGAGGGGGAATGGGGAATAGTGGTGAAGGGTATTAGCAAGAGGCACTGACAGAGGAGGAGACATGCCTCATACTGCCCCCTGCGTCCTAGCAATGCCATCTAGATGCCTAGACAGAAGAGATGCCATCAAAGCCACCTGAAACTGAGGGCTTGTGGACCATGATAGGTGATGGATTCTTCCAGCCACAGGCCTTAACCAAATCACTGGGGTAACTGGCGGTAGTAAGCCCCACTAGGACAGCTTTCTGTAAGGGAGGGGGTGGGTGTCATACTTGTTTTTTTCTCCTTGGAGGACCCAGATCTTGAGCACTGATATGAAGTATTGGAGATGTACCTATTCCAGGTATCTTACTAGATAAGCGCACAAAAGAGTTCTTTACTAGACATGATGAAAACCATGAAAGAATCCATTAAGAATGACAGCCTATATTCACACTCATGGTTATTGATAACAGTTACAGTGGCTGAAATTACCAGGTAGTTACCAAGTGCCAGGCACTTGACATTTATCCTCACTCTGACAAAAGCAAGGCATAGAAATGTCTCTGTTGAGAGGTTAAGCTAATCAAAGCCATATACAAATATTAAACATATTTACACGTAACAAGCTCCAAAGGCTCTCCTGTGACTTCTAACATCCTTCTGCATTTCCTTCTCACTGAGGCACTGGTGAAAGCCTGAAACCAATGAGACATGGGTATGGCTTCCACACAGCCCTGTCTGGATCCACTTCTGTGAGTCCCACAGGGAGCTACCTCATGCACCAGGTCCCTTCTTACTATGTCTAGTCTTTGAGCCCTGGCTCTCCAAGGCTGTGCAAATAATGTCTTCCAAAGGCTTTTCAGCTTCCCCCAGCCCCACGCACACTACTTATGACTTTGTGTTACAGTTCTCTGTTCCTCTTGTCTGAGTACTCTGTTTGTCTTTCTTCTCATTGCTATGATGGGTGTTCTTGTCCTGTAGCTGTGGGCAGAGCTGTGTGAAGTCCCCATTGGATGGAAAGAGTCACTTTCTGCTTGAAGTCAGCCTGAAAGCAAAGTCCTCTGTTGAGTAAAAACACAATTGCTACAGTCCTGCCTATATAATACCATGGGACATCCACACATCTGCCCCACTACCTCCAGTGCTGTGAGACAGTTCAGCTCCAACATTTCATGAACAGTGTCCATCAATTACACAGGAACCTCTCCTGGATCTACTTATTATCACCTGCTGTGAGCAAGATAAGGTCCCTCCCCTATAGGAGCTCACATTATGGTCTTCAAAGGCCTGGCAAGTTATATTTCTGAAAAGGGTACTTTTAGTGAAGATAATTTAAGTTGAATTTGATTTTCCCATGGAAAATTAATATAGACTTTAAGGAGATGTGCATTCACCACCTCCTTTCATTGTAACAACTCTGTAAAATAGGTAAAATTCTTACTCATATGTGAGTTTAAGTCACTTGCTCAAGATCGCTGGTCTTGTGAGCCCAGGATGGCTCCAGACAACTTGACTCCCTGCTGAAGAGCATTGCCAGTGCCTACCGTCTTAGATGTGATCACACATACCATGATATATCTCTTCTCAGGATAACTTTTCTAGATGCATATCTAGCCATGGAAATCTTGCTTCTCTCTTATCAATCCATCTTCTATACCTTCACAAAGAGAATCCTTCAAAACATAGGTCAGGTCAAGTCTCTCCCCTAATTTCAGACCTTCGTATGGCTCCTTGGTGCATACAGGATAAAGTCCAAACTCCTTCCCATGATTTCCATACAAGGCACTTCATCACCAGGCCCTCCTTTCCTCTCCAACCTCACTTTTGGTGTCTCCCTAACATCGACCTAACCAATGTGCTGTTTTCAATCTCTTGTCCATGCTCTCTCTCACCTCCCAGCATTTGCATGGGCCATTCTCTCTCCCCTAATTCATGCTTTGTCCTTCAGGTATCAGCCTGTGACACTTCTGAGAAGCCTTTCCTATACATGGTAGACAGGATCCTGCCATCCTCCATGCCTGTATGTCCCCTCTCATTGCACTCACCCACTATAATTGCTATAATCATTTGTTACTTGTCCACTGACACCAGTCTCCATAAGAGAAAAGACTATGGCTTCTCCACCATAGAATCCTTCCTTATATGGCTCCTCAGCACCTAGCACAGAGTCTAGACACTAAAAGTGAGGCTGAAGAGGAAAGGAGGGCCCAGTGATGAAGTGCCTTGTATGGACACCATGGGAAGGAGTTTGAAGGAGCCATATAAAGGTCTGAAATTAGGAGACAGACTTGGCCTTCTCTCTGTTTTGAAAGATATAGTAGAGCACAGTGAATGTATGACTGAATGAATGGAAAAGAAAGATGGAAGTGTGAGAAGGAGGTAGAGAGGGAGGCCCACTTCCCTAATATCTGAAAACATTGAGGGGAGACCAACTTCTTAGCCTTGTCACTTCTGAGACACACAGTTCTCAGAGAGCACCAGTGGCATTTCCCAAGTCTAAATTTAACACCAGAAGCCTCAGTGGGAGTAGATTCAGAACCACCACATTAAAGAGGCTGATTTGCAAGGCTGAACAAACTCCAGCATCTGAGCCTGGAGGATCAGGCCCTGTGGCAGATGAGGCTTAACCCTCAGAGGCAAGCTCTGAACCTGGAAGGGAAGCTACGGGAGGCTCTGTTCTCAGGATGATGTGCTTAGGACATTTATTCCAATAAGGTGTAAGACTCAATCACTCACTGGAGGAGAGGCCTTCCTCAGACTGAGACCAGGGCTGGAAGGAAGAGCTCCAGGAGACTGAACACAAAGACATAACATAGCCTAGATGGTCACTCAAGATGGTACCAAGCACGTGGAAGGAGGCTGGGACCCAGGAAGTGAGGGACCCAGGGATCCCTATGCAACAGGCTGGACCAGCCAAGAGGAGATCTCATAGCCTTTGCTTTGCAGGCCACAGATTTATTCATCTTGGCTTTAGTGATTTTCCTTTGGAATTCAGAGACACTTAATGTTGTTTTAAGCCTCAGCCAGTCTTATAGTACAGAAAGGATGTGTCCTCTCTTACGCCCAAGCATTAAGCTTCCCTGGTAACAGAGTCAACAGTTGGAACTGCAGTGTTTGACCAACTATGCAGGGTGGGGTGAGTCTCTGGGGTAACGGGTTGGGCTTGTTTTGGGAAGGCAGAGACTCAGCTTATTCCTCTCGGTTCTCTCCTTCTCCCCAGCAAATTGCCCAGGAAGTCTCTGAGCAGCATCTGTCCCAGGGGAGACTCTACCCACCACTCAGCACCATCCGAGACGTGTCTTTGAGAATTGCCATCAAAGTAAGGGGCATCCTACCCCTGTAATATGGGTAGTGAGGCTCAACCACTTTCTCTGTCTGTGACTTTAGGAGGGTTAAGGGGATGGAAACTGTGGAGACACTGGATCTCCTTGAGCTGCACTACCTGTAACCCAGAGGCTGGGTGACAAACTCTTGTTTGCAGCTTGAGCTCCACCCCAAACACCCACCCAGGCCAGTTCTGGGAAAGCTCCTGGATTTCCCCTAATACACCAAGCAGAAAGGTCATCAATGTCTGTGGACCAGAATATGGGAATTTTTTAGAAATGACTCATAAGCGCCCATTTATAAGAAAGGTCAGCTTGCATAGCATCACGGAAAAAGCTCAGGCTTTGGGGTCCCAGCTCTCCCAATCAGCAATGGTATAATATTGGCCCAATCACTTCACTTCCCTGAGCCTCAGTTTCCTCCTTCTTCAAAGGGCCAGTAGTTCCTCACTCTCAGAATTCTGGAGATTGGCAGAGAACAGTGAAAAAGCTCCATACCCAGTGCTCTCTCAGCCAGGGTAAATCTCTTTCTTCCCCTTTTTCTCAGAATGGCTGGCTATGGGGTGATCAGCTTCATGGAATATTCCAGACTATAAGACTGTGCAGAGATGATGGGTTTTCAAAGAATCAGAACATGGTGCAATAAGGACTGGCCCAACATTGATAATTGTTAAAGCTGGATAATAGATACATGACAGTTTATCATACTATTATTTCTATTAGTATGCATGTTTTACATTTTCTATAAGTTTTAAAAATAATTTCAGAAAATGCATCGTACAACAGCACACACACCCATGAGTTGTCTGGTACAGAATCCAGAATCAAGCCTCAAGATTAACAGTCCAGCTCAGGGTCCAGCTTCACCCCGTCAGTTTCTTCCTTTGGGCGATATTTAGATTCACATTCTCGTGAAGCCAAATCTAATACCCAGAGAACAGTGTCCAGGCTGTTCATCCAATTTAACCCATATTCAAGTGGAAAAAAAATCAGGTTCTGGACACATTTGCCTCTTGTCTAATTTTATCTTAACACTGCTCCAGAGAAAGGTCTCTTTACTCCCATTTTACAGATGAGGAAACTGAGGCTCAGCAAGGATAATATCAGCTCTGAGGACCCACAGGCCTTTGGAAGCAGGCAGAATTTATGCTGAAGCCTCTTGACCCTGGCTCAGTATTTATTCCACTATGTTAAAGCTGCCTGTCCAGAAAGAAAGCTTAAAATCCTTCCTATCCAGTTGTTTCATGAGCCATACTCATGAAAGAAACAAGTCTGGTTCCTTAAGGTGTATTCCCCTCCCCCATGCTCCCAAGCAAGGATCCTTAAGCAGGTTTCCCCTTAGATCCGGTTCCTTAGCCAAACATGTTTTTCTCTAGGTTCTCGACTACGCGTACAAACACAACCTGGCTTCCTACTACCCAGAGCCTAAGGACAAGGAGGCTTTTGTAAGATCCCTGGTCTACACTCCAGACTATGACTCCTTTACACTGGACAGCTACACTTGGCCCAAGGAAGCCATGAATGTTCAGACGGTCTGAGGCAGTCTCAGAGGCTAGTATGGGGCTAGATGAAGCCCAGAGTAACACCCACAATATAAATGGGTTCCAAAATGGCCCAAGTGAATCCTTGTCGCTGTGTTTTTTCTTTTAAACTTTCTGGTGTGAGAGGAGATGCCAAGGCATACAGTGAATAAAAGCCTTGTCTCTGAAGGCCCTGGGAGTTCACTTTTCTGAACCCTCCTCTGAGTTCCTTCCTAAGCATTTCTTCAACCATTAATCACCAACTACTGGCCAGGCCTTGTGGGAAATGCAGAATCTCATCTAGAATCCTGCCTTTACAGAGCTCGGGATCTAGTGGAGGAGATTGGACACAATTCATTTTGCCATAAGGGAGAAAGTGGTAAGTTCATGAAAGAACAGATAAAAACTGAGGGCAGTCAGAAAAGGGAGAGGATACTTCCTATGGAAATGTAAGAGAAGGCTTCAGGGAGAGCAGTGTTTACACTGAGTCCCAAGAGGAAAAGATGGGTGGGAGTCATGGGGAGATGAAGAATGTGAGCACAGCCACTAGCCAGAAAGCACAGCCCACCCATCAGGGAGTTTAGTCCATGTCAGCCATACACACCCTTCAAGTCTCGGCAGTGTGTGAAGGCTGAGTGGCTAACGGCAGCTCGCTAACTATTCAGGTCACTGCCCTGTGGGTTGTTGAGTCTTAGACATTCTTTTTTCTAAAAGGAAAACCAGAGAAATGTGGGTGGGGAGGGTCAGCCTGCCAAGCAGTGAGGAGGAAGAGAGGCAGTGAGAGGAACAGCACCATAGGGAGATCTAGGGAAGACTTGATTTCATTTTCCTGGCTCTGGAACACACTCTGGCTTCCATCCTTCACTCTCTGAAGTAGTTGAGCAACACAAAGCAGTTTTCTTAGTGAGTAATATCAGTCCATCCTGGGTGTTTCTTAGACCAAGTTCAGTGCTAGCCTTCATCTCTCTCATGTTCAGCAGAGCCCATATCATAGGGGTGGGGGCAGGAGAGAGCTTGCAGCCCCCTGAAATTAGATACTGCTAAGATGTTAAGACATGTGGAGATGGCAGCTTCCTGCCTCTAATTTCATTGTATAATCAAGGAATCAATAAATCATGCTTAGGGTCCTACTCCTGCTGCTACCTCAGCCTCAGGATCTCCACTGCCAGCAACGAATAGGTCCTATATGACCAACTCTCAAGGACAGGCTAGATGGACTATTAGACTTCTAGAAGAGTAATTAGCAGAGATACCACTCACTTCTTGCTCAGGTCTTATTCTTCCAAGAACTGCTTCCTTGGTGCTGGTGCTCAGCCAAGAATATCCTGAGAAAACATCCCTCCTCTATGATCCTTGGGATCATAGAGAATGAAAAACTATTCAGAAGAGAGTTTGAAGAGTGAAGCTGGAATCTGAACACCATGGAGTTTTTGACACTACCTTTTTACATCATGTCCCACAATTTCCTCTGTATCGCTGCTACATATCCTTTATAATCAATATAGTAGAAAAGAAAAACAATAGTAGAGAAAACAAATGAAAGCAAAATAGGTTCTTTGAAAAGATCAAATAAATTAACAAACTTTAGCTATACTAACCAAGACAAAAACAAAGAAGACACAAATTACACTTCCTTTGTTCCAGCCACACTGAACATCTTGCCAGCCCTAAGCACATGTGCTTTCAAGCCTGTGCTGATACTATCCATGCTTGGTCTCTCCTTCTGGGAAGTCCTTCCCTTCCCTTTTTTTCTCTTTACTGATTAAATTTTAGTTCACTCTAGCTTTCTGCCTGGAAACGGCATTCATCCTTGGAATTCAAATGCAATTGGCTCTATAGAGTAACAGAATTAATAACTAAATTAGAAATCAATAAACAGAAAACTATGGGAAATTCCAAAATATTGGAAAACAGTACATTTCAAAATAACCCATAGATCAAAGAAGAAATCACAAGCCAAGTTATATATGTTGAACTGAATTTTTAAAATCATATCAAAATTAATAAGATGTAGCTAAAGCAGTGTTTAGAGAGAAACTTTATAGCTTTAAATGTTGTCACGGTTAATTTTACGGCACCACAGGGTGCCCAGAAATTTGATCAAATGTTATTCTGGGTGTTGCTGTGAGGGTATCTTTGGATGAGAGTAACATTTAAATCATTAAACTAAGTAAAGTAGATTGCCCTCCACTAATTGCCTTCATCCAATTAGTTGAAGGCCTGAATAGAAAAAATGGATTCGCCCTCCCTTGAGTAAGAGAGACTTACTCCTACCTGATGCCTTTCTAACTGGGATATTGGCTTTTTCCTGCCTTTAGACAGGAACTATACCATCATCTCTCCTAGATCTCCAGCTTGCTGACTCACCCTGTAGATCTTAGAATTTGACAGCTTCCATAATCATGTGAGCCAAGCCAGTTCCTTATAATAAATCAACAGAGAGAGAGAGAGAAAGATCTTATTGGTTCTGTTTCTCTGGAGTACCCTGACTAATGCAAATTCCTATATCAGAAGAGAAAGAAAGAGAGAAAGGAAAGAAAAAAAGTCTCAAGTCAATAATTTAAACTTCCTCCTTAAGAAAATGGGGGTGGGGGAAAGCAAACAAAATTCAAAGCAAGCAAAGATTAGAGCACAAATCAATATACCTATAATAAGTAAAGAAATTAGTAATTAAAAAATCTTTCCCCCAAGAAAAACCAGGTCCAGGTGGCTTCATTGGTTGGAATTTATCAAATACTTAAGTAATAACACCAATTATGCAGAAACTCTTTCAGAAAATAGGGGAGGGAACACTTCCCAAATCATTCTATGATACTAGTATTGCCATATCAAAGCCAGATAAACATATCACAAGAAAAGTACAGGCCAATATCCTTCATGAATATAGATGAAAAAATCCTAAACAAAATATTAGCAAACCAAATTCAGCAACATGAAATTTAAAAATTACATACAACAAACAAGTGGGCTTTATCCTCAGAAACGTAGTTTTTTAACATTCAAAAATTGTTCAATATGGTTGTTCAATTACATTAATAGAATGAAAGACAAAAAAATCATATGATCATGCCAATAGATACGAAGAAAGCATTTGAAAAAAACCAACGCCCATTTATGAAAAAACCCTAAACAAAGTAGAAATAGAAAAGAACATCTTCAACCTAACGAAGGACATCTATAAAGAGCCAAAGATAACATCATATTTAATGGTAAAAGAATGAATACTTTCTCCCTAAGATCTGGAACAAGGCAAGGACGTTGTTTTTACCACTTCTAGTCAACACGGAGGGTGTTTAGCCAGTGCAATGAAGCAAGAAAGAGAAGCTAAAGGTGTCAAGATTGGAAAGAAAGAGTAATACTGCCTTGATTCACAGATGACCTAATCCTGCATGTAAAAAACACTAAAGAACACATACACATTCATTCATTCATTCATTCTCTCTCTCCTCTCTCTCTCTCTCTGTCTACTGGAACTAATAAATTAGTTTTGAAAGGTCACCAAATACAAGGTCAACATTATTTCTATATGCTGGCAGCAAATGATCTAAAAATAAAATTAAGAAAACAATTTCATTTACAACTGCATCAAAAAGAAAAGATACTTAGAAATAAATTTTAGAAGTGCAAGTATAGTATACCAAAAACTACAAAACATTGCTGATAGAAATTAAAGATCTAAATAAATTGAGAGAGATTCTTTGTTCATGGATTTGAAGACTCAATATTGTCAAAATTGCAATTATATTCAAATCTATAAAGTGAACACTATACCTATCAAAACCATTGTAGGGTTTTTTGGTGGAAACTTACAGGCTGATTCTAAAATGTTTATGGTAATGTAAAGGATCTCAAAGAGTCAAAAAAATTATAAAGAAGAACAAAGTGCCCTATTCAATGTCAAGAACCTACTATAAATATACAATGATCAAGGCTGTGTGGTCCAATAGCAAAGACATGAAATTAATCTAAGTTTCCATCAGTCGATGGCTGGATAAAGAAAATGGATAAGAAAATGAATATATATGTGCAATGGAATACTATTCAGCCATAAAAGGAATAAAATCATGTGTTTTGCAGCAACATAAATAGAACTGGAGGCCCTTAAGTGAAATAATTCAGAAAGTGAAATGCCATATGTTCTCATAAGTGGGAACTAAATAATGTGTACACATGAACAAAGAATGTGGAATCTCACTGGAGACCTGGAAGGGTGGGAGAGTGGAAGAAGAGTGAGGGATAAGAATTTACTTAATGGGTATAATGTGCAGTATTTTGGTAATGATTACACTAAAAGTCCATACTTCACCACTATGCAACATATCCATGTAACAAAACTGCACTTGTACACCTTAAATTTATACCAAAAAAGGACTGTGTGGTCATATAAATAAATGAAGCAGAACTGAGAGTTCACAAATAAGTTTTTACCTTTATGGCAAATTGATCATCAATTTTAATCAAATTTACTAATTTAATCAAAATTACTAAGGTAATTCATTGGGGGAAAGAGAGTCTTTTGAACAAATTGTGCTGAAACAATTGAATATCCACATGCAAAAAAAAGTTAACTTAGACACCTCACACTAAACACAAAAATTAACCTTTACACATCTCAAACCAAACAAAAATCAACCTGAAATGGATCACAGACCTAAATGTGAGAGCTAAAACTGTAAAATTTCTAAGATAAAATATAGCAGAATATCTTTATGACTTAGGTTGAGGAGAGTTCTGAGATACAACTTTAAAAGCATGATTCATAAAAGAAATAAATTGTACTTCATCAAAATTTAAAATTTTGCACTTTGAAACACTTTTTTTTGGGAGGGAAAAAGACAAGCAGCAGACTGGGAGAAAATAATTGCAAATCATATATCTGACGAAGACACTGGATCCGGAATATATAAAGAACTACTTCAACTTAATAAGAAGATGACAATTCAAATTTTAAAATGAGAAAAATATTTAAATCAGCATTTTATCCAAAAAGATAGGTGAATGGCTAACAAGCACATGAAAAATGTTTAACATTATTAGTAATAAGAAAATTAAAACCACAATGGCATAACAACACTCACCAGAATGGCTATAATAAAAAAAAAAGATCTGTTGGTAAGAATGTGGAGAACTTTGTCTCCTAAGCACTATTAGATTAAGGGAGAGTTCCCTTGCCTTGTAAGTCTTCACTCTAACTCCCCAGCCT
The DNA here is from genome assembly GCF_000001405.40 of Homo sapiens. Classification (NCBI taxonomy): domain Eukaryota; kingdom Metazoa; phylum Chordata; class Mammalia; order Primates; family Hominidae; genus Homo; species Homo sapiens. Next base: position 86,436,093 of record NC_000011.10, on the reverse strand, counting down.
CCCATACATAGCCCCAGTATTCAGCAAGTGTCATTTAAGAGAGTGGATGCTGTGGTTGCACCACCTAGATCCTGCCTTGGGTCTGAAACACTCATTCCTCCAGATGCCATTGTCAGCTGAGGGCCACCAGCTGCATCGCTCTCTAGGAATTGCCCTCGACTGAAGGTGAATGCTTCACCCAAGATTATGCCATCATCCCCAAGGGAAGCCTACAGGCAATGACTGGTTGATTCAAGGGCCCAAAGGCCAGATTCCTAGCCTCAATTGAGAACATCTCTAAATAGCCATCCCATCCTCAGAGCTCCCTATGAGACTGGCTGAGGCTACTGTTGCAACTGCTATGTATCACCATTCAACTTCTTATGCCCTATCCTGTTTCTCTTGCTCCCCCATAGATGTTCTCTGAGAAGACACCCCAGTAATCCTCTGGATGCGAATCTCAGATTCAGTGTCTATTTCCTGAGGAACCCAACTTATAACACGTAGAAGAAACTGGCCAAAGTTCTTAATTTTCCAATTTGTTGCACCAGCCCCACGTGACCACCAAAAGCTTTTCTGGGTTTCCCTTTCCCTCAGGAGAGACCCTCTTCACAGACCAAGCTTGATCCTTATTAGTCCATGTCCAGAATCAGTAAATGTCCCTAGAAAATAAAATGGCCACTTACCTCAGGAGGACTCCTCCCTCTCTGGAATTCCCATTCACCTAGTCCTTATTGCTTTCATAGCTCTCACATATCTTTAAATATGATCTTTATAATTTTTCCATCTTTTTCTAGTTGTTGCAGGCAAAGTTTTAGGCTGCCATGACCTACTATATCCTATTTAGAAGTGGAAGTCTCTAGAGAGATTTTCAAAATTACAGATGTGTGGATATTAGCTTTTCTCCTAATTTAATTGAATTGTGGTGAGAGAAGGTGTTCTGTATTATTCAAATAGCTTAAAATTTGCTGAAATGGGTTTATAATCAAATATATGGTCAAATTTAATAGTTCATGTACTCTTATAAATATGTATTCTCCCATTGTTGGATGCAATGCCCTTTGTATGTTCATGGGATCAAGTTTGTTGACTGTTTTGTGTAAATCTATATGCAAAATCTTGATTTTTGTCTACTTGATCTGCTTCTGAAAGAGGAACAATAAAACTTCCCACTGCTACGGTAAACTTGCCAATTTTCCTTGTAATTCTGTCCATATTTGCTCTATTTACCTTGGACCAATGCATCTTTACCTTTTAACAAACACTTACTAAATTAAAAGTCCTAGACCATATGTTCTGCACAAGATCAAAACAACATTTTACTAGAAATATTTCATAGTCTCCTCTCATTCTGTCTTCAGGGCCCTCTGTGTTAAGTTACACCCCAACCGTAAACATTAACGGTAAGGCCTTTTTATTTGAAGACATTCAACACATGTGCTTCTGTACAACATGGATTTTGCATGAACTTTCAATCAGATGTCGATTTTTCAAAATGGAGGTTTTCATAACAAAATGAGATTAGACAAAGACATCAAATAACCACAAGATGTGTAAAGAATCCAACAAAATCACCTGTTGGACAAACCTGATGTATACTGGGACCCGTGTAGGATGGTAAACATGAAGCAGGCAAATAATCATATAGGCCCTACTTGCAGTGTTTGATATGACTTAAGGGATGAGCTACATAAAGTTATAGTTCCTGGAGTTTTAATTCTGTATGATACTAAAAATATACAAATTTTGTGCTGGGGATCTTGGCATCTAATCTCTAGATTTCTTATGTATTTTTTCTGGCATAGGAATAGCACTAAGCCAAACATAGAAGTTGCATTTCTGTTAAATTCGTGGCTTTTTGATATCCCTATGGAAGCTTCATCAGACTTATTCACTAAGCCCATATGTTGGCTAAAATGTACAATAAATTAGGTCTTTTCTCAAGTCCCACTTTCAAGGCAATAGCATCAGGCAGCCAGGTTTATTGAATACAACAGTTGTTTCTGTGACCACTGGAGTCTTTGAAGCTGAGAGGTGACAGCGTGCTGGCAGCCCTCACAGCCCCTGCTCACTCTCAGCGCCTCCTCGGCCTTGGTGCCCACCCTGGCCACGCTTGAGGAGCCCTTCAGCCCGCCACTGCACTGTGGGAGCCCCTTTCTAGGCTGGCCAAGGCCAGAGCTGGCTCCCTCAGCTTGCAGAGAGGTGTGGAGGGAGAGGCGCAAGCGGGAACCGGGGCTGCGCCCGGCGCTTGTGGGCCAGCTGGAGTTCCGGGTGGGCATGGGCTTGGCGGGCCACGCACTCAGAGCAGCCGGCCAGCCCTGCCGGCCCCAGGCAATGAGGGGCTTAGCACCCGGGCCAGCAGCCACGGAGGGTGTACTGGGTCCCCCAGCAGTGCCAGCCCACCAGCGCTGTGCTCGATTTCTCGCCAGGCCTTAGCTGCCTCCCCGCGGGGCAGGGCTCGGGACCTGCAGCCTGCCATGCCTGAGCCTCCCCACCTCCGTGGGCTCCTGTGCGGCCCGAGCCTCCCCGATAAGCGCTGCCCCCTGCTCCATGGCGCTCAGTCCCATCGACCACCCAAGGGCTGAGGAGTGCAGGCGAACGGCGCGGGACTGGCAGCCAGCTCCACCTGCGGCCCCGGTGCGGGATCCACTGGGTGAAGCCAGCTGGGCTCCTGACTCTGGTGGGGACTTGGAGAACCTTTATGTCTAGCTCAAGGTTTGTAAACACACCAATCAGCACCCTATGTCTAGCTCAGGGTTTGTGAATGCACCAGTTGACACTGTATCCAGCTACTCTGGTGGGGACCTGGAGAACCTTTATGTCTAGCTAAGAGATTGTAAATACACCAATCGGCAGTCTGTATCTAGCTCAAGGTTTGTAAACACACCAATCAGCACCCTGTGTCTAGCTCAGGGTTTGTGAATGCACCAATCTACACTCTGTATTTAGCTAATCTAGTGGGGACATGGAGAACTTTTGTGTCTAGCTCAGGGATTGTAAATGCACCAATCAGCACCCTGTCAAAACGGACCAATCAGCTCTCTGTAAAATGGACCAATCAGCAGGGTGTGGATGGGGCCAGATAAGAGAATAAAAGCAGGCTGCCCCAGCCAGCGGTGGCAACCAGCTAGGGTCCCCTTCCACGCTGTGGAAGCTTTGTTCTTTTGCTCTTTGCAATAAATCTTGCTGCTGCTCACTCTTTGGGACCACACTACCTTTACGAGCTGTAACACTCACCACAAAGATCTGCAGCTTCACTCCTGAAGCCAGCAAGACCACGAACCCACCAGGAGGAACGAACAACTCCAGACGCACCGCCTTAAGAGCTGTAACACTCACCACGAAGGTCTGCAGCTTCACTCCTGAGCCAGCGAGACCACGAACCCACCAGAAGGAAGAAACTCCGAACACATCCGAACATCAGAAGGAACAAACTCCGGACACGCCGCCTTTAAGAACTGTTAACACTCACCGCGAGGGTCCGCAGCTTCATTCTTGAAGTCAGTGAGACCAAGAACCCACCAATTCCGGACACAAAGCGAAGCCGCATTTGAGAATGATATTTCTCCAAATACAAAAGTTGCTTGCTGTTAAAAGCGCCGTGCCGTTTATCTCTAATAAACCGTACTGCATCTTCGTTTTTCATTCCACTTTCAATTAATGCTAGGGCAACAAGCACTGGAGTCCTCCCAAGACCTGCAACACAGTGAAGGCAATACAACAACCAGGTTCTTCACGAAACTTAACGTCTAGAAGACTTAAGCAGTGATCAACAATCTGGTTGGATGGTGATGAACCATCATCAAAAGCCCAATCCAGAAACTGGATTGGCCTTCTTTCTCCACAAGAGCAGGGTCATCAGTTGCTTCACATACTCTTACTATTGTGGTAACCCCGTATTTCTTAAGTTCTTCTAAAAATCTGTTTAAGGTCGAATTGGTTGGGTTGTGTATAATAAGAAATCTCATGTTCCCGTATGTGACTTCCACTGGAGCTGGGTGATTCATTGGAGCCATGTTAATTTAGTTAAAAAAAAAAAAAACTGATATGGTTACGAAAAAAATTAAAAATTTTTGAATACAGAAATGATGTCAAGAAACTGAAGTCTACGCCAATATACTCCACTTGAAATTCACAGAGCTTTGAATATGAAGTTGGTAGTGACAGGAAATGAAATGAACCTACCAACAAGAAGCTGCGGTTCTTCAATTCAGTAATTCTGGGCCAATGGAAAGGAAGTGCACCAAGGGTTACCCCATCTAGGTCAGAACTCTTGTAAAATGCTCTAATGATCTCAATTCTACACTTCTGTGTCCAGGTGACCCGCTCTGTGGGGGCTTCTTGGTGGGGCAGTAATGACTTTCCACCATTCACTTGTCCTCATAAAGTTCGTGCTGAACCTGGCAGTAATCTCCAGGGCCCTTTAGAAACTCTATAAATGCATTATCAAGAACACCACAGAAAGGAATATGTTTACTCACGAACGATGGTGGCCTAACCATACAGCTGGGCCCGCGGCGGCCGCAGCACTGCCCGGAGCAGCCGCAGCCGCAGTCGTGGCGGGGCAGCGGCGGCAGGGCACCAAACTCTAGGAGGACCAGCGGAGCGCCTCCACTGAGGCAATACGCACACGCGCAGGTGTCGTTGCGTCCCAAGTCGTCTCTTTCCTAGACTGCGCGCGACGCAGGAACCCCTTCACCAATCGTGGTTGGGCGGACCAATGAGGACGTCATCACGGCCGCCGCCGACGGGAGCCCCTTGCTGAGGCGAAGGAACGCTGGATGAATGCTGAGTTTCCTTGTCTCCCACTAGAGAGGAGAGGGGCTGAGGAGCGACGTGGGGGTGGTGGGATAGGAAGCCTGGAAGAGGCTGGAGAGAAACTGAAGGAAGACAGGTAAGGTAGCGAAAGGTTTCCCAGCCATTGACTCTGACTAGTGTATCTTTTTCTACCTGCTTCATGTTTAAGTATGTCTCTTGGGAACAACATAATATATGGAGCTTTTTTTCCGCATCAGTCCAGTCTGACAGACTTTTTTAGCTGAAAAAGTGCACGTATGCATTTTTGCCCTCTTATTTTATGCTATTTGACCCATATTTCTATATTTTTTACCTTTTCTTGACCTCTTTTGGATTACGATTTTCCCTCTACTCTTTTGGAAGTTTTCATTGGGGCTAATACTTCCTTAGCACTTATTTTAGGGTAAGCACTGTTCAAAGCTTTATATAAATGTAATACAAAACCCCTATGAATTAGATACTAGTGTCATTTCTACTGTCCTGACTTTAAAAACCTAAGCACAGAACGGTAATTTGCCCAAGGTCACACAGCTAGTAAATGGCAGAGATGAGACTTTTTTAAAAAATAATTTTAACTTTTATTATAGATTTAGGGGGTTCACGTGCACATTTGTTACATGGGTATATTGCGTGACCCAGAGTATGAATGATAATTCTGTCACTCAGATAGTGAGCATAGTACCCAAGAGGTAATTTTGCAAGGGCTAAGATTTGAATCCCGCGATTTTGGCTGTGGAGTCTCCCTCTCTAATACAGATGGTCTATTATATACCCTGTTTCTGTTCTTTTAGTGCTTAACTAACTTAGAAAAAGTCAAACATGGTTCAGAATCTTTTCCTGCCTCTTGAAGGAATTCAGCATGCTTTAACTATTAATGTCGTCAAGCATCTTAATCTTTTAACGCCACAAATTGGACATTATTGTTTGTACAAATCAATGTTTGTTTACATTTATTCATGTTATCAGTTTCTTTGCTCACTATTCCTTCTTGGAGCTCCATTCTTTCTGAGGTTACTTTCTTTTATCCAGAAGCATTTTTTTGGAGATTCCTTTGGGTATCGATACGTTGATAAATGTTTTATATATGCTAGAAAATCTCTCACTGTTGAATCCATTTCCCTTAATATTAGTAAACTGTATTTTGTTTTTTTCTTCAGGTTTCTTTTTTGGCTTTTTTCTAAAATTCTTTTATTTTCCCTTCATTGTTAAAAGTTTTGCTGGGTACACAATTCTTCACTGACATTTTCTCTCAGCCCTTTGAAGGAAAGAAGAAATAGGGCTTTATTGCAAGGGGCCATGTGAAGGTCAGGAAGCAAAGTCTAGACATTTTAGAAAATTGTAACAGCTGTTAGAGAAGAAACCTGAGAATAAGAATATCTTCAGAGGACTGAGACAAAATGTCAGTATAGAATTGTGTACTCAGAAAAACTATGTAAAAATGAAGGCAAAGTAACAGAATTTTAGGGAAAAAAACAAAAAAGAAAAGTGAAAGGGAATTTTCAAAAGCAAATTAAATCCTTTACTTTTGATAGCCTAAGCCTGTAAAAATGGTGAAGGAAAGCTATCTAGAACAGGGATTCTTGGCCTGTGGTCCAGGGGTTCTAGGAAACTTCTAACTGCATGCAAAATGTTGTATAGGAATATATACCTGTTTTTAGAAGAAGAGTATATATTTTTCATCAGATTCTTAGAAGAGTCCATGACTGTCCAAAACATTGAAAACCACTGAAATAGGGAAACCTTTGATACATTAATCTGGTCTGGCTGTGCTGTATTTCTGGAAAAGACAGAACTTGATGATAGCAAGTCGGGGCTAATTACAGAGTTAGACTAATACAAGAATAATAGTTAACAATGAGGATCATTGAAGAAGATCCAAATTATGAAGACTTGCTCAGAAATCAGCTGTTTAGTGAAGGACTATAATAAAGTTTGATTCTTAAAATGGTTGAATGATAGAAAACATATTAGACCTCATATCTATATAATTCATATAACCATGCCTCCATCTCAGTCTTGATAGACTGGAGCACACAGCCTTGACATCTGTTGTCATGACCCCTTCTTCTCTTCACCTGGCTTTTTCCCGTTGGTCATTAAAATTCAGCTTGGGCTTCATCTCCTCAAAAAGCTTTCCCTCTCTGTGCCATGGTAAACTTACCAGAAGGAATCTACCTTGTTCTTCTAACAACCAATGCACAATAATATTAGGTTTTTACCTTGTTATACAGGGGTTTTCTAGCTTTTACCTTGTTAAACCAGAGGTTTCACAATGGTATGAAACTGGAAATCATTAACAGGAGGAATTTTGGAAGATTCACAAATACATGGAAATTAAATATGCTCATGAACAATCAGCGTGCCAGTGAAGAAATTAAAAGGGAAATCTAGAAGTATCTTGAGACAAAAAAAAAGGAACACACAACATACCAAACTTTATGGAATGCAGCAAAAGCAGTTCTAAGAGGAAAGTTTATAGCAATAAATGCCTGCACCAAGAAAGAAAATTACAAATAACTAAAAGTTACACCTCTAGGAAATTTCTTTAAAACCCTAAGCCCAAGTTAGTTGAAGGAAAGAGATAATAAAGATCAGACCAGAAATAATCTAATCTCTATTTTATTTCTGCTCTGGAGATTAAAAAAAAATACAAAAGAAACTAAAAGTTCATATTTTGAAAAGATAAAATCAAACAGCCTTTAGCTAGACTAACCAAGAAAAGAAAAAGAGAAAAGACCCAAGTAAAATCAGAAATAAAGAAATCATTACAGTTGACAACACAGAAGTACAATGGATCATGAGAGACTATTATGAACAATTATATGCCAAAAACTTGAATTACCTAGAAGAAATGGATATATTCCTACACACATACAACCTGCCAAGACTGAATCATGAAGAAATAGAAAATCTGAGCAAACCAATAATGAGTGAGGAAATTGAATCATTAATACAAAGTATCTCACCAAAGAAAAGCCCAGGAACAGATGGCTTCACTGCTGAATTCTACCAAACATTTAAAGAAGAACTAATATCAGTTCTCTACAAACTGTCTCAGAAAAAAACAAACAAACAAAAAAACGAATGGGAGAGAATACTTTCAAATTCTTTTCAGGACCAGTATTACCCTAATACCAAAGCCACACAAGCACATCACAAGAAATGAAAACTACAAGCCAATATCCTTGATGAGCATAGATGCAAAAATCCTCAACAAAATACTAGCAAACCAAATCCAACAACACATTAATAGGATTATTCACCATCATCAAGTGGGATTTATCCCTGGGTTGCAAGAATGGTTGATTATTCTCAAATCAATAAATGTGATATATCACATGAACAGAATGAAGGACAAAAATCATATGACCATCTCATTAAATGCAGAAAAAGCATTTGACAAAACATCCTTTCATGATAAAAACACTCAACAAATTAATTACAGAATGAATATACTTCAGCACAATAAAGGCCATATATAATAAGCCTACAGCTAACATTATACTCAACAGTAAAAACTTGGAACTCTTTCTTCTAAGATCTGGACCAAGGATGTCAAGGATGTGCACTCTTGCCACTTCTGTTCAATGTAATATTGAAAGTCCTTAGAGCAATGAAGCAGAAGAAAGAAAGAAAAGACATCCAAGTAGGAAATGAAGAAATAAAACTACTGTTATTTGCTGACAACATAATTTTGCATACAGAAAACCTAAGGCCAAGTGTGGTGGCTCAAGCCTGTAATTCCAACCCTTTGGGAAACCAAGGCAGGAGGATCACTTAAGGCCAGGAGTTTGAAACCAGCCTGGTCAACATAGTGAGACCCCATCTCTACAAAAAGAAAAAAACCCTAAAGGTTTTAACAAAAAGCCATTAGAATTGATCAACAAATTCAGGAAAGTTGCAGGATACAAAATCAACACACAAAAGTCAGTAACATTTCTTTACATTAACAATGAACTTTCCAAAAAAGAAATCAAGAGAACATATCATTTACAGTAGCTACTAGAAATAAAATACTGAGGAATATGTTTAACCAATGAGGCGAAAGATTTATACAAAGAAAACTGTAAAACATTAATAAAAGAAACTGAAGAAGACAAATAAATTGAAATATATCCCATGTTCATGGACTGGAAGAATTAATATTGTTAAAATGTCCATACTACATGAATGATGTGCAGATTCAGTTCAATATCAAAATTCCAATGTTATTTTTCATAGATATAGAAAAAACAATCCTAAAATTAATATGGAACTACAAAACAGCCAAGGCAATCATGAGCAAAAAGAACAAAGCTTGAGGTATCACACTACCTAATTTCAAACTATACTACAAACTGATAGTAATTAAAACAGCATGATACTGGCATTAAAATAGACATTTGAACCAATGGACAGAATAAAGAACCCAGAAATGAAACCATGTATCTACAGCCAATTAATATTCACCAAAAGTGCCAAGAATATACAATGGGAAAAGGACAAGTTATTCTATAAATGGTGCTGGGAAAACTGGATATCCATAGACAAGAGAATGAAATTGGACCCTTATCTCACACCATATACAAAAATCAACTCAAAATGAATTAAAGACATAAACATAAAACCTGAAACTGTAAAACTACTAGAAGAAAACACAGGGAAAACTACATGACATTGGTCTGGGCAATGATTTTTTAGATTTGACCCAAAAATGCAGGCAACATTTGCAAAAGTGGACAAATGGGATTACATCAAAATAAAAAATTGCTACACAACAAAGAGAGCAATTAGTAGAGTGAAGAGAAAACCTACAGATTGGGAGAAAAATATTTGCAACCCATACATATGATAAGGGATTAATATCCAAAATATGTAAGGAACTCAACTCTATTAAAAAAAAAAAAGAGACATGGGCAAGGAACCTGAATAAACATTTCTCAAAAGAAGACATGTGAATGGCTAACAAATACACAAAAAAATGCCCAACATCACTAGTCATTAGAGAGATGAAAATTAAAACTACAAATAGCTACCACTTCACATGTATTAGAAAGGCTATTATCAAAAAGATAAAAGATAACAAGTGCTGGCTAAGATATGGGAAAAAGGGAACCCTTGTACACCGTTGGTGGGAGATATAAATTAGTACAGCCATTATGAAACACTGTATGAAGATTCCTCAAAAAACTAAAAATACAGTTACCATATGACCCAGCAATCTCACTTCTGGTTATTTGTCCCAAAGATTTGAAGTCAAATATGAATATATCAAAAGAGATGTTCATTGCAGCACTATTCACAACAGCCAAGATATGGAATCAACCAAGTGTCCAACAATAGATGAATAAATAAAGAAAATGTGGTATATATACACAATGGAATAATATTCAGCCATGAAAAAGAATGAAATGCTGTCATTTATGGCAACATGGATGGAACTGGAACTGAGAGAAATAAGCCAAGAACAGAAAGTTAAACACTGAATGTTCTCACTCATATGTGGAAGCTAAAAAATAGTTGATCTTAAAGACATAAAAAGGATATGTGGATAGCATTGGAGAATATTATGCTAAGTGAAATACACCAAACACAAACAAATACCACATGTTCTCATATGTGGAATCTACAACTCATATAAGTGGAGAGTAGAATGATAGTTCCCAGAGGGTGGGGGATGGGAGGAATGACGAGATGATAGTTGAATTGTACAAAGCCTCAGGAAAAAAAAGTTTGATTTTTTTTTTTTTGAGACAGAGTCTGGCTCTGTCACTCAGGTTGGAGTGTGGTGACATGATCTCAGCTCACTGCAACCTCTGCCTCCTGGATTCAAGTGATTTTCCTGCCTCAGCTTCTTGAGTAGCTGGGACTACAGGTGCATGCCACAACGCCCAGCTAATTTTTTGTATTTTTAGTAGAGACAGAGTTTCACCATGTTGGCTAGGCTCGTCTCGAACTCCTCACCTCAGGTGATCTGCCTGCCTCGGCCTCCGAAAGTGCTGGGATTACAGGCATGAGCCACCACGCCAAGCCAACTTTGATATATTTTTGAGATCTGTTGCACAGTGTGGTGAATATAATGAGCACTGTACATGTCAATATCACTAAAAGAATAAATTTTAAATATTCTTATCACAAAAAGTTAAATAAGGTGATGGACATTTTAATTCACTTGATTTAATTATTCCACATTGTATTCAAAAATCACAATATCACTTTATACCCCATAAATATATACAACATAAATATTACAAATAATTTGTCAATATATAATTTTTAAAAATAGTTTTTAAAGGGTCTGACTGTAGTACTGACTGCTACCTATGACAGTAAATTGTAAGTTCAATTCCTCCAGTGAAAAGGTCTATGAAGTTAAATCTGCTCACCTGAACATACCAAAATTAACTTTTTTTTCTTTAACAAGGAATTCTTTTTTTTTTTTGAGACAGAGTCTCGCTCTGTCACCAGGCTGCAGTACAGTGGCACGATCTCGGTTCACTGCAATGTCCACCTCTCAGGTTCAAGCAATTCTCCTGCCTCAGCCTCCTGAGTAGCTGGGACTACAGGCGCGTGCCACCACACCCAGCTAATTTTTGTATTTTTAGTAGAGACAGGGTTTCACCATGTTGGCCAGGATGGTCTCAATCTTTTGACCTCGTCAAAAGATTTGATCCACCCGCCTCGGCCTCCCAAAGTGCTGGGATTACAGGCATGTGCCACTGCACCCGGCCAGCATTCTATATTTTTAAAATATATTAGTACAACACTATTATAGTAATTTATTATATATTAGAAACAAATTACTTCAAGGGTGCAGCAGATATAGATTCAGGCAGGTCAGGCAGTCTTGGGGAAAGCCTATTGTTTTAAATATTGGTTAATGATGATTGGCCCTCCATAGAATGATTTTTTGAGGAAATGAAAGGCAGAAACGGAGAAAGATTAGGGAAGACGTTCCAAAAAATTGTGATCATCAGCAGGTATGCTTGTTTTCATAGAAAAAGATAACATTAGCAACAAAATTTGCCCAATATCAGCTTGAGTGAATATTTTCTCCACAATTATTCAGGGCTCAACACATTCCTATTTTGTATTTGTAGGGCAAAATGAAAGTTTAAATGTTCACAAACATCTTCCCACAAAAACTTTCCCTTATTTCCCAAGGGAGAGATGTGGCGGGCAGAAAGCAAATAGTCTAAAAGACATCCTTCTTAGCTTTTGTATTTCAGAAATCTAGACTTCACTCTGTTTTACTTCAATTGGTCAGACAGGGCAGGGAGAGGAGAAGAAAGTGTTGTACCTGAGCAAGTTAGAGAAAACGCCACACTTTGAGACAAATTAAGAGTCGGTTTATTTAGCCAGTGGCCAAGAGACGGCTAACGCTCAAAGTTCTCTCAGCCCCGAAGAAGGGGCTAGATTTTCTTTTATACTTTGGTTTAGAAAGGGGAAGGGGGTCTAGTTAAAACAATTTTACAGAAATAAAGTAGGCAAAAAGCTAAAAGGATAAATGGTTACAGGAAAGTAAACAGTTCCAGGTGCAGGGGCTTTAAGACTATTACAAGGTGATAGACTCAGGGCTTTGGGCGTTATCAGTCAGACGAATTCCTGGGAATTGTGGATATTGCTCGCCACAGTATCTTATCAGTTAATTGCATTCTTGGATGTGCAGCTTGCACAAGTTAAGTCCTTCAGGAAGGGGCTGCCAGTGAAAGAGCCAAGATAGAGTCTGTCTGGCTCTCTTAGCTAAGGGAGAGTCAATTCACGTGGAAACAAGGCTAGGTGATTAAAGGAAAAGGGAGAGTCTAAAAACAGGGTTAGTAAAAACAAGGTTGGGCATTACAAAAGTATGAAGATAAACGAAGAAAGTTTTTAGTTGAGAACAGCCATACCTTAACTGAAAGTCAGTCCTCTGACAGGGAGTTAAGTCCTCTTGAACAGCACCTACAGCTTAAGAATGAATGCAAGTGAAGTAGTGGGAGACTCACCTCACAGTGCACAGTTACTCCAAGGGTGTAGAAATAGCTGGACAAGGGAATGATATCTTGGGAAGGCCCACTAAAGTCCCAGGTATGTCATCAATGAGAAAACTCAGGGAGCATTGTTCTGGCCTCCTGGGGGTAAATAGTCTAACCCATCTCTGTGATATTCACACATATACCCCTCTGGAAAAGTCTAGGACTGGGGGAAGAGGGAGGGGTAAAATGTACCATTATGAATTGTCATGCACAGTCAGGCGCTTAAAAAATATTTATTATTGCCACTATTCATTACAGATGAAAAAAGTTTTGTACACAAAGTCATGGAGCAGCAGCAGGGCTGGGTCAGCAGCACCCCAGCAGCCATAATGAAGCTGGATCCCATTCCCAGCCCCTGTGCAGCAGGTTCTAGCCCTCAGGACCATTCAGACACCTTCACTGCCATCAGAAACTAGTATAGGAAATAATTGGGGGTGGGAGGAAAGCAGGAGTGAATTCAATAAGGGCTTAACAAGCAATCTAATGAAAGCACCAAACCTAAACAATGATTTTTTTCTCTGAGGTAAAAATACGCAGTTTCACAATCACCCCCAAACATGTAAAAGATAAAAACTTTCCCCGGGAAACGAAGAGCCAAACTTTGAGTTTTACACAAGCAACCGGGAGCCAGGCAGGAACTTGTTCAGGGGCCACAGGTTGCTCTCGCCCACGTTGGAGGTGCGCCTCTGGCATTGCTTGCAGCGCCGATACTTCTCACACTGGTCTAGGAGAAACAGCTTGTCTGAAGCCCTGAGGAGAGGAGAGCAAATGCCGATCAGCAGGTTCCTGGAGTTCCTGGAGGCCCAACTTGGAAGCTGGTATGGCAGGAGGTACACAAAAGAAAAGTGACACCTTGCGTTCTCTGCCTGTATGCTGCAGTTCACCCCATCCTGGCATCCCCTGCTTCCAGACTTCTGCTGGCTTGTCGTTCTCTACTAAATAAAAAGCCACGACTTGTGCCTTCACAACAGTCTGACCCTACCCCTCCCCAGCCTCAACCACCCAAGCCCACAGAGAACTTGCCGAAGGTCACACAGCCAGCAGACAGTGGCTCCAAAGCCTCTCTGTTGACTGCTTTCCCACGTGGATTACACCTCTACCTGTTGAGCTCCTGGGAGACAGTATTTGAGAGGCAGATCAACCATTAAGTTGCTGGTTATCAGCTAACAACAGCAGAGAGTTGAGAGGACTTACAATGAACTATCCCAGGAGGCCAGAAGCCTCTGGAGAGTTAAGGGCAGGAGAGGGAGTGGAGACAAAGAGGAAGACAAAAGCAACTAAAAGCAGAAATAAAGAGGCAGTAGTAACTGACTTTCCCCTTTGATGGTTTTTCTTCGTTACGCAAAACAGTCCCTCATGTGCTCCTCTACCCCATCAAAATTTCTCCATGGGTGGATTTTTTTTTTTTTTTTTGAGACTAGGTCTCCCTCTGTCACCAGCCTGGAGTGTGCGATCACAGCTCACTGCAGCCTCGACTTCCTGGGCTCCAGCGATCCTCCCACCTCAGCCTCCAGAGTAGCTGGAATGACAGGTGTGCACCACCACACCCAGCTAATTTTTGTACTTTTGGTAGAGATGGGGTTTCACCATGTTTGCTCAGGCTGGTCTCAAACTTCTGAACTCTAGCAATCCATCTGCCTCAGCCTCCTAAAGTGCTGTGATTACAGGCATGAGCCATGGCATCCAGCCAGAATTCTGTTTAAGAAGGATGATCGGCCGGGCGCGGTGGCTTACGCCTGTAATCCCAGCACTTTGGGAGGCCGAGGCGGGCGGATTGCGAGGTCAGGAGATCAAGACCATCCTGGCTAACACGGTGAAACCCTGTCTCTACTAAAAAACACAAAAAATTAGCCAGGCCTGGTGGCAGGCGCCTGTAGCCCCAGCTAGTCGGGATGCTGAGGCAGGAGAATGGCATGAACCCAGGAGACGGAGCTTGCAGTGAGCCGAGATCGCGCCACTGCACTCCAGCCTGTGCGACAGAGTGAGACACCATCTCAAAAAAAAAAGGATTATCAAGGGCAGTCTTAAAAGAAAAAAGAATAAACTACCTTGGAAGTGAGCAGGGGAAGACCTACCTGGCTTGGTAATGGAACAGAGTATCATGTGCTAACTGCATACATATGGACTTTGGTTTTACTTTTGCTTTATTTTCTTTTTGTGCCAACCAATTCCTTCTTGCTACTGCTGCGTGCTCAAGTCTCTGTCCACACTTGGCCTAGGTCCTCAGAGAAGTCTGCTCCACGATATACCAGGAGTAGATTTGTTAGCCTGCCACTCAACATTATTTCCTGTGTCTCCTCAGTCCTTTATCACCATGTTGGCCAAGCACTCTTCCTAGACACAACTAAAATCTCCCTGGCATTAATCTCACTGACTTTTACCTGCCTTCCCAAATCACTGAGAAAATTGAAATCCCCAACTGCCCTTTCCTCTCCTTTTCTCTAAGCCAAATGAGTCCACTTCTCCTTTGGAACCTATTTTCCACGTCATCACTCATACTTTCATTGTCACAAAATATGGGTTCTACTCATTAGAAAGACAGGTGAGAAATGCTTTACAAGAAAACCTAAAAGGAAAAGGAGAGTTACAGATCAAGATCCATTCTACAAATTTTATCCATGATTAAAAACTGATAATTGGCAATTTAAACTATTATTTTGGTATATTTGGGTTTTAATAACTTGATTGTATAGACTTGATCTGTTTCATCACATTTTTAACATGCTATAAAATCATACCTTACATTCGTATTTTAATTTTTTTTCAAGATGTAATACAACAGTAGTGATGTGAATATTTAAGCTGAGGATTGGGCAGGCATATAATAATTTCAGAAAGATGCTCTTGGTTGGCTCCATAATAGGCATCTTACTTTTCCAATTGCCAATCTTACAACCCCTGACCCTGCTCTTAAATAACGATTCTCTAAGCCTTGAAAACGTTCAGATTGGAAACTCACTCCCCCTACTTCCAAATAGTTATTTCCAAAGAGAATCTTCACTCTCCACAAAAAGCAAATAAAGCCACCCTAAGCAGAGGCAAATATTAGAGCACGGTTAGTAAATACCTAGCATACAACTCAGCATTCTCCAATCCCATGTCTGTAACAGACATTTCTAATCAATCACGGCAGTATTTCCCATGGAATACAGACTTGCTTTCTCCACAAGGTTCTCTAGGCAGCCACTGCTAATCAAGTGGAGTTCCACTTGAAACCTGTTGCTGTCCCACAAGGAGCAGGAGAATTTTGGGGTTCCAATCAGGCATTACCGTTCAAAAGCCTTGTCCTCCAGGTCTCGCTGCTTCTTCATCGCAGCACTCCTTTCCCAGTCCTCCTGTAAGCATTGGTTGACTCTATTTACTCGCTCCAGCTCAGCGGTTCTGTCTGCCAAGTGCCTGGAGAGAAAAGAACAGCCTGGCTCCATAATACTTGGAAGAGCATGCACCAAATTTGGGAGCCCCATTCCTTTTATGTTAAACAAAAAAAACCTTCTGGTTTTGTTCACTACTCTGAAATATACTAAAAAGCATGAACACTGTAAAAGCATACTGAAATTCCTAGCTCTCAAATAATTTATGGATCAAAGGTCTTTTATCTTCAATCCTGGTTTGATTTAATAGGATTGAAACCTTTTTCCAGTTAACAACTTCAACCTGTAAAACCATTAATTTCCTTTGAGGCTAATTTAACTTATCTGAAGAATCATCCCAAATGGATTTCCTATACTCTGTTTCTTTCCTTTTAGTCCAGCCTCTCAGCTGCCAGTACTCAGCCTACCAGTCACTGCAGACATATTACAAGGCAAAATAGATAGGTATACAAATGAAAGTCTACAAAAAGAGAAAATAAACACAAGTGACTAAGCAAGGGAAAAGAAAATAGAGAAAACATTAACATTGTGAAGAAGGCAAGAAAATAAAACAGGAATGTTTGGTGAAGGCCATGTCATCGAAGAAGTGACTGCAGTATAATCTCTGTCTTCAAAGGGAGATATTCCCAGTGTTGTGTTTCTATCACTGGTCTCCAAACACTCCATCACTACTGTTGTGAATCACCTTAAGCCTGGTTCTGATTATGTGTCTATTTCTTGCTAAACTGAAACCTTTGCTGTCAGTTCTCACTGAAATCTAGAAGGAGCTTCACAAAATGTAACTGTTGATGTAGCCTGCTCTGAAGGGCTTTGTGTTACAGGTACCAACGACCACTGGGTGTCAGGATCCTCCAATAAAAATCAGTTAATGTCCTCTATACTGTCTCACTTTTTCCTTAAACGGCACACCTTTTCATCTAACAAGCATTGATTGAACAGCTATTGTATGGTTATTATAAAGACTAAATGATACACAGGAAGTGCCAGTGCCTATCATGTAACTGGAGCTCAATGACTGAAGAGTACCTATTACTTTTTTCATAAGTTATTTTTCTTTTCGTAGATTTTTTTTTTGTGGTTTAAAAAAACACATAACAAAATTTACTATCTTAACCATTTCCAAGTGTACAGTTACTTAGTGTTAAATACATTCATGTTATGCACCCAATCTCCAGAACGCCTTCACGTTACAAAACTAAAACTACACCCATTAAACAACTCCCCATTTCTGCCTCCTCTAGCCCTTGGCAACCAACATTCTACTTTCTGTTTCTATGAATTTTACTTCTCTGGATAACTCATATAAGTGGAGTCATACAGTATTTTGTCTTTTTGTGACTTGTTTATTTCACTTAACATAATGACCTTGAGGGTCATCCACAGTGTAGCATGTGTTAGAACTTTCTTCCTTTTTAAAAGTGAATAACAATTCCATTGTACAGTGTATATATATACCCACACTACATTTTGTTTATCCATTCATCTGTCGGTGGACACCTGGGATGCTTCTACTTCTTGGCTGTTACAAAAAGTGCTGCTATGAACATGGCTGTACAGATATCTTTTGAGATCAGCTTTCAATTTTTTTGAATACATATCCAGAAGGGGAATTACTGGATGATACAGTAGTTCTATTTTTAATTTTTTGAGGAACCACCATACTGTTTTCCATAGCAACTGTACCATTTTATGTTTGCACCAACAGTACACAAAGGTTTCTACTTCTCACTAACGCGTGTTATTTTTTTTCATAGTAGCTATCCTGATGGATGTGACATGGTATCTCACTGTGATTGTGGTTTGCACTTTCATAATAATTTGTGGTGTTAATCATTTTTTCATTTGCTTGTTGGCCATTATTATGTTATTTTTTTAAGGATAGGTTAAAATAATTTTAAATGCCCAGAAAGTAAGAAAATGAGGCAGAGATTGTGCAGGGGACAACTAGCATTCTCACAACATTGCTGAGAAGCGAGTTGCTATGCCTTCTTAGAAATGTAACTGTCAGTTTCTGGTAATATTTCAAATGTATCATACATTAGCCAGGAGTGGTGGCATGCACCTGTAGTCCCAGCTACTCATGAGGCTGAGGCATGAGAATCACTTGAACCCAGGAGGCAGAGGTTTCAGTGAGCCAAGATCGCACCACTGCACTCCAGCCTGGGCGACAGAGTGAGACTCTGTCTCAAAAAAACAAAAAAAAAAAGGAAAATTAGATGTACCGTACATTGGACACAGCAGCCCCACTTTTGGGAATTTATCTGATAGAAACAAAAGAACCAGTATAAAAATATATATTAAAAATGTTTAATACAAAATATCTGGAAACAAAGTGAATGTTCATCAATAATGCAAAAGTTAAATTATTATACATCTATATTATAGATAATATGCTGCTATTAAAGAAGAATGAATCTCATATATATGTACTGAGTTGTATATGACATTGCTAGGTTAAAGAAAGATTAGTTTGCAGAGTAATATATAAGATCTCATAGACTATTTCATTTACAAAAGTAGAAGGAAAAATATATGTGCATATTGCTTAAAAAGGAAAAATTGTTTAAATTTTTTTATAAATAATTAAGGTTAATATGTAACCTACTTTTAAATTATTTTTTACAAAAAAAATTTAAAAAATTTTCCTATTTAAGCAATATGCACATATGTATTGGCTACTTAGTAGGGGAGATTATTAACCTTTTTTTTTTTTTTTGAGGCAATCTCTGTCGCCCAGGCTGAAGTGCAGTGGCGCAATCTCAGCTCACTGCAACCTCTGCCTCCCAGGTTCAAGCATTCTTGTGCCTCAGCCACCCGAATAGCTGGGATTACAGGCGCACACCAACACGCCCAGCTAATTTTTGTATTTTTAGTAATGACGGGGTTTCACCATGTTGCCCAGGCTGGTCTCAAACTCCTGGGCTCAAGTGATCTGCCTGCCTCGGTCTCCCAAAGTGCTAGGATTACAGGCATGAGCCACCGTGCCCGGCTAACCTTCAATTGACTTCTTTTAATGAGCATGAATTGTTACTTTTGAAAATAAGAGCAAAAAGAAAAAAAACAAGTATAAATAGCTTAGCAGTCCTGTCTGGATCACCCTGACTAAATTATCCCCTCTGAAAGAAAGTGGCCTTCTATGAGTCACAAGACAATCTGAGATCACATGTTAAGATGAACCAGAGAAGGACCAGGGAGTTGGAAAAGATAAGGGAAGTGAGAGAATCTGCCATAACCAGTAAAGAATATGTAAATAGAAAACAAGGATCTGACCAATACAGAAACAGGGATGTGTTCAGAGCTTTACAGTTTCCGAAAATGCTCTCACATACATAATCTCATCTAATTCTCCCAGTAAGGTTAGGAGGGGCAGATGTGATTATCCTTCTTTCTCATATGAGGACAATAAGGCTCAGAGACCTTACATGTGATCTGGCCCAAGTCATACAACTTAAAAGTGACACTTTAACCCTCCAAGTTTAGGAAATAACTAGAGAAGCCAACAGATAGAAGCAGAAGAGGAAGTAGCAATAGTCTTAGCAACAAATACAGAGGGTCCCATATCTGGCTATGGAAAGCACACTTTGCTTCCCACTATGGGACAAGTGATGGTGGTTCTGCTGTTATAAAACAGAAGCTAAAGAGGAGCTGAATGCTTACCTAAGGGAATAAATTTTTTTAAAAAATCAGTGGGAAAGACATCTTCCTTTCAGGCATGTTTAGGCTTTACAAATATATCAGATAAAGGACTTATATACAGAATATATAAAGAACTTTCAAAACTCAACAATAAGAAAAGAGTTTATAAAATAAGCAAAAGATTTGGATTGATACATTATACCCTTAACCAAAGAAGATACACGGATGGCAAATAGGCACATGAAATGATGTTCAACATCACTAGTCATTAAAGAAATCCAAATTAAAGCATGAGACACCACTATGCACCTGTTAGAACAGCCAAAATTAAAAAGACTGATCAGGCTGGGTGCTGTGGCTCACACCTGTAATCCCAACACTTTGGGAAGCTGAGGCAGGAGGATTGCTTGAACCCTGAAGTTCAAGACCAGCCTGGGTAACATAGTGAGACCCTGTCTCCCCAAAAAGTTTAAAAATTAGCTGGGCGTGCTGGCACTCGCCTATAGTCCCAGCTACTCCAGAGGCTGAGGTGGGAGAACTGCTCGAGTCCAGGATGTTGAGGCTGCAGTGAGCCATGATCATGCCACTGCACTCCAGCCTGGGTGACAGAGCAAAACCCTGTCTCAATCAATAAAATAAAATAAAGACTGATTACACCAAGTTCTGGGAATGATGGGGAGGACTAGAACTCTCATATGCTATTGGTTGGGAATGTAAAGTAGTACAGCCACTTTGGAAAACACTAAAGTGTCAAGAGAGGTTTTTAAAAATTTATTTAATAACATTTTCTTCATATAATGAATTAAGATAAAACAAGATGAAGCATGTAATAAGTTTAAAACAATGCCTTGCACAAATAACTCCTCAGTGTGTTAGCTATTATTCTTATTTCTCCACTATTGTATGAGAAAGATGAGGGGCAGGGACAGGGTGGAAAAAGAGAGATAAAGGAAGCGGAATAAGTGAGGAGAAGTGGAGGGAGAAAGATCAGGGGTCTCCTTACTCTCTTTGTGTCCTCTGAAGCATTTGCAAATCCCGCCTCTGGTCCACTAGTTGATGCAGGATGGCTTTCCTCTTGTGGTTAGCAGCTGCCTCCAGCTGGTGTTTCATGTAATTTTGTTCTCGCTTTTGCTTTTCCACCATCAGTTCACCCTCATTCTTACCAAAGATGGGCTCAGAGGAGTCTGGCTCAAAGGGGGGCAGCCGAGAGGGTTTGTTCTTTATCTTAAACAGAGATACACATAATGCAGGTTATCATTCTACCAGGGAATAAGCTTTATGCACAACCCTGTAATGTGGTAAAATACCAGCATCTTACAGGAAGGAATGCGGGGCACAAAAACTACCAAATGCATAACACATAAAAATATTCGTAACAACTTACACATATTTTAGGATGTTATTGATGCATTGCATAATTTTAAAAATAATATTTGTCTGTCCCCTTACCTGTGCATCCAAAGCTCTCTTGTAACACTGTGTTTCTTCCATCTTATCTTTTAAAAATTTCGCTCTTTGCGCAGCAAGTCTGGCAGTTAAGAACAAGAGAAGATGGACCACAGTTTTGCAGTCTTTAGTAATATGGATTAACATCATCAAAACATGTTTAATAAGTATTAAATAGGAACAAGAGTCTGGTAAATAAAAATTGATGTTTTATTCTGGTAGCTTTCATTTTAAGAAAGAAAAGAGTAATTCAAATCCATAGGCGGCCAGGCACAGTGGCTCATGTGTGTAATCCCAGCACTTTGGGAGGCTGAAGTGGGCAGATCACTTGAGGTCAGGAGTCCGAGACCAACCTGGCCAACATGGTGAAACCCTATCTCTACTAAAAATACAAGAATTAGCCGGGGGTGGTGGTGGGTGCCTGTAATCCCAGCTACTCAGGAGGCTGAGGCAGGAGAATTGCATGAACCTGGGAGGTGGAGGTTGCAGTAAGCCAAAATCACACCACTGCACTCCAGCCTGGGCAACAGAGTGAGACTCCATCTAAAAAAAAAAAAAAATTCCATACGCTAGTGAACAATGTGCTGAACACAGGACAAACAAGTATAGGCAGGTGACCGACCATATTGTCCAAATGCCTTACTACTAAAACAGCAGACACATCACCACCACTCCACCTCTTCCCACACCCACCAGTTCTTTTAAAAATCTACATAAGAAAGCAGGAAGTGACTATTCATTCTATAAACTGATTTATTTTGAAATCTCTTAAGTTACCTATCCTATTAAAAATTATGGTTCTATTATATGTAACTTCTAAAGAACCCATATATGATCTTTCAAGTGAGTATAATGGAACATATACATTTTATAGAAATAGATTTTTTTCATCACAGAAACTTGCTTCTTATTTGTTTTAGGAGTTTCTGTTCACACTATAATGGCCTCCATAGTTGCTCTCCCAATCTCAGCAGCAAAAATGTGGGCCCCCTTAGGCATATGTATGTAAGCAGAGGGAAAGCCGCTCTACATGGATTTTTAGTCTCTGGTTCCAGTCCTTCCTATGTTCCCTGTACATTCCTGCCCTCAGGTTCCATGGGACACCCCTACATAATTATAATAAAACCTCAGCTTTGCCATGAGGTCATTTGAACATCTAATAGCTAAGAACAGCTGCTCAAGACGAGTCCCTTTCTTCATCTACTGGTATTGGCGATTGCAAAAACAATACAAAATGATGCTCTATATTATAGTAATTACAGATTGACCATCACTACCATAATGATAACTATGACAGCTTTTTCATTTTTGTAATAAAAAATTGTGGTACTGATACAGAAGGGAAGTGCTGGGAAGGGAAGAGCGTGGTCCCTTTAAACGATATGGAAGTGGGGAAAGGGCATGGTCCCTGGCTAGGGCTCCACCCTAGGACATGGTCCCTGGCTAGGGTTCCATCTGTGCCCACGGACCTAGATGAGGACAGGCATTTTTGTTTTCCTGCCTAAATGTTGCATTTCTCAAGACCACCCTGGCCTGCCACACCCCCATCCTGTGCCTATAAAAATCCCCCAAGACCCTAGCAGGCAGGCACACAAGCGGCTGGACGTCGAGAGAAACACATCAGCAGAGGAACACACAAGTGGCTGGATGCTGAGAGGATGTCCAGAGCACATCAGCAGGCCATCAACCAGTGGAATGACGTGGAGTTTGGCTGGGGTGGTTGGAGGGGAACCCGGGCCGCACAGCAGCCCGACTCAGGGGAATACCATCTCCTTTCTGGCTCATCCATCTGTTGAAAGCTACTTCCACTCAATAAAACCTTGCACTCATTCTCCAAGCCCACATGTGATCCAATTCTTCTGGTACACCAAGGCAAGAACCCTCGGATACAGAAAGCCCTCTCTCCTTGTGATAAGACAGGGGTCTATTGCGCTGACTAACACAAGCCACCTACAGATGGCTAAACTAAAAGAGCACTCTGTAACACATGCCCACTGGGGCTTCAGGAGCTGTAAACATTCACCCCTAGATACTGCCGTGTGGCCAGAGCCCCACAGCCTGCCCATCTGTATGCTCTCCTAGAGGTTTGAGCAGCAGGGCACTGAAGAAGCAAGCCACACCCCCACTGCATGCCCTGCGAGGGGGACGAGGGAACTTTTCCCATTTCAGTACTGGCTGCTAACTGGGTTAGTTTGCTCAGTTGGTTACAGTGTGCTAATGAAACTACCAATGCTGATTCAATCCTACATGAAAAGTAACTTCACATGAAAATTCCAAATCCATTTGTCAGAGCGTGTGTAGCTGGACTCACTCCTCTGTGAGTTGCACTTGTTCCAGGCGGTCCATCAACTCTCTGTATTGTCTTTGCTTTATTTCGTTTTCCTGTCTGTTATCCATTTGTTTCAGGAGACTCCGGGAATATTCCTCTTGCTTAAGAGCATTAAGCGCAGGACTGAGTGGCCGTTTGTCAAATAGGAAGGATTTCTAGAATGAAAGAGAAGCAATTCATTTATGCTAGAGTACTGAAAAACAAGGTTAATAATTCAGAAGACTAAGATAAATCAGAAAGTATTTCTTAATTTATAATATTTGCCCAGCCCTCAACACACGGACCAGCTGGTGTTGAGGTAACACATAGAATCATATGAGTGTGTTCAAGGATGAAGCTGAGCTGAGCTGTGTTACCAAAACACCAGGGGTTTGGTCTAGGTGCTCACAGCACAGAAAGCCAATCACTGAGACAATGATTATTGCCAGGGAAGAAGGATTTAATTGGGTGCTGTAGCCAAGGAGATGAGAGATCAGTCTCAAATCCATCTCCTTGACCAACTAAAAGTAGGGGTTTATATAGCAGGGAAGAATTGAAACTATGTATGGGAAAACCAGAATTCGGGAGGGATAAGGAAGCAATCATGGTCAATGGAGGGGCCTGGCTCATTGTCTGAATGCAATCATCTGGTGAGTTTCAATTCTTTGACACTTTTTGGAAGGCCTAGTGGTTCTTTTCTGAGGAAGAAACTCAGATAAAACAATGTTAAGTTTCAAGCTTTAAGACCAAAAGGGTCAATTTCTATGTTTATTTAAAACAAAAACAAAAACAAAACCTGTCTGTGGGACTATTGGGTCAGTTTCAACTGGAATCCCATTGCTGAGACAGAGATGAAAAAGGACTCCTGGAGTAGGTTGTGAGTTAGCATTTACAACATCCAGATGGAAGGAAGAAGGAATTCTGAGTGCATGCGAAATCATGCAAGGACAGAGAGGAGCTGAAAGGAGGGCAAACTGAATACCTACTGTGGGCCTGGCCATTCTAGACCCTGGTGATCCAACAGTGAGCAACAACAGAGATCTTCGCACTCATCAAGCCTGCATGCTGATGCAGGAGACAGACAATGAGCAAGAAACGGTACATCAGGTCATTTAAGATAGTGCTAAGTGCTAGGAAGCCCTTATGATAGCAAGTGGCTGGGTGGGAAAAGAGCTAAACTGGTTGGTTATTAGGGAAGGTTTTTCCATGGAGAAAATGAATCACCTTCACTGTAAATATCAGGGAGACCCGTGTTCCATACAGAAGGAACATTAAGCGCAAAGACACTAGATGGAAACAAGCTAGGCATGTTCAATGAGCAGAAAAAAAGTCTCTGTGGCTGAGGCATAGTGACCAAGGGAAAGGAGAAGGCATAGTGACCAAGAGGAAGGCAGGAGTCAAAGCGTGTAGAATTTGATAGTTGAAGGTGAGGAGTCTAAATTTCATTTTAACTCAATGGGAGGCCAGTGGAGGTTTTAAATGGGAGAATAGTATGTTTTGGTTAACAATATTATAATATCACTTTGGCTGGTGTGTGGAGAATAAATTATAGGAGAGCAAGAATGCAAGCAGTGAATCTAAGGGAAGTATTGGAGAAGTTGAGCATAACAATGTGGCTTGGCAACACTTTCAGTGTGGCAACATTAAAGATGAAGACATTTGGACAGGTATTGGATACATTTTGGAGGTAAAGGCAACTGGACTTGCAAATGATCGGAAGTCAGGAACAGAGAAAGGAATATTGTGATCATGACTAAATACAGGTTTGTGCAAAAATGGCTGGTTGGTGATGCCACTTACTAACATGAGAAGACAGAAAGGAACAGGTTAAGGAGGGAATCAAAAGTTCTGTTTAGGTCTTTTTAAATTTAAGATGTGTATAGATATATCAAAGAAGAGATACACAGCAGTAATAAATATAATCTGGAGCTTATATATAAAGAGAGAGAAAGATCATGCCTAAATTTCAGAAGCCCCATGCTCGCTCGCTCTCTCCTTCCTTCCCTGTTTCCCTGCCTGGAATGCTCTTCCTCCCTTGATTTCTTTACCTAACTCTTGTATGTCAGAAAGTCTTTCCAGATCTCTGGTCTAGGTTAATGAATCTCTTCTTTTGCTCATATAGTGCCCTTTTTTCAGAGATTTATCATCGCATTTATTATACCACACAGTTGTCTCTTTAAGTGTCTGTCTCTCCCACTAGAGACCTCTTCAGAAGAGGGAACCTTGTATTCCTAGACACCAGCACAGTGGCTGGCCTGGAGGAATTCAATAAATGTTTGATGATGAATAAATAAATTATAATTTATTAGATTTATGTCCGGAGTGTCGACTACCTAGATGGTGATATATAAAGAGGAAGATTCAGGCAGAAATAAAGGTAGGCACATGATGATTGAAAACATTAAAACAAGCAGTGAAGCAGTTGGCTCACCACCATCTGAATCTGAGTTTCTCAAACATTAATGCAAATACAAATCACCTGGGGATGTTATTCCACCATAGATGCCCATTCAGGGAGTCTGGGGTGAGGCCCTAGATTCAGCATTTCCAGCAAGTTCCCAGGCAATGCTGATACTGCTGGTTCTCTTAGGTCCTTGGGCTGGACTTTAGTAGTATACTGCTCCCTCCTCTCCACCCATCCCACGTCCTGGTTGAGAATTACCATAATTAACAAGACCTGCAGTGACTAGTAGGAATGGTACAGTGAATGTGAGTGGTGTGGCTATAGACACTGGACAACACCTGCCCTAGAAGAAAGCTTCAAACTGCACCACCCACTTTTCAACTCCGCTGCTTAAAAAAAATGGCACAACTGGCTGGGCATGGTGGCTCACACTTGTAATCCCAGCACTTTGGGAGGCCAAGACGGGCAGATCATGAGACCAGGAGTTCAAGACCAGCCTGGCCAACATGGCGAAACCCTGTCTCTACTAAAAATACAAAAATAGCGGGGCATGGTGGCGGGTGCCTGTAATCCCAGCTACTCGGGAGGCTGAGGCAGGAGAATGACTTGAACCCGGGAGGCAGAGTTGCAGTGAGCTGAGACCACACCATTGCACTGCAGCCTGGGTGACGGAGCAAGACTCCATCTCAAAAAATAAAAATAAAAAATAAGGCACAACCTGCAACACAGGGAGTGGATCCAAAGGCTCACAGATGGGCCAGGTGTTAGCAACAGAAATTTTTAAAAGACTTACATAAAATTCCGGTTTCTCATTCTTGTGGTTTCTTATAGCTTCAGCAACTCCAAGATTATAGGCAGCATTTTTCTGATTCTGTTCTCTAGTAGCCAGACTTTTCATCTATTGTTTAAAAAAAAAAAAAGTTTATTTTTAAATTTTAAATTACATATTGAAGTGGAGCCCCCAAAAATTTTAATTCTATTACATTAAAATAATCCAGCCATGGTAGAAACCTGCCTTTTGGAGGCAGTGGTACTTTCTGATATCTCTATAGATTTATAAAAGTAGATTGGGAAAGGTATTTTATTTCCTTTTCTTGGCCTTTAGGTACCACCACTAGAGGGATCTAAGGAATGGAAGAATTCATCACAAATGCAGGAAAGGGCAGGCAGCAGGGTCAATTATTAGACACCACATAAATCTGGATACAGCAAGTGTAAAAGTGCCATTCTGTCTTTGCTTGAAATAGGACATGAATCTGAAGGGTAAAAGCCTTCACCAGAGTTATATTTTATCAGAAATAAAGAAACATAAATCCAATAATTCCACCTTTAAAATTCAGACCTTAGGTTAAAGAAAATCAGTGATATGTGCAAACATTCGACTGCATGGAATTCATCCCAGTGTTGTTTATTATTAGTGAAAACTTCAACGCAAGTTTTAGTCTAACAGTAAATACGTGATTAGATATCCCACAGTACAGACATATGATGGAACATTTTTAAATTACATTATAGGCTGGGCTCAGTGGGTAATGCCTGTAATCCCAGCACTTTGGGAGGCAGAGGCGGGAGTTGGAGCCTCTGGATGCTTGAGCCCAGGAGTTGGAGACCACCCTGGGCAACATGGTGAAACCCTGTCTCTACAAAAAATACATAAATTAGCCAGGTGTAGTGACGTGTGCCTGTAGTCCCAGCTAATCTGGAGGCTGAGGTCGAAGGATCATCTGAGCCCAAGTAGGTCAAGGCTGCAGTGAGCAGAGGTTGTGCCACTGCATTCCAACCTGGGTGACAGAGTGAGACCCTGCGCCAATAAAAAATAATAATAAATTACATTATATAATCATGTTCTATTGCCCCATATTAAAGACTAATCGAGGTGTTGGACTACCTGGTGTCTGAAGAGAGCCTCCTGATCCTTTAACATCTGATACTGCTGTATGAGTCTCTCATCTTCTATCTCTCTCCTCCTTTCCTCACTGTAGTACAACAGGGAATTTCGTTGTGCTCGTTGCAAACATACATAGCACATTTCCTACAATCCCAAATTTCAGGACAAATAAATTTTTACATTTTACCTTTTTGCTTTCGCATTCCCTTCACAAGCTCTCCAAAGGCTAGGTATATCAAGAAACCTATTATTAATGGATATATTAGTGACAGCAAAATGAGATTTGCAGAGTGGACCCCAGAAATACTCTAAAGGATCTTCTGAACTCTCACTTCATCAGAAGTATTTATAGCAGCTGAAACTTAGAAAGGGATTTCTCAACTCTTTTTTTGTTTACCAGTACATCTTGACTAGTAGATAGATTTATCACAGTCTAGTTTTGAGCCTGAGTACTTGAGTACTTGAGCCATACTCATATAATTAAGGAAGAGAGATTCCCAGAACTCTCTTTGAGAAACAAAAATCAGTATAAGATTCTGATGGGACTTATTTGTTTGGAAACACTGTACCTGTCCTGCCTTGTTATGATCCTGGCAAGCTGGAGATGTTTGGGGCTTCATCTCACTGTCGTGTTTCAGACAACTTGGATATGATAAGCTATAAAAACAATGCAACATTAATTAATGTTTAATACAATCTGACCTCAAGGGCAATAATAATTTTAGAGGCAAGTATAAGATGAAGAAAAATATTTCAGTGGTTTACTTCAAAACAGCTATATGTATAGAGGTTAAGAATATGTACCACAGAATCTGAATTTGTGTCAGATAAAGGTGGGTTTGAATCCCAGCTTTCTTGCTTGCAAGATGACTGACATCAGACCAGCTGTGTAATCTTGCAAAGTCCCAGTTACCAGTCATGTGAAATGGGGATGAAATGTATTCATTCCACAGAAATGTATTGAGTGCTTACCATGTACACTGTTCTAAGCACAGGAGAAGCAATGAAGAACAAAATACACACATACAAAAGTCCCTGCCCTCATGGAATTAACATTCTGATGGGGATAGACAGCCCAGTGACAAGATAAATAAGTGCACTCTATAGTATGTTCCATGATGATAAATGCCTTGCAATGCTGGAGGAATGGAGTGTTAAACTGTAAAGAGAATGGCCAGGGAAGTTCTTACCAAGGAAGTGACATAGGAGTAAATACCTGAAGGAAGTAAGAGAACAACAGTGTAGATATCTGATGGAAAAGACATTCCAAGCAAACAAACCAGTGCAGTCCTTCAGGTGGAAGGTGCCTATGGTCAGTGTGGTGGAGGGAGATGAATTAGGGGTGAGTATTAATATTAATACTAGTATTAATTCATTAGAAAATAGGACAGATAGTATCACCTAAAAAGCAGCTCGAAGAATGAAAATATTTATTTTTTAATTTTATTTATGTTATTTTATTTTTTGAGACAGAGTCTCGCTCTGTCACCCAGGCTGGAGTGCAATGGCGCAATCTCAGCTCACTGCAACCTCTGCCTCCCAAGTTCAAGTGATTCTCCTGCCTCGGCCTCCTGAGTAGCTGGGATTACAGGTGCACACCACCATGCTGGGCTAATTTTTGTATTTTTAGTAGAGACGGGGTTTCACCATATTGGTCAGGCTGGTCTCGGACTCCTGACCTAGTGGTCTGCCCACCTCGGCCTCCCAAAGTGCTGGGATTACAGGCATGAGCCACCGCGCCAGGCCAAGAATGAAAATATTTAAAAGTAGAGAAATAGAGAACAGATTCAGAAGCTCAAACATGCATTTAATAGAAGTGCTGAATTTTTAGAATAAAGGAAATGGCAAAGAACAATATTCTAGAAAATAACAGATAAGAATTTTCCAGAAAATCATGACTCCTAAGAATAGTCATGCAGAACATCAAGAAATAAGAAAGATTCTTAAAAGCTACAAGAAAGAATGACAACCAGATTGATTCGGACGTTGCATCAGGACAACTGTCAGGAGAAAATGGAGCAATATCATTAAAATGCTGAAGGAAAATAACTGTGAACCAAGAATCAGCACTCAAGAGCGACAACACAGTAAGAATCATTTTAAGCAATACAAAGAATAAGTGTACTGAAAAGACAGGGAACCATTACAGGATATACTTTAGCAAGAAGAAAAATGAACCTAGGAGGAAGGACAGGGATATAAGAAACAGGCCAGGCATGGCGGCCCACACCTGTAATACCAGCACTTTGGGAGGCCGAGGCAGGTGGATAACTTGAGGTCAGGAGCTCGAGACCAGCCTGGCCAACATGGTGAAACCCTGTCTCCGCTAAAAATACAAAAATTAGCCAGGCATGATGGTGTGCGCCTGTAATCCCAACTACTCAGGAGGCTGAAGCAGGAGAATTGGTTGAGCGTGGGAGGCGGAGGTTGCGGTGAGCCAAGATCACGCCACTGCGCTCCAGCCTGGGCAAAAAAAAAAAAAAAAGAAAAAAGAAGAAATGATGGTGACCAAAGAAATTGGTAAAACATGTTGACAAATCCAAATTAATCATTGACCATAAAATAATACAAAATGTTTTAACACTTAAAACCAAATTGGAACAAAAGTTCTAGACAAAAAAAATACAGGTTTGGAAGGGGATACAGTTTGAAGGAAATTGAAAGCATACTGAAGAAACATGGTCAAAGGAAATTCAAAGCATACTAAAGAAATGAGATCAGTCCAACAGAAAAGGGGTAATAATGAAGTTAAATGCACAGTAAATAGAAAATACAAAATAAGACAGTAAAGATAGGTTCAAATATACCAATAATTACAACTGAAATTAAAGTCTAGATTGAGTTTTAAAACATCCAAATATAAGCTATTTAGTAGAGACACACATGAAATAATAAAACACACACAAAAATTCTTAAAATGGCATTAAAAGGCTATTCCAGGTAAATACTAATCAGATGTTGCACTGTTAATTACATAGTACAGAAATGAAGGCAAAAGATTTTAGTAGAGATGAAGGAAAATATTTCATAATGATAAAAGGAACTATCTACCAAAAAAAATCCTAGACATGTAGAATTTAATATTGCTTAAGAAGCAAAAATTGATGTAATTACTGAAAAATATACCATCATGGTGAAAGATTTTTAATATCTCTCTCAAAGAAAAAAATAGTGAGGATTTAAAAGCTTTTAACAACTTATTTTAACAAGGTTTAGCTAATATCTAAATATCTAGAAATTTACATCTAAGGAATAGTAGTATACAATGTCTTCAAGTATACATAAAACAATTACTGTAAAAGTACTCAAGCTAGAAAAGAAGGTTCAGCAAATTACAAAGTACCAAATAACTAACATTAAATGAACCACAGCATAAAATGAGAAAGCGCCCCACTACAAACCTCTATTCATTTGGAAAAAGTAATAAAATGTGTCTTCTGAATAACCAATGAATTAAGTATTGTATAAGTCTACACTCCCTTACTGCAATTCCAAAATGCAAATGCTCGACTCTGACCACACTGGTCATGTTTTCTAATTTCTTATACCTTGTTCATACTCTCCATTCTTTTAATTTATGTAAAGATTTTAAACATCTTATTCTATATTCTGTATTTTATAATATTCAGGATCCACAATCCTTGAGAGCTCAATTCTTCCATCTTTTGTTTCTGATGGCTCTCATTATGTGGCAGCTTATTTCCATGTGGTCTTTGTAATTTTGGATTCTGACTTCATTTTTAGCCCAACTCCATCTGTCAGAAGTCAGGAGCCTGAGATGAAAATAAGATCCTTTAGAGCAGGGGTTGCAAAACTTTTTATGAAAACAGCCAGAGAGTGAATGTTTTAGGCTTTGAGGGCCATACAGTCCCTGACACAACTAGCAGGTACAGATAATATGCAAATGGATGGGCATAGCAGTGTTTCGGTGAAACTGTTTATAAAAATATATGGTGGACTAGATTTGGCTCTCAGTAGAGGACCTTTTCAGATTATTTAGACCACCATATTGCTATAAGCAGAACACTTTATTTTTTAATAACTTCTCTTAGGCCTCAAAATCTGGGGTGGGGCGAATGCTGATTCCCTAAAGGTTTGATTTAAATAACCTGTCAGATGCAACTGACATGAGGAAGTAATAAGAAATATGTCTCAATCTGGTTTCTTATGATCCAAGAGGATTCATTTGTATTTTTTTTAATCCTCTAACTCGGAGTGAAAATTTTACAGACTCACTAACCACTACATGCCCTTCAGCACCAGCCAAATTTGCACTTCCTATAGTAGTCCCTATTTTGAATAATGGTGCCATCTTCTCCCAGTTACCTAAGCCAAAATCTGGGGTCATCTTTGACATCTCCTTCTTAACCTCCCTTAACTAATCCCCAACAAAGCTAAAGCTTTCCATCTGATCTTTGTTTCATACCCTTATTACCTTTCCCCAAACGAGTTATACTCAACTGTTAAACAATGAAAGTCCTATCCTTCTTAGTTTAAACAAATGTTACTCAAATCCCAATAATATAAAACAGAAAAACAGCACACATCCTCCAGTGGAAGTGAGGAAATAGAGCCCAGAGTCCCACCCATATTACCTCACTCTCAGCCTTTGATATGCTCTTAAGGCCCTCTGAGGCCTTAGGGTCATTTGTTGGAAACAGATTGCCTAGACTACTGCCTTGATCTGCTAAATTGTGCTACACTTTTCCATTTTATTACACCTCTTCCTCTGCTGCTAATCTTATCCCTCTAAATCATTCTTTACTCTTCTAAAAGAATATTTTTTTCAAAATGAAAATGTAATCATGGACTGACATTCCCAAACATGGTGTTTGGGGACTTGGACAGGTTGGTAAATCAGAAAAGATATATTTTAAACTTCTGTGCACTAAATGGTGCAGAAACAAAATTAAAAAGAAAAAAAAGAATTGGGAAAATGTTTAAAACATACACATCAGAAAACTATTCATACTTATGATATATGAAGTTCTCTTTATAAAAATACAACTTTTTTTTAAGAAAAAGTAAAGCTCCCAGTTAAAAAAGGACACAGGATTCAAGCAGGAAAACTGTAAAAGAACTACAAATGGCCAAGAAACAAGATAAAAATAAATGCAGGCCAGGTGTGGTGGCTCATGCCTGTAATCCCAGCACTTTGAGAGACCGAAGTGGGAGGATTGCTTGAGGCCAGGAGTTCTAGACCAGCCTACACAACATACTAAGACCCCATCTCTACAAAAAAAAAAAAAAAAAAAAATCAAAAAATTAGCTGGTGTGTGGTGGTGCACACCTATAGTCCCAGCTACTCGGGGTCTGAGGCAGGAAAATCACTTGAGCCCAGCAGGTTGAGGCTGCAGTGAGCCATGATCATGCCACTGTTCTTTAGCCTTGGTGACAGAGTGAGATGCTATCTCAAAAACAAAACAAAACAAAAAAACCCACTAGAAATCAAACAAACATAGGTTAAAAACAATAATGAAATACCATCATTTCACTTTGCTATGGTATTAGCAAAGCTGTAGAAAATATAGCACTCTCTCATATTACTGTTGCTGAGAGGATAATTTGCTACAACCATGAAGAAGATAATTGGAAATGTGTATCAAAGGCATGAAAATGGACTCACCTCTTATCTCTGAAATTTAACTTTAAAGTTTTTATCCTATGGAATATCCAGTTGTATGCAAGGAATTATGTTTAATTATATTTTCACAACATTATTTATAGTACTTAAAAACTGGAAGCCATCTAAATATCCAATAGGAGATTGGTTAAACAAAAGGTTTAACCTTTCATTAAGATGATGTGCAATTATTTGTTAAGGTTTTAGAATATTTAATGTCATGGGGAAATCACCACTTATTAAATGTAACAAAAATCCATATAATATCTCAATTTTATTTAAAAACTGTGTATATTCCAAGTGTAAGTATCTGTATATATTGTATATGCATTGAAATAAACGACATACATCATAAGGTTAATATAAAGTTTCCTCTATGTAGAGGGATTATGGGTGATTTTTTATAACTCTTGCTTTTTTGGTTTTCTCAAAATTTCTATGATAAACGTGTTGTTTTAGTAATCAGCACAAAAAAACATTTTTTGGTTAACTTCTTTTTTTTTTTTTTTTTTTGAGACAGAGTCTTGCTCTGTCACCCAGGCTAGAGAGCAGTGGCACTATCTTGGCTCACTGCAACCTCCACCTCCCGGGTTCACGCCATTCTCCTGCCTCAGCCTCCCATGTAGCTGGGATTACAGGCGCTCACCACCACACCCGGGTAATTTTTTTTATTTTAGTAGAGACAGAGTTTCACCGTGTTAGCCAGGATAGTCTTGATTTCCTGACCTCGTGATCCGCCTGCCTCGGCCTCCCAAAGTGCTGGGATTACAGGCGTGAGCCACTGCGCCTGGCCTATTTTTTGGTTAACTTCTACAGGAAACAAACATTTTTGAGTCAACTTCTATAGGAAACCTTTACCAACCACTTCCAACAATTACTCTGTCCTTTTGCAGCCTCTGTACTTTTGTTGTCTTCGTCGCATGCATTTTTTTTTTAATTTCAGTCTTCCTGCAACACTGTAAGTTTTATAAAAGCAGGTTTATACATCTGTAACTCTGAATCTTCAGTGCCTAGAATATTACCTGGCACATGGTGGTGCTCAATATTTGTTGTATTGAATTAAATTCCCAAGTACTATACATCTAATTCTCAATTATCTTTCATAACAGTGATATTATCCAAAACAAGCATTCCTAGAGTTTTTAACATGACTTTAGTAATCCACAAAGTACATAAATTGCACATATGATAGCTGATAAATTTTGACACATTAATAAATTAAAGGTTGGCAGCACAATGCAAAGTACATAGTTAGGTGCTCAGTAAACAATGAATGAGCATGGTTGAGTATGGTTGACTGATTTGAGGTCTTAAAAAGTATCCTACTCAGAGAGAAGGATAAAATATTTTAGAAATCTTTTGACATACCATCACAAGAAGAAAACGACCATGATAAATTGTAATACACTCATTCATTCAAGTAATGTTTATTGAGAACTAATGGAGTGCTGGCTATGTTTGGCAAAACTACTTTCCAATTTGATGTAAATATAACATTGTGTCACATCATAATATCCAAGCACTCGGAAAACATGAAAGTTTTGTAGATTTGGGAAGCCCAAATCTACAGAAAAAGTTGGATGATCCCAACTCTGTGCTATTTTGTTTCCGCCTGTGTCATAACATCTATTCCACTGAATCGTAATTTATCCCTCTGCATATGTCTGGCTTTCCCACTAGATGGTGAACCTTGGTCACCTTTATTATTCCCATCATGTTGCATATAGAAAGCTCTAAAGAACACTGGATAAATGAATTAATGAACAATTACAGTTCCCCGCATCAAGCAACGACTCAAAAATATATTTAGTAAAGTACAACAGAAAAAAAAAAGTCAATGCATTACCTTTCAGGGGTCATAATCTTCCCACCACTCTCACTTCGTTCAAACTTTTCCAGCAAGCTGACATTTGTCACTTTGGCAGGGAACAAAGCTTGTCTATCTCGAAGTCTTTTGGGTGATGAGATATCTGTAGAATAAAGAATGAATGAAAACGAGTCTCCTTTCAACTCTCAAACCACTAACTGTGTAGTTTTTACCAAGGGAAATTTTCATATAAGATACACTCTCTTATCTTTAAATAATCACCCCTTGTTCTATTGTGGTATAAAAAAATGTTTTTGCTGTATATTCGCAAAGAAAGCACTGTGCTAAGCATTTAGAGGACAAAAAGAGGCAATAACATAAATGCAGGAAGTGGGCTGGATATAACATGACCAGGAGACGTGTTAGTTTAGTTAACATTTCTCATGAAAAATGAACAGTGGTAGTTTTACAACTTTGATATCTGTAGATTTAGACATTTTGCCTGTAAAGATCTTTCGATAGATATAGTTGAAGAGAAAAATAAGATACAAACAAAAAAGTGAGAGCTCCCATTTGGAGGTCATCTTATGTGCTAACAGTGCTAAGTGCTTTATAATATACATTTAATAAATAACAACTTAGGACAGTGATGCAAAATGTATAAGTCACAAATAAATGTTGCAGTCTTTTTCTTTTTTTTTTTTTTTTTTGAGATGGAGTCTGACTCTGTCGCCCAGGCTGGAGTGCAGTAACCCAATCTCAGCTCATTGCAACTTCTGCCTCCCAGGTTCTAGCAATTCTCCCACCTCAGCCTCCCAAGTAGCTGGAATAACAGGTGCACACCACTACTCCCAGCTAACTTTTTTTTTTTTGTAGTAGTAGTAGAGATGGGGTTTCGCCATGTCGGCCAGGCTGGCTTCGAACTCCTGACCTCAGGTGATCCACCCACCTCAGCCTCCCAAAGTGCTGGGATTACAGGCGTGAGCCACCATGCCCAGCCAAATGTTGTAGTCTTTAAGGATCTGATATGTTCAGAGGAGAGAAGCCACTTCAGAATTCAGTGATAAGTTTTCATGGAGAAAGTGAGATGTGAAAAGGGTACTAAAAGGTGAGTAGGATGGAGATAGATTGAAAGAAAAGGAAGGACAATTCAGGCTGCAGGAAAAAAAAAATGAACAAAAGGATGAAGTTGGGGAAGGGCAGGCATGTTAGAAGAGCATGAATAGGCCAAGCATAGTGGCTCACGCCTGTAATCCCAACACTTTGGGAGGCCGAGGTGGGCAGATCGTTTGAGCTCAGGAGTTCAAAACCAGCCTAGGCGACATGGCAAAACCCTGTTTCTACAAAAAGTACAAAAATTAGCCAGGCATGGTGGCGCACACCTGTGGTCCTAGCTACTCAGGAGGCTGAGGTGGGAGGATCACCTGAGCCCAAGAGGTTGAGGCTGCAGTGAGCCAAGACAGTGCACTCCACCCTGGGTGACAGAGCAAGACCCCACCTCAAAGAAAAAGAAGAACATGAATAGATAATTTTTCCCAAAAAAGGGGTCTCTATAGGGCACAGTGGGAGATGAGACTAGAGAAATAAAAGCATATGAATATTAGGCTAAAAGTTGATATGCAATCCTGTAGGCCACACGTAGAAAACAGACATGCACAAGCCAATGTTCACCCATTGGTATGTTTTGTTTGGCCTAATTAGCATTTTTTGTTTCAATATCAACAAAAGTCGTCAACTTTTAACAGCCAATAGATTTTACATTAAAGTCAGGATCTCTGCTTCTTTTGAAAAATCAGAAGATTGTGCTCACTTTAGTAGCACATATAGTAAAATTAGAAAAATTAGAAGATCTGATATCACTTGGGCCACATTTCCGCAAAGCAACAATCTGCTAGAGGAACAGTCCTCAAAGTGTGGCCTGGCAAGCCATACTTTTTGGGGTCCCTAGGACCCTTTCAAAATGTCTGTGGCTGCGTGTGGTGGCTCCCACCTGTAATTGTAGCACTCTGGGAGGCCAAGGCAGGCGGATCACCTGAAGTCAGGAGTTTGAGACCAGCCTGGCCAATACGGTGAAACCCCATCTCTACTAAAAATACAAAAATTAGCTGGGCGTGGTGGTGCGCGCCTGTAGTCCCAGCTACTTCCAGGGAGGCTGATGCAGGAGAATAGCTTGGACGCAGGAGAATCACCTGAACCCAGGAGGCGGAGGTTGCAGTGAGCCCAGATTGTGCCACTGAACTCCAGCCTGAGTGACAGAGCGAGACTCCATCTCAAAAAGAAAATAAAAAGTCTTTGGTTAAAAAAAAAAAAAATCTTTGGAGTCCTAGGATTTTCTTCATTTGCTTCCACCAAAACAACCTATCACAACAGATTAGATGCAGACATAGGTATGAGAATCCAGCTTTCTTCTACAGACATCAAAGTGATAAAACTGCCACTCTTTGTTTTTCATTAGAAATGTTAACTAAGCTAACATGTCTCCAACCCACTTACATCCAGACCACTTCCTGCATTTGCGTTACCTGCCTGCAGTCATCTGAGTTTTGGCCCCTTTGAGCAATGGGGAGCCAGCAAAGAGATGATGATCTAAGAGCCTGAGAGTCATAGGATCTAAGGCTCATAAAGTAAGTAAGCTCATAATTAAGGTCAAATGCAGGATTCTAGGAATAGAACGTATTTGTTAGAAATAATATAGTGATTATTTGTGGCTGGGT
The DNA here is from genome assembly GCF_000001405.40 of Homo sapiens. NCBI lineage: Eukaryota > Metazoa > Chordata > Mammalia > Primates > Hominidae > Homo > Homo sapiens. The sequence continues at coordinate 86,398,126 of NC_000011.10, read as the reverse complement.
GCGGTGGTTCATGCCTGTAATCCCAGCACTTTGGATGGCCTAGGTGGGCGGATCACTTCAGGCCAGGAGTTTGAGACCAGCCTGGCCCATCTATACAAAAGATAAAGAAATTAACCAGGCATGGTGGCACATGATGGTAATCTCAGCTGCTCGGGAGGCTGAGGCAGGAGAGTCGCTTGAACCTGGGAGGTGGAAGTTGCAGTGAGCTGAGATTATGCCACTGCACTACAGCCTGGGCAACAGCGAGACTCCATCTCAAAAAAAAAAGTAATAATAATATAGTGATTATTTGTAAATTTAACTTTATTTACCTTGGGCTAAGCAATATGGCTGGGCTCATAGCAGTAAAGAGTGACAGATTGGACCCAGAAATCATTGGCCTACCTCTGGTGCCTTCTTCTTTGTCTGACTGGTCTTTTAACTTGCACTTCCTTTCTCTATTCTCTCCACATTCTTCTACAAGGGTCTCCATAGGCAGTTTGTTTTCCATCTCCTTGAGCTCAATCCTAGGAATGAGCCAATATGTTTTTCTGCTGCACTGAACCTGAACAGGTAACTGTGTGAACTCTCAAGTTTTGGAAGCAACCCAGCCAGCTGGCTGATTCTGAAATAAGCCCACTTTCTTCAAGGGGTGAGTGCTCTGATGTGCTAAGTACATATCATAGATTAATTTTCTCCAAGGCTTTCTGGAAGCTGACCAAGGCCTTTCCCTCTATACCATAGTCTCAAAGCAGCTTGCATATAGAGAAATTGCCTTAAAGTCCTTTATTTAGGTTATTGGTTTTTGTTTCAATTTGAATTTTTATATCCTACTTCTTTAACTAGATGCTATGGGGTGATACAGTGGAAAAAAGGTTGTTGGATAGCTTGAAGGCAAAGATTCATAGCCTGGTAGAGTATGCCCCAAAATAACCATTTGTCTCCTCCCTCCTTTGCCACTTCACTTCATCATTCTCTCCCCAGGCAAAAGTGAAGGACTTGCAAAGCTACAATTTGCAGCAGGGAGGAAGGGGGATGTTCAGTTGGTGTGTGTAGTTGTAGGATTTCTTTGGCCTCAGGTATGGAGTACTAGGTTGGAGTAGGGAGTGGGGGTGGGGGTACCTTCAGTCAATTCAGGGGCCAAATGTCACATAAATAAAACACCAACAATTGTTTTGAGTATTTAAGTCCCCATGTCCATTTCTAGGCCCTTGACTTGATGGCGACTCCATCTCTGTTCTTTGACCCACTATAATTATTTCCCTCCTGGAGTGCCTAAGCCAAAATATGTCAAAGGGAACAGCCATGTTTGCCTTCCGAAACCATCAAAATAAAATTCTTTTCAATCCACTGATTTATTTTTAGTGAGTAAGGCAATATGGTGCAATGGAAAGAACACTGGACCAGGAGCCATGGTTTTATTTCTATAAGCTTGGCTGCTTATTAGTTGCATGGCCATTTCGTGTGCAAGATGAGGCGGTTGGAAAACAACCTCTAAGGCTTACTCTGGACTTCACACTGAATCTTCTGAGGTATGTGTCATACAGCTCTTCCAGGAGGGGGTTGTTCCAAAGCAACAAACAAGAGAATGTCACACTCAAAACATCTCAGAAATTCTCATACTTTTATACTTTACTCATACTTCCTAAAGTAATAATGCTTTAGGAAGCTAGTTGTTATTCCCCAAACTTCCTCCACCTGAAATGCACAGTGGTTAATGGCACAGCAATTAAGATTATTAACATAATTAAGGGCACACAATGAATAAGTGATGGCCAAACTGGAAATAAAACTAAAGTCTCCTGACTCCTACTCCAGTGTTCTCAATAGTGCACCATGTTGCTTCATTCATGTAAAAGAAAAAAATTAAAATTAATTTTGTATCATGATAAAATGGAGAATTATAATACATAAGTCACATGGTTGTCGTGAAGATTAAATACAGTAATATGCAACCACCAGTAACAACCACTGTGCTCATGGAGTAAAGCTGTTTCCTTATTCTAACTTATCTGTTTAACCCGTTTAGTGGTAAAAATCCGAGCAAGGACAGGAAATGGGCTGAACTGAAGGAAGAAGCAGCAGCTAGGGCAGAAGAAGTGGTACAAAGTAGTGGAAAGTTCAGCAGGTGAGAAGAGTTTTACTAATACTGCAGGGACTAAGGTTAATGGAAGGTAGTATCAGAATTTCCAGGAGCCAAGGGTAGTTTTAAAAAAGAGTAAATGGGCCAGGCCTGGTGGCTCACGCCTGTAATTTCAGCACTTTGGGAGGCCGAGGCGGATGGATCACTTGAGACCAGGAGTTCGAGACCAGCCTGGCCTATATGGTGAAACCTCATCTCTACTAAAAGTACAAAAATTAGCCAGGCATGGTGGCGTGCGCCTGTAATCTCAGCTACTCCAAAGGCTGAGGCAGGAGAGAATTGCTTGAACCCAGGAGACCGAGGTTGCAGTGAGCAGAGATCGTGCCACTGCACTCCAGCCTGGGTGACAGAGCAAGACTCCGTCGCGGTGAGGGGGGATAAAAAAGAATAAATGTCCATTGTTATTTAACTTAACTACAGAAAGTGTATGCAATAAACTCTTCTTTGTTGGTGGATTTAGAGAGGGAGAGACAGACAGAATACATTAAAAGGAACATGAGCTACAAAACATTGAGAAACACTGCCCAATGAGATCAGCAGATCAGCAAGGAGTGCTAGTGCCTAGAGGAACCCGTGAAGCAAAGCACTCACCTTGGAAACGCAAGCACACTGCTGGGCCACTTCCTCAAGGCCTCTCTGCTAGACAACACCGAGTCCACAGTGCCAGGCCTCTAGAGGACAGCAACAGAGCAAGGTTACATCTAGGCTGAGGTCCAGGACTCAGACAAATTAAAAACTGCAGGCTCATAGGCAAGGCTACCACGATACTTTTCTTGTTGTTGTTTATGTTAAGCGCTTATAAGTCCAGAGCTTAAAAATCCAATGAGGAATGATCTCATTCATCAGAGCAATCACCCTGGGTAGCTGCACAGCAATTCTTTCGGTGTTGCCTTTTCTCAAACCATTTCCTTTTAGGGAATTGCCTTCAGAGTTGACAGATTCTTTTAGATGTCTTTAAGAAGATAGCAGACTTTGTAAAAATATCTGGAAAGTGAGCAAGCTGTCTAATTCCACTCTTGACCCAAATAACTAAAATTAGGCAATTAAGAGAAAAGCTTTCGAGTCAGGTGGGCTCATGTTCAAATCCCCACACTGCTAACAGGCATGTGGCCTTAGGCACTAGGTTTCTGGGGATAATAAAAGGATCTAATAGCACTTCCATGAGGTCCTCTATGTAAGTAGCTAGCACATAGTAAATACTGAACAAATGACTATTTTAATTCTCATGTAACTGTAAACATAATAGTCACATTGTCACATTTTAACTGTAGAATAATATATAAAATTATTATTTTTGCATGAATGCTATCACTTACAAAAGCCTTTGAAGTGAATTCCCAAAAAGAAGTATAGAAAATATTTCTAATAAAAGCAGCATTACTGAAATAAGCACACAGCTTTCCAAGGGGACTACCCTACAAGACAGTTTTAAGTTACGGGTCATTTGGGAATAAACTCTCACTCACACCACTTCACAGCAGTTTTCCAAAATGTGTCTTACAGAGCTAATGAGATATTGGATTAACCTACAATTCCATGATTAAATACATTCAGGCAGTTAAACTGACTGCTTTCCAGCCAGACTTCTCAGCTCCTTTAACATGCTGATGTGCTCTGTCCCTCTGTCCATGAGGGTGACTGATTCGATCAGCAGTTTTCAGTCAGCTTTGACCTCCAAACCCTTTTTTCATAGAGTATTTTTCAGGACTAGTTCTTTTGGAAAACGTTCTGTAAAAGATGTGCTTTACAGTTCAGCAGGTCAAGGAAAATGCTGTCTTCTCTTTTAAACACGTATTGAAGCTACAAAGTTCAGCAGAATCCCTGAGGGTTAGAGATGAGCTAGCCACTTTGGCCTTGCTTATGGACTTGCAAATCTTGCCTTGTGTTTTCATGGAAAAGCAAGGGTTTTTCCTGCATGTGTTTCCCACTTTCCACACACAGGGTTGGCAATCCTCTTAGCAATCCTGTATGAAACCAGATTGTGTAGAAAACACCAGGAGTTTCATTATGCACAACTTCATTTCCTAAATCCCCATCCCAAAGCTTCATAAAAGGAGAAATGGGTAGACTGAGATGATATTAATAGCCTTTTCATTAAAAAAATCAGAGTTTGGCTTTATGGGATATAGGATTATATAACATTCCATAATAATTCAATTCATTCATGTCTACTTTGTTAGTTTCCAGAGGAGTACCTGAGGCACACTAAGTATTCAGTAAGTCTGGTAGATTGACTATTTCATTTGTTTAAACTCTGCTGTATCCAACTTAGCATGAAGGTCACACCAGCTACTTAATGGTTGACAATAATGATGCCAATTAGGAAATTTCTTCTACAACATGGCAAATTAAAAGCTAAAGATTCAAAAACTCCATGACTCAAATTAGATTTTGTTATAGAACTTTCATTAAAATAAAATAGTAGAACCAACATTAAAAAATAAAATAGTAGAACCAGCAAAAACCAAGTGGTTAGGAAGTCTGGGCTTGAATTCCAGTTCTAGTTCACCTTGGGATTCCCACATAGCCTCTCTGAGCCCCTACTTTTCTCAATTGTAAAATTAGGATGATAATAATGCTGCTTGTATGCTATTTTGAGGCTCAAATGAAATAATACATGTGGAAGAAGTTTTTAAACCATACGCCAGGCATGGAGGCTCATGCCTGTAATCTCAGCACTTTGGGAGGTCAAGGCAGGCAGATCACTTGAGACCAGGAGTTCGAGACCAGCCTGGCCAACATGGTGAAACTTTGTCTCTACTAAAAATACAAAAATTAGCTGGGCATGGTGGCGCGCACCTGTAATTCCAGGTACTTGAGAGGCTGAGGCAGGAGAATCACTCAAACCCGGCATGTGGAGGTTGCAGTGAGCCAACATCGTGCCACTGCACTCCAGCCTGGGTGACGGAGTGAGACTCTGTCTCAAAAAACAAACAAAAAACCTATAAGGTACTATAAAATGTTCAGAATTCTAAGAGTTTCCGTTACTATTTATATCCCTCAATTGACTTTGATTCTTAATGTTCCTTTGCCTTCCTGATCTTTTTTGTCAAAGAGTTAATCAAGTATAAACAAGCACTTCCATGTACTTCAGGTAACTGTCACTCAAAATATGTCAACCTTCGTTTTTCTTAATTACAACACACCTATAGATGAGTCAGAACCACAATTAGGAGAAGACTTAGGAGAAGGAAAATATTAATTTACATTTGCTAGGGCCTTTGCCAAAGCCCCACTTCCATCCATGGTACAAAGGAAGTCTTTATAAAACCTCATCTTCACTTTGCTGTCTCTGATCATGAGGACCCCAATTCCTTTGAATGTAAACTCCACATTTTGTTTCATGGAAATGGAACGCGATAAAAAAAGCAACGTCTCCTTCACACATCCTTCCACTACATCTCTGTTAAATGGACCCTCCAGGGATATCATGACAAAATTAAGTGGAACAATTGGGATTTCACCTAAAGGAGAAAAGACAGTTGGGGTGGGAGAAAGAAAGTGGTGATTACCATAAGGACATATCATACACACTCACAAATAATTATCTGATTCTCAATGCCCTAAAATAGAATCTTCTGGATGAAGCTTTTAGTTGTACCCAATGTAATATTATTACTGCAGACAATTAAGTAGTTACTAACATATTAATCAGTACAATTTTCTCTAAAAGTATAAGGTTCAATGCTCAAAATAAGAACAGTTAGCTTTCTAAATAACACTGTAGACAAGCTTTTGATTTTCTCTAGGAAACATATAATAATCAACTGATTCTCTTCCTCAGAGGGTTTCCTAAAGTTTTCATCCCCCTTATCTTTTAGGACATACTGCAGCAATATTTGCTGATATGGTTTGGATCTGTGTCCCCACCCAAATCTCATGTTGAATTGTATTCCCCAGTGTTGGAGGTGGGGCCTATTGGGAGGTGATTGGATCATGGGGGTGGATCCTTCATGTATGGTTTAACACCATCCCCCTGGGTGCTGTCCTCATGATAATGAGTGAGCTATCATGAAATCTGGTTGTTTAAAAGTGTGTAGCACCTCCCTCCATCCTCCCTCTTACTCCTGCTCCAGCCTTGTAAGACATGACTGCTTCCCCTGCACCTTCTGCCATGATTGTAAGTTTCCTGAGGCCTCCCCAGCCATACTTCTGTACAGCCTGTGGAAACGTGGGTCAGTTAAACCTCTTTTCTTTATAAATTACCCAGTCTCAGGTATTTCTTTATAGCAATGCAAGAATGAACTGATACATTTGCCTATCTCCTCCAGTTATCATGCCATTTTTACATGATTACAAATACCTACAAGTGTTAAATATTTTGAAAAGATACCCATCTTCACTAGAAGTTATCATTTAAATGAAATAGGGTCTTATACAAGGGTATCAGACTAAATGACTCACAGAAAGCTTTTCCTCTCTAATGAGCCCATATATGACACTACAAAGGAATACGATTATATCTAGCTTGAAAGAAGCACAGGGTCTATCCAACTAGAACAGATGTAGGAGCAATACAAGGTTCACGAGTCAGAAAAAGGGTAAATAGCAAAGAGGATCAAGATGACAAAGCCAAAGAGAGACAACAACAAGGTCCACTGATAAAGAGGACATAGAGAAGATGAGAATATTCTAAACATTCACTCAGTAAGCATGAGTTATATCCTTTCAAATGTCCACCACTGCTAAATGATGAAAATTAACAAGACCTGAGCTTCACTGCATCAGCCTGCTGTCTCCTGCACAATTTAACAATAATTCTAACCACCACCCTCCATTTTTAAAAAAAATACACATTTCTTAAAAAGAAGGCTGTCTTGCCTGCCTCTGGATTTTCTCCTCCCATTTGCCCACTGCCTCTCTGCAATCTGTCTTTCAGATCACTTATCTGAGTTAGGACACTATCATCTCATAGATTGTCAAGTCAATGGATAGTTTGACTCCTTGGCCCCCTTTGCTGGCTTCCCTCCTCTTCTACTTCTTATAAGATACTGAGGTTTGTTTATTTGTTTTATAGGATTTTGTCCTTGTTTATCTCTTCTGCTGAGTATATATTCTCTCCTAGGTAAACATCCAAATCTTGATCTCTAGTCTCCACTCTTCTCCTAAGCTCTGGTATCACCTCTACCTAAATATCCCCACATGTATCTCAAATTCAGCATGTGCAAAAGCAAATTCACTATTTTATCCACCACCGAAATCCACCTTTCCCCTTCATTCTCTATAAAGGTAATTGATAGCATGAGCATCCATCTGTTCTCCAACCAAGAAATCTGAGTCATACTAAACGCCTTCCTTCCTCTTCCTACCCACCACTCTCAACTTAAGCCCTAACAATTCTACATCTGAAATGTCTCATGAGTAATATCTCATGAGTAGATACCCTCATTTCCCCTCCTGATCACTGTCTTCGTTCAGGCTTTTACTGCATTTTACCAAACTACTGTAACTGAAAGAGTATCTTTCTAAATTAATCCTATCTGTACAGATAATTCCCTGCTCAAAAACTTTCAATGGCTCCTCAGTGCCTACAGGATGAATTCTAAAGTCCGATCACACCATATAAGGCCCCTCACAATTGGTCCCTACCTACCATTTTCATCTTATCTTCCTCTGCCTGCCTCCACAATCATATGCCTCAGCCATACGGAAGTACCCGTTACTTCCTTAACAGGCTTCATTCCATGTTCTTGACTTGTTCATATTGTTCCTGAAATATCTTCCAACAGATTCTCTGCTCACAGAGTCCTATCATCCTTTAAGACCTCTTCACATGTCATCTTCGTAAAGCAGAGTTAGGCATGCTGTCCTCCGGGCGTCATAGCATTTGATCCAGTTCTGATCAATTTGGCTTTCATAGCACTTAATCATGTTTCATCATATTTTTTTTCTTTTTTTCTTGAGATGGAGTCTCACTCTGTCGCCAGGCTGGAGTGCAGTGGCGCAATCTCAGCCCATTGCAACCTCCGCCTCTGGGGTTCAAGCAAGTCTCCTGCCTTAGCCTCCTGAGTAGCTGGAACTACAGGCATGCACCACCACGCCCAGCTAGTTTTTTGTATTTTTAGTAGAGATGGGGTTTCACCATGTTGGCCAGGATGGTCTCAATCTCTTGACCTTGTGATCCGCCTGCCTCAGCCTCCGAAAGTGCTGGGATTACAGGCATGAGCCATCGTACCCAACCCATTTCTTATATATTAATTATCTATGCTAGATTTAAAAGAACTATGTCTTACTAATATTTAAAAACCACTATAAAATGTTTGATTAGTTACTGATATGGTCTGGATTTGTGTCCCTGCCCAAATCTCATGTCTAATTGGAGGAGGGGCCTGGTGGGAGGTGATTGGGTCATGGGAGTGAATTTCCCCCTTGCTGTTCTCATAATAGTGAGTGAGTTCTCATGAGATCTCATGGTTTAAAAGTGTGTGGTGCCTCCCCATTTCATGCTTGCTCTCTCCTGCTCCGCCATGGTAAGATGTGCTTGCTTCCCCTTTGCCTTCTGCCATGATTGTAAGTTTCCTGAGGCCTCTTAGCCATGCTTCCTGTTAAGCCTGCAGAACTATGAGTCAATTAAGCCTCTTTTCTTCATAAATTACCCAGTCTTAGCTAGTTATTTATAACAGTGTGAGAACAGACTAATACAGTTACCTAGTTAATTAATGATGAAGAATCATAACCCCAAAGCTAAACTGTAGACAGAAATTTTTCTTTGGGGGTTTTAAATTTTTATTTATTTCCTTATTTATCTTATTATTATTATTATTATTTTGCAGCCTTCAACTCCTGGGCTGAAGTGATCCTCTTGCCTCAGCCTCCCAAGTAGTTGGGACTGGTGGTGTGAACCATCATGCCCGTCTAAGTTTTTTAAATAATTTTTTGTAGAGGCAGGAGCTTGCTATGTTGCCAAGGCTGGTCTTGAACTTCTGGCCTCAAGTGATCCTCCCTCCTTAGCCTCCAAAATTCTGGGATTGCAAGCATGTGCCACCATTGCATGTGCCACCATGCCCGGCCTAGAATTATTCTTTTGAACTAATTCAGTCATATATGTCTAATTCTGAAATTGCCTCACCCAGTAAAAAATATAATTTTAGATCTAAACTACTTTTTTGGACTACAGTACAAGATCCAAGATAGAAAATGAGCTTTAATTTTAATGCACAGATGTTTTTGCAAAAATGTTAGCTTTATTTTCATTTTCTTTAATAGGTTTTTGATGAAATAGGATATATTTCTTCTGACATAAAACTCTAGGTATTTCTTTTTGTTCCCATGAAAGGGAGAAACAAAGAAAAGAAAAAAAAATTCTAGGTAAAAATAGCTGAAAAGTTCATCAAGCCCACCATACTGAATATATACCTAAGAAATTCTAAGTATGGTTTGTTGACATTTGTTTTTCTAATATATCATTCTTTTGAAAGTAGAAAGTTACTCAAGTGACTCTGAAAATTAACTTTCAGGAACATTATCTTAGAGGACAGTTTCAGCCTTTTCACCTGTTGCCATCGGAGATAGATTGTCTCCATTTATCCAGGAGTGAGTCTGATGCTGGGGGCGGGGACAATCAGGAAGGTCGAAAGGAACACAGCCAGGAATCAGGAAGTATGCACCCAAAGGCTGCTAAGTAACCAAGGGAGGTGTTACGAAGCCCACACACTAAAGCTGGATGGAAGCAGTCTGTGGCAGGGATTATGCCTATTTTGTTTACCACTATATCTCAAGCACCTGGAACAAGGTCTGACACATAGTTGGCTCTCAATAAATATTTGAAGAAGGAAGGAAGGAAGGAAGGAAGGAGGGAAGGAGGGAAGGAGGAAAGGAGGGAGGGAGGGAGGTTGGCTTTAGGGTATGCGAAAGGTATATAAGGTATGCATTAAGTCTTTATAGAATTATTCAACTTCTAACTTTTAAATTTTAATGATTTGGATTATACATATGATAGAAAGACAGTTATCTTTTTGACAGCTGATACTGACTGTAGTTCTCCCAACCAGAGATCCTAATTAACTTTCTCTTCTTTGTAACCACTTTTAATTTCTTAGGATCTGAAATAAAGGGCTTACAGCTCTGTGGTGTGGCTTTTACATAAATTTTCCTTTACGTTACATCAGGTTTTTTCACTCCTTCCTCTTAGGTTACTGGGGTTTAAAATGGCCTTCAGGAAGACTCTATTATTTTTCCACTTTGGCCCCTCCCTCTGCCAAAAGCACCTTGTGAAAAGTGAGTTCCTCAAATAAGAAGGTAAGACAGCAGCACTGGCTACGCTTTGCCCTTTCATTTTTTATCCCCAGGACAGTAACCTTCTGGGAAAATCCTACATATCAGAATTATTTACCAGGAGTATATACTTTGTTTTGTTTGAGTCCATGAATCTGCACTAGCTTCTCCACCATGATAAACACAGGCCTCTGGATTAAGATAAATTTGTTGTTTCCCACCTCAAGCTTTTGTCTTATGAAAGTGAAAGTTCCAAATGCTGGAATCTGAACCCCCTGAAAGGAAAAAACAAAACAAAACAGAATTCATTGAAGGAGTGAAGAAAAAATAATCCTTAATATTATTATCTAAAAAACACGAAGAGAAGTAAGCTTAGGCCTTAAAAATTCAGTGATCTCTAGGACTCTTCAGAGCTATAGCATTTTATAATTCTAAGTTTTCAAATAAGCTTAGTATAAAATGTAATACATTGGTCCATGATGATTTGCAGACATCAGATCGCTCATCTCTGTATCATCAAAAGGCTAAGAAATTGGTGTGAATGCCATAGCATCTTTTAATCTTTAACCCAGATTACTCCTGTCCTAAATTGTGTGACATTTTAAATTTTAATCATCTGCCATTAGAGGAATTTAAGAGGGCATGAGAATCTCTGCTTTCTCATTCCTACTTTTAGATTTTATGTCTGCCACAGCAGACAACCAGCATCCAAATCATATGCTGCAATGTAGTGATCCTGGCTGATGAGTAGAAGCAAATGTTTTTGCCTCTCATACTGGGTTTCTGTCTCCCTGGAGATATCATTCATCAAGAACTACAAACTCAAATGCCTACAGGAGCCAAAAAAGAAAGCAAGAGAGTGAAAGTAGCCAGCCAGGGAATGTGATGGCTATGGACTGCACACCCCGTCTAAAGGGGAGAGCACATCTTGAGCTCCAAATGTGTCACCACGTAGCAATGGAAGACTAGTACTGTTAGATCTGCTGATTTTTCAATGAAAGGGAGGGAAAAAATCCAAAACATTATATGATTTTTCCCAAGTTTAAGTGCTGATAACAAATTCAAATTCTCAAACAAAACAAAATAAATTTGAAGTATGAATTCTGCCCAAGAGCTCTCATAGTAGGACCTCTGAATGGGGTATAAAAGTTCCACAACTTCCCAGCTTCCCCCAAGCTCATCCCCAAATCTCTGTCCAGTTCTATGGCATCTAAACCCAAGACTTAACAGGAGGGAACAGTCCAGCCCTAGGCAAAGTTTCTCATTTTGGCAAGTCTTCTATTTCAGTTAAAATCCATTCCCTGCAAGGAGGCAAGACAAGAAGCGTTATATCCTTCTATAGCTATGCCAGGAACTATCAGATCACAGACAAACAGAACTCATCTAGTTTCCTTACACACACCCAGGCTGATCAGCACTACACTCTGTAACACTAGAAGAGCAGAACTTACAAATTCATTACCTAAAAATAAAATTCATGTTTGTTAAATCTATTACCCACAAGTCCGAACATGAGCATCAAAAAACATAGGACTGAAAGTTAAACAGGATGGCTCTAAAGTCTACTGCCCTGCTCCCAGCAACATTATATAAGACTATGAAGGAAGGATCCTTTAGATGCCTACATTAAAATTAATAAATTAATTTATTAATAAATTAATAAATTAATAAATCTTACCTTGTGCAGGGTTAACTGCCGTCTCACAAATTCTGATACATTCCCCCAGATAATAGAGACTTCTGAAATTCAAAAGTAACCAGAAATTATTCAATTTATATGCGCACCCATGTGACAGTATCTTAGTGCTAATAAATAAAAATGTAAATATGAAATGTGGAAGCAAATGACATTAATTCCTGATTAATTTAGAATTAACAAAAAACAAGGCCATTCCCAAAAGTTAATTTTCTTGGTAACTAAGGCTTACTCCCTTAAGTTCAGAAGATGTGATTTAAAATAATAATAATAATACATTTTTAAAGAAAATATTTCTACAGCAAAGGGAACTCTGTCACACCCTTTTCTTTATTCTGTAAAGAGAGTTAATCAAGTATAACCCAACCTTTTCTTAATGACCCAGCAACCGTTTATCGGGTGTCTATTCTGTGCCATCTGATTAATAAGAACGTTCATTCTCACACCATTCCACAACACAGGAATAAGGCAAAAGGCCACTAAGGCGTGAAAGGCTGTTGTGTGTACATTAACTTTTCCTACACTTCTATTTTTGCTAAATCCTCAAATCTGCATTTTATTCTCATTTTTCACTGCTAAGCTACCAGCTGTCACTTGCTCTACTAGTACTCTGTGGGCTCCTGGACCAGTCATAATTCATTGCTTCTTATCTACTGTGTTCTGGAAATAACAAATACTAATAGTATGTCTAAAATAACTTTTTTTTTTTTGAGACAGGGTATCACTCTGTCACCCAGGCTGGAGTGCAGTGGCGTGATCTCGGCTCACTGCAACCTCCGCCTCCCGGGTTCAAACGAGTCTCCTGCCTCAGCCTCCCGAGTAGCTGAGATTACAGGCGCCAGCCACCATGCCTGGCTAATTGTACTTTTAGTAGAGACAGGGTTTCGCCATGTTGGCCAGGCTGGTCTCCAACTCCTGACCTCAGGTGATCCACCCGCCTCGGCCTCCCAAAGTGCTGGGATTACAGGCATGAGCCACCATGCCCAGCCTCAAATAATAATTTTTTAAAAACACACATTTGAGTAGGACAAGGAGCTTTACTTTGAATTAATGCATACACTTGGCACTATCAATTTTGACTGACTGGAGGAAAGCCTTCCAAGTTTATCTTCTTGTTCTGAGCTGTGTTCCAAACAAGTGTGGTAGAAAAATAGGTAGTTGCCAATAATGAAAGTGTTAATGTATGATATGAACCTATACTGTAGTATGACTAATATTTCAAAGTCTAGAAAATTATATCTGTGTTAACATCGCCCTTCCAGACCTAACCATGTGTTTATCAAAGATACTTTCCAGTTAAGAACTCTCTGCAAATCAAGACTGTTACGTTTTAATTCTCAAAATAAAAAATCAAGAACAGTGACATTAACAAACTTGCCATTTAGGGACATAGATGCAGCTGGTGACAAAAGCCCAATCCTTTTTCCACTTTGGAAACTGCTTGTTTTATTGGTTTATTGGTTTATCTTTTTTCTAACAATTTAAACCACTAGCTAAAACACGGAGAGTGCAATCTTTTAATTCTGGTATATCAGAGTTATAAATATTTTTATTAATAGGCCAGGAAAGGGGCAGGTTTGGTGGATGAGAAGTAGCAATGACTTTTATGACTATCTGGGAACAAGTTTGGTGATGGAAACTCACTCACCCATTAATAAAATTAGGGCTGCAAGCTACAGTGAGCACGAGGGCCAAGATTCTGCCCCTCATTAATCACTTTCTATAATCAGGCATTTCCCTTACTCTGCCCACCCTACCTTGTTCCCCACTCCTCCCCACCCCCACAGCCCATAGATTCTACTACAGGCTGCTAAGAACTAAGAACCAGTCCTAACTGTATACTGAATTAAAACTTTCATCATGACCAAAAATTTCATTAATTCACAAATGCAAAATCTCAGTATCCAGATGTACATGGAGAACTTTCAAAGTTATTAAGTCAAAATTGTTAAATTTATGACTCTAACAGTCTTTCACCTCTAAAAGCTCGTATTTTAGGAAAACAACTACACTGAAGATGAAATGATTTCATTAGAGCCAGGAGAAAGTGTATAGTTTGCAACCAAACCCCAGTGAAAAGACTCAGCTGAGTTTAATTGAAAATTTGAGGATTCTGTCTTTCTTCATTTGGATGATATATTCAAGCCCACTGTACTGTTTTATTCCATAAAGCCTAACAGATAACATTACATAAGAGCAGAACTAATTATTCTAAACTAAAATTTGCTATTTCTCATTGAAGAGAAAGAAAACTATGCATATCATTTGCCTTAGGAGGCTTTAGGCCCCTGCAATCCAATCGGAATAGATTTGGAAAGCTTACAGACTGTAATTTCTAAATTTGACGTTTTCTGACATCCCAAAGAGTCAGAGAGGATATCATTAAATCTCAAAATGAAAAATATCAAGTCTAAAAAGCAAATTGAAGGATATACTACTTTCATATTTTAAGGGAAGCCAGGGTTCTTACTTATTTCAATCAAACACTGAAATGCCAAGAATCACTCTTATAAAGAACTAATCCCTAGACATATACTCTATATTCAGTTCAACCTTCATTTGGCTTCAAATTCTTAACATTCCATGCGCTCAAAACCATATGTTTAAACACCGTGCCAAGTAACAGGATACTGTATCTTACATATGATCATTATTTAAAAATCCTACATGCCTGTTCTGTAAATTATACAATACTATATGCTTGAAAAAGTCATTAATGTCAAAAAACAGATATGTTTCCTGATGTTATAAAACTTATCTTCTAAAATTAAAATACTGATATATGGAATAGTATAGCAGAATAGTAAAGGATGATTTGAACAAAGAAACATATTCCCAGAGCATAATGCAATGGAAAGAGCAGTGTGCTACGTGGAAGACCCACAGCCTTCCTGCTTCCATGGACTCAACTTTTACCCAGTTCACATCTGTAAAATGATGACAGGGCCTTCTAAGAACTATAATTACATAATATTAAACTTTGCTAAAACATACAGAAGCAGCAGGAATATACAATGATGAATATATACACTGATGAAAGTTAATTTATGTGTTTTGCTCAGTTTGAAGTTTATCTTCATCCTTGTTGCAATAGATAATTTGTGAAAGGTAATAAATAGTAGTTTGACTTTCACTTCAGCTCTTGCTGAAGTCACCAATGGTCTCTTTGTCAATACATTCAATAAACGTATTTAATTCTGAGCCCTCAGCCATGTCTGACACTATTGATCACTCCCTCCCCGTTTAAGCACCTCTCCTTTTGGCTTTTATACTACTACTCTCATTTGGGTTTTCTCCTAACTGTCTGGCCATTTCTTCAGTCTCCCTTGCAGGCTTATCCTCCTCCACCCAACCATTAAATGGTAGGGTTTTTCAAGGTACAGTCCTAGGTTGCTTCTCTTTTCACTCTATACTCTCCACTTCAGCAGTCACACCCACACTCAGGATGATTCCCAAATGTTTATTTACAGACCCAGACTCCTTGCCACCCCCTCTTTGAGATTCTGGACCCGTTTATCCAACTGCCTGCTTATATATCACAAAAAGGCCCTTCAACTTGCCCAAAACCGCAATCTTTCTTCTCTTAAATCTTGTCTTTTATCCAGGATTTCGGTCTCAGTGAATGGCACCACTATCTATTCAGTTATATGAGCCAGGAACTCAGAAGTCATCCTTGAGACTTCTCTTATCCCTCACCCCTAACATCCAGTCCATCACCATAATCTGTAGATTTTACCTCCAAGTTGCCCCTCATTCATTGCATTCCTCTGCATTTCTACTATTACCAGTTTTAGACCAAGCTACCATTTGTTCTCACCAAGACTATTGCTATAGGTATTCTTGACCCTCCTATTCATTCCCCACATGGCAACCAGAGTAATCTTTTCCAAATATAAACTGATCATATAATTCAACTTCTCCTTGACCTCCAGCTCAAAACACTTAATGGCTTCCCATCAGGCTTAACATAAAGGTCAACATCCTTAATATGACTTACAAGGCCCTGTATTACTTGACCCCTTCCTTTCTCTCTAGCCTACTTTAGAATACACTGCCTCCCCACATCTACAGAGCAGCCAGTCAACTGTCTTTCAGTTGCTCCATCACATCATACTCTCACCATAAGTTTTTGCCCCTGTCATTCCCTTTGCCAAAATCATTTTCAACTCACTTCCACTCTCTACCTCTCTGATCCATTTCATCTACTTAATTCCAACTCATTCTTCACAACTCAGCTCAAATTATCCCTTCTTTAGCCATTCTTGGCACACACCCCCATCCTTACTCTCTATTAAATGTTCTCATTTGACTTCCATTTCTTGGTGCTGTATGTAAGGAAGTCACCACTCCATCCTAACAACTAAAAAGTTGACCAGACAGAAAAATCAACAACTCTTCTTGGGTCCATAAGATGAGGGAGGACACAGGACAAACTGCTGCCCCTAAAATTGGAGAGACAGAAAGGCAAATACCAGGAGGAATGGCTTCCTGAAACGGACTCACATGCAGAAACAGCATCAAGAACCAATGCTGGGTAAGAAAACTCAAAGTGTAATTGACAAATTTCTGGAGGCTCAGTGTGGACAACACCAAGAGTTAAAACCTCCAGGGGAACCCAGTCATGGAGGGAGGGTCCCCACATATTTTAAGGTTTACTTCCCAGAGCTCAACCAGATTCCCACAGCCAAATATCCAGGTAAATATAAGAGAAAAATCTCCTTGTGCTTCAGGTGGGAGGAAGAAAAAAATACCATTTTTAAATATGCCAGAGTACTCTGTTGTCCTTAATGACCTGCCCTCAGAAGAAACTAGTTCACCAGAGCCTAACCTGCTGGGATATTATCAGAGCCTAACTGACCTGAGAGAAGGAAAATGACCAACTCCAGTCCACTTTAGCCATTCTGTCCCACCTAAGGAGAAAGGAAAAATCTGAGAAACATTTGTAAAGTTCACAGTCCAGAGGCACAGGCTCACTAAAAGACTGAGACCTGATCATAGGACTATAGAATGCTTTCCCACCCCCCACACTCTACCCCTACATTACTAAAGGCCTATTTATAGCAGTTACTTTTACCCAGTACATCACTTCCAGCTATCAAGAAAAAATTACAAGGCATACTAAAAGGCAAAACATACAATATGAAGAGACAGAGCAACCATCAGAGCCAGACATGGCAGGGATGTTGGAACTATCACACTGGCAATTTAAAACAACTATGGCTAATATGCTAAGGGCTCTAACGGATATAGTAGACAGCATGCAAGAACAGATGGGCTACATAAGCAGAGAGATTGAAATCCTAAGAAAGAACCAAAAATAAATGCTAGCAACTAAAAACACTGTAACAGAAATGAAGAATGCCTTTGATAGGCTTACTAGTGGACTGGACATGACTTAGTAAAAAATCTCTGAGCTTGAAGATGTGACAAGGAAACTTCAAAAGGAAAGCGAACAAAGACTGGAAAAAAAAAACCCAGAATATCCAAGGATTGTGAGGCAACTACAGAAGGTGTGTACCCATAATGGGAATACCAGGAGAAGAGGGAGAAATATTAGAGGAAATGCTTGAAACAATTACTCAGAATTTCCCTCTAATGTCAGACATGAAACCACAGATCCAGGAAGCTCAAATAACACCAAGCTGGATAAATACCCAAAAAAAGATACCTAGGAATATCATTTTCAAAGTACAGAAAATCAGAGCTAAAAACAAATCCTGAAAGAAGCCAGGCAGAGAGAGGGAAAGGAACACCTCATCTATAGAGAAACAAAGATGAGAATTATATTGAACTACTTCTCAGAAACCAAGCAAAAAGAGAGTACCATAAGACATTTCAAGTGTTGAGAAAAAGAAAACACCAACCTAAAATTCTGCATCCTGTAAAATTATTTTTCAAAAGCAAAGGAGAAATTATTTTTCAGACAAACAAAAATTAAGGGAATTAATTGCCAGTAAACCTGCTTTTCAAGAAATGTTAAAAGATGTTCCTCAGAAAAAAGGAAAATGATGTAGGTCAGAAACTTGGATCTGCATTTAAAAAAAAAAAAAAAGGGAAGACCATCGAAGAAGGAATAAGTGAAGGTAAAATAAAAACTTTTTTTTTCTTTGAGACAGGGTCTCATTTTGTTGCCCAGCCTGGAGTGCAACGGTGCAGTCTTGGCTCACTGCAACCTCCACCTGCTAGGCTCTCAAGCAGCCCTCCCACTTCAGCCTCCTGAGTAGCTGGGACTACAGTCGTGTGCCACCATGTCCATCTAATTTTTTTGGTTTTAATTTTTTGTACAGACAAGGTCTCACTATATTGCCCATGCTGATCCTGGACTCCTGGACTCCAGCGATTCTCCCACCTTGGCATCCTAAAGTGCTGGGATTACAAGCATGAGCCACTGCACCTGGCCTATTTTTATTATTCTTAGCTGACCTAACAGATAGCAGTTTGTCTAGTAATAGCAATAATGTATTCAATTATGTATGCTTATGCATATATCATATATATTTACATTTATATATAAGTGAAATGAAATGAATGACAGCAATGATACAAGGGATGGGAGGAAGGAATTAAGATTTTGTTATTATAAAACAATCACACTACCTGTGAAGTGGTACAGTGTTATTTGGAAGTGGACTTGAATTGACTGTAAATATATATTGTAATCTAAGGCAACTACTAAAATTTTTTTTAAAAGTATAACTGGGCCTGGCACGGTGGCTCACACCTGTAATCCCAGCACTTTGGGAGGCTGGGGTAGGCGGATCACAAGGTCAGGAGATCAAGACCATCCTGGCTAACATGGTGAAACCCCACCTCTACTAAAAATACAAAAAATTAGCCAGGCATGGTGGCGGGTGCCTGTGGTCCTAGCTACTGGGGAGGCTGAGGCAGGAGAATGGCATGAACCCAGGAGGCGGAGCTTGCAGTGAGCCAAGATCACACCACTGCACTCCAGCCTGGGTGACACAGCAAGACTATGTCTCAAAAAAAAAAAAGTATAACTGATATGCTGAAAAAGGAGAAAATGGAATCGTAAAATGCTCAGTGGAAAATAAAGATGGGTACAAAAAACAAGGGCAAAAAGTAGAAAACAATAACAAATATGGTAGGTATTAATCTAGCTATATCAGTAATCACTTTGAACATAGGCTAAGTGTACCAATTAAAAGACAAAGATTGCTGGAGTGGACCAAAAAACAAAACCCCACTATATCTTGTCTAAAAGAAACCCAATCTAAATCTAAAAACATATAGATTAAAAGTAGATGGATGGAGGAAAATACAGCATGATAATACTTATCAAAAGAAAGTAGGGGTAGCTATATTAATTTTAGAACAGACTTCAAATCAAGGAGAGTTGTCAGAAATAAAGAGCATTACATAATAATAGAGGGGTCAATCTTTCAAGAAGACCTAAGAATTTTTAATATGTATGCACCTAAAAATAGTATGTCAAATTACATTAAGCAAAAACTAGTAGAACTGCAAGAAGAGATAAATGAATCCATTATCATACTTGAAGACTTCAGTACTCACCTATCAGAAATGAACAGATCCAGCTGGCAGAAAATTAGTAAAGGCATAGTTGAACTCAACAGCACCATCAATCAAATGGATATAGTTGATATCTACAGACTAGTTCATCCAACAGCAGTAGAATGCACATTCTTCTCAAGCTCACATGGAACATTCACCAAGACAGACCATGTTCTGGGCCATAAAACACACCTTAACAAATAGAAAAGGATAGAAATCATACAATGCCTGCTGTCAGATTACAATGGGATTAAAGTAGAAATGAATAAGAGAAAGATAAGTGGAAAATCCCAAAATACATGGGGACTAAATAATATGCATCTAGATAACACATGGGACAAGTCAGAGGACTGTCACTACCCAACTTCAAGATTTACAATAAAGCTGAGTCATCAAGACAGTGTGTATTGACAAAAGAACAGACAAATAGATTAAAAGGACACAAAAGAGAGCCCAGGAATAGACCCATATAAATACAGTCAACTTATCTTTGACAAAGAGGCAAAGGCAATACAATGGAGCAGATAGTCTTTTAAACAAACATTGCTAGAACAACTGGACATCCACATGCAAAAAAAAAAAAAAAAAAAAAAGAACCTAGGCACAGACCTTACACCTTTCACAAAAATTAACTTAAAATGGATCATAGACCTAAATATGAAGTGCAAAACCACAGAACTCCTAGAAGATAACATAGGACAAAACTTAGATGATCTTGGGTATAGCAATGACTTTTTAGATAAAACACCAAAGGCATAATCCAAGCAAGAAATAATAAGATGGACTTCATTAAAATTTAAAACTTCTGCTCTGTGAAAAACAATGTCAAGAGAATGAGAAGACAAGCCACAGACTGGGAAAAAATATTTGCAAAAGACACTGTCATGCAAAATATACAAATAACTCTTAAAAACACAAAGAAAAGAAAAACTCAATTTAAAAATGAGCCAAAGCCCTTTATATATATCTCATCAAAAAATGACAAGCATATTAAAAGGTGCTCCCCATTATTTATCATCAGGAAAATGCAAAATAAAACAATGAGATACCAATACACCATCTATTAGAATGACCAAAATCTAAAATACTGACAACAACAAATGCTGACAATAACATGGAGTGACAAGAATTCTCATTCATCGCTCTTGGGAATGCAACATAGTACAGCCCCTTTGGAAGACAGTCTGGCAGTTTCTCACAAAACTAAACATCCTCTTACCATACAATCTAGCGATTATGTCCCTGGGTATTTACCCAAGTGAATTGAAAACTTATATCCAGTTTTTTAAAACCTGCACACAGATATTTAAAACAGCTTTATTCATAATTGCCAAAACTTGGAAGCAACCAAGACATTTTTCAGTGGGTGGACAGATTAAAAAAAAAAAACCTGTGGTACATCTAGATAATGGAATATTATTCAGAACTAAAAAGAAATGAGCTATCAAGCCACAAAAAGACATGGAGGAATATTAAATGCATATTGCTAAGTGAAAGAAGCCAATCTGAAAAGGCTTAAACTATATGATTCCAACTATATTACATTCTGGAACTGGCAAAACTATGAAGACCGTGGAAAGATCAGTGGTTTCCAGATTTTGGGATTAGGGGTAGGGGTGAATAGGCAGAACAAAGGGGAGTGAAATACTCTATATGACTATAATGATAGATACATGTCATTTTACATTTGTCCAAACTCATAAAATGTACAACACCAAGAAAGAACTCTAATGTAAACTATGAAACTTGGGTGATTTTGATGTGTCAATGTAGGTTCAATTGTAACACATGTACCACTCCGGTGAGGGATGTTGACAATGGGAGAGTCTATCCAAGTGTAGGATTAGACAGTATGTGGGACATCTCTGTCTGATATGGTTAGGCTTTGTTTCCCCACCCAAATCTCATCTTGAATTGTAATCCCTAGGTGTTGAGGGAGAGGCCTGGTGGGAGGGGATTGGATCCTGGGAGCAGTTTCCCCCATGCTGTTCTCATGATGGTGAGGGATTTCTCACAAGATCTGAGAGTTTTATAAATGGCAGTTTCCCCTGGTCCCCCGGGCTTCTCTCTCTCTCTCTCTCCTGCCGTCATGTAAGACATGCCTGCTTCCCCTTCTGCCATGATTTTAAGTTTCCTGAGGGCTCCCCCAGCCATGAAGAACTGTGAGTCAATTAAACCTCTTTCCTTTATAATGACCCAGTCTGGGATAGTATCTTCATAGCAGTGTACAAATAAACTAATATATTGTCCCTCCTTCTTAATTTACTGTGAATCTACAACTACCCTAAAAAATCATCTTTAAAAAAAGTTCTTACTGTACCATTTACCTCCTCCCTGGTATCATTTACCTAAATTGTAAATTTGCATTGATTTGTGTGATTATTTGATTAATGTGCATCTTCCCCACTAAACAGTAAATTCCAAGATGTTTGTTCACCGTAAGTTAACTAGTGCTCAGCATATAGCAGGGTTTCAGAATTCCTTGAATGACTATACATAAATTTACAAATATAGCAAATGTTTTTAAATTCATTAAGCCATTATCTTCAATGCATCTTTCAGGATGATTTGAGAGGAAAAGATAGGAGTGATGCAGGGGAAGAGAAAGAAGCAGCCATTCCTATTTGTTTTCTGCGGTCATTTGGTTAAAGCCTAAGCAACATCTCTAAGTTACAATGGTTTGATAATAATGAGTTTGCATTCCTGCAGCACCTCTCTTCTCCTGTGGTTTGCAGACAGATCTCAGCCTCACTTTGGGGTGACTCTTCTACAAACGATGCTAAAAACAGATCTTGTCTTGCTACTAACCAAGCCTAATGAGTTTTCTCTGAGAAGGTGCCAGGTCCCCTTCCAAAGTACTTACCCTGTAGCTTTTTATGATCATCTCATTTTCTTAATACAACGGCATGATGTCAAAGGCAACAAAATCAACCGTCTTTGCATGAACTCTCAAAAGGAGCCATTTAGGGTCCCTGCATCTCTTTTCTCTAGGTAGGCAAAAGGGTTGTGATCCATCCCAGCGAGTGGTGTGGGAGTGGCTGTTTTTACCTAACCTTTATTGAGCACTTACTTTGTGCTAGTCCGTTTATTGAGCACTTACTTTGTGCTGTCTACGCATCCCCTGGTTTAATCAAAACCAGAAAAGGGTCTCTGGGCGTCCAACGTGGGCAGGATGTGATTACCAGCTGGTTGTCAAGGCAACTTAGCCACGGCAGGCCAGGCCTGAGCCAGGGAATTGGGAAGTGGGTCCCCCCGCCTCCCCTGCAAGCAGATGAAGATTCAATCCCCAGGGCCACCCCCTGCTACCCAACACGCTTACCCTCCTGGCTCAGCGAGGGCAGAGTGGGCAGCACCTGCCTGCCCAGGTCCTGCAGGGCACGGGCGATCGTATCCAACATCTCCAATTTCCAGGTGACTCCGTACTGAATGTTCGATGGGTCTCTTCTTTCTTATATGGAATGTGCACAAAAATAATTTTCCCACCCTCCAGCCCCTTCTCCACGGAGCTTTGGATGTGCCTTAAAAATAAGAGTGACGAAAATCTTGAACTTCTTGACTCTTTTTCTTCTTTCTTAAATAAACTTAAACATTGGTTCTCGCCGTCCCTCCCCACTGCTCTGGCTCTCGGGCAGCTCCCACAGCAAGAGCCGCAGGAACTGATGTCCGGCACCGAGTGAGAGTGTGCAGACCCGCGCCCTCCTGACCAACGAGAGACCCAATGAGGGGTGAGCTGCAGCCTCGAGGAAGGGAGGGGCACCAGGGAGAATAGGCCCGGCAGAGGGAAGGGCGCGTTGCTGGGACGCGAGAAAGGCTCGCTCGGTTGCTAAGGCGTCAAGGCTGGGATTCGACCTCACCCCCTTAGATGGGCGGCTTCCAGGTTGCCCAGGCGATTCAGAAGCTCGAGGCAGCGAGGTTGGAAGTAACTTAAAAATAAATAAATAATGGGTTTTTACTTCTCTGACCCCGGGCAGCGAAGAAACGTGGTTAGAGTGGTAGTTTTTGTACCTTGGACAAATCTAGGAATGCCTTTTGCCCAGAGAGATCGATATTTGAGTCTCCAGATCTGTTTGAGAGTTTGAGTTTGAGCTGGAATTTGTTTCTTGGTTTGCTTTTCCCTGGGCTCTCTTCCTAGGAAATGGAGAGCTGGAGAAGTGGGGAGGAGGGAATTGACTTTTTTTAAACTACAGTCATTTCCCCCTTTTCTCTACATGTCACCAATCTCATCCTGAAGAATTGCGTGCATGCTCTCCCCTCTGCTGGTAATTATCACAAGCTGAACATACCTATGCAAAACCCATCCAGGTCAAAAAATAGAATGCTAGCACATTGCACAGATCAGCACTTCATTACCCCTCCAGTCATTAGCCAACACATACTGCAGATTCATTTTGCCTGTTGAATCTTTGGAATCATATAGTATGTATCCTTTTCTGTCTGGCTCTATTCAAATTCACATTATGTTTATGAGGTTCATCCATAGTTTCTATGGTAATAATTTCTTCATTTACACTGTTGCATATTATTCCTTTTTATGAGTATGGCACAATTTATGCATTCCACTGTTGAAGGGCATTTGCGTTGTTTCCCTTTGAGGCTACTGGGAATAAGGCTGCTGCAAACAGTCTCACAGAACACTTTTGACAGATAGATGTACTCATTTCTGATGTGTATATAACTAGGAGTAGATTCATGGGTCATGAGAAATGCATATGATCAATTTTAATAGATAATGCCAGCTAATTTTTAGTGGCAATATCAGCATTATTGTTCCACATTAAGATAATGGAATTATAAAAATAATTGTTTTACAATACATTAGATTTTGAATTAAATATAGTGGTACTTTTAATCTCTAGAAAAGCTGTCTTCAGTTCCAGAAGATGGTGGTGGATGCTAATTATTAGTGAATTGTAGATGGCTAAAGGAAGCTGTAAAAAGAATAAGGACAAAGACTTTTCTTCCAAGGTTTTACTTTCCTTTTGTCAAAGGTCTCTTGACAAAAGAGGCTGTGTAGATACATGTAACCCTGTGTTGACTAGAAACTTTTAATGAGCTATAAATATTATATATCCTGAAAATACATACTTTTCAGTTGCTATTAAAACTCAGGCAAACTATGTACTTCCACTGCTACAAATTTGGATATATTTGGATATAAAATTGGATGTATTAGCATGATACATACAAAGATATATGTATATGCAACATTGTTTATAATGTTAATTCTTAGAATTAGCCTAAGATGACCATCATAGGGAACTGGTTAAATTGTGAATACATACATTGGAATACATTTCAAGAGTTTACTTAAAAGGAAACTGCACATTTACGTGCTGATGTTGAAAAAGTTTCAAAATATAGTAAGTGAAAACCAGTAGCAGCATAGTATTTTTATATAATGTAATCCTGTTTCCTTCAAATATAAGTATATAAGTATGCATACGTATTCATATATATTTTTGTAAACATATGGGATATTTGAGGAAAGATACATACACAAAAATATTAACAGTGGAATTTTGGATCAGGCAAAATTTTGTATGGTGGAGGAGGCATTCCAAGAACTTTTATATTCACTTTTCTCCTTTATTTACTGTTTAACAAGGGCATGAATTACTTTATAATATTTAAGATAATTTACCAAAGAGAGGAAGAGAGAGAGGTACAGGTAGAGTGTAGGGATTTATGCAAACACTGAAGGAAACAAACAGGGCCAAAATGTTCCCAAGTATTTCAATGTACATTTACTTTTCTGCAAGCTCCAACTTGCCTTGCAAAACCCACATTGAATGGGCAGTCATTTTTACCCAAGCCCCAAGGCACACACAATATTAAGTGGCTTATATTAAAGGCAACTTGGAAAAAAAAACTATTGAAAAAGAAAACATAATACTCATTATACAACACCAGAATAGAAATTTGCAATAAATAATTTAACCACATCTATTGAGTACCTAATTTGTGCCAAGCACTTTGCTAGTTGCTAAAAGGAATACAGACACTTAACCAGAAAACCCCTACAGATAAGAAGTTCACAATTCATTTTTCACCATTTTAACAAATATTTATTGCAGGAGGTTCTAAAATCAGGATTGGGTTTCAAAGTTAAAGTGTAAATTGAAAATTGGATGTGGGAAAACTACTCCAGGAATCCCTTCTTAGGAAGGGACCATATCAGAGACCCACATATGCCATCTCTCAGTTTATAGACCCAATGCAGTCTTTCTCTCCTCACACTGGAGCAGATCACTTTCTTCAGGAGAGATGTAATGAAACAGTTGGCTAGAGTTTAGGAAAGCAGTCTTATTCTAAAAATTCAACCAAATAGAATTGTATGTACTCAACACTGTGCCATGCTTACACTATGATACACACTCATGAACTGAGACAGATTGAAAATATAGCAGATGTATATCTTCTGTCCCTTGCTTACTCAAGGATTTATGCAGAAACAGACTTGCGGTAGCTTCATAGACTGTGAACTTAGCCAAGATAGAACTACATTTTCCAGAATTCCCTTTCCTATATGATTCTAGGTTAGGGTTAGTCAAAAGAGAATGTGTGTGAGATTTGGAAGGCAGAAGTAAAGCAGCAGCCATGTGATCTGAAGCCCTAAAGGTCATTGTAGGGCCAGGCACTGACCTGCTGGCTCACCGTGTAGGCATGGGCCAGCAGCCTGGCCTGCAGCTTTGCAGCTCCTGCCAGATCTCCTCATTCTGCTTCTCTCAATCTTAGACCAGGTACATGTGCAGCAGTGTTGCCAAAGGTACTACCTAATCCTATAAGTCCCTCACATCACTGAGGTTGGACGCAAGGAAATACAGATGCAGGTTGCAATTTGTCCTCACAGGATCTAGTTTGCCTGTGTGTAACCGCCCAATGGGTTCATCTTGCCTACTGCCCAAATGAAGCTGATTTATCAAGATGGGGGAATTGCAATAGAGAAAGAGTTTAATACAGGCAGAGCTGGCTAAATGGAAGACTGGAGTCTTATTATTACTCAGATCAGCCTCCTTGAAAATTCAGAGGCTAGGGTTTTTTAGTTTGGTGGAAAAGGAGCTAGGGAATGGGGAATGCCGATTGGTTGGGTCAAGTGATGAAATCATAGGAAGTTGAAGCTGTCGTTTTGTGCTGAGTCAGTTCCTGGTGGAGGCCACAAGACCAGATGAGCCAGTTTTTCTGTCTGGAATGTGCCAGCTAACCCATCAGAATGCTGGGTCAGAAAAATCGGCTCAAACACCAATCTTAGGTTTTACAATAGTAATGTTATCTATAGAGGCAATTGGGGAAGTTAGCAATCTTGTGGCCTCTGGCTGCATGACTCCTAGGCCATGGTTTCTGAGCTTGTGGCTAATTTGTTGGTTTTACAAAGAACAATCTTGTCCCCATGCAAGAAGGGAGTTTGTTTCAGGGAGGGGCTGTTATCATCTTTGTTTCAAAGTTAAACTATAAATTCCTCCCAAAGTTAGTTCAGCCTATGCCCGGGAACGAACAAGGGCAGCTTGGAGGTTAGAAGCAAGATGGAGTTGGTTAGGACAGATTTCTTTTACTGCCATAATTTTCCTATGTCAGATTTTTCTCAGTGTCATAATTTTTGCAAAGGCGGTTTCACTTGTAGGTTCCAGATTGTTCTCACCAGTTCCAATCTTTCCTTATTCTTCCCCATTTCATGACCATCTTTTCTTCCTATTAGCCTTGCTGTCTTTAGGCCCTACACCAGACACAGAGGCCAACACCAGACAGAGATGACTTAACCAGCTCTTACAACTATGTAAGGGCTAGTGCTCATAATAAATTTTATATTTTCTATCACTCTTACAGGTTCTGCTTCTCTGATTGAACCTGAATGATACAGAACTGGTAGATAAAACTAAAGTATTTCAATTTAAAGTATTCTCTTTAAGTTTTACTTAGACTTGAATTCACATAAATTATGTATTTGTGCACTGCAACTGTATTGTAAAGATTTATCTTAGTCTGTTTTGTGTTGTTGTAAAGGACTACCGGAGAGACTGAGTAATTTATAAAGAAAACATATTTATTTGGTTCACAGTTAAGAATGGCTGGAAGGTTCAAGATTGGGTATCTGCATCTGGTGGAGGCCTCAGGCTGCTTCCATTCATGGCAAAAGGCCAAGGCAAAGGGGAGCCAGCTGTGCAGAGATCACTTGGTGACAGAGGAAACAAAAGACGGGTAAGGGAGATGCCAGGCTCTTTTTAACAGCCAGCTCTGAGGAATTAATAGAGTGAGCACTCACTCCCTACCGAGGGAGGTCATATATCTCTATTCATGGGTTTCGCCCCCATGACCAAAACACCTCCCATTAAGCCTCATCTCCAATATTGGGCCAGGATCAAATTTCAGCATGAGGTTTGGAGGGGACATCAAACCGTAGCATATGTTAAATGTCATGTTTGAGGCATGAAGACAGTGTAATGGGAATTCAAGGGGAGGAAGATTATATCTCTGTTAGGCCATTCTTGCATGGCTATAAAGAAATACCTGAGACTGGGTAATTTATTTTAAAAAGAGGTTTAATTGGCTCATGTTTCTGCAGGCTGTACAAGCATGGTGCTGGCATCTGCCCAGCTTCTGGGGACGCCTCAGGGAGCTTTTACTCATAGTGGAAGGCAAAGCAAGAGTAGGCTTATCACATGGCGAAAGCAGGAGCAAGAGAGAGAGTGGGTGGGGGAAGGTGCCACACACTTAAACAACCAGATTTCGCAAGAACTCATTCACTACCGTGAGGATGGCACCAAGCTATGACGGATCCACCCCCATGATCCAAACGCTCTCTGCCAGGCCCCACCTTCAACACGGGGATTACAATTCAATGTGAGATTTGGCAGGGACAGATATTCAAACTATGTCTGCTTCTAACTGGGATGATTGGCCTGAATGCTAAACAAAGAAGCTTGAATTGTATTTGGAAGGTGTGGATAGTTCCTGAAGGCCTTGAATAAGAGAATGACCTAATCACCACTATATTCTTCTGTATTACATTAAAAAGAAGTTTGAATTTCATTACATGTTATAAGTAATCCATATGTCAGATAACAACTAATCAGAGAAATTTCTCAGAGAGATAGGGGAAAGCTACCAAATAACTAAAAGGATAACCACAGGAAGGCTGGCTACAGAATGATTAATGTGGTTGAGTGACAGCCATTTAGAAGCTTTTGACAGATGAAACTGCAAAGATGCATTCATTTTCTTACAATACAAATGAAAAAAAGTAAATTAGCTAAGGTGATAAATGAGATTACCTTGACATTAAGCTGTGGAATGATCTCCCAAAGAAAAAATATAGAAAACTCATCAATTCAGACTATTTGAAAATAGACCATTTCAAGTAGGAGTTAACACACTATTGTTATTCTACCTGGACTCTTTGCAGAATAAAAGTCATACAATAGGGCTTTCTTATGTTTAATAGATGTTGTCTCAATAAATAATAAATATGATAATAATACCCGTGTATATAACATTATCTATTTATGATTAGAAGAGAAAGTTAATATTTAAGCTGTACTCATCTGACCTACACCTCTTATAAGCATTTTGCACCTTTTTTCTATTTCACTTAAGCTAAAGTGAGGAATTTGGCATTTGGAAATCTGAGCTCAAGTCTAGTATTAACATAAATAGGCTTGTGTTTATAACTGAATAAAATCTTAATATTTCTGAGCCTGTTTGTTGTTAAAATAGTAATAATGACTGTAAATGTTAACAGAGTATATCCCAGTAAACTTAAAGAAATAATGATAAAAGTAAAAATAGGAAAAAAAGCTCTTTGGCTTCCAAAAATTCTAAACCTGCAGATTCTTGCCCCATTTTACCATAAGATTATACCACTTTACATAGGCAAAACCAAATGTATATTCTATAAACAAAAGAATACCTTGACTATTTTTTAAAATGGAGACTACTGATAAATAAATTTTGAAAAATTGTAAAATAAGTGACTTTAGGCAATGTATGGTAAGTTGGTCAGCCAATTCACTTCACACAATATACAAAAATTAACTTAAAATAGTTCATAGACCTAAATCTAAAAGTAAAAGACATAAAAGTTCTAGAATAAAACATAAAAGAAAAATCTTGTGATCTTGAGGTTAAGCAAATATTTAAGATAAAAAGCATTAATCATAAAAGTTAAAAACTTGATAAGTTGGACTTTATCAAAATTCAAAACTTTTGCTCTTTAAAGGCATCATTAAGAAATGAAAAGTCACAGAATAGTAGAAAATATTCACACTACCAATACCTGACAACTGGTATATAAAATGTATTTTTAAAATCTCCCAAAGCTCAATAATAAGAAGATAATTCAATTTCTTTAATGGACAAAATATTTGAACATACATTTTACAAAAGCAGATGTATAAATGGTCAGTAAGGAGATGGAAAGGTTTGCAACATGGTTAGTCATTAGGAAAACACATATTAAAACTACAATGAGACAACACTACATTAGGATGGCTACAATTAAAAAGACTGATAATACCAAATGTTAGTGAAGATGTGGAACAATTGGAGCTTATACTCTCAAGGTGTGAATGTAAAGTAGTTCAAAAAACTGGCAGTTTCTTATAAAGTTAAACATACACCTACCATATGACCAGCCATCCTAGTTCTAAGCATTCAACCTATAGAAATAAAAAATATGTGTTCACACAAAGTGTTAAATGCAAATATTCATAGCAGCCTTATTCACAGTAGCCAAAAATGTAAAACAGCCCATGTGTCCATCAAATGGAAAATGGATAAACAAGTCGTAGTATATCTATACAAAGTAACACTACTTAGTAATAAAAAGGAGTGAACTACTGACATAGGTAATAACATGGATGAACCTCAGAATCATCATGCTGGCTGATAAAAACAAGACACAAAGAATACATACTGTGTGGTTTCATTTATATAAATTGTAGAAAATGCAAACTAATTTATAGTGAGTCCAGCAAATCAGTGATTGGCTGGGGCCAGGATCAGAAGGAGAAATGAACTGCAAAGGGGGCATGGGAAATATTTTGGGGTGTAATGGATATATTCTGTATCTTGAATGTGGTAGTGATTTCACAGGAGTCTACAGCTGTCAAAATTCATCAAAGTGTGCACTCTAAATGGGTGCAGCTTATTGTATGTATCCTGATGAGGATTTTTTTTTTAAGAAGAAACCCAGAATTCTAGGAAAGCAAACTTAAAAGCTTAATAAATGCAAACTTAAATAAAATTTAGTTAATTCATAAGTTGACTAAAAAGTAAAGAACTTACTTGAGGATTTTAACAGTAGACAGAAAACAACATATGTCAAGAAGAATGAACTTAATGAAATTATCCAAATTGAACCTCAAAAAGGAAGAAGGTAAAAAGAACCTCACACAGTAAGAAATGTGAAATATATGAAGTTCCAGGAAGAGAAGACAGAATAAGAAGTAATCATTTGAGAAAAATGGCTGATAATTTTCCAAATTGATGAAAAGTATTAACAAAATCTTCAAGAAGCTTAGCAAGTCCCAAATAGGATAAATACAATGGAAATGACACATAGGTACATAAAAGTCAATTTATTGACTTTTATTAACCTTATTTATTAAATAGGGCATTGAATCTATAAATTATCTTGGGCAGTATGGCCATTTTCATGATATTGATTCTTCATACCCATGAGCATGGAATGTTCTTCCATTTGCTTGTGTCCTCTTTTATTTCGTTGAGCAGTGGTTTGTAGTTCTCCTTGAAGAGGTCCTTCACATCTCTTGTAAGTTGGATTCCTAGGTATTTTATTCTCTTTGAAGCAATTGTGAATGGGAGTTCACTCATAATTTGGCTCTCTGTTTGTCTGTTATTGATGTATAGGAATGCTTGTGATTTTTGCACATTTTCTATCCTGAGATTTTGCTGAAGTTGCTTATCAGCTTAAGGAAATTTTGGGCTGAGACGATGGGGTTTTCTAAATATGCAGTGTCAACTGCAAACAGGGACAATTTGACTTCATCTTTTCCTAATTGAATACCCTTTATTTCTTTGTCCTGCCTGATTGCCCTGGCCAGAATTTCCAACACTATGCTGAGTAGGAGTGGTGAGAGAGGGCATCCCTGTCTTGTGCCAGTTTTCAAAGGGAATGCTTCCAGTTTTTGCCCATTCAGTATGATATTGGCTGTGGGTTTGTCATAAATAGCTCTTACTATTTTGAGATAACGTCCCATCAATATCAAGTTTATTGGAGTTTTTAACATGAAGGGTTGTTGAATTTTGTCAAAGGCCTTTTCTGCATCTATTGAGATAATCATGTGGTTTTTGTCTTTGGTTCTGTTTATATGATGGATTACGTTTATTGATTTGTGTATGTTGAACCAGCCTTGCAACCCAGGGATGAAGCCAACTTGATCATGGTGGATAAGCTTTTTGATGTGCTGCTGGATTCGGTTTGCCAGTATTTTAATGAGGATTTTTGCATTGATGTTCCTCAGGGATACTGGTCTAAAATTCTCTTTTTTGTTGTGTCTCTGCCTGGCTTTGGTATCAGGATGATGCTGGCCTCATAAAATGAGTTAGGGAGGATTCCCTCTTTTTCTATTGCTTGGAATAGTTTCAGAAGGAATGGTACCAGCTCCTCTTTGTACCTCTAGTAGAATTCGGCTATTAATCCATCTGGTCCCGGACTTTTTTTGGTTGGTAAGCTATTAATTATTGCCTCAATTTCAGAGCCTGTTATTGGTCTTTTCAGGGGTTCAACTTCTTCCTGGTTTAGTCTTGGGAGGGTGTATGTGGAAAATGACTAAGTTTGTGCTGACATAAACAAAGCAAATTACTTCCATATGTTTGTTTAAAAAAAATAACTTTCCTGCAAAGAAATGCCAGGTTTATATGGCTTTAATGCTAAATTCTTACAAATAATTCAAGAACAAATAATACTGGATTTACACAAACTATTCCAGACAATTAAAAAAGAAGAGACATGTCTGAACTCACTTTTTAAGACTGGCAAAACATTGATACCAAAATATGACAGTACAAGTAAGGAAATTTATAGTCTAGAATCTCTCTTGAACATAGATATAAAAATCGTAACAAAATATCGATAAATTGGCAGGGTGTAGTGGCTTATGCTTGTAATCCCAGCACTTTGGGAAGTCAAAAGTGAGAGGATTACTTGAGCCCATGAGTTTGAGACCAGCCTGGGCAACATAGTGAGATCCTGTCTCTAAAAAATGTGTTTACATTGGTGGCATGCATCTGTAGGCCCAGCTACTCAGGAGGCTGATGTGGGAGGATCAGTTGAGCCCAGGAGTATGAGGTTACAGTGAGCTATGATCACACCACTGCACTCCAGCCTGGGTGACAGAGCAAGACCCTGTCTCAAAACAAAACAAAACAAAACAAAAATCAATAAATGGGATCCAGGAATATAAAAAAATAATAACATACCATAACAAAGAAGGATGTACTCCAGGAATAAAAGGTTGATTTAACATTTAAAAATTCTGTCATTATAATTCACCACATTAACAGAATAATATGGGAAGAAGGGGCAGAATAAAATCATCTTAATAGGTGAAGAAAATATATTTGATAAAACTGAACATGCATTGATGATTTTAGAAAAAAATCCTCAACAAAGGAGAAATTGAATAAAACATCCTTAATCTCAAAGGGTTATCTAGTAATAAAACCCCGTAGCTGTGTCATTATCAATGGTTAACATTTTCTCCCCAGAGTCAAGAATAAGATGGGGATCTTTACTACCACAGCTGTTATTCATCATTATGCTGTAGGCCCAAGAGAGTTCTACAAGACAAGAAAGAGAAATAGAAGGTATAAAGATCAAAAACAAAAAGTAAAACTGTCTTCATTTATGTATTACATGATTGTGAAGACAGAAAATCTGAAACTATACAAACTATTAGAATTAATTTAGCAAGCTCTCTGGATACGAAGTCAGCACATGAAAACCAAGTATATTTCTATATACTATCAAGAAATGATCAGAAAATGAAATATTCTAAAATGTAATTTATAGTAACATTAAAAAATCAAATATTTAGGAACAAATTTAAGAAGAGTTCCACAAGGCTAATAGTGAAAACTACAAAATATTCCTGAGAGAAATTAAAAGTGACCTAAATAAATGAAGAGCTATATCATGTGCATGAATCAAAAGACTCAAAATTGATAAGATGTCAATTTCCCCCAATTTGATAAGTAGATTCAATGCAAACCCAACCTATAAAAACCCACATAAAATATTTGGTCGACATCAACAGGATAAATCTTAAATTATATGGAAATGCAAAGAACCTAAAATAGCCAAGAATAATCTTTCAGAAGAATAAAGTTGAAAACTTTACTATCAGATTTCGAGACTAACTATAAAGCGGCAGTAATTAAGACAAGGTGGTATTGGTGCAAGGAGAGGCAAATAGGCCAATGTAACAAAACAGAGTCCAGAAATACCCTCTACATATACATCATTTAGTTTATAACAAAGGTGTTACTACAATTCAATGGGGAAATGATAGTGTTTTTATTAAATGGTACTTCAACAACTGTATATCCATATGGGAAAGAAAATAAACTCTAACTCACAACAAATCCAAAACTTAATTCAAGGTGGATCATATTCTCTAATGTGAAATCTGAAACAGAAAGCTTTAGAAGAAAACAGAATAACTTCATAACTTTGGGGTAGACAATGATTTCTTAAACATGACAGAAAAAGCTCTAACCTTAAGAGACAAAATTGATAAATTTGACTTCATTAAAATTGAGAACCTCTATTATCAAAATACATTAGCAGGAAATTGAATAGGCAATTACAAAGTAGGAGAATATATTTGCAATACTTATATCTGTTAAAGGATTATATACATAAATAACTCTACGGATCAATAAGAAAGCTTTTTAAATGGGCAAAACACTTGAACAGGCACTCTTCAGAAAAGAAAGATAAACAAACATCTACCTTATGATGCAGCAATTCTGTTCCTAATTATATACCCCCTAAAATAACATATGAAGTACATATGTCTGTAAAAACTTTTACAACAATATTTAAAGCAGCTTTATACTTAATAACCAAAACTTGGCAACAGCCTAAACATCCACTAGCAGGTGAATGTATAAACAAATTGTTATTTATTCATACAATGGAATATAACACAACAATAAAAAAATAAACTACCACTGATATACAGAACATAGATAAATCTCCAAAATATTATGGTGAGCAAAAGAAGAGAGACATAAGAGTACAAACTGTATGACTGCATTTATGTGAAGCTTAAGACCCAGAAACTAACCTATTTGATAGAAGTCAGAATATTTATCTCTGCAAAGTAGAGTATTGACTGGGAGTTACTACAAGAGAGCTTCCTTGGAGGCTAAAAAATGTTCTGTATCTTGATATGATTGGTGGTTACAAAAGTGTATGCATTTGTAAAAATACATACATACTTAAGATTTATTTATTTTACTGTGTGTAAATTAAACTCGAATTTTAAGAGTATAGAGTGGCAGTTTACATACTCTCTCTCTCTCTCTCTCTCTCTCTCTCTCTCTATATATATATATATATATATATTTTTTTTTTTTTTTTTTTTTTTTTTTTTTTTTCTAGACAGAGTCTCGCTCTGTCACCCAGGCTGGAGTACAGTGGCACGATCTCGGCTCACTGCAAGCTACGCCTCCCGGGTTCACACCATTCTCCTGCCTCAGCCTCCCAAGTAGCTGGGACCACAGGCGCCCGCTACCACGCCCGGCTAAGTTTTTGTATTTTTTTTAGTAGAGATGGGGTTTCACCGAGTTAGCGAGCATGGTCTCACTCTCCTGACCTTGTGATCCGCCCGCCTCGGCTTCCCAGAGTGCTGGGATTACAGGCGTGAGCCACCGCGTCTGGCGCAGTTTACATACTATTTGGCACATTCCATGCACAGGCTTTGTGCAGCATGCTCTTTGGTATCAGGATATTCAAAATGTAAACCTTCTTAATCCCATCTAGGGACAAAATATAGCATAGTGGCTAAGAGTTTGGGTCTAAGAGTCAATTATTCTTAACAAAAATTTGTTGAGCTCCTTATTATGTGCCAGGCTCTGGTCTGGGTAGTGTGGTAATAAGCAGCAAACACAACCAAGAGCTTGTCCTAACAGAGATCATAGTCTAGGAGGAGATACAGACAATACAAATATAAATAATATAATAATGTTACAAAGAAAAATAAGGCAGGACAATTGGATGCACAGTGAGGTGTCTATTTCAGATGGATTAATGTAGCTTCTCTAAGATTACATTTGAGCAGAGACCTGAATGACGTGAAGAAGCCAGCCATGAGAATCTTTAGTGGAAAACTAAACCCTAGGCCTTTAATTTTGCTATTCTGGAAACCCTGAGCAGGCTATTCGATTTCTCTGTGTCTCTGTTTCACCATCCATAAAATGTTTATTATTTCCAGATGGTATTAAGGATTAAGTGAGATATATGTAAAGTGCCAACACAGTATCTGACATATCATAAGGATACAATATATAATTATTGTGTAAATCATGGAATAAAATGCAAACAGAATGCATCAGTGTTATAGGGTAGGAGCTTTTGCTTATTCTTTTTTTTTGGTTTTTTTTTTTTTTTTTTTTTTGAGATGGAGTCTCACCGTGTTGCCCAGGCTGGAGTGCAGTGGCACAAACTTGGCTCCCTGCAACCTTCATCTCCTGGGTTCAAGCCATTCCCCTGCCTCAGCCTCCCGAGTAGCTGAGATTACAGGCACCTGCCATCACAGCCTGCTAATTTTTGTATTTTTAGTAGAGACTGGGTTTCACCATGTTGGCCAGGTTGGTCTCAGACTCCTGACCTCACATGATCCACCCGCCTCGGCCTCCCAAAGCGCTGAGATTACAGGCATGAGCCCCCGTGCCTGGACACTTTTGCTTATTCTTCTGTATAAATA
The DNA here is from genome assembly GCF_000001405.40 of Homo sapiens. NCBI lineage: Eukaryota > Metazoa > Chordata > Mammalia > Primates > Hominidae > Homo > Homo sapiens. The sequence goes on along the minus strand of NC_000011.10, from coordinate 86,361,615 downwards.
GTGTAAGTGTTCCATAAGCATCTGAGGTTCAGTGTATTTAATGTAATACCAGTTTTGCAATGCATCAGTTTCAATACACCTCTAGCACAGAAAAGGACAAGAAAATGGGGAAGCTAAAGAGCAAGGACTGGCTAAGGAAAACTGAGTATTCTGAGGGATAGAATCATAGTTGTTACCCTAAACAGATGGCCCGCTTTTCCAAGGTCAGGTCATATGATGCAGAATTGAGACAATCCCAATAATAAGCTAAACAATTGAATAACCATAGTTAAATCCAAATCTGTTTGTACATTTTTCACACCTTTGTTCATTCTATTTCCTCCACCTGAAATACTGTCCATTCCCAGCCTACAACCTGTGATTCCTAGAAGGCAATGTGCTTTCTTAAGCCTCTCTACTTCTGGTGGTTCTTTCTTAAATTGGAATTCCCCTCCCAATCTCTATCCTGTCCTTGGGTGCAAGCCTCAACTGTGGTTAAGGACGCCCTCCCCTGCCTATCTGTATAGCTAGGTTAGGCGTCCCTCATCTGGGCTTGCATTTCCCCAATATTTCTTGAATCACTGTTAAGTAAAAGAGCTTCCTAAATATGCAAGTGTTTGGGAATGTCCTCAGGATCCTTGTCCTCCATTCTATACATAAAGCACCATCTGGTGGTGAAAGAAGATGACTATACTTCTAGGTCACCAAGATGTGTTTTCTGTTTTCTGAGCTTTCAGAGAGCTTTTAAAATCATGTTAGAGGAAAAAAGCCACACTGACTTGCATAGAGATGTACCTATTGCCAAAGAACAGTTTTTCTTGAGTGAATGTTTTCTGCTTTCTTGCTCACTTCCATTTTCTACCACCCTTCTCCCTGTTTCCTTCCATCCTTATTTCTCAATTTCTTTCTCCTACATTTCAACTGGCCCACTGAAAACACAGTTCTGGCCAGGCACAGTGGCTCACGCCTGTAATCCCAGCACTTCGGGAGGCTGAGGCAGGTGGATAACTTGAAGTCAGGAGTTTGAGTCCAGCCTGGCCAGCATGGTGAAACCCTGTCTCTACTAAAACTACAAAAATTAGCCTGGCGTGGTGGCGTGTGCCTGTAGTCCCAGCTACTTGGGAGGCTAAGGCAGGAGAATGGCTTGAACCCAGGAGGCGGAGGTTGTGGTGAGCCGAGATCGTGCCATTGCACTCCAGCCTGGGTGACAGAGCTAGATTCCACCTCAAAAGAAAAAAACAGTTCTGGTTGGCATTTGTTTTGTTTTGGCTGCCCTAAGAGCCTCCACATTTCCTTTTGGAATTCACAGATCTACATTGTGTGTAATCTTAGTGGGGCTGCCATTCCTGGTGACTACATTCCATTACCAAAGCCGAAGGAAACAGATCCTTGCCCTCCTTGACTCTGCAGGACCAGGGGCCAGGTATGTGACCCAATATCAGTCATCAGATGCTCTTTCTGGGGCTCAGACTGTTGAGCTGTTGACAGGCAGACAGCAGGAAAATGTGGAAGTTATTTCCACAGGGATGGTATGCACTTTTCACTATCTTGCTTTAAGAAAATTGCCTGGGTTCCTAATGGCCAATCCCCCAGATCCCTCTTGATTCCTGCCCATTTCCAGGTCTGATTGTCCTAGCTCCCATCACTCTGAGCATCCCAACAGTCTTCCAATAATTTCCTTCTGCTTCAGTTAGTCCAAATCAATATCTGTGGCCTTGTCTGCTTACAAGTTTATAAAACCACTAAATATCCAACTAGTGTGGTGGCATAAAAGGAGACTATCCACCCCTCCACCCCATTATCAGAGAATAAACTTGAGGATTAAAGAGAAACATTTAAATCCTAGCTTTAGTTAACCAGGTTGCTTAAGTAGAGCCATGTGCCGTTAATGTGAGGGTCCTTTGAAATGGAAACCAGAAAAAGGAAAGGACAAATGTCAATAGGAAGATTAGATGTTTCTAATGTAGATTAGATTGCAGAGTGATGGAACGAAAATTAATCCTCAATTAATCCTCATAATGGCACATTGATTTGTGGTACTTTAGGGGGAAACCAGCTGCAGCTGGAAAGCACTCAGTGGACTCCCCCTGTTCTTCAGTCTTTACAGAATCTCTCTCCCTGAAGAGACAAATGGAGACAAAAAAGCAGAAAGAATACATGTGTACATCCAGTGGCTATATTAAGCAAGAAAATCTATGAAATGCAAAAGAAACTAGGGGCTGAAACTTTATTCGGAGGGCTAAAGGGTGGTTTGTGTAAAAGAAACGGAGAATTGCTCCTGAGATAGCCTGTCATCTGATGGCTTATGAGGTGAGGTTCTGCCTTCCTCTTGCTTAGAGGTGGGGAGAGACTAGACCAAAAGCTGAATGCCTGATCTCTGCCTATGGACTCCAAGTGACTCAGGAATGTTCACTTGACTCTTTAGTAAAGAACAGCTTGAAGCTCTATAAAGGTCTAGTTTGTACACAGAGAAAACAACCTATTTGGATCAGGGAAGCAGAACCCCACTCCATATGGCTGCTGACTGGCCTCCCCCTCACTGTGGCTCACTATAGAGGAGAAGTGTCAGTAGCTGGAGAGATTGTAAGGCTGATTCCCTTTCTGACTCCCTGGGATATCCCTTTCTCAGAAATACAGAGAAACTGTCAACGAAAGAGTTGACACTAGAAAATAAGTAGGGCATACCCAAGGGCATACTCAGTCACTGTGTCAGAGGCGTTTGAACCAGAGTGACTCCATTTTGAGTGAGGGCTAGGAAAATAAGACTGGGACTTGCTGGGCTGCATTCTCAGAAAATGAGGCATTCCTAGCCTCTAAATGTTTACGGTTAAGGGAACAAATTAATAATGTTTCCTAAACAGACCCAGACTTGGGAGTGTCCAGATATCCTGATATCTGGAGAAGAAAGGCATTCCTGATTTTGCTTTAAAGATAATAGTATCAATTCTTGCAAAATATAGTAATTAAGAAAATTAATCCTTTATCACAAACCCTTGTAGCAGAGCACATCTCCCCGTATATACAAGCATTGTACCTAGGGTGGACGCATTCCTCTTCTGACTTTCAGGAACGTCCTACTCTTATCAATGGAGTAGCTGTTCTTTCACCACTTTATTTTCTTAATAAACTTGCTTTTACTTTGCACTGTGGACTCGCCCTGAATTCTTTCTTGCATGATATCCAAGAACCCTCTCTTGGGGTCTGGATTGGGACCCCTCTCCTGTAACAACTGGTCCTCACTTCAATGCTTTATTGGACTGCTTTTGTTATTTGAGGCTTGAGGGTGTTAGCAAAAAAAAAGTCCAACTCTGTGAAATATTTGACGTGGTTTATTCTAAGCCAAATATGAGTGTCATGGCCTGTGACACAGCCTCAGGAGGTCCTGAGAACATGTGCCCAAGGTGGTTGGATTATAGCTTGGTTTTATACATTTTAGAGAGACAGAAGTTATAGGCAAAGACATAAATCAATACATGTAAGGTATAAAAGGCAGGATATCTTGAAGCAGAGAGTGGGGGATGTGGGTGGAGGAGTTCTTCCAGGTCATAGATGCATTCAAAGATTTTCTGATTGACGATTAAAAGGATTAAGCTTTGCTTGAGAAATGGAAGTCGACATAAAGAAATGCTTAAGATAAGGGGGGTTGTGGAAGCCAAGGTTCTTTTTATTTTATTTATTTATTTATTTATTTATTTTGAGACAAAGTCTCTCTCTGTTGCCCAAGCTGGCATGCAGTGGTGCAATCTCGGCTCACTGTAACCTCCGCCTCCCAGGTTCAAGCGATTCTCCTGCCTCAGCCTCCCAAGTAGCTGGAACTACAGGCACACACCACCATGCCTGGCTAATTTTTGTATTTTTTAGTAGAGACAGGGTTTCACTATGTTGGCCAGGCTGGTCTTGAGCTCCTGACCTCGTGATCAACCTGCTTTGGCCTCCCAAAGTGCTGGGATTACAAGCACGAGCTACCTCACCACCTGGAAGCCAAGGTTCTTGTTATGTAGATGAAGCCTGTAAGTAACAGGCTTCTGGGAGAATAGATAATAAATGTCTGTCAGACCTTAAAAGGTATTAAATCTCTCCTGGATTAGGAAAAGACTTGTAAAGAGAAGGGGATTCTCTAAAGAATGCAAATTTCCCCCACAGGAGACAGCTTTGCAGGGCCATTCCAAAATACGTCAAAGAAATATATTTTGGGATAAAATACTTTGATTTCCTTTAGGGCCGCTGTCATGTGATGTTATACCAGAGTCAGGCTGGAGTTGGGTATCTTATTACTAACAACAGTCTGTTTTATCAATCTTATGATTTCTGTTTTAATGTTAATGCTGGTCAGTTGTGCCTTAACTCCAAAGGGAGGAGGGCATAACAAAGCATGTCTGGCCTCAACCTCCACTTCCCATCATGGCCTTAACAAGTTTTTTATTTGGGATCCCCTTGGCCAAAAGGAGTCCATTCAGTAAGCTGAGTGGCTTAGAATTTTATTTTTGGTTTACAAGGGTATTATTACAGGAAAGGGGTCTGGATCCAGACCCCAAGAGAGGGTTCTTGGATCTCCCACAAGAAAGAATTCAAGGCGAGCCCATAAAGTGAAAGCAAGTTTATGAGGAAAGTAAAGGAATAAAAGAATCTCTGCTCCACAGACAGAGCAGCCCTGAGGGCTGCTGGTTGCCCATTTTTATGGTTATTTCTTGATGATATGCTAAACAAGGGGTGGATTATCCATGCCTCCCATTTTTAGACCATATATGGTAACTTCCTGATGTTGCCATGGCATGACATTGTCATGGTACTGGTGGGATTGCAGCAGTGAGGACAACCAGAGGTGACTCTCATTGCCATCTTGGTTTTGGTGGGTTTTAGCAAGCTTCTTTAGTGCAACCTATTTTATCAGCAAGGTCTTTATGACCTGTATCTTGTGCTGACCTCCTATCTCATCCTGGGACTAAGAATGCCTTAACCATCTGGGAATGCAGCCCCACTTTGCCTAGTTCCTATTTAAGATGGAGTTGCTGTGGTTCACATGCCTCTGACAGCATCAAACATTTGTTGGGACTGAACCTCAGTGCTCAATTAGGTATTTGATGAAGTTCTTGAAAAGAGGAGATTAAAGAAAAAACCTACAGAACTAAAACTGGTAATGGATTCTCTGGGTCAGGCTCTAACAAAATAATCAGTTGTGGCCAGGCACAGTGGCTCATGCCTGTAATCCCAGCACTTTGGGAGGCTGAGGCAAGTGGATCACTTAAGGTCAGGAGTTTGAGACCAGCCTGGCCAACATGTTGAAACCCTGTCTCTACTAATACAACAAAAATTAGTTGGGCGTGGTAGCACACACCTGTAATCCCAGCTACTTGGGAGGCTGAGGCAGGAGAATCCCTTGAACCTGGGAGGCGGAAGTTGCAGTGAGCTGAGATTGCATGACTGCACTCCAGCCTGGACAACAGAGCAAGACCCCATCTCAAAAACAAACAAATAATCAGTTGTGACAAAATAGTCAGTTGTCATTTGGGCTTGTCATTATTGAGAATAATCATTATCACATAAGCAAACCATTTTGTTACAGTGACGAATCCATACAGGTCTGCAGCAACCTCAGCTCTTGCCTCCTCAGAAGAAAGAATTTGACTGAGGGGCATGAAGTAGAAGGAGAAACCAAGGCAAGTTTTAGAGCAGGAGTGGAAGCTTATTACAAAGCTTTAGAGCAAGAACAAAAGAAAGGAAAGTACACTTGGCAGAGGGCCAAATGGGCAACTTGAAGGAAGGACCTTTTGACTTGGGGTTTTATATGCTGGCATACGTTCAGGGTCTTGCATCCCCTCTCCCCTGATTCTTCCCTTGGGGTGGGTTGCCTGCATACACAGTGGCCTGCCAGCACTTGGGAGGTGAGAATGCGCAGTGTGCATATTGGAGCTGTATGCATGCTCACCTGAGGCTTTCTTCCCTTTACTGATGGAATGCCCCCAGAAGGTCATATACCAGTTAAACCCTGCCATTTCACCTCTCAGTGCACATACTTGAGCCCGTTTGCCCAACTCCTGAGATCCTACTGGGAAGCTACTGATCACCATTTTCAGTTTTTTTCTATCTATAGGGAGACTGACTTTCCCTGGTGCTGGCTGTGACCAATTATTATTTCAGAGAGACAGTTAATAACCCCTTGACCATCAGCTCGTGGTTGCCTGACATGCTTGGTCAGGCGACGCCCTCTCCTGACCTGCTCATGCCTGACTAGCCACCTACTGTAACAATGTGACTGAGAAACTCACAAAAGCACAGGCATAAAACAGTAATTAATGGCAGTTAAAAATTATAAAATGCTATTTTACTTTTAAATGTACACATAATTGTACTTCACAATTCAAATGCTAAAAAGGTTTTTGAATTTTTGTGAAATAAATGTAAAAGCCAATAAAAATAATCAAAGGCCTTCCAAGTTCTCTAGGAAAAACATCAATTAAAAAATAGCATAATTACTTCGTAAAGTGATTTTAATTTTATTTGTGTATCTTATGTGTTGTACATGTGTCAGAAATTCCTTCCTTTTTAAGACTGAATGATAATTTCATTGTATGTATATACTACATTTTGTTTATTCATTCATCTGTCAATGGATGCAAAGCTACTTTTACATGACTGAAAAAACCTGATAAAAGCCCAATGGTCCAGTTGTTTCACCACGAAGGTCCTTCTTTCCTTTTCTTTTTTTTTTAACAGACTATTTTTAAGAGCAGTTTTAGGTTCACAGCAAAACTGAGCAGAAAGAAGGTGGGGATGGTTAACGAGTACAAAAAACAGGTAAAGAATGAATAAGATCTGTATTTGATAGCAAAACAGGGTAACTACAGTCAACAATTTATTGTATATTTTAAAATATCTGAAAGAGTGAAATTGGAATGTTCCTAACACAAAGAAATGACAAATGCTTGAGGAGATGGTAAAAAAATTTTGGAGGCTTAATATAAAATGGTAGTTCAGGGTTGCTTTTTAGACAGGTTTTTGCTCTGGCACTCAGGCTGGAGCACAGTGTTGCGAATATGGCTCACTGCAGCCTCAACCTCCTGGGCTCAGGCAATCCTCCTATCTCAGCCTCCCAGGTAGCTAGGACCAGAGGCACATGCCATCATGCCTGGCTAATTATTTTATTTTTTGTAGAGACAGGGTCTCACCACGTTGGTCTCGAACTCCTGGGCTCAAATGATCCTCTTGCCTCTGCCTCCCGAAGTGTTGGGATTATAGGTATGAGCCACTGTGACCAGCCAGGCTTGCATTTTTATTTTTGACCATAAATATTCTTTCATTTAAAAATAATTTTTCAGGCTGGGCGCAGTGGCTCATGCTTGTAATCCCAGCACTTTGGGAGGCCAAGGCGGGCGGATCATGAGGTCAGGAGATCGAGACTATCCTGGCTAATGCGGTGAAACCCCGTCTCTACTAAAAATACAAAAAAATTAGCCGGGCGTGGTGGCGGGCGCCTGTAGTCCCAGCTACTGGGGAAGCTGAGGCAGGAGAATGGCGTGAACCCGGGAGGTGGAGCTTGCAGTGAGCCGAGATCATGCCACTGCACTCCAGCCTGGGCGACAGAGCGAGACTCTGTCTCTAAATAAATAAATAGTAATTTTTCACTTTTAAAGTAAAATTTATCTACTCATAATTTGACTACTTTTAGGTCCTAGTTTTTCATAGAATGAGTTAGGAAGGAAGGACTCCCTCTCCTAACTTCTGAAAGATATTGTAGAGAATTGGAAAAATTTCTTCCTTAAATGTTTGGTGGAATTCAGCAGCAAACCTATCTTGGCCTAATGCTTTCTGTTTGGGAAGATTAGCTATTGATGCCATTTCTTTAGTAGATATAGTCCTATTCAGATTGTCTATTCTTCCTTTTCAATTTCTCCCTAGTGACCCTCAGCTTTTGAAGGATTTTCGTCTCCACTGTCTTTTTCATTTTTTCCCAAACTCCAAGTACCCAAGCCACAAGAAAATAAAATTCCAAAGAAGATGAGGCCGAGGCAGGGGGATCAGGAGTTCGAGACCAGCCTGGCCAACATGGTGAAACCCCGTTTCTACTAAAAATACAAAAATTAGCTGGGCGTGGTGACTCATGCCTATAATCTCAGCTACTCAGGAGGCTGAGGCATGAGAATTGCTTGAACCCAGGAGGTGGAGGTCGCAGTGAGCCAAGATCGCGCCACTGCACTCCAGCCTGGGCAACAGAGTGAGACTCCATCTCAAAAAATAAAATAAAATTCCAAACAAGAAACAAATGCTTTGTTATACTATGCAACCCTATTGTTTATGCAGTTCTCTTTAGGCTTTTAGAAATATAATACATACCTAGTGTACAAATAGTTATCAGACATTTTATCATTCAAAAGCAGCCCCAAAGGAATATGACAATTTTAATTGATCTTTGATGCTGGTATGTGGTGGGTTACTTGGCCAGTGAGTGACCCTGGCTGATATCAAATATGATATACTTCAACAATTTGATTTCCAATACTTATTGAGCACTAAGAATGTATCAGGCATTATTCTAAAAGTTTTAGGTAAGTTTATTCCTTATAACAAACTTCAAAGATATATACTGTGGTCAATTCATTTTACAGATGAAGAAACTATGACACAGAGAGGCGAAGTAACTTGATAAGATCAAAACAGTAAGTAAATGGTATAGCCAAATTTTGAACACAAGCTACCTGACTCTAGAGGCCATAACCTTATCCACTACACTATAATGCAATTTTGTGGTTCTCTGTGCATCACTGAAGAAAAAACAGATGCTCACATAATTTTTTCTTATTTTGTTTCTTTGGAAAAATAAAGCCAATTGGCTAATGCTATTGAGATCTAAGAAAACTTCTGTTCTTGCTTAGAAATGTTAGTTCTTTTATCCATTAAACACACACAAAAAAAGCTGAATTTAGTGATGTCTCATATTATCTCATACATATCTGTCCACCACAGGCTCTAAATGGAAAAGGAGAAATAGCAGGTCATGAAACTGTTTTAATGAATGTTTAAGTCAGAAAATGTATATAAATGACTTTTATTCCATATTTAAACTTAAATTTTTATATAGGTTTTAAGTGTTATCTCTTTTCCACAAATTATTTATTACAAAAAGCTCAAGTTGTGTTTAACAAAATGGACTTATAACAAATGTCTTTTAAAAGATTCTAAATTTGTTAATTCTTAAGCTACAACCATAAGGACTTCCTGTGTCAGCTTCATTTGTGATTTCCAGATCCTTAGTTAACTTTAAGGATATGAATATTCTTTTGTAAGTAACCTTGGAAAACTGGACAATTTTATGACATATGTGCTTTAATAACTGGTGTAGCTGTTAGCTACCAGGTTAAAAAGGATGTATAGATGGCTTTATGTTGATGTGAATACTTGTTTTGAAGATATTTTTTAAATGTGGATAGGTAATGGGATGTGTATGCAAGGTAATGAATTTTATTTATCTAAGTAAAAAAGAATTATTTTACCTTAAGGAGAGTCTGGTTATGCTAGCCTAGAAGAGTATTTTTTTATTATTATACTTTAAGTTTTAGGGTACATGTGCACAACGTGCAGGTTTGTTACATATGTATACCTGTGCCATGTTGGTGTGCTGCACCTAGTAACTCATCATTTAGCATTAGGTATATATCCTAATGCTATCCCTCCCCACTCCCCCAACCCCACAACAGGCCCCAGTGTGTGATGTTCCCCTTCCTGTGTCCATGTGTTCTCATTTTTCAATTCCCACCTATGAGTGAGAATATGCGGTGTTTGGTTTTTTGTCCTTGTGATAGTTTGCTGAGAATGCTGGTTTCCAGCTTCATCCACGTCCCTACAAAGGACATGAACTCATCATTTTTTATGGCTGCATAGTATTCCATGGTGTATATGTGCCACATTTTCTTAATCCAGTCTATCATTGTTGGACATATGGGTTGGTTCCAAGTCTTTGCTATTGTGAATAGTGCTGCAATAAACATACGTGTGCATGTGTCTTTATAGCAGCATGATTTATAATCCTTACAATGAACTCAAACAAATTTACAAGAAAAAAACAAACAACCCCATCAAAAAGTGGGTGAAGGATATGAACAGACACTTCTCAAAAGAAGACATTTACGCAGCCAAAAAACACATGAAAAAATGCTCATCATCACTGGCCATCAGAGAAATGCAAATCAAAACCACAATGAGATACCATCTCACACCAGTTAGAATGGAGATCATTTAAAAGTCAGGAAACAACAGGTGCTGGAGAGGATGTGGAGAAATAGGAACACTTTTACACTGTTGGTGGGACTGTAAACTAGTTCAACCATTGTGGAAGTCAGTGTGGCGATTCCTCAGGGATCTAGAACTAGAAATACCATTTGAAGAGTATTTTTTAAACTTAAGAGTATTCAGGCCGGGCGCGGTGGCTCACATCTGTAACCCTAGCACTTTGGGAGGCCGAGGTGGGTGGATCGCTTGAGGTCAGGAGTTCGAGACCAGCCTGGCCAACATGGTGAAACCCCATCTCTACCAAAAATACAAAAATTAGCCAGGCATGGTGGCAGACACCTGTAATCCTAGCTACTCAGGAGGCTGAGGCCGGAGAATCACTTGAACTCAGGAGGGCTGAGATCACACCACTGCACTCCAGCCTGGGAGACAGAGTGAGATTTCATCTCAGAAAAAAAGTATTCAGAGAGTGTAGAAGTTCTGAGGAGTAAACTGTATTTGACAAGTTAGGGGTTGGAAAGGATCAATAAATGTGTCAAAATTTTTGACGAAGCTGGTTAAATGTGATGGATGTATTCACAGGAAGAAAGGCTTATGAAGCCATTACTACATATTGTTAAATAGAAGACAAGTAACAAGAGTAAAACTATAATCTGGATTTTCTTTCTGATAAAACAGCAAAGCTATCTCTGGTGAGATAACAAAGATTTCTTCTATCACTGTAACATTCTATCACTAAGCATTTTGACATATTAAGTCATTTTTTAAAAAAGCTAAAATACTAATTTGGAAAAACTAAAATACCTAATAATCCTAGTCACATATTCTTTTATCTTTTATGTTTGTGCACCAAAATTAACTTGATATGGTTCAAATGTAGACTAACGGTTCAACAAATGATGTTGGGAAAACTGGATATTCACACGCAAAAGAATGTGCATATTCATTTACCATTCACAAAAATTAACTCAAGATGAATCAAAGACCTAAATGAAAGAGATAAAACTATAAAACTCTTAGAAGAAAACACAGGAGTCAGTCTTCACAACCTTGAATTAGGCAATCGTTTCTTAGATATAACACCAAGAACAGAAACAAGAAAAGAAAAACAAAGATAAACTGAATTACATCAAAATTAAAAACTTTTGTACTGCAAATGATATCAACAAGAAAGTGAAAAGATAACTCACAGAAGAAAATATTTGCAAATCCTATTTTTAAGAGACTTGTATCTATAATAAACTCCTAGCCAGGCACAGTGGCTCATGCCTATAATCCCAGCACTTCAGGGGGCTGAGGTGTGTGGATCCCTTGAGCACAGGAGTTCAAGACCAGCCTGGACAACAGAGTGAGACTAGATCTCTACAAAAAATACCAAAAAAAAAAAAATTAGCTGGGCATGGTGGTGCGCACTTCTAGTCCCAGCTACTCGGGAAGCTGAAGTGAGAGTATCACTTGAGGCTGGGAGGTCGAGGCTGTAGTGAACCGTGATCGCACCACTGCACTCCAGTCTAGGCAACAGAGGGAGATCCTGTCTCAAAAAATTGAAAAGAAAAAAGATAAAAAGAAATGAAGTACAGATACATGCTACAACATGGAATAATCTTGAAAACATTATGCTAAGTGAAGGAAGCTAGTCACAAAAGACCACTCTCTCTGATTCCATTTATATAAAATATCCAGAAAAGGCAAATCCAGACACAAAAAGATTAGTGGTGGCTTAGGGATACTAGAAGCTGGGAGATGGGGATTAACTACTAATGGATATGAGGCTCCTTTTGGAGGAATAAAAATTAGATTGTGATGACATTTGCACAAATCTGAGACTAAACTAAAAAGCATTCATTCATTCAATTGAGACAAGGTCTCTGCTGTTGCCCAGGCTGGTCTTGAATTCCTGGGCTCAAACAATTCTCTCACTTCAGGCTCCAGAGTAGCTGAGATTACAGCTGTGCACCACTGCACCTGGCTCTTTAAATGGGTTAACTGTAAATGGGTTAACTGTGTGGAATATGAATTATATCTCAATAAATCTTTTAAAAATTAAATTCTTTAATTTAAAAAAAATTTTTTTTTTTGAGACTGAGTCTCATTCTGTTACCCAGACTGGAGTGCAGTAGCACCATCTCGGCTCACTGCAGCCTCCACCTCCTGGGTTCAAGTGATTCTCCTGCCTCAGCTTCTGGAGTAGCTGGGATTACAAGCATGCACAACCATGCCCGGCTAATGTTTGTGTTTTTAGTAAAGATGGGCTTTCACCATATTGGCCAGGCTGGTCTTGAACTCCTAGCCTCAAGTGATCCACCCACCTCGGCCTCCCAACGTCCTGGGATTACAGGCGTGAGCCACCATGCCCAGCCACCTTTATATATTTTTGACTAATATTCATATCTTCTCTCCTCTGACAACTCTTTATAATTTTGGCCTTTCCCAAATTCAGGCACAGTAAGACTATGAAGATGTCTTTTATGCCTGAACTCTTCAGGTTTCCTTCACATTATGGAAGAAAAGACAATAGGAAAAATTAGGTTTGTTTGGCACTCTACAAATTTTAATTAATCCCCAATCATTTTAAGACTTTTTTTTTAAAAAAAATCAAACTTAAAAGAAAAAAAGAAAACTTAACAAATCAAGAGATTAGCCTTCTCCTGTTAATTATGCCAGGTAAAATTTGTGAATAAAAATGTTTCAGTGTTTCATTTCAGGTAAAAAGAAACATGCTCATGTTCATGTAAAGACTAACACAATAACTGTCTGCAAAAAGATATACTTTACGAGATTACAGACCAAGAGAATTATCACTGAATATTGTCCATAATATGTTGTACTCTCATAATCATTTTATAAATTGTATTGTTCCTCAATAGTGGATTCCACTCTTCTCTAATCTAGAAAAACATCATTGTCTGCAACATCCTCAACTATCAGCAAACTTAGTCTTCTGGAAGAGACATCAGGGAAAAACTGGCCTCAGTGAAAAATTAGCTCAGCAGATACTGTAACAACTAGCATGGCAGTAAACTCCAAGATGATGATCACTGGGTTTATGTTTCCCAACTAAATGACAAGTACCTTCTCCAGACAGCTAAACAACCACTCCATCAGGAGACCTTAAACCAATGATTCTTAGGAATCCTCCAGAAGCCAACATCTTTGGTGGAAGACTACTAATCAAGACCTTCAAATCAAACAAATGACAATACAAAGTAGACAGCATGGCAACAAGGAAGGCTACAAGGCAACAAGGAAGATTAATTTTCTGATACCTTTGCTACTTTCCCTCTTCTGCTTATTACAGTTTGGTACTCCCTAGAGATTGCCTAAAGGTTTCTCAGTATTCTCTCACATTTATCATTTTATACTTAATTCTTTATGGTGTTTTTTGGCCACCTTAAGAATTTTGAGCAGTTTTCTCAAACTATAGCTACTCCCTGAATCTTTCAAATTCCACCATAAAATATATATATATATATATTTCCTTTAAATTCTTGAGGAGGCCAGTTAATTCCCACAGGTCCCTTTTGGTATTTGAATTTTCTTCATATCATTAACCTCACTCTTCATTCTTGTAAAAACTGGATCTCTACCTTAATTAAACAAATATACTTCTGCTACAATCATTACAGCACTGTCAGCAGACAGAATCAAGCTCACCAAGGCAGGGGACAAATGTTGGAGCTATCCTCACTGCACTAGTCAGTTTTCTCCAGATTTTTCAGACTTCTCTGTAGGAACTATTTAACTCCTCTAAGAATATGCCCACCTCAAGGAAACAATTCTTGGCTCACTCCTGTTGTGATAAATATTTATATTTCTACTATCTTCTGTAACCCAGCCGGCATTATTTATGTCAACACCAGGTTTTTACCTGCCTCCTGTACACAAACCTACCTTGCATATATAGAATAATTGTTAGATGTTCAGATATTTAAAGCCCTTTTCTTTCCAGCATATCACGTGTCTCCGAGAATAACCAGAAACTTCCAAAATAAGGCAGGTATAGGCTACTCAGGAAAGCTCCCAGAAGTGATGACTCCTTATGCATACTGTGCAAGATACTATTCTAGAAGTAAGAATAATACTAGAAAATGTGGCCCAAAATTTCACTCCCATCATCTGCTCTGGAAGCCCAAGAAACTAGTTTAAATTCACTACAACCCAAGATTATCATGAATAATCATATATTCTTTTGATTTCTTAGCAGACCAAGGAATAGTTTGTGTTTACTTAGTATTTCCTGTTGTATCACTACAAAAATCACTGGGAAGAGGCTACCTGACTGTAGAAGAGGCACAACTGAACTTCAGGATGTTTTTTCAGCTTGGGTTTGGCAATCTAGGTCCTAGATACAAGTTGTAGTACATGAATAATCATTTTGCTTCTGGAAATTGTATTGCAATTAGCTGATGTTTTCTGTGCAGAGTATTAAAGACTGTTGTGTAGCCATTGCCAAGTCTCATGATTCAACAATTGCTATGGTTTGAATATTTGTCCCTTCCAAAATTACGTTGAAATTTTAATCCCAATGTGGCAGTACTGAGAGGTGCGGCCTTTAAGAGGTGATTGGATCATGAGGGCTCTGCCCATAGGTTAAGTTATCACAGGAGGGGAACTGGTGGCTTTATAAGAAGAGGAAGAGTGACCTCAGCTGGCACAAAAGCATGCTCAGCCCCCTCACTGTGTGATACGCTGCACTGCCTAAGGACTCTTCAGAGTCTCCCCACCAGCAAGAAGCCTCTCACCAGCTGCAGCCCCTTGGCCTTGGAATTCTCAGTCTCCATCATTGTAGGAAAAAAAAAAAAATCCTTTTCTTTATCAATTACCAACCCAGCACTTTGGGAGGCTGAAGTAGGATTGCTTGAGCCCAGGAGTTCAAGCCTAGTCTGGGCAACACAGTAAGACTGTGTCTCTGCAAAAACATCAAAAAAATTAGCTGGGTATGGGGGTGCACGTCTGCAGTCCCAGCTACATGGAAAGCTTGGGGCAGGATGAGCACTTGAGCCCAAGAGGTCATGGCTGGAATAAGCTGTGATCACGCCACTGCACTAAAGCCGGGACAACAAAGCAAAACTTCGTCTTAAAAAAAAAAAAAACATTTAAGTCAATAAATTACCCAGTTTTGGGTATTGTTATAATCAACAAAAAATGAACTACTAACCATCCATTAACAAGAAGAATCCTATATTCTACACATAAATGCCTACCAGTATTAAATAAAAGCTCACCAATATGGCAATTTTATTAAACTTATATGAATCTGCAGATATAAAAAGTGACAGCCAACCTGTATTAATTGGAAAAACTGACAATCTTAAGAAATAATCTCTGAAAATAATTTCTCCATATTTAAAAATGTATACTTCATATGTTTTTCAAGTCTCCCAAATTTTGAAATAGGTAATTGAAAAGTTAACTACTCCAGCAAACCATTGTTTCATTTCAATAAATGAATGATTACACATGCAATGGTACTTGGCACACTACTGTTTGGTATAGGTTTTATTTTTAAGTAAAAAAAATGAATCATAGCCAAAACAAAATGTCTTGCCTTTGAATGGTATTTTAAGCTTAAGGGGAAAAAAGTCTTTAATGATGAACATATTTTCATTTTTCAATGTTTTTAATTTTTAATAAAGATTTTTAATTAAGCTTCAGTCTCTAAGCAGTTTTTAAACTTAGGTTTCGTGATCCTTTGACCTCATACTTTTAGATGGAGTCAGTTATCTTCAAAACATGACAAATTTCAGAATCCATTAAAAATTATTTTATTCAAATTATGTTTTCCAAAAGAGAGGGTTCTGTGCTAGTCGTCTTTGAAAGTTTTCATACCTAGAAAAGAAAACACATATATTTACATTCACAAGAAAATTAAAATAGGATCTTTCATTAACTGCCAAATGACTTATCCAAAACAATTTTACATGTCATTTCTAAAAAGCTATAAAAAATCTAAAAAGATAATCTGGAAATGTAATTATTCTTATAAAAAGACAGCAAGCATAGGAATTTAAATATCGGGGCAGTTTTGATTAGCTTTTATCAGAGAGCACAAATCATAAGAAATTTTAGTAATTGTTTATCTTCTGCAAATTTAAGACCTAGAAGGGACCTAAGGAAAAAAATCAAATTCAACTCCTATTTCCTCATTCCACAGATGAGCAGATGAGAGAAATTTGCTCAGGGTCACATAGCTACATTATGCCAAAATTCAAACCTAGTGCATTCCAATGCTCTCCATGCTACACCATGGTACCACTTCTCAACAAACTCTTCCTAGGCATCCTCCCATCTCTAGGATACTCAAAGTGAAAAGAAATATCTATAAAACACGGGAAAGTTGGAAAATAGATTCATTAGCCATTCATGTACACAGTGCAGTATAAACTACTCTCATAGATGGTACTTCTAAATGAAAATACACAAATATTTATAAGCTTTAATAGTGGTCCCTAAAACATAGGCAACTATATTTTCCTGTCTTTATAAATTCATAATGGCGACAATATAACAAAATATTTAGGGTAAGAACTG
This sequence comes from Homo sapiens, assembly GCF_000001405.40. Classification (NCBI taxonomy): domain Eukaryota; kingdom Metazoa; phylum Chordata; class Mammalia; order Primates; family Hominidae; genus Homo; species Homo sapiens. Next base: position 86,344,881 of record NC_000011.10, on the reverse strand, counting down.
TTTCTCATCAGATCTCTATAGTACATACTTTAATGGCATGCAGTGCTGATGTTCACAATAAAAGAATATGTTTAAATGTCAAAAAAGGAATATATTCATAGACAAAATAGATATTCAGTTATAAAAAGCCTTAATATTGGAGACAGAAAATGCCTCATACCATTTCAGAACCACATTTGCCGGAATGAACATTTCAGATGGGCTTGGTGTCATCTGGGCCTGAGAGACAGCAAATGATGAAGCAAAATTGTAGAAATTGTCCAACATCTTTTGTGTGAACTGAAAAGTTAATAATAGATTAATGGATTATACTGAATACTTCATTTAGAACTCAATATTTTTAAATTAAAAGTGTTCTCACATTAACTTGTTTATAGGGAGTGTCAGTTCTAAGAGAGTCTAATGCTGAAAGCTGGCTGGGTGCGGTGGCTCATGCCTGTAATCCCAAAACTTTGGGAGGCTGAGGCAGGAGAATCACTTGAGGCCAGGCATTCAAGACCAGCCTGTGCAACATAGTGAGGCCCTGTGTCAAAAAAATAAAATTAAATAAATGAATAAAAAAGAATGTTAAGAGTAATCATACATACAATGACACTGTGAAATATGCTACTCACTTTGGGGAAAAAAAAAGAAAAAAATTTTTCTTCAAAATATTTTCTTTCATCTCCATGTCTGCATCCACTATGTCCCTCCTCAATTATCACTCTCCTCAAATCAACCTATTTTCTCATATAAAATAGTAACCATCTCTAAGAAGTCTTTTACCTGCCAGAAAGATAAGAGTTTACATATTATAAAGGAGCAACTGGTTATTTCCATTGCTGGAAAGAAGATAAAGGCAGCACTATTCCATTTCCTCTGTTTCCTAATCTGTTTCCCTTCCTTGACTCTAAAATGATCAAATTCACTAACATACTCCAAGTCTCCTTGGTAGAAGCTAGAAGTAAATGGACTCACATTTCCTGAGAATCAAATGGGCTTAAGTACTAACCCTAAAAGTAACTGAACTTCTGAAGATAATACTACCTTCTACTCACTCAAAAATAACCTTTCCAGCATCACTTTCTCAAATATACAAAATCAGCCATGCCTTCTCTTCTCTACACAAGAGAATTGGTCTTATTAGGTTTTTTTATTCAGTTGTTGAATAATATGAAGGCAGTATAATCCAAGAGACTCTGCTGCGAAGGCACCTGATTAATATCAAAAGTTCAGTAAAGTCACTAACAGTTTCTTCGTTTGTTTTTGAGACAGGGTCCCACTCTTTCACCCAGGCTGGAATGCAGTGGCACAATCATGGCTCACTGTAGCCTTGATCTCCCAGGCTCAAGTGATCCTCCTGCCTCAGCCTCCCAAGTAGCTGAGATTATAAGCATGCACCACCATGCCTGGGTAATTTTTTATCTTTTTATAAAGACAGGGTCTCACTATGTTACCCAGGCTGGTCTCAAAATTCTAGGCTCAAGCAATCCTCTCACCTCAGCCTCCCAAAGTGCTAGAGTTACAGGCATGTGCCACTGTACCCAGACTAAAGTCACAACTAAAAGATCAATATTAGGAAAAAAAAAAAAAATCAACAGCAGTCCTCCACACCAGTGACAATAATTTTTAAGTGTAACTGAAATCTTTAAAAGGATTCCATTCAGAATATAAACAAAGCATTTTCTCCAATACCTAGAAAAAATGCTAAGACAAACTAGTAAGATTTTTGTGGAAAATATTATAAAGACTACTAAGAGACAGAAAAGAAAACAAAAGGACCTATATATACCATTTTCAATGGAAAGATATACCATGTTCAATGGAAAGACATAACATGTCACATATGGAAAGACAATGTGGTAAAGGTGGCCAATTCTCCCCAAATTAAACCCATATATCCAATGTTATTACCAACAAAATTCCAACAAGGTTCTTCATGAAACTTGACAAGCTAATACTATTTAATGAAACTCAACAAGCTGATATAATTATTATGAAGAATACCTACACAATTATTATGAAGAATACCTATACATATTTTGATGACTGTGAGGAGGAACTTGCCCCACTGGCAAAGAGACAGGCAAATAAACTAATTGGAATAAAAGAGACAGCCCAGAAATAAACCTAAGCATATATGACAAAGATGCTATTACTCATGGTAAAAAAAAAAAAATGGGACAAATTACTCAATTCATGGGGCTAGGACTAGTTTTCCATAAGGGGAAAAATGAATTTAATTCCCTTACCATACTGCACACAAACATATTCAAAAAGTAAACCTTAAGGCTTTAAGAACTGAAAGACAACATCTTAGGCTCTGCTTGAGGCCAGGAGTTTGAGACCAGCCTGGGCAACATAGCGAGACCCCCAGTCTACACACACACACACACACACACACACACACACACACACACACACGAACATCTTTATATCTTTACATATCAGGACAGAGAAGGATTTCTCAAACATTAAAAAACCCACAAATCCACAAATCATAAAAGAAACAATACATTTATCTATATACAAATATAGTATATCTGTATGTAAAAGTCACTATAAGCAATGTTAAAAGACAAGCACCATGCTAGAAGGAGAAAAATGCAATGTATTTACAAAGGATTATTATCCAGAACACATAAAGGCATCTTAGGTTTTTTTCCCAAAAGACTAAATTTAAAAAGTGCCAAAAGCAATACAACAGAAAATTGGACAAAATATATAAAGTCAATTCCTATAAAAGGAAATACAAACACAGCCAAAAGTGTGCAAAGATGCTCAATATCACCAGTAATCAAGAAACACAAACTAAGTATGATATTCTAATTTCACTCATCAGTTTGGCAAAATTTTAAAGGTCTGATAAATGTTAGTGAGAACATATGAAAAAGGAAATGAAAAAAACTGGCTCATTTATACAATGGCACACTATGAAGCAATCAAAACAAAGTATATTCCATGTATCAACATCGATAAATCTTTAAAATAATGTTGAGTGAACAACAGCAAGTTATACAGAATAATACTATTTATATTCATTTTTAAAACACACAAAAGAACAAATCAACAAGAAGGAAAAACAAAGGATTCAACACAGAAGAGAAACAAAAAGAATTTCTGTAGTAATGGTGAAATAATACCTTGTCTATGGCTATACAATAGGTCCAGAGAATAGTCAGTCAACAGTAGAACAAAAAAGAAAGGACAGTCTGGGCAACATAATGAGGCCCCATCTCTACAAAAAATTAAAAAGTTAGGTGGGTTTGGTGATGCTTGCCTGTAGTCCCAGCTACCAGCTACTAGTGGGAGCCCAGGAGTTTGAGGCTGCAGTGAGCTGTGATTGCACCACTGCGTTCCAGCCTAGGCGACAGAGCAAGACCTTGTCTCAAAAAAAAAGAAAAAAAAAAAAAAGGAGAATTCCAAGTGGAATGTTTCCGAGACCAATTTGAAACTGATATGTTTAAATAAACTGAATGAGAATTTACACTTAGTAGAGTTTGAGCATAAATTAGAAGTAGAAACATAGAAATCTATGCAAAGGAAAAAAATGAGGAAAAATGAAAAATTATACAAGAAAAGAAATGTAATCGTTGTACCACACATAGCTCAATTCTGAAAAATATTTACCTTCTCATAATACTGTAAACTTTTAATACTGATTTAACAAAAATGTATACTGATAAGGTGGGGAGAAAAGAAGTATGTACATGTTGGGAAGCAGGGAAGTGAGAGAGTTTCATCATGTCTTATATTAGCAAATAAATAGAAAACATCTATAACAGAAAAACTAACAGATTTTAAGCAAGGTTTTTTCTGATATATGGAAATAACAGACACTAGGAAAAATAGATTAAAAAGGGGAGGGAAGTTGAAAATCATAGCTTCTAAGGAGCAGAATAGAAGTAGAATGTAAGAGTCATAACAGAGGACAGCTGTTTCACATATTACACTATTTGAGGCTGGGCGTGATGGCTCACGCCTGTAATCCCAACACTTTGGGAGGCCAAAGTGGGTGGATCACGAGGTCAGGAGTTCAAGACCAGCCTGACCAACATGGTGAAACCCCATCTTTACTAAAAATACAAAAATTAGCCAGGCCTGGTGGCACGCGCCTGTAATCCCAGCTACTTGGGAGGCTGAGACAGGAGAATTGCTTGAACCTGAGAGGCAGAGGTTGCAGGAGCCGAGATCACGCCATTGCACTCCAGCCTGGGCAACAGAGTGAGACTCCATCTCAAAAAAACTATTTGACTAATATCCAGAATCTACAAAGAACTTAAACAAATTTGCAAGAAAAAAACAACCCCATCAAAAAGAGGGCAAAGGATATGAACAGACACTTCTCAAAAGAAGACATTTATGCAGCCAACAGATACATGAAAAAATGCTCATCATCACTGGTCATCAGAGAAATGCAAATCAAAACCACAGTGAGATACCATTTCACAACAGTTAGAATGGCGATCATTAAAAAGTCAGGAAACAACAGATGCTGGAGAGGATGTGGAGAAATAGGAACGCTTTTACACTGTTGGTTGGCGTATAAACTAGTTCAACCATTGTGGAAGACAGTGTGGCAATTCCTCAAGGATCTAGAACTAAGAAATACCATTTGACCCAGTGATCCCATTACTGGGTATATACCCAAAGGATTACAAATCATGCTGCTATAAAGACACATGCACACATATGTTTACTGCGGCACTATTCACAATAGCAAAAACTTGGAACCAACCCAAATGTCCACCAATGATAGACTGGATTAAGAAAATGTGGCACATATACACCATGGAATACTATGCAGCTATAAAAAAGGGTGAGTTCAAGTCCTTTGCAGGGACATGGATGAAGCTGGAAACCATCATTCTGAGCAAACTATCACAAGGACAGAAAACCAAACACCGCATGTCCTCACTCATAGGTGGGAATTGAACAATGAGAACACCTGGATACAGGGCAGGGAACATCACACACGGCGGGCGGGTCTGTCTTGGGGTGGGGGGCAGGGGGAAGGATAGCATTAGGAGAAATACCTAATGTAAATGACGAGTTAATAGGTGCAGCACACCAACATGGCACATATATACATATGTAACAAACCTGCACGTTTTGCACATGTACCCTAGAACTTAAAGTATAATAAAAAAAAACTATTTGACTATTTAAACCAAATACATGTAATACTCATAAAAATTTGGAGTAACTAAGTAATTAAATTAGAAACATGTTTAAACAGATACAGATAGTACTATACATATTTTGTGGATACACAGGAATTTTTTTAAGTACTAAAATATGAATAGGAAAGATATAAAAAGTTAGAAGGTAAAAGGCAGGAAGAGAAGCAGGCAGCAGTGGGCTATATCTATAATGCCTTAATTTCTTTTTTAAAAATTAGTGGCAAATAAGACAAAATATAACAGTTAAATCCAGGGGGAAGACAATGGAAGTCTTAATGTATACCCCACCATAAAGAGAGCTCTGTAAAGACAGGTGTTATTCTATTTTGTGGACCTATTTGTATCTATGAGTGCTTAGAAATGCCTGGTACAGGCTGGGCGCGGTGGCTCACGCCTGAAATCCCAGCACTTTGGGAGGCCAAGGCAGGCGGATAACGAGGTCAGGAGATCGAGACCATCGTGGCTAACACGGCGAAACCCCATCTCTACGAAAAAATACAAAAAAAATTAGCTGGGCCTGGTGGCGGGCACGTGTAGTCCCAGCTACTTGGGAGGCTGAGGCAGGAGAATGGCGTGAACCCAGGAGGCGGAGCTTGCAGTGAGCCGAGATCGCGCCACTGCACTCCAGCCTGGGCGACAGAGTGAGACTCCGTCTCAAAGAGAAAAGAAAAAGAAAAAAAGACATGCCTGGTACAGAGTAGTTACATAATAACTATTTGTGGAAAATATAAGTTACTCTATTTTCTCTGTATTTAAAATATTTCGTAATACATTTAATTAAAACTATAGTTTTATTTTAAAAACTCAAATAATTTATAAACATGTACAGTAAAAAAGTCTTCTTACCCTTCTCCAGGGATAACATTTTAATGTGTATTTTCCAGACACTTTTAAAATATTGTCTACACAGGATACTACGATTATTTTATAGTTTGTTTTCAGCACAGCAGCTTATTTGTAAAATTATGGGAAAAAAAACATTTTTGAGACCCAGAGTCTGTCATTCTCAATTCAGTCCATTTTCAAAGATGTGACAAATCTACCTTTACATTCATGACCACAACCTTCAAAAGTGCGCCTCTGGTACTGCCAGGCAAACACATATGGTTTCCCTAATCCATTCACTCCTCCTCTGCTAGAAGACTTATTTAGTAGTCTTTTTTTATTTCAATTTCTACTACCTCGATCTTAGCTGATGATCGTCCTTTCTATTTCACTAAGCAAGAAGAAATCAGGAGACAGCCTGCACAAGTTCTCATCACCACATCTACCAGCCTCCTGAATCTGTACCCATATATCCATTATCCTGTCTAAAGTGAACACCTCCATATATGCTGCTATTTTCTACTCAAGGACACTGCTTTAGCAGTTCTCCTTGCTCTCCTACATCATCAATTTTTCCTCTTGATAATAGGCTAAGAAGTCAGGAACAGAAAGACAAATAGCATGATTGATCTCACTTATATGTGGAATCTAAAAGTTGAACTTACAGAAGCAGACAGTAGAATGATGGTTGCCAGGGGTTGAAGAGTGGAGGGGAAGGGAAAATGAGGACATGTTGGTCAAAGGGCACAAAGTTTCAGTTCAATGGAATGAATAAATTCTGAAAATCTATTGTACAGCATGGAGAATACAGTTACTAATAATGTATACTTGTAATTTGCTAAGAGATCAGATCTTAACTGTTCTCTACAAAAAAATGATGACTGTGTGAGGTGACTGATATGTTAAGTAGCTTGATTTTATGTCAAAATATAGGCTGGGTGTGGTGGCTCACACCTGTAATCCCAGCACTTTGGGAGGCCGAGGCAGGAAGATCACCTGAGGTCTGGAGTTCGAGACCAGCCTGGCCAACATGGCAATACCCTGTCTCTACTAAAAAAAAAATACAAAACTTAGCCGGGTGTGGTGACATGTGCCTGTAGTCCCAGCTACTCAGGAGACTGAGGCAGGAGAATCGCTTGAACCCGGGAGGCGGAAATTGCAGTCAGCCGAGATTGCGCCACTGCACTCCAGCCTGGGCAACAGAGCAAGACTCCATCTCTCAAAAACAAAATAAAACAAAACAAAATGTAAACATGTATCAAAAACATCACATTGTATACCCTAAGTTACGATTTTAACTTGTATATTATACCTTAATAAAGCAGTGGAGGGGGAGGTAAAGAATGAAATGTATGTTGCATTACCTGAGTGAATGAGTCAACTGAGGATACAGCAGCATTACCTACAGGAGTCTGCTGAGCCATACTGTCTAATAATTCCACTGAAATTCCAATCTGAGCAACAGATGGAGTTCGGACAATATTCATGGCTCCAAAAGGATGTTGGCTTCCTTCTCCTGCAAGAAATTAACATATGACACACATTTCAAATTAAACTTGTAGTCACACAATTTCCTTTGTAAATTTATAAAGAACCTCTAATTTATATACATGAAAAAGTTTTATGTCCAAGTTTGTCCCTCTTTTCAGATAAATGCAAAAGCCTACTTCGTTTTTAGCATATTAACAAAGAATAAAAGAACTAAAAGTTTCCCACCAGAAAAATAGCTGTCACATTTCTGAAATGTATTGAAACTACTGCAACTAGACACAGACAGTAACAGAGTGTGGGAAAAATAAATAATTAATAGAGAAGACTCCCTTTAGCATTCCTTATGGAGCAGGTCTGCCAGCAATGACTTAGTTTTTGTTTATCTAGGAAAGTATTTCTCCTTCATCTCTAAAGACAGTTTTGCTGAGTATATAATTCCTGGTTGATGGCTTTTTTTTTTTTCCTTTCAGAACTCTGAATATGCCAATCCACTACCGTCTAGAAGACTATGGGGTCTCTGATGAGAAATCAGCTATTAATCTTAGCAAGGATCCTTGCATGTGATGAGTTACTTCTCTTGATGCTTTCAACATTCTCTCTTTACCTTTTGACAGTTTGATTATCGTGTGTCTTGGTGTAGTTTATCCTACTTGGAGTTTCTTGAGCTTCTTAAATGTGGTTAATGTTTTTCCTCAAATTTGAGAAGTTTCTGAGCATTATTTATTTAAATATTGTTTTAGTCTGTTCAGGCTGCTATAACAAAACACCATAAACTGGGTAGCTTATAAACATCGGAAATTTATTTCTCACAGTTCTGGAGGTTGGGAAGTCCAAGATCAAGGAACCGGCAGATTTGGTATCTGGTGAAGGACCATTTTCTGGTTCAGACAGTGCCTTCTCACTGTGTTCTCACGTGGTAGTAGGGCAAGTGATCTTCTTATTACTCTAAGAGTGGTAATCCCATTCATGAGGGCTCTACTCCCATGACCCAGTCACCATCCAAGTCCCTACCTCCCAATACCTTGGGGGTTAGGATTTCAGCATATAAATTTAAAAGACCTCATCATATAAAAAGACACAAACATTCAGACCAGAGCAAATATTCTTTCCAGCCCTCCCGCCTTTCCATATGTTACTCTCATTACACTGTGTCTGCTGTGCATGTTGGTGCACTTGAGGGTGTCTCACAGGTCTCTAAGGGTCTGCTCTTCAAACTGGATATTCCAATTAATTTATCTTCGACTTCACTGATTCTTTCTTCTGTCTACTCAATTCTGCTATCTAAGCCCTTTAGTGAACCATTCAGTTACTGTACTTTTCAGCTATAAACTCTGTTTAGTTCCTTTCTATAATTTCTATATTGATATTCTCTATTTGATGATGTATCATTCTTCTGGTTTCCTTTAGCAATTTGAGCATAATAAAGACAGCTTACTTAAAGTCTTTGCCTGTGCTTCCCTGGGGGAAGTTTCTGTTCGTTTCCTCTGTATAAGAGCCTTACTTTGTTTCTTTGTATGTTTCATAATTTTTTGTAGAAAACTGGACATTTTGAATATTACAATGTGACGACGCTATAAATCAGATGTTTCCACCTTCTAGGGGTTTGTTGTTGCTGTTTATTGTAGTTGTTTCCTCATTTAATGACTTATCTGAACTAATTTTGTAAAGTCTGTTTCTTTGTTATGTGTGGCCAGTGAAGTCTCTGTTCCATTAGTTAGTAGTCTGCTAGTGATTAGAAAGAAATTTCCTTAAACCTCTGCAACCAAAAAATTCTGCCAGTCTTTGCAGATGGGCTCTGCGTGTTGGGACATGCCTTTAGTATTCAGCCAGGCAGTTTATAACTCCACCTTAGTCTTCACTTCCTGCTTGTGCGGAGACTTAAAGTGAGCCAGAAGAGAGAGCTCTGGGTCTTCGCGGGTCTTTCCTGAGCATGCACAAAGCTCTGGGAATGCACGTACCCTTCTAGATTACCAAGAATATGTCAGAGAATTTCAAAGCCCTCATTCCCCAAAGCATCTCATTCCCAACCTTTCTGGTTAGTTTTGGTTTACTCCAACTGTTTTCCTTTGCCTCGGGCAACAGTAGCTAAAACATATGTCTGTAAATACTTTTAACAAACACCCCCAAGGTAGATACTTTTCCATGAAGAGTTCCAAGTTAGGTGACATAAAGGCAGACCTCTTTTTTTTTAAACAGTCTTCTAGCAAGCCACCAGACAGATGAAAACAAGTTAATTACAATTCTTTCTGAATTAGGTCTATCCTGCTCCCTATATCAGTACCAGGAATGGAGTCTGTTATTTTCAAGGCTATCACTGAGCTGAGAAGCAGATGGGACAAGGGTAGCCAAATGCCACAAAGCTCACTGTTCTTACTGAGATTCAGTGTATTTTCTTGATTAAATGTTCCCCTGATTGCTACAAGCTTTTGGTTAGTTACCAGAGTTCCAAAAAAGTTGATTCTGGGTCAGACACAGTTGCTCATATCCTGTAATCCCAACACTTTCAGAGGCTGAGGCAGGAGGACTGCTTGAGCCCAGAAGTTTGAGACCAGCCTGGGCAACATGGGGAGACCCCATCTCTACAAAAGTTAGCCAGGCGAGGTGGTGCATGCTTGTGGTCCTAGCTACTTGGGAGGTGGAGGTGGGAGGATCGCTTAGGCCTAGGAGATCGAGACTACAGTGAGCTGTGATCTTCTGACAGTGTTGTTGTTGCTTTTATGGAAGACTGGATTTTCTGGAGCTCCTTACTCTACCGTTTGATTTCTTTTAAATCTAGAATTATGCTAAAATCCAGAAAACATATCATTATCAAAGCATATCATCAAATAGATGCAAAAATAATAAATTATAAATCATAATACAAAGAAGAGCAAGCAAAATATATGACCTAGTCTTAATATAAAAAACAAATGTAAATTAGATCAAGTTCTTTAAAACACTGTTAACAGTAAATGCAGCAGCTAATTTTTTTTAAGACTCTTTCTCAAAGCATCCCTCCTCCATGTAAATCAAGAGCCTAACACAAAACACAACTCAGAGGAAAAATTCCTACAGGGAGCTAGTTCTTTATTCTCAGTATACAAGGAAAAGCAGTCACCATCATTTGTTATTTGCATCTAATGGAAACTTTACACACACACACACACACACACACACACACACACACATATTTTACAAAGAATGTTGAGAAGAATCAGGAAATAGTGGAAAACAACTTTATTAGATTTTTTCTAAGTATTTAAGTACAGCAAATCCAGATAGTCATTCCACATTTTCCTTGTTTTTAAGATATAGCTGAAATGGGCTATGTCCTGTGAATACAACTGCCCATCAACCATCATGGATAAACATGGAACACATGCGTCTTATGGAACACATCCATTTTATAAATTTCATAAGTCAGATATCTATTAATAAAGTTATAGCTTATGGTTGTATCTTGTTCTTTTTTTGGCATCTACATTGCCATAATATAATACCTGAAAGCTTGAAGTTTTGAAACCTTTAACGGCTCATAATTTGTTGAAGGATGGCTATCCTCTGATCTACATTTTGCAAAATATTTTCATTTTTAGATTTATAACCATTATTTAGAATGATCAAGCCAATTATTTTTTTTTTCATTCCTATACCTATTTCCTTCCAATCACTTCTCTATACACCCCTGCTTTCAGCATTTGTCTATTTATAAAACCATATCCAGTCTATTTTGGAACACAAATATAAGAGATAAAAGAATAGCAGAACACATCCTTTACTACTTGTCCATGACAAAATATTATGTGAGAAATTCCTTCTTCTTAAATGACTGAGTAGAATACCATATTTCTTTTCTTTTTTTTTTTTGTTTGTTTGTTGTTGTTGTTGTTGAGACAGAGTCTCACTCTGTTGCCCAGGCTGGAGTGCGGTAGGACGATCTTGGCTCACTGCAACCTCCGCCTCCTGGGTTCAAGCAATTCTCATGCCTCAGCCTCCCGAGTAGCTGGGATTACAGGCCTGTGCAACCACACCGGCTAATTTTCAAATTTTTAGTGCAGACGGGGTTTCACCATGTTGGCCAGGCCAATCTGGAACTCTTGACCTCAAGTGATCCACCCATCTCGGCCTCCCAAAGTGCTGGGATTACAGACATGAGCCACCGCACCCGGCCTCATATTTTCTCTTGATCCTTAAAAATACATTGTTCAATCATCAAATTTTTAGTTGAGAAAACTCAGATAATGAGATCTTATTTGAAGATTCATAGTAGGTAATTTTGCTTATATGATCCACTTTACCATCGTCATCAGTGTAGAATTTACCTTTCAGTATTCATTTTCTGATTTGTCTAATAATTGTGAAACTTCTTCCTCTGTCAATTTTCTTCTCTTTGCCATTATGAACAAAATATTTAAAAGTATGAATTTACATTCTGTTCAATAAAAGCTAAAAAGAGACCATAAAGATGGTGTCTCCAGTCTCCTTTTATATTACTTAAAAGGTGGCATAATCTTTTGGGCAATGCAACATGAAAATTGTAGGTTAATGCAATGACAAACCAAGGCCCACAGGCCAAATCGGTCCCACAACCTATTTTGTATGACGTGGGAGCTAAGAATGGTTTTCAAATATTTAAAGGGTTGTTTAAGAATAATATGCCACAGAGATCAAATGTAGCCCACAATGCCTACAATATTTTCTAACTGATCCTTCACAAAAAAGTTTGCCAACTTCTACTCTAGCTAATTCCAACATTTTTCTTTTTTTATTTTAGCCCCCTTTTTGTAAGTATAGTTTTGATGAGTACTGATAAAATAATTTCCTGGATGAAATAACAAAATGCTTCAATATATAGGTAAAGTAAGACCAGTAATATCCCCAAATGCTTCTTAGATTTACAAAGTGGTCCATATGGTAATTGCAAGATAAAATGAGTTTTATTCTATTAAAAAACATGTAAGTAAATGTTATCTCTATTCTTTATTTTTTTTTCCTCTCTGTTCTTTAAGACCTCTACAAAAGAATAAAACTCATGAAGTACCAATCCTTCTAATGGGTAAAAATGCTCAAAAGGGAAATTTAAAAATTAAAAGTCCACTGGTTGAGATGTCTGTAAGTGTGCATAGCAGCAAAGAGATGAGGACTAAAGAAAACAGTTACGGGCCGGGCACGGTGGCTCACGCCTGTAATCCCAGCACTTTGCGAGGCCGAGGCGGGCAGATCACAAGGTCAGGAGCTCGAGACCATCCTGGCTAACACTGTGAAACCCCGTCTCTACTAAAAAAAATAAAAATAAGTTAGCTGGGCATGGTGGCAGGCGCCTGTAGTCCCAGCTACTCGGGAGGCTGAGGCAGGAGAATGGCATGAACACAGGAGGCGGAGTGCCACTGCACTCCAGCCTGAGCGACAGAGCAAGACTCCGTCGCAAAAAAAAAAAAAAAAGAAAAGAAAACAGTTATGGCAAAAGGAAGGAATTCACTATGCAGTAGCATTTCACTATGATGACATAGCTAAAAAACTACACAGAAACAACTTAAATATGCCTGCTTGAAAGCATTCCTAGTATTGAATATACAAATTTAGAAATATGTATTTCTAAAAACTCCCTGCTTCATTTCTATTGATACCTAGACAAACCTGAAATTACATTTTCACTAATGTATATTCTAAGAGCTATGTGACTCTCAAAGGCTTATCAGTAATTTTACACTAGATAAAAATATAATTTATCTGATACCATAGTATGTCTGAAAGGTACTTAATGAAGCAAAGTATCTAAAGTCCATCACTGTCCTCTATAGAGCACAAAATAAAAGATATAAAACATCCCTATTCTCAAAGAGCTTACACCCTAATGTGGCGGGGGAGGGAGGGCAGTAACAGTCACTTAACCATTCTGAACTGGTTTCATTATCTGGGTAATTTCTTTTCTTTTTGAGACAGAGTCTAGCTTTGTTGTCCAGGCTGGAGTGCTGTGGTGTGACCTTAGCTCACTGCAACCCCTACCTCCCAGGTTCAAGTGATACTCCTGCCTCATATTCCTGAGTAGCTGAAATTACAGGTGTGTGCCACCATGTGCAGCTAATTTTTGTATTTTTAGTAGACATGGGGTTTCACAATGTTGGCCAGGCTGGTCTCGAACTCCTGTTCTCAAAGATGCGCCCGCCTCGGCCTCCCAAAGTGCTGGGATTACAAGCGTGAGCCACTGCACCTGGCCCTATCTGGGTAATTTCTAACATCCTTTCTAGTGCTGACATTCTATGATTTTACGAAAATATAACAACCATTTATTAAGTACCAACTGTGTACAAGGTACTACCATGCATTTGTGTACATTATCCCTAAAAAGAAAAACAAAAAAAAACTTGCACTGCAGGTATTATCTCCATTTTACCTGAATTCTCCTCTGTAATTAAAGGTCTTGGTTAAGATTATACAACCAGTAATGAGTATCACTGAGATCCATAACGAATCATATCACTGTTCATAGCTGTTACAGGTTTTAACAGATGTTTATGTTGTTATAAGTGGAAACCAATATTCAGTTGACTGTCTGAATACTGAAAAGACTATCAAGTTTTCTCATGCATCTGACAATTTATGATACTGCTAAGGCTAGAAATTACTTTCAGAACTTTGGTAAGATATTTTAAGAAAAAAAATTTCAAAAAGTACTGACAGTACAAATATAGAACTAGAAGAAAATACTTTAGGTACAAGTGATTTCTAATTCATCAGAAAAGCAGGCTAAGGCTAGTCAAAGAACTTCACTGAGGAGACTTAGGTAGTCCACTGAGAAAATTCTCAGGACAACCTGGACCTGATCATGAAATGCTTCTCTGGACCAGATTAAATCAAAATAAAAGTGAGTAAATGATATTTTTGCTTCTTGTTATTCAACTCTGAAGGATGTGCAAATTCTAGACTTTGAAGAAAATATGCAGAGTATCTAAATAGAGCTTTTGGCTTCCTGTTATCTAACTCCCTTGCATGCTATGAAGGGCTGCAATGTTGAATTTTGGTACAAATATGATGAGAATGAAGATAAATATCTTTAATTCAAAATAAGTCACCAAGATTTTTGCCCTGAAGTTTTTGTCATTATATTCAGAACTTCACTAAGTGGGGTGACAAACAAGGAAAACTTGCTTGTAGTTGACAAGACCCTATAAAAATTACCAAGTCTGGTTTCATAGTTGTCAAATATAAACATTTATTTCTGTAATATTAATTCTTGGAACACTGTGAAAAGTTAACAATGTATATTGTAATCCCTAGAGGAACCACTAAAAAACTAATGCAAAGGTATATAGTGAAAGAACCAAAGATTTATGGGCTAAAAACACAATCCAAAAGAATGCCAAAAAAGGGGAGAAAAAAAATACCAGCAAGATAAAAATATAAACCTAACCATATAAATAACTGTAAATATTAATGGACTAAACACCCTACTTAAAAAGCAGAAACTAAGTTAAAAAAAGAAAAGGCAGCACCAAACTACATGCTATTTAAGAGACAGAGATTTACATTAAAAGTAAAAGGTAAAAGTATGTTATAAAGGAAATTTATGTTAAAAGAAAAAATATAGCATGTAAACACTATAAGAAAGCTGGAGAAGCTATAAATGTTAGATGAAGCAGACTTTGAGACAGTATTATTACTGGAGATAAAAGACATTTCATATTGGTAAAAGAAACAATTCATCAATTTATACAAACTCAGAAAGCAGAGGAAGAAAAAACCATTGTTATGCATTTATGTTTATCTCATTGCACTCTTACCACTTCTATTCAAAATGGTGTTTGAAGGCCTAGACAATACCATAAGGCAAAAAGAAAAAAAAAAAAAAAGAAATCACAGGCATAAAAATTGAAAAGAAAGAAGTAAAAAGTTTTTTTCATAGACACGACATCTGTACAGAAAATCCTAAAGCTACTAGAGCTAATTAGGGACTTTAACAAGATATTCAATATATATCATACCCTTTCCTTCATCCTTCAGGATACAAAGCCATACAAAAATCAATTGTACTTCTATAATACTAGCAACAAATAATTGGAAATTTAAAATGTTTTGAGATTTAGAAAAAAAGCCAAAATGCCCAATGAGGAATGGGTAATCAAACCACAGCTTACCAACAAAATATAATTCTAGACTACCAATTTAAAACAAATAGGAAAAAAAGTGGGTGGACTAATCCTCCAGATCACCGTTTCTGAAAGCTTTTTTTTTTTTAACTCATCACGTTTTCCTTTTAAATAAAGATGAAAATCTCATCTTCTTTTCCCATCTTAACTCACCTAAACATAAGAATGTATCTGTTTATCACTTTACTTGGTTAATAGGAAAGGAGTGGAGGAAAAGAAAGAGTAACTAAACATTTAATACTTTTGGAACCCATCAAAATTTCATAACCCATTATGAGGTAATATTAAGTAAAAATGGCAGAAAACAGCAGTTACAAGCATGTGAGGAGCGTGTGTGTGTGTGTGCGCGCACACACACACACACACACACAAAACACAAAACACAATGGAAAGAAATGTGGGGCCGAGCGCAGTGGCTCACACCTGTAATCCCAGCACTTTGGGAGGCCACGGCAGGTGGATTACTCAAGACCAGGAGTTCAAGACCAGCCTAGCCAACATGGTGAAACCTTGTCGCTACTAAAAATACAAAATAGGGTCAGGCATGGTGGCTCATGCCTGTAATCCCAGCACTTTGGAAGCCCGAGGCAGGAGGATCACAAGGTCAGGAGTTCAAGACCAGCCTGGCTAAGATGGTGAAACCCCATCTCTACTAAAAAGACAAAAATTAGCCGGGCGTGGTGGCAGTTACCTGTAATCCCAGCTACTCAGGAGGCTGAGGCAGAGAATTGCTTGAACCTGGGAGGCAGAGGTTGCAGTGAGCATACAACTCCAAGAGGTTGCATGCCACTGCACACCAGCCTCGGCAACAGAGCCAGACTCCGTCTCAAAAAAAAAAAAAAACAAAAAACATTAGCTGCGCATGGTGGTGAGTGCCTGTAGTCCCAGCTACTCAGGAAGCTGAGGCATAAGAATCACTTGAACCCGGGAGGCGGAAGTTGTAGTGAGCTGAGATCGTGCCACTGCACTCCAGTCTGGGTGACAAAGTGAGACTCCATCTCAAAAAAAAAAAGAAAAGAAATGTAAATGTTGTTTTCTCCTTAAATTTACTTTAGGAAAGGAAAATATTACACTTAGAATAGTAAATGAAAAATCTGAGTATCTAGATCCTAATCCCTGCTCTATTTCAGGAACAATAAAAACTTTCTAGATTTCAAGAGCCTTAACAGTAAAATTAAGGAATTAATTATTTTAGGGCCTTTCATTCTAATATTTCATGGCTTTCTGTTATACCTGGCAGGGATATGCTCTATTAGTTTTTCATGTAGTACGAAGTACACTGTATCTTTACTAAGATTCTAAAAACTGTCATGACAATCATGATCCATTACCCATTCAGGATCCTTCCTCCTATACCATTTGTTTTAAAGGCCATTTTAATCCAGGAACTTAGTTCCACTTCTAGGAGTTTCTTCTACAGAAATACAGTACTAGAAACTATGTACAAAGATATGTATAAGAATATTTATTATAGCATTGCTAGTAAAACAATTAAAAAATGGAAACCCAGATTTCCATTAATAGGGAATTAAAGTACAGTATTGCCATATAACATATACCTGTTTGAAAGCGGTAGATCTATGCATACCCACTAAAAGTTAGCAGACTGTCTGAGCAAAAAAATTAACTTCCCTGAAATTCAGTGTCTTGAAAACCAGAGGCTTGGCTGGGCGCGGTGGCTCATGCCTGTAATCCCAGCACTTTGAGAGGCCAAGGCGAGTGGATCACGAGGTCAGGAGATCGAGACCATCCTGGCTAAGAAGGCGAAACCCCGTCTCTACTAAAAATACAAAAAATTAGCCGGGCGTGGTGGCAGGCGCCTGTGGTCCCAGCTACTCGGGAGGCTGAGGCAGGAGAATGGTGTGAACCCGGGAGGCGGAGCTGGCAGTGAGCCGAGATTGCGCCACTACGCTCTAGCCTGGGCGACAGAGCGAGACTCCGTCTCAAAAAAGAAAAAAAAAAAGGAAAACCAGAGGCTTATTAACACCAACCTCTTAAGGATGCTGTGAAAGATAAATATATAATACATATGAAAACCTAGAACACTGCATTACACATAGCAGATATTCAATATATGCTACCCTTTCATTCATTTTTCAATCATTATAACACCTTCCTAATTGGTTTCTCTGCCTCTAATCTTAATAAGATTCCCCAAGCCATTCCAGACAATTATTTTCCCAAAACACCATTTTGTTTTGTTTTGGTTTGGTTTTAGAGAAGAGATCTCACTATGTTGACCCACGCCAGTCTCAAACTCCTAGGCTCAAGCAATCCTCCCACTTCAGCCTCCCGAGTAGTTAGGACTATAGGCACACGCCACCATGCCCAGCTCTAAAATACCATATTAAGATCTTGCTCAAACACTTGCTTACAAGAAAAAATTTAAACCCCACATTAGCATGATCATCCATACAACAGTCCCAATTTACCGTTAACACCTCACCTTTCACTCCACCCAAACAGGAACCTATCATGCCACCCTTAAAAGTCTCCTCCTCACTGTCACTTGAAGATGCACTGCATATTTCTAGTTTTATGACTTTAATCACCTCCAAGTGTGATTCCCATCCACCCACTTCCATCCCATCCAAATCTTACTCATATTTCAAGTTCATGCTCCAGTCTAATCTTCCATAGAGAGATTCTCATTTATCTCAGCTCACTATTCTGTCTCCTCTGAACAATGTCTTGGTGTGATATTTAATATTCACACACACATGCAGATGTTGAAAGTAGGCAGCAAGTAGATGTTCAATAATTACCTGATGAATGAGAACACAACAAAGTCTTCACTACATAAACAGAAAATTTTTCTTCTGTAATTTACTTAACAGAAAGGCCGAAAGTAACTTCCCAAGCTTTCACAATGTAAATGGATAATTACATAATATAACAAAAGACCTTATAGCCACACATATTATAGTACCTGCAGGTTCCCACTTTTTATTTTATTTTTTATTTATTTATTTATTATTTTGAGACGGAGTCTCCCTCTGTCGCCCAGGCTGGAGAGTGGTGGCACGATCTTGGCTCACTGCAACCTCCACCACCTGGGTTCAAGTGATTCTCCTGCCTCAACCTCAAGAGTAGCTGGGATTACAACCATGCACCACCACACCCAGCTAATTTTTGTATTTTTAGTAGAGACAGGGTATTGCCATGTTGGCCAGGCTGGTCTTGAACTCCTGACCTCAAGTGATCTGCCCGCCTCAGCCTCCCAAAGTGCTGGGATTACAGGCGTGAGCCACGGTGCCTGGCCTGAAGTTTTTAGTTAAATGCCCCTTCCACATTACAGACTAAAACCAGCATCTGAAGCCAAAACTGTAAGGAACCTCTTTAAACCTTCCCAAATTTTCCAACTACCAAACCTTATCTACTAAGCATGTGCCTTTTTTTTTTTTCTGAGACGGAGTCTCGGTCTGTTGCCCAGGCTGGAGTGCAGTGGTGCCATCTCGGTTCACTGCAACCTCCGCCTCCCGGGTTCAAGCCATTCTCCTGCTTCACCCTCCCGAGTAGCTGGGACTACAGGCACACACCACCACGCCCAGCTAATTTTTGTATTTTTAGTAGAGATGGCGTTTCACCCTATTGGCCAGGCTGGTCTCGAACCCCTGACCTCATGATCCACCCACCTAGGCCTCCCAAAGTGCTGGGATTACAGGTGTGAGCCACCACACCCGGCCACATGTGCCACTTTTTTGTTATTTTAGGATTTCATATCCCATGTTCCAAAAAAAAAAAGTTTCTTCTTGTTTCTTAGTATCAAAACATTTATTTTATGTTTTCAAATTTAGTCCTACCTGAGTTCTTAACCATCACCCACAGATTGTTCCAGCAACGGGGTAAAATGTATTTATCACATAACTCCTTTACAGAACCCAGGAGTCACAAAGAATCATCCCTCAAGCAAAACAAAACTCACAGTAACTGGCTTTAAGACACCCTACAAGTACATGTAGTTCTCCCAACAGAGCTCTCTTGACCTCTCCAACAAAAACTGTTCTGTGTGAAGTTAAGAAATCTGTTCACATCACATCATTCAGTACAGAATCATAAGCACTGCCAAAATTTTTCTCTTTTTTTTTTCCTTTTTTTTTGAGACAGGGTCTCACTCTGTCATCCAGGCTGGAGAAGAGTGGTGCGATCTTGGCTCACTGCAGCTTCATCCTCCTAGGCTCAAGTGATCCTTCCACTTCAGCCTCCCAAGTAGTGGGACTATAGGCACGTACCACCATGCCTGGCTAAGTTTTTTATTTTTTGTAGAGGCAGATTCTCACTGTGTTACGCAGGTTGGTCTGGAACTCCTTGGCTCAAGTGATCCATCCACCTCAACCTCCCGAAGTGCTGAAATTACAGGCGTGAGCCACCATACCTGGCCCCAAATTTCTTAACATGAAATTTGTTTCACTTGAATAACTCTCTACCCTCCAGCTCCCATAAAATTATGCTAGACTTATTACTTAATAAATTCTCAGTTCAATCAAGTGCCTGAAGTTACTTTAGCAAGCCTCTCCCTAACCCTGATGTGCTAGTTAGCAAGGTTTTCCCAATATAATCAAACTTAAACCCACAAGCTTGAAAGGGCACCTGAAAGGCTGAAAAATATAAACCTATTACAAATTCACCTATTCTTATATTTTAATGATACACCATTTCCTACTATGAATACTAAGCCTAATCTTTTATATATAAATTAAGAATTCTGACAGTTTAAACATTCAAAAAGTTTTCCAAACAACTAGTAAAGAACCACCCAAAACATTTTAATAGCATTTTATCATTTGTTTAATGTTGGTATGTTCTAAGTCTCTAAATATATTAAGTTGCTTTATTTTTCTGTAATAAAACATTCTGCTTTACCATCACAAATATTGCCCTGAAAATTTGTTTTCATGAATAAAACTATGAATAGTCTTGTTATAATGGAAATGATGAAAAACAATTTATTTTTTAAAAAGCCAATGGGCCAAACATATTGGTGTGCATCTGCGGTCCTACCTACTTGGGAGGCTGAGGTGGGAGTACTGTTTGAGCGCAGGAGTTCTAGGTTGTAGTGCACTACGCTGGTTGGGTGTCCACACTAAGTTTGGTAGCAATATGGTGCCCTCCTAGGAATGAGAGACCATCAGGTTGCCTAAGAAGGGGTGAAACAGCCTAGTTCGGAATGGAGCAGGTTCAAAACTTCATGCTGATCAATAGCGGGATCATATCTGTATATAGCCACTGCACTCCAGCCTGGGCAACATAGTGAGACCACATCTCTTAAAAAATAAATAAAAATAAAATGTAAAAATAAAATAAAAAGCAGACAATAAAAGAACTAGTATTATCATAATGAAAACAAATCCATTTTCCCATACTGGATCAAGTATTACTCTGGGATTGAGTTTTAGACTGTTTAACTCTACAAGAGAAAACATATGTCACTGAGAAACTATTAAAGTTTCAGATACAGTAATTGGATTAACTCATTTTTTATTGAACTTTCTCCAGATTGGATGAAATAATACAATAAGGAAATGTCTGTGTTCTTATGATCCTAAAGTGCCTCCCCAATCTCTTACGTGTCACAAGAGAAAAGACAGCCAAAAGTACAAAAAGGATAGAACATTTTCACTGTTCCCTAAGCATCTCCTGTAGGGAATAACCAAAAAGAAATACTGTGCCCCATTCCAAATTCAAAACATTGGCAAAACTGTGGCAAGAACAGGCAAAGATGGGGGAAATTAAATTGACAATTTGATTGGTATGTCTCAAAAAACAACCAATGTGTCCTGGTCTAGTGGCTGGTGACCAACTTCACCTTAATCAATGCAATGTACTCTGGGTACAAATTAGCTTGCTTCTCCTACTGTATTGCTTATGATTATTATATAGATATAAGTATTTATTTAATCTTTCATGTTTTCCAACTGAATCTTTCTGTTTTCCAACTGATATCACGTTTGTCAAAAAAACTATAAAAGTATCTATTTACATTTATTTCTTTCCTTTTAAAATCAATACATAAATACTCATATATTTATATTTTACTTTTTTTTTTTAAGACAGGGTCTCACTCTGTCCCCCAGGCTGGAGTGCAATGGTATGATTGCAGATCACTGTAACCTCTGCCTCCTGGGCTCAAGCAATCCTCCTGAGGCCTCAGCCTCCCAAATAGCTGGGACCAGAGGCATGAGCCACTACAATCAGCTAATTTTTGAATTTTTTGTAGAGATGGGTTTTGCTACGTTGCCCAGGCTGGTCTTGAACTCCTGAGTTCAAGTG
This sequence comes from Homo sapiens, assembly GCF_000001405.40. Lineage (NCBI taxonomy): Eukaryota > Metazoa > Chordata > Mammalia > Primates > Hominidae > Homo > Homo sapiens. Next base: position 86,323,007 of record NC_000011.10, on the reverse strand, counting down.
ATCCACCTGCCCCGGCCTCCCTAAGTGCCAGGATTATAGGCATGAGCTACCGTGCCCAGCCTATATTTTACTTTAAAATAAGCAGTTGAGAGCTCCCAAGTGAGTATCAAGAGAACATGCTTGATGATGGATGCAGAAAAATATGTTCATGATTTTGTCTTTTCAACCAATGTTGGAACCACTAAATATCCATTTGCCAAAAAAAATTTTTTTGACAGATTCCTTGCAATAAATATTAAATTTAATTCAAATTGGATCCCAGTTATAAAGGTAAAATCTAAAACTATTAAAACCTCTAGGAGAAAGTCTTTGCAACCTTGGGTTAGGCAAAGATTTCTTACATCAAAAGCACAACCCAGAAAAGAACAAACTGAAAAATTAGACTTCATCAAAATTTAAAACTTCTCTACAAAAAACACTGCTAGAGGGGATGGGAAAAAACAAAAACACTGTTAGAGAAAAGAACAGCAACAGACTGGGAAAAAATACTTTCAAATCACATACCTGATAAGGAACTTGTATCAAGAATATATATACACATGTACATATATACACACACACACACATATACATATACACATATATATACATACACACACACACATATAGAACTCTTAAAACAACTTTAAGAAAACAACCCTATTAAAAACATGTAAACGATTTGGATATTAACCAGAGAAGATATATAAATAGCAAATAAGAACATTAAAAAATGCTCGGAGGCCGGGCATGGTGGCTCACACCTGTAATCCCAGCACTCTGGGAGGCTGAGGTGGGTGTATCACTTGAGGTCAGGAGTTCGAGATCAGCCTGACCAGCACGGTGAAACCCTCTCTACTAAAAAAAATATAAAATCAGCAGGGTGTGGCGGTGCTCACCTGTAATCCCAGCTACTCAGGAGGCTAAGGCAGGAGAATTGCTTGAACCTGGGGATGGAGGTTGCAGTGAGCTGGGATGGCACCACTGCACTCCAGCCTGGGTGACAGAGTGAGACTTGGTCTCAAAAAGAAAAAAAGAAAACTGCTCAATATCACTGGTCATTAGAAAAATGCAAATTAAAACGACAAGGGAATACTACCACACACCTATTAGAATGCTTAAAACTGACCATACCAAGTGTTGATCAGAACATGAAAGAACTGGAACTTTCATACACTCTTGGTTGAAATGTAAAACAAGGCCAGGCGTGGAGACTCGCGTCTGTAATCCCAACACTTTGGGAGGCTGAGGCAGGCAGATCACCTGAGGTCAGGAGTTCGAGACCAGCTTGGCCAACATGGTGAAACCCCATCTCTACTAAAAATACAAAAATCAGCCGGGCATAATGGCGGGTGCCTATAATTCCAACTACTCAGGAAGCTGAGGCAGGAGAATCACTTGAACGTGGGAGGCAGAGGTTGCAGTGAGTCGAGATCATGCCACTGCACTCCTGCCTGGGCAACAGAGTGACACGTGGTCTCAAAAAAAAAAAATGTAAAACAAAACAACCATGTTGGAACGTAGTTTGACAATTTCTTAAAAGGTAAAACATTTAATTACTGTATGATGCAGCCATTCTACTCCTAGATATTAACCCAAGAGAAATGAAAGCATAGGTCCATACAAAGATTTGCGGACAACTGTTCACAGCAGTTTTATTTTTATGAGCCAAAAACTAGTAACAACCCAAATGTCCATCAGCAGGCAAACAGCTAAACAAATTGTGGCATATCCATACAATGGAATACTACCCAGCAATAAAAAGGAATGAACACCATATAAAAGTGAAAAAAACGGGCCAGGCACAGTGGCTAACACCTATAATCCCAGTACTTTGGGAGGCCAAGGCGGGTGGATCACAAAGTTAGGAGTTCAAGACCAGCCTGGCCAACATGGTGAAACCTCGTCTCTACTAAAAATACAAAAATTAGCCAGGCATGGTGGTGCACGCCTATAATCCCAGCTACTCAAGAGGCTGAGGCAGGAGAATCACTTGAACCCAGGAGGTGGAGGTTGCAGTGAGCCGAGATCACACCATTGCACTCCAGCCTGAGCAACAGTGTGAGACTCTGTCTCAAAAAAAGTGAAAAAAATGAACACCACAATCAAAAGGATCGACATAACATGAATGACTGTAAAAATAATTATTCTGAGTAAAAAAAGCCAGACAAAAAAAAGAATGCATACTGTATGACTTCATCTATATAAAACTCTAGAAAATGCAAACTATTTTATAGTGACATAAAGTACATCAGTAGTTGCCTAGAGTGGAGAAGAGGTGGTGGAAACAGGTCCATTCATTGATTGTGGTGACAGTTTCTCAAGTGTAGCTATATCAAAATTTATCAAACTGTACACTTCAAATATGTGCAATTAACTGTGTGTCAATTATACATCAATAAAGCTACCACAATCTGTTAATAAAAAATAAATTTTCTTTGCTTTGCTTTTTGAGACAGAGTTTCACTGTTGTCACCCAGGCTGGAGTGCAATGGCACGATCTTGGCTCACTCCAACCTCCACCTCCCAGGTTCAAACGATTCTCCTGCCTCAGCCTCCCGAGTAGCTGGGATTACAGGCGCCTGCCAGCACGCCCAGCTAATTTTTGTGTTTTTAGTAGACAGGGTTTCACCACGTTAGCCAGGCTGGTCTCAAACTCCTGACCTCAAGTGATCCACCTGCCTCGGCCTCCCAAAGTGCTGGGATTACAGGCGTGAGCCACCATGCCCAGCCCTCTTTGTTCTTTACAAGATTTCTTAAGAAAGGATAAAAGCCTGCTTAAAAAGGAAACTGAAAAATTAAAATTGGGTCCAATGGATTCTGATGGTGTATCAATAGTTAGAATACATCATATATAAATCAAATATATCTAAACACATATATCCATGATTTCATAATTCTTTAAAAAAATTGTTTTAAGTACCTTTGAAGGATGCTAGGGAATCAACTCATTTTTGAACATTCATACATAAAGAGAAAGAATGAAGCATTTATCCTGCCTTTCCTATGACAACTCCACCCCTGGGTAACAAAACAGTAGATATGCAAGTTTATCTCTACAGACTTTACAGATATTAAAAAAAATGACAAAATTAGAATATTATCACTTTGAACCCCTACTCAATTAATAAATTACAAACAAATGGCTGCTAAGTTTCACACAAAAACATATCCATATATGTACTTCCTGGTGGAAAAACACACCACCACCTATAAGAATCCTGCCAAAACTTAAAAAACTAAAATCTGATTAAACCTCTAAGTCCAAGTAGTTTCTTGGAAATGGAGAAGAGAGAATACATTATCTTTGTATAAAAGACACTTGAGAGATCAACCAATTGCCATGTAAGGACCTTACATGGATGTTGATTAAAAGTATTTAAAAACTTATATAAACATAAAACTTTTGAGACCATTGACAATTTGAACACTGATTACAGATATTCAATTTGATATTAAAAAATCATTTTGGGGCTGGGTGCTATAACTCAGGCCTGTAATCCTAGCACTTTGGGAGGTTGAGGCAGGTGGACTGCTTGAGCCCAGGAGTTCGAGACCAGCCTGGGCAGCATGGCAAAACCCCATCTCTACAAACAAAAAACAACAACAAAAAAAAAACACAAATTAGCCAGGTGTGGTGATGTGTGCTTGTGATCCTAGCTCCTCGGGAGGCTGAGGTGGGAGGATCACCTGAGCCCTGGAGCTTGAGGCTGCAGTGAGCTGAAATCTTGCTACTGCACTCTGGCCTGGGCCACAGAGTGAGACTGGTCTCAAAAAAAAAAAAAATATATATATATATATATATATATATTTTTAAGCCAGGCACAGTAGCTCATGCCTATAATCCCAGCACTTCTGGAAGGCCAAGGCAAGAGGATCACCTGAGGCCAGGAATTTGAGACCAGCCTGGGCAACATGGCAAGACCCTATCTCTACAAAAAATAAGTTAGCCAAAGTGGTGGTGCATACCTGTAGTCCTAGCTACTCAGGAGGCTAAGGCAGGAGGATGGCTTGAGCCCAGGAGTTTGAAGCTATAGTGAGCTATAATGTGGACATTGCACTCCAGCCTGGAAAACAGAGTAAGATCCTGTCTCTAAAACAAACAAACAAAAAATTATCTTTAGATGTGATAACAGTATTACAGTTTTTTTAACTGTCTTTTAAAGACATACATTAAAATATTTACAGATTACATGTTCTAATTGTAGAATCTGCTCTCAAATAATATGAAAAGGGAGAAGTACATGGGCATCTAAATAAAATAACATTGTCCATGAGGTGGTCATTTCTGAAGCTGGAGGATGAGTAGAATGGGGTTCAATATTCCACTTAAATCTGCTTTTCTATATGCTTGAATTTTCTAGTAATAAAAATTTTTTAAATAACTTCAATTTACTTTGTAACTATTTAAGGTACTAGATAAAAATTCTAAATAAATAAAATTGACAAAGGCCAATATCCTCTCTCATATTGTCTTTGGCCATTGTTGGTATGAAGGTTATATTGGCTTCAAAATTTATTAAACTGAATAACTTTGCCTCTTTCTCTATTCTCTGAAAATTATAGAAAATATGAACAATTTGTTTCTTAAAGGTATAGTAGAACTTTGTAAACCCATCTGATGGCTGCATGAGGAAGGAAGAGGTATATTTTTAATTACTGATTTTAATTATTTTAATTTTATTGATATTACATCTATTCAGGATTTTTTTTTTTTTTTTTTTTGAGACGGAGTCTTGCTCTGTCGCCCAGGATGGAGTGCAATGGCGCGATCCTGGCTCACTGCAAGCTCCGTCTCCCGGGTTCACGCCATTCTCCTGCCTCAGCCTCTCAAGTAGCTAGGATTACAGGCGCCCACCACCACGCCCGGCTATTTTTTTGTATTTTTAGTAGAGATGGGGTTTCAACGTGTTAGCCAGGATGGTCTTGATCTCCTGACCTCGTGATCCGCCCGCCTCAGCCTCCCAAAGTGCTGGGATTACAGGCGTGAGCCACTGCACCCGGCCTTCAGGATTTCAATCTACTCTTGAAAGTAAATTATTTCAGTTTTGTTTGGTATATTCTTCTAGAAAATAGCCAATTTTGTCTGTTCCTATGTCATTTCAAATGTACTGGCATAAAACTTTATAAATTTTATTTGAAACTCTATTAAACTTGTAGTTATTGTTCTTCACATTTTTAATAACATTACTTGTGCTTTCTTTTTCCTTGATTCATCGTTTTTCGTTTTTGTTTTTTTTCTATCGCCCAGGCTGGAGTACAGTGGCGTGATGTCGGCTCACTGCAACCTCTGCCTCCCTGGCTCAAGCGATTCTCCCACCTCAGTCTCTCGAGTGCTGGGACAACAGGCGCGCACCACCACACCAAGCTAATTTTTTGTATTTTTAGTACAGACAAGGTTTCACCATATTGGCCAGGCTGGTCTCGAACTCCCCACCTCAGGTGATCCACCTGCCTCGGCCTCCCAAAGCAATGGGATTATAGGCATGAGCCACCACACCCAGCCCTTGATTCAACCTTTTAGAGGCTCATCTTTTCATCAGTCTTTTCAAAGAACCAGATTTTGGTTTCATTGAGCCTCTCTATTGTTTGTTTTCCATCATTAATTTCTACTTTTAGCATCATCATTTTCTTCTTTCTTTGGAATACTTATGTTAAATACTTAGATCATTCACTTCAACCTCACATTTTTTTGTTTCTGTTTTTGAGACAGAGTCTTGCTCTGTTGCCCAGGCTGGAGGGTAGTGTTGCAATCTCCGCTCACTGAACCTCTTAGAAATACTTAAGTCTTCCTAGTAAATTATCTCATTCCTTGTGAGTGAATCTCTTTATCCTTGATAATACTTCTGCCTAATCTAATTTTCTAATTTTTCTTAAAATTCATATACTTATGCAAGCTTTCTTTTGGTTCCTTGTGTTAGAATGTTTCAGATTCACAGCCGGGCGTGGTGGCTCATGCCTGTAATCCCAGCACTTTGGGAGGCCAAGACGGGTGGATCACAAGGTCAGGAGATCGAGACCATCCTGGCTAACAAGGTGGAACCCTGCCTCTACTAAAAATACAAAAATTAGCCAGGCATGGTGGTGGTCACCTGTAGTCCCAGGTACTCGGGAGGCTGATGCAGGAGAATGGCATGAACCCAGGAGGTGGAGCTTGCAATGAGCCGAGACTGTGCCACTGCACTCCAGCCTGGGCAACAGAGCGAGACTCTGTCTCAAAAAAAAAAAAAAAAAAAAAAAAAAAAAAAAAAAAAAAAGAATGTTTCAGATTCATTACTCATAAACAGCAACATAATTATTTTGTTTGCTGCCTTTAAATAAAAAAATCTCATTCTGGAATCTCTGTTTTCTCTGGTAAGTTTAATCTGTTTACATTTATATAAACACTTATATAAACTGATTTATACAACTGATAAAGTTGAAATTATTTCCAATGCCTTATTTTCTTTTTACTACACTATGTTTTTTCTTTGCTTTCCCCCTTTTTAAAATTTATTTTATTTCATTTTATTTTTTGAAGATGGAGTCTCACTCTGTCGCCCAGGCTGGAGTGCCGTGGTGGGGTCTCGGCTCACTGCAACCTCCACCTCCCGAGTTCAAGCGGTTCTCCTGCCTCAGACTGCCAAGTAGCTGGGATTACGAGCACCTGCCACCACACCCGGCTAATTTTTGTATTTTTAGTGGAGACGGGGTTTTACAATGTTGGCCAGGCTGGTCTTGAACTTCTGACCTTAAAGTGATCCACCTACCTTGGCCTCCCAAAGTGTTGGGATTACAGGCATGAGCCACCACACCCGGCCTTCTTTTCTTTTTCCTCTTTTCCTACATTCTAGTGGACTGTTTTCTCTACTACCTTTCCTCCACTTAGTCTAATGATAGGGAAGGTGCACTTTTTTTTTTTTTTTTTTTTTTTAATGGAGACAGTCTTGCTATGTTGCCCAATCTGGTCTTGGACTCCTAGGCTCAAGTAATCCTCTCACCTTGATCTCCTGAGTAGCTGCGACTATTAGCACGTGCCACCACACCCAGCTTACTTTTACTTACATTTTTAATAGGATTACTTGTAAGGAGAATCAATATTATTACTCTCCTTTTTAAGAACCGGACCTCAAAAAACAGTAACTCAGATACCACCCCTCCTGTCTTATATGTTTTTTTCTAGAACAGTAATTAATTCTTGTGTGTTTGTTATGCTGTTTTACACAATCAAGTTGTCCAGATTTGTCTATAGGTTTACCAATTTCTGTGCTAACTTTGTGTCTTGCATCCTTTTCTACACTCTGGGTTCAACTTCCTCTTATAAAGTACAACTACCTCCGGTAAGTAGTTCTTTCGCTAATGGTCTTCATCTTCATCTGAAAATATATTTCTTCACTTTAGAATGAGTTTTGAAAGTTATTTTATTTTTCTGGCTGGGAATGGTGGCTCATGCCTGTAATCCCAGCACTTTGGGAGGCTGAGGTGGGCGGATCACGAGGTCAGGAGTTCGAGACCAGCCTGACCAACATGGTGAAACCCCGACTCTACTAAAAATACAAAAATTAGCCGGGCATGGTGGTGTGCACCTGTAATCTCAGCTACTTGGGAGGCTGAGGCGGGAGCACTGCTTGAACCCAGGAGGCGGAGGTTGTGGTGAGCTGAGATTGTGCCATTGCACTCCAGCCTGGGCAGTAAGAGCGAAACTGACTCAAAAAAAAAAAGGAAGTTATTTTATTTTTCCTGGGCACTTTAATGATATTATTCTATTTGGTTTTGGCTTCTATTAATGCTCTTGATAAGTCTGCTAAACTAACTGCTGTTCAGCTATAAATGACTTTTCTCTCTCTCGCTGCTTTATTACTTTATATTTAATGTTCAGTAATTTTACTAGAATGTACTGAATTATCTATTTATATTTTTCTACTTACAGATACACTGTCTACTTCTAGGCACAACCAAAGCGAAGAATAAAAAATGATTTAAGAGACACTACCATCTTAATTTTCCCAAAGATTGTTCAAATACTATGTCATATGTATAAAGGGTATGTGTACCATGAATGCCCTAGAGCAGAAGTACTCAAACTTTAGCTTGCAACACAAACATTTGGGAACTTATTTACAGTACAGACTTCTAGATTCCACACCCAATTTCTCAGTCACCAGGTCTGCTGTCTTGCCAGGAATCGGCATTTCTAACAGATTCCCAGGTGATGTTGACACTGCAGATCAGGAAGGAGCTCATGCTTTAAGAACCATAGCCGTAGGGATTTATGATAATGATCTCATGAAACCCCCACTGAGAAGGACTATAGGGACTTAATCTGCTCCTTAAAATTAGAGATTAGTATTTATCATCAATTCTAAACAATTTTTAGCTTTAAATATTGCTCTCTCCCATTTCTTTCTTTCTTTCTTTTTTTTCCTTTTGAGATGGAATCTCACTCTGTCACCCAGGCTGGAGTGCAATAGCATGATCTTGGCTCACTGCAACTGCAATCTCCACCTCCTGGGTTCAAGCGATTCTCATGCCTCAGTCTCCCGAGTAGCTGGGACTACAGGCACATGCCACCATGCCTGGCTAATTTTTTGTATTTTACTATACAGGGGGTTCCACCATGTTGTTTAGGCTGGTCTTGAACTCTTGAGCTCAGGCAATCCACCTCCTCGGCCTCCCAAAATGCTAGGATTACAGGCGTGAGCCACCACACCCAGCCTCCCATTTCTCCTTGTAGAATACCAACTATATAAAACACTAACAGCTACCTCCTCTGTGAGGAGGTAGAACTGTCCCAGTTCATTCTTCACAGACGCCTCAGAGCAAAATAAAATCAGATATCATTCCTTTACCCAAAATTGTTCACTGGCTTCTCTACACCTACAAGAGCAGTTGTTTTGGGGGAGGGATACATGAATGGGCTTCAGAGTCGAAGCAAATATTTGAGTATTTACATTATGGTACACATACTTTGTAGAATACTATGGAATAGGTCTGTGACCTAAGCATGTTAAAAACTGCTGACCTATTACATTCCCAGTGAGTCAGTGTGCTACATAAAACTTCATAATCCATGCCTATCTTTCTCACATATACCCTGATGTCAATCTGAGGACACAATGCTTTCGAACTTTCACCTTATGCCTCTATTACCTCCACCTAGAAAAGAATGCCCAATAGATCTCTCATAGGCCTGACAAAGTCCTACTTGTCTGCCAAAGAGCTCCAATATCACCTCCTCCAGGAAAGCTTCCCCAACCCACTTACGAGTTAATTGCTACCTTTTCTATTCTCCCTCCACACTTTGTACAAACATCCACTATTACTTTTCACCATTCCAATTACTGGTCTACAGAAATGTCTTCCTCTATGAGTTATCTCAGGCAAGAACTTAATCACTACCTTTATATCCCCATAACAGATACACAAATGTTTGGTAAATATATAAACATGTTACCTACATGGTACCTAAACATAATTTTCCTTGGACTCCATAAACAGTTTGTAGGAGAATATATCTTTTTATTTTAAGAATTTTCATGCCTGTAATCCCAGCACTTTGGGAGGCTGAGGTGGGTGGATCACCTAAGGTCAGGAGTTCAAGACCAGCCTGGCTGACATGGTGAAACCCCATCTCTACTAAAAATACAAAAAATTAGCAAGGTGTGGTGGCGGGTGCCTGTAATCCCAAGTACTCAGCAGTCTGAGGCAGGAGAATCACTTGAACCCGGGAGGTGGAGATTGCAGTGAGCAAAGATTGTGCCAATGCACTCAGCCTGGGCAACTAGAGCAAAACTCCATCTCAAAAATAAATAAAATAATTAAAAATTTTTAAAAAGGAAATTTCAGGTCTGTCTTCATCTAGATTTTCAAGGGAACCAGAGATTCAATAGATACAAATGGCACCGAATCTAGTTTCATTCTCACATTTCTTCACAAAATGCCTCAAAGTATCAAAGCAAAGAATTACGGCTCTGCAAACAACACAAAGATACTCCTCGAGAAGCGCAACTCCAAGACACATAATTGTCAGATTCACCAAAGCTGAAATGAAGGAAAAAATGTTAAGGGCAGCCAGAGAGAAAGCTCGGGTTACCCACAAAGGGAAGCCCATCTCACTAACAGTGGACCTCTCCACAGAAACTCTACAGGCCAGAAGAGAGTGGGGGCCAATATTCAACATTCTTAAAGAAAAGAATTTTCAACCCAGAATTTCATATCCAGCCAAACTAAGCTTCATAAGTGAAGGAGAAATAAAATCCTTTACAGACAAACAAATGCTGAGAGATTTTGTCACCACCAGGCCTGCCTTATAAGAGCTCCTGAAGGAAGCACTAAACATAAAAAGGAACAACCAGTACCAGCCACTGCAAAAACATGGAAATTGTAAAGACCATTAATGCTAGGAAGAAACTGCATAAACTAACAAGCAAAATAACCAGCTAACATCATAATGACAGGATCAAATTCACACACAGCAATATTAACCTTAAATGTAAATGGGCTAAATGCTCCAATTAAAAGACACAGGCTGGCAAATTGGATAAAGAGTCAAGACCCATCGGTGTGCTGTATTCAGGAGACCCATCTCACGTGCAGACACACATAGGCTCAAAATAAAGGGATGGAGGAAGATCTACCAAGCAAATGGAAAACAAAAAAAGGCAGGGGTTGCAATCCTAGTCTCTGATAAAACAGACTTTAAACCAACAAAGATCAAAAGAGACAAAGAAGGCCATTACATAATGGTAAAGGGATCAATACAACAAGAAGAGCTAACTATCCTAAATATATATGCACCCAATACAGGGGCACCCAGATTCATAAAGCAAGCCCTTAGAGACCTACAAAGAGACTTAGACTCCCACACAATGATAATGGGAGACTTTAACACCCCACTGTCAACATTAGACAGATCAACGAGACAGAAAGTTAACAAGGATATCCAGGAACTTAACTCAGCTCTGCACCAAGCAGACCTAATAGACATCTACAGAACTCTCCACACCAAATCAACAGAATATACATTCTTCTCAGCACCACATCGCACTTATTCCAAAATTGACCACATAGTTGGAGGTAAAGCACTCCTCAGCAAATGTAAAAGAAAAAAAATTATAACAAACTGTCTCTCAGACCACAGGGCATTCAAACTAGAACTCAGGATTAAGAAACGCACTCAAAACCGCTCAACTACAAGGAAATTGAACAATCTGCTCCTGAACGACTACTGGGTACATAATGAAATGAAAGCAGAAATAAAGATGTTCTTTGAAACCAATAAGAATAAAGACACAGCATACCAGAAACTCTGGGACACATTCAAAGCAGTGTGTAGAGGGAAATTTATAGCACTAAATGCCCACAAGAGAAAGCAGGAAAGATCTACAATTGACACCCTAACGTCACAATTAAAAGAACTAGAGAAGCAAGAGCAAACACATTCAAAAGCTAGCAGAAGGCAAGAAATAGCTAAGATCAGAGCAGAACTGAAGGAGATAGAGACAGAAAAAACCCTTCAGAAAATCAATGAATCCAGGAGCTGGTTTTTTGAAAGATCAACAAAATACATAGACCACTAGCAAGACTAACAAAGAAGAAAAGAGAGAAGAATCAAATAGACTCAATAAAAAATGATAAAGGGGATATCACCACCGATCCCACAGAAATACAAACTACCATCAAAGAATACTATAAACACCTCTACGCAAATAAACTAGAAAATCTAGAAGAAATGGATAAATTCCTTGACACATACACCCTCCCAAGACTAAACCAGGAAGAAGTTGAATCCCTGAATAGACCAATAACAGGCTCTGAAATTGAGGCAATAATTAATAGCCTACCAAGCAAAAAAAGTCCAGGACCACACGGATTCACAGCCAAATTCTACCAGAGGTACAAAGAATAGCTGGTACCACTCCATCTGAAAATATTCCAATCAATAGCAAAAGAGGGAATCCTCCCTAATTCATTTCATGAGGCCAACATCATCCTGATACCAAAGCCTAGCAGAGACAACAAAAAAAGAGAATTTTAGACCAATAACCCTGATGAACATCGATGCAAAAATCCTCAATAAAATACTGGCAAACCGAATCCAGCAGCACATCAAAAAGCTTATCCACCATGATCAAGTGGGCTTCATCCCTGGGATGCAAGGCTGGTTCAACATACACAAATCAATAAATGTAATCCATCATATAAACAGAACCAAAGACAAAAACCACATGATATCTCAATAGATGCAGAAAAGGCCTTTGACAAAATTCAACACCCCTTCATGCTAAAAACTCCCAATAAACTTGGTATTGACGGCACATATCTCAAAATAATAAGAGCTATTTATGACAAACCCACAGCCAATATCATACTGAATGGGCAAAAACTGGAAGCATTCCCTTTGAAAACTGGCACAAAACAGGGATGCCCTCTCTCACCCCTCCTATTCAACATAGTGTTGGAAGTTCTGGCCAGGGCAATCAGGCAAAAGAAAGAAATAAAGGGTATTCAATTAGGAAAAGAGGAAGTCAAATTGTCCCTGTTTGCAGATGACATTGTGTATTTAGAAAACCCCATCGTCTAGCCCAAAATCTCCTTAAGCTGATAAGCAACTTCAGCAAAGTCTCAGGATACAAAATCAATGTGCAAAAACCACAAGCATTCTTACACACCAATAACAGACAAACAGAGAGCCAAATCATGAGTGAACTCCCATTCACAATTGCTTCAAAGAGAATAAAATACCTAGGAATCCAACTTACAAGGGATGTGAAGGATCTCTTCAAGGAGAACTAGAAACCACTGCTCAGCAAAATAAAAGAGGATACAAACAAATGGAAGAACATTCCATGCTCATGGATAGGACGAATCAATATTGTGAAAATGGCCATACTGCCCAAGGTAATTTATAGATTCAATGCCATCCCCATCAAGCTACCAATGACTTTCTTCGCAGAATTGGAAAAAACTACTTTAAAGTTCATATGGAACCAAAAAAGAGCCTGCATTGCCAAGACAATCCTAAGCCAAAAGAACAAAGCTGGAGACATCACGCTACCTGACTTCAAACTGTACTACAAGGCTACAGTAACCAAAACAGCATGGGAACCAAAACAGAGATATAGACCAATGGAACAGAATAGAGCCCTCGGAAATAATACCACACATCTACAACCATCTGATCTTTGAGAAACCTGACAAAAACAAGAAATGGGGAAAGGATTCCCTATTTAATAAATGGTGCTGGGAAAACTGGCTAGCCATATGTAGAAAGCTGAAACTGGATCCCTTTCTTATACCTTATACAAAAATTAATTCAGGATAGATTAAAGACTTACATGTTAGCCCTAAAACCATAAAAACCCTAAAAGAAAACCTATGCAATACCATTCAGGACATAGGCATGGGCAAGGAATTCATGACTAAAACACCAAAAGCAATGGCAACAAAAGCCAAAATTGACAAATGGGATCTAATTAAACTAAAGAACTTCTGCACAGCAAAAGAAACTACCATCAGAGTGAACAGGCAACCCACAGAATGGGAGAAAATTTTTGCAATCTACCCATCTGACAAAGGGCTAATATCCAGAATCTACAAAGAACTTAAACAAATTTACAAGAAAAAAATCAAACAGCCCCATCAAAAAGTGGACAACGGATATGAACACACACTTCTCAAAAGAAGACATGTATGTAGCCAACAGACACGTGAAAAAATGCCCATTATCACTGGTCATCAGAGAAATGCAAATCAAAACCACAATGAGATACCATCTCACGCCAGTTAGAATGGTGATCATTAAAAAGCCAGGAAACAACAGGTGCTGGAGAGGATGTGGAGAAATAGAACACTTTTACACTCTTGGTGGGACTGTAAACTAGTTCAACCATTGTGGAAGACAGTGTGGTGATTCCTCAAGGATCTAGAACTAGAAATATCATTTGACCCAGCCATCCCATTACTGGACATATACCCAAAGGATTATAAATCATGCTGCTATAAAGACACATGCACGTGTATGTTTACTGTGGCACTATTCACAATAGCAAAGACTTGGAACTAACCCAAATGTCCATCAATGATAGACTGGATTAAGAAAATATGGCACATATACACCATGGAATACTATGCAGCCGTAAAAAAGGATGAGTTCATGTCCTTTGTAGGGACATGGATGAAGCTGGAAACCATCATTCTGAGCAAACTATCGCAAGGACAGAAAACCAAACACTGCATGTTCTCACTCATAGGTGGGAATTGAACAATGAGAACACTTGGACACAGGAAGGGGAACATCACACACCGGGGCCTGTTGTGGGGTGTGGGGAGTGGGGAGGGATAGCATTAGGAGATATACCTAATGTAAATGACGAGTTAACGGGTGCAGCACACCAAAATGGCACATGTATACATATGTAATGAACCTGCACGTTCTGCACATGTACCCTAGAAGTTAAAGCATTATAGATAAATAAATAAATAAATAAAAAGAATTATGGCTCTGCAATGTCAACAGAACCAAAAGAAGAACATTGGCAGGGTGATCAAATCTCGTTCAACAATCTTAACGGAAGAAAATAAGTACTTCTATTCTATTTGCTTTATACAAGTCTATCTGGTTTATCTTCTCACTTAGCACGTGTATGTGTGTGTATATATTTTTTATATATAATACACATTTTATATGTAATATATATTTTATATAATATATATTTTATATGTAATATATATTTTATATATAATATATATTATATGTAATATATATTTTATATATAATACACATTTTATATGTAATATATATTTTATATATAATATATATTTTATATGTAATATATATTTTATATATAATATATATTTTATATGTAATATATATTTTATATGTAATATATATTTTATACAATATATATTTTACATGTAATACATAGTATACTGTATATATAGTATATAGTATATTTATATAGTATATTTTACGTAATATACATATTATATATTATATGTAATTTATATATAATTATATATTTATAATATGTATATTACACATAATATACATTTTATATATAATATATATTACACATATATATTTTATATAATATATATTACACATAATATATATTTTATATATTATATATTACACATAATATATATTTTATATATTGTATATTACACATAATATATATTTTATATAATGTATATTACACATAATATATATTTATATAATGTATATTACACATAATATATATTTTATATAATGTATATTACACATAATATATATTTTATATAATGTATATTACACATAATATATATTTTATATAATGTATACTACACATAATATATATTTTATATAATGTATACTACACATAATATATATTTTATATAATGTATACTACACATAATATATATTTTATATATAATGTATACTACACATAATATATATTTTATATATAATGTATACTACACATAATATATATTTGATATATAATGTATACTACACATAATATATTTGATATATAATGTATACTACACATAATATATATTTGATATATAATGTATACTACACATAATATATATTTGATATATAATGTATACTACACATAATATATATTTGATATATAATGTATACTACACATAATATATTGATATATAATGTATATTACACATAATATATTGATATATAATGTATATTACACATAATATATATTTGATATATAATGTATATTACACATAATATATGTTTGATATATGATGTATATTACACATAATATATATTTGATATATGATGTATATTACACATAATATATATTTGATATATGATGTATATTACACATAATATATATTTGATATATGATGTATATTACACATAATATATATTTGATATATGATGTATATTACACATAATATATATTTGATATATGATGTATATTATACATAATATATATTTGATACATGATGTATATTACACATATTTGATACATGATGTATATTACACATAATATATATTTGATACATAATATATATATTTATATATATATATATATTTTTTTTTTCTTTGAGACAGAGTCTCGCTCTGTCACCCAGGCTGGAGTGCAGTGGTGGGATCTTGGCTCACTGCAAGCTCCACCTCACAGGTTCACACCATTCTCCTGCCTCAGCCTCCCGAGTAGTTGGGACTACAGGCGCCCACCACCACGCCCGGCTAATTTTTTTTTATTTTTTAGTGGAGACAGGGTTTCACCGTGTTATCCAGGATGGTCTCGATCTCCTGACCTCGTGATCCGCCCGCCAGGGCCTCCCAAAGTGCTGGGATACAGGAATGAGCCGCCGCGCCCGGCCAAAAAAAATATTTTTATGAAGGTTATACTACACAAAATGAACAACAAGAGGAGCCCAGGAAGTCTTTCACTATTTTTCAAATGTTTCTGTATTGTCTTTTTTAAAAAACAATGTTTTGTATTACTTTAACAACCAGAAAAACACAATCTAAAGGGGGAAAAGTCATATTCCATGTTATGCTATTTAAGAAAAAAGTTTGATTAATTATAAAACTACTTTAATATATTATTCTTACCAGATTTAAGACCTGAAATTTTGAAGATGGCACTTGGCTTCCCATTCGTGACAAATCCTAGGAGTTGCCATACTGGCATTCCATTTGAATCAGGATAAGAAAAGTAGACAGATCCTCCCATTCCCTCAGGAAATGGGATTGTTCCCAGCATAAAAACCACAACATGGTTGATACTTTCATAATCAGGTAAGTCAAAAACAAATTTATCCTCTGCCACTTGCTGTGCAGCTGTTTGCACCTAGAAAATAAGAAACTTGTCTCAGTTCAATGGTTCTATGAGTTTCTGTAACTCTTAACAGTATCATTTATAAGTTATATTACCAGCATAATCCATTATAGTCTTTCTACCAAATAGAATGTTAAATCTGATAGTCTTAAATACATACTTAGTTTTACAATCATAATCTACTAAATGCAATCTTCTAAAAATATAACTCGGGCAGATCACAGCGGCTCACACCTGTAATCCCAACACTTTGTGGGAGGCCAAGGCGGGCAGATCACCTGAGATCAGGAGTTCAAGACCAGCTTGGCCAACATGGCAAAACCCCATCTCTCCTAAAAATACAAAAACTAGCCAGGTATGGTGGCTCATGCATAAGTATTCCCAGCTACTCGGGAGGCTGAGGCAGGAGAATCGCTTGAACCCAGGTGGTGGATGTTGCAGTGAGCTGAGACCATACCATTGCACTCCAGCCTGGGCAACAAGAGCAAAACTGTCTCAAAAACTAAAAATAAAATAAAAATAAAAATAAATTATTTCAGAGGTGCCCTGAAAGGATTTTACTTACATAAAAAATAACTAGGCCAGGCACGGTGGCTCACGGCTGTAATCCTGGCACTCTGGGAGGCCAGGATCACACGACGTCAGGAGTTCGAAACCAGCCTGGCCAACATGGAGAAACCCCATTTCTACTAAAAATACGAAATTAGCCAAGCGTGGTGGCACGTGCCTGTAATCCCAGGTACTCGGGAGGCTAAGGTAGGAGAATCACTTGAACCCAGGAGGTAGAGGTTGCGGTGAGCTGAGATCGCGCCATTGCACCAGCCTGGGTGCAAGAGCTAAACTCCGTCTCAAAAAAATAAATAAATAAAAATAACTATAGCTTCAGAATGTTGTAAAAATGAAAGGTTATTCAAAACACATCACCTAAGCTCTCACCCTCCAGCTTAAAGATAAAGGGGCCAGGCACAGTGGCTCATGCCTGTAATCCCAGCACTTTGGGAGGTCGAGGCAGTCAGCTGGCTTGAGCTCAGGAGTTCAAGACCAGCCAGGGCAACATGGCAAAATCCGATCTCTACAAAAACTACAAAAATTAGCCAGGGGTGGTGGCATGCGCCTTTGGTCCCAGCTACTCGGGAGGCTAAGACCAGATAATCACTTGAACCCAGGATGTCAAGGCTGCAGCAAGCCGAGGTCCCGCCACTGCACTACAGCCTGGATGACAGAGCATGACCCTGTCTCAAAAATAAATAAAAGAATCTCAGGTAATTAAAACAGGTAAGCAATCCAGAAGTAATTAGGCAATCCTCCTTATTCACAAATCCTGTATCTGAATTCACCTACTCACTAAAACTCACTTGTAATCCCAAATCAATGCTTGCTGCATTTCTGCAGTCATTCATGGACATACTCATATGAACAGTAGTAAAAAATGTGAGTTGTAGGCCTGGCACAGTGGCTCATGCCTGTAATCCCAGCACTTTGGGAGGCCAAGGCGGGTTGATCACCTGAGGTCAGGAGTTCCAGATCAGCCTGGCCAACATGGCGAAACGTAGTATCTACTAAAAATATAAAAATTAGCTGGGCATGGGGGCACATGCCTGTAGTCTCAGCTACTCAGGAGGCTGAGGCATGAGAATTGCTTGAACCTGGAGGCGGAGGTTGCGATGAGCAGAGATCACACCATTGCACTCCAGCCTGGCTGACAGAGTAAGACTCCGTCTCAAAAAAAAAAAAAAAAAAAAAAGTGAGTTGTGCAACTCACACACTGGCAGCTGAGGTAGAACATGCCATCTTGTTTCAGTCCTCGTAATATGAAAAAGTGTCCTTTTCACAGTCTCATCTATTTAAAGCATTTTTGTGATTTTTGTTGGTGATCGTGCTGTTTAAAATGACCAAGTTCAAGTGCTGGCTAGTCTTCCTAAGTGCAAGAAGGCTATGACATGCCTTACAGAGAAAATATGTGTGTTAGGTAAGTTTTCCCTCTATAATATCCTATCTACCGATACAAATAAACTTAGGAAAAATATACTGCTATGTAATTTCAACTATCTATTAGTTATAAAGTAGTATCAACTGGCTGCCCTAAATTAAGTCTCAAGATACAAAGGCAGTGTTCCTAAAGTCAAATTCTGATTCCCTCTTCAGAAGTATTCTGACCCACTTTAAAATCCTCCAGCTTTAGTATAAAGAATAAAACAAAGGAATAACACAAACCAAATGGCCTGTATTAGTATTAAATTCAATTTCACCAGTCTTTGGCATGCATATAACCTAAAAAGCATGGGAAATTATTATTTATGAGTCTTGAAATAACCACCAGGCAAAATAAATATTTCTTAAGTGTCAACTTTGTATAGGTACTGAACAGTCTGCAAATCTGTATCATCACACTCTAATTTTTGACATTAAGAAAAGGTGTATCTCTTTAAGAAAAAAAATCTTAAGAAATAAAAACTGGGTTCATAAGTTTAGATAAGTAGATTTTTCTTATAACAGAGTCGTGTAGTTAAGTTTTGAGATGCCACTAGGTCTATTTGTCCTTCACTTTGATGTGTCCTAATACTCCATAATTAAAGGACCAAGTATCCCCAATATATAGAGGCAGGTATTACCATAACTAAATTTCCTTCCAAATTAGTTGACAACGTGAGAGATACATGGATTCCAAATAGGCTTTTTATTCTTTAAGAAACACAATTTTAATGTCATTCATTAATAACACTCACTCGTCTGAGTCACACAATCATTCCAGGTTTGTCCTTTTTCCCTATTAAGAGCAGGGCAAAATTATCTCACCAGGATTATGAATTACCACCATCACCACAGGGGTCTCCCAGTCATTCAAGAGACAAACTTTATGAGGCTAGTCATCTCCAACTTATCTTTCTGGCTTCTTAGAACTGTATATGTACAGAATACAATACATTATCAAAACTTGATGGGAAAAAAAGACAATTCAGCAAAGGGACTGCAACATTTTAAAAAGCCAGGAGAAAAAAGAAGGAAAAATACTTCTAGGGGAAAGGAATCAGGCCTGAAAATTGATGTCTGTGTGGTTTCTAAGGAAACAAACAAGATTCACCTTCCAGATTATTCCTAAAGAATTCCAGGTGCTGTTCTCATTTACTCTAACAATTTGGCAAGGTAAGTTATCTATTTTGACCCATAAGGAAACACACTACTCGCATCCTTCTCTGGTTATCTCAGATACGGCTCACACGTTAAGTTTCAGCCAACTTCCAATTAAATTAAGCTTATTTTTACTCGGGTTCTTCCAAAGGGACCCAAAAGATATACATTCCCTGAGCACCTTAATCTTTGAAAAACAGTTTGCTATAGACCAAATTCAATCCCAAATTCACCTCTACCTCAAGTTAATAAAGAAGGTATTTATACTGGCGATTGAACTTAGTTCTGTAACTGCAAAATGTCAAAGATAAAGACCATCTCACGAGTTATGAGGATTAAGTTCAAAGTGCCAAATAAGCGCCACACATAAGGCTGAGTGACCAAAGGCGTGCATTGCACTTAGCCCAGTACTTGGTACAAAATGCACACTTAATAAATGCCAACTTATACTGTGACTACTATTCGAAAGAATCTGAATAGAGCTGGGCAAAGGAGAGCACCCAGCTTCCCACGCTCCATCCTCACATACCCACCCAAAATATAATAAGTGGGCTTCCCCGCATCCCTAGCGCCTGCGCACCCTCCCTGCCGTAGGGCTTCGCCCTCGGTATCCTGACCCCTTCCTGATATCACCCGGTCCCATCCTCACCAGCCTCCCCGCCACCAAGCAGCCAAACATGGCGACGGCAGCTCCGTTCAGCCGGCAGTGACCTGAAGCCGGCGACTAGGAGTCCTGGGGCTACTGCCCTAGTCGAGACTAAGAACCTTCCAGAATTTGCGGGAGGGTGTCTGCCCCTCCACTACATAGTGACTGGGCCAGCGGCAAGAATGCCTCTGCCCCCGCGAACTCTGACCTTCTCTTCCTAAGCAGCCCACTGCTCAGGCAACAAGTACTTCCGGGGCTTACACCCGGTTTTCCCCACTAAGGAAGAAAGGCGGGCCAGCGCCAGTACAAGACTACAAGTCCCAGAACAAGTCCCAGAGGGCACCGCGCCAGTTTCCGGGAAGGTAAGCCTGGAGGCTTTGCACACTGGGATCGGTAGTCCGGGTGTTTTATAGCCACAAAATCTGTGGATCCTTCATTTCCATGTACAATCCTGGGAAGAGATGCTTCTAACGTTTCTGTGACATCTGAGAGATTAACGGTGCACTTTTACAATAATCACGTCACTAGATCTTTACAAAAACCCTATGAGGTAAGTATTATAATCCAAATTTTATAGGAGTGATCAGCCTCAAATCTTTACACAGCAGTAAATGTTGGAGGCTGAATTCAAGTCCTAATCCAAATCCGGGTTTCTTTCTGCTACACAGTGTCTCAGAAGTATTAATCTTTAACCAATTGTTTTGTACTTGTCTACAATTTATAGTAGTTCTTTCCAGCTTCACTTAGTTCTCCCATTCATTTGCTGTACAATTGTGGACGAGTTGTAGATGTCTTTGTGCTTCAGTGCCCCTCCTTTGCAAAAGACAAATAATGAGCCTATTGCCTAGGGTTGCTGTGAGGATTAAATGAGCTAATATGTATAAAACACTTAAAACAGTGCTTGGCTGTGCTTAATTAGTGGGAGTTTTATTGTAAAAATGTCTATTTTTTTTCTATGTGGATCTGCAGAAAAGTTTCATAGGAAATACAAAACAATAGCCAAAAAAAAAAAAAAAAATACTGGCATTAAGTACCGATTGCCACCAATACTTATTCTCCCTTTCACAGCTCCAATTCCTTTTCTTCTTGAATAGGATAGTAAAGGGTCTCTGTCCAATTTGAAATATCTGAGCTTGGCCACCAGCCGTAAAGCAGGTCTGTCTTCCCAGTTCTCAGTTTATATATGGGGGATCAGTGTTTGGAACAGTCCTCTGGCCTCCACTGTGGATCCCTAAACTGATCACCTATCTTATCACCGATACTCCTTTGAGATAGCTGTGCCAAAGGTGAAGAGGTAGGAAAGGATCTACCAATGTTTCCAACTTACTATCTAAAAAGTCCTAGAACCTTCAGAATAAAAAGGCCATTCATATGAAGACCACTTCATAAATTAAGGCACCCACACTACCTGGGTTCAGAGCCCATCTCTGCCATTTATTAGTTACATAATCTCAGGCAAGTTAACCTAACACTCCCATACCTCCTTTTCCCCATCTTTAAAATGAAGTAATAGTAGTATCTACCTCATAAAGTTGTTTTGAGGGTTCTTACACGTAAAGTACTCAATAGTGGCCAGAATGTAGCTTACTCAATAAATGTTAATATTTAGCATTATTGCCTTTCCTAACTAATTTTCCATGTCTTCTTCATACCCACCTTGTGCACTAGCCATACTTTTGAATTCTCTGAGCAACTCCTACTTTTAAATTTGTATGTGCTTATGCAACTTGTTTTATCTCCCTGTAATATTCACTTGGTTATTTCTTACACATCCTCTCACTTTTCTTCACTAACCTTTCTATGACCCACCTGATAGTCATTTCTTCTCCTACCCAGCAATCTTATATTTAGTGGATTGAGAACTAGCTAGCTTAGAATTTTTTTTATAAATTACAGATGATGTTTATTAATTGTCTCAATCTCTGTTATGTGAGATATGAGCTTTTTCTCCATTTTGCTGGTCAACTGTCTTAGTTATAGATTGTACAAAGAGTTAGAGGCAGTGAGTACAGTATCATATCTCTAGAGTAGCCAGTATTCCAGCTACCAAACTATATTATTTGTACATACAGTAGTTCTTTGTAACTTCTGCGGGCAGAACTAGATACAGTGTGAGGAAGTGAAAAAATGTTTCAGGGAAAAAAATCTTTCCAATAATCAGAGCTCTCTGAAATAAGAATAGATAGTCATGGAATAGAGTGAATGCTCCTATTCACATTGATATTGTAACCAATGCTGAAATCCACTTACATTGTTGAGGAGACTTACGGAAAATTGGGGAAATTGGCTGAAAACCTCAGAGGTACTCCCCCCCATCTCAAACTATATGATTCTATGGAGTAAGAACCAGTTATAGTTTAATTGTGGCCAGGGTATCAGGGATTCTGAATCCTGGTGTTAGCTCTTCATTAATTAACCTAATGATGAGATCATTTATTTTATCATTTTGGCCATTATGTTTCTTCCAATTCTAGGTTGAATTCTGACTTGAAGAGAGCAAAAAAATATTTTTTCTCTTCTCTGAAAAATTTTTCTTTACAAAACAAGGAGAACAACAAATAGACACACAAACTCTGTCTTCCCTGAACTGGGAGATATCTGTAACCCCAAGTCACAACAGATATCAATGGAAAGTAGATAAAAGAAAGGCAAATGACTTAGCAGAGGCGTGGAAGATCAAACTCAGGTACTACAGAGAAAGATAAATATCAGAGAAGCTCAGGAACTGGAGATATCAGGGGCCACAGAATGCAAGGGTAAGACAGGTAGATTGCTTAAAATCAGTGTTAAGATGTTTATATCTGTTCCTCATCCACACCTTGCAAAAGGCCACTGGTATGAAATCTCTGTGGAAAAAAATTAAATCAGAGGCACCCTGGGTACTAGGAAACCATATACTGAAAAAAAGTGGTTGTAAATTAAGGCCACCATGTACAGATTCGGTCCTAAATAAGGACACCCAAATGAGAGAGGAGTCCTTGGTCACCAAGTCAAACATATCCCAGACTATGTCCACCCAAAGAGGGGTGGCTTTTTCTGAAGCATCCACGTGAGAGTGCTTTGTACTATATCATCCATGCAGAGATAGCTCTTTTTTACATCCCTCATCCATAGGGGAAAAGGGTCACGTTTTAAGAATTGATGGAAAAATCCAACACTCTTTTCATGATAAAAACAGTCAACAAACTAGGAATAGAAGAGAACTTCCTCAACCTGATGAAGAACATCTACAAAAACTCCGCAGCTAACCTCATACTTAATGGTGAAAGATCAGGAACAAGACAAAGGTGTCTTTTATAGCTGCTTGTACTCAACATTGCACTGGAAGTTCCAGCCAAGGCAATTAGGCAAGATAAATAAAACTGGAAATGAAAAAGTAAAACAATCTCTAGTCACAGATGACATGATCTTTTTATTTTTTATTTTTTTTGAGACTGAGACAGAGTCTCACTCTGTTGCCCAGTCTGGAGTGCAGTGGCGATCTCAGCTCACTGCAATCTCCACCTCCCAGGGTCAAGCGATTCTCCTGCCTTAGCCTCCCAAGTAGCTGGAACTACAGGCATGCACCACCATGCCTGGCTAATTTTTGTATTTTTTGGTAGAGATGGGGTTTCACCATGTTGGCAAGGCTGGTCTCGAACTCCTGACCTCAGGTGATCCACCCAACTCATCCTCCCAAAGTGCTAGGGTTACAGGTGTCAGCCAACACGCCTGGCCAACATGATCTTGTATATAGAAAATCCTAAGGGATCCACTAAAAACCTATTAGAACTAATAAACAATTTCAGCAAGATTGAAGGATACAAGGTCAATATACAAAAATAAATTGTGTTGCTATACACTTGCAGTGAACAATCCAAAAATGAAATTAAGAAGATAATTTCATTTAAAATTCTCATTTAACAAAAGAAGTATAAAGTATATACTCTGAAAACTACAAAAAATTGTTGTAAGAAATTGATCTGGCTTGGACATTTGTCTCCTCCAAATCTCATGCTGAAATGTGAACTTAATTGTTGGAGGTTGGCCTAGTGGGAGGTGTTTGGAGCATGGGGGCAGATCCCTCGTGAATGGCTTGGTGCTATCCTTGCAGTAATGAGTTCTCACTGTATTATTTCATTCAAGAGCTGATTGTTTAAAAAAATAAAAAATAAAGAGCCTGGCATCTCCCTTGCTCCCTCTCGCCATGTGATATGCCTGCTCCCCCTTCCGCTTCCGTCATGATTGTAAGCTTCCTGAGGCCCTTACCAGAAGCTGGACATATATTGCTGCCATGCTGGTACAGCCTGCAGAACTGAGTCAAAATAAACCTCTTTTCTTTATAAATTACCCAGCCTCAGGTACTTCTTTATAGCAATGCAAATGGAGTAACACAGAAATTAAAGGACATCTAAATAAATGGGAAAACGTCCCATATTCATGGGTCAGAAGATTTAATATTGTTTAGAAGGCTGTACTCCCCAAATTGATCTACAGATTCAATGCAATTACCATCAGACTCCTAGCTGACTTCTTTGTAGTAAGTGACAACCTGATTCTAAAACTCTTAAGCAAAGGATCCAGAATAGCCAAAACAATCTTGAAAAGAACAAACTAAGAATATCCATACTTCCTGATTTCAAAACTTGCTACAAAGAAACAGTCATCAAGACAGTATAGTATTTAAAAGGCGGGGCAGGGTGGCTCATGCCTGTAATCCTAGCACTTTGGGAGGCCGAGGCTGGCGGATCACTTAAGGCCAGGAGTTCAAGATAACACACTATGGTATTGGCATAAGGGTAGACATATAGATGATTAGATTCAAGAGTCCAGAAATAAAACCATATGTCTATGGTCAACTTATTTTCAACAAGAGCACCAATACCATTCAATGGGGGGAAAGAATAGTCTTTTCAATAAATGATGCTGGGACAACTAGATGGCCACATGCAAAAAAATAAACTTGGATCCTTACCTCATAATATATATAAAAACCCAAAATGAATCAAAGATCTAGATATACAAGTCAAAACTATAAAATTCTTGAAGAAAACAGGGTTAAATCTTCATGACCTTAGATTTAGAAAAGGATTCTTAAATATGACACCAAAACCATGAGCAAGAGAAGCACAGTTTATAATCTCTACTTCATCAAAATTTAAAATGTGCTTCAAAAGATCCATGAAAAAACCCATAGAATTGGAGAAAATATTTACAAATCATATATCTGATAAGGGACTTGTATCCAGAATATTTAAAGGACTTAACAGCTCAATAAGAAGATAACACTGCTGGGCACGGTGGCTCACGCCTGTAATCCCAGCACTTTGGGAGGCCGAGGCAGGTGGATCACGAGGTCAGGAGTTCAAGACCAGCCAGGCCAACATGGAGAAACCCCGTCTCTACTAAAAATACAAAATTAGCCGGGTGTGGTGGTGCATGCCTGTAATCCCAGCTACTTGGGAGGCTGAGGCAGGAGAATCACTTGAGCTTGGGAGGCGGAGCTTGCAGTGAGCCGAGATCACGCCACTGCACTCCAGCCTGGGCGACAAAGCGAGACTCTGTCTCAAAAAAAAAAAAAAAAAAAAAAAAAAGAAGATAACACTAAGCTAAGAACATGAGAACAGTGGCACATGTCTATAGTACCAGCTACTCAGGAGGCTGAGGCAGGAGGATCACCTGTGCCTGCAAGTTCAAGGCCAGCCTGAGTAATATAGTGAGACCCCCATCTTTAAAAAAAAATAAGACAGCCCTATGTAAAAATGGGCCATGGGTTTTTATTAATTTCCTAGAGCTGCTGTAACAAATCACTGTAAACTGGGACGCTTAAAACCACAGAAATTTATTTTCTTATAGTTCTGGAGGCTAGAAGTTTGAAGTCAAAGTAGGTGTTGGGAGGGCCATGTGCCCTCTGAAGGCTCCAGAGGAGAATCTATTCCATGATTTTCTCCTAGCTTCTGGGCGTTGGCAGCAGTCCTTGGCATTCCTTAACCTATAGATAAATTTCAAATTCTGCCTCATTGGCTTGTTTCACATGGCATTCCTCACTGTGTCTCTGTGTTTCTTGTATGAACCCCAGTCATTATATTTAGAGACCACCCTACTCCAGTATGGGTTCAACTTAAATTGGTTACATCTGCAAAGATTGTGTTTCCAAAAAGGCAACATTCACAGGTACCAAATAGTCATGAATTTAGGGGAGCGGGGAGGGTCTATTCAGTCCTCTACTAATCTGAGTAGACATTTCTCCAAGTTAGATACATAAGTGGCCTATAAACATATGAGAAGATGCTGGATATCATTAGGGAAATGAAAATCAAAACCGCAATAGAACACTTTATACCCACTAGGAAGTAAGGATGTGGAACTGGAACGCTCATCCACTGCTGATGGGAATATAAAATGGTGCAGCCGCTGTGGAAAACAGCTACCATGTGACCCTGTGAACCTACTCCTAAGATAAAGAGAAATGAAAACATGTCCTCACCAAAACTTGTACATGAAGGTTTACAGCATCATTATTCATAATAGCTAAAAGGTGAAAACCCAATCTCTACCAACAGATGAATGAATAAATAAAATGTGGTATATCCATACAATGGAATATTATTCAGCATAAAAAATTAGAGTACTGATACATGCTACAATATGGATACACCTTGAAAATATTGTGCTAGGTGAAAGAAGCCACAAAAGACCACATATATGATTCCATCCATATGAAAGGAGAAATCATGTTGTCAAAATGCCCACCTTTGCTCAATATATTTCTCCCGAAAATGAGTTAGGGACCATGGTATGGAGAAAAGACCTCAACAACGGGGTGATTGAGCACAACAGCAAAAACACAAAGACTGCAAGTTGCTCCCAGGGATTGGATAAAATGTTTTAAAAGGAAGGTTGGAATCCATTGGTGTTCTGTTAGTCATCTTCTCCTTCATCTTCCTCTCCTTCCTCCCCTTCATCACCTTTATCTTCACCTTCATCCTCATCCCTGTCTTCATCTTCTTTTTCTCCTTCTCCTTCCTCATCATCCATTATTGGGAACCAAGTAATACTGTAATTGATTTGGCCAAATACCATCTTTGATGACCTTTCCTCATTCATCTGCACCTGCATCAGAATGGCCAGTAAGCCAGGTGAAGAAGCTCTCTGGTTCCCCATGCTGCCTCTTCCTGCTGGCATTATTCTGCATTTGACTTGCATTTTTCATCAAATCCTTTCCAGATTTCCATTTGATTTTAGTGAGTTTGAAGATGGAGCACCACTCTCATTCAGATGAAATTTTTTGGAGAGAACTTTATTTTTGAAGTCAGGATTTTTGTCAAAATAAAAACATTCTGTAACCTGGTTTAATATCTTCAAATTCTGTCACTTCAACACTGGTTAAATACGGCAGTGCCTCTTCATCCTCCTCCCCAAGCAGTGCAGACATTTGTGGATGGTTGACAAATGCTGTTACCCCAAAGTTTGGGATTTTGGCTATCAATTCAGACCTCATCTGAAAAAACAGTTGGCCGAGTTTGTTATATTTCTGTTCTGTTTTCAAAGTCTCCTCATTGGCTTATTAAGTCTACTTCATTTTGTACTTCATCAATATGTTCAGTTGCTTCTTGCTGTTCTTTTTCTCCCTTCTTCAGCAAGCCCAGACAGACTGATGTCTCTTCCAGCCTCAAGGCAGAAGGTGCTCTTGGTTTTTTCTTTTGAAGCAGAAATAGAAATCATGGGATTTGGGGGGCCATGTTGTGTGGAAATGCCAAAAATGAGACCACAGATCTCCTTGCCCCTCAGGAAGAAGCTCAGAAAACCCTAATATTATTGTTTTAAATCACAGCATCACAACCCCTGAACTTTTGCTACCTAGAACAGTGTAATGAAACCATCAGTAACAGTTATACTAGTATAAGAATTTCAGCTCAGAGTAGACATATTGTTGATTTGAAACTTTACAAAGGATAGTTCTCTCTTGAAGGCAGATCTAGGTAGCTTTCCCTGTTACTCTTACCACCTGTGATAAATTGCAAAAGTGTCACAAGTTCTTTCCCTACCTGGGTCCATGCCCTTGCAATGTGACTTTGAAGCTCCTCCTCTCAAGAGATGGAATCTATTTCTTCACCCTCTTGGCCTTCTTACTTGATTTGACCTAAAGAATGCAGCAGAACTGATAATGTTCCAGTTCCAAGCTTAGGTTTCAAAACTACTTGCAAGCATCTGCTCTAGTCCTTGTAAGTTTGCTGATTTACTACAGGAATAAGCCAAGGAGAGCCTGCTGGATAAGTAAAGACACCTGGACTCATTTCCTCAGCTAACAGCCAGATCCCATGAGCAAAGCTACCTAGCTGACTTGCAGCTGACCACAGTCATGAGTAAGTCCAGTCAAGTCCAAAAGAACCACCCAGCTGAGCTCAGCCCAAATAGAATCATGAGTTAAATAAATTGCTGTCCTAAGCCATAGAGGTTGGAGGTGTTTTGTTCAGCAGCAAAAGCTAACTTCTTTGTAATTCCTTCATCATATGAAAAAAAATTTTTTTTTTTTGAGACAGTTTCACTCTTGTTGCCCACGCTAGAGTGCAATGGCGCAATCTCAGCTCACAGCAACCTCTGCCTCCCGGGTTCAAGTGATTCTCCTGCCTCAGCCTCCTGAGTAGCTGGGATTACAGGTGCCTACCACCATGCCCAGCTAATTTTTTGTATTTTTAGTAGAGACAGGATTTCACCATGTTGGCCAGGCTGGTCTCGAACTCTTGACCTCAGGTGATCCACCCGCCTTGGCTTTGCCCAAAGTGCTGGGATTACAGGTGTTAGCCACTGGGCTCGGCCCATGAAAATAATTTTTATGTATTAGTTTCCCTTTCCTATAGCAAATGCTGGTAGATGTCTATTTAACATCCACTTCTTCCCTTCTTCCTTGTTAACAGAACCCCAATTTTGTCCTGGCATCCATCTCTCCTCTCTGTGACTCAGAAGCCCCAGGGGAAGCCCCTATTTTAATCAACAATTTACTCTTCTCTTTGCGGTGATTGGTTTAGGATCAGCCCCATAACCTGAAAGGAAGTGTTCTGGGAGCTTCTGAGAAAAGTGTCTTCATTGTAAGAAGGCCACAGTAAAAAATTAGTCAAGTGTTGTGGCACAGGCCTGTAGTCTCAGCTACTCAGGAAGCTAAGGCAGGAAGATCGCTTGAGCCCAGGAGGTTGAGGCTGCAGTGAGCTGTGATTGTGCCACTGCACTGCAGCCTGAGTGACTGAGTGAGACCCTGTCTCAAAAAAAAAAAAAAAAAAAAAAAAAGTTACACAGCCAGGCATAGTGGCTCACGCCTGTAATCCTAGAAATTTGGGAGGCTGAAGTTAGAGGATCTCTTGATCCTAGGAGTTCAAGGCTACAGTGAGTTATGACTGTGCCGCTGCAGTGAGTTATGACTGTGCCGCTGCAGTGAGTTATGACTGTGCCGCTGCAGTGAGTTATGACTGTGCCACTGCACTCCAGCCTGGGCAGCAAGTGAGACCCTGTCTCTTAAAACAAAATAGAAAAAGCCATACAAAGAGATGATCACTTTCTGTCTCTGTACTTTGACATATCTGAAGGTGATACTTGGAGTTGTAGCAACCATTTTGAAACTTCAAAAGGAACAACCTGAGGCCTGTGAGGTGGCTCACGCCTGTAATCCCAGCACTTTGGGAGGCCGAGGCTCAATCACTGGAGCCCAGGAGTTCAAGACCAGCCTAGGCAACATGGCAAAAAAAAAAAAAAAAAAAACCAAAAATTACCTGGGTGGTTGGCACATGCCTGTAGTCTCAGCTACTCAGAAGGCTGAGGTGGGAGGGCCTGGGCCCAGGAGGCGGAGGCCCTGACCTGGGGCCAGGAGACAGAGGTTGCAGTGAGCTGAAATCACATCACTGTACTCCAGCCTGGGAGACAGAGTGAGACATCTCAAAAAAAAGAAAAAATAATAATAATAAAGGAACAACCTGAGGAAAATGCCAGTACAATCAGAAAGGCAGAGAATGAGATGAAAATAACTTGTCTTTATTGATGTCTTGTGCTGTTGAATCAACTAGCCCTAAAGCCTATCCTACCTTTGTACTTACAGTTATGTGAGATAATATATTCCTTATTGCTTAAGCCAGTTTTAGTTAGCTTTGTTGTTACTTACAACTGATGTTATAATTAACACAACATCCACTAGAATATAAGCTCCAAGAGGGCAAGGAATGTGTCTATTTTGTTTACTACTCTGTCTCCAGTGTGTAGTCCAGCACCTATCCCCTAGCAAACATGTAATAGTTATTTACTGAGTGACTATAAGCATATTATATCAATCATCATTTGTTAAGTACGACTGCAACTGACACTTGACTAGACAGCATAAAGATCTAATTAGGGAGCCTGACTACTCTTGACTGTGAGTCAGTTCTTCAAGAGAACTTTACCTTTGCTTTCCACAATCTGGCATACAGTCAACCTCTACACATTTGGTGACTAAATTGACCAATGTCACAGAATTTTGCCAACTCTCCAGCAGGGGGTGCCCATAACCAGGTATTCTGGGCTCTGGGAAGTTTTTGGTTTTTTTTGTTTTTTTTTTGTTTTTTTTTTTTTTGCTCCTCAGCCCCTCCTTTGCTGCATTGCCCTTCATCTTCCCCCGAACCCCTCTTGGAGCCAAGGAACACAGCAATGCAAGAAAGCTCAGAAGGGACTTTTCAATTTTCGGAAACTCAGTGTCTGTCCTATCCCAGCTTCCAGCACCTGTTAGAGAGGGCTGAGAATATGCTTCTATGATCAGAGGATGCTCTCTTAGGTCAGGGTTAAGCAAACATTATCTGTAAAAGGTCAGATAGCAAACATTCTAGGGCCATAAGGTCTTTGTCCTGTCATGCCCTTGTAACACAAGAACTGCTGAGCCAAGCATCCCTGCAGCCTTTGTACTTCTGGCTATGCAAGATCTTGTATTCCTTTATTACTTAAGCCAATTTTAGTTTGTTTTATTGTTACTTACACCTGAAGATATAATTAACACAACTGTCCACAGCTAGACCATATAAGCTTCAAGAGGGCAGGTAACTTAATAAGTAAGTAAATAAAAGCATAAGCAAAAGAATGGGTGTGGGTGTAACTGTGTTTCAAAACAAAAATTATTGACAAAAACAGACAGCTGGCCAGGTTCGGCTAACCACTGCTTTAGGTGAACAAGGCATTGCCTAGGTCATTGGTTTTCAAACTTGAGGGTGCATCAGAATCACTTGTAGGGCCTATTGAAACACTGATGGCTGGGACTCACTTGAGTTTCTAATTCATTAAGTCTGGGCTAGGGCTGGAGAATTTCAATTTCTAATAGTCTTGCCAAATAAAATATAGAATTCCCATATATCAGATTCTTGAATTTCAGATAAACGATGAATAATTTTTAGTATATGTATGTCTCAAAGATTTCATTATTCATCGTTTATCTGAAATTCAAATTTAATCTGGCATCCCTAAATCCCTAAATCTGGTAGTCTTAGACAAGTTTTCAGGTGATGTTCATGCTGCTGGTTCAGGAGCCACAATTTGAGAAACAATGGCAATATAGTCTCATACATAAAGTTGCCTTGCTAATTCAGAAGTCTTGAGTTGGAGTGAAGTAAATACCCATCAGTCTAATACAGGATTTCTGCACGCTCAGTCTGTATATGTGAACAGGTACCTACTTGGTTCACAAGTTTTAGGTTTGCCTAGATACTTTATGCATTCGTTTTCAACAATTACGTATTTGTTGTACACTTACTATGAATCAGACAGAATTTACTTCAAATTTCAACCCTGTACATAAGATACTAGGCAAGTTTTTTAACAACTCTATTCCTCAGATTCCTCATCTGTAAAATTGAGATGACAATTTCTCCTTCATGGGGTTGTTGAATGGAAATGAAATAACATATATAAAGAATTTACCACAGTGCATGGTAAAGAATAAGCTGGTCAGTACTCAACTAATAGTGTAGCTACTACTATTGAAAATACAGGCCAGCCACGGTAGCTCATGCCTATAATCCCAGCACTCTGGGAGGCTGAGGTGGGTGGATCACCTGAGGTCAGGAGTTCGAGACCAGCCTGGCCAACAAGGTGAAACCCTGTCTCTACTAAAAACAAAAATTAGCTGAGCATGGTGGCAGGCGCCTGTAATCCCAGCTGTTTGGGAGGCGGAGGCAGGAGAATCGCTTGAACCTGGGAGGCAGAGGTTTCAGTGAACCAAGATCGTACCATTGCACTCCAGCCTGGGCAACAGAGTGAGACTCCATCTCAAAAAAAAAAAAAAAGAAAAGAAAAGAAAGAAAATACAGTAATTCTCCAAGTGTGAACCCTGGAAAGTGTGGACCCTGGGCCAGCAGCATCAACAGACCTAGGAACTTACTAAAAATGCAAATTGTCTGGCCCCACGCCAAACCTACTGCACCAGAAATTCTAGGATGTTGCACAGCAATCTGATTTATCAAGCCCTCCAGATGATCCCAATGCATGCTAACATTTGAAAAACACTGCTGAAGAAAACATAAGAGGCTGTGTGTGTATTGGGGCTAAGAATACTGGGGCAAATGGGGCACAAATCTTCCCCTTCTTTTCCCAGGACAGTTTTACATAAGGGACTAGACCTAGTGGTGTTCCAGCATGCCTTCACCTCCCCTATACTCTCTTCTATATAGCCTGAAAATCATCAGAAATTCACTTAAGCAAAGATTGTTTAGCTGATTTTTTCATTCATTTGACATTTCTTTGAATGTCTATTATGAGTCATATAGTGTGTTAAGCAACGGGCATTCAAAAAATAAGGAAAGGGCCAGGCGCGGTGGCTCATGCATGTAATCCAAGCACTTTGGGAGGCCAAGGCGGGTGGATCACCTGAGATCAGGAGTTCGAGACCAGCCTGACCAATATGGTGAAACCCCGACTCTATTAAAAATACAAAAATTAGCTGGGCGTGGTGGTGTGCACCTGTAGTCCCAGCTACTTGGGAGGCTGAAACAGGAGAACTTCTTGAACCCAGGAGGCAGAGGTTTCAGTGAATGGAGATCGTACCACTGCACTCCAGCCTGGGCGACAGAGTGATACTCTGTCTCAAAAAAAAAAAAAAAGGACGGGGAGGGGGGAAAGGCTCCTGTTTGAAGAGCTCTTAGTCTGGCACTGATTTTAGAGCATAGGAAACCACAAGATGTGTGCATTTCAATGAGATGCTAAAATGAGCAGGTCATTAAAGGAGGTAGAAGAGAGGCAGTAACTCAGAAAGGCAGAGCCCTTTCCAGAGGACATTTGTTTTACAAATATTAACTGAGCCCAACATCATGCATGTAGAAAGCAGCCTGACTACCTGGAAAGCCTCTACTACCAGGAAGGCAGCCTAGCAGGCTGCCTGTTCTAAACCTGGCAAGGCCACCAGAAAGAGGCATCAGACAGTGAGGGGCCCTATCAAATCCTAGTCTGTTCACAGCTGGCGTCTTGGATGTACTGGCCTTGATTATGGCCCAGAAGACTAGAAAGCACAGCCACAGACGAGAAGAGTCCTGGCAGAAAGCTGAGTCAGGCCCCAGTCTGGGACAGGAACTGCTAAATCCTAGACACAGAAGCAATTCAATAGGCGGCAGAGCTAGTGACAATTCTCTACCACTCCCACCCGTAACCTTGGACATGGGTTTGAAAGACACCAGTTAGTAACAGTGAGAAAATTTCAAGTTGACTGTGGAAAGTTGGGCTGGGCTGGGCTGAAATCAACTTTATATAATTATATCTACTTTGGGCTGTTTTGTGTTGTGCCCAGCCAATATAAAATTGCAGTTTAGCAAAACTTTTGAGAGTTTATTATTAAAATACTCCCTAAATGATTATGGTACATTCACTCTTTTCACATGTGGGAACCACTGCATAATAAAGGTCTATATAGGGCCATCACTAATACAGTGCTTTGCACACCTGGCCAATTAAATACATGAATAAATGATTCTCTCCTGTCTACTAGGAGCTAACATTTTAGAGCAAAGGCAAAAAAGTATTTTGAAGGGTCCTTCACAGAGAGTTTTGACTTCCCAAGGGTCACAAACTCTGTATTTCAGCCAGATTTACTCAGGGATTAAGGGGAATAATGCAGAACTCTTACATAAGTTATTCATTTTATTATTTTTCATTAGAGTCAGGGTCTCGCTCTGTCACCAGAGCTGGAGTGCAGTGGCGGGATCATGGCTCAAGGCTCAAGCGATCCTCCTGCCTCAGCCTTCCAAGCAGCTAAGACTACAGGCATGTGCCACCACACCTGGCTAGTTGTTTTTTGTAGAGATGGAATCTCGCTATGTTGCCAGGGCTGGTCTCAAACTCTTGGGCTCAAG
This sequence comes from Homo sapiens, assembly GCF_000001405.40. Classification (NCBI taxonomy): domain Eukaryota; kingdom Metazoa; phylum Chordata; class Mammalia; order Primates; family Hominidae; genus Homo; species Homo sapiens. The sequence continues at coordinate 86,288,154 of NC_000011.10, read as the reverse complement.
TGATCTTCCTGCATCAGCCTTCTAAAGTGCTGGGATTACAGGCCTGAGCCACCATCCCCTGCAGGTTGCTATTCAGAACTGGGATTATTAAGACAATTTGCAACCAGATTCAGTAAGATAAGCCAAGCCTTTCTTATATGAAATATTAACAGTTTAAAAAGTGATTTTGCATGGCTGAGCGCGGTGGCTCATGCCTGTAATCCCAGCACTTTGGGAGGTCAAGGTCGGGAGTTCGAGACCAGCCTGACCCATATGTAGAAACCTCATCTCTACTAAAAATACAAAATTCAGGCATGGAGACGCATGCCTGTAATCCCAGCTACTCAGGACGCTGAGGCAGGAGCATCGCTTGAACCCAGGAGGCACAGGTTGCCATGAGCTGAGATTGCGCCATTGCACTCCAGCCTGGGCAACAAGAGCAAAACTCTGTCTCAAAAACAATAAATAAATAAAAAATAGTGATTTTGCAATGAAGAAAAATAATGGCCCATATAGCACAGGGTGTCAGTTCAGTGCCATACACTTCTTATGATCAATGATTTTCTGGCAACCCAGTTTATTGGTTTCGGAATTAAACACACACACTTCCCTCACTCATTATGCAGAAATGTAAGAGAAATCACCCAACAATTTTTTATTCCACATCAGCCTGGGGTACCCAAGCAAGAAAGGCAAAATGAATCTGCTTTCATTCACATGAAGTCTTGCTCTACATCAGAAAATAACCATGAAATACCAAGAATCTTTGTAGAAATCCACCAGCTCAATTCCAAAGTGATAGTCATTTTCTATAAATCACAACAGGGGAAACCCAGAGGTAACCACTGAAAGCAGGGGAAGTTACAGACTGTGGTCTCTGGTTAAAGAGAGGCCATTTAGCACTTTTTACTTATGGTTGTATTTCTCACAATGTGGGCCCCACTTCCACTACCCTTGGTAAAAGCCATCTAGACTCATTTTCCCTAGGTTACTGTGTTTCACACTGCAGGCTGAGATCCATGGGCAGGTTGTGAAATCAATTTAGTGAGTTACAACCAGCATTACAAAAAGAAAAAAAAAAAGAAATAGAAAATTTCAGAATGCATCATATTAGTAAGTATATTGTTTCATGGGACTTTCTATATGTGTGTATGATTGGGTTATTATGTATAGTCTATTTCTTTTTTTTTTTTTTTTTTTTTTTGAGACGGAGTCTCGCTCTTTCGCCCAGGCAGGAGTGCAGTGGCGCTATCTTGGCTCACTGCAAGCTCCACCTCCCGGGTTCACACCATTCTCCTGCCTCAGCCTCCCGAGTAGCTGGGACTACAGGTGCCCACCACCGTGCCCGGCTAATTTTTTGTATTTTTAGTAGAGACGGGGTTTCACCGTGTTAGCCAGGATAGTCTCGATCTCCTGACCTCGTGATCTGCCCGCCTCGGCCTCCCAAAGTGCTGGGATTACAGGCCTGAGCCACCGCACCTGGCCTGTATAGTCTATTTCTTACTGTGGGTTGCATTAAAAAAAATTTAAAACCTACTGTCCTAGATGATACCTTGTTCAAGCCTGAAGATGCAATTAAGCAGAATGACTGTCCCCTTTGCCTCAAAGGAGCATTTCAATTCTTTAAGCACTTCTGGAAAAAGTGACCATCATTTCTTTAGACTTTTGCCTTTCTCAGGCATTTGCTTAAAGATAATTTTAAAGTCACTGAGTTTCTACCAGCCTTTTTCCAGTATTTTGTAGTAGATGATATACTCAAAGCCACCTCTTATTCCTTTCTCACCCCATTTTTTTTCCTTCGAAACACCCCAAGACTTCATCCTATTTGTCATCTCAGCCAGGCACAGTGGCTCACGCCTGTAATCCCAGCACTTTGGGAGGCTGAGGCGGGCGGATCACTTGAGGCCAGGAGTTCCAGACCAGCCTGGCCAACATGGCGAAACCCCGTCTCTACTAACGATACCAAAAAAAAAAAAAATTAGCTGGCTGTGGTGGCACACATTTGTAATCCCAGCTACTCAGGAGGCTGAGACAGGAGAATTGCTTGAACCTGAGAGGTGGAGGCTGCAGTGAGCCGAGATTGCACCACTGCATTCCAGCCTGGGCGACAGAGCGAGACTCTGTCTCAAATAAAAGTGGAGTTACTTTTGTGCAGAGTTTCCACTCCCCTGGTAAGAACAAAATACTTGTGTGTATGAGACACAAATATCAATTCTGTAATTTCTAATTTCACATAAGAGGTAAAGGCTCTTATGTTTGTATTTAAAATGATCATTACACCAGGCCTGGTGGCTCACACCTGTAATCCCAGCACCTTGGGAGGCTGAGGCAGGTTGGATCACTTGAGGTCAGGAGTTCGAGACCATCCTGGCCAACATGGTGAAACCCTGTCTCTACTAAAAATACAAAAATTAGCTGGGCTTGGTGGCGCACGCCTGTAATCCCAGCTACTCAGGAGGCTGAGGCAGGAGAAGCTCTTGAAACTGGGAGGCGGAAGTTGCAGTGAGCTGAAATCACACCCCTGCACTCCAGCCCGGGCAACAAGAGCGAAACTCTGTCTCAAAAAAATAAAATGATCATTACACAATATGAAAATGAATAATAAAATTCATGCTAACAATTTTACTTTACTTAGAATGGCATTAAGTAGCAAAATTTAAAACCACGACCAGTTGAGAAATTGTTAAAGGATGGAAAAAGCTTTATAGTTAGTACCTTTAACCTAATTTTTCCTTTTAATTTTTTTTTCTTTTTTTGAGACAGGGTCTTGCTCTGTCACCCTGGCTGGATTGCAGTGGTGTGATCACAGCTCACTGCAGCCTCAGCCTCCTGGGCTCAAGTGATACTCCCACCTTAGCCTCCCTAGTAGCTGGGACTACAGGTGCACACTACTCCACCCAGCTAATTTTCAAATATTTTGTAGAGACAGCGTCTTGCTATGTTGCTTAGGGTGGTCTCAAACTCCTGGGCTCAAGCAGTCCTCCTGCCTTGGCCTCCCAAAGTGCTGCGATTACAGGCATGAACCACCGTGCCCAGCCTTTTCTGTTTTTTGGTTTTTCGTTTTTGAGACAGAGTCTCACTCTGTTGCCCAGGCTGGAGTGTGGTGGCACAATCTCAGCTCACCGCAACCTCTGCCTCACGGGCTCAAGTGATTCTCATGCTTCATCCTCCCAAGTAGCTGGGATTACAGGCACATGCCATCATGCCTAGCTAACTTTTGTATTTTTGGTAGAGACGAGGTTTCACCATGTTGGCCAGGCTGTCTCAAACTCCTGACCTCAGATGATCCGCCCACCTCAGCCTCCCAAAGTGCTGGGACTACAGGCATGAACCACCGCACCCGGCCCAAGGAGTTTGCCTTTTCATTTTGCACTGGGCCCTGGATATTACATAGCTGACCTTGTCTTCAGGACTAGGAAAAGGACCGATAGAATCCTGTGTTCCTTTTGAATTAATCTACATTTCTTTGACAACAAGCTGGACATAGGCTTCATGAAGTACAGGGGGCTCCAGGAATACTTTGTTCTGAAATCCAAGAATCCTCACTGTATCCTTTACCCAAGCTCTGGCATATGTCATCATGACTTTGGTTCCCTTGGGGCAAAGAGCATACTTTTGGCCTGAATGGACATTGAGTGTGGGGGTGCTTAACACCTCTGAACAGGTCTTGTCCACTTTTGAGTTGGAGGGCAGGTCAGCTAGGTGTGCACTTCCAAAAGAGCCCTCACTGTCCAAGGTGCAGTTGTAATCCAGGAAGGAAATGAGGTCCATGATGTGCCACTATGTGGAGAACTCACAGGTTATCACAACACTGAAACTCTTGATGAATGATTACTGGAGGAGGGAGTTTACATCGTGTCAGGCCCTACACTATGGAGTGTAGGGATGCCACCCTTGGTTCCCATTGTCCAAAAACAAAACCCAGGAACTTCCACATCTTACTGTCCTTCACATTGGTGTGGAAGGCTTTGAAGAATCTGCTGTCCTGATGAGCGCCTTGTCTCACCACAAAAGGCTACAACAGGGATATGGCATCAATTGGATCCTCATCCAGCTTGAAATAAACCGTGGAAGCTGCTTTTCCTCAGGACCCGATAGAGGGTGAAGTTCTGGGCTTGGTAGAGACTGAAGCAGACTGGCACATCAGTGGTCACGACTGCAGTCAAAGTGGGAGACACGATGGTAAGGAAGATGCCAGAACCACCTGCTATTTCTCCTAGCTCTATCATACATGCCCACATGGCACTCAAGTATCCTGGTAGCAAGTAAGATAATTACCTCTTCAAATATTTCCTTCACTTCATTCTCTTTTTTTTTTTTTTCTGGATCTCCAATTAAATATATTGTTAGATCTTTTCATTTTATCCTCTATATTTCTTAACCTCTCATATTCTCCATTTTCTTGATTCTCTGTGCCACATTCTGGTAATTTCTACAGATCACCTCCAATTCACTAATTTCTATTCAGCTGTGACTAATCTAACCCGTCCGTTGAATTTTTTACTTCAACAAATGTATTTTTCATTTGTAAAAGTTCTATTTGTTTCCCTCTCATATTCACCTCGTCAGTCATCATAGCCTCTTACTGTTAGCTTATTTTTATGACTGTTTAATTCTGACCCCTGTTACATGAAAGGCACTGCTCTAGGTGCTGGGGTTATAGCAGTGAAATAAAAACCCTGCTCTCATATAGACTACATCACAGTAGCAGAAGAAATACAATAAACCAAATAAGCAAATTACGCAGTATAGTAGGTGATAATTGAAATGGAGAGTAACAAAACAAGGAGAAAGTACAGAGAGGAAGGAGAGTTGCAATTTTAAAATAAGGTGGCTGTTTTATATTACCTGAAAATTGCAATATCTAAAGTCTTTGGTGGTCTATTTTTATTTATTTTTTTATTTTTTATTGTTTCAACCCTCAGCCATAGAGCTTGCTTCATTGTCAATCTGGTGATCTTTGATTATAAACTATTCGGTTGACTTAAATCTTCAACAACTTTAGGGGCCTCCTTAAGACTTATTTTGTTTGTTTTGCTTTAATAACTAGTATCCACTGAAGGGGTTATCAAACTATGGCTTGTGGACAGAATCTAGCCAACTGCCTGTTGTTTGTTGTTCTTTTTTTTCCCTCCTGCCTCAGCCTCCCAAGTAGCTGAGAATACAGGCATGCACCATCATGCCTGGCTAATTTTTTTTTGTATTTGTAGTAGAGGTGGGGTTTCACTATGTTGCCCCGGCTGGTCTTGAACTCCTGGGGTCAAGCAATCTGTCCACCTTAGCCTCTCAGAGTGCTGGGATTACAAGCATGAGCCACTATGCTCCACCACTGCCTGTTTTGGTAAGTAAAGTTTTATTGGTACACAGCCATACCCAGTTGTCTACGGCTGCTTTCGCCCTACAGCAGCAGAGTTGAATAGTTATGACGAGACTGTATGGCAAGGCCTAAAATATGTACTATCTAGCTCTTTACAGAAAAAACACCCTGATCTGCAGAGATAATATACAGGAAACTAGTAACAACAAAACTGGAATGGGTACTACCATATGTGTTGGGGCAAGTGTAATTTGGTACAAACTTAATAAGAAAGAAATATCCTATCTAATTATAAAATGAGCCTGAGAGTTACACAAAGACTTGTGTACTGGCCTGTTATTCAAAATACTACCTATAATAGCAAAAATCTGGAAGAAATGAACATGTCCAACAACAAGGCATTAAATAGATAATGGTACATTCATGGAAATGTATTAAAAGATATGCAAGCAGAATAATCTGTTAAGAATTACTGGGAATCTGAAAATGCAGCATATAAACAATATATTCAGACAATCACAATTCTTTAAACTTACACACACAAAATACATCCCATCACTAAAAGCAATTATTTCTGTGTACAAAAATTAAAGGTAGTTTTTACTTTTTTCTTTATACTTCTAAATAAACTGCATATATAATTTAGAAATTACTTTTTAAAGGGTGAGCATGGTATTGATATTTTGTTTAAAGTCTTTCTTGGAAATATAGAGTAAATTTTTACAGTTAAAATAAAGTCTGGGATGTGCTTCGAAACAATCTGGTGTAGATGTATAGATAAATCAAGATTGGCTATGTATTGATAATTGTTGAAGCTTGACTTGGTTCATAGTATTCACTACTCTCTTCACTCTTCTATATGTTTGAAACTTTCAAGTATAAAGTTAAGAAAAACAACCCTGTCTTGTCTTTTCGGAAACATAATACTCAACATATCAAAGCTGGTTTTATCTTTCCTAAGACACTGTGTAAGAAATATACTGGACAATTATTGGGTCAAAAAAGAAACTACAAGAGAAAATGAAAGATGTCTTGAAAGCCTGGCACAGTGATGCATGCCTACAGTCGTAGCTACTTGGGAAGCTGGGGCAGGAATGGATCACTTGGACCCAGGAGTTCGAGGGTGCAGTGACAGCTATAACTGCACCTGCGAATAGCCACTGAACTCTAAGCCTGAACAACATAGCAAGACCCCGACTCTAGAAACATATATAAAGATACCTTGAGACAAATGAAAATGGAAACACATGTCAAAACTTATGGGATGCAGCAAAAACAGTTTTAAGAGGGAAGTTTATAGCATTAAATGCCTGCATTAAAAAAGATCGCAAACCAACAACCTAAACCTCAACACCTCAAGGAACTAGAAAAAGAACAAACTAAACCTCAAGTTAGTGGAAGGAAATAACAAAGATCAGAGCAGAAATAAATGAAATAGAAAATAAAAAAATGAAAAAACAAAAAGCTAAACAAAATTGACAAACCCTTATAGCAACACTTAATAAGAAAAAAAGGACTCAAATCAGAAATGAAAGAGGAAATATTACAACTGTTAATACACCAAGTCTCTCATCAAAGAAAAGCCCAAGACGGCACTTTTCTGTTTCTATTAAACATTTAAAGAATTAATACCAATCCTCACATTCTTCCCAAAAATGAAGAGCAAGGAATACTTCCAAACTCATCTTACGAGGACAGTATTAGCCTGATACCAAAGCCAGACCAAGGACACTAGCAGAAACAATATCCCTGATGAACGTAAATACAAAAACACTCAACAAAATAATAGCAAACCATCATCTTCAGCAATACATTAAAAGAATCATCCACCATGACCATGTGGGATTTATCCCTGGGATGCAAGGATGTTTGAACATATGCACATTAATAAATGTGATTCACCATATTACCAGAATGAAGGACAAAAACTGTACATTATCACAATAGAGGCAGAAAAAGCATTTGACAAAATTCAACACCCTTTCATGATAACTCCCAACAAAATAGGTATAGAAGGAATGAATGTTCCTCAACACAATAAAGGCCATGTGTGACATGCCAATAACTAACATCATACTCATTAGTGAAAAGTTGGAGGCTTTTCCTTTAAGATGAGGAACAAAGTGAAGGATATATTAGCCCAATTTGCTCATTCTACATTGTATACATGTATGAAGCATCACATTGTACCCTATAAATATACACAATGGTCAATTAAAGACATATATATAATTTCTTCTTGGTTTCTATTTCCTGATACAACTTCTAAGACCCTTGAGAATATAATTTCTTCTTGATTTCCATTTCCTGATATAACTTCTAAGAACCTTGAGATCACTTGAGTGAAAATAATGTGTTTTTGTAGGCTAATGAGATAACTGGTGACTGGGGCCTCTGGATAACATCCATTAGGAAAAGAGATGTTACTTCCTTAGTATTTCAGGGAAAGGAGAGAGGGCAAAAATAGAGTATAAACATGTGGCTGATAACTGGCCTGTGAGTTCTGACTCCTGGATCTTTCATTATCTGCACTAACTTTAACACTCGATATTCTAGCCTGGTCAACATGATAAAACCCCGCCTCTACTAAAAATACAAAAATTAGCTGGGCATCGTGGCACACACCTGTAATCCAAGCTACCTGGGAGGGTGAGGCACGAGAATCACTTGAGCCTGGGAGACAGAGGTTGCAGTGAGACGTCTGAGACCGCACCACTGCACTCCAGACTGGGCAACAGAGTGAGACTGTCTCCAAAAAAATTAAAAAACAAACCTCAAGAATGGAGTAGTGAATAATACATTTCTACGGACCAAAAGGAAAGATGATATTCTCACCCAGTTAATCATGCAACAGGAAGGATTTCATTATGTGGTATTTTGCAACAAGAACCTAGGCAATCTCATTTTGCTAAAAGGATATGACAGTATTCCTTGTCTTTTGTGATGCTGTACGTAAGAATTTACTTGCTATAAAGGTTTACTTCTTGAAGTTCCTATTAAAATTTCTAAAAAACAATTGAAGCGTTCATTGGACCAAGACAGTAAAAGGCAGTAAGTTTTCCTGTTTATTCAGACTTAAGCATTATACTATTATCAGAGAAGTAAACTGTGCTTCAGAGATAGCTCAAAAAGGGGCAGTATCAAACACTGTACAAGATATCAAAACTAAACTTTAAAAATATACATATTTATAGAAACAAGTTCATGAATCTTTTTAAAAACCTGACAAAATTCAGTCTTTTGTATTTTTCTCTGGCTCACCTCATTTCACCTCCAACCTTAGCTTTATGATCATTCAGGCTTTCTTCACTCCTCTGCTTCAAGTTAACCCCTCCACATGTGATCTTGGTCTTCACTCTTTAGGGAATTTTTGCCCACAAATAAATGCAGTGTGCCTTATGTTGGAGACAAAATAACCAACTATTCCCAACCTTATGATCTCAATCTACTTAATCCCTCTTAGCCAGTAACATCCTTCTAGAAAAGGGGCAACAACTCACTACATGGACATACTTGCCATCTCTTTCATGATCCAACCCACTGCATTTAAACTTCTATATCCTCTCCTCCTTTGCCCTAATGATATCTCCTCTAAGGTTACCAATGGCCTAGTTCCAAATCTAATGGCAGTAATATTTTTTAAACTATAAAGAAAGGTTACAGTTAAACATTATCAGAGGTTCTAACTCTGTAGAATTTTAAATATTACTTATGAAACTATTACATAAGAAATCATTAAAAAATATAAAACCATAGGAACTATAATCTCCAATAATTATAAACACAGAATACATTTAGGGCTTATTATATGTCAAATACTGTTCTAACTGTCTCACACATAACGAATCATTTGATCCTCACAATAACCCCAAGGCAAGTATTATTATCCCTGTTTTATACACAAGGAACCAAGCATTGAGAAGTTGTTTATCCAAGGTCACGTAGTAGGAGAGCCAAGATTTGAATTCACTTTAGTTCTAGAGCCTATACTTAATCTCTGTATTACAAAACTTTCTCTGGTTAAGAGAACTACAAAAAACAACCATTATAAAAAGATAAGGCATAATTTTATTACTTTTAACTTTTTTTCACCACAATGAAAGTAACTAAACACACAGCTTTACAAAAATAAATTTTTATTAAAAGCAGTAGAGTCTGAGCAGGAAGACAGTACAAAGAATGTAAACAATGTAAACATCACTACATTCAGCTCAGCCTGATTGAATGCTGAAAGACAACTCTAAATGCTCTACGTGCCCTTACTAGCAAGATACATTAATTCTATTTTACACAGACAACAAACACACTCTAATTTTGATTAGGCAAAAGTATTTTATCGAAGTCGATCCCAGCGCCAAATACTGGCATCATCACAAACAGCTATAAGAATGCTGCTATCCCTGCTAAAACTGGTTTGTCGAATAGCAGCACCACATTTATGATGAGTCAGTGTTGTACATCTAGGGAAAAAACATGACAACAGGTTAAAGACCACACATAACGTTGTCAGTGTCTACCCTAAAACAGCGGATTAGAAAATAAGCAGATGTTCCAAGTCATACGAAAAGCACTTAAAACCAGAATATACTTCACTAAGAGCTCAGTCTCAAATTTTATAAAATTTAGATATATTTTAAGTTCAACAAGCACTACATAATTTGTATAAAAACAAGAAATGACTTGTCACCAAGGTACTTAGGAAAAACAAAAATTATTGGAATAAAAAAGAATAACTTTAACTCTGAAAACAGTAAATGTTAAAAATGACTTAAGGATGGCACTGCAAATATAAATGATCTTCTCTACATTGGCATACAAGTGTGGAGAAAAAGCCTGAAATTTTGAACAGAAATTTCTAAATACTTACTTGGCTTTATGAGGATCTTCTACTTCTAAATCCCAAACATAAAGTTTGCCAACTTGATTGCCCAATGCAAGCATCTGTATAAACATATTTTTAAAAACATCAAATTAATAAAATTACCAGGTTCTAAAGCATTGGAGGAATCCTCAGACAGCTTTCTTGTTTCAGAAAAAGCTCAGTTCCAGCCTCTGTGCTCTTGGCTATTTCTTTGGGTCTTATACTCCTGATTCGTAAATATGAATAAGAGCAATTAATACATCACAAGTGTCTTGAGCAAGTAAGAAGGCATTGTGCAAATTTATGAAGGGCCTTACAAATTTACATTGTTAGCATGGTACTTACTTTTTCTTCTGCCTTCAAGAAATACAGCAAATGCTGTGGAAAGCCTTCCAAACTTTTCTTACAGAAATAAATACCCAAGTAATTTGTTACCAGAAAATCCTAACAATAGATTTATTTAAATTTTTAGGTAACTAGTATTTTATCTGTCTTCTATCCTGATTTTTCTCTAGGAAACAGTTACATAGGTAGACTGACAATCTAATTACTAAAACATTAAGTCTTAGTAATGTTATGATAATGTTTATGTTATGGAACATAAACACCTAATTTCCACCATTGATACCTAACTGCCAACTTAATTTAAAGTAAGCACTGCAGATCATATGCAGAGCCACAAAAGTAGAATGAATAACACCAAAGTATTTGATGAATGACATCAAAGGGCAAAGTAATCAATACAAAACATCAGGGTAGATTTGTAAAGGAAAAAGAACATGGACACAACAGAAAAAGCTAGAATTACAATGGTCTTTCATAAGTCAGATCATTTCAAAATGTAAAAGTATGTTGATACCTTTTGCCAGAAATCCATAGAAAACCTCATGTACCAAATGTCACACTGGCTGTAATCAAATCGCCCAAGAATAGTCACATTAGATTCACTGGGTTTAATTTTATCTATATCATCTTCCATCTTGCCAGGTTTCCAGCACACAATGGCATTTTCACAAGACTAAAACAGAGAGAGAAATGAGAAAAAGAAATGTTAATGAGGAACTGAATCTTACAAAGTAAAAACAAGGCTTTTCTATTGTTTTGGAATTCACAGCTCTTAGAACCTGGTTAATCCATCTATCAAGTACAGTGATGTACATTCATTTATATTTACAGTCAATGACCATACTTAAGGACAAGAAATCTGATTATCAACAGAATTCGATAATACAAAAGAATCACATTGTCTGAAATATTCATTTTGGAAGTCAACATTTCTCTTTCAAGTTAAACCAAGTTCAGCTCTAGATACTCTGACACCCAGAGACTTTAAGTGTTTTATAGCACAGGTCAATTACAAACACACAGAATTAGAATACATGGCTTTTCAGAATCCGGCATTAATCTGGCTCTTGCTTACTTCACTAGTTTCATCTTTCCCCATGCAGTCTCCCATTTCGCTTCTAATCACAGGTGGTTTCCTTTACCTTATTAACTATTATTCCTTCATCCAGTATCTGTGCCACACAGTAGGTACTCAACAGGTATCTTAGGAAAGTTGATGAACTCACATAAATAGCCTTAGAATTCAGTTTATAAATAGGGCAATCGAAGGCAAGTAAAGCAGTTGTTTAACATCAAGACACTCATATGGGGATAGGATTGAAATAGGCTTCAAACTTATACTTTTCCTATCCTATAAAATCAAATTTGTATGCACATACCTAAGCAGTAAGTGGTAAAGAATACAATGAGAAAAAATTGCAAAACTGTGGGCACTATTCATATTACTGTCTAGGTCAGTGGTTTGCCCACGAAGGGACATTTGACAATGTGTCTGTGCTCTAATGGGTAGAGGCCAAAGATGCTACTAAATATCTTATAATGCACAGGAAACCCCCTACAAAAAAAAGAATTATCTGGCCTAAACTAAATAGCACCAGGATTCAGAAATCCTCATGTAAGTGAACAGTGCCCCTAGAGTTTTACTGGACAGCCTACATAATATAGTGACAGGTGGCAGCCCTGTGGGGTTCACAGGCATTTAAATAATTTAATAGTATGGCCACTTGAAGATTAGGGAGGAGACAACACATTTTTCTTCTCTACCTTTTTTATTTAGACTTTTTAAATCCTAGTGCTATATGACATCTATTATTCAAGTTTTTAACTGTAAAGGACCTTAGAAACCACCCAGTGTGATGACTCTTGGCTAAATGCAAAATTGGATCAATAGTCTGTGGAGTTTTCTCAAAAGACTCATCTCAGCCCCTACTGATTCAGAGTCTCTCAGCCCCTACTGATTCAGAGTCTCTAAGAGAAAGGCCAAAGCAGAAGAACTGTAAAATAGCTCTTCAAGTGCTTCTTACTAACTGCACCGGTGAAGAATTTTTAAGTACTGGAGTCCCTGGATGGAAAAACTAAAGCAAAGTGAGGTAAAAAGATGTTGCCAGAGCTAATGGATGGCTGCACTTCAAAATCATCTAAGAGCTTTTTAGAACTACCAATTCCCAGGGCCTTGCGCCAGATTTAGAATTTCTGAAGGTGAGGTCTAGGAAATCTATTTTTCTAACATTCTCCTAGTGAGTCCGATGCAGAGCCAGATTTGAGACCACCAATATATTTCAGTTCAGCCTACCACCTAAAATTCAGAAATCCTTTCCAGAGATCTAAGTTCTAAGAGCAGAAATTTTAAAAAGCTAATAGCTTTTTACTTCTGCTGGTGGAACAATGTAGCAGATGTGTTTTTTCCTGTAAGTCCACTTAAAAGTCGGAGTATCATACACAAAGCAAACATAAGACTTGGAAAGGTAGAGAAAAGGCAAACAAGTTAGAAACCTTGGAACACAAACGATAACCGTTGAGTTTCCCGGGTTTTCTTTTGCCTTATGTATTCCAGACTAGATAAGAGAGAAGGCAGCAACTCACAAATGCTAATGAGTGAAGACAACAACAACAACAACAACAATAAAAGCCTGCTTTTTCTAGCCAATGAACCAAAAAAAGTAGCAGCCTAACAGGACAAAATTTTCAGACAACAATGCTCTACTCCAGCCAAACACCCTAGAAAAATCTGTGGACCCACCTCCATCTGAACCAGTGAAAACCCATGCTCAGGTTGTAACTAAGCACCCCAAGTGCCTACCCCATGACTCTCCCTGTACCTCTTATAGCAATGGGGTGACCCGCCTCCTCTCGGGCTAGGGTGGTATCAGAGGAGGCCTAATAGAGTTAGGACATTCATAACCATTCATTGGTAAAGCCACCACCAACTACCCAGAGTGTAAATGGAGACCACTAGGGGGGGCAGTAATTAGGCATCCTGGCCCTTCCCAGCTAGGGTGGTATCAGCTGAGGCCTACGGAGAGCCTTAACTCCCACCCCGACTGAGCAGTAATGAAGCACCAACACAAGGTCAACCGAGTGGGGAACCCAGACTTCCACCCCAATCTGGCACAACACAATGCGCCTCCCTTCCCCAGCTGAAAAGGTATCAGAGAAAGCCTGCTGTAAGAGAAGATCTAAATAAGGTCCAGAGTCTCGTAATACCCAAAATACCCAGGTTTCAATCAAAAATCACTCTTCATACCAAGAATCATAAAAATCAACTTTTTAAAAAGACAAAAATCAGCTTTAAAAAGATAATCAATAGATACCAACACTGAGATAACATGGATGTCAGATCTGACATAGATTTAAGGCAGGAATATAAAAATGCTTCAATGAATGCAAACATACTTAGAATGAACTGGAAGTTTTATAACTAAAATATACTATTATAACCCAAATAAAAAACTCAATTGATGGGCTCAATATCAAAAGAGAAGAGGGTCAAGAGTCAGTAAATTTAAAGACAGTACAATAGAAATTACCCAATCTGAACAAAAAAAAAAAAAGAAAAAAGACAGTCCTAGGGACCAAACAAACGATCTAACATTCATATAATCAGAGTCCCAAAATGAGGGAAGAGAGCAGGGCTGAAAAACAATTTGAGTAATGGCTGAAAACTTTCCAAACCTGGGACAAAACATCAATCTACTACAGATTCTTCAAGAATGTCAGTGAACCCCAAACAAGACAAACCCAAAGAAATCCACATCAAGTCATATCGCACTCAAACCTCAAACTAAATATACTCATGCTCAATCTGAAAACTAAAGGCAAAGAAAACAATCCTGAAAGCAGTAAGACAGAAAGAACATCTTACCTACAGGGGACAAACAATTCCAGTGACAGCAAATTTCTCATCGGAATTATGGAGGCCAAAGAGGGAGCAAAAACATTTGTCAGGTGTTGAAAGAAAATAACTGTGAATCCAGAATCCTATATCGAGTGAATACATCCTTCAGAAATAAAGAAGAAATGAGGCCATGCTCTGATAAAGAAAAACTAGGAGAATCTGTTAACAGCAGACCTGCTCTAAAAGAATGGTTAAAGAAAGTTTTCGAAACAGAAAGAAAATTAATTAAGAAGATTTGAATTTATCAGTAAGGAAGAACAACAGAAAATGCAAAATGAGTCAATATAATATTCTCCTTTTCCTTTTGGGTTTTCTAAATTATGTTTGATGGTTGAAGAACAAAAAAACTGATATGGTTCTCAAATACAAATAAATATTTAAGACAATTATAAATGGAGAAGAATAAAGTGATGTAAAGGGAAGGAAGCATTCTAAATTTCACTCAAATGGCTTGTGCCCATAATCCCAGTCCTTTGGGAGGCCAATGCAGGGGAATCACCTGAGGCCAGGAGTTTAAGACCAGCCTGAGCAACATAGCAAGATCCCCACCTCCACACATTAAAGAAATTAGCTGAGCATAGTGGTGCATGCCTCTAGTCCTAGCTACTCGGGAGGCTGAATCAGGAGGATTGCTTGAGGCCAGGAGTTTCAGGCTTCAGAGAGCTAAGACTGTGCCACTGCACTCCAGCCTGGGTGACTGAGTGAGATTTTATTTCTGGAGAAAAAAAAATATTGTAAAATGCTGATAATATAGTAGACTAATGAGTTACTATAGAGAAATAAAAATGGAATTCTAAAAACTGTTCATGTAACCCAGAAAGTTAGGGGGGAAAAAACTCAGAGAGAAATGAAAAAGACAAAAAGAAAAATGGCAGACTTAAAATAATAACTGATATAAAGCTTAAATATAAATGGTCTAAATACACCAATTAAAAGACATAGGCAGAATAGATTTAAAAAATGACCCAACTATATCATCTACAAGAAACTTACTCAATTATAATATACATAGATTAAAAGTTTGAAAAAAGATTATGTAATGAAAAAAGAGACAATTCCAAAGACATAGCAATACTAAATGTGAATGCATGAACAATAGAACTGCAAAACGTGACAGAACTGAAAGGAGAAAGAGAAAAATCCACATTGTAACTGAAGATTTCAACACCTGTCTCTCAATAGTTGATAAAACAGTAGACACCGAACAAGGATATAGAAGAATTCGACATCATCAACCAATTAAACACTTATACAACATTCCACTCAACAGAGTACATATTCTTTTCAAGCTCCCATCAAATATATCTAAAATAGAGCCATAAAACAAATTCTCAAAAACTCAACAATCTAAGCTACCATCTTAAGAAACTGATAAAAGTTGAGCAAAATAAACCAACAGTGGCCGGGCGCGGTGGCTCACGCCTGTAACCCCAGCACGTCGGGAGGCCGAAGCAGGTGGATCACCAGGTCAGGAGATCGAGACCATCCTGGCTAACACAGTGAAACCCCATCTCTACTAAAAACATAAAAAAATTAGCCGGGTGTGGTGGCAGGCTCCTGTAGTCCCAGCTACTCAGGAGGCTAAGGCAGGAGAATGGTGTCAACCCAGGAGGCGGAGCTTGCAGTGAGCCAAGATCGCGCCATTGCACTCCAGCCTGGGCGACAGAGCCAGACTCCGTCTCAAAAAAAAAAAAAAAAAAATCACACTAATTTTGCACAATCTCTTCTGGAAAATGGGAAACAGATCATTTGCCAATTCATTATAAAGTCAGTATTACTAATACCAAAACCAGAAAAAACAGTACCAAAAAAAAAAGTTAAGACCAGTATCATACCTCACGAATACAGACACAAAAATCCTTAACAAAATATTAGCAAACAGAACTCAGCAATACAAAAAATTACACAGGATGATCAAGTAGGAATGTATTCCAGGGTTCCAAGGCTGGATCAATATTCAAAAAACCAATCAATATAATCTACTATATTAATAGGCAACACAAGATAAACCATATGAGCATATAAACTGATGAAGAAAAAGCATTTGACAAAACACCATTCATGAAAAAGCTCTCAAAAATTTAGGAACAGGAAACAGTTCTCAACTTTCCCAACTTGATAGAGAATATCTACAAAACAAAACAAAACAAACCCTAATATACTTAATTGTGAAAGACTGAATGACAAGTCAAGAATATCTGTTCCTAACACTGCTATTCAACACAGGACTGAAAGTTCACCAGCGCAATAAGGCAAAAAAAGAAAAGGCATATAGATCACAAAGGAAGAAATAAAACTGTCCTTATTTGCAGATCACATGATAGTCTACAGAGAAAATCACAAAACACACCTTGAATATGTAGTCTAGCTAGGTCACAAGATTCAAGATCAATATGCAAAAATCAATTATATTTCTATATATTAGTTATGAACACATAAAAATGGAAAATAAAAATATAAAACAGTTTATAATTGCTTAAAAAATACTTAGGTATAAATCTAACAGAGCAAAAATGGGACTTATATGCTAAAAACTATAAAATGCTGATGACAAAAGTCAAAGAAGTTGTAAATAAATGAAGAGACATACCACAATCATGGATTAGAAGACTCAGCACAATATTAATTCTCCTTGAAATTATATATACAGGTTTAATACAAATCCAGTTAAAAACTCCTTCTCCTCAAAACAACTCCCAGCAAGATTTTTAGAAATGTAGAAAAGATTATTCTAAAATTTACACACAGAAAGACAAAGGAATTAGAATAGCTCAAAACAATTATGAAAAAAATAAAAGCGGGAAAAATCTATCAGATTCCAAGAATAATTATAGAGCTACAATAATGAGGACTGTGTATGTAGTACTGGTGGAGGGACAGATATACAGATGAAACAGAACAGGAAAATCAAAAACAGCCCCACGTAAGTACAGCCAAACAATTTCTGAGAGAGGTGCAAAAGCAATTCAATGGCGGAAGAATAGTCTTCCAACAAATGCTGATGGAACAACTGAGTATCTATAAGAGAAAAATGAACTTCCACCTAAACCTCGCACCTTCATAAGGAAATCAACTCAAAATGGATTACACATTTAATGTAAAACATAGCAGTATAAAACTTTTACAAGAGAACACAGGAGAAAATCTTTAAGGTCTATAGCTTGGTAAGGAGTTCTCAGGCAAAACATCAAAAGCATAATCCATAAAATAATTTTAAAAAATCAATATACTGGATTTAATAAAAACTACAAACATTTGCTCTGTGAAAGACCCTATTAAAGAGGATGAAATGACAAGCTACAGACTGAAAGAAAATATTTGCAAACTATGTATCTGATACAGGATTCATATTTAGAATATATTCAAACTCTCAAAACTCAACAGTTAAAAAAAAAAAAAAAACACAACAAAAAACCAATCCAATTAGAAAATGAGCAAAAGATATGAAAAGACATCACCAAAAAGGATATACGAATGGTAAATAAGCACATGAAAAAGATGTTCAACATCACTAGCCATCAGGGAAATGCAAATTAAGACCACGATGAGATATCACTACACACCTATCAGAACAGCTAAAATAAAAAATAATGACAATACCAAATGCTGGCGAAGATTCGGAGACACTGGATCTCTCATACATTGCTGGTGGGAATGTAAAATGGCACGGCCACTCTGGAAAATAGTTTGGCAGTTTCTTAAAAAACTAAACAAACTTAACCACAACCCAGCAATTGCCCTCCTAGGCATTTACCCAGAGAAATGAAAACTTAAGTCCACACAAAAACCTGGACACAACTGCTGATTAGCAGCTTTATTTGCAATAGCCCAGAACTGGAAATGACCAAAACCTCCTACCATAGATAGTTACATAAACTATGGTAATCCATACCATGGAATACTACTCAGCAATAAAAAAGGAGAACTACTGATACAGGCAACAACCTGGATGGATCTCAAGGGTTTGAGTGGAAAAAAACAATCTTAAAAGGTCCCAAACTGTACCATTCTTGAAATGACAAAATTCACGTGATAAAATGACATAAAACTAAACACACACATTGTACCAGTGTCAATTTTCTGGATTTGATATTGTATTACAGTTATATAATATATAAACTTTGGATTCTGGATAAAGATCATATGGGACCTCTCTGCACAATCTTTGAAACATCCTATGAATCAAGTTATTTGAAGGTCAAAAGTTTAAAGAAAAAAGAAAAAAACAGTTTACACATAAAGCCAAGAAAAAAGTAAATCAGGCTCTGCCCAAGAAAATGTGAAGTGGCCTGAAATTCACATCAAGAAAAGAAACCGGACAGCAATTTCACCAAATTTGATAATCCTAAATGCTCATGTAACATCACCAATAGCTTCTCTAAATTATCAGCTACAAAAAAATACACAGACACACAAACACACACACACACACACCCAGATGGCCTTGACTTACAATGGTCTGATTTACAATTTTTCAACTTTACCAAAATGGTACAAAACAGCTGCAATTTTGAAGTACTTGGAATTTTGAATTTTGATCTTTTCCTGGGCTAGCAGTATGCAGTATGTGAGATATTCAATGCTTTATTATAAAACAGGCTTTGTGTTAGATAATTTTGCCCAACTGTAGGCTAATTCTGAGCACATTTAAGATAGGCTGGGCTAAGCTGATATTCAGTAGGTTATGTGTATTAAATGCGTTTTCAATTTATGATGGGTTTATCACGATGTAATCCCATCATAAGTTGAGGAGCATCTGTATAAATCCATCAACAGGGGCAGGGGTTGGCAAACTACAGCCCATAAGCCAACTCCAGCCACCTGTTTTTATAAATAAAATTTTACTAAAATAGTCACAGAGATACAAAAAAACAAAAGCCAATTCTGTTGGCTTTAGTTACTGGTTATCTTGTAACAATACTGACTATCAGAGAATACTATCACCTTATAAAACTATACTCATCTTACTGGAGCACAAAGAATTATAATTCAATGGCATGTTTTATTCTTAAAACAAGTTTCTAAATATATCAAAATATGAGACTTTAAAAAAGGCAACTTCCCAGCTGCCATTCAATTTAATAAACTACATAAAGTGCTCCCTGCCAAGTTCCAACATGCGCACACACATACACACACACACACACACACACACACACACACGATGGAAGTACAGCTTAACTGCAGTTACCATACCTTAGAAAGTATCAAATCGCCTAACCATCGCACACAATCAACATAATTCCTATGTATGTCTCTGGTAGAAAAATCAGGAAAATGGATTTTCTGAGAAATAAATGGCCTGAAGGAAGAATGGAAATGTAAAAAGTTAAAAGAAAAAATTATAGTAGAATCATACTCTTTTTCATTTTTGGATTTATAAAACTTGGAAAAACAAAATGTAAGACTATTAATTCCTCTGTGTTCCTACATAACCAACCACCTTATCTATTTATTGAAAGCTAAAGTCTCATTCCACTTTTGTTTATTTTTCTCCATTATTATCCAATTTTATCTTTGTCCTATGATAGATACTTTGTTTATAAACATTGTAGTTTCCTGCGTTTTACTATATATAACCCAAAATTAATCACCTCAATTCTGGGTACCCTAACCAATAATAAAGGCCTGATCAGTTTCTCACTGAAAATATACTAAGCTACCTACTCAGTCCTTAAAATTAAGCATTAATAATCTATGAAAGTCAATATATCTACACTATTTCAAAAGATAGTCATCTTTCCAGGAACAACTAAACATCATTCCAAAGTCTGCTAAAGATACATCTACAGTCCTGCCTTGAGCAATAATTTCTGAAAATGATGCCTTACAGGAATTTAAAATTTCTTAAGTGGGGGTGGGTGCGGTGGCTCCCAGCACTTTGGGAGGCCGAGGCAGGTGGATCATCTGAGGTCAGGAGTTCGAGACCACCCTAGCCAACATGGTGAAACCCCATCTCTACTAAAAATACAAAAAAAAAAAAAAAAAAAATTAGCCAGGCATGGTGGCGGCCGCCTGTAATCCAGCTACTTGGGAGGCTGAGGCAGGAGAATCGCTTGAACCTGCGAGGCAGAGGTTGCAGTGAGCCAAGATTGCACCACTGCACTCCAGCCTGGGAAACAAGAGCAAAACTCCGTCTCAAAAAAACAAATAGAACAAAATAAAATTTCCTAGGACTTTTCCAAATAATTTCTGTATTTAGGAAACTAAATGGCAACACTGTTTTCATTAGAGATATTTGTGAGAAGAAACAAAACAAGCTGCTATTAATTCTGGAGTTATTTAACAGTACACTTAACATTCCTAATATACTCAGTTTTAAATCAGAAATAGCTGTATAAGTATAATATGCCATGAATTAGTTGTCTTAGGCAATTCATATGTCCTCTCTTTACCTTTTCCCTCAGATATGTAAAAAAGCACTTTGGATTGGAGCAACTCAAAACAATCCTTCCAATTCAAATTCTGGGATATTTTGTTGAAACATTAAAATGTTATTCGTGATCTGATATAAATTCTTAACTCTGCTATAATTATATTAATTGCTTTTTAGCTAAATACATACTATAATTGTATGGCCAAACCTCTCTCAAAGAAAAAACGAGTACAACTGTTATTTTTTGAAAACTCTGAAATATAGTTTGTATTTATTCCAGATATCTAGAAAATAATCTAAAAATATAAATTTAACATTGTCCTACTAGCTCCTGGTGTTTTAAAGGAGAAAGGTAAAACTTTTAATAATTCTTAGAGGACACTTAGGTCTGATGAATGTTAGTGCATTGAAATATTTACTGATGCTTACAAATTTAATAATCTATTAACAATCTGGCTTGATAACCAGAAAATGAATTCTAGCTCTTTGCTAAAACAAAAGTGCCAACAAAGTTAACATGCAGACATACAACGTTTATAGTGAAAGTGTTAATGACAGCCTGATAAGATTCTAAAGACAGTTACTGCATTAAGAATTGAGACATTTCAAAAATATACTAAGAAAACTGCAAAATTCCCCAACCTATAGTACCATGAAGTGAGGCTCCTGCATTTGAATTCTCTCCATTTAATCAAGTGAGCATCATTTAGGGAAAAACATTATCATGAATTAGAGCTAAGAACTCCATTGTTTAAAACTGTGGTTTACCATCTTGAATTAGAATTAGCATCATTTAAAAAAAGTTAACATTATTCTAAAGTGTCCTTTACTCTCCCTAGTCCATAATAAGCTTAAGTGATTTAAAACTTTTACATTTATAACTTAAAAGGCCAAGCATATGCATACCAAAATACAAATAAGTAAAATGTGCTACTAAGTTAAGATGACAACACAATTTAAAGGGGATTTTGAAAACTAAGCCACAAACACTGCAAATAAAGGACTTCTTAAAGGGGTGAATTTTACAGTATGTAAATTGTCCCTTAAAGTTAAAAGAAGGTCTTCTAAACTCATTGTTGGGGCTTATATAGCAATTTTGGGAAAAAATAAAACTTATATTCAATAGCACAACATAGCAAATTGTTTCAAATACCACAACTGTTACCTGTTAGTTTTATTTGGATTATAATCATAAGATTCCTTAATTGCATTCATCATTCTCTTTGAATTGATCCTCCAAAGTTTAAGAGAATGATCCATACCACAGGACATTATTTTTTCACCCAAAAGATCATAATCCTGTATGCAAAACCAAAAAGTTTTATATAAATTACAGCTCCAAATTATATTTATCCAATTTTTGCCTAATGTGCAACATAGTGAAAACTGTATTTCAAATCACAATACAAACTACATTTTGGGTTTCATCTAAATAGGCCATAAATCAGAGTTTACTACTTTCAAGATTTACAGCTTTAATTAGTTTGTCAACATCGGAATATAAGAGCATTTACAATGTATAAACCAAGAAAAAATTACTTAAACTTAGTTTTATCTATTCAATTACACTAAAATATTTATTTTGCTTATTTTGAAGGTAAATTGAATACTAAGTTAAAATAATTATTCTGACACAAAGAGCTGAATAGTGATATTACTTTTCCTATCCAACCTCAACCAACCAATGAAACTGACATGTGCATGTGAAAATACATGAATCCTTAAAGAGCTGACATCTTACTTTATAATTCTAAGTCAAAATATTTTGAAGTTAGTTTTAGAGTTCACTTTTAAGTGAATTTTTAAAAGTCTAATAAAAAACAGATTTTAACTTTTTTCATTTGCTGTTTACTAATTTTTAACAGGCATGTAACAGATCATCTATTGTAACAACCTCATTTCATAGGCAGACACTAAGGCCCAGAGATGCTATTTAATTTAGCAAAAGGCACATAATGAGTAATGAAAATCTCACACACCTATCCACCTCCAGTGAACTCCTGTATTACACAGAAGAGCTACATACTGTCTCCTGCTCTCATTCTAAGAAATAACAGTAGAGAGTTCTATTGAAGGAGTATATTTTCCTTACTAACCTAGATACTATATGTTAATCCAGCCTTTGCATTAATTATGAGCACCATTTTATAAGAGCCTAAGAACTTTAGGCTTGATGTTTATTGAATTCACAGTTGTGGTACTTCTAATTACCTCACTGTCAACAGCAACAAGACATCCTTCGAGACAATACCACTAATTTGGAGTTATTAATAAAGAACAGTTCACTTGGCTTTTACACACATAAAGCCAGACGTAGAATGCTACTGCAACTTTTAGGAAATCCAAGTTGACAAGGTATTCGAAGGAAGGTATGATTCTCACAAAGGAATCCAAACTTCAACATAGGAATATTTTAGTACCTTCAACTAAAATGTTACATGCTGTAAAATATGGTGCCCCTTTACATAGTTTAATGGAAAACAACCTAAGAGATGTGAAATTACTACAGGAATCAAATGAGCTAAATATGGAACATAAGCAAAAATAATGTTAAAATCTGAAACCTAACTAAAAACACTTGTATAATGGACCAATGGATTACAATACATCAATATAAAGGTGGTATTTATCTTTAAACTGGTCTTGTATTATACCACGCCACCCAAAGAGAATGGCTAGAAATAAGTTACCTAAAACAGTGTGAGCACAATAAAACACTTCCAAATAGCAAAAAACGTTATGTTTCAACTTCAAACAAAAGATGGAAAAGCACTTTAATGGCTACATAGTTTAATTTTTTTCTTTAATAACTGCGAAATGGCAAAACAAACATTAACTTAGTGATTTTAGATTAAAAGGAAAGGAGCAAGATCATACTGCTCTCATAAGACTCCAGGGATTGGTATACAGTGCAAGTAATTTAAAAAATAAATAAATAAATATAGTCTTTACTTGTTTTATTCCTTCATCTGGAGATTAAAATCTTCTATGTCAAATGTAAGTGAATGTCTGCCTGACAGGCTACATGAAACACACTTTCTTATAAGGAAACAGTTCCATGGAGACTGTTCACAGCTATGTAAACCTGAAAGTCATTGCCCTGCAGTTTCCAACTTACAGCACTTAGAACTTCATCTCTGTGCCCTTCTACGCCTCCAAATATTGCCACCAGAGTGTCCGTCTGGATATTCCATAATCGTAAAGCATGATCTAGTATAAACATACAAAAATTAGGCGAATGTTTTTTATTTACTGTGAACTTTCAACATCTTGTGAAAGAAAAACTACTAAAGTCTAGATGTAAGTTATGCACAGTAAAGCCTAAAAATGGAATCCATATTACATAGCAACTTAAAATGTTTACATCAGATGTAGAATTAGCTAGGTAAGTGCTATAGTTTGAATAGGCCCCCCCAAAAGCATGTGCTAGAAACTCAATCCCCAATGCAATAGTGGTGTGAGCTGGGGCCTAATGGGAGGTATTTAGGTCATGGGGGCTCCATCCTCACAAATGGATTAATACTGATTATAAAAGGGCCTGAGGCTATAAATTCAATCTCTTGCTCCCTCACACCCTCTCCTGCCCTTTTGCTGAGACGATTCAGCATGAAGGCTCTCACCAGATGCCGGCACCATGTTCTTGGACTTCCCAGTCTCCAGAAACAGGAGCCAAATAAATTTTTGTTCATTATAAATCACCCAGTCAGGTACGGTGGCTCATGCTTGTAACCCCAGCACTTCAGAAGGCCAAGATGGGAGGACTGCTTAAGCCCAGGAGTTTGAGACTAGCCCTAGCAATATAGCAAGACCCTGTCTCAACAAAAAATTTAAAAATTAGTGAAGCCTGAGCAATAGAAAAGAAATTAATTAATCCATCAGTCAGTCACCTAGTCTGTGGTATTGTGTTATAGCAGCACAAAATGGACTCAGACAGAATGTTGGTACTCAGAAACGGGACTATTGCTATAAATACCTGAAAATGTGGAAATGACTTTGGAACTGGGTAACGAGGAGAGGCTGGAAGAATCTGGAGGAGCAGGCTAGAAAAAGCCTATATTGGTGTGAGTGGAGCATTGAGGGTAATTCCAGTGAGGGCTGAAAAGAAGACAAGAGCTTCAGGCAGAGCCTTTATCTTCTTAAGGATTACTTAAGTGGTTGTGATCAGAATGTTGGTAGAACAATGTTGGTCTCAGACAGAATGAGGTTGGTCTCATTCAGTGAGGTCTCAGACAGAAATGAGAAGTTATTGGAAAATGGAGTAAGAGCTATCCCTGTTGGCAGGGTGTGATGGTTCATGCCTGTAATCCCAGCACTTTGAGATTGAGGCAGGAGGATCACTTGAGGCCAGGAATTCAAGACCAGCCGGGGTAACATAGTGAGACCCAATCCCTACAGAAAATAAATTAGCCAGGTGTGGTGGCGTGTACCTGCAGTTCTAGCTACTTAGGGGACTGAGGCAAGAGGATCAATTGAGCCTAGGAGTTTTGGGCTGCAGTGAGCTATGATCATGCCACTGCACTGCCTGGGTGACAGAGACCAACCCTGTCTTTAAAAGAAAAAAAAAAAAAGCCAGGCCAGGTGTGGTAGCTCATGCCTGTAATTCCAGCAGCATGGGAGGCTGAGGTGGGTGGACACTTGAGCTCAGGAATTCGAGACTAGCCTGGGCAACATGGTGAAACTCCATCTCTACAAAAAATACAAAAACTAGCGGGGTGTGGTGGCATGTGCCTGTAGTCCCAGCTACTCGGGAGGCTGAAGTGGAAGGATCACTGGCATGGTGCCGGCATCCGGTGAGGGCCTTCATGCTGAATCGTCTCACAGCAAAAGGGAAGGAGAGGGTGTGAGGGAGCAGAGGTTGTGCCACTGCACTCCAGCCTGGGTGACAAGAATGAGACCTTGCCTCAAAAAAATAAATTAAATAAATAAATAAAAGCCATCCTTGCAATACAGTTGTGAAGAACTTAGCAGGACTGTGTCCATGCCCTAGGACTTTGTGGAAGGCAGAAGTTAAGAGCAATGAATCCAATACCTGGCAGAAGAAATATCTGAGCATCAAAGCATTCACAGTGATGCATGGCTTCTTCTGGCTGCTTATCATAAAATGAGAAATGATCTAAAGGTGAAATTTGTAATTAAAAAGGAAAGCAAAACAGAAACATTTATAAACTCTCAGCCTGGCCATGTAAAGAAAAAAAAAGCAGGCTGGGTGTGGTGGCTCACACCTGTAATCCCAACACTTTCGAAGGCTGAGGTGGAAGGATCATTTGAGCCCAGAAGTTCAAGACCAGCCTGGGCAACATAGCAAGTCCTTGTCTCTTCAAAAAATATATAAAATAAAAAAGCATGTTTGAGAGAGAATATTAAGGATGTAGCTAAGTGACTAATTGCTAAGGAGATTAATAGGGAAGAGAAGGCAGGTTCTATTCACCAAGACAATGGGATAATGACCACAAAGGCATTTCAGAGATCTTCAAGACATAGCTAAGACCTTGAGGGCAAGGTTTCCAGAGTAGCACCCATGGGACCTCTACATTCACTGTCCAGGGCCACTTCAGCACTTTGCTCCCCCTATTCCAAGGCAGTGCTCTTTGGTCACCCCATAGCTTGAAGGGGCTCAAGTATGGCTCAGGCCATAGCTTCTGAAGGTACAAGCAGCAAATCTTGGCAGTGTCCATGTGGTGTTAAGTCTGCAGATGCAGAGAATGCAGGAACTGTGGAGGCACGGCTTCCTCTCTAGATTTCAAAAGACATCACAAAGAGCCTGGGGCTCCAGGCAGAAACTTTTCAGAAGGGCAGAGCCACACAGCAGTTCCTACTACAGCAACACCTGGTGGAGCCATGGGGAAAAAGCCATCCCCCAAATCCCAGAACTGCTGAGCTACCAGGGCACACCACCAGCCTGCAAGAGCTGCAGGCACCCGACTCCAACTCATAAGATGCTATGTGGGCTGCACGTGGCAAACCCATAAAGATGGGGCTGCCCAAGGCCTCTGGGGCCCAAACTCCACACCCAGCATGCCCAGAAGGCAAAACATGGAGCCAAGGAAGATTATTCTGGTGCCTTGGATTTAATCTTGTTTGTTCTGTTGAGTTTTGGATTTACTTGGGACCAGTTACCCTTATTCTTGCCTATCTCTCCTTTTTGGAAGGGACTGTCTATCCTATGCTTATCCTACCACTGTATTTTGAAAATAGATAAGATGCCTGATTTCCCAGACCCACAGATGGAGAATTTACCTCAGCAGGAATCCTGCCTTGAGTCTCACCCATATCTGATTGAGGATTTGAATTTTGGGGGCTAGAGGCAGAATGCTACAGCTTAAATGAACCCCCGAAAAAGCAGGTTGGGAAACTTAATCCCAATGCAGCAGTGTTGGGAGATGAGACCTAATGAGAAGCGTTAGGTCATGAGAGTACCACTCTTATGAATGAATTAATTCCAATTATATATTAAAAAAAAAAAAGGCTTCAAGTTCAATTTCTTGTTCTTACTTTCTAATGCCAGGTTAAAGTGGACTAAGACAGTAAGTTCAGAAATATTCATGTGGTCTGAAAAATATTTTAAGCATATTTATCTCAAATAACTTTCTTTAAATAACCTAATTTGATGGAAATATACTTTTGAAATAAAATACAGATTTGACATAAGCAATTTTATCCCACAGAACAAGATACTAGCTTTTCCCTTCACCATACTCACATTAAAAAATTGAAAGGGGACTGAGATTTATGATTTTTACAGTAAGCTGAAAACATAACTACATATATCATGCACAATTTTATAGAATGACAGTCCCTCTTCAAAAATTATGCAGCTATAATTTGAGCAATGTTATATTAAACATTAATAAAGAATGTACAGCAGTAGCTCACACCTGTAATCCCAGCACTTTGGGAGGCCAAGGTGTGAGGATCTTTTGAGGCCAGGAGTTTGAGACCAGGTTGGACAACATAATGAAACCGTATCTCTACAAAAAATTTTTAAAAATTAGCCAGGCATGGTGGTGTGCACATGTAGTCCCAGCTACTCAGAAGGATGAGGTGGGAACATTGCTTGAGGCCAGGAGCTCAAGCTACAGTGAGCTGTGATCACATCACTCTACTATAGCCTGGTTGACAGAGTGAGATCCTGTCTCTAAAACAGTATTTAAAAAAAAGAAAGAATGTAAAGCAAAGACACGTCATGTAAGCTTGAAATATAACAATGTTCATTCTGTCTGTGAATATAAATGCATCACATAAACACCCCAGAGGTAGTAATACATGTGAAAATTAACAGTGCTGTAAAAATGATTCCTTGATTTCAATTTTGTACAAGCTTTTGTATGGACATGTTATTTCTGTTGGGGATACATATGTACACCCCCACCCACACAACCCTAGGATATACATACATATGTAAACATCTAGGATTAGTGACTCTGTAACATTTTGAGGAACTGCCAGATTGTTTTTCAAAGTAGTTACATTTTACATTCCCACCAGCAGTGTCTGAGAGGGCTCTGATTTCTTCTTGTGCCAGTCAATACTTGTTAGTATCTAACGTTTTTATTACAGCCACCCTAAGTAGGTGTGAAGTGGTATTTCATTATGGTTTTGATTTGTATTTCCTTAATGATTAATATGTTAAACATCTTTTCATGTGCTCAGTGGCCATCTGTGTATGCTCTGTGAAGAAATGTCATTCAGAACTTTTGGCCATTTTTAAATTGGGCTGTCTTTTTATTGTTGAGCTATAAAAATTCTTGATACACGTCCCTTATTAGCTGGGAATCATGGCTCATGCCTGTAATCCCAGCAGTTTAGGAGGCCAAGGTAGGAGGACTGCTTGAGGCCAGGAGTTTGAGGACCAGTCTAGGTAACACAGGGAGACCTCATCTCTACAAAAACATTTTTTACAAAATTAGCCAGGTATGGCGGCACGTGCCTGTAGTCCTAACTACTTGGTAGGTTGAGGCTACAGTGAGCCATGATCACACCACTGCACTCAACCTGGGTGACTGGGCAAGACCCTGTCTCCAAAAACAAAAAATAAAAATCAAAGTCCTTTATCAGAATGATTTATAAATATTTTTTCTCCTTTTGAGTAGGCTTTTTTACTTTCTTGATAGTATCACTTGGAGCAAAATTCTTATTCATGCTCAAACTTCTGATTTTTAAAAATGCTCTTACTGACACAATAGAGGAAGACCAGGGTTAAAAGTTGTGATGTTGGGCTGTGCGCAGTGGCTCACGCCTATAATCCCAGCACTTTGGGAGGCCGATGCGGGTGGACCACCTGAGGTCAGGAGTTTGAGACCAGCCTGGCCAACATGGAGAAACCTCATCTCTACTAAAAATAAAAAAAATTAGCCAGGCATGGTGGAGGGCGCCTGTAATCCCAGCTACTCGGGAGGGTCAGGCAGGAGAATCACCTGAACCCAGGAGGCAGAGGTTGCAGTGAGCCGAGATAGAGCCATTGCACTCCAGCCTGGGCGCCAAAGCAAGACTCTGTCTCAAAAATAAATAAATAAATAAATAAATAGAGGCAGGACGCAGTGGCTCACACCTGTAATCTCAGCACTTTAGGAGGCTGAGACAGGCGGATCAACTGAGGTCAGGAGTTCAAGACCAGCCTGACCCA
The DNA here is from genome assembly GCF_000001405.40 of Homo sapiens. Lineage (NCBI taxonomy): Eukaryota > Metazoa > Chordata > Mammalia > Primates > Hominidae > Homo > Homo sapiens. The sequence continues at coordinate 86,258,758 of NC_000011.10, read as the reverse complement.
TGTGGAGAAACCGTATCTCTACTAAAAATACAAAAATTAGCCGGGCATGGTGGTACATGCCTGTAATCCCAGCTACTCGAGAGGCTGAGGCAGGAGAATCTCTTAAACCCGGGAGGCAGAGGTTGCAGTCAGCCGAGATTGCACCATTGCGCTCCAGCCTCCGCAACAAGAGCGAAACTTTGTCTCAAAAAAAAAAAAAAAAACCAAAAAACAAAGAAAAGAGAAAAAAAAAGTTGTAATATTTAGAACAAGTGAGGCATTACGGTCTATACAGTTGTTCAGAAATATCTGAGCCCCAATTAGTGTTATCAAGAGACAAGAAAAAGTAATCAACTCTTCCTAGAGGTAGTGATTTCCAAAATGCAATGCTTTCCCTTTATGGGAATATTTCAAATAACTTATCCTGAAAAACGTAGCATTTTTAAGAAATTCTATAGGAAATCCTTTATAAAACAAAAGCTTTTTTAAAAAATAAAAAAGCAATATGAATTTTCATATGTAGTATTTATTATTACATGATTGGACAAAATGATTTGGATATGCTAACATAGCCTGGGATTTTCCTACTAAAATGTACTGTTATAACCTTTTTTTTAATTTGGCTTTATTTCCTTAGAACACTATCTGTCCATACACTGGGGCCTACTGGAGGGTAGAGGGTGGGAGGAGTAAGAAGATCAGGAAAAATAACTAACAGATACTAGACTTAAAATAAAACAGGACCTGTCAACCTAAGTAACAGAGAGGCTCTCTAAAATAAAAGATGTTTATATGGAAATAATGCACTGCAATGAGAATGTACATGCCAAAGTAAACTATGTGTGTTCTCCGAGACGTAAAGGAAAGACAGAGGTTTTTAAAGAAAAAAATGAGAAGGATTACATAATTGTTTTGAAATAAGATTGGCCACAAAATCAGTAACAAGGGTGATGCCAGTCTCAGGATGGAGAGGCACTTACTGCCAGTATTTTCTGTGTAAGGCTGTGATGGCCTTTGTGCAAGGTTGTGGTTGTGTTTTTTTGTGAGTTTTTATTATCAGACATACAAGCATGTGGACTCTCTTCTCATGGTTTTTCCTATTTGTCAGGGTTTTCTTGACATTAGTGACTCCATCTTAATTCTGACAAATTGCACAGACTCAAGAAACATTTGCTTCACTTACCTTTACTTACTGACAGGAGAAGATTTGGATCTCTTGGATGGAATTTCAGCTCATTGATAGCATTTCCATGGCCAACATAGTGCTACAATAAATTTAAAACATTTCAAGTTTCCTATCTCAAAATCAGTAAATTTTTTTTCATAAATCTTTAGAGAATGTAAAAATAGTTTCACTTAAAGTAGTGGTTCTCAACCTTGGCTGCATACTAAAATCACCCAACAAACTTGAGGTGAAAAGGAAAAAAAAAAAAAAAAAAGACCCCAGGCACAGTGGGTGGCTCATGTTTTTAATCCAAGCACTTTGGAAAGCTAAGGCAGAATCGCTTGAGGTCAGGAGTTCAAGACCAGTCAGAGCAATGCAGCAAGACCCTATCTTCATACACACACACACACACACACACACACACACACAAATTAAAAATTGGCCCCAGCTACTTGAGAGGCTGAGGCAGGAGGATCGCTTGAGCCCAGGAGACGGGCTGCAGTGAGCTATAATCATGCTACTACATTCCAGCCCGGGCAAAGGAGTCAGAATCTGTCTCAGAACAAAAAAAAAAAAAGATGCTCAAAACTCCACCTGCAGATATTCTGATCGGATTAGCGGAGGCTCCAATATGCGTAGGGTTTTAAGCATCCTCAGGAGAGTGTGATGTAGCCCAACAGTTAAAAACAGGTGATGAAAGTGATTTGAAAAACCCGTCTTCTTATCAACTTCCTAGGCTTCACCTTTATGTTCGTTACAAGGTCCCTTTGATAACACCCCTCCAGTTTAGGTGTCTTGGAAAATGGACTCCCTCTTATTGTTCATTTAGAGCCTCTCAAAGTAAACCATGACAAGGGTGAAAGAGGGAAATGATTTAAAAAGAAAGCACTACAAATATTAACATTTTCCCACTTATTCCTTAATTTACATTACCCAAATGTGACAAACGTCTCAAAAGACTCATCCAAAGAGAGCAGTAAGAAAAGTACAAATCAAATGAGAAATGTTACATTCATACCATTAGTTTTAAATTTAACATTACAAGTTTTTACAGTTGTGGATTCAAAAGAAGCAGATCTACAATTTAACCAGAAAAACCCACCTTTATACACTGCATTGTTATAGGATTTATTATCCTAATTATGCCTCTAGATCCAGCTACAGCCAGCAGAGGATGGCTCGTATTGCTATCATAGGTCCATGCACAAGTGTAAAAGTTTTCATCAGCCTAAGAAATTCCACAGTTAAGAAACATAATGTTTTTGAAAAAGAAACATGTCAATAATTATAATAGAAACTTATAAAGAACTGCTAAAGTTTTTGACACCAAAGTTCTCAATTTTCCTTATACAACCAAATATATACAATGGTGATTTGAGGTCTAAAATCCATAACAAATGATCAAACAAAATTACAGTCTCTCCACTCAATTTTGTTTACTCTTTAGCTGCTTGTACAACTACTCAACTCTGTAGTTGCAGTACCAAAATAACTGCAGAAAATATACAAATGAATGGGCATGGTTGTGTTCAAAACAAAACTTTACAAAAACAGGTGACCAACCTGCACGCTGTAGTTTAACCTCTGCTCTATCCCCATACCTCTATAAATATCTAAAAAAGAACAATTCAGTTTTCCACTTTTTTCTTTGTGAGACAGTCTCAATACAACAACAGGTCACATTTCAATATCTTTTAGAGAAGACTGAATGTCCTTGCCTTGTCTTGTTTGCTAGGTTTTTCAAATGGATCTGGAAGAAATATCTTATTACTTAGCTTTTACCGCTCTAACTCGGGCTTTTCAAATTTTTCTGTTTCTTTATGAACCTGTTTTGCAATTTTTATTTCCTATTTTATTTTATTTTTATATATTTTATTTTTCCTAAACTTTTTTTTTCTTCCTAGGCTTCGTTGATCAAATACTTAGAATGACTACCAGTCACAAGCCAAGTTCATCATTATAACTACAATGAAATGATATATTCTAGGCAAGGTCAAAGAAAAAGGAGGTTTTAATCAGTCTTTGCTAATATTTTCTATTACTAGATTTCTAATGCTCCTATCTCTATAGACATCTGCACCCAACCAGCACATCCATCCCACAATGGATTCTTTTCTTTTTCTTTTTGCCTAGCTGAGTTGACACATACCACAATGGATTTCTAAGGGTCAGGAAAACTAGATACAGGATTCTCTTGGGTGATAGTGAAGAAATCGGTTAAGAAAGAACAATAACTTTAGGGAAATGATTAATTTATAAAAGTTTTGGTGCACTTATTGAAAATAAATTCCTTTGACTAAAGATATTAAAAACCCAGGAAAGGATACATCAGCATCCACGTAAGATTGCAACAACCGGATTTCTCCTTGTGAATGACATTCATACAAGGTAACCTAATGAAAATAAAAATACAGTAAATTTCATCTCAAGTATAGAAAACATACTCTCTCCAACTTTTAAACATATTTTAATCGCAATCCTATCTTAAATATACTACAGAAACTACTGCCTTAAAATACCTCCTGTGAGCTTAAAGAAGCCATTATAAAGCTGAATGTTTTACATAATACACAGAGCATATTAAATATTGCAGTAATAGTCGTTTCGATTTCCAATCTTTTAAACTTATATTTCATCCATTCAATTGCCTAGGCAACATAGCAAAACCCCATCTCTATTAAAAAATAAATATTAGGCCGGGCACGGTGGCTCACGCCTGTAATCCCAGCATTTTGGGAGGCCAAGGCATGCGGATCATGAGGTCAAGAGATCAAGACCATCCTGGCCAATATGGTGAAACCCTGTCTCTACCAAAAATACAAAAATTAGCTGAGCGTGGTGGCACATGCCCGTAATCCCAGCTACTCAGGAGGCTGAGGCTGGTGAATCACTTGAACCCGGGAGGCGGAGGTTGCAGTGAGCCGAGATTGCACCATTGCACTCCAGCCTGGCAACAAAAGCGAAACTCTGTCTCAAAAAAAAATAAAATAAAATAAGTCCGGACACAGTGGCTCATGTCTTTAATCCCAGCACTTTGGGAGGCCGAGGCGGGTGGATCACGAGGTCAGGAGATCAAGACCATCCTGGCTAACACGGTGGAACCCCGTCTCTACTAAAAATACAAAAATTAGGTGGGTGTGGTGGCATGTGCCTGTAGTCCCAGCTACTCAGGAGGCTGAGACAGGAGAATCGCTAGAACCCAGGAGGCAGAAGTTGCAGTGAGCCAAGATTGCACCACTGCACTCCAGCCTGGGCAACAGAGAGAGACTCAGTCTCAAAAAAAAAAAAAAACCATAAAAAATAAAAATTCAAATAAAAATAAGTCTTTGGATAGTTTTGGAGTATTTACATATTAGTTACATATTTAAAAGTCTACAATTTGCTTAATGAATTATTTTCTCATGGGTACAGATAATCAAACATTAACTTTCACATGTATGATAGCCTTTTTCATTTGTTGCATACTCTAAAATTAAAACTATACATACACCATACACAATTTTGTAATACTAAACTTTTATAAATTTCTTTCCATTTTCTTTTTTTTTTTTTTTTTTTTTTTTTTTGAGACAGAGTTTCACTCTTGTCGTCCAGACTGGAGTGCAATGGCATGATCTTGGCTCACTGCAACCTCTGCCTCCCGGATTCCAGTGATCCTCCTGCCTCAGCCTCCCGTGTAGCTGAGATTACAGGCACTCGCTATCATGCCCAGCTAATTTTTGTGTTTTTAGTAGAGACAGGGTTTCACCACGTTGGTCAGGCTGGTCTCGAACTCCTGAGTTCAGGTGATCCACCTGCCTCAGCCTCCCAAAATGCTGGGATTACAGGCGTGAGCCACTGTGCCCGGCCCCATTTTTCTTATAGCTTATAGTCAGTCACATTAGCAAAAACCTATTATTATTTTATAATAGTACTGAAGACCTCTGAAGATCCTGTGTATCATCACAACCTATTAATTCATTATCTCCTCTATGTTAATGTTCAAAAAAAATTCTTTATATGGCTGCTAACTAGGTTATGTCTTATGTGGTAATTGTTTTTGTTTTCTTTCTTCCTTTTAAAGAAATTCTAACAGCAGAACTTTTTATAATTCAATAAACTATATGACACCCCTTTATGTCACTTTAAATAAAAATAGGGATTCTTTTTGTTAGAAAACCTAAAACACTGCAATCAGCACACTGGAGCACAAACTATACCAATTATAATACTATCAAAGCTAAATATTAACTTAGGTTTACAGTGGTGTCTTAAAAGTGGACTCAAATTTAATTAATGCACTACATTCCCAACTAGGAAAAAAATAACCTCAACCTTTTCTTAAAACCGCAAAATTTTTCCTCTGAATTGTTGTTTTCAAAGAATCTAGGAACTAAACAACTATAAGCAGACTACATTATCTTAAAACCTACATTTGACTAAACACCAAAAACAGAAGAAAAAAAGCTATTATTTCATGTTATCAACTTCAGTGGTAACTTAAAAATATTTAGAGTTTCAATGAATTGACCTTGTCAAATAGTAAAAGGCCTAGAGCCTTACATGTCATTATAAAATTTCCTTAAAAGGCTGGACATGGTGGCTCATGACTGCAACCCCAGCTCTTTGGGAGGCCAAGGCAGGTAGATTGCTTGAGCCCAAGAGTTCAAGACCAGCATGGGCAACACGGTGAAAACCTATCCCTACAAAAAAAATTAGCCAGGGATGGTAGTGCATGCCTGTAGCTACTCAGAAGGCTGACATGGGAGGATCACCTGAGCCCCAGAAGTTGAGGCTGCAGTAAGCCTTGATTAACCACTGCACTCCATCCTGGAGGAAGGAGTAAGACTCTCTCTCTCTCAAAAACAAACAACAACAACAACAACAACAATCACCACCAAACACTACCTGTCTCAAAACAAAAAAACCCAGCAAACTCAAATGTTTACTGCAAGTAATTAAAACATCTCAATAACTTATTTAAATCCACTGGATTTATGCTTCATTTATAGAGCCATTCATTACCTTAATTTTAAAAAAATCACAGCCAGTTCTTACGCTATTTGAATGATAAATACCAAAATCACTTTAAAAAGAACGCCAATTAAAAAAAAAAAAAAAGGACGCCAATTCTTTCAACCAAGTATTTATGAAGACAAATACAAGTATAAAACCTGTTTCATAAATAATTAGGGGTAATATATTAAATATAGATGTATTTTCAGCCATGCATACTAGTTTTAATTAATTTCTAGAAACCTTCACTCTTACATGAAAGAATCATATTGCTAAACCAGCTTCACAAAATGCACTTTGAAATTATTCTATTTCAATATTACATTAACACCAGATCTGGAAATCAAGCCAAATACTAAATAGACCCCTTAACACTCACTCTGTTGCTTCCTACAGTTGCAAACACTAATGGATCTCCTTCTTTACTGTGCCAGTTAAACTGAACTCCAAACAATGGTTGGTTATGATCTTCCTATAAAATAATCATGAAATAAGAAAAGATTAATGTATCTTACAAACCAGAAAATGACAGTAAACTAACCTATCCCCTTCTTTTTTCCAAAATGCAATACATTATTTTGTGTATCATACATAAGCTAACTTTTGACACTAAAATTAAAAGATGTCTACTAGTCTAGTTTTCACATTTTAAAATATTGTGTATGATAAAGTTTTATCACAACCAAAGGCTGAAATCACAAGTTAGGTAATAACCGCTTACCTACGAAAACACTTATAATATTTGCCTTTTTCTTAATAAGCCAATCATATTCTGAATCACAATAAACTGGATAATTTTGGTGGATACAAAAGGACACAATTTATTTTTCTGAAACAGGAAATTAACAGATGGCCTTAATAGCTTCTCTGGCATTCACTAAATTTTATAAGGCTAAATTTTTCCCTTGTAAAGTGAAGCATAGCAGACTCCATTCAAATCACTGTTTTCTGTTAGTCAGAATGAGAATATCTGAACACTGGGGACTAGGGGAAGAAATAAACTGTAACTGCACAGTTACCAGGAGGCTATAGGAGATGTACAAAGAACAATTATGCACTTTTGTTCACAAAGTTATTTTTCAGCTTTAGGATTTTACTGGCCAACTTCTGGCATTTAACACTGACTTTCAGATGCAGTTTAAGGCACTGTTTTCACTTTTAAAGTACGTCTTTCGTTTTCTCATCATTTGAAAAGCCACAGCTTTAGGATTTTGAAATACTGCCTTAAGTATAAAAGGCAGCTAAAAACATCTTCCAGGTACAGTACCTAAAAGTAGTACGTTAATGTAAATAAATATGCACATGAAACTATAATTGACTTTTAAAAAATATGCTGAGATTAATTTCTCTCCTTTTACAGGAGCAAAATCTGACACACTGAGCATCGAATTTTTGCTACACAGACAGAAAAATGTCATAGTCATAGCTTCTTATGCTTTCCCAAAACTTTACTTATAAAAAATATATTTGGATATTTAGAAAAGGTTTTAACTTACATATGTATGAGATAATACACATTTTTCCTCAGTATAGAAAAAAATAGCCTCACATTTAAAAAACAAACTGGACATATATAAAAGAAAATATCTTAAACACCAGTAACCCCTTTTATAAAGTAAATAAAAATACTATTGGGGACAGATTAATTTAAATAACCAAAACCCCCTTTTCCCTAAATATTTAATATTAAAAAGTTTAAAAATTTTTTACACCTTTTTCTTTGAAAACAGTTATAAATAAAACAAAGGACAGAAACTGTACAAAGTAAAACATCTGTTTCAATTTATACTTAGTCAAAGTTAATGGGTTACATTCAGTTCTTTTTAAAAACTGATGCCAGAAGTGGCTTATGTTTTTTAAGTTTTACTAAAATATAAAGAGTAATAGTTACCCAAATCTTATAATTTGAATGCAAACAATAAAGCAAAAACATCCTGCAACACTGTCACATATTTAAATTAAAACAACAAAAAACAAAACCAAAAAACTAAACATGGGATGGACTAAAATAGATACGCAGTCTGAACTACAAAAAAAAAAACCCTTCAGAAAACATTGTAACTTTAAAATATTTACAACTTGACAGAGTATCCTGAGTACGAAATGCGTGCCACAGAGAAATAATTTCTGAAGCCTAGCATTCAGCCCAAAGGATCTTTTTTTGCACATACCTTGAGACTATTTACACATTTGAAAGAATATTTGCATTTCTTTGACTTCCATTTTCCCTTTCCCCAACTTTTCCTTCCAGGTGCATTTGGCGTGTTTGTAGGTGTATCAGGGCGTTCAGTGTTTGTACCACTTTCTATACTGACAGCGTCATCCTGTAAGCAGTAAATGAGGAAAAATTACATGAAACAGCAATACTGTTTTTAGCAGTAAATAACTCTACTGGGAAGATGCTGACTGACCTAAGAGAAATAATTTCTACAAGAAGAAAAAAATGTATTCTTGCCTCCACATAAGGATAAACATAATCCAGCTACAGGTTAGAAGGTTTGTAGATATTTTATATTTCAACAAAAATGAAAATGAAATAAATACTAATGAGAATAATGGAAGAGTAATACTGTCTTTAATAAGGCACTGGTCTGTTCCAGTCACTTTAATACACTGTATCAGTGAATCTTTACAGCTCTTTACAAAAGGTACTGGAAGTGCTGAAAAAGCCTAACTGGTCTCTTGGCTGGTAATTCCATCCCAAAGCTGTGACTCTTAAATCTGACTGATGTATATGTCTTCATAATGTATTTGACTGCTGCTCAGTCTGGAGCATGGAGCTGGGGAGCCGTTTGAAGCAGGAGTGTTAATGGCTTCTACATTAGATGTCACTTTTTAAAATCCTGTTATTCAAATTCTGCTTATAACGCAAAACATTTAGAATTTTTTTAAAGTGCTACATATATTCTATGCTATTTACAAGTTAAAACTGTCTCATTGTTCTAAAGTAATAATACTCATAAATCAGAACTCCAGAGACTCTCAATCACAATTAAAGTAAATCCTTCCAAAAAAAAGAAATGACTGCAGGAAACCTTGAAAATTCTCCTAATTCATACCTTATCTCACACACGAGTGGCCCTCTAATCTCAGCTCTCTAATCTCAGAAGAGGATTCCACTACCTCCTGATTACAGATTCCAATGTCTCCTTTGGAAAGAAAAGATTTATTTAATCTAGGATCTTAGGGCAGCAGTTCTAAAATACATTCCAGAGGAAGCCTTTTTTTTTTTTTTTTTCCATGAAATGCCTATTAAACAGCCTAGGAAACACTGCTTTAGGGGCTATTTTTAAATTATTGCTTCCTAAAGTTGGTTTTATATAGAAGGTTAAAAAATATCATAAATGAAATAATAGGCGGGTAGCAAGCAGTACGTACTCAACAAATATTTGAATTGTAATTTAATGTGAATATCATTAGTCTTTACAGAAATAGAAAATGTGGTATTTTAATCTCTTTTTCTCTCCACCTTTTCAGTTGTATTCACATAATTAACATCAAACGTAGAAAACAATTCTGTATCTCAGTGGAAAACTATGCATTATCTATATAGCACATCCTTCCAAGTTACCAGACTATAGCCCTCCACTATGTCTTTGAGCTATCTTACAACTCTTTTTTGAGACAGGCTCTCCCTCTGTCACCCACTCTGTCCTTGGTTCAACGCAACCTCCACCTCCCAGACTCAAGTGATCTTCCCCCCACCTTAGCCTCCTGAGTAGCTGGGACAACAGGAGCTGGCCACCACACCCAGCTAATTTTTGGTAGAGACAGAGTTTCACGATGTCGCCCAGGCTGGTCTCAAACTCCTGGACTCAAAGGATCCTCCCACCTCAGCCACCTAAAGTGCTGGGATTACAGGTGTGAGCCACTGCGCCCAGCCACAACTCTTTTTTCATTATGAATAACTGATAGACATGTAAATTTTGTCTCTACAGTAGAGGTTCAAAATGTCTTCCCTTCCACTCAAGGGAAAAAAAAGTTTCTGTCTCCATTTGGAATTCATCTCTCCATTCCTTTACTCCATATATTAATAAATTTGTACTGTTTTGATTTTGCGGGTTAACCATTACTGTATAACATTTGCCTGGTTCCCTCTGAGTAAAAGTTTCAACATGTGTTCACTTGCCATTTTTTCTGTAAAATTACCTTTTAACACTAGAGAACTGAAATTTTAAAAACTCTAAGACGTTTTTATATATCAGTTTCTTTACATTCTGGCTAAACACTGAGCTGCCAATACAGAGGCCACACAAAACATTCGTTAATAGGGCACGTTGCTTATTTTACTTCTGATCACTTAATTTACCCATCTCCTCCCAAGGCAAATCAAGATGGAATCAAATGAAAATGTAATACAGCCACCATGCTTCCATTTTATCTTTAAACTAAAATCAAGTCTTTGCTGAGTGTCTAATATATGTACAGGGTGACCTCCATCCTATTCCATTCTCAAAGTAAAGAATGATACTGTGCAACAGACATGGTACTACCATCTTCACTTGCCCAACGAGGAAAGAGACACAGGGCAGTAATTTGCACCTGCATCTTGCCACAGGGATTCCCTGCATCTTTGCTTTTGCTTAAGCAAAAAGACAAGTCTCCAGATTCAGCCCTCTGATCTTACTACCAAGGCATCCATTAGTACTCTCGCAGAAGCCAACTACTCTGCAGTCATATGATCTCAAAAAGTTCAATAAAATGGCAGGTAACACAATAAATGTAAAATATGTGCCTGTAATTCTCTGACTCACATTAACAGTAGTAACTGCTCAGGTTACCTGAACTCTAACACAAAAACATATTCCCCCACACCCCATCTGCTTTGGCCTTTTGCCATTATTTGGCTCCCTCAAGAGTAAAACTATTGCCCTTATCTTTTCTAAACTCATTTTTATACAATGTTCTCTACTCCCTTACCTTACTACTGCCCCTAAGTCAGGGGTACATGGATGAAATTCAGAAGGCTTGTGAACTCAAATGGGGAAAAAAAATTGCATCTTAATTTTTGCCACCTTTAAAATTTAGCACTTCCTTCTATTATTATCTAGGTAACACATGCTTAATGTTACTGAAGTTGTGACTCTGCCACCAATGGAAATCAAGTATTTTTATATTACACTTCGAAAAAGTGTTTATACCCATCACTACTATCAGACCCGCTGCTAGATCTTGTTACTTAATGTGCTAATAAAGTACATATAGTATAGGACTACATCTAAAATTTGTTTTAGAAATATTTTATAACATGGTGTACAATTTTATAATTGAATTTGTTTGTAACCTCATATCCTGTATTTCATACATCTAAAAATGTTATTTTGAGAAGACTCTACAAGATTAAGGCTTCCAAGGCATGCGCACGCACACACACAAAATTAAGGCTATCCAAATGGAGGAACCAAAACAAAACTAATCCAATCATTTGGTCTTGAACAGCTTTAAAATTGCAGCAAAGAATATGTTTTCCTGTAAGGGTCTGCAAGAAGAAAATAAGCTTTATTTTGTCCTTTGCAAGTTTCTTCATTCTAAACAGGTCTGACAGTTTCATTATATTTTGCCTGATTATTAAGTATGTGGAAGAGCCAGAAACATTATTCTATGTAATCATAAAATTAGTAGTAGTAATTATTATAAATAAATAACATGTGTATAGTACTTACTATGGGGCAGACACTCTTCTTAGTACTTTAGCTATATTAACTCATTTAATGCTTACAAATACTCTATGAGGTAAATACCATACACCACCATCCTCATTTTTAAGAAACTAAGACAATTATGTCAGTCTCTTGCTCGAGGTCAAGCTAATAGAACAGAAATTTTAACCTATCACTTGGATCCAGCATCTGTGCTCTTAATACTCTAATCTGCCTAGAGAAATTTAAGAAAACGCAGAAATAAAATGAACGGTCTTCAAATAATAAAAAGAAGAGGGTAAAAAATGTTAGATCCCAATGTACAGTGAGATTGGGGCGCACAATCGGGTGAAAAATACAAAAGTAACACTTAACACCCAAGCTTTTCTGAAATTTGAAGTCTAAGATCCCACAAACTGACAATCCCAAGAATATCTATCTTGTCTCTGCAAAAAGAATCCTTTCCCATCTTTTCCGTGAAAATCTTAGTCATGACATCATTATATGTTTCAGCTAGGAATTATGACAGAATTTAGAAACTGCGTGTAGAAGATGTAACATTTATTCCTAAAACTAGCCAAACTGAGAAAATGAAGAACTTACGCCACTCTTCTGAAACATTTTAAGGATTTTTTAAAAGATATTCACAAGTTGTTATATATCATGAGAAGGAGAATCACATTTTGGAGTAGTATCTTTGAATAAATTGTCAAGATACTTCGTTGACCTTACTGGTTATCAACCTAAAACATGAAACTGAAAACTTATTTATGTCAATTCGGCTCTTACTGGCGAGTCAATTAAAACTCAGTTGGGTTAAATGTTGGTACCGAATGATTACGAATACCCATTTCAGAGCTTAAAAAAATCTGATTGCAAAACATCGCGCACTTGGCGAAGCCAGGAACCCACACTTAAATACATCTGCCTATACCACTGTTGCCCAAAATCTTCCAGGTCGCCACCCCCCTCACCTTTATCTTAAGTAAAAACGTTCAAAGAAGAAATCACCCACTCTTACTTCCTCAAAGGTAGTCACTCCCCACCCCCAAATCAAAAATCGATCCTCTCAATTCGGCTCCTCCTACAGAAAAGGCGACCTTCAGGCGCACCCGGTCTCCGCGGACAGGACGGAGGCGGACACAAAACCCCCTTTAATAAAGTCTCCCAAACTCCGCAAATCGAAGATCACTTTCCATCCTGAAAATTCCACAAGGGTCTTAGAGTGACAACCCTTACGCTCCTTTAACAGGGTCCCTAACTCTGCCCCGTCCTTCCAACTTTCTTAGAAAAGTCTCTAACGTGCCTTTTAAACTACTAGAATCTCAGACCCGCACTCTCCCCTTAAATCCCCCCAAAGGCCAAAACACTCCCCATCACATGCAAACTGATTTCAGGGCAGACTTCTCAGACCCACGCAATCACTAGAACCACTCTCCTTTGCCTAGTTCCTGCTTGCTCTCGGCCCCACATCAAAATCCCCGTAGGCAATTTCAATTTTCTCCCGCACGCCCGCGTTTTCCTGAGTGACACCTCTCCCTCCCCCCACAGCAGCCCGCTCGTCCCCGCGCCCCCCGTTTTAAAAGAATTTAAAACTTTCACTCCGCAGTCTCGTAACTGCCAGAAGCTGCACTTACATTCTCGTCTCCAGAGAGGTCTGGATTGCTGTTCTCGTCACTGCTCAGCTTCTGCTTCTTGGCCGCAGGCATGTCTGTTCCCGCCGGCGCAGTCGACACTTCCCTCTCGGACATATTCCTCCGCCTCCCTCCAGGTTCCTGCCGCCTGGGGCGGGGCCTCCGCCACACCGCCGTCAAGCAAGCCCGGCCCGAGCTTGCCGCAAAGTTGCCGCTGCCGCCGCCACCTCCACCGCCCCCCCCACTGTCGCAAATCGCGCCCAGCCGCCGAGGCGGGCGTGCGTGCGACCCCGCCACACTGCTGAAAAAGGGGCGCGCGCGCGCGCCCTCCCGCGCGGCTTCCTGGCTCCTTCCCTTCCCCAACTCCCGTCTTGCCCTTTTCCCGCCGCCCTCCCGGCAGTCTACACGATGTAAGGTCCGTTGGATTAAGAGGGCAGTATTAAGTATGTCTCCCTTCCCACCACCGCCTCGAGAAGAGGCGAAACTCAAAGGGATGCTCCCTCACCCCCTTCCTCCTTCCAAAGACGTTTCAGCCGCAATTGGCCCGTTCCTTCGATCTCCGACCCGCTGCTAGGGAGCGAAAGTCTGTGGAATGGGCTACACCACCAATGTCCCAGGAAACGGGGGAAGATACAAGACGTCACCTCTTGCTTTAGCTGTGCATGCCACGTTTCCTTAATCTTGAACTTGGAGGACAGCGCTTCCTGACTATTCACGGAACTATTCATAACCTAATTCTTCCTTGAAGATAGAAATGCAAAAACAGTAACCTGCTTCCCCCTGGCTTCCCCCATCTGGCGAATGGAAAGTACCCGTCAGGGGATGCGCAGGCGCCGTGGCGTACTCTTGCGCTGGGTTCGTCGAAACCCGCCTCCTCCAAGCCCCTCCTCTGTTTGAATTCTCGTTTGCTGAACCAGGTAGTTTTCTACCCGGTTTCCGAATCCCAGGGTGGATTTCAAAGCGCTACCGAATTATACTCTAGACGCTTCGTAAATTCTTGTCGGATATTTATTCTGTTGACTATTTATTGTAATGAATGATTATCCTTCCAGTTGCTACCAATAGTGGTTAAGACTTAAATAGAAATATCCTAACATTATGAGACTAGACTCCAATGAGTTACAGCCAAAGTGCTCTTTTTAGCTGCTAAAGGATAGGCCCTGAACTACGCCAAGGCCTAAGAATCAGTGCTCATCTCCATTATGAGATTGTGATACTTAACCGACAATGTTTTGCTTGTTTTTGCACATCAGATACAATGAAATTCTAGAAGGCAACACAACTGTTAAACTTCACCAAAATATTTGCCTCTGTTACTATATCTATTCTCTAGCAGGTGCCAGATAACATTGGTGAGCCTTGTGGAATTATTATATGGGTCATGAAACCATAACTGAATGAGCAGCAGGAAAAGGAGAGTGATGACGAAAAATAAAATACGGCATCCGCCACCTTTTTTTTGTTTTTCTTAGAACATGATTGTGACTACTTATCTATTCGGGCTTCTGTAAAAATGTCCTCATCTGTAAAAATGAGGAGGCAGGAAGGGAGAAAGGGACCTACCATTTCTTGGGCACCTGCTTGATGTTGTATATCTTTTCTCTTCTAGACCTCATTACCCACCTAGAGTGCACCATCCATAAAATTCTAGTATACTTGAATTATTTCTGCATGATAACTTTATAACCAGGACATCAGTTTCCTTATCTGCAGATTGCAAGTCACTCTTTCTTTTGTAGATAAAGAGAGAACTCTTGGTTGAGAATGAGAAAAGGAAGTAAAGCAAAGGCAGGTCAGAATGAGAGGTTTCTGCAGTGAAGACTTTGAAATAAAGAAGCCGAAAAAAAATTAAAGTTGAGGTCTCAATGACGGCAGTCATTTGTTCAGTACTTCCAATGTTCCAGGCACTACTAAGCACTCCTCAGTTGGTGAGAAGAGATGAGACTGGAGTAGAGTAAGCTCCTGACAAAGTAAGACGTGCTTTGGCATGACATTTTCATCAGCAGACAGAAACATCCTTCCCTTTGTTAAGAACATCTTTCCCAACAAAGGGAAGGACGTTTCTGAAATATAGTTCTACAAGTAAAGGATAATTGACTAAAGCATTTCAAATTAAAATTACTCCGTGTGTGAGAGATTAGTGGGAGCTGGGAAGTGGGAGTCAACGTCTAGTCATAAAATTAGAAAAGTGCTGAACATTTGGATAAAGGACACATATGGTAGAAAAATGCCTTACAGCATTCATATTATCTGTAACAAAGCAAAAATAGTTTAAAGAGGCTTATTAAAACTTGAAGGGGTTATTTTTAAAATGTTTCTGATGAATCAGGGGTGATAAATGGAAATTAGTTTATATTACTACGTTATTGTCACTACATTAAAGGAAAAATATTCTGACACTTGTTAAAATAGTAAGGAACACTTAATTCAGGACTATTTTGATAGCTGTCAAGACTATCACAATAGGAGAGAGATCAGGCTCAACTCCAAATTACAGCAAGGAGTGGGGATGTATAGTCAAGGAGCAAAGTTGGAGGGGTTGGTGGTTGGAAAATTACTAAGAAGAGACATCAAGAATGGGGAAACTTTTGCTACACCAACTTAACAGAATTTGTGCTAAAAAAGGCCGGGGTGATCAGATATCCAGGGTATGGGTTTTTCTCTAAACTGATGCAGAATTCTTGCTACAGCTGAGCCAGGCAAGCTAGACAGGAAGATGGAGAAGAGGGCTCAGAGGAGAGTCTTTGTTACTAATTTAAGATATGTAAAATGTCATAGGTGTTCCATGCAGAGTACTACTTTTGTGGTATTAATTTAATAACCATAAAAGTCTAATTACCTATTAAAAATAAGTTTTGCTGAGTGCATTGATGTGTACCTGTAGTTCCAGCTACTCAAGAGACTAAGGCAGGAAGATTGCTTGAGCCCGGGATATCAAAGCCAGGCTGCGCTGCATAAGGAGACCTACTTCTCTAAAAAAGAAAAATTTGTACGTTTCTCAACACTGCATTCTCCTACTGTGAAAGATCTCAGGAACCATCACAGTTGGAGAGGTCTTACTACCCACATTTTACAAATGAGGAAACTAAGACTTAGGATAAGTAAACAGTATGCCCAAAGACACACAGCTGTTCAAGTGGCAGTACTAGAGATTGTGTTCAATTGATTGGAAAGCCAAAGCACTTTTACCTCAAGATGAGGGACCCAGGCAGCTCTAAATTTATGTAATTCTATGCACAGAGCTTGGTCTTTAGACCACAGAATTGTTTATAAAGTATCAAAGAACTTTAAAAAGCTATCTCACTTGGGACAGAAAGAAGATACAACTGGGAAAACAAACAAAGAATCTATAGCATAGTTTATAGTAATGTACGGATTTCAGTCTTTACTTAATTTTGACCAATGTAACATGGTAATGTAAGATGTTAATAATGAGGGAAACTGGATGAGGGGAATACAGGAACTCTCTATGCTATCTTTGTTCTTAGTAAATTTTCTGTAAAAGTATTCCAAAATAAAAACTTACTTTAAAATATCTATCTCATACTTGGCTGTTGAGAATTCAGTAAGAAATACCCCTTAGCCTTCAAGTAAGTGGTTGATCCATCTTGGAACTTTCCAAGATCATTTACTTATATAGAAAAAGAAAATTCACAGCGTTCCTTGGCATTGTCTCCTGGTATCTTGTAAGCTTCATATCAGGAAATGAGTTTCAAAAGCTAAATTAAATCCTTCCCATTTCAACTGGAGTCTATTTCTCATTCATTCAACATTTTTGTCTCTTCTGCTTCATAAATAGCAGCTGTTCATCATCATTCATGCAATGTGTAATCATATGCTTGCAGATCTGGTTTTCTATGAACAGAACATCATATGGCTTATTTGAACGTTTTCAAATCAATCAGGAAGAATTTACTGAATGCCATTTACATGCAAAGCAGTAGGATAATTCCAGGGGCAATGGGGAGGAGGGGACAATAAAAAAGAAAATAAGACACAGTCTCTACCTTCAAACAGCCTAATATTCATCCAGCGTTAAGAAATAACGAATGGGGCCGGGCGTGGTGGTTCATGCCTGTAATCCCAGCACTTTGAGAGGCCGAGGCAGGTGGATCACCTGAGGTCAAGAGTTCGAGACTAGTCTGGCTAACATGGCGAAACCCCGTCTCTACTAAAAATACAAAAATTAGCCTGACGTGGTGGCTGGAGCCTGTAATCCCTGCTACTCGGGAGGCTGAGGTGAGAGAATAGCTTGAAACCGGGAGGTTGAGGTTTGCAGTGAGCTGAGATCACACCATTGCACTCCAGCCTGGGTGACAAGAGTGAAACTCTGTCTTAAAAAAAAAAAAAAGAAAAATAACGAATAGATTTAATATATATTTACTGAGTACCTACTGTGTGCCCAACACTGTTCCAGGTGCTGAGGAAACTTGACAATAAGCAAAACCAGACAATTTCCTGCTGTCATCATGCTTATTGACAAGTAGGAGAAACAAGCATTAACCAAATAAATGTGAAATTACCGTGGTAAGTGGTATGAAGGGGAAGTACAAGGTCAGGGCTGCTGCTAGCCCATATGGTATCTTTGTGCTATTTTTTAAAAGGCCATAGCAGAAAGAGCCCAGAGTAGGTAAAGCTTGGCAAGCAAACAATGACTTTGGTAAATTAGAAAAGGCACCCCCTTTTCCAGATTGATACAACCCTGCTCCGTGTGCAAGGCTTTGTGAGTGGAGCACAAATTTGATTTTAGTTTTAGTTGTCACCTCAGCTGGGAACCCTTGTTTAGATGAACAAGCTGCACAGGCATACACAGCAGCTGGACAAAGTTTCCATGGACGTGTGTAATAAAGTGAGACATGGGAGGGTTTCCCTGAGAAACAGACAGAAGAGTAGAACTAAAAGAAGAATGGGAGTTAACCAGTCTCCCATTAAGAAGAGAAGGAGAAACATTCTAGGGAGTGATAACAGCATGTGCAAAAGTCCTGGCGCAGGAATATGAGAAGAGTACAAACGCCATTGGTACACTGAAAGGTCAGTGCTGGTGAAGGACTGAAAAGAGAAGGTGACAAAAGTGTGGTAACAGAGAAGGCTAGAAAAGAAGGTAAGGGGCCAGATCGTGGAGGATCTTATAGACCTTCTTAAGACAAGTCTATTAACATGTATCTCCTGTTGATAAGACTTATACAGAAGGAATTAGAATGGCATTATTTTAACTCTGTTTGTATTTATTTCACTTATATACAGTGAAATGCACAGATCTCAAGTATATAGTTCCATGTGTTTTGACACAGGCATACACCCATATAATCCACACACCATCAAGATACAGATGGAGCTTTCCAACACCTCAGAAAGTTTTCTCATGCCTCTTCCCAGTCAAACCTCTCCTCTCTTTCTCCCCAGGCAGCCACTATTCTGTTTTGCCTATATTTGCATATTAGTTTTGCCTATTGTAGAACTTCATATAAATAGAATAATTCAGTATGTTCTCTTTTGTATCTGGCTTCTTTTGCTCAGCATAATGTTTTTTAGATGTATAAAATGACATTAGCTTTTAAAGAAAAATACTGCCTTTAGCTTTCAAATACTATCTTTAGCTTTTAAATATTGTCATTAGCTTTTATGGCCGGGCGTGGTGGCTCATGCCTATAATGCCAGCACTTTGGGAGGCTGAGGTGGGCGGATCATTTGAGCTTAGGTGTTCGAGACCAGCCTGGCCAACATGGTGAAATCTATCTGTATTAAAAATGTAAAAATTAGCTGAGCATGGTCGTGGGTGCCTGAAATCCCAGCTACTCAGGAGGCTGACATAGGAGAATCACTTGAACCCAGGATGTGGAGGTTGCAGTGAGCAGAGATTGCGCCACTGCACTCCAGCTTGGGCAACAAAGTGAGACTCCATCTCAAAAAAAACAAAAACAAAAACTGTTATTAGCTTTTAAAGAAAAATACTGTATTTTAAAGGAAAATACTGTCTAGGTCAATGGTTCTCAAATTGTAACAATTCAGAAACATCTGGATAGCTTGTTAAATCACAGTTGCCTGGGCCCTATCTCCAGAGACTCTGATACACTGGGTTGGGATCCAGCCTCTCAATGTGCATGTCTAACAAACTCACAGGTGATACCAGTACTGCTGATTTAAAGATCACGCTTTGACAACCACTGGTCTAGATGACAAATCAGAAATGTCTTATAATCAGTTTCAAGGAATTTTTCTGTTCATTTAATAAACACTTTCTTAAAGTACCTGCTATGTGCTAGGCACTTTCTAGGTGGTGGGATTCAAAAATAAAACATCACGCCTCTCCTCTAGTAACTTATAGTCTAGTAAGGGAAGACAGAGGTAAACCAAATGAGTATCACTAGTTGTCTTAGAAAATCTGTTCACTATCTAATGGAATAAAACCTTAAAAGAGAGAAAGTGCTTTTGTTTTCCGAAGTAGATAAACTGCCAGGCGCAGTGGCTCATGCCTGTAATGCCAACGGAGGCGGGAGGATCGCTTGAGCCCAGGATTTCGAGACCAGCCTGGGCAACATAAGGAGACCTTGAGTCTATAAATAAAAATACGAAAAAATTAGCCAGGCATGGTGGCATGCACCTGTAGTCCCAACTACTTGGGAGGCTGAGATGAGAAGATCACCTGAACCTGGGAGGTCAAGGCTGCAGCGATCATGCCACTGCACTCCAGCCTGGGTGACAGTGAGATTTGTGTCAAAAAAAAAAAAAAACCCAACCAAATAAAAAAACAAACAACAACAAAAACAAAAACTAATGTAGATAAACCACTAGGAATAAAAGCAAGGCTGTATAATGGATGTCCCAGACACGGGATTCCTTACTGTCAAGCTAACTGCAAAGGTGATCAGTAAGACCTACTTTACTAAGTGTTTTCCATGTGTCTGGTACTGTGCAAAATGCTTTCTACACAGCATGCCATTTAATCCTCTCAATATCACTATAAATCTGGTACTATATTATCCATGTCTTACAGATGACTTGTAGCTCACAGATTAAGGGATTAGACAAAGGACATTCAACAAGTAAGTGGGAGAATCAGAATTCGAACCCAGATCTCATTGACCCAAGTGCTGGTCCTTTTAAACACTAATACTTACAGGTCTCTGTTAGAAAAACAACCTTCATAAATAATTTTAGTGCTACCTAGTGCTATAATACAAATGCTCAACAGAGAATACATACAGTACTATGACAGAACAGGTAGGGCAGTAACTTGGTGGAAATATGAGAAGGCATCACGAAGAGGTGAGAATTAGCTTGGAAAGTAAATTTTTGTCAGTGTTACCCTGACAAAAGTCTGAGAGACAGACAATCCATTGGATGCAAACACTACATTCTGAGCATTAGCAAAGAACACTGTCTTGTGGCTAAAGAAAAGTTGATTAGGATCACTTATAGCTTGAGTGAAATCTCCCTTATAATTATGCAGTGCCTTTGTTTACCACATACAGTCATGTGCTGCCTAATGACATGTCACACAATGACGGACTACATGCACAGTGGTCCCATAAGATTTTAATGGAGTTGAAGATTTCCTATTGCCTATTGATGTCATGGCAGTAACAACATGGTAGCGCAATGTAGCACAAGGCATAAAGCCTTTCTTGTTGTTAAAGGGATGCATGACTCAGCTACTCGGGAGGCTGAGATAGGAGGATTGCTTGAGGCCTGGAGTTTGAGACGAGCCTGGGCCACAGGGACACCCCATCTCTTAAAAAATAAAATAAAATGAGAAAATAAGCCAGGCATGGTGGCGTGTGCCCGCAGTCCCAGCTACTCAGGAGGCTGATTCAGGAGGATCACTTGAGCCTAGGCATTCAAGGTTGCAGCTTTGGAGACAGAGCAAGACCCTGTCTCTAAGAAAAAGAAAAAAGAGAGAGAGAGAGATGCTATCTTGTGAGTGCTATTTCAGCTTTCTGGTTTCCTCGATAATAGAAAGTGCCCTAAAGAATGGACATTCCGGGCCGGGTGCTGTGACTCACACCTATAATCTCAGCACTTTGGGAGGCCGAGGCAGGCAGATCACCTGAGGTCAGGAGTTCAAAACCAGCCTGGCCAACGTGGCAAAACCCCATCTCTAGTAAAAGTATGAAAATTAGCTAGGCGTGGTGGTGGGCACCTGTAATCCCAGATACTCAGGAGGCTGAGGAGGGAGAATCACTTGAACCCAGGAGGCAGAGTTTGCAGTGAGCCGAGATCATGCCACTGCACTCCAGCCTGGGCAACAGAGCGAGACTCCATCTCAAAAAAAAAAAAAGAAAGAAAGAAAGAAAAAAGAATGGATATTCGTATTCCAGTCACTGGAGAGGTATACTCCACAGCATCTCTTCTTCTTCTTCTTCTTTTTTTTTTTTTTTTGATGGAGTCTCACTCTGTCGCCCAGGCTGGAGTGCAGTGGCATGATCTCGGCTCACTGCAAGCTCTGCTTCCCGGGTTCACGCCATTCTCCTGCCTCAGCCTCCCCAGCAGCTGGGACTACAGGCACACACTGCCGTGCCCGGCTAATTTTTTGTATTTTTAGTAGAGACGGGGTTTCACCGTGTTAGCCTCGATCTCCTGACCTTGTGATCCGCCCGCCTCGACCTCCCAAAGTGCTGGGATTAGAGGCGTGAGCCACTGTGCCCAGCCAACAGCATCTCTTCTATTTGTTTATTTGAGACAAAGTGTTGTTCTGTAGCCAGGCTAGAGTCCCGGGCTCAAACAATCCTCCAACCTCAGCCTCCTAAGTATCCACAGCATAACTTTAATACTTTGGCAAATGGTTCATGAATAAGTGTCTAGTTTAGGAGGGGTCACATCATGAAAGGCCTTATGCCATTGGTCTGTAAAGTAATAGGTAGCCAAAGAAGGGTTTTCTCTTTGGCAAAGGTCAGAGGGTAAGGCTGAGAGATGGGCTCAGGGGCTATTTCAGCTATTTCAGTACTGCAGACGTGAACTAAAGCAGTGCCAATGAAGATGAAAAGCAAGGGGTTGGTTCCAGAGATATTTAAAAATGCAATCAACAGGACTCAATAATTCATGGACCGTGAGGGGCTTAGGATGACTCAGGTTTATAGTTTAGCTGACTTCCTGGATCACGGTATCTCTAACTAAGATAGAGAAAATAGGAGGAGAAGTAGGTGGAATTTTTAACTTTTAGTGTTGAGAAGATAAGCATAATATAATTTAACTTCTCCCTAAACCCAAATATAGTCTTAAGGGTAAAGGCCAACAACAATGCCTATCACTAATTAAAAGGAATAATTGGCCGAAAAAATGGATGTAATTCCAATGTCTTGTACATTTTATCTTTCCTTTTCTTTCCCTTTCTCTCTCTGTCTTTTCCTTTCTCTCTTCCATTCTTCCTTCCTTCTCTCTCTTTCTTTCCTTCTTTTTTTTTTTCTTTCGAAACAGGGTCTATGTTGCTCAGACTGGTCTCAAACTCCTAGGCTCAAGCAATCCTCCCACCTTGGCCTCTCAAAGTGTTATGATTACAGGCATGAGCCACCATGCCCAGCCAAATATTTTGTTCTTTAAAAATATGTTTGTGTGAAAAAGTGTGTGGGACAATATGTGTGTGGAAAAGCTTAAACCATTTATTATTGGAGGAAAAATTGTTGAACAATGAATATATTTCAATTTTTGAAACAAAGGTTTGCTCCTGCTTTTAAATTACCAGCCTTGATTTTATGAACGATAAAATTTTATCCACAATCTTCCTCTTACACAGTAAGAAAAAGTCTGAAGAAAAATATATTTTTTTAGTGACTATCTTCTGAGATTCTCAGTGCTCTTTTCAAATGTAAATCAAAACCAGCAGTGTCCCTGTTTAAACACTAAGACAAAAAGGATCCAGAAAGTTGTACTGAGAGATAATATTCATTGACGGGGCTTGCTCTATACAGGCAGGTTTGCACAATTTATCTTATTTAATCCTCATAACATTCTTGCATCTGTATTTACAAATGAGAAAGCTGAGACAGGGAAGTTGAATTACTAACTCCAGGTCACAGAGGTAGTGGTGGAGCTGGATTTGAATCCACACAGCCTAACTCTCAGACCTGAGTTTTTTTTATCACTTCACCATATGGCATCCCGCTGAGTTGTCAACATGTTCCTTTCTTTCTTTTCTTTCTTCCCTTTCTTTCCTTTCTTCTCTCCCCTCCCTCCCTCCCTTCCTCCCTCCCTTCCTTCCTTCCTCCCTTGCCTCTTTCTTTCTCTCTCTTTCCCTCCCTTCTTCTTTTCCTTTCTCCTTCCTTCCTTTTGTTTCTTTCCTCCCTCCCTCCTTCCCTCCTTTCTTTTTCTTTCTTTTTCATTCCCTCCCTCCTTCCTTTCTCTTCCTTTCTCCATTCTCTCTTCCTTCCTTCCTTTCTCTTTCTTTCTTTCTTCTTTCTTTCCTTCTCTCTCTTTCTTTCTTTTCTTTCTTTCTTCCTTTCTTCCCTCCCTCTCTTCCTTCCTTCCTCTTTATAATTTAGGTCATAAGCATGTATTACTTTTGTATTTAAAAAAAAAGCTTACTTGAATTTAAAAATCAATCAGATCAATGAATTTATTTTAAATATCCCTTCCCATTGATTCCCTGAAAAGATCACCTCTGTAACTTTAAGCATTGAATACATTGCAGTTTGAAAGCAAAGTCTTGTCTGGTGCATGTACATGATTATTGTACCTAATTCTCTGAAAAATAGGCTACAATTACTACCAGGTTAATTAACCGTTATTATCTTAAAGTCAGGATTATTACAGATAAATGCCTAATTCTGAAATAAAACTGGGAATTAAAGCCAGATAAATGGGAGTTTTGTTGTTATTTTAACATTTTGTAAACTTTTTTTCTTTTTTTCTTTTTTTTTTAGATGGAGTCTTGCTCTGTCATCCAGGCTGGAGTGCAGTGGCACAATCTCGGCTCACTGCAACCTCCACCTCCCAGGTTCAAGCGATTCTCCTGCCTCAGCCTCCCAACCTTTGTAATCTTTATATTGTCTGAAAGTTTATTAATCAGCCATAAGAAATTCACTCCTATCTATAAATTAAAGTCAGTGCCCAAAGAGTCCTGAGATCTGAAATTTATTTTTACTTTTTTTGTTTTTCTTTTTTCTTTTTTTTTTTTTTTTGAGACGGAGTCTTATTCTGATGCCCAGGCTGGAGTGCAGTGGCACGATCTAAGCTCACTGCAACCTCTGCCTCCTGGGGTCAAGCGATTCTCCTGCCTCACCCTCCTGAGTAGCTGTGACTACAGGCGTGCCCCACCACACCCGGCTAATTTTTTTGTATTTTTAGTAGAGACAGGGTCTCACCATGTTGATAAGGCTGGTCTCGAACTCCTGACCTTGTGATCCTCCCACCTCGGCCTCCCAAAGTGCTGGGATTACAGGTGTGAGCCACCGCGCCCAGCCACTTTTATTTTTTTTCTGTGAATTATGCAGAGAAGTTGAGATCTGAAATTTAACTTAGCACTGTGAGGCTAGACCCTTAGAAATGCAAAACTGTATTCCCAATTTCTTTGTAAATTTTTTTTTTACGTTCATATTGGTTTGTTACTATAAGATGTCTCAGGAGAATTAGCCTGTTGGATCAGATATAATGCTGTTTTTTGTTGAAATAAGCCAACATCAGGGAATTTTTGTGTTGAAAGAGTAATTACATATATGAAATTACACAGACTTTGCAAAACAGTGTGAGCATTAAAAGAAAATAAATGAAAAAAACAACTTTTAAAATAGGTTGCATGTGATTTCACTGACCTTGACGCTAATCTACCATCAGTACATATAAACAAAGCAAGAAAATAAATATACTTAATAGGTTTTATGTAAAAATTACTTGCTGCTTTTAATTCAAAGATATGTGTATACTTAAAAACTTGTCTGGGAGAAAATCTTAAATAGGGTTAAAACAACAAGTTTTTACAAATGAAGATATTAGTAAAAATATATTTTCCTTGAAAAGGGGTAAATTAGAAATTAAATATCTTGAATTTACTCTAACATGGGTTCTTACTTTACTTTCTTTCTTTGAGGGACCAAAAGGTGACTTAGAACAAAGATTTGATAGAGCGAGTTCAAGCACTAATAAGGTGCAGAGTGTCAAATAATTGTGAATCAAGACTTTGATGAGTTAAGTGTAAATGACTCAGAAACATGGATTATATTCTTCAAAGTACACATGAGTTTAGAAGTGCAGAGGAAAACATGCTCAGTAAAATGCTCAGAGGCATCCTGAAACCCAAATACTTCAAATGTTGCATTTCAGCATTTGAGGTGTGCACAAAATGAGATCACGGCAATCTATATCCAGGGTAAACAGTGGAGATAATTTGCATTATCTTCATTTTTCCTTCTCATATTTTCTGAATCTTATGCCCAGGAATAAGGATGCTGTATTAGCCTTCCCCAGAGGAAAAGAACAAGTAGTGTATGTGTACATATATAGAGAGAGACAGATTTATTTTAAGTAACTGGCTCATGCTATTATGGAGCCTGGAAAGCACAAAATCTACAGTTCTAATCTGAAGGTCATGTGCTGGCAGAATTCCTTCTTGCTCAGAAGGTCAGTCTTTTGTTCTAGTCAGACCTTCAACTGATTGAATAAGGCCCACCCACATTATGGAAGGTGATCTGCTTTACTCAGAGTCCACTGATTTAAATGTCATTCTCATCCAAACACCCTCACAGAAACATTCAGAATAATGTTTGACCAAATAGCTGAACACAGTGGCCAAGCCAAAATTAACCCTTACAGATGCTTAGTTAGTTCATATTGTCTGCCTGTTAATTAAATTTGACATTTAGAATACTAAAGAAATGCTAGTTCAAAGGGATGAATAGAATTCACTAACAAACTTGTAGAGCTGGAAAGGCCATTGGAGACCTTCTAATAGTATTTCTAATGGTATTTCTCAAAAGGAGTGCTATTAGCATTTAGGGCAGAACAGCTTTTGGATGTAGCGGATTGTCCTGAGCATGGCAGGACATTTAGCATCTCTGGCCCCAACCCATAAATGTTAATAGCTCTCCCAATCATTGTGACAACTGAACAAAACCATGCACAGATTTCCAAACACCCTGGGGTGGAGGGGGGATGGAGGTAATACTCTTCATTAAGAGCTGCACCCCCACCCCAGTTTTGGAGGAAGAAACAGATTTAATAAGGTCAATTTACTATATCTTCTATGTAGACTATTACTTTCTCTCTCTCTCTTTTTTCCTAATTTAGCAGGGTAATTATTTGTACCACACTATTTTGTAATAACACTGCCTAAAATAAAGTTTAAAATGTAAACTCTGAGTGGTACGAAATGCTACAATGTACAAAGTTGGGTAAAGGTTTTAATCATTAAGTTGCCAGGGTTTTGGTTAGCACACATATGTAATTTTTGGTATTAAACTAAAAAGCACAGCTACATCTAAATGTTCTGAGCTTGGTGTGGTGGCACACACCTGTAGTCCCAGCAACTCAGGAGGCTGAGGTGAGAGGATTGCTTGAGCAATCCAGCATGGGCAACATACTGCAGCCTGGGCAACATAGTGAGACCTCATCTCTAATAAAATTTAAAATAAAGAAATAAAAAGTAGAATATCTAAATTCTCTCCTTCCACAAAGCCTTTTGCCATCTTTTCAACCAGGACTAATTGTGCATTTTCTTGATCTCTCATGACACTTATTTTTCTCTCTTTTATGTTACTTATTGTAGTAATATAATAGCTTTCATTCATTGTTGCTTACGATGAGCAATACAGTTTGCTAAATACTTAACTTAATGTATTGTAACTTTTACCCATCATAGAAACATTATAAGTAGATATTATTTGTTCTAATTGACAGATGAGGAAGTTGAGACACAAAGAGATTAAGTAATATATCCAAGGCCATATAATTAATAGATTTCAGAGTTTGGATTTCAACTAAGATCTGTTTGCCTACAGATTCTGTGTTCTTAAATTATGCTGTTCTGACTCCAGATAGAGCCCATTTTGCCAGTCTCTCTCAGAAACTCTGGGATATTACTCAAGGCCACCAATAAACCTACTTACACATGGCCACTTGGTATACTGGGAGATATGGCAGAGACTTTGGTATTGCTTGTGAGGCCCCAGAGATAACAGAATTAAAAACCCTTGAACAAAAACAACAAAAAGATCTTTGAAGATTTCCTGCAGCTCCTGGTGAGTGTTCCCCAAGACAAGATAGGAAGTGACTCTTTTTTGCCTTCAGCAACAAGTTCTCTGAGTAATGTTTTGAGTTGGCACAGTTGGCATCACTAAAATAGCTTTCTGTTCCAGCCCCTGAGGAATTTGGTGAAACTTCTTTGTCAAAGAGAGCTACAAAATAGGAAGAACTAGACCACTTTTTGTTTTTTATTCTTAAAATATAGTGAAAGTAACACATGTACATCTTGGATAAATGTAACACATGTACATTTTGGATAATTTGGAAAACACGAGAAAAGCACCAAGAAGAAAACTCATGTAATTCTATGCAGAGATGGCCACTATTAATATCAGAGTCTTCTATTTTTTTTTTTGGCTTTTTCTGTCCACACACAAACATGAATACACACATATTTGGAAAATATAATTCATACCATGTTATAATTTTATAAGCAATTTTTATGACAGTATATGATAGATATATATTTCTTTGTTTTCCTGTAATAGCATTTTAATGGCTGCATAGTACTATATCATAAAGATAGCCACAATTTATTTAACCACACCCCTGCTCTTTGTCATTTAGATGGTTCCTGTTCTTTCCATGTATATTTACATACTTGCATGTGCATGTTTATATGGGCTCTGATTATTTCCTTAGGAGAGGGAAAAGAGAGGCAAGCCAAATCACTAGTTGGAAGTTACATTGTACTCTGGTAAATGTGTCCAGTTAACACTCTCAGTGGAGCCAGGTTGCCCTTTGATGACTAAAAAATATGTAATCTCTCAGAGGCCACATCCTGAAAGTGCTGCTGGAATTGCAGGGAAGGAGCTTTCCACTGGGAGGAGGAAGAGCAAGTGGCTCCAGGTAACAGTGAGAAAATACCAACTGAGCTTTTCGACATTTATATTAGGATGCCAACTTTGCTACATGCCATGTTTCTTGGTCTACACTCCTAAGACTGTGGATTAACAATACAAAATACCTGTACTTCAAGTTCCTAACAGAAATGTCAGCCTCAACCCAGCTAATTAGGTGCGCCATGTCCCCACCCCAGGCTAAGTTACTTGTGGGCAGAATCCATTTCTCATTCATTGTGATTTCTGTAGTGACTTCACATTCAATGAATGTTTTCTTTTTCTTTTCTTTTCTTTTTTTTTGAGACAGAATCTCGCTGTGTTACCCAGGCTGAAGTGCAGTGGCGCAGTCTCAGCTCACTGCAAACCCCTCCTGGGTTCAAGCTATTCTCTTAGCACCCCCCGAGTACTTGGGATCACAGGCGTGTGCCATAACGCCCAGCTAATTTTTGTATTTTTAGTAGAAATGGGGTTTTGCCATGTCGGCCAGGCTGGTCTTGAACTCCTGACCTCAAGCAATTCTCCTGCCTCAGCCTCCCAAAATGCTGGGATTACAGGTGTGAGCCACTGTGTCTGGCCTCAACAAACATTTTCTGAATGAATGAAATCAGTATTATCTTTCTGCCTACTACCCTAATTTATATTGACTTGTTTAGAGGATTTAAAAGATGTCAGCTCCTGAAATTTGCTATTGCAAGGACTGAAAGGCTTTTTCCCACGGTGAGAACACAATTACTCCAGCTGAAACCACTTTTACAGGTTGAAGCTTTTGGGTCGAGACCTCTTCCACAGGCTCACTAATCCACATAAGGAGAAAGACCTTGAAATAACCTTGTTCAAACCTGCATTTGGAATCTACCCAATTGCAGTACACTAGTATACAACTCAGCTTTATACTACACATATTATTTTTAAAATTTTTCTTTTGTTTGTTTACTTTCTTTTGTTTGTTTGCTTTGTTTTGTTTTGTTTTCTTCTGTTATTTTTTTGAGACATGGTCTCATTCTGTCACCCAGGCTGGACTGCAGTGACACGAGCATGGCTCACTGCAGCCTTGACCTCCTAGGCTCAGGCGATCCTCCTATCTCAGCCTCCCAAGTAGCTAGGACCACAGGCACACAGCACCATGTCTGGCTAATTTTTTTTTCTATCTTTTGTAGAGATGGGGTTTTGCCATGTGGCCCAGGCTGGTTTCAAACTCCTGGGCTCAAGTGATCTTCCCACCTTGGCCTCCCAAAGTGCTAGAATTACAGGCATGAGTCACCGTGCCCAACCTACACATTACTTAAAAAAATTTTTTTTCATGTCAGCTGCAAAAATGTACCCTTTCAACAAGATTGGAAACTTGTTGACCAAGTTCTATTCTTTCAGGTCAAATTCCAGTAAAACAGGTGTAATTATCACAAGATGGATTATAGTGAAAATATTTCTAAGGTGTTGCGGGGTCATAATAATACTGTTTTGCTAATATCTTTACAAGGAGATTGTCAACTTACCTCTAACACTTACTCATGTCATACTCATGAAAATGACATCTAATATCTCCCACAGCCAGTACATTTGCATAAAACAAAGAACATTTTGTGAGGTAGAACAAGGCTTAAGTAGCCTCATGGTTCTCCCTCTAATGACCATAGTACAGAAAAAGATAATATTAGTTTCTGATGGCTTTATTATTAAAATCCTGAGCATACACATCCCTATGCAGAGTTAATGTTTCTTTGCATGTGAGTGCTGAAGAAGGAAAATTGGAGTTTTAGGATTTTATGGTAGGGTTTTTTTTGGGGTTGTGGTTTTGTTATTTTAACTTTTCTGAGACGTTATTTCCTAACGTGCAAAAACCTGAGAATAGGAGTTATTGATGAGGTTGGTACTGTACTGGTATCATCTCTTTCCCATCTCTGCTTTCCTGGTTTTGCTAGTCTGTGACCTTATTATTCAAATTCTTGGTTTTCTAGTTTGTGACCTTATTTTTTAAATTCCTATGGATAATAAGGAATTTGGAGCCAGTAAGGTGGAAAAATCATCACTAGAATTTGGGAAAGCCTTGGGTTAAACTCTCAGCTTGGCTATTTTAAAAGCGGAGCAAACCTGGGCTAGTCATCTAAGAGCTTAAGTCACCAATCACATGAGACTCTGATAAGAATATCTGCCTTTGAAACCTTTATTATGCCAATGTAAGTTTTATTTCATTTTTGAATGTTCATCCAAGGCCTTGTCTTCCTTCCTTGGCTCCTTTTGCTTTGCCTCCCACCTAAAGGTCTCTTTTTCTAGAGTTCTCCCCACTTTTCCTTTTGTCCTATTAAGGTTATGTAATCCTCAGGTGGCCTGTTCCATTCTCAGTTTCACCCGTCATATACATACGTGGATGTCTGCTTTTGGTATGTAGCGCTCTTGTTGAGCTTTGGACCTATATATTCTACCGCCTATTGGATATAACCACCTGTAGGCCCCAGAAGGTCAAACATCCAAAACACAAGTAATCATCTTTCCCCCTGTACTTGTTCCTTTCTGATGTGGTGACTAATACTAAGTGAGCCAATCCAGAAACCTGGTATTCATCCTAGATTCTGCCCATCCAATCAGACCCCTGTCAGATCAGCCAAAGGTCTGTAGATGTTATCCCTTCACGGTTTTCTAACATCATATCGCCTCCTCTCCATTTCCATTGCTATCACCTCAGTTAAAATCCTCATAAATTATTTCTTGGATGACTTGAATAGTCCCTCTTCTGGCCACTCTCTGTCTTTACTGGTTCTCCTCTAATCTATTCTCATTGTAGTTATAGTAAACTTTCCATATAATCCTGTCATTCTGCTTAACACCAATCTGGCTCTGCATGTCTTTTAGGATAAGGTCAAATTCTTTATGTTATTAGATGAAGCCCTTTATGATCTTGTTAATTATTTTAAAATTATTATTATTATTATTAGAGACATGGTCTCATTCTGTCAATCAAGCTGGAGTGCAGTGGCACAATCATAGCTCACTATAACCTTGAACTCCTGGCCTCAAGTGATCCACCCACTTCGGCCTCCCAAAGTGCTGGGATTACAGGCATGAGCCTCCGCACCCAGCCTAATTTTTATACTTGATCTTAGTCAAAAGGCTGAGAAGCAATCCTGACCTAATTTTCTATTTAGTTTTTCTGCTGGGCATTCTGCCACATTTGCCCTCTCTCCACACAGTTCTTCTCTAGTAACAAACAAGTTCATTTCCAAATGGCTCTTTCTAAGTTTATTTGTTCGCAAGACCAAAAGAACTAAGAGATGTTTATGTTTGCAAGCCCTGGATGGAATTCCACCAGATAAGTTCTCTGAAGAGAACCAGCACACTTACTGTTTGTAATAGCAAAAGACTACAATATAGATCCATCAATGGGGTATTGATTATATAAGTTATAGTATATCTATAATGTAGTCTTTAAAATAAATAAGGTATATCTATATGAATTGATATAGAACAATCTCCAAAATATATTACATGGGAAAAAAGTTACAGAACAGTGTGTATAATGTGCCCTTATGTGTATGAAAGGAAATATTTAAATTCCTAATAAAGGTCACCTTTAGGCAGGGAACTGGGGGTATAGGAAAGAAGGAAAAGTTGGTTTTTACTGTGTGTCTTTTTTATACTATTTGAATTATAAACATTTATAATTATTGCTTTAAAAAATTAGTTTGCCTTCAACATCACAGACTAGACATGCTCTATTCTACTTCCTGTACAATCTCTCAGCTATCTTTTCTCATATACTAGTTTCCACCACGTTGAACATATGTTTAGGAAGGAAATCTCCCTCTTTGGTGATGGCTGCAAGTGTAGAAATCTCCTTGGCAGCTATGATGTCCTTAAACTACAGAACTTAAGTGTGGCTATGTAAAAAGTTCCATCAGGTGCATTTTTATCATGTTCAGTCCTCAAGTTCCTAAACAAATGATGTTTTTATCCAGAATTAACTTGATTCTGGCATCTGACATTAATATTCCTTCTCTAGCTGTACACCCATAAAGCCTTTCCTTCTGACAATTTTTTTATTCTTCTTGCTTATTATTGTTGATAGCATAGATATATGAGTGATTGCATGATCAGACATTTGTTCCTCAGAATTGTCATTATTCCTGAACAATTTATCCCATCACTACATACATTTATCATCTTCAATTTTTACATCTATTTTTGTTTTTAAACTAATTGCCTGTCTCTCCCTACTAACATTGTTAATACTCCAGATGCATTTGATCTTACTGAACATGAAAGATCAATGATAACATTTGTAATTTTTGTAAAACATTGAAAATTAAGAGCAAATCCATCAATTATACAAAGATCAAAGGCCATAAAGTTGTGTTCTCCAGGCTTCAGCCTGCATAGTTTTTTTTTGTTTGGCCCACATAACATTTTTTGTTTTATTTATCTATGTATTTAGGTTATTTTGTTTTTAAAATGTAACTTTTAAGTTCAGGAGTAAATGTGCAGGTTTGTTATACAAGTAAACTTCTTTCACGGGAGTTCGTTGTACAGATTATTTCATCAGCCAGGTATTAGGCCTAGTACCCATTAGTTATTTTTCCTGATCCTCTCCCTCCTCCTAACCTCCACCCTCCAATAGGCCCCAGTGTGTATTTTTTCCCTCTATGTAACCATTTATTCTCATCACTTAGCTCCCACTTGTAAGTGAGCGCACGTGGTATTTAGTTTTCTGTTCCTACATTAGTTTGCTAAGGATAATGGCCTCCAGCTCCATCCATGTTTCCTCAAAGGACATGATCTTGTTCTTTTTTATGGCTGCATAGTATTCCATTGTGTATATGTACCACATTTTCTTTATTCGGTCTACCAGTGATGGGCATTTAGGTTGATTCCATGCCTTTGCTATTGTCAATAGTGCTGCAATGAACATACATGTGCATGTGTCTTTATGACAGAATGATGTATATTTCTTTGGGTATATACCCAGTGATGGGATTGCTCTGTTGAATGGTATTTCTGTTTTTAGGTCTTTGAGGAATCACCACACTGTCTTCCACAATGGCTGAACTAATTTATCCTCCCATCAACAGTGTATAAGCATTCCTTTTCCTCCACAACCTCATTAGCATCTGTTATTTTTTGACTTTTTAATAATAGCTATTCTGGGTCAGGTGTGGTGGCTCATGCATGTAATCCCAGCACTTTGGGAGGCTAAGGCGAGTGGATCCCTTTAAGTCAGGAGTTCAAGATTAGCCTGCCAACATGGTGAAACCCCGTTTCTACTAAAAATACAAAAATTAGCTGGGCACAGTGGCATGCACCTGTAATCCCAGCTACTAGGGAAGCTGAAGCAGGAGAGTCACTTGAACCTGGGAGGCAGAGGTTGCAGTGAGCTGAGATCGCACCACTGCACTCTAGCCTGGGTGACAGAGTGAGACTCTGTCTTAAAAAAAAATAGAACCGTTCTGACTGGTGTGAGATGGTATCTCATTGTGGTTTTTATTTGCATTTCTCTAATGATCAGTGACGTTGAGTTTTTTAATGATTGTTGGCCACATATATGCCTTCTTTTGAAAAGTGCCTGTTCACGTTTTTTGCCCACTTTTTAATGGGCTGTTTGTTTTTTTCTTGTAAATTTAAGTTCCTTGTAGATGCTGGATATTATTAGACCTTTGTCAGGTGTATAGTTTGCAAAAATTTTCTTACATTCTGTAGGTTGTCTGTTTACTCTATTGATAGTTTCCTTTCCTGTGCAGAAGCTCTTTAATTAGATCCCTTTTGTCAATTTTTGCTTCTGTTGCAATTGCTTTTGGTGTCTTTATCATGAAACCTAAGTCTTTAATCCATCTTCAGTTGATTTTTCTACATGGTTTAAGGAAGGAGATCCAATTTCAGTCTTCTGTATATGGCTAGCCAGTTATCCCAGCACCATTTATTGAATAGGAGTCCGTTCCCCATTGTTTTTGTCAGCTTTGTCAAAGACTAGATAGTTGTAGGTGTGTGGCCTTATTTTTGGGTTCACTATGCTGTTCCATTGGTCTCTGTGTCTGTTTTTGTACCATTACCATAGTGTTTTGATTACTATAGCCCTCTAGTATAATTTGAAGTCAGGTAGAGTGACATTTCCAGCTTTCTTTTTTTGCTTAGGATTGCCTTGCCTATTTGGGCTCTTTTTGTTTCCATAGGAACTTTAAAATTGTTTTTTTCTAGTTCTGCAAGGAATGTCATTGGTAGTTTAATAGGAATAGCATTGAATCTATAAATTGCTTTGGGCAGTTTGGCCATTTTAATGATGTTGATTCTTCCTATCCATGAGCATGGATTTTTTTTTGATTGTGTCATCTCTGATTTCTTTGAGCAGTGTTTTGTAGTTCTCCTTGTAGAGATCTTTTACCTCCCTTAGCTGTATTTCTAGGTTGTGTGTGTGTGTGTGTGTGTGTGTGTGGCAATTGTGAATGGGATTGCATTCCTGATTTGGCTCTCAACTTGACTGTTGTTGGTGTGTAGGAATGCTACTTATTTTTGCACATTGATTTTATATCCTGAGACTTTGCTGAAGTTGCTTATCAGCTGAAGGAGCTTTTGGACCAAGACTATGTTTGCAGACAACAGTTTAAAATTTTGTATTAGTTATCAGCATTTGCAAGTTGAAAGAAAAACAAAGCCATAGCAATACTGAAGCTACATTCTGACAAGGTAACATCAGCTGGCACTGTGGCTGCTCACCCTTGCAAGGGGCACATACAGTTCATTTCACACTTCACACTCCAGCTTACCTCCAGCTTACTTCAAGTCCTTGCTCTGCCGACTTCACTCATGGTAGGCATTAGACTGAGGAATAACCCAATGGTCACATGGCTAGGGCTAAAATGACCCTACCTGACCACTAACTCCTGGCATGCCTGAAATAGTTGATGTATCTTTGCTCCAGAGCAGAGCTTTGTATTTCTGAATGTTCACAGGTTGAAACTTTTTAAGGAGACGTGTAATAAATGACAGCTTACTGGTTAAGTTGTGATCTCCATAATATATGTTTCCTTTTGTTTAAAATCCCCTCTTATTCCTACCTCACTCTTTTCATTTAGCTCATCCTTCAAAACGTAGCTTGCCAGGAAAATCTCTCCTAGCCACCTAACCTGAGTTGGTTGCCTTTTTCCTACACTTTAGTAGAACCCTTCTTTTATCTTAGTTTTAATTATGGATTTTTTTCTCTCCTCAACAGGATTGGGAGTTTTATGAAAGCAGGTTACATGTTGAATTCACTTCATGTCCTATACACCTCGTATAGGTCTCCTATATGTCTAGAGTCAGGTATATAGGAGGCATTCAACACATATTTGTTGAGGGAATTAATGACTGAATGTCTCAATCTATAGATTGTATGTGATTTGCTTTCTATTACTCTGTCAGTATCAGTTTTGAGTTGAGTTGCAGTATATAGGTTGATAAGGTCTAACTTATTCCTTTAAATTGTCAACTTATTTATAGTTTGTACCAGAAAGTATGTTTTACTATGTTAAGTGTTGGAGAATAGGAAAAGCAAAGGAAGTTGAGGTCTAAACTTGTAAGTCTTGTGAATGGGCCATGGTTGTTAAAAGTCATCTATCTCTGCCTCCTTAGAAAAGCTATCAGGAACACAGCATCAGAATTTTTATTTAGCTACATATTCTCATGGGTGTCTGTACATCTAATTATCAAATAAATGACTCAGAATAAGATGGTGTTGGGGCTAGATGGAGTGGGAAGGAGAGGGTTGTAATTACTGAGTGAAGGCATGCTGATGTCATTAATATGTCTATTCAAGAAGTTAGTATTAATAAATTACAATGAAATGCAAGTGCAACCTAATGATTTGTCATTACCTTGAAACCTTGGTTAACAACATTGTTGGCATCATGATTACAGCCTACTTATTAACTGTATATACCCTTAAATGTACACTTTTAAATTTATTGCCACCCTGTGGTACCGTAGGAATATATTTGGTTATTGTCCCTGTTCCTGGCACAGAGCTCCTAAAACCCTTGGAATTTCCTGGGTAATAAGGATGATGCGAGGATCTTTTGTTCTAATGAAGCAGCTCTTGGCCCCTAGACAGCTGCTTCAGAATGGGGGCTGATTGCCAGAATATCTAAGCCTTGGTTAGAAGCTTGGAATTTTAGCCCTAACCCTCAGCCTCCAAGGAGGAGAGAGGGGTTGGAGATGAAATTTGTTTACCATTTCCCAATGATTTAATCAACCATGCCTATGTAATGAAACCTTCACAAAAACCCCCTAAACAATGGGGTTTAGGGAGCTTCCAGGATGGTGAACACCCAACGTACTGGGAGGGTGGTGCACCCCAGCTCCACGGGGACAGATGCTCCTGCACATTCCCTTCTGAATCTCACCTTATATACTTCTCCATCTGGCTGTTCATTTGTATCCTTTATAATAAACCAGTAAACATAAGCAAAGTGCCTTTTTAAGTTGTGTGAGCTTTCTAGCAAATTGTCAAACATGAGGAGGGGGTCAAAGGAACCCTGATTTACAGCTGGTTAGTCAGAAGTACTGGTGGCCCAAAACTTGCAAACAGCATTTGAAGTGGGGGCAGTCTTGTAGGACTGAACCCTTTGAATTATGGGATCTGATGCTAACTCCAGGTAGATAATGTCAGAAATTAATTGAATTGTTGGACAGTCAATTGATGTCAGAGAGCTGAAGAAGTGATGTTGGAAAAGATACCATATGTTTGTTGTCAGGAGGGAAAAAGCTTTCATGCCGTTTCACAAAATTCTCAAACCTGTCGGATTCTGTCGTTGATGATTAGCAATACTGATAAGTTACTTTAAGCAGTTCCTTCAAATCCATGTTTCAATTTGGTTTACCCTACTGCCTTTTATGCAAAAATATTAATTTGCTCTGCTAATATTGAAATCGTACTATGTACCAGGTTTTATCCTAGAGAATAATGGTGAGCAAAACCAGATATAAGTCTCTATTTTCATGAGTCTGCTAGTGGAAACAGATGCCCATCAAAAAATCACATATACAGATACATTTACAACTATGTTAAATACTATGGATGAGAGGTTTATGATGTTGTGATTGTTCTCAAAAGAAAGATCATGAAACACTTTCCTGAGGAAGCTGAAATCTGAAGAACCATAAAAGGTCAACTAAGTGAGAATATGGGAATGGGTAAACTTAGATCTTGCATCTTGCAAAGACTTCTGGGACTGGAGTTTCTTATCTTTACCCTCCTATCTCAGCACCCTCCTCTTGTAGATCCCCCCCCCACTCCCCCACACAATTTCACTTCTATTAAGAGCCTCTCAGAATATACTCAGAACAGCATCAGAGGAAAACATTAAATAAAGTTTTTTAACAGATAATAGTATTAGATGTTCAATAAAGAAAGGCTCCTAGCTTCTTATAATTGAGTGCTGGTGTCCTAATCAGCTTCCTCCTCAAATCCTACACTGATGCCCAACTGGGTGTAACTGGTGTTCACCCAGTGAGGGCCTCAGTGATTATGAAAATAAGAGAGCTATGAGCCAAGACTGGTGGACCACAGTGGAGCAACTTACTTTGCTGACTGGAGTACAGCATGTCTTCACAGAGATTTAAAATAGGTTTTGGAGGGTAGAATAGGAGGGAGGACTTCCAGGAGAAGGAAACAGCACCCACAAAAACACAGACGAGTGAAAGAACACCATGTTTTTGCAGGAATGGCAGGTAGTTTAGACTTCTTTTAAGTAAGTCAGGAAAACATCCTGATAAAATAGTGAAATTAAATCAGTTTTTAGAAAAATAAAGAACTAAAGTTTAGTAAATGTGAAAAGTCCCACAAATAGAACTCCTTATTCCTTTAAAATCACGGATACAAAAGTTGTTCCTACACATATTAATCTGAACATCTGCAATTGTCATAGGTTCCAAAAACTTTAGTTTAATTCTCCAGAATCTCCTAATATCTTATTTAAAGTCATTCTCCTTTTTTTTTTTTTTTTTTTTGAGACGGAGTCCAGCTCTGTCGCCCAGGCTGGAGTTCAGTGGCGCCATCTCAGCTCACTGCAACCTCTGCCTCCCGGGTTCACACCATTCTCCTGCCTCAGCCTCCGGAGTAGCTGGGACTACAGGCGCCCGCCATTACGCCTGGCTAATTTTTTGTATTTTTAGTAGAGAG
This sequence comes from Homo sapiens, assembly GCF_000001405.40. Taxonomy (NCBI): domain Eukaryota; kingdom Metazoa; phylum Chordata; class Mammalia; order Primates; family Hominidae; genus Homo; species Homo sapiens. The sequence goes on along the minus strand of NC_000011.10, from coordinate 86,220,197 downwards.
AGGGTTTCACTGTGTTAGCCAGGATGGTCTCGATCTCCTGACCTTGTGATCCACCCGCCTCAGCCTCCCAAAGTGCATTCTCCTTTTTGATTGGCATCACCTGCTGCCTTTCTCCTTTCTCACTGTATTTAGAGCAATCTTTGCCAAATGATTTTTGTGTCTTTCCAGACCATGATGTGGTTGACTAAGAATTTGTTTAAGCCTAACTATTTTTCAGTTCTTCATTTGACTCAAAAAGTAGTTTGTTGTAGAATAGAAGCTTCCCCTTGAAACAGCATATGGCAAGACCTGGAATTAAAAATAGACTTAACCACTGAAAAATTCTTCCATAAAATTAAATTAAATACGTAGTACAATTCTCTTTTACCATGTTATCCTCAATGGATAAAGATGAACTTTTCTCCTTATTAAAATTGAGAATGTTGCAGAATATTTCCATTATGTGCGAAGAAAAGAGGAACTGGCACTTATTAGCACACATAGTATGCCAGTCTCTGTGACAGGTGCAATCTGAGCGCCATCCTACCACTATGCTTGAATAGAGAGATGGTCATACAATGTCAACATGGTAATAAACTTCAGAGGTCATATAACCCACTGCTTTGGTTCTTTAGAGAAAACGCTGAGGCCCAGAGAGTAGGTTAGTGATCATTCAGTTCATTAAAAACCAAATGGGACTTGAGCTGAGTTTTCTGACACTTAGTCAGTGTTCTTTCTATAACATACTGGTATTCTCAGGAGAGAATTCGTCATGACTTATAGTTACATAGTCACCATTCTTTCCTGTATCTCTGTCTGCCCCATCTCTTTCTTCTATTTCTTCCTTTCTTTGTATTTTTTCATCTTTAACAGTAATGTTTTCTCTATTCTTAGAAAATTGGGTGTTTGAAAACAGCCCTCAACAACTTAATTCAACTTTTATCTAATGATTATTAACTGAATACTGCATCTTAGACACCGTGCTGGGTAATTGGTTGGATACAGTAAGATAATATATACAGATATAACTAAAATACAAGGCAGTGTATGATAAGAACTTTGTAAATAAGTTTTACAGGATTTCAGAGGTAGGTGTGGGGAAAGTGGCCAGTGAACTGGGCTTTTAAAGAATGGAAAAGGTTTTCATAAGGATAAGGGCTGAAGGTAGGACAATAATTTTACACAAATTGAAGAGCAGTAATAAGGATACAGAAGAAGGGAGCAACGCAAGTTGGAGAGATGTCAAGTAGAATTGTATGAGTAACAAACTGTCTTACAGGAGAAAATGGAGGACAAGGCTGAGAAACAGGCTGTTTTATTTCTGCAGCAGGGCAAGGGATCCTTCCCCTTATCAAGGCTAGAATACAAAGAAGGTGGAAGCCCCTATGACAGTCAGCTGTCATAGAAGTTGTAGATAGGTCACCTAGAGGCAGCACTGGAAACCAGCGAAAGTCAGCAATCCAGGTGACAAAAGTATCAACGAACTGGTACGAAAGCTACTACCAACTGGTACAAAAAGAACCACAGTCCAAGGAGACGCTTACTAGCACACGCCTACCTCCAGGGGGTGCTCAAGGCTTCCGTCCTTCCTTCCAAAGAAAAAAGATCTCTGAAGAGACTCCAGGACAAAATGGGGATTTCAGATATAGATGGAGGTTTTAGAGAAATGATTCTGCAGGGGATTCTGTTGAAGGAATAAAGTGGTTATAAACAGAAGTGGGCTGAGAGACTTTCCCCGTCAGTGACCTCTGGCGACTCGGCTTTTGTTAACTCTTGTAATGCTTTCATCTTTTCATCTCTTCACTGCCTTGGGATTGGTGTCTGGGACGTTCTCAAGTCAGGAGGGCAAAAGTAACCTCAGGGAGTCCACTTTGTTCAGTCCAGCTGCTGAGGCAAGAGATCTGATAGGGTTTGGAGCCCAGCATGAACTGGCAGCAAAGCATAGGCGTTTGTCCAGCGTCCTCTGTGTATGTGTTGGATGAGAAGCTTGTGCAGTCACATGCAGGATTCAGAATCCTGGCAGATTCTGAATCCACCTCCTAATTGTACAAGATTGGCATCTGGTGTGGTCTCGCAAGGGACTAAGATTTAGGAGGAAGGAAATTCATAGCAGGATTCTTGCTGCGAGGAAATCTTACCCAAACCTTTAATTAGTGATTACCAACAGGCAGAGATGGATAACTATTTCTAAAGAAAATGTACTCTTGAGAGGCTGAGACTACAAAGGCACATAGCTGCATATTTGTGAGGCTCCATCCCTTATGGTGGGAACAGAATCTGGCCTCGCCAGGAGTCACTTTTGGGACTAGAACATCCTGCCAGCAGAAGTCTGGAATTTGGAGAAATGCAAAGCCAATTGTGAGGTAGATACCTTCTCTACAAAGTAAAGATTGTGTTCTTGGACAGAGCCAGCCCTCATTTAATTTAGGAGTGAGAAGGTGGAAATGCGAGAAGCAATGGCTTGAATCTAGGATCCTGGAGAGGTGTTTAATCCGTAGGAATGAAGCAGACCTGTGAATGACATAGGGAAGAAGGGTGCCAATATCATAAATTGTTAGTTTTGTTAGTTTTAGTCCACGGTGGTGTTCAGACACAACTGTCTGGGAGGGAAGGCAGCCTGCACAGGTGTTGAACTTACCCTAGCATGTGGGTGTCAGAATGTCACAATTAAATCTTATTTTTTCTTTATACATTCAGAGAGCATTTAAAAAATTCTATTCTATGGTTCCAGTTATAGGAGTCACATTATTATTCTAGCATGCCATCTGATATTAAAATAATTTAATATGAAGGCCTATGGGTTCTAACACAATAACTTCTTATCCTATCATTTACATACTTCTAATTTCTAATATCTCCTATTTTATTCTATTTATTTATTATTTAAAGGCAGGGTCTTGCTCTGTCACACAGGCTGGAGTACAGTAGCTACGATCATGGCTCACTGCAGCCTCGACCTCCCAGGCTCAAGTGATCCTTCCACTTCAGTCTCCCAAGTAGCTGGCACTGTGGTTGCATGCCACAAGTCCAGCTAATTTTTTTAAAATAATTTTTTTGTAGAGATGGAGTCTCACTATGTTGTCTGGGCTGGTCTCAGACTTCTGAGATCAAGTGATCCTCCTGCCTCAGCCTCCCAAAGTGCTAGGAGTACAGGCATAAGCCACTATGCCTGGCCTCTCTTATTTTTAAAAATAATACTTATCTTTTTATCTCATTATAAAATTTATGAGTAATTGATGCAGAAAATTTGAAAACACCAGAAATACAATGTAAAACAAAAATTAGTCATAATTCTACAACTCAAAGGTAAGCACTATTAACTTTTTTTAAAATTTTTCTTTGAGATAAGGTCTGGCTCTGTTGCCCAGGCTGCAGTACCATGGCATAATCGTGGCTTGCTGCAGCCTCAACCTCCCAGGATCAAACGATCCTCCCACCTCAGCCTCCTGAGTAACTGAAACTACAGGCACACACCACCATGCCTGGCTAAATTTTTAAATTTTTTGTAGAGACAAGGTATCCCTGTGTTGCCCTAGCTGGTCTTGAACTCCTGGGCTCAAGCAATCCTCCTGCCTCAGCCTCCCAAGGTGTTAGGATTACAGGCGTGAGCCACCAGGCCCGGCTACTATTAACATTTTGATGCATGCACTTTCACTATTTTTTACTTTATGTGTGTGTATATTTTAAAACAAAAATCATCAAAATTTACATTGTTTTGTAGCTTTTTTTTTCATTTAGTGATTACGGAACTATTTCAATGTCAATAAATGATCTACATTACAATTTTTTCCCCTATAATACTTCTTATTATACAAGTATTAACTGTGCATTGCTTTGAGCTTAGAAAATGGAGAAAAATTGTACAGAAAGAAATAACTCATCCAGAGATTAATTGCTTTCAATATAGTCGTCTATTTCTTGGAAGATTTTCCCCCATCCCTTCTTACTATTAGTCCACAGATCCTCCAGCTCAGCCAATGATAGCAGCTGTAGTCAGCTGGGTAATGGCCATTCAAAGATATCCTTGGAACTTGCAAATGTTGCCTTATTTGGGAAAAAGGTCTTCGCACATGTGATTATGTTTAAGGATCTTTCAAAGGCACCAACCCAGAAGTTGGTTTCATTTCCTGGAAAAAAACTTGATAGCTAGGGTTAATATATTGGATCCGGAGATGAAAAGGGCATCTATACCAAGGGAACTGACGTGCAGATTTTGGACTTCCTGTAGGTTAAGAGTTTGAATGTTCTGCATGTAGGCTGTGAGTTTCAAACTTTTTAAGTAGCTGAAAACTCAATTGAGGATGCGTCTGAGGTGGCACAAGTAGAAGCAGAATCCACAGCTGAGGTCCAAGTCAAGCGCTAGAGGCAAAAATGGATCAGAGGCACCTGGTGGAGGCTGTAGACAGAAGCCCCAGTAGAAAGACTTCTGACCTCATCATCAGCCATAAGCAAGGTGAAGGGCATTCAAAAGAAAGGGACTTTGGTGGCACAGGGAATTTTCAGTTTCCATGGTTCATCTACTGATTTAATGCATTATTGATTATATGCTACTAATTAACCTCTTTTTTTTCTTTTTGCCCACTCCAGAGTGCTAAGGAGGTCCGATTAACCTCTTTAATAACCTTGGTTTTTTGGTTTTTTTGGTTTTGAGATGGAGTCTCGCTCTGTCACCCAGGCTAGAGTACAGTGGTGCAATCTCAGCTCATTGCAACCTCCACCTTCCAGGTTCAAACGATTCTCCTGCCTCTGCCTCCCAAGTAGCTGGGATTACAGGCACCTGCCACCATGCCCGGCTAATTTTTGTATTTTTTAGTAGAGATGGGGTTTCACCATGTTGGCCAGGCTGGTCTCGAACTCCTGACCTCAGGTGATCTGCCCACCTCAGCCTCCCAAATTGCTGGGATTATAGGCATGAGCCACTGCACCTGGCCAAATAACCTTGTTTTAAATGGCCTAGTATGGGGTTGAGCCACAACCACCTCTCTCAGTGATTCTCAGGAGTCTGGAGGGGAAACCAGTAGGGGTGATCATCTTTAATAGTGACTAGAGGACCTTACAGAAAAAGTATGCCAAACATAACTGCTCCATGTGTGAATCTGTCATTCTGGCTAATTTGGGAGATTGCAGGGGTGGTCCTCCAAAAGAACAGAACATTTTGGAGGGTTTGAGTAGATGAACATGAAATGTTGGGTGTGGGTGGGGACAGTCACTTCAGCCTGCTCTACCCACCCAAAGCAACCAGACTGGAAGATCAAGCTCTTAGTTCAGAGATGACTGGGCTGGATTTCCCCAGCCACACCACAAGGGGAGTCCCAAGGAAGAGGAAACAGGGAAACATTGTGGGTGACACTGAGGCTTTCTCCCAGTCCTCCCACTGCTCTGGGCATTTCCTCCAGAGAGGCCCTGCTCCAACAGTGAGCACTGTGGGCTGTGCACCTGCTGCCCTCAATGGGGTTTAGCTATCTTCTGATTGAGATGGAGAAAGGTTGGATGACGAAGTGAAGGGGAGGGGGTTGTGCTGGAGCAGTGATGAGCCTCACGTCGGGACATTCCAGCCACAGAGTTAAGAGGATGGAAGAGGAAAGCCAGTGGGAGAGAAAAGGAGAGAGCATGAGATCCAGAGTTCGGGCACGGCTTAGAAATTTAATCTAACGTTAGATGCCAGAGCAAGGAGGAAGAAGGGACCTCTCATTCACCAGTCTCTTCCCTTATCCATCTACTTTCGCACCCCTAACTTGCATTGTATGTCAACACTAATTAATTCCAATGAGAAAATACATATGACAGTGCTCTGTGAACCTTAAAACCCTAATAATAATGATAATAAAGAATAGCATTTATTGAGAGTTACTATATGTAGTCACAGATCTAAGCACTTCACATATATCCATCTTATTTAATCCTCATAATAATTTTGTGACAGTTATTATTCTAATTTTAGTGATGGGAAAATTGAGTCTTAGGGAAATTAAGGTTAAGAAATTTGCCCATGGATATATAGATAGGAAATGGCAGAGTCACAATATGAAGTCTTCTAGATCCAGAGCCCAAACTATTAACCATTTTTGCTCTACTGCCTTGTTAAATGTCTGTTATTTATTTTCAACCTCACTAGATAAGTGCGGGTAGAACACAGACACCAACAGAACTTGAGACTTGATAAAACAACAAAAACAATAACAACCCAATGCATAATGAATGAGAACGAATCAATGGCAAGCCACTTTAAGGAAGCAAATTTGTACCCAGGCAGTTTTGAGCAGGAACACTAGTCCCTCAAGTGCTTCCTTTCTAGGCAGGTTCTAGGATGGCTGCACATATCCCAGGTGTACATGAAGTACCCAGAATCTGGGAGTGCCCATCTCTCAATTTCACTGCCTCACAGGCTCTGCTCTGTTTTCCTACTGTTGCTCCCAGTGGTATTCTCTGGTTTTGGGGTTCAACACTGCCCCATTGAGTTCTGGCTTCTTTTCTTCGACCGCATCGCCCTGCTTGCTGAGGCTGTGTGCCCTAAAGAAGAGGGGGGTACTTCGCAGGCAAAGTTATAACTAATATTCTCCCCAATGCACTAATCATACTCTTGGGCTTTCATAGTCTACCAACAGTTAAATTTTTATTAGGCCCATTTCCTCAGTTTCCTGAAGAACTTTGTCAAGGACTTGGAGGACCTTCCCTACAGCCTGAGTTAGAGAACATGTGGGTTGTGCTACTCAGTGACTGACTAAAGAAAATTCCTATCCACTAATGGTGAACCACTGTCCCAGAACTGAGCTAGAACATCTGACGCCTTTCCTATCTTGAGGAGACTCCTTCTATCTGGGTGGTTACCTAGAGGTTAGAGGCAGAGTCACTGCCCTGGACCTTCCGCCGCTTCCAGCATATCTTGCCATGGACTCCCCAAGAGGGACAGTCAAGATTTCATGCACATAGAACCCTGGCACTAGATAGGAAATAGATCCAAAAGAAAGGATTAAAGGGTAAGGTCTGAGGATGAAGAGCCCATAAACATTCCACATAGAGTCCAGAGTTTTGAGTCTGTCTGTGAACCACCTTTCTGGTACTATGGCCCAGCCAGTGCCACAGCATGGAAGTGCTCTTGGGAGAATATCTGCATACCCTGTAGAGAATAGTGTATATCATACAATCCTTTCATTCCCGACAAGGGAACACTAACTAGTTCTCCATCCCATCCTCCTCTTCTGCCCCCATATCTACCCATGATTGTGAACTACTTGGATAAATTTCTCAAGACTTTTGGCCTAGTGATGGTGTGACCTAATAATTTTGAAATCTAATTTTGAATTTCACCCTAGTTTACTTTCTGGTTGTCAATTCAGTATTATTTTTATGTAGGCTGGATGTTCACGCTGGTCAGATTAACCAGATAATTGCTAACACACTCTAGGTTATGTTGTTTAGAAGTAATAGCAGTTGGAGGAAATGGCCTAAAAACAAGCAAAACCAGAAAAAAAAAAAAAGCCAATAAGAGTTATCCAGTTTTGTTTAAAAACTGAAAAAACCTACATTTCATTTCATGCTCATAGATTCAATCATAAACTGTATTTCCAAGACTGCTGAATTCGTGGTAAGAAGTTGATCAAGTTATGGCAATTATCTTTGGGATAATTTGCTAAAGTGAGCATTTTGATGCTGTGTGCCATGTGGGCTCAGTTGGTTGAATAGTGACTTTTTAATCATTCAGACCTGGCCTTGCTCACAGATCCAACCCAAGAGATGGTATAGTATGAGGAAAAAGGCCTGGGCTTTGAAGGAAGACAAAGCTAGGTCCACATCTTGGTGCTTCTGTCCATGAGTCATATGATCTTGGACTTTGCACCTTCGGAGTGTCAGCTCCCTTCTCTGTAAAAATGGTGGTGGGAGGGGAAAGATTATTTTCAAGACTGATGTGAAGACAAAAAATTAAATGATATTTTACAGATCAGACATGGAGCTATATAAAGTACCAAACACATGGTTGATAGTCAGAATAAGTACAGAGGCTAAGGCACGAGTCACTTGGACCTGTGAGGCAGAAGTTGCAGTGAGCTGAGAATGCACCACTGCACTCCAGCCTGGACAACAGAGTGAGACTTTGTCTCAAAAAAAAAATAATAAGTACAAACTTCCCTTCTCTAATATTAGCTTATAAATAATTTTTAAAAAATTATTTCACATCACTTTGAGAACAAATACATAAATAGAAAGGCTAGTATATAAGAGAAACTCAATAAATTCTTGTCAAATAAATGGATACATTTTGAGTATTTCTTTTCTTTTTTCTTTTTAAGAGATAAGGTCTTGCTCTGTCACTCAGCCTTCAGTGCTGTGGCATGATTATAGCTCACTGTAGCCTCAAACTTCTGGGTTCAAGCAATCCACCTGCATCGGCCTCCCGAAGTGCTGAGATTACAGGCATGAGTCAACACGCCCAGCCTTTTTGAATATTTCAAAACAGGGTCACAACACAGACAAAGAAGAGGTGATCACTTACATGCTTTGCAAGTGGAATTGAAAGCTCACGTCCAAATTTCTCCTTTCACTTGACTTGAAACTCCCATTATTAAGATCATGACATAATGACCATCATTTATTTAACACACATGGATTGAAAAACCTACTGTGTATCAATTGTGGAGTTACAAATACTAAGTCACATGTCCCTCCTTTGAGAAGGTCTTAATATGTAGAAGAAACTAAACATGAAAACAAATGGTTAATATAGTATGTGTCATCTGCATTGATGGATAAAAATAAGGACATTTTGCTCAGAAGTTTATAGTTAGTGTGCATAAATGTTATTCAACAGTGGGTTTTCTAACGCTCTTCAACTCATATATTAGTAAAAATTATACTGATAAATTCAAAGGCCTTAGGTTTTGGCTTTATGCTTTTCCTCTTCCTAGAATGCTCTTCTCTCTCTGGAAAACCACACATCCTTCAGCATGCAATTTAATGCTCCAACAAGAAGTTCATCCAACACTCCGTGATCCCTATCTCCTTTCTACTCACAACACATCCCGTAGTTCTTAACCCTGGCTGTTAGTAAAATCTTCGAAAAAGTTTCAGAGATTTTATATATCTGAGTCTGACCTAGATTTACTAAATTAACTGAGACATAAGCATTTGTAGTTTTAAAAGCTTCACAGGTGGTTCTAATTCTGGGGATGAAATTCACTAATCCCAGCACTAATTGTATTATAGCATAAGCAAAACATGTGTTACTGGAGTGTAACGACTGTAGCTCTTCCATTTTATTTCCCCAGTTTGTAGAATGCTGTAAGCACTCAGCAAAAGTTTGTTGAACATATTCAATGAATTACTGAGCAGATAGGGCTGGAAAGGCAGAGTTTTTCTTTCTTTCTTTTTTTTTTTTTTTGAGATGGAGTCTCACTTTTGTCACCCAGGCTTGAATGCATGGTGTGATCTCGGCTCACTGCAACCTCCGCCTCCCAGGTTCAAGGAATTCTCATGCCTCAGCCTCCCAAGTAGCTGGGACTCCTGGCCTGTGCTACTATGCTTGGCTAATTTTTGTATTTTTAGTAGAGACAAGGTTTCACCATGTTGGCCAGGCTGGTCTCGAACTCCTGACCTTAAGTGATCCGCACTCCTCGGCCAACCAAAGTGCTGGGATTACATGCGTGAGCCACTGTGCCGGGCCAGAGTCAGTTTTAACGAGGGACTCATTCTAGGTGGACAGGAGAAGAGTGGCGTGGGAGTGTGGCATTGAGTGAGGTGTGAGTCCAGAAGGGGAAGCCTAAAGTGATCCTAGTTTAAGGTTTCAGGGTCATGAAAAAGAAAGAAGTGGATGTCAAAGACCACCTTGGCCTAGTCTACCTTCCTTTGACATAAGGTTGCCCCAGAGTTGGAACGGGATGACATTTGAGTAACCTTCTAATCAGGACTGTACCAGGTCAGCCCTGGACTAAAAGGAATGAGTCTAGGATGGAATCTAGTCAGACACTGTATCAGGTGCCCTTAGTGGGAAGTAAAAGAGACAGATGCAGACCAGGAGTTTAAAATCCAGTTAAGACTCATGAAACAACAAAGAAAACATTCACAGAACAACACAGCAATTAACTTACTAGTTACTATTTACTGAGTGCTTTCTACATGCCAGTGTTTGCATTAAGTGCTTTACAAACATGACTTAACTGAAAATGATTTCTATTGCCCTTGATGAAGAAATGTAGGCTTGGAGAGAATGAGTAACTTGTTCAAGGTTATACATCCAATAAGTGTTGAAAACCAGATGTGGCCTCAGGTTTGGCTGACTCCAGAACTTGCGCTTTTTGTGCACTACACTAGAGAGCCTCTATCATTGAGTCTCTGGTATGCAACCTCTGGTCCAAGTGATTACCTAAAATCATGTGGTAAATTTTACCATGTTCTCAAGGTTTAAAACCTTTCCACAGCTCTCCACTGCCTTACAGAATGTGTTAAACACTGGAGTATTTGACTGAACCAAGTAGAGGTAACTGAGTTGAATGAGGTCAATGTTGGTTTCCAAAAACAGTGAGTTTACTTGAAGTTTACTTGAAGGAAGTAAGGAATATGGAATATCGAGGAGAAAGAACAAAGCAAGGACTAAACCTAGACCTGGAATATTTCAGGGAAAAAACCCTAGACTTACTTCTACATCCACTAAAGCCAAACTTCTGCACCTACCAAACCAAACTTCTCATGAACACACACACACACACACACACACACACACACCCCACAGAACCTATGAGATTCTACTAATTTTTTTTTACCAGATAAATAGAATAGTAAAATTAGTAGGGTACATTTTACCAGAAGTAAGCTGTTTTTACTTACAGCACTTCTGACACCAACTTTTTGGGTTGTTTTCTCACACCAACCAATTCTCCATGTCTCTGGAAATTGACTGGGTGTCCAACAATCCAATTCAATTAGCACTAACTACTCAGAGTTGGCCTCTGACTCTTCAGGTTTAAGGGCTCAGAGCCACAGGCTGCCCTCATTTCAGATGCTACGTGCAATATCAGATCACCTGTACTTCTCCACCCTCCCCTAGCTTTATTAAGCTATAGTTGGCAAATAAAAATGATATATATTTACAGTGTACAATGTGAGGTTTTGATATATGTATATGTGGTGAAATAATTAAATCAAAGTAATTAACATATCCATCACTGCACATACAACTTTTTTGTAGTGAGAACATTTAAAATCTATTGTCTTAGCAATTTTCCAGAATACAATACAGTATTCTTAACTATCATCACTATGCTGTACAATAGATCTCCAGAATTTATTCATCCTAACAGTTAGAAACCCTCTACCCTTTGACAGTATCTCCCCATTCCTTTCTCCTTACCCCCAGGCCCTGTTAACCACCATTTTACTCTCTGCTTCTATGAGTTCCACATATAAGTGAGATCTGTAGTATCTGTAGTCTTTCAGTGCCTGGCTTATCTCACTTAGCATAATATCCTTTAGGTTTACCCAGATTGTCATAAATGACAGAACTTCCTTATTTTGAAAGGCTGAACAATATTACATTGTGTGTGTGTGTGTAAAACATTTTCTTTATCCATTCATCCATTGATGGACACTTAGATTGATTTTCTGTCTTGGCTGTTGTGAATAATGCTGCAATGATTGTGGGGATGCAGATATCTCTTCAATATATTGATTTCCTTTCTTTTGGATATATATCCAGAAGTGGGATTGCTGGGTCATAAGGTAGTCCTATTATTAATTTCTGAGGAACCTCTACGTGATTTTCCATAGTGGCTGTACCAATTTACATTCTGACCCACATTGTACAAGGGTTCCCCTTTGTCCACATCCTCACCAACATGTATTATCATTTGTCTTTTTGATAGCTATTCGAACATGTGTGAGGTGATATCTCATTGTGGTTTTAATTTAACTTACATTTTCCTGATAATTAGTGATGTTGACCATTTTTTCATATACCTGTTGGCCATTCATACGTCTTCTTTTGAGAAATGTCTATTCAGGTCTTTTGCCTTTCTTTTCTCTTTTTTTTTTTTTTTTTTTTTTTGAGACGGAGTTTCACTCTTGTTGCCCAGGCTGAGTACAATGGCACAATCTCAGCTCACCGCAACCTCTGCTTCCCGGGTTCAAGAGATTCTCCTGCCTCAGCTTCCTGAGTAGCTGGGATTACAGGCGTGCACCACCACACCCAGCTAATTTTGTATTTTTAGTAGAGACAGGGTTTCTCCATGTTGGTCAGGGTGGTCTTGAACTCCCAATCTCAGGTGATTTGCCCACCTCGGCCTCCTAAAGTGCTGGGATTACAGACGTGAACCACTGCACCCGACCCTTTGCCCATTTTTAAATCTGGTTATGTGTTTTCTTGTTATTGAGTTGTTTGAATTCCCTGCATAGTTTGAATACTAACCTCTTATCAGATATATGGCTTGCAAATACTTTCTTTCATTCTATAGGTTGTTTCTTGTCTTTTTTCTCCTGCACATAGCTTGTATTCCATAGATTGTTTCTTTTTCTATAGGAAGCTTTTTAGTTTGATGCACTCTCGTTTGTCTATTTTTGTTTTTGCTGCCTGTGCTTTTAGGGTCATAACCAAAAAAAGTTATTGTTGAGGACAACGTCAAGAAGCTTTTTTCCTATGTTTTCTTCTAGTAGTTCTACAGTTTCAGGTCTTATGTTTAAGTCTTGAATCCATTTTGAGTTGATTTTTTTTTTTGCATATGGTGTGAGACAAGGGTCCAGTTTTATTCTTTTGCATGTGGATATCCAATTGTCCCAATACCATTTATTGAATAGTCTGCCCTTCTCTCATTGTGTGCTCCTGGCACCTTTGTTAAAGATCAATTGACCATAAATGTGTGGAATTATTTCTGGACTCTCCATTCTGTTCTATTGGTCTATATGTCTGTTTTTAATGCCAGTACCATGCTATTTTAGATCACCTGTACTTCTATATGACCAGCCATAAATCAAATATCCCCATAACCCCCTCCTAAGTTTCAATGATTTCCTAGACTGGCCAACAGAACTCAGGAAGGCACTTTACTTATATTTGTATTTTAAAGGATACAAATGAAGAGCCAATGAGTGGTATAGGGACGAGGCCCAGGAAAGTCCCAAGCATAACAGCTTCTGTACCATGGAGCTGGGGTGTGCTACCCTCCCAGAATGCGGATGTGTTAACCAACTGGGAAGCTCTCTGAACTCCATTGCTTATGGGTTTTTTTTTTTTTTTTTTTTTTTTGAGAAAGAGTGTCGCTCTGTCGCCCAGGTTGGAGTGCAGTGGCGCAATCTCGGCTCACTGCAAGCTCCGCCTCCCGGGTTCACGCCATCCTCCTGGCTCAGCCTTCTGAGTAGCTGGGACTACAGGCGCCTGCCACCACGCCCGGCTAATTTTTTGTATTTTTAGTAGAGACGGGGTTTCACCGTGTTAGCCAGGATGGTTTCGATCTCCTGACCTCGTGATCCGCCCACCTCGGCCTCCCAAAGTGCTGGGATTACAGGCGTGAGCCACCGCGCCCGGCCAGCTTATGGGTTTTTATGCAAGTTTCATTAAGTAGACATGATTCATTAAATCATTGACCATTGGTGATTGAACTCAATCTCTACCCCCTCTCCCCTCCCCAGCAGAATGGGGATGAAAGTTCCAAGTTTCTAATCAAGACTTGGCCTTTTTGGCTTCCAGCCCCTATGCTGAAGCTTGCTAGGGGCCGTCAGCCACCAGACATCTAATTAGCATGCAAAATATAGTCTTACCCTTATCATTCCCAGGATTCCAAAATGTTTCGGGAGCTGTGTGCCAGGAATCTGGGACAAAGATAAGACAAAGATATTTACTTTTTATAATACCATAAAGGCCATTTTTGCTTGCTGCTTCTTGTTATCTGGTGATGTTGTTAAGCATGAAGAAATCATTCTAAAATCTGAGGCTGAAAGTTCATATCAATAACTAAAACTGTACAGATTTAAATGTGTGTTGACTTTAACTTAGAATGCACATCCATTCAGATGTTACATATGCACATTCACAAGGCACATTTGAAGCCTATGCTGTGAATGAAGAGTAGTCTGGGAGGCCCTGCAGCCCTTAGCAATTTGGTCTTTACTTGGAGTTTGTATTTCCTTCCTCGCTTTTTATATTACGTGGCCTTGTCTCATGATGGCACCATTGTGACATATTGTACCAGCTGGCCACACTCTGTTCAACTGTTGTTTGCTTAATGCATTCTCTCATGATAAACTGGACCCAAAGCTTACCTATTCTGCCCCCCACTCCAACTTTAGAATGGCAGGCAAATGATGAAGTTTCCCATGGGAAATCTCTTTTATTTCTTTTTAATATTTTATGTATGTATTTATTATTTAGAGACACTGTCTCTCTCTCTCTCTGTCACCCAGGCTGGAATGCAGTGGCGCAATCATAGCTCACTGCGGCCTAGAATTCCTGGGATCAAACGATCCTCCTGCTTCAGGCTCCCAAAGCGCTGGGATTACAGGTGTGAGCCACCACGCCTGACATCTGCAGGAAATTTTAACTTTATTTTCACCACCATTAGTTCAATTACGATCAAGAATTTACACGTACAAGTCTTGTAAGCAGCTTTGTATTGCTTAACTCCATTTTTGCAATCATCTTAGCTACTGTTTCTGTATTGATGTTACGCAAACGTATACCACTTTATTGGTAAACTGTTTGTTATTTTGTTTTTATATTTTAGTTGGTTCTACTTCTTTGGGTGTCTTTTCTATTGTCTTATTCCTTAATGTGTATGCTTTAAATGTGTATGTCTGAGATACTGTTAAAAAAAAAGATTAATTTTACATTTGGATGGCTGGTAAATAACATAATTTTAGTGGACATTTATTACAATAAATAAAAGAGAAGAGTAAATTCTTGTAGGTTTCTATGAAATCAGTTTTCTTGTAGCATTATACTCACCTAATATAGACTAAACAAAACATTCCTGTGCTTAACAATTAGTAGCAAGTCCATGCCATTCACTAAATATTTATTGAGGACTTTCTCTGGGCCAGACACATATGGGGTAGAGCTCACAGGACATAGCAAGATGCTGTGTGTCTAGAGTTAAAAGAGCAACAACAGGCCCTATCACTCTTCTGCTTAAAATACTTGGATAGCCTTAGGTCCAAATCAGTTCAAAATATTCCTTTACCATCCAGACACTGGCTCAAGGAGCTCAAAAAGGGAAAAGGTGGCTTTAAAATACTGAGCTGTGGCTGGGTGTGGTGGTTCATGCCTGTAATCCCAGCACTTTGGGATGCTGAAGAAGGTAGATCACCTGGGGCTAAGAGTTTGAGACCAGCCTGGCCAACATGGTGAAACCTCATCTCTACTAAAAATACAAAAAATTAGCTGGGTGTGGTGGTGCACACCTGTAGTCCCAGCTACTCGGGAGGCTGAGGCATGAGAATTTCTTGAACCCAAGAGGTGAAGGTTGCAGTGAGCTGAAATTGCGCCACTGCACTTCAGCCTGGGCAGCAGACTGAACACTCTGTCTGAACAACAGCAACAACAAAAAGATGCTAAGCTGTGCCTCTGACCCTGCATTTTTTCCTCTTTGCTATGTCTTAGTACTTTCTGGTCATGTTTCATATTAATTATTTCTGGTTTCCTGTCAGCTTTGAATTAATCCTAGCTTTGTCCCCTGGGCCCTCACTTTCAGATCCTCTCAGTTCTATTCCATGCATATTATGGGGAGTGTCTTACCCTACCCATAACCACACCCAGCTTCTGTAAGTATAATCCCAGAATGGCATCTGAGACCCCACTTGCCTGGCAGAGGAGTTTCGATGTGTTCCATAGCTTTGATGTTACTATTCCTTACTTTAAGACACAAGATGCTTTTAGATCTGACACATGTTCATTTCACTAGCTTGTCTCCTGCCATTCCTCAACTAGGATGTTATGGATCTGTCCTATTGAATTTCTTGAGCAGTTTCTGGAGCATGTAATTTTATTTCCCATCTCAGTTTTTGCACATGGCACATTTCCTTCTCATAAAAACCCTTGCTCCACCATCCCCAATTCTCCAGCTATCTCCTCCTCTTAACCTCAAAGCTAGTTTCAGGGGTCGCATCTCCCAAGAAGTTCCAATCTCACTTAGATGCTTCTCCTTTAGGCTACAGTGTTTATGGCACAGTAGCAATTGCTTTACTTATGTGTCTCCCCCCTGCTCCCAGATTTTGAAAGAGGTTACCACATTTTATTCGACTTTTTTTTTTTTTTTAAACAGAGTGTCACTCTGTCACCCAGGCTGGAGTGCAGTGGTGCCAGCTTGGCTCACTGCAATCTCTGCCTCCCGGGTTCAAGTGATTCTTATGCCTCAGCCTCCCAAGTAGCTGGGATTAAAGGTGGGTGCCACCACACTTTGTATTTTCAGTAGAGACAGGGTTTCGCCATGTTGCCCAGTCTGGTCTAGCATTCCTGAACTCAGGCCATCTGCCAGCCTTAGCCTCCCAAAGTGCTGGTACTGCAGGCATGAGCCACCATGCCCAACCTTTTATTAGACTTTCTATCCTATCCCTAGCCTATGATAGGGACTCATTAAGTGACTATTGAGTAAATCAGTGAATGAATGAATTAATGAATAAGTGAATATATTGCCTAATACGTCTACTTAAAGCCTCTTAGAAAGCAGGTGTGGTATGAATTGTAAACAAACAATAGTACTACAATCTTAATATGGAGGGTGAAAAATAGAAAGGTCTTCAACAGATAATATTTTTTTCTATTTATATATGTTCCTTTTTTTCTAGATATGAGCAAAAGTCTGAGTGCCAATTGCTGAATCAAGATTTACCCAAATGTTACCAAAACCAATGGCAAGTTAGTCAAATTTAGGACTCATCAGTGAGTTAACAATTATTGAGTATCTATTATGTGCACATCACTGTTTATAAGGATGTTGTGATTTAGTGAGGGAGCATATACAAAAATAACCCTGAGGAAGGGCAGACTGTAATAATCAGATTAGAGACTCAAACCACATTCTGTGGGATTCAAATGGAAAAAAAGATTAATTCTTATTAGAAGTAATGAAGTCAACAATGTATGGGGTGGGCACAGGCTGTGAAAATCAGGACAACCAGCTAATTAATGTTGCACAGAATAAATGGTGAATTGCATAACATCTATTGCTTGTCAGCTGGTTGTTTTGCTCTACAACTGCCTTAACCTCTGAGTGACATGGAAGTGAGAAAAAGAAGGAAGTGCAGCAGGACTCAAAGGGGAAGAAATGACTCTTGCTAAAGAAGGAAGAGAAGTGGAACCAACCACAGGGAGGAGAGATGGGGTAAAAATTGCTTTGAGGCCGGGCGCAGTGGCTCACGCCTGTAATCCCAGCACTTTGGAAGGCCGGCCAAGGCGGGCGGATCACGAGGTCAGGAGATGGAGACCATCCTGGCTAACACGGTGAAACCCCGTCTCTACTAAAAAAAATACAAAAAATTAGCAGGGCGTGGTGGCGGGCGCCTGCGGAGGCTGAGGCAGGAGAATGGTGTGAACCCGGGAGGCGGAGCTTGCGGTGAGCGGAGATCGCGCCACTGCACTCCAGCCTGGGCGACAGAGGGAGACTCCGTCTCAAAAAATAAAATAAAATTGTTTTGATTCCGTTGTAGCATTTCCTTGAGTCTCTTCAGTTCTAAGAATAGGGAAAGGAAGAAAAGAAGAGAGCCTGTCATGGAACCAAAGGAAGACAGCATCAAAATAAGGAGAAAAGAGCAAAGAAGCAGAAACAACTTGGAATTATGCCACAGAATTATGCCACCATACTGCTGCTTATAAAACGTTCATACTGAAAACGTTTTAGTGACGGTACAAATAAAAAGGTGGAGGAGGCATGGTTGTAGATAACGGTCTAAGGAAAAAAGTGTGTTACTATGGTTATCATTAGAACTTTTCACAAATAGTCCCACTCTTCCCATTAATGTACACTGGGGGATCAAACTGCCACCTCCTTTGAGGATTTATATGGCTGTGTGGCTTGCATTGGCCAATAAAATGTGAGGGGAAGTGACAGATATGTAGAGTGTATGAGAAATACCTTGCAGCCACTGAGATTTGGAGTGTTAGTATAAGCTAACCTGTCTTTACTAATACAGTTACCCACAAAGAAAAGGAAAAGATTGCTAATATTTATGCAAAAAAAAAGATTGAGAGAGATAAATTTGTAGGACAGGTCAAAGGAGTACTATAAGAGTTGGATTTAAGTTAGAAATAAAATGTAAAGCTAAATAGTTAAGCATTATAAAATGTGTAATAATTTCTTTCTTCTAATTATTGTATGTCTTTCTCTTTGTAATATTCTTCTTCATACACAGCATCTGCTTTTACAGTTTCAACTACTGCCTCAGTGTGAACACTTAGAAACTCATCTATCTGTTTTGACAATAATATTCACATTTCTAACTGCCTACAAAAATGTACATATTTTAAAAGACTCCCAGTACAACTGTTCACACATGTTCATGTCTAAGAATGAAACAATGAAACTCCCTAGAAGACCAAACCTCCCCCAAAAAAATTCCTTTCCCCTTCCTGTTAACAAAATCTCCCCTCAAGCTTTGCTAGTTAACTTAGATCACTTCCTCCTTATTCCTCTTTATTCAATCTCTGCTTCAAAATGCCTCTCAGATTTACCACTTTCTCTACTCACATCTCAGCTACCCTAGTCCAAATGTATTTAACTCATAACTGGACCATGGTCATAAACTCCTCTCCTCCTCTCCAATATATTCTCCCACCCCTCCATCCTGCCCACTCTTTCCAGACTAATCTTCTCTCCACAAAGATCCTCTGTGACCCCTCAGCCTGTGTCCAACAGCATTCACCATAGCCTGCCCCTCCAGGCCTCTCCCACTGCTTACCAGCTGCTGTGCTCAGGCTGGCGTGTTAGGTGTTTGCTGTGCCGTGAGCCATTCTGCTCATTCCTCCTTCCTTATTTTACCAACATTTTTACCTCCAACTCTGCAAGTGCTCTCACTTTCATCTTCCCAGTAAAAAATCCCACACATCTTTAAAGCTCACCTTATATCCCTTTTCCTCTTTTCCCAGAAGACTTACTCAACAAATCCCACCCAAAGAGATCCCTCCCTTTCTCTACCCACATAGCACTAGTCACAGAGTTTAAAGTTCTCTGAGAAGTCATATAGAACAATCCTTCAATTTTATAGTTGAGGTTGAGAGACTTGGTTAGTCCTGCAACCAGTTAGTGACAAATAAAACTAGAATCCAGATGTCTCGAATGCATTTTCTTTCCCACTGCATTTTACTGCCTTTTCTTTGTTAACTGCAAGATGTTTTACAGTTTAATCCTATTCAACCTTATATTTTGTTTAGTGTTTAAAAATCATGTATCCTTGATTAGATCATAGGCAGCTTAGGTGCAATGATGTGATGCAGGGTCTATATTAGATAAAAAGCCCTTATTGAGGGGGCATTTAAGGCTGTCGTTCACAGTAAGGTTTAATGTAGGGCCAAACCATTAAACTAATATGTTTTGGAATAATTGGGAATCAGAGCCAGGAACACAAATCAAACCAAGGAGAAAAAATAAGAGAGTAATTTAATGTCAGGAGCTTAGAAAACCAGAATCAAGAGAAATGAGGAAGGTTCCAGAGTACAAACTCCTTGGTTGAATTATAGGTGGTTCAAGAGAGGTAGGTCAATAGGGACATGTTCCTACCCAACTCCTAGAACAGCGGGTATAGGAAGAAGAAAATGGATCCTTACCAATATCCCCACAAGGCTCCTCTGTCTAGCTAGAGAAGATGACCCTAAAAGGGGACACCAAGCATAAGAAAGCATGATTTCTAATTATAGAAGGTCTTGCCAGCCAGAGGGGCTGAGCAGGGAGGCCAGAGCTGCTCAGATCCAAAAGGTGCTAAGATGCCCTTAATTGGCTGTTGGCGCAACCCCATAATCCTCCTGAGGCAGAAGGATTGCTTTAGCCCAGGAGTTCAAGTATTTGGTGCTCCCATTGCAGGCTTCAGAGTGTGGGCTCATCAGAACCTATCCCTCTTGAACCCTGGCCCAGGCCCCTGGACAGAGGCCTATGCCTCTTAACTCCTGTCCTGGCTGCAGGACAACAGATCTAATCTACCAGTGATTGACTTGGCCTACCTGTGCTAACTCCCTATATTTTGTTAATATAAACAGCTTAGCATGGAGTATAAAGGATATTGCATGCTTTTACCCCACTTTTCGTGTCCAGTTTTATTTCCCAAGGTATCCCTTTACTTATCTTACATGATAGCCATCCAGGCAGCCACAATTCCTCACATATAATATACACTTTCAGGCCTCCTTGTGCTGTTCCCTCTGCCTAGAGTGCTCTTCCTGTTCCCTTCCCACTCTATCTGACTGACAAGAATGTATTTATGTTTTGAGATCCAACTCACATGCTTCTGCTGCAGTGAAGTATTCTCATATCCCCCCTAATCAGAACAGAGGAACTCATTCCTTTCTCTAGACTCTCATAATCAGTTACTTGTGTTTTTCTTACAGCACTTTTTAAAAAATCTGCTTTATAGTATGGTATAGTTTTAAAACTTCGCTGTATTATATTCAAGCACCTTGAGAAAAGGGACTATGTCTTAATTTTCACTGTACCCTCACAGGACCTAGTCCATCCTGTTGAATAAACATGTTGGGCTAGGCCAGGCATGGTGACTCACATCTGTAATCCCAGTGCTTTGGAAAGCTGAGGCAGGGGGATCACTTGAGGCCAGGAGTTCAAGATCAGCCTGGGCAACATAGCAAAAGCCTGTCTCCACAAAAAATAAAACTAAAATAAAAAACTAGCTGGGCATGGTGGCATGCACCTGTAGTCCCAGATATTTGGGAGGCTGAGGCAGAAGGATTGCTTGAGCCCAGGAGTTCAAGGTTACAGTAAGCTATGATCCCACCACTGCACTCTAGCCTAGGTAACAGAGAAAGACCCTGTCTGCCTTAAAAAAAAATTAATAAAATAAAATATGTTGGGCTAAGTCTTGAATTGTTGTTTCTATTTTTTAAACAAACTATTTTTTAGAGCAGTTTTAGGTTCACAGCAAAATTAAGTGGAAAGTCCAGAGAGTTCCTATGTATCCTCTGCCCCAACACACACATGGTCTCTCCCACAATCAACATTCTGCCTCAGAGTGGTACATTTATTACAATGAATGAACCTACATTGACACATTGTTACCACCCGAAGTCCATAGTTTATATTAGGCTTCACTCTTGGTGCTATATGTATATGGATGGGTTATGACAAATGTATAATGACAAGTATCCACCACTATATCATACAAAGTAGTTTCACTGTTCTAAAGATTCTCTGTGTTCTGCCTATTCATCCCTCCATTCCTGCTAACCCCTGGCAACCAGTGATCTTTTTTACTGTCTCTGTAGTTTTGTCTTTTCCAGAATGTCATATAGCTGGAATCATAAAGTATGGAGCCATTTCCAGTTGTCTTCTTTCACTTAGTATAATTATATGGATTTAAGTTTCCTTTATGTCTTTTCATGGAGAATAGAGAGAATGCCACTCTTTTCATGCTTGATAGCTCATTTCTTTTTAGTGCTAAAAAACATTCCATCCTCTGAATGTACCATGGTTTATTTACCAGTTCACCTACTGAAGAACACCTTGGTTACTTCCTAGTTTTGTCAATTATGAATAACGCTGCTATAAACATTTGTGTGCAGGTTTTTGTGTAGACATGAGTTTTCAACTTATTTGATTAAATACCATGAAGCATAATTGCTGGATCATATAGTAAAAACATGTTTGGTTTTGTGAGAAACTGCCAAGCTATCTTCCAAGGTGGCTTTGCCATTTTGCATTTCCACCAGCAATGAATGAGCTTTCTTGTTTCTGCATATCCTCACCAGCATTTGGTACTATCAGTGTCTTGGATTTTTGCCATTCTAATAGGTGGTAGTAGCTCACTGTTTTTTAAATTTGCAATACCCTGATGACATATAATGTTGAGCATCTTTTTATGTGCTTATTTATCATCAGTTTATCTTCTTTGGCAAGGTACTATTCTCTATTTTTTACCTAAGAAAAATAAATACATGCCAATTTTTGAAACAATATACTGGTTTACAAAGTAAAAAGTTGAAGTTCTCTCTCTCTCTCTCAATCCCACTACCCAAAAGTAATCACTGTTAACATTGTCTTCATTCAAGACATGTTTCTATGCATTAACATACCTACATATGTATATTTTTATGTACTCATTTGATTTTTCTTTTAATAGTATTTTATGAGTTACTTTTTAAATATATGTTAAAGGTATATTACTTTACTATATCCTGGAGACCTTTCAATGTCAGTAATGGGTGCAGAATATGCCAGAGGATGAATGTGCTATAAAGTAACTAATGAGTTCCTTATTGGACATCTATGTTGTTTTTTAAAATTTTTCTTTCTTTTTTTAACCTTTAGGCAATTCTGTAATGAACCACCTTCTGTATATATATACATATCTCTGTACAACAATGCCAGTATATCTGTGGCTGGATTCTTAGAAATGGAATTGCTGAGTCAAAGATTACATAATTTAACAACATGATAGGAATTGTCCTCAAACTGCCAAACTGTGCACAAAAAAGGCTGTTCAAGTTTACACTCCCATCAAGTGTTAGAGAGTAGTTCAGTATTCAGAGAAGCCATAGAAGTTTTAAATATGTGCTTCAGGAGCTACTGGGGAAAACAAGGGAGTAAGAAAAAGGCTGGTAGTCCACACAGCAATCTCCTTTCCTCTTCAGTGAGAACACCTCTCCTTTGATCAACATTATTTATTCGGCTTAGTTTAAAATTCCTCTTGAGGAGAAGTTTCTGGGACTAAACATTTGAAAATATTTGAAATAAAAAAATTACCTGTTTTTAAGTGACAAAAATTATTAATTTATAAGTTACTTAGGAATGTTCTCAGGTGCAAGTAACAGATGACACAAACACAGCAGATTGAATCGGCGATGGTACAATTTTCTCATGTAACATAAATGCAGCAGCTGCATTTGTTGGGTGGCTCAGTGGCCTTTTGGGCTTTTCCTTCATGGTTGCAAGATGGCACTACTCCAACTCAAGCATCATGTTTGTATTCAAGACAGAAGGAAAGGGAGACGGTTTGTATCAGTCACTCTGACCCTTTTATCAGAATTGCATAAGTGCTCTTAGAAGCAGTCTGCTTCTCCCTAAGATCTTTGCTCAGATGTTATTGGGCAGAGCTTTTTTGTGTGTGTAGTGTCTAATGGTTGCAAGGGAGGTTGGGAAAAATGATTCTTTTTTTTCTGGCTTTTATAGTGGAAGCAGGCAAAAGATTAGTTGGGTGTAGTTGTTGGGTTAGCCGGTCATCATGCTCTGCCCCTAAGTGCTCAGAATACTGAAGACTAAAGATGCAATGACAAACAAGATAGTCCTTATTGTTTTTGTTTGTTTGTTTGTTTTTTGTTTTTAGATACAGCTATAATTTTATTACAAAACTGTTCTTTTGGCATTAGTTAGTTACAGTGATAGCAAGATAATGTGAGTGTGCAGACTGGCTCTGATGGAACCACTGTATTCCCTGCTTACTGAACCAAACTTCAGCTACCTCATATCCATTACATACAAGTGACCTGCAGTTATTACTGCTACAAATCTTGACGCGTGTACCGCTGAGGGAGGAGCTGATGCTAAGGGATTTGATTACATGTTGATAAGACTACAAAAGTTCGTTTATGGGACTTTTTCTTCCTCTTCCCATGCAATGACTTTGCTTTAGAACAATCACATGGCTTAGAGCTAGTCTGAGTAGCAGCAGCACCCAAGGAGCGTCAGTTCTTGTTAAAAAGCAATACCTGTGTGATGCATTTTTACGCCACAGGCAAAGGGAAGGATCACCCTCATTTTAAACTCCTGCAGAGTCCCTTAATAAAATATCAAAGCATTCCATCAAGTTCTTCTGGGTGGTGTTATTGCTGTACATTTGTTGGTGAGTCATTTTCTGTGCTGTGTTTGCTTTGAAAGGATCTTCCAATTTATCTCCAATATTCCTTTCTTATCATGTCCTTTTCTTTAGCTAGGATTTCACATAACCCTAATGCATTATTAAGAATGTCTTCCTTATTGACACACTGGTTTTCTAGCATGTCTTCATAGATACCCACAAGAAAGGCAATTAGGTAGGGGGAACTATGACTTGGTTGTAAATCAAGTAATTGATTTAACAGATTAGGATATTTGGAAAGACCACGATCCTGCAAAATTCCTTTCAAATAGTTCCATGAACTATTATGTGGTACTAGTTGAATCATTTCCAGAGTGTATTGGACTTCTCTCTCCAATACAGCACAATCATTGTAGCCAGTGGTGTTGGAAATAACAAAATATCTTCGGTTCCAGACAGAGTTATTTCTCACATCCTCTTTGAGAAGTTGGTCCACATACTGCAGCTCATTATCCCAAAGTTTAAATTCCTGAATAACCCATTGTCGATGCTGCCAGGCATGATAATTCTTTGCATCCTGATTAAGAATATTATCAATAAATTCAGGCTCCTGAGATGGATCTCTTAGCCATTCCACTATTACTCGCCTATTGTGACAAACTAGATAGTTTTTGGGCTGCCCCTCAATTATTTCAGTGATGTAGTTCATTTCCTCATGTAGATCCTTCTGAAGTGACTTTAAGAGAACTCTCCGGAAATGTCACACTGTATAATTGGCTGCATTTAACTCAACAGCATCCCGGGTTAGCTTAAAACCTCGTTCGCTTCTTTCTTCATGCTGCAGGACAGCTCGGAAGTAATCAAACATCTCTAAATTTGTCACTATAAATGATCTGGACCACGGGATTGGGGCCATCATTCTGCGGCACTGGATCTGTATCAGCCCATTCTGTTCTGTCCCTGTACGGGACATAGGAGGGCGAATCCAGGCTCAGAAACCCGTCGTCCATGGGGGACGCCACGGCTTCCCCAGCCTCTGCTGCCATCTCTTCCTCGTGCTGCTCCTGGGGCAGCGGTGGGTGCGGCTGGGGCGGGGGCTGCTCCAGCTGCCGGGGCTCACCGCCTTGCGCAGCCTCCCCGACCCCCTCGGTGGCCGCCATCTCAAGATGGTCCTTATTCTTAAGGTGTTAACAAACAGAAGTGCAAACAAACCAGTTTTATTGCATATTGGTGCAATAAAAACATTATATGTCCCAATTAAAAATATGAAGAGGAGATATTAGAGGCCCAAAGGAGAGAATGGTTAATTCTATCTCAAGTGGGGAGGGGTGGTAGGAGATCAAATAAGACTGTATCCAAAAAGTGACATTTAAACAGAGTCTTGGAAAATAAGTAGATGCTCAGCGGGTGAAATATATTCTAGGTAAAGGAATGGAGGTTCTGAGGCACAAATCCATGTGATGCATTCCAGGAGCTGCAAGCAGTTCATTATGACTGAGGAGGAGGTTTGGAGCTAGATGATGACCCAGGAGACCTAATGAGAGATGAAGCTGGAAATTGATGCTGGGACCAAGTCACACAGAGGGCCTCCTGTGTTTCACAACAAGGACTCAGGAAACCCTCGTGATCTGGACAGTATCATTGAGATTGTATCACCTAAGCTGTCCAGTGCAACCATGAAGTGGAAAGCATGTGAAAAAAAGTGTAAAGTACCTGAAACCTTTATTGGATTGCCCTTTCACCTGGGTGCAGCTACATTTTAACACCCGAGTAGCCTGCACACTTGCTAGCCCTATTGGGTAAATACTATTGAGTCCTTAATAAACTACTGAGTTGTATTTGCCACCAACTCCTAGGGAAAGTTACTGCGCTTCTCTGGGCCTCAATTTCAACATCTATAAAATAAAAATTTACCTTCGTAGTATAGAATTTTACTTTTGTTTTCCCCCAAATGTTTTCAGATGCATGATTCAGGAACATTAGTCTGGTATAATTAAAGGGAAAACATCAAGAAAGGCTTTTGAGTCAGAAAGACCTGGGTATGAATCCTGGCTCTCCATGTGTTAACAGAGTTACTATGTGACAACTGCTTGAACTGTGGTTTTCTCATATACAAAATAGGGATAATGCACCTATCAGTGCCTGAAGCATAGCTATTACCCAATAAGTAGCACCGTTTTTATATTGTTTTTAAAATTTACATCTACCCTATAAGGTAGGTGAAATAGGTCTAATGTTACCCTAAAGTTGAAGATCCAGAGGCTTGCAGGTATTAGTAATTTGACAAAAGAGCAGCCAGCTAGATAAGTGGTAGAACAGGGCACAAATCCAAATTCTTATTCTTTTCATAAACGGTGCAGCTTCTTTCCTCCAAGCAGTAGGATGGGATTCAGATCTCTGTGATGCCTGTCAAGCGAATGATTTTACAAACAAATTAGATAGCCCCACACCTGCCTTAAATCTGAGCTCAGGGAACAGAAAGGCCTGGGTTATCTCATGCTTTATAATCATTTCTGGATGTGTGACTGGGATACTCTAGCCGTGTCTAGCTTTAGCATGACTATAACCTGCCAGGAGAGGGAGCTCATACTGACTCCATGCTAAGGTTACAGATACCCTGGAGACTTCAAGGGCTGCAGCACAGCGGGGGACAGGAAGGGTGGGGTTTTCCTTGTTACGGGTAACGACTACGCAGCTTTCTGGGAATGCATATTTTGGGAAAAACATTGACATTATTTTTTTAAAAAAAAAGGTGAGATTATGACACAGAAAGAAATGACCTTTACCAGGAGGAAGTAGAAAGAAAAAAAAGAGGAAGTGACTAGAGCAAAGCAAGACAAAAGGAAATTTGGCTCAACAGGGTAGGTTTTGTTAATGCTGCACTTTTATTTAAATAGAAGGTAGACAAATGAAATATTTTTAGACTTGTACTGCAGGAACATAAGAATGGAATGAATGTTTTAAAAAATATTCTGAGAACAGAATTAGCATGTGTCCTCTTAATAATTATTTCCCTATTTTGCTTCAATAAGTATTAACTTGCCATATGTCCAAACCCTGTGCTAGGCACTAAAGATATGGAAATGAACAATTGAGCTCTTGATCTCAAAGAATGGTCAGTACAGCAGAACAGACTTACACATGAGCAGTAAATTACAGGAAAGCCTGCCACCTTCTATGCTCTGGTTGCTAGTAGAGGACAGAGGAGAAAGCTCTTATATCACCATGGGGGAAGGTCAAAGAATATTTACGATAATTACAGATAATTTTTTTGTGGGCACTTACCACCTGGCAGGCAGTCTGCCAAGTGCTTTATGTGGATTATGTCATTTGAGCCTCATAATAATGCAGGTGTTATTCTGTGATTTTCATTCTTTAGATGTGAAAATAGAGAAGAAACTTTTCCAAGATCATAAGTGGTGGAGAGAAGTTTTCCAAGGAGAAAACCTGGGCTAAGTATTAAAAACAACAACAATAAAATCAGACAGAACTGAAAGAGAAGAAGAATGGTGAAAAGGGGAAATGGGGGAGAATATTCTGTGCAGAAATAACAGTATGAAAGAGGCTGGTCAGCAAGTGACAGCAGATTGCAGTGGAAAAATCACAAGTTGTTCAATGTTACTGGAGTGTTCAATGCATGTGGGGGGATAGAAAGAATTGAAATTAGAATGATAGGCATGGGTCAGATCACAATGGGCTAGCCATGTCCTGGAAAAGAGTTTGAACTTTATTCTGAAACCACTGAAGCATGAAATAAGGACAACAAAATAATAAGAATAAGAATATTGTTATTGTGTAGGCTGAATAATGGTCCCCCAAAGATGGTTTCACATCCTGATATGGTTTGGGTGTTTGGTGCCTCCCAAAAACAGAGCCCCATACTGAGTTTAATGCCCTGCTGTTGCTCTCTTGAAATTTTTAATAATTACTTTACAAGGGGCCATCCTGCATTTTCATTTTGCACTGGGCCTCACAAATTATGTAGCCAGTATTGCCTAATTCTAACATTAATCCTGAAAAACAAAAAAGTTATACTCACTTTATAAACCAAGAGACTGCAAATCTCAGAGAAGGAGTATAATCCATTAATAAATGCCTTGAATCAGGTAAATTCTGCTACTTGCCAGTCAGGGCCCCTAGGACAAGCTTACTAATTCCTTCCAAGCCTCACTTTCTTCTTTTGCACAGTAATTACAATATCTGCCCTGCAGAGTGGTCATGAATATAACATATGTAAAGTACTGACACAGTGCTAGCAGATCAGAGGGACTCAGATGGTAGTTGCTGTTGCTCAAAGTCCAAGACTTAGTAAGAGATGAAGAAGGATTTCACGCCTATAGTTTTCTTTTTTTTTTTCTCTCAGACTTGTATTTTGGAAGAGAATGCACAATGTGGGTTGGTGAAATGTAAGACCAGAGGCAAGAAGACCAGTTCAGAAACTGTGGCAATGTCATAGACAATTTCTGGAAAGACTGTCCATCTCATGCCGTCTCTTTTTTCTTTGATATTTGCCTCTAATACATAGAAGTCATCCTCCAGAGCTGTGTCCCCATCACATGACTCAAACTTCCTAAACTTCTTAATCTTTGTTGGTCCCCAGATTTCCCTAGAAATTTGGAACTTTGATCCAAGAGATGCAGAGGCTAAGCATTGTTGGAACCAAGTCTATTCGTAGGAGACTCTCCAGAGAAGGCCCAGAGCAACCTGCTTGCTGCTGAGGTCCCCGGAGCCACTCTGAAGCCTGCCTCTCCACAATGATTTCTCAGTTTCTCCTTTCATTCCACACAAGTATACATCCAATAAATCTTCTTCCATTCCCTTCTGAAGCAACGAGTTGCAACCAATAGAACCCTAATACATGTAACAATGCTAGAGTTATTGGGAGAAATGGTTGAAACATTAATCAAATTCGTGTAATAGGTTTAGGGAGAAGAAGGTGCACATTTAGGAATATGTAGGTGCAGAAGAAAGAGTTTGGAGTGCCTTCCACATTTCTGGCTTCAGTGACTGGGTTGATGTTGCTACAGTCATACAGGTAGGGCATATGGGGAAAAAAAGGAGTGATCGGAGGGGAAGATACTGGACTCAAGGTGCCTAGAGGACATTCAAATGGAGATATACAGTTGGAAACTAGATATGTGCTTCTGGAATTCAAGAGCGTAGTCTAGGCTGGCAATACATATTTGGGAATTTTCAGCATTTAAATTGTCATTACCGCCATGGGGGTGAATGAGATTGCCCAGAGTATTAAGTTAAAAAAGAAGGATCCAATAATGAAATCCTATATTTAATACCGATGTATAAGAAGCAGGTAGAAGGAAAGAAATGCTGAAAGGAGGCTTAGAAGGAATGGCCAGGGAGGGAGAAGCAGAACCAGGAGAAGTGCCAAATGAAAGGAGAACGTGGAAAAGGATATGATGTCTAAATCAGTTCAGCATCATTACCAGTGTCCTCTTCATCTACAGCTGAGGCTGCAGTCACGCTATCAAACATACCTCCTGAGCCTGCTCCCAGACCCAGGGAATTTTTTTTTTTTTAAAGACAGAGTCTCACTCTGTCGCCCAGGCTGGAGTGCAGTGGTGCGATCTTAGCTCACTGCAGCCTTCGCCTCCTGGGTTCAAGCTATTCTTGTGCCTCAGCCTCCTAAGTAGCTGAGATTATAGGTGCCTGACACCACGCCCAGGCTAATTTTTGTATTTTTAGTAGAGATGAGGTTTCACCATCTCGAACCTGACCTGAGATCATCCTGACCTCGGGTGATCTCCCCTCCTTGGCTTCCCAAAGTATTGGGACTACAGGCGTGAGCCACTACGCCCTGCCCAAACCCAGGGAATTTCTTTAAGCTCCATCTTCTGCCTTTTGCTATGGCCCTAGATTCTCCTGCACTGCTTGGCTTTTTTGGATGGATGGCTTAGAGTAACAGCTGATGGCTGTTAAAATATTGTGAGTTCACCAACAATGAAAGAAATACAAATCGAAACAGCCTAAGATTGTTAAGATTCAGGCCAGGTGTGGTGGCTCACACATGTAATCCCAGCACTTTGGGAGGCCGAGGCAGGCAGATCACCTGAGACCAGGAGTTTGAGACCAACCTGGCCAACATGCTGAAACCTCATTTCTACTAAAAAATACAAAAATTAGCTGGATGTGGTTGTGCATGCCTGTAATTCCCAGCTACTGGGGAGGTTGAGGCAGGATAATCACTTGAACCCAGGAGGAAGTGGTTGCAGTGAGCCAAGATCGTGCCACTGCACTTGAGCCTGGGCAACAGAGTGAGATTCTGTCTCAAAATAAAAATAAAAAATAAGATTCTATCATGTACCTATACCTGATATGGTTTGGCTCAGTCACCACCCAAATCTCATCTTGAATTGTAATAATCCCCATGTGTCAAGGGCCGGGCCAGATGGAGATAACTGAATCATGGGGATGGTTTCCCCCATACTGTTCTCATGGGAGAGAGTAAGTTTCATGAGATCTGATGGTTTTATAAATGGGCGTTCCCCTACACAAACTCTCTTACCTGCTACCATGTAAGACATGACTTTGCTTCTCCTTTGCCTTCTGCCATGATTATGAGGCCTCCCCAGCCATGTGGAACTGTGAGTCAATTAAACCTCTTTTCTTTATAAATTATCCAGTCTCAAGTATGTCTTTATTAGCAGTGTGAGAACAGACTAATACAGTAACTATATCATTAATATACACAAATAAAGCAACAAAGCCTTATGTTGGCAGAGGCTGTGGAGAGGAAGGCAAGTGCAAACTTTGCTGATAGCATT
This sequence comes from Homo sapiens, assembly GCF_000001405.40. Lineage (NCBI taxonomy): Eukaryota > Metazoa > Chordata > Mammalia > Primates > Hominidae > Homo > Homo sapiens. Next base: position 86,189,511 of record NC_000011.10, on the reverse strand, counting down.
TTAGGTACAGTCAACTCTTCTGCAGACTAACCAGGGAAGCAGTACATGAGCTGTATGTGCCCTTTGTTCCACTTTGGAACATACCTCAAGGACATAAGCTAAAGGAAAAATGTAGTAAGCAGTGAAGATTCTAGTACCACTATTTATAATGGCACAAAATGAAAACAATCCAAGTCCTGAGCTTTAAAGTAATTTTTAAATAATATCCAACTAACTGATTTGGAACGCTGTGTAACCATTAAAAATGATAACCAAGTGAACATGGAAACATATCTATGAAATAATGTTGAGTGAAAAAAGCAAAGCACACTAAGCGTCAGTGAGGGCATAGGAAAGTGGGAACCCTCAATATATTGTTGGTGGGAATATAAAATGGTACAGCCACTTTCGAAAACACAACCTGGAAGTTCCTCAAAAAGTTAAAAATAGAGTTATCGTTTGACAATGTCACTCCTAAGTATATGCCCAAGAGAAATGAAAACATATGTCCACACAAAAACTTGTACACAAATATTCATAACAGCACTACTCATAATAGTCAAAAGGTAGAAACAACTCAGATGTCCATTGGCTGATAAAATGATAAGCAAAAGGTGCTATACTTACACAATGGAGTATTATTTGGCCATAAAAAGGATAAAGTAGGTACATGCTTCAGCATGGATGAATCTTGAGAACATTATGCTAAGTGAAAGAAGGCAGTCACAAAAGACCACATGTTATATAAAACCATTTCTATGAGGGAGGATTCAGATGTGATAGTAAAAGGTACAGGGTTTCTTTTTGAGATGCTAAAAATGTCCTCAAATTGATGTGGTCATGGTTATACAACTCTGTGAATATACCAAAAACCACTGGATGTACACTTTAAGTGGGTGGATTGTATAGTATGTGAATTATATCCCAATAAAGCTATTACAAAAATTTTTTAAAATCATTAAATGGTATGTTTACAGTGGGTAAATTTTATGAAGAAATATATAACATACATACAAAAACTTCAATAAAGCTTTTTTTTTTTTTTTCTGAGACGGAGTCTCACTCTGTTGCTTGGGCTGGAGTGCAGTGGCGCAATCTCGGCTCACTGCCAGCTCCGCCTCCCAGGTTCATGCCGTTCTCCTGCCTCAGCCTCCTGAGTAGCTGGGACTACAGGCGCCCACCACCATGCCTGGCTAATTTTTTGTATTTTTAGTAGAGACGGGGTTTCACTGTGTTAGCCAGGATGGTCTCGATCTCCTGACCTCGTGATCCACCCGCCTTGGCCTCCCAAAGTGCTGGGATTACAGGTGTGAGCCACCACGCCCAGCCAAGCTATTTTAAAAAAAAAAAGAAAAAGAAAAGAAAAACACACTTGGGTGCGGTGGCTCACGCCTGTAATCCCAGCACTTTGGGAGGCCAAGGTGGGTGGATTACCTGAGGTCAGGAGTTAGAGACCAGCCTGACTAACACGGAGAAACCCCGTCTCTACTAAAAATACAAAAAAAATTAGCCGGGTGTGGTGGTGCATGCCTGTAATCCCAGCTACTCGGGAGGCTGAGGCAGGAGTATTGCTTGAACCCGGGAGGTGGAGGTTGCAGTGAGCCAAGATCGTGCCATTGCATTCCAGCCTGAGCAACAAGAGCAAAACTCCATCTCAACCAAAAAAAAAAAAAAAAAAAGAAAGGAAAGAAAAGCACAAACTAGTCACTGCTTTGTATGCATCTATATTTTTATAAAGTAACAAAGGCTGGAAGATACTGGGAGTCAGTGAAGGTATAACAGAAAGACACCAGATCTGCAATCTAAAGGCCTGGTTCCATTCCTCCTCATCCTGTTATTTTCTAACCATGTGACCTTGTTTGAGCCTTAGTTCTTTCATTTATAAAATACAGGTATTAGTTCCTACCTCACATGGTTATTTTGAGGCATAAAAATTTAGTGGGTTCATTTTCCTGCCCTTCAGAGTAGCTTAAGCAGGAGGTTAAAACAAGGTGGCAATAAAAGCACAATAACATATGTGAAAGGGATTTGAAAGTGCAATCTCCTATGAAAGAATAAGATAGTCTAGATCCTGATTATGCTTTTAGAAAATAGCATCAGCATAGCCTCAGCCTCAAAAAAAAAGGACCATCCTTTTGCCTGAGTGCTTTGAAAAATGCCTTTATAACTGGCCACGTGAAAATTAAGAAAAGCTTTCCACATTCTGAAAATGTACACTAGTTTTAAAGGAAATTTGGGGGTGACACAAAGGAGCTAAGGTGTGTTAATGCCAAGTTACCATAGCAACATGCATGGCTGCTCTATCCTTCCCAATCCTGGGCCTACCCCCAGATGGGATGATGAGCCTAGTAAACACCAGAACTACGCCATTCTACATGAAATTATCTTCTCCATATACAGACAGGGGAGGCATTCATGCTTTCCCACAAATAACATTTGAAAGGAGAAGCCCTAAATGTTTACAAAACAATCTCTTCTCCTTTCTCCAGAATCAGAATCAAGATCCTGTACACCCATTGCAATGCCTGGCATGTAGTAAGTATTCAACATATAGCTGTTTAATGAATGAATGGTCAGAATTTACCTAGAAGTCCAAGGTTGGAATAGAACACTATTGTTTATTAGGAAGAAGAGACTATTAAATTATAGGCCAGGAATTTCAGAAAGGAGATTTAAGTTCATACTCCACATAATTTGGTGTCTGTTCCAAGCCACACAGCATTTTCACATCTGTATCTTCCCTGTTTATTAAATTTCTTCAGCCCATAGCTAATTCCTCTCAAATATCATACTTGTTATTCAGAATGGACACAATGCGATTTTACCAGTGTTATTCAACCTGTTACAAGGCACACATTTTCAAAGGCTGTGCAGGAACAGTATGTGAAAATGGCTTCATGAATGTGCTGTCCTCCACCCTTCCAAGTTCTTGGCTTGATCTTGCTAGAGAATGGAGCCTAAGCGGGCCTGCATCTGGGTAAATTGTTTCCTCCTTGAAAAGGGCAGAGGCAAATGTCAGTAATGCCAAGAGGGCTGTTTTTGAAATCATTCTTGTGGGATTGGAAAGCCTCTCTCGACTCAGGAGCCAGGCTCTCAGTCCCACCACGGAGTCAGGCTTTGAAAGTAGCTCATATCTGCTTCCCCCATATAGTCTCACATTTTTGGCAGAACCTCTGGGTTCTTTCTCTCTTGGAAGACATTTCCTTCTTGTAATCTCCTCACTCTTTGTATGAAACCCCTGAGGTCAAAGGGGAAGAAGAGTAAGGTCTCTTCTTCATCACCAGATTTTCAAAGAACTGTTTCAAACCAACAGCAATAACAGCACCTGCCAACTGCCAATCGTTGGCACTTTGCAAACATTATCTAAGTTAATCTTCAAAAGTCCTTGGAATACTTGGAAGGCAAGTATTTTTTATTCCCATTTTATCTTTGAGGAAATCAAGGCTCAGAGAGATTTTAGTCAGTGGCTGAGCCATTATTTAAACTCAGGTCTAGCTGGCCGTGGTGGCTCATGCCTGTAATTCCAACATTGGAAGGTTAAAATGGGAGGATCGCTTGAGCCTAGGAGTTTGAGATGAGCCTGAGAAGCATAGCAAGACTATGTCTACAAAAAATAAAAAATAAAAAAGTAGCAGGGTATGGTGGCATGTGCCTATAGTCTTAGCTTCTCTGGAAGCTGAGGTGGGAGTACTGCTTGAGCCCAGGAGTTTAAGGTTACAGTGAGCTATGATTGCACCACTGTACTCCAGCCTGGATGACAGAGTAAGACCACCATATCTAAAAAACAAGCCAACAAACAAACTCAGGTCTGAGTATATGCTTTCATCTAAAATAGCTAAAAACAACAAAAGCAGCAATAACTTTTGCCAACATCACTCTGCACTAGAGAGTTTGGGGAGAGCCAAGGAAGAAAATCCTGGCTTGAACAATACCCTCATATTGCTTAGACCTTAATCATACTAATTTTAGACCTTAATTGTAGTAGCATATGTGTTGTGCTTGGTGGCAGTAGGAAAGGACTGAGCAGGAAATACCGGACCCAGATTCTGGCTGGTTAGAAAGAGTAACAGATACCAGAGGTGGCTCTGCTTCTAATGCTCTTTCATTTCTCTCTCTTTCCGTCCTTCAAGACCCATCTCTGTGAAAACTTTCCTGACCACCCACATGATCCCCAGCATTAATCCTTTATTTTGTGCTCCTGTTGAATTTTGTTACATCTCAGTTATAGCCCTTTCTTATCATATTTTATTTTAATATACATTTCCTAACTGGCTAGAGCACCTTGAGGCCAGTACCAGTGTCAAAGTCCTCTTTGTACCCAGCACCTTGAACAGTTCCTGGTTAATAAAGCCTCAAGTCAATGTTGCTACTCAATAAAACATGACCTTCTCTTTATCTTGGTTTTTCAATTTTGAACCAGTATCCTCACTTTCCCTACATTCTGACTTGGATGGAACTTACATTCTTCTTGGCTGCCCAGCGTCTGAGCCCCCTTCCTGTGTCTGGGGAAACTGCCATTGCATGAGACATGCTGGGAGGTAGAATGTGTCTTCCCCTGATGGAAGCTGGAAAACAGGCCAGACGGTTGGCCTCCTGGGTCCCTGGCAGCTGGCGCACAAGCATATGACCTAATCTTGGCCCCCCTGATATTACTGCCTGAGACTCTAAGTTTGAAGCAAATGACCCAAGAAACTCGGACGGTTTAGAATTTGTGCTGGTGGCAGCACTGGTGTCCACTGCTCAGTGGGAGAGGAAGCAGCATTTTCACCAGGATGTTTCTGAGGTGTGGTCTTCCCCATGGTTCTTTTTCAGTTCCTGTCCATTTTCCTAGCTTGATTCTCTAGACTGCTTATCAATTCTGTGATCATCCTGCTATCTCTTTAATAAACTCTTTTTTGACTAAGATAGTCAGAGTTAGCACCTGTTACAACAAAGAGCCCTGACTGATGGACTTGGTGGCCTCACAGTACATGGTCCTGGGTCCTGGGAAACCAAAGGCCCACTTCTTCCTGATTCAAAATCAAGGCAGAGATACAGAATTACTCCTTAGTTTGCCATACTTTTAACTTTTCACATTCATTATTACATTTCATCCTCACAACTCTAACAGTAGGCAAGTGGGGTGGGTAATAAAATGAGGTTTTAAAATGAGAAAAGTGAAGCTCAATTAGTCTAGATGGCTTCCCTGAGGTCCCCAAACTGATGGCAGAACTCAAACTACAATCCAAATCTTCTGATTCCCAGCCAAAGGCTCTTTATAGGTAAATAACACTGAATTAGTTATGTTTTGACTTTTAAAACATTCATCCAAAAATATTCATTAAGTATCCATTATGTGTCAATCATTGATGAGGACAACAGACTCCCTCTATTCTAGGCTCAATACTATGGTTTCTGAAAAGTACTGTAAGTATCAGTATAAATATGTATATTAATAATACTCTACATTTGGGAAAGAGTATAATACTGTTGTTAAACCTAAGCCAGGCTGCTTGGGACCAAGCCCTTGCTCCCCTCCTCACTGTTTGTGCATAGCACATGCTGTCAATGTTCTGCCCATAACCTCTCAGCCCTCCCCTGTGCACCCTGAAGTCTGCTTACTGAGAACCCTTGTGACTCACTGCCTGAAGAGCACGCTGGGGCCCTGTGCAAGGGAAGCTGGGATTTCCAGAGTTAATATCTGAGAAATAGTCCTCAAACAGTGACAGATGGAGATTTGGAGAGAAACACCCCAGCTTCCTTGCCTCTTGGGGGAAATACTTCAGAGGCATATTCCTCTCTGTCTTCCCACATTTCCCAGTGGGATTGAGCTCCAGGTACCCTCAGTGGTAACGTCTTTGATAGCACACACTTTATCGGCTCCTTCTCTTCTGCACCTCGCTTCCCCACTTTCTGACTGGGGTTTCCTAGGATCGTCCACCAAATAAACTACCTTTGCTTGAATCCTTTTCTCAACGTCCACTTCTGAGAGAACCCAAACCAAGACACCATGAGACCTTGGGACTATGACTCAATAAGGCCCTGTAAAATGAAGATTATATTTCCTGCCTCATAGAGAGACACGTTCATGACACCAAGTAGCCTAGCTCCTGGTTTCACATAATCAACACTCCCTGTTCACCACTGTTGTGTCTGTAGCACTGTTTGTTTTCAGAGCGCTTGCCCACATGTCTTCCTTCTCAATCAGAGGAGTTTCATCTCTTACCACCCCACCACACCTGCCTGGCTCCATGCCAGATGCAGTTCTTTACTTCAGCCCTGCCCTCCCGTTTACATGTGTCTGAGATGACCACATTCCTTCACGTATTTGTGACTCAGCACATGGTGCTCTCCTTGCCTGGGTATACTTCCTCCTCCCCACATTTATCTCCTGCCTATCAAGTTCCCGCCCCAGGTTGACCTCCTCTAGGAAGCTTTCCCCCATTCTCTTCCCTTCCTCTTCTCTTCTATCCACACCGTGCATGCCCACACACCCACACACTGGGGCATTCAAGGAGGGCACCTCACCCAGGCGTGCTCTCTCCATCACTGCATATGGACCTAGAACTGTAGTTATTGGGCTTTCCTACCTGCCTGCTTTGCTAGACTGTGAACATCTGTCTAGCAGGGACTGTATCTTTTATTTCTATATTGCTGGTGCATAGCCTAGTGCCCATCTCAAAAAATGTGAAATTTTTCAGTTGAGGAAACAGAGGCTTAAAAGTTTAATTGACCCCATTAGAGTTCATACAATTAATACATGGCAGAACAAGAACTCAAAACTGATCCCATGGCTTCAAAGTTGAACATTTTTCCTACAATATCATAGCTGTGAGGATTTTTGTGCTAGAGATGCACTGCATATTCTTCCCAACATCACATCTCTTCTTAGAAAATAAACTCCATCCACAGCCTTGGAAGAAGGGCAGTTTTCCATTCAAAATGACCCAGTCTCCAGCTATAGCTGACTGGCTAGGAGTGGACATCTGACCAAAGAGAGAGCCAAGTCAGACCATCTCTCCTGAGAATCTAGAGAGATAGGATCAGTTGGCTACAGGCACTGGACCTATATGGTGGCAGACAATAAGGGCAACAGAGGGTGACATTTTGGGACTTCCGTTTTGGGTCATGTCATCTGATGAGCTGTGAGAGTTGATCTACCATAAGAAGTATAGACAGAACACGGTGATGATGATGATGATGAGAGATACAGAAACAGGGAGACCATCTTCTTCCATTTCCAGTCCTTCATGAGGTTGGGTTCTGTGAGATATACTTAATCCTTCATAAATACATTTCCTGTCTCTTAAGCTAACTCAGTTTTTTCTCTGTCTTTGAACCATATACAAGATAGCCTGTTCTCTGCAACAGAGACAAACCCTGAAGGAGCTGAAGGCTGTCTGCTGACCATATTTCCCCTGACAGAATAGCAAGTCCTTCCTAGAAGGGGAATCTAGCCAATGGGTCTCCTTGTCTATGACACCAGGTGAGGGGTATGCCATGATTATGGTTAGAGCAACCCAGATAGTCACTAATGTGTTCACCTGAGGTCAGCAAATTCATGCTTTGCCACCTAAGAGTCTGTTTTTGAAAATAAAAATTTTAATTTCATCTTTTAAAAATTAGTTATGCATTAACATTACAGATTAAAATACACCTAAAGAGCAAATGAAAGATTTAATTATAAGCACGGTGATTTTAGTATTTACACAATTTGGCACCTATCTCTATACCTCTTATGATTATCTAGTGTATGTAATATTGTCTGGGTTCTTCTATACATCTCCCTTCAGCCATGAATGCAACACACAGTTATAACTATATGTGAGCCCGTTAAAGGGTAAGTCAGATCATGTCACATCTCCAACCATAAGGTGCCACATGATCTCGCCATCTGTTGTGTAACTTCTCTGATCCAATCTCCTATGACTTCCTCCCATGTGACATTGGCCTCCATCTTCCTTCAACATGCCAGGCACATACCCGTTTCATGGCTGGATTAGTTTTCTAGGGCTGCCATTGCAAAGTACCAAAAACTGAGTGGCTCAAAACAACAGAAATTTACTGTCTCACAGTTCCGGAGGTGAAAAGTGTTAACCAGGGCCATGCTCCCACTAAAACCTGTAGGAGAGAACTCTTGCCTGCCTCTTCTGAGATTCTGGCCATGGCTGTCAACTCTCGGCATTCCTTGGCTTGCAGTTGCATCCCTTAAATCTCTCTTTTGTCATCACACAGCATATTCCCTGTGTCTCTCTGTCTCTGTGTCCTCTCATAAAAACACCATTCATATTGGATTAGGTCCCACCCTAATGACCACATCTTCACTTGATCTGCAAAGACCCTGTCTTCAAATAAGGTCACATTTCACAGGTACCAGGGCTTAGGACTTCAACATATGTTTTGGCGACGGGAAATAATTCAACCCACAACAATGGCCTTTACAGTTATTTCTCTGCTTAGAATGCTTTTTCTTCAGTTGTCTACACTGTTCACCTTCTCTTGTGCTTCCGGTCTTTACTCAAATGTTACTTACTTGGCAAGGCCTTCCTTAGCCACCTTATCTGAAATCACAACATCTGTTCCCCAGCATTTGCTAGTCCCCTTCCCTGCTTTATTTTTCTCTTTACCACTTGTAATTAGCATATTATATGTTGTATTTCACGTATTCATATTGTCTCTTGTCTGTCTCCCCTGGTAGCATGAAAACTCCAGGAAAGCAGGGATTTTTGTGACTTTTGTTCATGGTTATGTTGCCAGCATGTACAATCAAGCCTGGCACAAAGGATACTTGTTGAACGTATAAAAGAATCTCCATGTCCAAAGCCCGATATTTAGAGCTCTAAGACTTTTGCAGCTTCACCAAGAGTCAGACCTTCTCCTATAGCCACAAGCTTTAACTTCCTAACAGGAAGCCAGATGTCGTAGTTCCCCACACTGAGGACTTAGAAAGAAAAACTTATCTCAGCCCCAAAGGTCTGGTTGTTGGAACTCCAGTCCACCAAGTATATTTGAAGGAAAAACAAGGCAGTGTCTCCCCTATCTGGTCTTTTGCTTAATTTATGAAACAAAACAGAAGGGCCTGGTGCGGTGGCTCACGCCTGTAATCCCAACATTTTGAGAGGTCGAGGCAGGCGGATCACCTGAGGCCAGGAGTTTGAGACCAGCCTGCCCAACGTGGTGAAACCCCGTCTCTACTAAAAATACAAAAATTAGCCAGGCGTGGTGTTGGGTCTGTAATCCCAGCTACCCGGGAGGCTGAGGCATGAGAATCCTTTGAACCCAGGAGGCGGAGGTTGCAGTGAGCTGAGATCATGCCACTGCACTCCAGCCTGGGCGACGGAGCGAGACTCTGTCTCAAAAAAAACAAACAAACAAACAAACAAACAAAAACAGAAGGAAAGGGATTAGGGCTAGGGAATCTCTGTTTGCCAAAATAGTCTTTCCCAGTCATAACCTTTCTGTCTACCTGATGAGTTTTCCGTCTTTGCCAGGCTTCCTTCTCTCTCCTCTGATGTAGATCTATGGTTTTGCGAGGTCCAGTATTATGAAGACCTTTATGTGCAGCGGCTCCTCTAGCAACTGGCACTCATCCAGCTACATCAGAGTTCTAACGGGACTCTTGGGTTGTAAAACTTTCAGCTTGTGGTCTTGTGATGTTTATTTTGTGTCAACCTGGCTGAGCTGCAATGCCCGGATATTGGTCAAACATTATTCTGGATGTTTCTGTGAAAGTGTTTTAGATGAAATTAACATTTAATTTATTGGACTTTGAGGAAACCAGATTGCCCTTCATAATGTGGGTGTGCCTTATCCAATCAGTTGAAGGCCTAACTGGAACAAAAGACTCACCTCCTCTGAGCAAGAGGAAATTCTTTCAGCAGGCGGCCTTCAGCCTTGAACTGCAACATTAATTCTTTCTGGGTTCTGCAGACTGCTCGCCTGCCTTGCAGATTTTGGACTTGCCATCTGCTATGGTTTGGATATGGTTGGTTGTCTCCACCAAAGCTTATGCTGAATTTGATCCTCAGTGTGCTGGTGTTGGGAGGTGGGGACTAGTGGAAGGTATTTGGATTATGGGGACAGCGCTCATGAATGGCTTTGTGATGTTCTCAAGTTAGTCCGTTCTCGCTGTCAGGCAACTGAACTGGTTCTCATAGCAATGATTAGTTCCTGTGAAAGTGGGTTGCTATAATGCCAGGACGCTCCCCTGGCTTCCCCTGTTTGCATGTGTCTGCTTCCGGCTTGACCTTCTCCAACATGTTGTGATGCTGCATGAAAGCTCTCGCCAGAAGCCAAGGCCATGCCTTTGAATTTCTTATCCTGCAGAAGTGTGAGCCAAATAAACCTCTTTTCTTTACAGATTACCCAGTTTCAGATTTTCTTTTTTTTCTTTTTTTTTTTAAGTACAGAATACACGCTGGATCAAATATTCTTTTGAAGCAACAGAAAACAGACTAAGACATCATCCTCTATAATTGCATGAGTCAATTCTTTAACATCTCTTTAGTGCTCTTTTTACACACACACATACATGAATCCTGTTGGTTCCATTTTTCTGGAGAACCCTGACTAATACAAATTTTATCAGCATTTTTCACAGAAATATTTATTTTAAACAACAGTGGAACAGAATTTCATGATGTTTTCTGACCAAGGTTGATATAATCTGCTTCCACTGAAAAAGCAAAACCCAGGCAGCATGTTTCCCCTGGTTCTGGGGCTCCAGTCATAAAACTGAGAGCTTTTTAGAGAGTGGGGTTTACAAAGGATACAGAGGATAGAGTTCCAGAGGATGAAGAAACTCTTGTTTATTACTTACAGACCATGCTCAGTCCCAGAAAAGACAGCATAGAAAAATGTTTACTTCCTCCAATAATCAAGAAGCCAAGAAAGATTTACTGAGTTGTGACAGAAGGGAAGGAAGAGAATGATTTCCTTGGCCTCCTGAATAACTTCAGTTCAGGAATTTTTTTTTTTTTTTTTTTTTTTTTTGAGACGGAGTTTCACTCTTGTTGCCCAGGCTAGAGTGCAATGGTGCAATCTTGGCTCACCACTACCTCCATCTCCCAGGTTGAAGCGATTCTTCTGCCTCAGCCTCCTGAGTAGCTGGGATTACAGGCATGTGCCACCACACCTGGCTAATTTTTGTATTTTTAGTGGAGATGGGTTTGTCAGGCTGGCCTCGAACTCCTGACCTCAGGTGATCCACCTGCCTCGGACTCCCAAAGTGCTGGGATTACAGGCATGAGCCACCACGCCCGGCCAGATCAGGATCTTAATTGAAAAGTAGAACTATTTTCTTTATCTGGTTTTGCCATGGACTAGTTGTGTGATCTAGTGAGACACTTCCTTTCTCTGGGCCTTCATTTTCTCACTGCTAAAATGAAGCATTTGAATTAGACAGTGTCTTTAGTCTCTTTCAACCACACCAGCCTATGTTGCCCTAATCTTTTTTTTTTTTTTTTTTTTTTTTTTTTTGAGATGGAGTCTTGCTCTGTCACCCAGGCTGGAGTGAAGTGGCACAATCTTGGCTCACTGCAACCTCCACCTCCCAGGTTCAAGCGATTCTCCTGCCTCAGCCTCCCGAGTAGCTGGGACTACCAGCACCTGCCACCACGCCCGGCTAATTTTTGTATTTTTAGTAGAGACAGGATTTCATCATGTTAGCCAGGCTGGTCTCGAACTCCTGACCTCAAGTGATCTGCCTACAGTGCAACATAGTGGGGTAAAAAGTTATTTAAACCAACTCTGTGCCCCTGAGGGTCTGACCATTTTGTCAGGGGGACAGGAAATGTTGTATTCTGTTAAATACAGCAGAAAGGATCCTCTGCAGAGCCTGGTCAGTGGTACTTATAGTCTAAGTCTCACAGGTTCCAAGGTTTGTGGGTAGATCTGAGAAACAGAGGGCCAGCTGAGAGAACTCTTGTCTTCCTAACTCTTTCACTCCATCACCCTGAGACTTTCTCTCTCTCTGTCTAGAGTTGACCAAAAAGTGCAGCATCATCTTTGGTTGTCCTGTGTACCCCCTAGAGCCACAGGGAGGTAAAAAATAAACTGCTCTCTGCTCTTCTTTCCTGCCCCAGATTCTCTAGCCAAGTCAGACTTCTCCCAGCTCAAGTGGAGAATTACTCTGTATCAGCTGACTCCCTGAAAGTCAGCTGACTAAATGGTGTTCTATCCTCATTTTAAAGCAGCCTAGAAAAAATTGAATTTATGGAGAATCTCTCTGAGTCAGTGCTCAGAAAAACCTCTACATGTCAGTCTATTTAATTTTTTTTTGTTTTGTTTTTGTTTGTTTGTTTCTTTGAGACGGCATCTCCCTCTGCCACCCAGGCTGCAGTGCAGTGGCACGATCTTGGCTCACTGCAACCTCTGCTTCCCGGGTTCAAGCGATTCTCCTGCCTCAGCCTTCTAAGTAGCTGGGATTACAGGTGCCTCCCACCATGCCTGGCTAATTTTTGTATTTTTAGTAGAGATGGGGTTTCACCATGTTGGCCATTGTTTGCCAGGCTGGTCTTGAACTCCTGACCTCAGGTGATCCACCTGCCTTGGCCTCCCAAAGTGCTGGGATTACAGGCATGAGCCACTGTGCCTAGCCATTCTATTTGATTTTATGAAGACTTTCAGCTTTTAGATCAGAGGAGCTGCCTCCCCATTCTGAAAAAAAAGGTGAATGTGGCTTTGGACCAGGAGACAGGCTGACTTGTCTCTGGTTCCAGTTGCATCACTTAGGGACACTGGATGTTTGGCATGTAATTTCTGCTCTCTGAGCTTTGGTCATCTCCTCTGTAAAGAGAGGACTGTAACAACAGTGCAACACTCCCTACCTGCCCTCCACGCACCCCACCCTCCACCTCAGGGTTGTTCTGAGAATTAAATGAGATCATCTATGTGACGATATTCTACACTACGCAAATGTAAGTTCCCTTTATCAGATTTCAGATTTGATGAGTCATTTCAGACATTAGTTCTTGACATATTTCCTTCACTTAACCCCACCACTAATTATTTCTTCTTTTTTCCTTTTCTTATTTCCTGTAGAAATTATAAAATTGGTCCTCTGCATACCTCTTGATGAAGTCTACCCCTATACCTTATCTAACATCTTTCTGGCTCCATTCCCCATTCCCACTTAGATCTGCCAGGTCTCACTCCCTCATTGTGTCAGTAATTATTCAGAAAGTCTTCTCCCAGCCCACACTATCACCATGCACAGCTGCATATCTGACAGTGACATACTTCATGTTCGATCTAGTTGTAGTCATATATAGAAACCCAAATAATGATGGAATAAGAGTTAAGTCATGTGTTCCAGAATTAGCATTATCATTGATTATCTAGTGGGCTTCAGGCCATTCAGTTAAACAAACATCTATTCAGGTCAGGGGGTGGAGGAGATGTTCCCTGCTGTGCAGAAACTCAAAATTTTTAAGTCACACAGATTTGTAAACCTCCAATTATGAATAATGAAGTGGTACACACATACAAAAATATTATTGGCACATTGGGGAAGGAACAATTTGATGTGCCTTTGAAGGCTGTAGAAAGCACCACTGCAGAGAGGAGGTGACATCTGAGCTTGGTCTTGAATGATGGATGTCTAAGATTTTAAAGTCCAAGAAGGAGACCAGGTTGAAGGAGGAACATTAACAGATGAACAGAATAGCTAGATGAAGGAATGGCAAGAGTTCGGTGTGACCGGAGCACAGAATGCACAGTGGGGAGAATAGGAGATAAGGCTAGAAGGAACACTGGGCTGAAGTCATGTAGGATCTAATGTGCCAGGTTCATATATCTGGGCTTTGTTCTATCCAGCCCTTCCCAATCAGGATTCCACCAGAAAAATTAAGCCCTGATGACTTAAGACATCTATCATACAAATAAATTTCTCTCCCCTGTACACCTAGAATGGTATTAACTATGTACCATCCTGGAAAGACCTGAAATAGTCACTCAGATAATTTTCTGGAGGGCTTGGTTCTCACATGGAAGCCCAGGAGAGAAAGCCTGCTAGGCAGTGCAAGCCATCCAACATTTATAGAAAGCAAGTGACATCTTCACGTCATAGAAACACTGCTTGGGTGGCAATGAGAAGAGTGCTTTAGAAATAGTACAGGCAGAGGATAAGTGGTTAACTAAACTGCTGTTGCAATAATTCAGGTGGGTGACAACCAGGGCTCAGGGTGGTGACAGTAGAAATGGAGGTAAAGGACACCTTAGAGACATTTGGGAGGCAGAATAGATGGTGTTCTTTAGTGCTGTCTTCCCCAGCTCTTTGGCTATGATATGAAATCACCAGCTCCCTCCAGCTTCAGGCTGGAACCTTCCTAAAGAGGGCAAGAAGTGGCTGGGTGCAGTGACACACGCTTGTAATCCCAGCACTTTGGGAGGCCAAGGCAGGCAAATCACTTGAGGTCAGGAGTTCGAGACCAGCCTGGCCAACATGGTGAAACCCTGTCCGTATCGAAAATACAAAAATTAGCCGGGTGTGGTGGCATACGTCTATAGTCCTAACTACCTGGGAGGCTGAGGCAGGAGAATCGCTTGAACCAAGGAGGCAGAGGTTGTGGTGAGCCAAGATCATGCCACTGCTCTCCAGTCTGGGCGACAGAGCTAGACTCCATTTCAAAAAAAAAAAAAAGAGGGCAGAAGTGCACCAGCCACAACTCAGCATGGGGGTGGGGTGTGCTGCCACTGCTCTGGACCTTATCACATCTCTGGTGAACTCTGCACACCCTGATAGCCTCAAGTTGTGACTTTTCTTCACACCCCCTCACCCTCCTGGGCATGTTGGTCCAGTCTTCACAACTGACCTTCAGCCTCATTCTTCTCCCCAGCCACACATTTCAAAAGTGCTACCCTGAACTCCACACTGCCTGGCTGGGTTCCTGACGCTTTGCTTCCCTAACCCAACTCATTCTTCCAAGGAGCTGGATCCACTCCCTGTGCTCCACCCCAGCCCTAGGAGTCCTACAGCTGATGCAGCATTGCCAGCTCCAGTCCTGCTCATTCCCAGCTTCCTCCCTATGGGCCATGTGGCTGAGGTCTTATCATGCCTTATAACTAAACTGACCGGAATTTAGGCACGTCATCACCAAGCCTCATCTGGGGCCTGTTTTCTCATTTGTAATGTGTGGGGATTGTACTAGGTGACTTCTAAAGGATCTCCCTTCCAACACTAACATCCTGTGTTTCTAAGTAGGCCAACTGTAAAAGAAGTCTGCATTGGCACAGAACAATTGAGGCTGGGAGCAAGTGAGTCAGACTCAGCAGAAATGTCAAGCTCACTGTGGAGCCAGGAGATCAGAGTGCAGCATGCCACTGGGCAGACAGGAGCCAGGGCCTTGAGCCAGAGATTAGCCTACCCAGACAGCTGTGCGGACGAGATGACGGATGCCATGGCTTGCTTATTAGTCACATTGGTGTTCAAGGAATTAACCACTTCATTTTGTGCCCTCCAAAGGATAACATTCATTTATGACCTAAAGCTATTTAGCAGGGAGTTTGTAATTCTACCTTTCTCACAGTTACTGCTGGTGATTTAGGATTCAATATTATCCCATTACTATTTTGTCCATTTGCTTGAAATTGCCATCCAATGGGCATTCACTGACCATCTAGTTTTACTCTCAAGACTTCCTAAGTCCCTCTCAGATGCCTCTCAGTGTGTGTGAAAGAAAGGGCACAGACCTTTGGAGACCTACATTTGAACCCCACAGCTACTTACTAGTCATGTGGTTCTGGAAAAGTTAATCTCTGAAGAGTGTGTGTGTGTGTGTGTGTGTGTGTGTGTGTGTGAGAGAGAGAGAGAGAGACAGAGACAGAGTCTTGCTAGAGAGAGAGAGAGACAGAGTCTTGCTCTGTCACCCAGGCTGGAGTGCAGTGGCACGATCATGGCTCACTGCATCCTTCGCCTCCCTGGTTCAAGCAATTCTCCTGCCTCAGCCTCCCGAATAGCTGGGACTACAGGCGCGTGCCACCATGCCCAGCTAATTTTTGTATTCTTATTAGAGACAGGGTTTCACCATGTTGGCCAGACGGGTCTTAAACTCCTGACCTCAGGTGATCCACCCACCTTGGCCTCCCAAAGTGTTGGGATTATAGGCATGAGCCACCGCACCTGACTAATCTCTGAACTTTTGATTCCCCATGTGTGAAATGGGATAATAATAATACCTGCCTTGCAGATTTGTAGCCCAGGTTAAAGTGTCTACTATACGGGAGGTTCTCAGTAAAGAAGTTCTCCTTTACAGAAACCCTGCTGTTTTGCATGTCTTGAAATCTCTGCCTTCAGGATTGTTTCTCTTAGGTTTGCCTGGCCCTTTCCTCTCTTTCTTCCTTAAGCCTGCAAGGTCCCTGCTGGTCCACACAAGTTTCTGCTCCAATTCCAGACCTGCAGCATGCTGAGTCAGCACTAGCACTTCCTAGCGTAGGGGCTTTTCTCCACCCCATCATGGCTGAGCAATCACAAGCCAAGAAAATCTTGATCAGAAGATAAGATCATAGCTAAAGGCTCTGAGAGCTCCATTGTCTCAGCTTCAGATGCTGTTATATAGAAGATTAAAACCCCAGTACTGTGACTCAGTGAGGGCCCAGTTAGGAGATTACAAGACACAGTGCTGAAGGGTTAAAGGTGATAAAGTAAGGATGCCTTCAAGCTACTGAGTATAGGAATTAGCTGTGGGCACACATCTCTGGCAGGCTAGGGACTAACCTTCCTGGTTCCTTCTTTCAAAGAGATGCTAGTGTCAGGGACTAGTACAGACATGGGTTGCAGGGCCTTAGAGATCTTTTGTTTACCCTCTTTTACACAAATGGAGAAACTGAGGCCCACAAGCAGGAATTAACTTGCCCAGATTTATATAAAGAGAAAAAGCCATAAATGCATTCAAATGCAGGACTCAACTCTATGTTCCAACTGTTTCTATTATCCTATGATAAAATAGTGATTGTTAAAATTCAATGCATTGGGGACACTCACTAAACTTGACTCTTAAATAAGAAGTGTGGGGAATGTTGTTAACAGGATTTCTAGCAGGAGAGCATTCACTTTTTCATCAAATATTTATTGAGTCCTAGAAGGTAAGTAATGGCCAAATTGTTAAGGGTATAAGAGGATATGCTTAGGCGTGTGGTTTTTATTTTGTAGGCAACAGTCCGTCAAAGATTTCAGAGAAGAGGATTAACATGATCAGCTTTAAAGAGAGCATGCTAGCAGCAGAGGAGAGGATTGGAAGGTGTCAAATTAGATGCCCAAGGACTTAGGGGGCTTTTAGAGTAGTCCTGGCAAGAGATGATTGATGGAGATCTAAAGAAGGGCAGTGGCAGTAAGGACAGAGAGCAAGCAGAGCCAAAGGCCATTTCTTCTTTTTCTTTTATTATTCTGAATTGACATATAATAATTGTACATATTTATGAAGTACAGGGTGATATTTTGATACAAGTATACCATGTGTAATGATCGGGTCAGGGTAGTTAGCATAGCCATCACCTCAGACGTTTCTCATTTCTTCATGTTGGGAACATTCAAAATTCACTCTTCTGACTATTTGAAAATACACAATCATTGTTGTTAATTATAGTCATGCTACAGTGCTGTAGAACACTAGAACTTCCTCCTTTTTAGCTGCACTGTTGTATTTGTTAACCAACCTTTGGCTATTCCCCCTCTGCTCTACCCTTCCCCACCTCTAGTAACCATTATTCCACTCTCTACTTCCATGAGATCAACGTTTTACGTTTCTACATATAAATGAGAACCTGCCAAACACCATTTCTTAAATGCGGTTAATGGGACTTGGTGGTCAGTGGAAGGGCCGAGTAGAGCAGGAGGCTGGGCCCCAGGCCAGTCCAAGCATAGCTTTTCAAGACTCCAGATTCCTGCCTAGGGTCCCAGGCTCACCAGGCAGTCTTCACTCATGGCAGGGCAGCTATTTGATGGCCACTGGGCAGGCTACAGACTGCAAACCCTCACTGAAATCCTGACTGTGCAACAAACCAAGGGCATCTGTTTCCCAGCAAAGATGCTTGGTCAAGACAGGGAGTTAAGGAGTCTTATTAAAAGTTGTTTACCTAGAGACTTTCAATTAAGGGCAGAAATTATTAAAGATTAAACTTCTTAGTTTCTACAGCTTCTCTGGCTAATTAAAGTTTTCTGGTAAGAAGGTAAGTGGCATCCTCTACTCGCTATGGAGGTCATGTAGTGTAATAGTTAATAACATAAAATTCAGCCGGACTCGGTGGCTCAAGACGCAGTGGCTCACACCTGTTATCCCAACAATTTGGGAGGCCGAGGTGGGTGGATGACTTGACACCAGGAGTTTGAGACCAGCCTGGCTAACATGGTGAAACCCTGTCTCTATTAAAAATAGAAAAATTAGCCAGGCATGGTGGCACGTGCCTGTAGTCCCAGCTACTCAGGAGGAGGCTGAGGTGGGATAATAATTTGAACCAAGGAGGGGGAGGTTGCAATGAGCCAAGATTGTGCCACTGCATTCCAGTTTGGGCCACAGAATGAAAAAAAAACCCAAAAAACATAAAGCGGCGGGGCGCGGTGGCTGACGCCTGTAATCCCAGCATTTTGGGAGGCCGAGGTGGGCGGATCACGAGGTCAGGAGATGGAGACCATCCTGGCTAACACAGTGAAACCCCGTCTCTACTAAAAATACAAAAGTTAGCCGAGCATGGTGGCGGATGCCTGTAATCCCAGCTACTCAGGAGGCTGAGGCAGGAGAATGGCGTGAACCCAGGAGGCAGAGCTTGCAGTGAGCCGAGATCACACCACTGCACTCTAGCCTGGGTGACAGAGCAAGATTGTCTCAAAAAAAAAAAAAAAAAAAAAAAAAAAAAAAAAAAAAAAAAAAAAAAAACATAAAGCAAACCATAAAATTTGGTGTCAGGCAGTCCTAGGTTTGAATCCCAGATAGGGACTCACAAGCTGTATAACCTTAAGTAAGTTACTAATTGTCTTTTAAGATTCCTCTACCATAAAAAGTAAATAAAAGTAGTACCTATGTAAGGATTGTTTTCTTAATGATATGAGAAAATGCATTTTAAGTGCTCAGAACCATGCTTGCCACAGAGCAAGTGCGCAATCAGGGTCAGCTATTGTTAATGTTAATATCTCTACTGAATTATTTTGTAGCATGGCATATAAATAATCACTTTTCTAAGTATAAAAGATTTTGTGTTCAACACTGTAAAAGCCTCCTGTTTGGATATTGTGTTTTAACCAAGTGTCAAAGACTCATGAATGAATGTTGGGAGAGAAGAACATTTGATACATCTACTGTACGTGCAGATTTTATAAATGTGCAACAAAAGCTTTTGTTTTACTTTTCAAAAATTCCATGTTCAAGAGTGATTTTTCTAGGTGACTTTGATTTTATTTGCTAGGTGACTTTGAGTAAGTCTATTTGACCATTTTAATTTCATTTGGTCTCTCTGCAAAATAAGCAGGGCTGGTCTTCAACTCCTGACCTTGTGATCTGCCCGCCTTGGGCTCCCAAAGTGCTGGGATTACAGGTGTGAGCCACTGAGCCCGGCCTGAGCCCACCTTTCATGTTCGGCTTCAGCTTATTCTCCCAACCCTCTTTCCCATGATTTTGCTTTCACTCATTCTGTTATATCCAGACTGATCTTGGCTATTTCCTTAGATCCTGTGTGTTTACTGCATTCATGTTTTACTAATGCTGCTCTCCACCTGGAAGCACTTCTTTCCCTTTGTCTGAATTCTTTCTCTGACCTCACAACCAACATTTGTATGTCCAAATCCTCCCATTCATCAAAGCTTAGTGTGCAAAGTAGAGGTAATCTTTCTCTTTGGGTGAATGTCTCCCTCAGTGGAGCTCCCAGGATACTTTTTGTATGTACCTCTCAGGTGGTCCCTGGTAGACCAAGTGGCACAGAGGTTAGGCACGTAGGACCTTCAGTCATACCACCTCCACCTGA
Source organism: Homo sapiens (assembly GCF_000001405.40). Classification (NCBI taxonomy): domain Eukaryota; kingdom Metazoa; phylum Chordata; class Mammalia; order Primates; family Hominidae; genus Homo; species Homo sapiens. Next base: position 86,169,603 of record NC_000011.10, on the reverse strand, counting down.
GTTCAAATCTCCAGGGCTCTTTAGCTAGGCAATATTGGGGAAGTTAAAACAAACAAACAAAAACTCTCCATGCCTCAGGTTCCTCACCTGTAAAAATGGAGTTGATGGTAGTTCCTACCTCTTAAGGTTTCTGTTAGGTTTAAACGAGGCCGTAAATATAAACTATTTATTTACTTATTTTTGAGACAGAGTCTCGCTCTGTCACCCAGGCTGGAGTGCAGTGGCACGATCTTGGCTCACTGCAACCTCTGCCTCCCGAGTTCAAATGATTCTTGTGCCTCAGCCTCCTGAGTAGCGGGGATTACAGTTGCACGCCACCATGCCCTGCTAATTTTTGTATTTTTAGTAGAGACAGGGTTTCACCATGTTGGCCAGGCTGGTCTCAAACTCCTCACCTCAAGTGATCCACCCGCCTTGACCTACCAAAGTGCTGGGATTACAGGTATGAGCCACCATGCCCCGCCCAATATAAAGCATTTAGAATAGTGCCTTGCCTATAGTGACTATTTAATAAATGCTAGCTCTCATTATTACTCTTCTCCTTCTACCTCATTTTACAGATATAACATTTCTGGGCCAGGCACAGTGGCTCACATATGTAATCCCAGCACTTTGGGAGGCCGAGGCAGGAAGATTTCTTGAGTCCAAGAGTTTGAGACCAGCCTGGCCAACATGGCAAAACCCTATCTCTACAAAAAATACAAAAATTAGCCAGGCATAGTAGCACATGCCTGTAGTCCCAGCTGTTTGGGAGGCTGAGGCGGGAGGATCTTTTGAGCCCAGAATGTGGAGGTTGTAGTGAGCCAAGATTGTGCCGTTGCACTCCAGCCTGGTGACAGAGCAAGATCCTGTCTCAAAAAATAAAATAAAAATAAAGATAATAACATCTCTGTCTTATGTTCCCTCTTAGAATGTACAGTTTGAGGGTAGGAGGACATGAGCTTGTTCTTTGCTTTTTTTTTTTTTTTTTTTTTGAGATGGACGTTTGCTCCTGTTGCCCAGGCTGGAGTGCAATGGCGCGATCTCGGCTCACTGCAACCTCCACCTCCTGGGTTCAAGCAATTCTCCTGCCTCAGGCTACCAAGTAGCTAGGATTACAGGCATGCACCACCACACCCGGCTAATTTTTTGTGTGTTTTTAGCACAGACGGGGTTTCACCATGTTGGTCAGGCTGTTCTTGAACTCCTGACCTCAAGTGATCTACCCACCTCAGCCTCCCAAAGTGTTGGGATTACAGGCATGAGCCATTATGACTGGCCAAGCCCGTCCATTTTTTGAAGCTCCTTTTTGCCTAGAATATAGTCAACACACAAAATTAATTATTTGACAGATTTCAGAAAACTTAAGGCCAAATGCTTTCCCCCTTTTCATATCCACAAGGTGCCTTTACATGAAATTAGTGATTCCATGAATTAAACAGACTTATTGTAATTAAATGTCAAATTGGACATTAGATTAAACAGTCTATAGTTAGTTGCATGTTAATGCATGTGGTAAGGACAGACATTTTTAAAGAATGTTACATGTGCTGTACGGTTATTTAACAGTAGAGCCTGGACTCTGGCCCAGGGCTCCCGACTCCCAGTCCAGGGCCCATTCCACTGCTCCAAGCTGCCAAATTGTATTATCTTTGCTTCCCATGACTGTGGGTTAGTCTGGCTCTGGCTGGCCATGCACAACAACCAAAGCCACCATGGAGCAGTTCACACCGCAGAGAGCAGCCTCACCCGTGATCCATGAACAAATTGGTGGACAAACATGTATTAGTGGAAAATATTATGTATTTGTCCAAAGTTCCATCAGAGTCAAGTTTTCAGGTCAAATTCAGATCTATTTCTGAGATATTTTCTACAGCTATGTCTTACATCTTTGCAGAGACACTTTTTTGGCCTGTGTTCATGGATTTATGCCAAATAGCAGTTTACCCAACACTGTGATTCATTTGTTTGTTTTCTATACACTGTTTGGCTTTTCCTATATTTGGCTTCAACTGAGGACTCTCAACATATGCTTTGTGTGGCTACTCAGACTTTTTTGTATATATATATACACACACATATATATACACATATATACACATACACATATATATACACATATATACACATACACATATGCATATATATATACACACATACATATACATACATACATACACACACACACACACACACACACACACACATATATATATATATTTTGGAGATGGGGGTCTCACTAGTTTGCCCAGGTTTGTCTCAAACTCCTAAACTCAAGCAATTCTCCTGCCTCAGCTTCTCAAGTAGCTGGGATTACAGGCATTTGCTACTATGCCCAGCTTATTTTGGGATCTTAACATAAAAATAAAATAAAATTAGAACAAAGGCCAGGATTTTTCTAATAATAAATCAGGGACTAGTCTTTTTTTTTTTTTTAACTGAGTATTAACTTCAGTTTAATTCTTCTCTTCAGTGAATTTCACAGCATTAATGTTAAAGCACAATTCAGGTCAAGTAGAATATCAGCTCCTGGTGTGTCATTAATAGTACGTAGTTCATGAATAAGAGCCACACAAAGTAGCACAGGTCCACAGAAATGGGCCTGGAGAAATTAGGCCAAACAGAGCTTAAATAAATTAAGGTATAAGATGCTATCTTCCCCCTGCTCTCAAAGCAGCATGTCTTTTTTTATAACTAACCTAAGACACAAGTAGGTACAAGCCTATGGCATAGAGGGGTGCCAGAAGTCTCAAAAGTTGATTCTCCAACCTTCTTCCTTTTTGAAAAAGAACTTTTAAGTTCAGGGGTACACATGCAGGTTTGTTACACAGGTAAACTTGTGTAATGGGGGTTTGTTGTACAGATTATTTCATCACCCAGGTATTAAACCTAGTACCCATTAGTTCCATTAGTTATTTTTCCTTATCCTTTCCCTCCTCCCACCCTCCACCTTCTAGTAGGCCCCAGGGTGTGTTGTTTCCTCTATGTGTCCATGTGTTCTCATCATTTAGCTCCCACTTATAAATGAGAACATGCCATATTTGGCTTTCTGTTCCTGCATTAGTTTGCTAAGGACAATGGCCTCCAGCTCCATCCATGTCACTGCAAAGGACATGATCTCACTCTTTTTCATGGCTGCATAGTATTCCATGGTGTGTATGTACCACATTTTTTTATCCAATCTATCATTGATGAGCATGTAGGTTGATTCCACATCTTTGCTATTGTGAATAGTGTTGTAATTAACATATGTGTGCATGCGTCTTTATAATAGGACAATTTATATTCCTTTGGGTATATAGCCAGTAATGGAATTGCTGGATCAAATGGTATTTCTGCCTTTAGGACTTGGAGGAATTGCCACACTGTCTTCCACAATGGTTGAACTAATTTACACTCCCACTAACAGTGTATAAGTGTTCCTTTTTCTCCACAACCCTGCCAACATCTTATTTTTTTACTTTTTAGTAACAGCCATTCTGACTGGTGTGAGATGGTATCTCATTGTGGTTTGATTTGCATTTCTCTAATGATCAGTGATGTTGAGCTTTTATTCATATCATTGTTGGCCGCATGTATGTCTTCTTTTGAAAAGTGTCTGTCCTTTGCCCACTTTTTTAACGGGGTTTTTCTCTTCTTGTAAATTTGTTACTTATAGATGCTGGATATTAGACCTTTGTCAAATGCATAGTTTGCAATACTTTTCTCCCCTTCTATAAGTGGTCTGTTTACTCTGTTGATAGCTTCTTTTGCTGTGCAGAAGCTCTTTAGTTTAATTAGATCCCATTTGTCAATTTTTGCTTTTGTTGCAATTGCTCTTCGCATCTTTGTCATGAAATATTTGCCCGTGCCTATGTCCTGAATGGTATCACCTAGGTCCAACCTGCTTCTTGTGTTTGGTGTTCCTACTTCTAGAGTAGTGTTCCATTGGCAGGAGTTTATTCCACAGACTTTTGTCCATTCCTTTACTAATTCCTTCATTCTTCAAATGTTTAGTAGTGCCACTATGTGCAGGAACTAGGAAGAGAAAAACGAATAGGACACAGAACTTTTTGTCTGGGGGGAAGATTGAAATAGGCAGATAGCTAAAATTCTGTGTTTGATGATTATCATGATAGAGCTGTACCTATGGGGCTGCCAGTATAGGAGGTGACCCAGAGAAGGGGTCTCATAGAAAATCACAAGGAGAAAGTGTGCATAGTGGAAACATGGTCCTCACAGGGGACAAGTACATGAGCAAAGACAATGTTGAGTGTGGATATCTCTGACAGGGTGAATGTTTTAAGTTGGCTAGTGGTAATTAAGAAAGTAGAATGAACAATAGCCTTCCAGTTTCACAGAGTAAGCTGGGCAGAATTTGACCCACAAGCTAAGACTTGATAGGAAAGTGAGCGAGAACAGACAAAGACTGGAAACCTGGGCCACTGCCCATCTGGGGCTAAAGCGGGCTCTCGGTTGCTGGAGGACCAACTTAAGGCACTGGAGCCAAAAATGGGTGGTGTCCTGAGACAGGCACTAAAAGAAGATGGTCAGAAAATGCCAAACAAATGTTACCTATTTGGTGATTTGGAGAAAGTGGGCACTGGCTTGCAGCCTTGTATACCAGAGGGAAGCCATAAATTAAGATCTGAATTAATGTGGTTTGTGTAATTAAAACAGGCAAAGCATGTGTTTGGCTTCAGGACTAGGAAGATTGCTGGGTTCCCAAATTATAATCACTCCCACCACTGCACTGTACCCCCAAAGAGCATATGCTCTTCCTCTTACTTAGAATACATCTGTGCCCTCTTCTTTGCCCTTCAAAGCTTGGCACAAGTGTCCCCTCCTTTCCTGATGGCTCAGACTGTTGGGTATCCCTGCTCTGAGCTCCCATAGCAATAAGCACATCCTTCTCCGTGGATCAGCACTCATTGCATTGGATTGTCCCTGTCTATTTAGTTTTCTGTCTCCCTCCCCACTAGGCTGTGAGCTCTCTGAGGGCAGAAACTGCCTTTCATCTCAATATTCCCAGGACTTAACCAAAGACTAAGTACATAGTAGCTGCCAATACATGTCTGTAGGTGGACTGACATATAGATAGACAGATGGATTGAATGGACGGATGGATGACTGACCCAAATCAGTAAGAGTTTGCATTCGCCTTGTAAGACAGACCTTAGAGGGTGAGTACCAAGAAAAATGCTAAATATATTTTAAAGCTGTGGCAAACCATGGATTAAAAAAACAGGTGCTTTAGTCCAATTCAAACCTACTTGCAATTTTGTTGCTTTATGTTCCTGTTCACAGAAGCACTGTAATTTTAGATCAGGGTTTGCTTAGTAAGCAGGTTTCAAAGTTGTGGAATGGGGACCAATCTAATGAAAAGGCTCAAACTAGGAGCCAAGAGGTCTAGCTTCTCTTCCTGATCCATCCCACTTCAACTTCCCGATTATGTAACCTAGATGAGCTTCTTATCTCCTTAGGCTTCCACTCTCTGGCCTCCTGTCTTTCCCCTTTGCACCCATCCTCCACCCAGTTATTTTTCTTGAAAATAAATTAATCATCTTGGTTATTTGCTTTAAAATCTCCTTGTTGCCTCCAGAGCAAAGTCCAGCTTCTCTGCAGTCAAGCAAGGTCATCCTTTGAGACTGGTCATCCTTTGTCAAGTTCCTTATATCCATTACTCCATGGCCCCATTCCTCTAACCAAGCTCTTTCATGTCTTTGTGTTTCTTCTACACATGGGCTCTGATATCAGAACAACTTTTGGCCTGGCGCGGTAGTTCACACCTGTAATCCCAGCACTTCGGGAGGCCGAGGCAGGCAGATCAGTTGAGGTCAGGAGTTTGAGACCAGCCTGGCCAACATGGTGAAACCCCATCTCTTTTAAAAGTGCAAAAATTGGCCAGGCATGGTGGTGGGCACTTGGAGTCCCAGCTACTTGGGAGGCTGAAGCAGGAGAATCGCTTGAGCCCAGGAGGTGGAGGTTGCAGTGAGCTGAGATTGTACCACTGCACTCCAGCCTAGGTGACAGAGCAAGACTCTGTCTAAAAAAAGCATCAATAACAACAACTTTCCACAGTCATTCCACCTGGCGAGCTCCTATTTGTTCATCTTTTAAGACCCAGACAGTGGAGCCCTAGAAGTTGCTTTCTCAACAAGGCCTCTTCTAACTCCTTCAGTGAGTGTGAGCACCTCCTCCACTCTGCTCCCATAGAATTTTCTCTTGTTTATGTCAGATCCCTTATAACCCTGATGGAAATTTGCTTACTCATCCATCTATCTCAGTTGCAAAACTCTTGAGTTCCTCTAGGCCAGGGGCCATTATTAGTTGCCAGCACTGAGAAGGTTCTACAATATATGCTGTTTGAATAAAATCAAATGAGTTATATTGAATTTTACCTGAACTGTCTCCCTAACTGTGACTGTTATTCACTTCTCTCTCTATATATAAAATCTAATTCTAAGATTGGGCTTTGTGAGCCTTGATCAGACAGTAGGCATTATTCTGTCCCCTTCATATTTGGTAACAACACTTAATTCTTATCTCAGCCCTGCAAAGCCCACATTACCATTACTATTACTGCTATTTACTGGCTGGGCACAGTGGCTCATGCCTGTAATCCCAGCACTTTGGGAGGCCACAGTGAGAGGATCGCTTGACCCCAGGAGTTCGAGACCAGCCTGGGTAACATAGTGAAACCAAGTCTCTACAAAAAAATTTTTTAAATTAGCCTGGCACGGTGGTATACCCCTGTAGCCCCAGCTGCTCAGGAGGCTGATGAGGGAGGATTGCTTGAGCCAGGGAGGTGGAGGCTCCAGTGAGCTGTGATCATGCCACTGCACTCCAGCCTCGGTAACAGAGCAAGGCCCTATCTCAAAACTAATTAATTAATTAAATATTACTACCGCCATTACTTTAAAGATAAAGAAACTGAGGTCTAAAGAAGCTAAGTATCTTTCCCAAGTTATACTTAGTAGGTGGTAAAGCTAATATTTACATTGAAGCCCCTTTCTTTCAAAACTTCAAAACTCATGACCTTTCCACAATAGCTCTCCTTCCCCAAAGGCCTGCACCTAGTAGGTTCCCATTTGATTGTTTAATTGCTCTGAACTGCTTTGACTAGGACTGTGAGAGTCAGGCTCACCCCAACTTGCAGCTGAGGTCTGGCCATTGCCATGACTCATCCATGAAAGCCCAGACAGCCGCATCTGAATGCTGGCACACATGGAGATGAGGCCCAGATCCTCTTTCTGGCAGGAAGCTGTGTCTTCTAGCACATGGAACCAGCACTCCATTTCCTGGGATCAGAGGGAGCTCTCAGCAGAGAGAACCTCTCACAATTCATGGGTTTGTCCTGATATCTAGCCCAGAAAATGCTTCCTGGCTCTCTGGAGAATGAGAAATTATTGGCTTCTGGGATGTTTTTCTAATCATTGAGCCCTCAAAGTGAAAGGTCTCTTGGATGGAAGTGAACAGACCAAGTTTACCCAACCAAGCATGGCCTCAGGCAGCCCCCCAGCCACTCTCTACTACTGCCCACGTAACAGCTGGGGCTTCTTCTTGAAAGATGTTCTTCAGCTCCTCGGCATACTTTCCCCCCAAGGGTAGAAGCCTTCCAGGCCCCTGTGCAGCTGACTTAAAGCAGAAATCCCACTGCAGAGCTCCCTTCAGGCTGGAAACTGTGCACAGAGCCCTCAGAAGTTTCCTCTTCCTCTATTTTCCATGGTTGCTGCTAACACTTCAGTTTATGTGGAGAACAGAGGCTCACAAAAGGATGTGTGCTCTTGTCCTGAAAAATGTCCCATAGGCATATAGGCGAGAGCCAGGAGAAGTGTATTTACATGCTTGTGAATACCTATTATGTACCAGCCATCTTACATACACCTTTTTTTCTCATTTAATCATCATGGCAATTATTTTCCTCTTGTAAAGATGTATAAACTGAAACTGACTCTAAGCACAACTGCACTTTTTGTTTTTCATTAATAAAAGAGATATTGTGAAACCTTTGACCTTAGGCTGGAGAAACAGTGACTGGAGCTCAGCACAGGAGAAGATAGGACATAGCCCCAGGTAGAATCCTTACATAAGACAGAGTCTGCTCATTGTCTGAGACTCCATGATATTTTGCATGTGTTTTCCTGCTGGAATCAGGGATTAGATCTGGAGCCCAAATCCAGCTGTCCAGTACTGTGAAAAGGAGAAGCAGTTTGGGTTTTAGAAAAAGTTACTTGGACTAGAAGTCTGAATACATTTGCTTGAGTTCCAGCTCTATTATTTAACAGATGTGAAACCATACTTTGGTTTTCTCGTCTGTGAAGGAGGAATAAAAGTTACCAATCTATTTTAGGGTTAATAGATTGTTTAATAGAACATTAAACAAGACATTTAATAGAACATTAAACAAGACATTGAACATATGTATGAAGGCCTGTAGAGGCCTGGCCTACTCAAAAGTGAGTAATTTTCTTCTCCATTGTCCTTTCTTTGGAGCTCCATCCATGATTGGACTGCACCTCATTCTTCAGATTAGTTTTTCTCCCACCCCTACCTTCACCAAGCTAAATGAAAAACAGTTTGGTATAGAGGAAGGGGCATAGACTAGGAACTTAGTGACTTAAGTTTGAGTCCTCATTTTATGAATTACTGGCTATGAGATATTCAAGTGAGTTGACAAGCCTCAATTTCCTCATCTGTTAAATGGGAATAGGATATCAGTACTTACCTTCTAGGGTTGCCTGAAGACTATGGAAGAAGATGAATACACTAATGCTTTGTCAGTTCTAATGTGCAATACAAATGCAAGTTATTCATCCAGCAAATATTTTTGACCACCTGGTATGGCTCAGGCATGTGCCATGTGATGAGGATATAAAGACAATAAGACATGATCTCTTTTGAGCTTGCAGTCTGATGAGGAGAGAGATAAGTACATGAGTAAATACAACACAGTGTGGTATGTGCCATATCAGGGGAGGGGCAGAATGCCTGAAGCACAAAGGAAGGGCATAGTGTGAGTTATCTATTGCTGCAAAACAAATTACCTCAAAACTTTGCAGCTTAAAGCAACAAACATTTATTATCTCGTATCATTTCTGAGAGTCAGAAATCTGGGAATGGCTCAGCTGGATAGTTCTGGCTCAGGGCCTTTCATGGAACTTTCATGGAATCAAGCTGTGGGCTGCAATCTCTCTCTCTCTCTTTTTTTTTTTAAGAGATGGGGTCTCCCTCTCACTTTGTTGCCCAGACTCGTCTTGAACTCCTGGGCTCAAGCTATCTGCACACCTCAGCCTCATCCTCCCAAAGTGCTGGGATTACAGGTGTGAGCCACCGCACCTGGCCTTCTGCAATTTTTAGAGACTTGAGTCTTGACTAGAGATGACAAATCTACTTCCCAGCTCACTGACATGCCTGTTGGCAGGAGGCTACAGTTTCTTGTCATGTGGGCTTCTCTGTAGGTCTGCTCAAGACGGCTTTTCCCCAGAGATATGCAAAAGAGACAGCCCATCTAAGAAAGCCCCCAAGAGGAAGCTGTAGTGTCTTTTACAACCTAATCTCATAAGCAGCATATGAGATCTGCCATTTTCACTTCTGCCATTTTGTATTGGTCACAGAGACCAACCCTGGTACAAAGCAGGAAGGGACTACACAAGGGTGTGAAAACCAGGAGGTGGGGCTCACTGGGAGCCACCTGGAATGCTTGCTGTCGAAGGTACCCAACATACTGGAAGAGAAGAGGAGCCAGGAAAAGTTTTTTGAAGCTTAAGTTCAGGTGCATTTTTACTGCTTCTCACAGTCTCTGCTGGATATTGGGCTATTAAGAGGGAACATTTTTTTTCTATTTAGATTATTCTGCTATTAAACGAAAATGACATTGTAAATAATACAGAGCAGACTTAGAGCTGTCCAGAAGTGATAATGACTTTGCTGGTGGGTTTCCAGAGCAGCTGCATCCTGGTGAGGTCAGGCCCCACTGGCCCCTTGTATGGCCTTTCAAGTCCATAGACCACTCAGAGATGACCACCAATAACGACTACTTGCCGCTGTTAATAGTGCACCTCACACTGTACTGCAATCATGTGCTTATGTGTCTGATATCCCTCTAGGCTGCCCTGAGTGGGCAAGGAACATATCTCTGGCACATGACTGTGTCTACCATCCAGGATGATGCTTGGCACTGTGCCTAACAGTTGGATGGAAAAAATTAACGGAATTTAAATAAATTCAGAGGACACTGAAAATGCCATTGGCTCAATACAGGTAAATAATTATGTTTATGGAATTAGGCTAGGTGATTCCTGAGTTACAGGCCCTATGATATGTGCTTTGCATATTTTATTTAATACTCATAATAAGCCTATGATAAGTGTAATTATCCCCATTTAACAGATGAGGAAACTAAGGTCATACAACTAGAAAATGGCAGAGCCTGGATTTGACCCCAGGCCTATCAGACTCCAAAGCCTGTGCAACTAATCATATCATATCTAGCGGTAGATCTTCTCAAACAAACAATTGCAGATCTGAGGGACTTTTGGTGACTAAAAAAACAGATAAAAAAATTAAACAGCTTTAAGGAACAATTTGCCCAACATCTAAGAGCCAGGTATTTTCCCTACATACACATGCCTGTGTGTACACACACACACACACACAAACACACACACACACACACACAAACACACACACACACAAACACACACCCCTTATTTTTCCAGGAAAGCCTAGCTTAAGTCCCACCTCTTCCAGGAAGCCTTCCTCGACTCACAGTGATGTTTGTCTCCCTCAAACTCCTGCTGCACTTGCAATGGTGCCATTCAGCTGGTATTTACCCTAAGGAGTCTTGATTTGCAGTTTATCCTGTTTGTATCTCAGGTTCATGGGTTTCTTCTCCATACACTGAGAAAGCTGGACTACTTCCCAAAGGACCTTTTTGTCTTGCATATCGTAGGAGGTACTTCCTTACTCCCCACTGGCACATCACCTCCTTGCAGGAAGGCTCATGTTTTTGCATGTGGCAGGCCCTCACTGACAGCAGTGCTTTTACCCGATCAGGTTGGAAGAGCCCACTCTCTATTGTCTCTTGACTAGATCGAAAATTCCTAGAGACCATTTATTATGTCCCAGCATCTAGTGGAGGGCGTGGAGTATAGGAGATTCTCCATAAGGAAATCCTGGATAAATACATGAGTGAGTGAATAAATGAAAATGGTGGCAATGATTGTAACTTTAATGAAAACCTCTAGTATCCTCGGCATTACTACATTAACAGGAATAATGTCTTCTACTTGTTTTGTGCTTTGCCTTTCTCCAGGAAGCATCTCCTTCAGGCCCTTTTCCTCCCGCCAGGGATTTTGCCTACGGAACTAGGACAGAACACTTGAAATCAGAGTAGGCAGAGCTAGAGACACATGGACAAACTTTGACTTGGCTTGTTTCAAACTGCCTGCCAACCCATCACCCTTCTGTTTGGACTTATTACCACATTACCTTCCTTTACTGCAAGATGTTTTCATAACATGAAGCAGTGCCCCAGCCTACAGCTTTATTTGCACAGGTTATATCTATGATCAGCTTCCTTTCAGATGCCATCCCCCATGTCCCACAGGAGGGGAGGAGGTTGCTCCTTCATCTTAGCAGTGGCATTTCCCCCCTGGATCCCACTGTCAAATGGGAGATTTCTAGGAAGCCTCCTTCAACAGCTGCTCCTACCCAGGATCAGAGGCCTCCTCTTAGTCTCCCTCAGTATCTCTGCTAGGACCTTCCCTTGTTTTACCTTTTTTTCTATTTTCTGCCTTACTGTCAGGAAGGCATATGGTGCAGTAGTAAAGAGCATGGGTTTTGCAGTTAGAGCTGGATTTTCATCCTGGATCTGCCTTTTATTAGCTATTCAGCTTGGGCGAATTACTAAACTTCTTTGGGCTTCAATTTTCTTATCTGTGAACTAGGAAGAATACTATTACCCGCTTCATAGGGTTATTGTGAGGTTTACTACTGCAAGGGGTTCAGAACAGAGCCTGCAAACAATACACACTTCAGTAAATATTATCTATCACAACTATTATATGGTGTGTTGACTGCTGACACTGAGGATGACATGGGTAGCAAGAGACTGGGGTGAGTTTTCATCATCATCAACATTTTGATGGAAAAAGAAAGAAATTCAGATTTACCGGCAGGGCACGGTGGCTCAGGCCTGTAATCCCAGCACTTTGGGAGGCTAAGGCAGGCGGATCACCTGAGGTTAGGAGTTCAAGACCAGCCTGGCCAACATGGCAAAACCCCGTCTCTACCAAGACCAAAAATTAGCTGGGGATGGTGGTGCATGCCTGTAGTCCCAGCTACTTGGGAGGCTGAGGCACAATAATCATTTGAACCCAGGAGGTAGAGGTTGCAGTGAGCCAAGATTACGCCACTGCGCTCCAGGCTGGGCGACAGAGCAAGACTCTGTCTCAAAAAAAAAAAAAAAGAAAAGAAAGAAATTCAGATTTACTGAACAGCAGACTGAGAGCCTTAGTTATCCAAACACATTTAATATTTAGAAGGAACCCAACTTGCTGGAAAAGCTCAGGGCGTAAAGGCGGTTGCTCCACGTCACACAGCCAGGGTGGGAAGCAGGTTTTTCTGACTCATTTCTTTCCCTGTTCCCCAGCAGAACCTTCTGGGGCGCACTGGAGCTTTTTGTTTTGATCTTCTCAGGGATGAACCCATGTGTTTACCTTGATCATTGATGATCAACATCATCAATTGATGAGATGAAGGCCATCCTTTCTCACACTTACAGCTAACACTGCTGTGTATGTTTTGCTTCTACATTTTTCCCACTTCCTTTAAGTGGCCTCAAGATGTTCATTGAGTCCTGCTCCAACTTCTCTTTTCCACTCAGCACCCGTGTCTCTGGTTTCCTGGCAAACTCTTTTTGCTATCTCTGGCCCTATCGCCCTCCTCCTTTTGTTACCCAGAAATTCATTCTCACGGCCTCAGCTTACCTTGTGTCTGGGACTGTCTGTGCTAACCTCAGCAGGATTGGTATCAGAAGCCCAGGCCATGCCTGAGCTGGCTCAGCTTCATGCCAGGCTAGGGCTGGGGGCTGGGGGCTGGTCATAGAGGAACCAGGGGGATGACACAGACAGGAAAGTAGCTTCCCTAGCAGGTGAGGGCAGACAGTGTGCCTAGAGATGCCACAGAAGCAATTGAGAAGTTAGGAATGCTCTGCCAGGGCTCCTGGGAGATCTCACAGGGAGGAAATCTGCAAGGCCTTGGACCTAGGGGAGTTAGGATAAGGCAGGCTGAATGCTAGGTTTTGGGTCAGGAGGTTTTGGGTCAGGAGGAATTCAGTTCCAACAGGATCCAAAAACGGAATGTGATTGGGAATTTTTGAACAGGCCCAGTTTCAGTCTATTTGTAATAATAAACCATTAGATTGTTCCAGAAAGTCCATTATTTTGGCATCCAGACTGAATGATCCAGGCTGCCTCTCCTACACAGAAATTATACTAAAAATCCTTTGGTAGACATTGGGTTCTGATTTTTAGTTCTGAAAACCCAGTCTCTGTACGTAACCCATATTCCATCATCTAAAATATCTAGGACATGATATATGCTATCATCATATTCCATTTTTCTAACTTCCTGGGATAAATACTTTTGCCTACCATCCTATTTCTTCTGTCAAATTTAACAAGTTTTAATTACACAAGTGATTATAAATAAATGAATACATTCTTTGCATTTTATTTTTTAAGAGACGAGGGCCTTACTAGGTTTCACTATGTTGCCTAAGCCTGGTCTTGAACTCCTAGTCTCAAGCGATCCTCTTGCCTCTGCTTCCCAGAGTTCTGGGATTATAGGCATGAGCCACTGCACCTGGCCTGCAAAATGTTTTTAAAATAAACAAGTAGAAAGTAAAAAGTAAAAATCTTACATATTCCCACTCAACCCCACCTTCTTCTGTAAGTTACCGTGCTATCAGTTTCTGCCATAAGTTTCTCTACGCACTTACATATTTAGGAACCTGCAATGGCATACACGGTTAGGGGTTTGGGAAAGAGAGGGGTGGACTACCATGGCACAGGGAAGTATTTTATCCCTGGCATTAAGCCCTTTGCATGTCTGTTCTTGAACTCCTAGCCCCAAGCGATCCTCTTGCCTCTGCCTTCCAGAGTTCTGGGATTATAGGCGTGAGCCACCGCACCTGGCATGCAAAATGTTTCTCAGAATAACCCTATGAAATAGGTACTGCATATTGTCATCCCTACTTGACTGCTGAAGCAGCTAAGGTAATCTCACCCAAAGCCCCAGGACTAGTAAGTAGCCAAACAGGGATTTGAACCACAGCACTTTAACTCCAGTGTTGGCACTGTTTACTGGCTGTGCTATGGGAGCCTCCTGGTGTTCTCTCTATTTTTTACTTAATTTACAGTGTAAATGGACTCTTCTACAAACTTTTCTCCAGGTTAGATAGCTAGAAATGGAAAATTTTGATACATACTTCCAAGTTGCTCTCTAGAAACCGTGATAACAACTGATACTCCCAGAGAGTTTGAGAGTGTCATTTCCCCTGAAGTTTTGCTAATGTTGGATTTTATTGTTTATTCATTTTTTACAACCTGAAGACTAAAAATATTTCAGACTTATTTTAAGTTACATTTCCTTATGTACCCATGAGACTGAACATTGTTATATGCTTATTGACCACTTACATTTCTTCCTCTGTTTAATTAACTGTTCAATTCCTTGCTTCATTTTTTAATAGTTTAATTTGTATTTTATATTCATTGATAAGTACTCTTTATGTATTAAGGATATTAATCTTCTGTTGTATAATTGGCAAGTAATCTGTCCTTTTCACTCTTTAACTTTTGCTTATAGTATTTTTGTTGTATATTTCTGGTTTTTTAATTGAGATTTTATTCGGTTTATAGATCAATTTTTGTTTTTTTTTTAAGACAGGGTCTCACTCTGTTGCCCAGGCTAGAGTGCAGTGGTGTGATCTTGGCTTACTACAACCTCTGCCTCCCAGGTTCAAGTGATTCTCATGCCTCAGCCTTCTGAGTAGCTGGGATTACAGGCATGTGTCACCACGGCAGCCAATTCTTGTATTTTTAGTAGAGACAGGGTCTCACCATGTTGGCCAGGTTGGTCTCGAACTCCTGACCTCAAGTGATCTGCCCACCTTTACCTCCCAAAGTGCTGGGATTACAGGCATGAGTCACCGCACCCAGCCTTTTAGATCAATTTGAGGAGAAATGACACCTTCACATTATTGATCCTCCATTCAGGAAATGGTACATCTCTCCCATTATTTGTTGTTGTTTAGTAAGGTCATGAAGAATATTTATTCCTATATTTAAGTATTTTTATTTTCTAAAATTTCCCGTTCTCTTCATTTGGGAATTAATGCAAGATTTTTACTAACTTTTTAAATATTAGGCATCAAAAACTACTTAGACAACTGTAGGTTTGCTAGTTTCTCACCTTGTCACTGTTCCTTGTATATAGCATCTTCTTTTCTTAAATTTAATTTTCCTTCATGGCTCACTGCAGCCTTGACTTCCTGGGATTAAGTGATCCTCCCACCTCAGCCCCCCAAGTAACTAGGACTACAGGCACATGCTACCACATCCAGTTAATTTTTGTATTTTTGGTAGATACAGGGTTTCCCTGTGTTGCCCAGGCTGGTCTTGAACTCCTGAGCTCAAGCAATCCGCCCTCCTTGGCCTCCCAAAGTACTGGGATTACAGGTGTGAGCCACCACCCCGGCCTAGTTTCCTATTTCCATTTTGAGGTGCCTGACTTAATGTTCTACAAGCAGTAATCAGTTTAAATTTTGTGGACCAACTAGGTAAAGCAGTTAATTATAATTATGCTATCATCATGCATGAATATACATTAGAGTGGTGCAAATGCTTTATTTGAGATAAATTTTTATGTCCTCTAAATTAAAGATTGAGTAGCAAATCGAAATTAAAACTAGAGGAAAAGTCAAAGTTCACCTTCTAGCTAGAGTTGTTATAGCAACTCCAGGAAATAAATCTGCATACACAGAAGGGAGAGCAAGAGAAAATAACTGTTGATCTCTAATATGAGCTCTAGGCAATTGTTTTTCTATTTCTTCAATACTTTCATGTTGAGATGACTAGGATTATGATTCTTTCTTTCATGTATTCCATTATATTCTCTGTCATATTTTTCTCTTGAAACCTGTCTCAGGAAGAATCAACTTTCTGAAGGAGACAGAATCATCATGCCTTCACATTCCTAAAGATGGGGTAACCTGGGTTTGTTCTTTCTCTCTCTATATATATGTTTAATATGGAACACTTCATGAATTTGTGTGTCATTCTTGTGCAGGGGCCATGCTAATCTTCTCCGTATCATTCCAATTTTTAGTATATGTGCTGCCGAAGCCAGCATGGGGTTTGTTCTTTCTGATCCCATTTGGTTCATTCATTCATTCAACAAATATTCCTTGAGCATTTATGACACTGGTTTTCAACCTGGTTACATAATAAAACCACCCAGGGAACATTTCCAAAATACCATTACCAGGTTTCACCCATAGATTAATGGAGCCCAGGCCAGGCCTGTACATTTCTAAAGCTCCTCAAGCAATTAAGATGCATATGAGGGTTGAACACAGCTGCCCCATGATATATTAGGTCCTGTGCAAACAAGAGGGGATGCAAATAAAAATAAATAATTGCTAACATTTATTGAGGGTGCACACTGTATGTCAGGCACTATTCTCAGTTCCTTATGGGTTTTAACACATTTAATCCTCTCAACAACCCTACAAGGTATTACTGTTTATAGACAAGAAAACTGAGGCACAGAGAGGCTAAGTAACTTGTCCAAGGTAACACATCTAGGAAGTGGCATCTGGAGTCCATCCTCTCTTTTCTATGGCCCATCCACAGTATCATAGTCAAGTAAATAATGAAAAGACAGGAGATATGTATCAAGAAGAACACCTAGAGTGACAGGTGGAGGAAGGAGATAGGGTCAGGAAGGCTTCCTGTAGGAGGTGGCAGTTCAATTAAATAGAGGAAAAATGGAAACCAGAGAGCAAAGTGGGGTACAGAGTTCCTCAGATTCCTTCCTCCCTTGTCTTGCTACACAACCTGCCTCCCTCCCCTAGTCCTGGGAGCTCTGTCCTCCCTCTTCTCCACACTGAAAACACTGGAATGCCCTCAATCATCCTTAATATGCCTAACATTTCAACTGGGAAGTCTGAAGTCATGCACAATTACTCATGCAATTTTTCCTCCAGACAATAGGTCCTTCTGTGTGCTTCTCATTCAAATATATAAAGCTTCACTCTGTTGTTTTAAAAAAGTCTTTGTTGTAGAAACAATTCACAAATGTGTCAAACACACATTGGTTCCCCACCCCCTTCTCTGTCCCCTCACCTGATTGGGATGCTAGCTTGCCAGGGACGTGTGCCCACTTGCCGACTCTGCCCAGAATGGAAGCTAGCCCTGCATTTCACATCACTTCTAACCAAGTAGGGCTCTAAGTTTAAGTTTGAGGTTAACCTCAGGGGGCATTTAGCCACACCTGCCACCTCCTCTGCCTGGCCTCATGGGTGGGAACAGACTTCTTTTGGAGAAAGGGAAATGCTTGATGCTGCTAATTAACTGTGGGAGGAAAGGAAGCCCTCTCCAGACAGCAAAAATACCAAAGAAGAACATTATAAAAAGCAGCCTTTGTACCAGCCAGCCACATCATTCAGCCCAGCCCAGGCTGGGGCTGGAGGGAAAAATAACAACTCTAGCAGCCACTAAGTTCCTGCATCCCAAGTGGGCACCTCAGGAGGTCATGCCCTGAGTGAATGTCTGCTAGAGGAGGGGGTTCCAGGACGGTGGCGGGAGTCTGGCTGCCTTCCCAGCTGGTTTTTGGCAAACCACAGGAAGCTGCCTGAAGCTGGCATGTTTATATGGTGACTTGTGAGACTTCCTTAGAATAGCAACAGGTCTGTTTCATAACTTAAAAGCCAAAGAGTGTGTGTCCATGGAGGTATGAGGTGGAGCTGCAGGACCTTACTTTAGAGTCTGGGTAATCTCACTAGGGCAGGTCGCTTTCCCACCCTGTGCTTATCAATTTAGGGGCTGATCCTCACTCTGCAGATGGGACTATCTTAAACAGAGAAGTGTCAGCTTCCAGCCAGCCCAAATCCCTGAGGCTTGATTGCTACAGGGCTGAACTAAGTTTGAGTATCTGGGAGACTCAGGGTTCAGCAGGGAGTCTGTTGGGGAGGGCTGGGGTTGCTTCAAGAATTGGGATTTGTTCACAAGTAGGAGGGCAGTCAGGCTTTTTGGCTGGGACCTTAAGCTCAAGAGGCTGCAGAATTTGGCTGCTGACCAGTACAGGGGAATGAGGTGAAACCTGAGGGTGGCCTGAGAATGGAGGATTGAGGAGCTTAGAATTTGAAAGCTGTCAGAGCTACATTGGAGGCTCTTGGAAGGCATGTTTACAGGGTCTGCCTTATTTTATAGGGGCTGGGACTGATTCCCAAGACTCTAAATTGCCAAAAGCAGGAAGTTGGGGTACTAGGATTTCATACCAGGCAAGTTTCCCAGTCTCTCACTCCAATAACATTTTTGCATCTGGGCAGACAAATGGGAGATTCCACCACAGTAATACCACATGTACAGGATCCTTGGCAGCTGCGCGTGTGGTGGCACATCCCTTTCCCTCCCTTCCTATTGATATAGGATCTCCTTTATAGATTCTTCAAGTGTCAGAACTGAAAAGATTTTAGAAGCCATGTAGACCAATTATTTTATTTAACAGGAAAGGAAACAGAGAACCAGAGAAAAATGACTGGCACAAGGGCATATAGCTAGTTAGTAATCACTAGTATTGAAGCCAGTTTTGTTGACAACCAGTCCAGGGCTTTTTCCACAACACCACGCCCTTTATAACAAATAACATTCGTATATCAGGGGCTTCTACCCATTCCATATTGTATTTCCCATTTTACTCTCTTCCATGGAGAGTACCTTGAACTGTACCTTGCTCATGGTTAAACTACTTTCTGAAAAGTTTCCAATATTTGGTATTTTGACAAAAAAATAAATAAATAAATAAATAAAATAAAACCCTATTAGGTTAGAAAGAAAGAGGTTATCACAGCCAGAGGCTGCCCATGTGAAATGTGACCAGGGTGGAAGAGCAAAGTCCCAGAGTCTAAGGCCTTGATGCTCAAAGTTGTCCATGGACCAGTAAGCATGGGTATCACCAGGGAGTCCCACCCAGATCTGCGGAATCAAAACCTGCATTTTAACAAGAGCCTACATGATTTGACTAAGTTTGAGTAGTACCTCTTTGAGGCAAGGCTCTGCAAAAATTCCTTCTCTTCCTCTTCCTCCCCAAATGCGTAACCTTCTACCACCTCCCTCTTGCTCCTTTCTTCCACATGCTCTGTCCCCAGTTTTACTATGTTAATCTGGTTCTGCCTTTTCTTGAAATTTTAAAGCCACAAAGGGGTGGAGTGGGGGTGGGGAGGGGGGACTGGATGTATTTTAAAAGGGGACTGAAAATGGAAACTTTTGAGAAAAATAAAATATGGCCAATTGGGAAGATCTTTTGCAGCTCCAATGTCACGTTGTTAATGTTGAAATATAAACATCTACTATGTTTATATTGGCTTACTTGTAAAATCATCAACTTTGGTTATATTTAGGAATTTGATGGCTTGGAAAGCACACTGAAAAACTCTGAGAACAAAAATATTTTTCCCCTTAACTTTATGGAAAATAAGAAAATCTCTTTCAAAAAAAACAATTCCAAGAACGTCTTTTCTCTACTTTCTTTATTATCCCCATCCACCATGGCACCATGGTACATTTTTTCCTCTTAGCTTTCTTACTCTCTTTGTTCCTAGTTCAGTTTTCTCATTTCATTAACATTTTTAAAAATTGGGGTTTTCTTATTATTTATTTTTTATTTAAAAATTAGGAAATAGAGAAGTAAAAGAAAGCACAACAGAATCCCGCTGATGTAGAAACTACATAAACTTCTTATATAAAGGTATCTTAAACCTTTTTGTGCATATATTTGTTAACAAAAATGGGATAATTCAGAATATAGTAATTAATATCTACTTACTTTTAAGTGGAACTATAAAATACTAACTTCTTTATATCTGTGAACATACCTCAACAACATTATTTTTGTTAAATTCTGCCATTGAAATTGTATCATGATTGATTTGGTAATATTTCTATTGCTGGATATTTAGGTAATTCAAACTTTTCACTATTAAAAGCACTACTGGGCATGGCACAGTGGTTCATGCCTATAATCTCAACACTTTGGGAGGCTCAGGCAGGAGGACTGCTTAAGGCTAGGAGTTTGAGACCAGTCTGGGCAACACAGTGAGACCCTAATCTCTAAAAAAAAAATTAGCTGGACATGGTGGCCCACCCCTGTGGTCCTAGCTACTCAAGAGCCTGAGGTGGGAGGACCTCTTAAGCCTGAAAGGTCAAGGCTGCAGTGAGCCATACTTGCATCACTGTGCTCCAGCCTGCAACAGAGCAAAATCCCATCTCAAACAAACAAACAAACAAACAAAAAGGAAAAGGAAAAATAGAAAAGCAGTGAAAAGCAATACTGCATATTCTTAATGATTTTATTACCTTAAAAAAAACTATTTAATTAAGTCATGAACACATAAAGGCATCATTACACTTGTGAAAAAAATTTAAGATAACATGAAATGCTTTTTGACCCTCATTGCCAGCCCTGGTTCCCTTCCTCTCCCTGCTCCCTTGTTCCAGCTCTCCCACTCCCACGCCAGCTCGAGGAATCCAATCATCAACCCAGCTTTTGATGGGGATGCATGGGGTGCAGGGTACAGAATTAAGTGTTATAAGGATTTCAGTCAATGACAGTCTCCACCCTAGTGAGGGAGAACAGGCATGCATTCATGGGGAGATGCGAATAACAATTACAAGCCGTGCACCATACCACTGAGAGCAAGCTAAGGTTAGGCAAACTGAGCACAGTCCCAATTACTGCTGAGTGCACATGAAGTCCTCTTCAATTTTCAGCAGGATCACTGCTCCAGGTTTTTACTTGACCTCCTTGCCTATAATCTCTCCCTTTCAACCCATCCAGTTTACTGCTGATAAAATAATCTCAAAAGACACTCTTCTGATATGTGTGATCTTGTTCATTCCCTACTCCTCTTATTCTCCCTGCTAACCTTCCCCTCATCTTCAAGACTCAGCTCAAACTTAAATTTACTCAGTATGCAGCTACGGAGCATATATTAGGTGCTAATCACCTCTTCTAAAGCTTTCCTCACTCTAGGTTCTGTGAGCAACTCCCTCCTGGCTTTTTCTCTTGTAACAGATTCTAGTTTGTTGGGATTGTTATTTTTCTGGCCTACCTCAACCCCAAACCATGAGTTCTTAAAGTATAGGACCTCCATCTTATCAATCCTGTACCCTCAGCACCCAGTACAGTGCTGGGTACATAGTTGATGCTTAATATTTGTCTGCTCAACAAAAAGAATAAATAAATGAGCTTCCCAGAAATGTCCCACTGGTTCTTAATGTACTTTTAGGATTTGGAGGTTACTTCTTGCTTAGAGTAAGAAGCAACTGCGTTAGGTGGCAGAAGTGGAGGGAGCCTTTGAGGTGACATGTTCTAGCTCCTTAAAGGGACATGTTGGTTCTTGCCCCATTCTAAGTCTTCAGATTCTACATTTGAAACAAACAGCCTATTGCTGTCTTTGCAATATAAGAGGTACTAAGGAAGTGTTTGTTCAAAAAAATAAAGAAAAGGGGCTTTTTTGATGTTGTTGTTTTTATTTTTTGAGATGGAGTCTCACTCTGTCGCCTAGGCTGGAGTGCAATGGCACGATCTCAGCTCACTACAACTTCTGCCTCCCTGGTTCAAGTGATTCTCCTGCCTCAGCCTCCTGAATAGCTGGGATTAGAGGCGCCCGCCACCTCGCCCAGCTAATTTTTGTATTTTTAGTAGAGATGGGGTTTCGCCATGTTGGCCAGGCTGGTCTTGAACTCCTGACCTCAGGTGATACGCCTGCCTCAGTCTCCCAAAGTGCTAGGATTACAGGCATAAGCCACCATTCCCGGCCAAAGGAAAAGTTTTAAAAAGATCCCAACTTTCCCTAGTCAGGAATTGGAAGTTTGTAAAGCTCAAACCTATTGATGTTGCCCCCTTGCCTAAATCCCTTTGGTTGTTTCCCATTGCTGTTAGGATAAAGTTCAAAATTTTAAACTTGACCAGCAAGGCCCCACATGCCATGAAGGCTGCCAACCTCACCAACATCCTGTCACATCATTCTTCTTGGATCTCTTCACACTCCAGCCCCACAAGTAATTTCTTTGTTTCTCATGGGCACCACACGTCTTCAAAAATGCTTCTTATGCCTGGAACGCTCTCTGCTGTAACCGACACCCACACCCATGGCCTCACACTTCCCCATGTCACCTGGCTTATTATACTGCATCCTCTTGTCTCAGCTTAGCTGTCACTGCCTAGGGAAGCCTCTCTGGACCACACTCTAAGTTATGTCACCCCACTGCACATTTGCATAGCACTCTGTATTTTTCCCTTATGACACTTTTTATTAGTATAACTTGATAGTTAAGTGTGTATTATTGAATGTTTTCTTCTTAATCGCCACCTCCTGATTCCAGACTATAAACTTCAGGAGGACAGGATCCATGTCTGTTCTGTTCACTACTTTATTGAAGGGGCTTTACCTACATTATCTCATTTAGTTGAACAATCCTGCAAAGCAGATATCCTCATTCTTATTTGGCAGATGTGATAGTGATGTGTGAAGCTGATAGACTTGTGTGATAACGTCAAGATTTGAGCATGGTTCCATCCATATTTCTAAAGGGCTAGAAGTTTGTTTATTTGGGTTTTGGATTATCAGGACCTGAACTCAAAGTCCCCCTGAACTACAGTCCCAGTTCCACCACTTTCTAATTTTATTTTATTTATTTATTTTTGAGACAGAGTCTCATTCTGTTGCCCAGGCTGGAGTACAGTGGGGCGATCTCAGCTCACTGCAACCTCTGCCTCCTGGGTTCAAGTGATTCTCCTGCCTCAGCCTCCCAAGTAGCTGGGATTATAGGCGCTTGCTACCATGCCCGGCAAATTTTTGTATTTTTAGTAGAGATGGGGTTTCACCATGTTTGCCAGGCTGGTCTCGAACTCTTGATCTCAGGTGATCTGCCTGCCTCAGCCTCCCAAAGTGCTGGGATTACAGGTGTGAACCACTGCACCCGGCTCTAATTTTGTAATTCTAAGTGAGCCTCTTCATATATATAATAGGGATAATATTACTTATTTTATCTATCTCATAACATTCTTCAGAGGATCAAATGAAATAATAGATATGAAGTGCATGGTAGACTATAATCCACTCTACTAATATAAGTGAAACAAGTAGCTTTTTAAAAAACATTTTTGCAACTTCCGCCTCCTAGGTTCAAGCGATTCTTATGCCTCAGCCTCCCAAGTAGCTAGGTTTACAGGAGCACACTGCCAGGCCTGGCTAATTTTTAGTAGAGACAGGGTTTTACCATGTTGGCCAGGCTGGTCTCAAACTCCTGACCTTAGGTGATCTACCTGCCTCGGATTTGACCTTCCAAAGTGCTGGGATTACAGGCATGAGCTACCATGCCCGGCCTCAAGCAACATTTTTTATCAGGCTCAAGCCTATAACGGCTGCTGCTTATCTGGCTGGCCGCTCTGGATATGAGTTTCTTGAATAAAATTGTCAATGTGGAGACACTGAGTCCAGATGTCTCTGTACATTATCTAGGGGAGGTTGTTAGCCCAGGACTGAAATTGACAACAAAAAGATTAATTTTGAATGACTGCATCCATTTTACAGAATGAGAACTGTACATTTAGTTTTTTCATAATGTAAATAAGGCCAATAAAGAATATGCAGTGGATTTCTAGTATGTAACCTCTAGTCCCTGCTCGCCAAGGAAAAGATGAAATGGTTAGTTAAGTGTGGTTAATGATTAGCATTAATGGTTAAGCACTTAGGCTTTGGAGTCAGACATTTGAGTTCAATTCTCTCAGCTCTACATTTACCAACAGGGAGAACTTGGGCAGGTTACTGCTCTACAGCTTCATTTCTACATCTGCAAAATAGATCTACCCCTCAAATTGTTATAAATACTAAAACTAATAAAGTAAGTGCCTGCACATAGGAAGCCCTCCATAAATTTGGAGAGTTATTGCCATCCCAGTCCTCTTTCTTTCTTGGCTTGCTGATCCCTGTGCACCTATTTCTTGCATGTTTCTTCCATTCTAATTGGAATGATGATTTTCAGGTGTCAGGGTCTTAAATACTAATGACTGAGAACACTGCCTCTCAATCTGCATCTGGTCCCAGCAAAGCCAGCTTTGTATATAAAGAGGAGATCTCTCCTCTTACGCTCTTTGCACAATGACTCTCACTAGTTTCTTGTGCTTCTGGGGAAGCTTCTCCTATTGATGTAGAGCAGAAAGTTTTTCTATTCATATTTGAGAAACTGCATGTCTTGACTCAGCTACTTTTGACTGGCACACTATGGGTGGGAGGATTTTTATTCTCTTTGGCTTTGGACACCAAGAGGATGTGCAATTTGGAGCCACAGTGAAAAAGAGGTTTTACTGTTCAGTCACTGCAAGGCTACTATTAATATCACATAGGCTACATAAGATTAGATTCATTATTATACTTAAGAAGGAAGTCTTTCTGCAATTTTGAACTAGGAGCCGGAAATTCCAGCTATAGCGTTATATTCTGGTTTGTGTGTGTGCTTTCACTTGGCATTTTTTGAGACACTATCGTATTCTATTCTCTGGAAGACTACAAAGATGAATGGCATCTTCCCCTCATCAGAACTTGCAAGCCTGTGTAGGAGATAAAAACACAAATAATGGGAGGGAGTGAACAAGTATGGGAGGAAGGACATTCTGAGAGAGGCCCCCTCTTTTCTGGATTGGGATTCATGTGTACAGGGTGGTAAAGTAAGAGAGTGAAAAGATGTCAGGCTCTGTGCGTACCAGGTGGTAAAGTAAGAGAGTGAAAAGATGTCAGGCTCTGTGCATCACCACACTGGGCCTGAATCTTATTAAAGTTACCCTGAGCAACCCACTTGCCCTTTCTGAACCAGTTTTCTCATATGAAAACAGAATAATCATGCTTACCACATAAGATTTGTTGTGCAGATTGAGTGAGATAGAGTACATAAAGTGTCAAGCACAATGCCAGGCTAATTGTAGATATTAGCCACATGGATAAAATTATGATTAATAGGCCAGGCGTGGTGGCTTACTCCTGTAATCCCAGCACTTTGGGAGGCCAAGGCGGGTGGATCACCTGAGGTTGGGAGTTCGAGACCAACCTGATCAACATGGAGAAACCCCGTCTCTACTAAAAATACAAAATTAACCGGGTGTGGTGGCACGTGCCTATAATCCCAGCTACTCGGGAGGCTGAGGCAGAAAAATCACTTGAACCCAGGAGGTGGAGGTTGCAGTGAGCCGAGATCTCACCATCGCACTCCAGCAAGAGTGAAACTGTCTCAAAAAAAAAATTATGATTAATATCCAAAAGCGTAGATAGTATTAATAAATGTTGTCAGTATATAGGGGCAGTGGATGAGGTGTAATGAAAGAGACCTTAACTCTCATCCTAGTAACATGGTGGCCATGGACCATCTTCCCAGATATACAACTCTGCTGTACCAGTAAATGCGAAGTGCTTCCTGCTAAACATTTGCCACTCTTCTGACACAGATAGTGATATCCTGTGGTCACTTCCCTCCCCTGGTCATATGTTAGGTAGTGGTTTCATGCACACTCCACCCAAGATGGTGGATTATCTGACAGTAACAGAGAAACAGGAAGAACAGTGGTTTCAACTGAAATAAGAGGTGATTTATTTTTCAGTAAATAACTTCCATTCCCATCAGTTCCCTGACCAAACAATGTGCAAGCTGTAATGTGAAATGATAAGGAAGCCAAGGCACAGCTTTTGGAAAAGCTGAAAGCCTCTTTAATATTGGATGCAAATTCTGTCAACTGTAGCATGCCGAATAAGATGGTGGCCGAAGAGAACTGTGGTCAGGATAATGACTATAGCAGACAGTGGAAGGAGGAAAGGCGCCTGGCACCATGCCTGTAAGTGCAACTGCACTTCCCTCAATAAAACTGCTGCTTTGCCCTAAAATCTCACATTTGGTTTGACCAAGGTAGGAAAAGTGATCCAGATTAGAATAGTCGCTCAGTAGAAGCTAACCCAGGTCATTTATTATAAAACTCCTTGATTTATGGGAAATACGGAGTTTCTAGTAGGAAAAAATGAGGCCATAGTTGATACCATGGTTGTTAGTCATTAGAAATACCACTATGGACTTTCTTAGGTTTCCAAAAGTATTATTCTCACAGGGAAATTGTAACATCTAAAGGCTGTATTGGCATTAATATGGTCGTATCTAAGTTCATCATGATGACCATCATAATGGTACCATTTTTGAGCTTTCAGCTTAGGTCATGGAGATTTGCTTCTGAAGACCCCCACCTTTGGTTAAAACTGTACAAGCCCTGGAGAGGGGCTTATGTTCAGGATCTAGGCTAAAATCTCCGTAAGGTTAGAGACCTTTTCTATCTTCCTCAGAATGGTGTCACACACGGAGCTCAGCACAGTGTGCAGTGTAGGATGAGTGTTCAATCAATACTTGTTCAGTATTTGATTCAACATTCATTATCTCTTTTAATCAAAGCCACCCTGAAAGCTCAATATTATTAGCTCTAGTTTGCCTGCTTGTTTCAATGGTACATACAGAGTTACACAAGTGATGGGGTATTGTAGAGGTGAGAGAAGGATGCTCTATAGTGGCATGATCTCTGAACTTAATGTGGGAGAATCAAGGAAAATATTGTTTACGTGAAGTTCCTTCCACAGAGTTGGGCAGGGGAGGGTGGCTCTGTTGGCCATTTGACTAGAGAATGAGCTCAAAACCATGTTCAAGGGGAGAGGGAGCATCAAGGGGAGATGTTTGGAGAATACTTGGGCACTGTAACAACCATCCTCACATAGCCAGGGCCCACTCAGAATGGAAGAGACTGTCTTGTCCTGTATAGGCCCAAAGGGCAGAACGCAATACAAGTTTTAGGGAAAGTGATTTTGGCTTCACACAGGGAAGAACATTTAACCCTTGCTGCTGTTCAGAAATAGAATAGATCACCTTGGAGGCAGTAAATCCTCTGTCATTGTGGGTGTCCAAGGAGGAATCACATGATCACTTGAGAGGGATATTGGGAAAGAGATTTAAACATTGACTAAGAGGAGAAAGGCATTGGGTTAAATGAGTATCTCCTTTGTGTCTCCTGTATTCTATGATTCTATAATCCTTTATTTGAAATTTGTGAATATGGCATTAAAAAATGAATGTATTTAAAAGGAAACTAAGTAGTAGGTTACGTCCAATTGTGTGAGTCTACAAAATCCCCTAGGACAGAATCTCCATCTGTGTGACAGAGCACTGGGT
Source organism: Homo sapiens (assembly GCF_000001405.40). Classification (NCBI taxonomy): domain Eukaryota; kingdom Metazoa; phylum Chordata; class Mammalia; order Primates; family Hominidae; genus Homo; species Homo sapiens. Next base: position 86,142,100 of record NC_000011.10, on the reverse strand, counting down.
TCCTAGAACCCATGCTGATGCCTGGCACATGGCACACCTTCATTAACATGTGTTAAATGAATCAGTGGAATTCTGGATATGCTAAGGACTTATGCTGTGAGCTCCTCCTTCCCAAGATGTCATGGAGTGAGATAGGAATGAAAACTGAACCCAGATCAACCTTCCTGTTCCCCTTTCCTATGTACAGAAGTTTGGTCTAGAGGGAAATAGTTGCACTTACTTGTGGCTTAAATGTTTGACTCACATAGTTTCTTCCTCTGGAGAAATGCCTCAATGTGTGTATTTTCTGTTGGCCCCACAGCTTAGAAGCTGTTGTGAGTAAACCACACAGAAGCCAACTTGTGGATTGCTAGGATGAGAGGTCCGGCAGGGGCCTGAGGGATGCCCTACTCTGTGATATGCCGGAGCAAAGGGACATAAAATAACAGGCAGAAAACCATAATCCAATATGGGAAGTCACCCCAGAGGTGACCCTGGAGAAACCCCAGAGATAAGTGTATCTAGCAGTGTGACTGGCATCTCTTAAGGGCTCAATACAGCATATTGAACAAATGAACAAATCCAGAAGGAGTGCTGGACTAGGAATCAGGAAGCCTGCACTCCCCTCTGGATCTATGTGTCACTGACTGTCTGTGTGACCTTATGCTCTCTTGCTGTTATTTGGGACTACCAGGCATTTAAACAATTGTCATATTTGGGGGATACCAGTTATAGAGACAGAAGAGCATATTTGTCTCAACTAGTTGGAAATGGGAAGTGGGTGGCTTCAAGGGCCACTTTTACAAAGTAGAGTAAGTAGGATTGTGTGTATACTTGGATGAGACATGTGAAGAAAGGAAGGTGGTCCAAAGCAACTCCTAGATTTCTGACTTGGGCAGCTGGTGGATGGCGACAATGTTTACTGGGATGGGAGCAAGCAAGTAGCCACGGGTTTGAGAGGAATCTGATGATGGGCACCTTGTACTCCCAAAGCCCACATATTCAGAAAGACTCTGGCCCTTTGGCTCTTTCCCTACCTCTGTGACTCTGAAAATAGGCCCTCTGCATGAGAGGGATGGGCCACTGCAAGGCAGGCAGCTCCAAACGTGATGGAGCCTCAGGTTATGCTTCCTGGTGCTGGAGTGCTTCATGGGGCTGGAGTAACTCGGCCCTAATTCCCTCATCCATCTTTTTTCTTATTGCTAAAGCAGTTCCAGAAGGCAAATATGGAGATCTGGGACCCACAAGCCTAAAATGATAAAGAAAAGAAGAGAACCAGGGGTGGCGTCAAGATTAGAAGCTGGTTTGCTGCCAGAGCTTTGCTTCCTTTAATGCACTCGCCCACACTCTCCCTGTTTTTCAAAGACCAACTGCAGGCTTGACTCCTGCAGCCATGTCGGTGCCACTAGGCCTTGGTGCCGAATAAATAAAACTAGAGGGAAAAAATACAGTTGTCTGAGGACTGGGGATGGCTGGGAGCATCCAGCTTAGTGTCAAACTGAGGAAATGGTAGGATGGGAATCGATATGTAATCGAGAGAACAGATCTCCCGTGGACACAGACACCACCCTGATCTGAGCCTCATTTCAGTACTGCAGGCCTGGGTAGAGTCAGCTGACCCCAAAAGCACTGTGCTGGAGAATAGAGAATGACTGTCATTCTATGATGCCTTCTGAATATCGCTGCATAGACAGCATGCACTCTTTATAACAGCAGAAAGAGACATAAAAGAGACAAGGGTGGGGAGAGCAAATGTAAAAATATGAGAAATTATGCCCCTCGTCTTTAATTTTTATTATTATTATTTTTTTGAGACAGAGTCTTGCTCTGTTGCCCAGGCAGTAGTGCAGTGGCATGATTATGGCTCACTGCAGCCTCAAACTCCTGGGCTCCAAAGATCCTCCTGCTTCAGCTTTCTACATAGCTAGGACTACAAGCGTGTGCTACCACACCCAGTTAAATTTTTTTTTGTTTTTCCATTTTTTGTAGAGACGAGGTCTCACTACATTCCCCAGGCTGGTTTTGAACTTCTGGCCTCAAGCGATCCTCCTTGGCCTTTTAAAGCACTGGGATTACAGGCATGAGTGACCACACCAGGCCTTTTTTTTGAGACAAGGTGTGGCTCTGTTGCCCAGGCTGGAGTGCAGTGGTGCGATCTCGGCTCACTGCAACCTCCGCCTCCTGGGTTCAAACCATCCTCCCACCTCAGCCTCCCAAGTAGCTGGGATTATAGGCATACACCACCATGCCTGGCTAATTTTTGTATTTTTGATAGAGATAGGGTTTTCCCATGTTGCCCAGGCTGCTCTCCAACTCCTGGGCTCAAGTGATCCTCCTGCCTTGGCCTCCCCAAGTGCTGGGATTACAGGCATGAGCCACTGTATCCAGCCCTCCGGCCTTCATTTTTAAAAAGAATAAGTTTTATTTTTCTTTCTAATTACAAAAACAACATATACTCATGGTAGACAATCTAAGAAATACAGAGACCTAAAATAAATAATCAACTGTAATCCCACTAACCACTGTTGCTATTTGATGAATATTTGAATATTTACTGAATGCTGACTGTCTGAGGCACTCTAACAATCCTAAGGCTCAGGTAGTAAAATTATTCCCCTTTAATTAATGAAAGAACTGAGATTCAGCGAGGTTAAGATTTGCCTAAAAACACACAGCTGATACGTGGTAAAGCCTGGATTTGAACCTGGTTCTGTATCCCAATTTTCTCACAATATTTTATTTGTCTTGATCTACCAAGATTTGTCTTGGTATTTGTCTTGATACCAGAGATGATGGTACATCATCAAACAATCCCAATTTTCAAATGGGAAATACTTCAAAGCAAAAAGATACTGCATGAAGATGTTTCAAAAATGCGTTTTGTCTTTCAGGTCTTGTCACAGTTATTGCAATTTTGTAAGATCATTCATTGCGAAAGTGGTGTTTTGATTCTTTGCCCTTTCCGGCAACAAAAACAGAAAGCGACTTCCCTTCTATCATTTGGCCTGAGGCTTCTTTCTGCTTCTGCCCAAGGCAGACTGTGGTTAGCACTCAGTGCTTAACCTCTTCCTCCTGCATGTCCCTCTGAAGTAATACATTTTTGTTTTGACACTTTGGATATACTGGACCCTAAAAATCAAGCCAATAAGGAGCAGCCCAGAAAGGAAGAGAGTGCCATAGTCTCACCTGTGTTTTAGGGAGGTTAGTTTTGTAGCCGTGCAAGGGCTGGCTTGATTAGGAGATCTTAGACTCAGAGAAATTGGTTATCACTTTTAAAAAATGAACAAATGACATGGGTAACAACCTTACCCCATTCATAAGCTTCACCATCTCTCACCACATCTCTGTGTCCAGCCCCATTCCTGAATTCCTCATCTGACCCTCATTTCATCCTGACATTAAGGAGATTATCTACACAGATTATTTGATGATTTTTTAAAAGCTGAAAATTTAATAATTTATTCTTTACAGTAATGAATTAAGTCTGAACACTGAAATATCACTGGCACTAAAACTACCTCAGTAAAACATCATGTACCCAATACCCAATCCTGACTACCCAGTTTTGTTCCCCAGCCAGTCTAGCCCTGACAGTTTTAGACACTTCCTGCACATTCTCCACCATTAACCAGCTCTAGCTCCTCCTGGTAACTCTACAGTGGCTCTCAAGATAGAATTGTCATTAAATGTGGAAACTTTGGTTATCTTTATTTTTATAATTATTTATTGATTGATTTATTTTTTGAGACAGAATCTCACTCTTGTCATCCAGTCTAGAGTGCAGTGGCACAATCTTGGCTCACTGCAACGTCTATCTCTGGGTTCAAGCAATTCTCCTGCCTCAGCCTCCCCAGTAGCTGGGTTTACAGGCATGTGCCACCATGCCTGGCTAATTTTGTATTTTTAGTAGAGATGGGGTTTCACCATGTTGGTCAGGCTGGTCTCAAACTTCTGACTTCAGGTGATCCACCCGCCTCGGCTTCCCAAATTGCTAGGGTTACAGGCCTGAGCCACTGCATCTAGCCAGAGATCAATTTTTAAAAATTCTGCATATGAGTGAGAACGTGTTGTGTTTGTCTTTCTATGTCTGGCTTACTTCACTTAACATGTTTTCCAGATTCATCCATGTTGTTGCAAATGGCAGGATTTCGTTATTTCTTACGGCTGAATAGTATTCCATTGTGGTATATATATACATATATATATATCACATTTTCTTTATCCATATTCATCCATTGTTGAACACTTAGATTGATTCCATATCTTGGCAATTGTCAATAATGCTGTAGTAAACATGGGAGTGCAGATATCTCTTCAATTTACTGATTTCATTTCCTTTGTATATATACCTAGTAGTGACATTGTTGGATCACATGGTAGTTCTATGCTTAATTTTTTGAGGAACTTTAATACTGTTTTCCATAATGGCTGTGCTAATTTAAGCAGTGGTAACTTCGGAACCAAGCTGTCTGAATTCAAATCCCACCTTTACCAGTTTGCATGTGACTTTGGGCAAGTTAATTACCCCATGCCTCAGTTTCCTTGTTTACAAAATGGAGAAATAGTATCTATTTTATAAGGTTGTTGTGAGATCAAATACTTGTAAAGCTATTGCTTGTAAAGCTCTTAGAATATGGCCTGGCATATTGTAAGCACAGTGTAAATGTTAGCTATAAAGACAAATGGAGTCATCTGTCCATCTTGTCATCTCAAGGGTCAGTGGTCAAGATATATTTCTTAAAAATTATTTTAAATTTTAATGGTTTTCCTATTTTATTTATCGGCATTGCAGAGTAATTTTGTTGCACATGCACAGTAGTTTGTTTACAAATTATACATCAAATAGATTTGTATGGGCTTGTCTAGAAATCTTAACCATTTATAACATTGTGTGTCATATACATATCTCTATCTATCTAAATTTATATTTGTATGCACACACACAAAACACTTTTTGCAGTAGATTTTTGGACACAGATTTTATGAACTATATCCAGCTTATTTTATAAATTTATTTTTCTTCTATGTATTTTTCATTTTCCAGAGGTTGGGCTCACAAAGCATTGTCAAGACTTGAGGTGGCCTTGAATAGCATGCTAGAATTTTGTATTTTATTCCCTGCGTTATAAGGATATGCCCAGAAAGGAAGAGAGGGCCATAGTGTAACCTGTGTTTTAGGGAGGTTAGTTTTGTAGCAGTGCAAAGGCTGGCTTGATAATGAGGTCTTGGAGTCAGAGAGATTAGTTAAAAGGCAGTTAGAATAACTCAGTCTGAGAACCTCAATTAATGTGCTGGACAAGAGGGAATACATGTAAGAATAATCTGGGGATAGAATCAAGAGGACTCAAGAGTGCAGTGGTGAAATGGTGGAGAGAATTCCAAAGGCTTTCAGTTTCGGTTGATGAGAGGCCGGTGAAACCATTAGGAAAGACAGCCTTCTCTATTACTTCCTAAATACAGAAGGGATTCAGAATTTTCAAGGAGAGGTAGAGGTAGAGACTGTAGAAGGTCAGAATATAAAGCAAGCCTATTCCTCAGCTTAAAAAACTTGGCATCTGAACCTAAAACTAAACAAAGTTGGAATCTTTTGTTTAAAAAAAAACAGAACATATTTAGTTGATAATGATTTTCACTGATGATTCATTTGACCATGATAATTAAACACATTAAATGTTACATTCCAGGCAGTATCAGGTAGATGCTAAGTTGTGAAGCAACACACTTTTTCATCCCTGCAGATCTGAAAGTTTACCTTTTCCAATACAGTAGCCAGAGCTCTGGAAAGAAACAAACAAGGCCACAAGTGCCCCAACTACATCCTTTTCAAGATGCGAATGCTTTCCACCTCCATCCAAGACTCTCAGAGCCTGTGTGTTCAGTGGGCAAAGAACGAGACAACAAGATGCCTTGGTCCAAGACTGCATGGGCAGTTAACTGTGCAGCAGGGAATGGCTGAGGCCTCCAGCCCGGAAATGGTGTGCTCTTACTAAACCACACTTCTCTCCCACCTCCCTCCCAAAAACTCCAGCTCGCATAGGGAGAGTTTCTGAGAATGAAGCTTTTCTATATTGTATCTGTGGGTTCTCTTACCGTGTTAGCTAAGTCAGAAATCCAGATGCATGACAAATACAGTGGTACTAATGGCGACTAAGGGACAGATATATATATATATATTTTTTTTTTCTTGGCTCACTGCAACTTCTGCCTCCTGGGTTCAAGTGATTCTCCTGCCTCAGACTCCTGAGCAGCTGGGATTACAGGCACATGCCAGCATGCCTAGCTAATTTTTGTATTTTTAGTAGAGACAGGGTTTCATCATGTTGGTCAGGCTGGTCTTGAACTCCTGACCTCGTGATCCACCCACCTCGGCCTCCCAAGGGAGACAGACTTTTTAAGACACTGGGAAAAACCTAGAGTGTGTAGTTGCCATAATAAAAATATATCATTTAAAAGACTGATTCCACAAATATTTATTCAGTACCTACCAGGTGTCAGGCACTGTTGTAGGCAATGGGTAACAGAGTAGTGAAGAAAACACCAATATGTTATGTAATGGGAATGGGCACCCCACTGGGTGGTGTGTTGGGACTTAGGATCAGGTCTATCAAGTTAAAGGTGTGACCCAATGAGAACACGATTGCACAAGTAATCATATCACAGATTTTTAACTTCTACTTGAATTTCAATAGTAAAAGAGGATCAATTTGAACCCTGCTTGACTTATCAGTAATATATCCCTAACTCCCAGTGAAAAGTCATCTCTCTCTTCTCTGAGCTCTCCTCTCCATCCTTTGATCCTCTGAAAAACACTGGATCATTCTACCATGCATTATAATGATTTATGCATGTCTTATCAGCCTTTGTAGACTCCTTCAAAGCAGGTGTTGCTTCTCTCTCTAGATCCCTCTCCTGACACTGGACATTGCCCTCATTCCCTTCTCTTTTCCACCCCCCTTCATCACACACTTGGAACTCCTTGCACACAGAACTCTCTGTTGTTGCCAGTATATGACAGACTCTGTTCCAGCCCTTTGCCATTGTACACACAGTTCTCTGTGACGGAACACTCTTTCCTTCTTAATTTCCTGGGAAAACTGTGACTTCTCTTCAAATAATCAGCTCAGAAGCTACTTCCTCAGTTAAGTTCCCTATGACTTCTCTAGGCAATGTGTGGTCATGTCCTTTTGCCGTTGCAAGGCTCTAGGCATATCTCTGTTAGTTCACTTATCATTGTGGTTTTTTTTACAATGTTTGTTTTTTGGTCTATAAGCCCTGGGCAGAGTCCTGGTTTTATCTATCTATGCCTCTAAGTCCTTGCATCTGTGCCTGGAAGAGGCCTTCAGTGAAAGTGTGCTGAGCAATTGACTTGCCTTCTGAAATACCAAGAAGGTATCCACATTACTCTAAGGCTCTCCTGTCTGCCAAGCACCCCACCACTCCCACCAAAAAGCACATTCGTCATTGCTAGAAATTCTCCCCATACCTAGGGACTGTATAGGTCTCCATGCTGTCCATCCAGTGCTCTATCCACAGCTTAACATTTGGATTCTAACAGAAGTCTCAATGCCTTCAAGCCAAGGAGTATTTGTATTTTTGGTAGACACAGGGTTTTGCCATGTTGGCCAGGCTGGTCTCGAACTCCTGGCCTCAAGTGATCCACCCACCTTGGCCTCCCAAAGTGCTGGGGTTATAGGCATGAGCTACCACGACCGGCCTAAATTTGTATTATTTTTTGTTATTGTGTTATTTCAAAAAAAATTTTCCAAATATTTTTTATCTGTTTTTGGTTTAATCCTCTGATTTGGAACCTGTGGATATGGAGGGCTGGCTACGTTCTATTTTGAATTCACCCTACAATTAGTTGTGTGACCTTGGCCAAATCATATCACCTATCTAGGTCTGGGTTTCTTCATTTATAAAATGCAAGTTATACTTAATCCAGAATGGTACATAGGTTTTTTTCTCCAGTGCTAATTTCAGCAGTGGCCTCCAAGGGAGCTCCATTGAAAATTGTGAAGCTTAGGTCAGGAAAGACTCTCTGCTAGAAAGAATATTGTGACTATTTAGTCATTTCTGTCCATTTAGCACAGAAGAGGGGAGTGGGTTGCAACTGCCTTGTGTTTGCAGACACTGCACTGGGTAGGTCTTTGAGTTCCTTTTAGCACAGACATTCCACATTTCATGATCCATGCAAGATTATGTGTCAAGTTGGTTCAATTTTACTCCAGAGGCATGTGTCAAGCCTCTGCTGCATGCTATACACTAAGTAGTATGAGATAAAAAGAAGAAATAATGCATGGTTCTTGCTGGTAAGGGACTCAGGGGTGATTAGCAGAGGTAGGAGATAGTAAGTGTTAGTAGATTATAGAAACTGAGGCTCCATCAACAAATGGAGGAGCTGGGTGTGAGATTTATTTGAGTCTTAGTGCTTTACTCTTTTCCACTATACCTCACTACCCTTCTTTTAAGGGTAGTGAGAAGGGAAGGGAGACACTGAACTGAAGGCTTAGATGTTTTCCACACTGGGTGCATCATAGCAGAGGCCCATGATAATCAGTGAACAGTGTTAGAAACCTGGGAGGAAAGGGTAGAAAAAATAACAAGAGTCCGCAAAAGAAATTTTGTCTATTGCTTGAGAGCTGCTCTTGGCTTCAGTACAGGCAGACTTTATGGGACCATATTTATAGGCAAGCACATTTCCTTAGGTCACATATGTCTCAGTTCTAAGATTCTGTCCATTTTTTAACAATGATGGGGTTGAAGAGAGGCAATAACATTTCTGAGAGGAAACAGTGCAGGATAATGGTTTAAATCAAATCACACTGATGTTATGTCTGGCCCTGACCTTGCCTCATGAAGGTGTTCTTTGTCTTTTGTGTGTTTTACTTTTTTTCTTTTTAACAGAGGCGGGTTTTTGCTGTGTTGCCCGGGTTGGTCTTGAACTCCTGAGCTCAAGCCATCCACCCATCTTGGCCTCCCAAAGTGCTGGGATCATAGGCGTGAGCCACCACACCCAGCCTGATGAAGGTGTTCTTTGAACCACCTCAGGGAATGACACTGTGCGCTTGTAAAGTTTCCACAAGGACTTTTATCTCCGTTTGGTTTGAAAATACCATGATTTTCCAAGTAGTAAGCTTTTCTAAGTAGTGAGATTTTCCAAGTAAAGGCAGATTTTTTTTTTCTGAGTCTATTGTGTGGATGCATAGAGGTGAGGGAGTAGCCATAACTCCAGTGTGTGGTCTCTGAACTCCAAACATTCAGACTTTTTTTTTTTTTTTAAGAGACAGGATCTCGTTCTGTCATCCAGGCTGGAGTGCAGCGGCATGACCACAGCTCACTACAGCCTCAAACTCCTGGGCTCAAGTGATCCTCCCACCTCAGTCTCCAGAGTAGCTGGGACTACAGGCACAGGCCACTACACCTGGCTCTAGAAGGTATTTTCAATCCAATCTGACAGCTAAGGAAAATGAAAATCAAAATTAAGTAATTTGTCTTAAAATATACAGGATGAAGATACTAATATATACATGAGATATGAATATACACAAGATAACTTGTTACAGTTTGTACAAGGTAAAGTCATGATTCAAATACAGGGGTATTGATTATAAAATCTATTTTTTTTCTTTTCTTTTTTTTTTTTTTGAGACAAAGTCTCACTCTGTCACCTAGGCTGGAGTGCAGTGGTGTGATCATAGCTCACTGCAAACTGGAACTCCTGGCTCAAGAAATCCTCCCACCTCAGCCTCCCAAGTAGCTGAGATTACAGGCACACACCACCATACCTGTCTAATTTTTGGGTTTTTGTTTTTTTTTTGGTAGAGATGAGGTCTTGCTGTGTTGCCTAGGCTGATCTTAAACTCCTGGGCTCAGGCAATCCACCCTTCCTGGCCTTCCAAAGTGCTGGGATTAGAGGTATGAGCCACAACGCCTGGCCCCAGATTCTTAAGAATGACCAGGCCCGGCCGGGCACGGTGGCTCACTCCTGTAATCCCAGCACTTTGGGAGGCTGAGGTGGGTGGATTACCTGAGGTCGGGAGTTCGAGACCAGCCTGACTAACATCGAGAAACCCCGTCTCTACTAAAAATACAAAATTAGCAGGTTGTGGTGGCGCATGCTGTAATCCCAGCTACTCGGGAGGCTGAGGCAGGAGAATCTCTTGAACCCGGGAGGCAGAGGTTGTGGTTAGCCGAGATCACGCCATTACACTCCAGCCTGGCCAACAAGAGTGACACTCCATCTCAAAAAAAAAAAGAAAAAAAAAAAAAAGAATGACCAGACCCTGCGAAAATTGTTCATGTCACCAGACTCACACAAGACAGGCAGAAATGAAGAAGGAAGTTATTGATTTCTTAATATAATATATTTATATACTACATGCAATGCACACACCACATACACTAACACAATATGCCCAGGGAAGCTAGCTCATAAGGGCATCCCTTTCATGATACTGAAAGACCTGGGAAACCAACCAATAGTTAGAAGATCAGCAAGGGAGAACTCAAAGTTGAAGTTCAATGAACCAAACGTGATATTTATTTTTAGCTACAGAAACCTTAATATATAATATAGAATGTCAGAGCTAGATGGGGACCAAGGTCACCTTAACCAACTCTTTCATTTCACGAAAAGAAAGCTGAGACCCCAAAGGGGTAATCGACTCTGCCAAGCCCACATCATTGATTCATTTTCTCTTCCATCCCACAAATATTTAGAGTGCCCACCAGGAGTTAAAGCCTCATCTTAAGCAAAGAGGCGCCCTCCATAAGCTCAAAAGTCAAGCTGGGGAGATGGATATGGAGAGAACCAATTCTAATACAGTATGATTAGTGCTGTAAGAGAAGTATTGGCAAAGATTTTCTGTAAAGGGCAGGACTGTAAATATTTTTAGGTTCTGCAGGCCATGTAGTCTCTGTTGCAGCTACTAAAATCCATTGTGTGGGACAAAAGCATAAATAAGATGTAAATAAAAGAGTGGCTGCATTCTCATAAAACATTACTTTTTGCCATTGAAATTTTAATTAATATTATATTTACATCAAAAAATAGCTTTCTGATTTTGATTGTTTTCAACCATTAAAAAATATAAAAACTATTCTTTGCTTGAACCCAAGAAACAGAGGTTGCAGTAAGCCAAGATCTCGCCACTGCACTCCAGTCTGGGCAACAGAGTGAGACTCTGTCTCAAAAAAATTAAAAATAAAAATAAAAATAAATATATGTGTGTGTGTGTGTGTGTATATATATATATATATATACACATATATATATGCAGTTATGATTTTTTAACTTGCAAGCCTATAAAAACAGGCAGCAGCCAGATTTGGCCCACAGGCAGTGGTTTGCTGATCCTTGTCTTAGATAAACAAAAGTTCCAGAATTTTCCAGCATCCATGAAGGTATGATCCAGTTATTGATCAGATTATTTTACCAAGAATAAAAATGAAAAACAAAAAGAGTATGTATTTGTCAGTGTTACTCTGAAAAAGTAGGGCCACAGAGATGGGGACTATTCACAAAAAAGAATAAAAGAGAAGAGAAGAGATCTGAAAGCCCCTAATTCATCCCCACTCAACTTCCCCTGCCAGTTAGAACCCAAATGCTTCTATGATCTTGAGCCAACTTTAATTTATTCACTTTTCACTTTTCACATTACATAGACTCTCAATTTTATACAGTTTAAAGTGTAGGTTCCTCTTTAGAAGAGTTGCCCTGTCCAAAGTTTCTACATGGCCACGCTTAGAGGGAGTCAAATGGCTGTACCAGATGCAGTTCCACTAGAGTTCAGTTAATTTTTGACAGCATTAGGGTGCCCGTGTGTGGCCTTTGGGGAGACCAACAACCTCTTCCTAACAGATATGAGTGCAGGGGCAGTCATTATTAATCTTTGTATGCCTAGCCCTTCAGAACAGGGTTTGGCACTTCACAGTCACTAGGCTTTGCCATGAGCAGTTTCCCTGATGAAAAATATATACTCTTTCCCCTTATAGGAAAATGCTGTGGGTCTCAGTTTCCTCACCTGTAAAATGGACATAATAATATCACCTACATCACAGGTGTTATGAGATCATGTGCAATCACATAAGTAATAACACTCTGTAAACCATAAAACACTCTGTGAATTATTTTATAACTTCCCACCATTCATGTCTATCCCTACCACTCCTACAGTCAGAAAATCATTTTATCTCTCTGGGGCTTATTTTCCTTATCTCAAAAGTCAAGGGTGACTTCAATAATGTCTAAGTTCCCTCCCAGCTCTACCACTCTGACGCTGTACTATGTTAGGAAAGGAGTTTTTCATTAAATGGGGAGAAGTTGTGCATTATGGTTGAAAGTGAAGGGCAGAAACAAAGAAGCCAGATATAGAAAAATAACAGCAACAAAAAAAGAAGACAAGAAGAGAACCTTCCTCATTAGGTGTCCCTGATGAAAGATTTGCTTCTTTAAAACACAAAACTGCCATGTTCCTTGGCATAGACTTGCTTTACATATAGAAAGCCAAGTTTGAGAATCTCAATTTTCTCTACTTAACAGTGAATTAGTCTGTTCTCATGCTCCTAATAAAGACATACCTGAGACTGGGTAATTTATAAAGGAAAGAGGTTTAATTGACTTACAGTTGCACATGGCTGGGGAGACCTCACAATCATGGCACAAGGCAAATGAGGACCAAAGTCACATCTTACATGGCAGCAGGCAAGAGAGCTTGCACAGGGGAACCCTCATGTACAAAATCATTAGTTCTCATGAGACTTATTCACTATCATGAGAACAGCATGGGAAAAACCCACATCTATGATTCAATTACCTCCAGTGGGGTCCTTCCCACAGTACATGGGAATTATGGGAGCTACAATTCAAGATGAGATTTGGGTGGGGACACAGTCAAACCATATCAACAGAATCAACCAATGCTTAGAAATGTTCAAGAGAGTAACTATCTAGCAATTTTTCATGGGAGTCTCACTGCCCAGATACTTCAATGTGTAATACACATTGCTGTGTCATGCCTTTTTCACCTCTGCTGAAAGCATTAGCTTCAGCAAAGTAGGTTGAGAGATGTCCCATAACACCAGGGTTCTGCATGGATTTCCCCCCACCTGCTTTCTCTCATTTTCCACTTTTATAAAGGGAATATGTAAGTCCATTGACCATTAGGTGAAATGCTATCTTTCCCTCTGAGGAACGCGACCTTGTGTTTAAGTAGCCTTGTTTCTAAGGGTGAGAATGGGCACAGGATTGGGCTGGCAAACAAGGGGCAAGTGAGGCAAATGGAAAGAACATTAGAGAAACCTAGTGCCCTCCTCCTTCATGTTCCTGGCTTGAGCTGTTTACAGAGGGGCAGTGGATACCCAAACTCAGGACCTAGCCCATGGCTGTAATGGTTTTCTAGAAAGGAGAATGGAACCTGGGAAGGCTGTCGAGTGTACCAAACATCTCTGATGTCCAAGAAATGGATCTTAGCTTCTAACAAACAGGCAAATTGGTAGCCCTATGATTTCTTTTGTGACCTACCTATTATCAGCCTACAGAGATAAACTAATGTACGAAAGAATGCACAGCAAATCAGTTTCTCATCACTCTAGGGGCCTAAGAAACACTTTTCAAGACATCTGTACATTCAGTAGATGTTATGAAAAACTAGGAATGTCCACCAACATGGCACATGTATACATATGTAACAAATCTGCACGTTGTGCACATGTACCCTAAAATTTAAAGTATAATAAAAAAACAAAAGAAAAACTAAGTATCTGTGTTAGCCTTAATTATCTCCAAAATGAACAACTTAAAGTCTCTTAGATATAACCTAAGCTTTCCCATCCCCGTGCATTTATTCAAACTATTCCCTCTGCCCTAAAGATCCTTCTCCATCAAACATTCCTCCTACCACTGAGCACTGCTAGTGCAAATCCTACCATGGTTCAAGTCCCATTTCAAGTACTGACTTCTTTATAAAGCCTTCTCTCATTTTTTTGACTTCTGTTGTAGCTACTTTTTTTTATAAGTTTATGTTTTGCCTAATTAATGAGAGTGTACATTCCTTAAAGCCTCATATTAATTTTAATATTTCCTCATGTCCAAAATGGTGTCTGGTTCAGGTCCTTCAACAAAGTAGGCATTCAAAAAAAAAAATTCTGTGGATCATTTGTTTAACCAGAACACAGTACCCAAGATCCTCAACTATAAATGGAATGTTTGTACTATTTAGAAGTCTGAACCACAGAGAAATTGTTAACAAGAATTTCAATTCAAAACAAACAACAAAATTCTAGATTTCCTGAGTTTAACACATTCCAACTAAGTTTTGTACCTTCTGCACGTTTTTCCAAGGCAGTTGAATGATACGAATTCAAGTTTGAAATAATAAGCCCAAGGCACAGCAAGATCTTCAATAATCAACAAAGATTCAGTTATAATCTTTCTAAAGATTGTGTGTGTGCTTTCTTAAGAAGGAACATGGACTGATATTTTGAAAATGTTTGAACAGAAAAATTAACCTAAAATATTTCTCTGATAAATATTACTTATGCAGACAATAAAGCTATCGCTTGCCTCGTCCTCATCTTGGTTCGTAAATGATTTGCTGTAATTCCTCATCTCCCTAAATAATTAAGAGGCATGGAGATGTAAAATGTGAGATGGAATGTTTATACATACTATCTTTGATGCTTTATAGACACAATCTTATTTAATCTCATCAACAAGCCTACAAGGCACGTATTATATACACCTGTCTTACAGATGATGGAACTGAGGCTGAGGAAGAGGTTAAGTAACTGCTCTAAAATTACAGAGCTGACAGTAAACCTAGATCCAAATCCATCTCTTTGGTTTCAACGCTTACACTTTTTTCACAGTACCATACTGCCTTCTTAAAAGTGTTTTCACAGCAATCCAAACAGATGAGAAAAAAAATGGGTTGAGATTTTAAAAAAACATTTAAAAATGAAAATGCAGTATAGTGTAATGAAACAAATCACAACACTAGACCAGGTAACAGGAGATGTGATTCTTACTTGGCCATAATCCACCAGCTGTATGACCACAGCCATGTTATACTGTGGAATGCATCTTGAAGATCACCTATCTCTATCCAGTCACTTCCCTTTCAGAAGAGGAATTTGAACCCAGATGAAGCCACCTGCCTACAGTCACACAGGAGCAGAATTCAAATTTACTAAACCCAACTAGGGCTCCTTTCACTGGGTGGTGTCTTCTCCCTGGGCCTTGGTCTCCTTGTTTACAAAGCAAATCTTCAAGACTTACTTAGATTGTGGTATGCAAACATAGAAGATTTTATTATGATTTCTTAGTGTATAACTATAAAATGTGAGAGGTCTCAGAGGTACCATGAAAGACCATGCAGCCTCTGAGTCTTTGTGAATTTGCGTGCGTGTGCGTGTGTGTGTGTGTGTGTGTGTGTGTGTGAGAGAGAGAGAGAGAGAGAGAGAGAGAGAGAGAGAAAGAGACGGAGAGAGAGAGAAAAAGAGAAGACTTGTCCTGGAGAGAAACCTATCCCTACGGCTGCCTCAGATTCTAACTTCCTATCACCAGATAAATTCCCTTTCAGTATTTCCCTCATACATTTTTTACTTATGGGGCCTCTGAGTGAGTTTCTATTCCTTATAACCAAAACAAAAAAACAAAAACAAAACAAACAAAAACCTCATTCATTAGAAAATAGAAAAAAAAACTTTAATTCTTTCTAGAGCATCAAGTGACACTCTGACACTCTGATATAGTGTATATAGGTGGAAACACCCAAATGCTAGTACCCTGAACAATATTACATACATCACCAGAGAAAAGGACAATTTACTCCCAGGGCCTCTCTCCAGACCTTCAATCTTACTCCTCCACCAAAATACTATTAGAAATATGAAGAAAAAAAAAAGGCTAAAATCTGGCAGCATTTGAGGTTGGGCTCAACAAGGCTGTGGTGAGACAGCCCTCCTTGCCGCTCACTGCATTTGGCACATGTGTGCTTCCTATAGGTATATTTTGGGGCTTGGATCCTCCGGACAGTGTTTGGTTTAGGGATAGATGAAGTTTTATGGAAATACCTCTCTACCTAGAGAGAAAGCCTGTGTTACCTTAGAAATTAATACATAATGCCATAATGGAGTGTAACTAGAAGGGTATGAGCAATATTTTCCAAAATGTTTTCCTTAAAACCCTAGTCCTGTGACATGCTACATGATGAAAGGTTTCAAAGTCAAAAAAGTTAGGGAAATGCTGCCTTCTGTTTCCACCTCTTATAGAGTCATAATGCCCACGAACATGTTAAAAGTGGTCCTCTGTTGGTTCCTGTCTGTACCAGATTTCTAAATTTGGGCCTTGGCTCCTTTCTGCTGTCTCCCTAGGTGGTCTCATCCAGTTCTGTGACTTTGTTTCTTTGGGCTTATTTGAGAGTGTCTCACTGTGTCACCCAGGCTGGAATGTAGTGGCGCAATTTCAGCTCACTGCAACCTCCGCCCCCTGGGTTCAAGTAATTCCCATGCCTCAGCCTCCTGAGTAGCTGGGATTACAGGTGTGCACCACCGCACCTGGCTGATTTTTGTATTTTTAGTAGAGATGGGGTTTTGCCATGTTGGCCAGGCTGGTCTCGAACTCCAGTCCTCTAGCAATCCACCCACCTTGACTTCCCAAAGTGCTGGGATTACAGGCATGCACCATCACGCCCGACCCCAGTTCCATGACTTTAAATGCCATCTGTATGCTGATGATTTCTCAACATATATCTCAAACCTTTCCCCTAAACTCCAGACTCATATATATATTATTATTATAAATTATCATATATATTACTTATTTTCTTATGTTTTATATATATATAAAATTTATCTACTTGATAGCACCTCTTACACATGTATTATGCCACTACTTTCAATGACAAAAACCACCATACTTTAGCACCAACCTAAATAGGTATCTTGAACTTATCATGGATAAGGCTTCATTTCCTTCACCCCTTTAAGCCTCTGCTTCCTAGTCTCTCTTGGCTCAGTCAATACCACCAACATATATGTAAGTGCTCAAGCCCCAAAGCTGAAAGTCATTAGTGTCTTCTCTCTGATCTCTATTTCTCACATTAACTCATCAGGAAGTCTTGTTGTCACTACGCCTCAAACATGTGCTGAAGCCATTCACTTCTCTCTATCTGCACTGACACTCCTGCCATCTCTCAAAGGAACTATTGCAAGAGCCTAACTGGTTTCCACTTGTAATCTTAGCCTCTAAATTTCATTCTCCACACAACATGCAAGGAATTTTTCTTTTTCAAATGGTAAGTCAAATCATGCCAAGGCTTAAAACCTTCCAAATTGCTTTCCATTGCACCAACAACATCTTACTTCTCTAAGATCATACCTCATCACTTCTACTCCCCACCTTAATTATTCAGCTCCAACCACAGAAGCTCCTTTCTCTTCTTCCAACAGGCCAAGCTTTTTCCTGCCAGGTCTTTAGACTCACTGTTTCCTCTGCCTCCTGGGCTTCCCCACTTCCAGTTATACCCTTATAACCTTACCCCTTAAGGTCTTCAAAGTCCATACCACGATTTGAAATGCTCTTGTTTGTTTGTTCATATTTTCTGGTGAACCCCACCTACAAGGCAAATTCCATGAGGGCAGGGCAAGGATTTTATCTGTCCTGTTCGCTCTTCACCAGGGAATCCTCAGTACCTACAGTAGTGCCTAGCACAATATAGGTGCTCAGTAAATATTTGTTAACTGCATGGAATGGTTTGAGAAATTATGCAATGGAGAAAACTATGAAACTTTGTTTAACCCAGAATTCCTCAGATTTTTTTTGATTATAGAATACTACCTGCCTTTGTAAAGAATATTTGTTATCCCAAGGATCATTTCCTAGATTACACTTTGGTTTATGCTGGTTTAACTTCAGTATTGAGAAGGGCTAATATTTGAAACCCAGTAAATCTTAAACATCAAAACTTGAAAATCTCTTGTAAGCTAGCAATTTGGCAGCTCTTTGTGAGTCCAGGATATTTTTAATTAAGAGAATAAAAAGTAAGTTTAGTTTTAAAAGTAAGTTCTTGGGTGTTTTTTCTTGGAGATGTGGGTTCAAAAAACAGAGATAGTGGCTCAAGATCACAGGGCTCAGGGAAGGGTGAGGTGTTGGTGGAAGGGGAGAAGGAGTCCAGACAGGATACAGCAAAATTAAGGGATGTGGTTGACTAAGGGTAAATGAGATTGAGGCCCAGTAAAGCGTTCCTACTTCAAATGGAATTTTTAGAAACAGAAACCTGCAGTTGGAAACTTGGCTATTTTTATACTGTGTATGTTTTCTGTAATTATTTCTTTTCTGTTTTCCCTCATGTTTAGTAAAGCTGTTCTTGAAAATACCAGCCTGTCTCAGTTATGCCAAGGGAAAACATTTTTGTACACATTAAAATTTTTAAAGGAGAATCATACCGCTTTGGGGGAGGGGTGAATAGGTGATGTGGTGACATAAGAGAATCTGGAAAGCAGAAACCCAAAGTAGGGATGAGAGTGAGGCTGCAGAGTCAGGGAGAGTGGTTTACCCTCTTCTAACCTGGAGATATTTTTCAAGACTAATTTGGTTAATCTGTGAAAACTTTGGAAGGTTTTGTATTGAGCCTTAAGTAGACAAGGCTAATTCTTTACAAAGTCACATGTATACATTATTGAGCTATAAAAAACCGTTGGTAAAGGAATTGTCTGGTTGGCTTCTGTGCCTGGGCTGTCTGCATGTTGGAAACTAGATCTAGATTTTTAAAAGTATCAACATGGATAAGCATAGAAATGCTGTGCTCTAAGGGATGTAGTTAGAAATTTGGGTAATTACCTAACTGGCAGTTAGTAAAGGAATTACCAGACAATTGGTGAAGGAAATGAAAAGCCCTAAATGAAATTAGATAGGGAAAATTTGAGAAAGTCCACAAAGGTTTGAAATGTTGCGAAGATGTGAAAAGTTTTGTGCATGTAGCAGAGTGCTCTGAGTTCAGATCTCAGTATTTTCCAATCCATGATTGCACTAAGATTAGCAGCTGGACTTGACTTTGGGACAGGCTCTTGCTTTATTCTCAAGAGAGATCAGTGGGGATAGGGGGGCAGATTTCAGTCATCTTTATGACTGAAACCCAGAGGAATAACCCAGACATAGGGGCTTCAGATTAGGGAAGTTGAGTATTGTTTCTAGTAAGATAAAGAGCTTGCTCTGGGGCTCTTAAGTTGTAATCCTGAAAGGATGCTGATATGGTTTGTGATTTTTCTTCATTAAGTGAGACCTGGTCTTAGACTGTATACTAGGGTTTCCAGAAAAACAGAGACAGAGAGAGTACAGAGAAAGAGAGAGAGAGAGACAGAGAGAGAGAGAGAGGGATTGACTTATTATAAGGAATTGGTTCACATGATTATGAAGGCTAAGAAGTACAAAATCTGCAGAGCTGATGTGCCAGTTTGAGCCTCAAAGCTGGAAGCTACTGTAGAGCCAGGAAGAAATGATGTCCATGTTTGAAGGTTTGTCAAGCAAAAGAATTCTCTCTTACTCAAAGAAGGATCAGCTTTTGTTCTATTCAGGCCTTCAATTGATAGGATAAGCCCCATGCATATAATGGAAGGCAATCTGCTTTACCAAGATGAGATTTAAATATTAATCTTCTCCACAAATATCCTTACAGAAACACCTGGAAAAATGTTTGGCCAAATATCTGGGCACCCAGTGGCACAGTCAATTTGACATATAAAATTAACTATCACAGGAAGGAAGGAATGTGCATGATCAGATTTCCATCCAAGGAGATGAGCTGGCCCCAGAAACATGGTAGCAGGTTGGACATAAGGAGGGAGACAATCAGGTCCTACACCAGGCATGGCCAATGCATTTCATGATAATGACACTTGAGATTTCATTTAAGTTCTTCTTTTCTATATTGTGTTTCTCATCTGTTATCTTTGAGGCTTAGTGTTATGGGCTTAATTGTGTCCTCCTAAAAAAGATATGTTTCTGAAGCCCTAGCCCTTAGTACCTCAAAATGTGACCTTAAAGGCCGGGTGTGGTGGCTCATGCCTGTAATCCCAGCACTTTGGGAGGCCGAGGCAGATGAATCACCTCAGGTTGGGAGTTCGAGACCATCCTGACCAACATGGAGAAACCCCCATCTCTAGTAAAAATACAAAATTAGCCGGGCATGGCGGTGCATGCCTGTAATCCCAGCTACTCAGGACGCTGAGGCAGGAGAATCGCTTGAACCCAGAAGGCGGAGGTTGCAGTGAGCCAAGATTGTGCCACTGCATTCCAGTCTGGGCCACTGCATTCCAGTCTGGGCAAGAAGAGTGAAACTCCATCTAAAAAAAAAAAAAGGTGACCTTAATTGAAGACAGGGTCTTTACAGAGATAATCAAGTTTAAAAGAGGTCATTAGGCTGGACCCTAGTGCAGTATGACTGACATCCTTATAGGACTAGCAATTGGGATACAAAAACACAGAGAGTATAAAGGGAAGATGATGTTAGAGGCATAAGGAGAATATAGCCATCTACAGGTTAAGGAGAAAGTCCTCAAATGGAATACCCTTGCTGACCTCTTGATTTCGGACTTTAGACTACAGAACTGAGAGACAATCAATTTTTGTTGTTTAAGCCCCTCAGTTTGTGGTACTTTGTTATGATAGCTCTAAGAAACTAATACATTTAGTACAGTGTGTTAAACATAATAGCCTGTGTTAACTATACTTAAAAGGATAAAGGAAGGAGTAGAGAATAAAACTCAGGGGAGAGGGAGCAGCAGTACTCAGGAGAGGGCATGAAATGGCAGACACAATTGGGAACAGTTTCTGGAGTAGCAAGCAGTGGTCTATGGGAGTCTCAAATGAAATAATAAAGGTGATATTATTTTGTATTAAAAATACTATAACTAAGGGCAGTTATCACTATGACTTTTGACGATATCATACCCCCAAATATGTACCAGCTACCGAATGGAAAAACTACTGATACAACTAGTTCATAGTGATCATTCCTGTGTTTGATCACCTGAGAAGCATTAATGGGGTTTATATTAACTTTGAATATGTTAAAAATTAAAAGGTTTATATTAACATTGACAGTGTTGAAAAGTAAAGGGTATATATTAACTTTGACAATGTTAAAGATTAAAGGGATAATCTTTGACTATCTGCATCAACAACTGAGGGACAAACATCTTGACAGAGGATTCATATGAGTGGCAGAAACTACATCTTGCCTTGCAAATAACTCTCTATATTTGAATGCCACACATTGTTTGTTTCTAGAATCTCTTCCACTGAAATGTTACCCTAGATATAGATAAGGGGCACCAAAAGGCCAGAAGTATGAAAAAAGAAAGGATGAATAGAAGAAAGGAAAAGAGAGAGGAAGGAAGGAAGGGAGGCAGGCAGGGACATGGTACTTTTTCTTACCCCAGATCCAAGTTCCAACTCTTTTGAAACCCTAATATTTGGTTTCAGATGATACTGGATATTTTCTAAAGTAGCCAAATTTTTAGGTTATTTGACAAACATTGTGGTTAAATTATTAATATGGGATAAAGATATTATTTAATAGTAATTTGCAAAAATCAATGCTTCTTTAGTGTCCTCGTTTTAGGGTTTATTTCCAAAATTTTTGAAGCAGCATTCCATTTCAGAAAATGACATGAAGATTCTCTGGAGGTCTAGGAATTATGTAGATGGAAAAGAAATCTGATGACACTATCTTGACCTTTTTAATACTAAGTAATACTAACATAATAATAACAACAGCTATTCCTTTATTCTAAGGGTTTTCATTTTAAAGGCTTACTGTTATTCATTTTCAATGCATAGCTCCTTATTAATTATCATTTTCTAGGGCTATGTGGATGACTTGAGTTCTATTAAATACCAAATGATTTCTCACGTACCTAAGTTTGGAATCTACCTCTTTTAGTAGGCAGAAATTACTCTCCATGAGAATAGTGTCCAGGCAGTCCCAAGGAATGTAATTGTCCTTCTTTCTTGCTGATGAATAACTGCTGATGCTTCTAGTCCCAGGTACAGCTAGGAAAGAAAATGATGATGTATAACTTCAATAGCTTTCCTGGAGCAGGGAGCAGGGGATAGATTAAGTGTCCTTCTACATTTGTATATGTGCAAGAAAAGTACCTCATATTGTTTCCAAGGAAATGTTTAATAGGTTTTTCCTGGCCTGGGATAGTCCATGTATGGTATATACTGTCTTTACGTCCCAAAATTTTCTGCTAAGCATTCTGATCTCTGTACTCCGTGAAGTCATTTTTGTGAAGAAGGCCTTAAATGAAATCAATGGCTGGGCAAAGACTGTGAGAATGTTTGAACCAGTTCTTTATGATTTTTTAAAATTTTATTTATTTATTTATTTATTTATTTAATTAATTTATTTATTTATCTGAGACAGGGTCTCACTCTGTCGCCCAGGCTACAGTGCAGTGGCATGGTCTCGGCTTACTACAACCTCCACCTCCTGGGTTCAAGCAATTCTCCCCCCTTATCCTCCCGAGTAGCTGGGATTACAGGCACCTGCCACCACGCCCAGCTAATTTTTGTCTTTTTTGGTAGAGATGGGGTTTCACCATGTTGGCCAGGCTGGTCTCAAACTCCTGACCTCAAGTGATCCCCCACCTCGAACTCCCAAAGTGTTGGGATTACAGGCATGAGCTACCGTGCCTGGCCTTGAACCAGTTCTGATGTAATGCCTCTTGCAGGAAAATCCCAGGAGTTTTTGGGATGCTTGTTTCTGGTTCCACTACAAAACATCACAGTCTTAGGTAGACTTAATACAAGTGGACATAATTATGCAGCCCTGTTCCACATCATTAGTGAGAGTAAATGCCTCTGCCAGGATTCTGCCAACACTGTTTCTAGCCAGACATCCATTAGTAAACATTGCAGTCTTAAAATACTGGTTGGCTTCTGTGCCTGGGCTGTCTGCATAATGGAAACTAGGTCTAGATTTTTTAAAGTATCAACACGGATAAGCAAAGAAATGCTGTTCTCTAAGGGATGTAGTTAGAAATTTGGGGAACCCAGAATTTTGGTAAAGGCTTTTAAAATTTCTTCTTTTTAAATTTAAAATGTCCTTAATGAAAACATGAAAGTATTTCTTGTCTTATGATGATGCCAAGCAAGGGGCTAACTGGCTCCCTAGCTCTAACTCCGTCTGGCTCAGTATTACCATTTTACTTTCTACATAGAGACCAGAATACATTAAAACACTGTTTCTCTTCAACCTTAGTATTTGATCTATCCAAGTGGGTATTTCTAACAAATTGAAAGTATTTAATTGAAATGCATGTTATAAATAATTGCAATAATTTACACATTCTTAAAAATAACAATCCTTTTAGTTAGTAGATGCTCAACAATTTCAAAAACACCCTGTGTTCTCTCTTTTGATCCTTGACAACCCTGTGAGGTGGAAAGTGTACATGATACGGGTGAGAAAACTGAAGCTTAGAGAGATCAAGAATTTGGCTAAGGTCACAAACAAATTAGACTGTTTTCAAGATCTGCCTAAGAGTTTGTGATAATATCTTCTTAGTATTCCTTGTCGAAGGAGGAGAAACTGCCAGTTAGGTGGGAGAGTTCCAAACTCTGTACCCTGCACACAAGTCCTGTGATCTCATCTGGCTATGAGCTCCCCAGGCTTGCTACAACACCCTGAGTGACATCTGCCTCTGTCACTTGTCTAGAAGGAAAGGTGTTTAACCTAAAATGATTTACTTTCCACATGTAAGTAGTAGAAATCAAAAAGTCTTATCAGAAAGCCAACGTGATAAGAACTTTCTGAGACTTTTTCACAAACCAGTAGTACTGACATGGTTACAAACCTCATTGCCTTTTTGAGTAAAGAATGACAAATAAATGAGAATGGTAAATTGCAGATATCATCTTAGAAGCAGTGACATTCTTGGTAGGTATTGATAAAGAATAAGACATTGAACTTGCTGAGTCTCCTTCCCAGGAAGAACTCTATGAACTTCCATATGGTCTTTTCTTTTACATTCATCACAACAGCCCCACTGAGAGTCTAGACAGAAATTATGATCCCCATTTTACCTATAGAAAAGCTGAGGGTCCAGAGATCAATCGACTATTCCAAGGTCACATGGTGTCATCAGAAGAGACTCACACCAGAGCTAATTTCTCTTCAATGATTTGATTATTACATGTAAGTGACTTGCTTGAGGTAATCAAAGGAAAATATTTGGAGAATGAGGACATTTATGACATGCTTATCAAATATGCAGGTGACTGAGGACTGAGTGCTATGCTAGTCTTAGCTCTGATTTGGATAAGTTACTTAACCCTTCTGGGCCTCAATATCCTTCTTGGGGAAATGAGACAGTTAGTTGAACTAGATTAGGTTTTTCCAACTTTCTTTTTCTTTTTAATTTCATCAAATTAAAATCTGATGAATTTAATTGATAAAAGCTGATCCCGCCTCCTGCTTGGCTCCCTCCACCGCCTACTAGACCCCTGGACACAATCTAAAACCACAGTATTAGGTCATCTGAAAGCTTCTTCCTGTTCCTAAATTCACTGTTTTTATGATTGAAAGCAACTAGCCTCCTAATCTGGTACCTGTTCATGTTCCCTGCAGCATCTTGTGGTATAAAAGAGCCCCCAGACATGATGTCAGAGGAGCTGGGAGTGAATCCTCACAACCAATTATCTATGCAACCTTAATCAAGTTGCTTCACCTCTCTAAGTCTCTGTTTCCTCATCTATAAAATGAAGATAGTAACCCTTCCCAGGTAAGAGTGCTTTGTAAACTGTAAGAGACTAAGTAAATGGACGGTGTCATTAGTATTATCTCCTGTGTACAATATCCTTCTCCATGGAGAGGCGGCTTTATCCTTAGAATGACTCAGAGTACCAGTATGGGTTGAGCTGCTCTTTGGCAAGCTTGCCTTGGTATCTATTGTATTTGGGCTTCATCTTCCCGTGAGCTGAAAGCCAAGTCAGTAGAGAGGATGTGAGCTACCAACACAGCAAATAATTAAACCAAGGAGATGCCATCATTAAGTCCAAAGGGAAAAATTATCCCCATATGGTGACCTTGATAATAATTGCCCAGCTCTATTTCCCCCTCCACACGAAGCCATATTCCAATAATAATTACTGTCATTTGAGTGCTTACTTCATGCTAAGTAGATACTGTTGTTTACATGAGTTGTCTCATTTAATCTTCATAAGAACCTTTTCAATGGCATTACTCCTAATCTGCAGTGAGAAATAATCTGAAAAATAGTGTATTTTTCCTATTTTGTAGCTTAGAAAGGCTAACTAATTTGCTCAGATAATCAGTAAGTGACAGAGCCTGGACTCTGAATTTAAACCTCTGAACTGATCACCTCTGCCTCTCCCAATTGGAAGAAATGATTTTCCACACTCACTACGAGGGCCAACAGCCTCATTCCTGTTTATCTTTGCCATGCTTTAGTCAGCCCCATCTCTCCATGTTAATTATTATTTTCATTTCTTTCTCTATTCAAAAAGACTCCACTCATCTTCATAAAACTCAGAGGTGGAAAGCACCTATTAGTCATTGATGTCCCTGCTAACCACAACCCCCCTACTTGTTCTCTGTAACATGGTTTCTGCTCAGGGAGCCTCAGGGAACGGAGCCCAATCTCTTCCTTTGCGGAGTTAGTCCCGTAACTAATTCATCTCTGTCAGGAAGATTTTCCTCTTAGGTTTATCCTCTTCTTTAGTTTTGTATTTTATCCAATTCTTTCTCTCTGTGGGCTGCACACTTCAGCTCTTCAGATCACATTGCCTAAGCCTGCCCAGGCTCTCAGCAGTGATTTTGCTGAGCTGCCTCTTTCCCTTTTTCCATGGTCAGAGTAGCTTTCTTATTAGCACCTGGAGGATGGTGTCTCCAGTGGACAGAGGTAGAGGTGAGCCGTGGGAGGATGTTGGGAAAGAAAGTGAGGAGGAAGAGGTGTGAGCAGGAGGTTTGAAACCTGCTTAGTCAGAAACTCTTGGATCCAATTTGGCTTGGACCTTTCTCTTAAGTTGCCCCTCTACTGGCAGCAGAGGCATTTGCTATCCAGCTAGGCATGATTCCATTAGGATGCTGTCCCAGGCCCTAAAATTGGTGTCAGGAATCACAGAAATAAATGGAGTGCACCAGTACAAAGGAAGACATTGTGGTACAGTGGAAAGCATGTCAGCTTTAGGATTTGAAAAATCTAGTTTAAATCATTGCTCCACTTTTTACATAACTGTATGGTTTGGCAGTCATTTAACCTCCTGAACTTCAGCTTACTCATTTGTAAAATGGAGAGATAATACCTAGCTTAGGAGTTTCCGTAAGGATTATGGAGAATGGCCTCACACATAGTAGGCACTCAATCAATGACAGCTATTATTTTTCAAAGCCCTAATTCTAAACCACTTCCTCATAACCATGTTTCTTATTTGGAGTCTCCGGGCAACTGGCCTTACCTCTTATTCTTCCATTTTCATTGTGCTACAAACCAGCCTATAGCATTCTCATGTTCTAGCTTCACCTGCAGCATCAACAGTTCCAGACAGTTCCCCACAGTTCCTCACTGCCTTGAAAGCAGAACTCAGGTATGAGCTTTTAAATCCAAATTAACATTAATTTTGTTTTTCAATTTTTACTTTGATGTGAACTTTACCACTGCCATGTTGACAGGGACATAGATACTAATCTATAGGATAAAGCCCATTTATTAATAGGCTGTAAATGAGTGTTGGCAATTTCTCACTTGTATCAAAGACCCATTCCATATGCATGGGTATCAGCAGTAGTATCTTAATATGCAAACAAAATCCAACTTGAACAAATTTTGTTACAATACTCTTTTCAAGTGAATGCATATAAGCATCAGCCAAAAGAACACTGCCTGTCTCTTGGATAACTGAAATCTACTCATTTAACAAATATTTATTGAGAGTCTACAATGTACAAAAGACTTTGAAGGTGCTGGGATACATGATAGGACATGAGGTTAGCAGTCTTGGGGTCACTAAAGCAAATCCCCTCTTTAATGTAGCTTACATTGTAGTGAGAAACACAGGATACACAAGTAGACACATAAAGAAAATAATTTGAGATAATTTCTTCAATGGAGAAAACTAAGCAAAGTGATATAATAGTGACTAGAGAGGCTATTTTATTTATATATTTGTTTTTACTTTAACTTAAAATATCAAAATAATAGATGCACACTGGCCAGGTGCAGTGGCTTATGCCTGTAATCGCAGCACTTTGGGAGTCCAAGGTGGGCAGATCACTTGTGGCCAGGAGTTTGAGATCAGCCTGGGTAACAAGGCAAAACCCCATTTCTACTAAAAACAAAACACAAAAATTAGCCAGGTGAGGTGGCACACGCCTGCAGTCCCAGCTACTTGGGAGGCTGAGGCATGTGAGTTGCTTGAGCTGGGAGGCAAAGGTTGTAGTAAGCCGAGATCATGCCACTGCACTCCGGCCTGGGTGACAAAGTGATATTGTCTAAAAAAAAAAAAAAAAAAGAAAGAAAAAATGGATGCACATAATTCTATTTTTTAAATCTTTACTAATCAAAAGAAAGCTGGAATAGATGCACATAATTTTTAAAAATTTATGTAATTCTAAAACGTTTAATAGGGAGAGGAGGGATAGAAAGGCTCCTCTGAGGAGATGATAACTAAGCTGAAACTTGGATTATGAGGACACAGCTATGAGAAGGCCTGGGGAAAACCACATCAGGTAGAAGGAACAGCAATCCAAAGGCTCTGAGTGCAAATGAGCATGGTGTGCAGGTTAATGAGATAGGAGAAAAAAGTACAATGTAGTTGAAATGAACTGAATAAAAGGGTGAAAGGTAAGAGGTGAGACCGTAGAGGTGGAGAAAGGCCAGATCATATGGGGTTTCACAGGGTATGGCACAACTGTTGGTTATGTTCTAATTACAGTGGGAGACTATGGATGGGGCTGGAGTAAGCAAAGGAGAGATATGGACTTATTTCTGTTTTTAACAGATGATTCTATCTGCTGGATAGAGGATGGAGTATGGAAGGGCAATAGTGAAAACAGGAATCCTTTGCAAAAGTCCAGGTAAATGATGATGGTGGCTTGGATGAGGATGATATCAGTGGTGATGGTAAAATTCAGGATTTATTTAGGAGGAATTAACCTCTAGGATTTGTTGATGAATTGGATTTTGGGAGCAAGGTAAACAGGAAACCAGAATGAGTCCTAAGTTTTGACTTGAACTCCTTGGGGTATGGTGGTGCTATTTACTGACATATGAAAGACTGAGTGTAGAACATGTTTTGGGGATTGGGTTTTGATTTGAAAATGTTAAGTGTGATAGACCTATGAGACAATCATAAGGGGATCTCTAAAAGCCAGCTTGCTTGGCTATTACAGGATACTCCCATTCCCAGTTCTCACACTGCATGTCCAGCTGGTTGGCCAGGTTAGGGATCTGCCAGAAAAAGAAGCAACATGCATGCTAGTCTAGATGCCTTTGTGATTAATTTGCAATTTTTTCCTGAGAGTTGATTTTTGGGCTCAGAGGAGCATGGTGGGCACTCCTCGGAGAGCTGTAGTATATTCTAAGATGTGTCTAGATACCTGCGGTTGATAAAGGAAGTAGTTTCCCAGAACAGAGTTATATTTGGCCAAGAAACACTTCCAGTGACATTTTCCACTTGGCACATAGATAGAAGATGGCATCATGTGAAAAAATAATACAATAACATGTTTCCTATACATAGACTCTTCCACTTCCAATTCCAGTTCCTAGATTTATAGATGTTAGATAGGGAGTGTCTAAAAAAAATTGGTTTAGCCCCTGATCTCAGGGACACAATGCCTAGAAGAATCATACTACTTTTTGTAATAGCGTTTTCTGCCTTGGAGAACTGGTCCTCTTCTTCAACATTCTTACTTTAAGGCTTCAGGTTCCTCAAAACCTATTTTCAGCTACAAAATTAAGTGTAAATGAAATAAATTAAATATAAGCAAAACTCGACTGGGCATGGTGGCTCATGCCTGAAATCCCAACACTTTGGGAGGCTGAGGCGGGAGGATTGTTTGAGCCCAGGAGTTCGAGAGTAGCCTGGGCAACATGGCGAAACCCAATCTCTACAAAAATTAAAAATTAAAAAATTAAAAAATAAATATAGAGAAACTCATTTTAAAAATTATGCTACATTTAGATTATTGTATTTATGTTAATATAACCAGTATATTTATACAACAAAACACCACCAAATTAGCACAACTTAGAAGAAAGTCTATCTGTAAAGGAGTTATTAAATATTTATTTTACAATTATGATTTAAAAACTTTAAATTCACATAATATTAAATATGAGGGCTTTGCTAGGAAATATTTTGTCTATTCAGGCTCACTGACCTATAGAAAACAATAAAAAATCCTGTCAGAAGTAAAATTTAAGTTGTTGGCCTTGAATTCTCTTTTAAGAAAGAGATATGCAAACTTATATGCTTTTAAAATTAAGAGCTGCAAGTATAAAATTATTTTCTACAAATATGAATATCTAAAATGCTGTATTTAAGTTCCATATTTGGTTGATTTCAAAGATGGTCATGAGAGTGGAGGTGAATAAAGAAGAGAAGAGGTAAAACAAAGTTGGAGGAAGGGAGGGATAGGGAGAGATTTGTTAAATGAAACAAAATCACAGCTAGATAGGAGGAACAAGTTCTAGTGTTCTACAGCACTGGAGGATGACTATAATTAACAATCATACATTACAGAGTTTCAAATAGCTAGAAGGAGGATGGTAAAAGTTCCTAACACAAAGAAATTATAAATGTTTGAGAGGATGGCCATGCTAATTACACTGATCTGATCGCTATACATTGTATGTACTGAAACATCACTATGTACCCCATGAATATGCACAATTATCATTTGTCTGTTAAAATTAATTAGTTATATATATATATTTTTTAACTTTTTTTTTTAATTTTTATTTTTTTTATTGATCATTCTTGGGTGTTTCTCGCAGAGGGGGATTTGGCAGGGTCATAGGACAATAGTGGAGGGAAGGTTGGCAGATAAACAAGTGAACAAAGGTCTCTGGTTTTCCTAGGCAGAGGACCCTGCGGCCTTCCGCAGTGTTTGTGTCCCTGGGTACTTGAGATTAGGGAGTGGTGATGATTCTTAACGAGCATGCTGCCTTCAAGCATCTGTTTAACAAAGCACATCTTGCACCTCCCTTAATCCATTTAACCCTGAGTGGACACAGCACATGTTTCAGAGAGCACAGGGTTGGGGGTAAGGTCACCGATCAACAGGATCCCAAGGCAGAAGAATTTATCTTAGTACAGAACAAAATGAAAAGTCTCCCATGTCTACTTTTTTCTACACAGACACGGCAACCATCCGATTTCTCAATCTTTTCCCCACCTTTCCCCCCTTTCTATTCCACAAAACCGCCATTGTCATCCCGGCCCGTTCTCAATGAGCTGTTGGGTACACCTCCCAGACGAGGTGGTGGCTGGGCAGAGGGGCTCCTCACTTCCCAGTAGGGGTGGCCGGGCAGAGGCGCCCCTCACCTCCCGGACGGGGCGGCTGGCCGGGCGGGGGGCTGACCCCCCCACCTCCCTCCCGGACGGGGCGGCTGGCTGGGCAGAGGGGCTCCTCACTTCCCAGTAGGGGCGGCTGGGCAGAGGCGCCCCTCACCTCCCGGACAGGGCGGCTGGCCGGGCTGGGGGCTGACCCCCCCACCTCCCTCCCGGACGGGGCGGCTGGCCGGGCGGGGGGCTGACCCCCCCACCTCCCTCCCGGACGGGGCGGCTGGCTGGGCAGAGGGGCTCCTCACTTCCCAGTAGGGGCGGCCGGGCAGAGGTGCCCCTCACCTCCCGGACGGGGCGGCTGGCCGGGCGGGGGGCTGACCCCCCACCTCCCTCCCGGACGGGTCGGCTGGCCGGGCGGGGGGCTGAGCCCCCCACCTCCCTCCCGGACGGGGTGGCTGGCCCGGCAGAGGGGCTCCTCACTTCCCAGTAGGGGCGGCTGGGCAGAGGCGCCCCTCACCTCCCGGACGGGGCGGCTGGCCGGGCGGGGGGCTGACCCCACCTCCCTCCCAGACGGGGCGGCTGGCCGGGCGGGGGGCTGACCCCCCCCACCTCCCTCCCGGACGTGGGGCTGACACCCCCACCTCCCTCCCGGACGGGGTGGCTGGCCGGGCGGGGGGCTGACCCCCCACCTCCCTCCTGGACGGGGCGGCTGGCCGGGCGGGGGGCTGACCCCCCCACCTCCCTCCCGGACGGGGCGGCTGCCGGGCGGAGACGCTCCTCACTTCCCAGACGGGGTGGCTGCCGGGCAGAGGGACTCCTCACTTCTCAGACGGGGCGGCTGCCGGGCGGAGGGGCTCCTCACTTCTCAGATGGGGCGGATGCTGGGCGGAGGGTCTCCTCACTTCTCAGACGGGGCGGCTGGGCAGAGACGCTCCTCACCTCCCAGACGGGGTCGCCGCCGGGCAGAGGCGCTCCTCACATCCCAGACGGGGCGGCGGGGCAGAGGCGCTCCCCACATCTCAGACGATGGGCGGCCGGGCAGAGACGCTCCTCACTTCCCAGATGGGATGGCTGCCGGGAAGAGGCGCTCCTCACTTCCTAGATGGGATGGCGGCCGGGCAGAGACGCTCCTCACTTTCCAGACTGGGCAGCCAGGCAGAGGGGCTCCTCACGTCCCAGACGATGGGCGGCCAGGCAGAGACGCTCCTTACTTCCCAGACGGGGTGGTGGCCAGGCAGAGGCTGCAATCTTGGCACTTTGGGAGGCCAAGGCAGGCGGCTGGGAGATGGAGGTTGTAGCGAGCTGAGATCACGCCACTGCACTCCAGCCTGGGCACCATTGAGCACTGAGTGAACCAGACTCCGTCTGCAATCCCGGCACCTCGGGAGGCCAAGGCTGGCGGATCACTCGCGGTTAGGAGCTGGAGACCAGCCCGGCCAACACAGCGAAACCCCGTCTCCACTAAAAAAGTATGAAAACCAGTCAGGCGTGGTGGCGCGCGCCTGCAATTGCAGGCACTCGGCAGGCTGAGGCAGGAGAATCAGGCAGGGAGGTTGCAGTGAGCCGAGATGGCAGCAGTACAGTCCAGCTTCGGCTCAGCATCAGAGGGAGACCGTGGAAAGAGAGGGAGAGGGAGACCGAGAGGGAGAGGGGAGAGGGGAGAGGGGAGAGGGAGAGGCAGAGGCAGAGGCAGTACAGTCCAGCTTCGGCTCGGCATCAGAGGGAGACCGTGGAAAGAGAGGGAGAGGGAGACCGAGAGGGAGAGGGGAGAGGGGAGAGGGGAGAGGGGAGAGGGAGAGGCAGAGGCAGGGGCAGGGGCAGGGGCAGGGGCAGGGGCAGGGCTAGTTATATTTTTTTAAAAGAAGAAAGTCAAAGAAAGAGACAAAGAGGGAGGGGGAAACAATTGATAAAGGAGGAGAGGAAGAGACAGGAGAAAAAGAAAACAAACAAAGTACACACATACAAAGAAACAGAAAAATAGGCAGTGAAAGAGAGGAAGAGCAAAAGCAAACGAACAAGGGAGCGAAACGAACAAGAGAGCGACGTGCTGGTGGTGAGCAGGTGATATGGTTTGGATCTTTGTCCTCACCCAAATCGCATGTGGAATTGTAATCCCCACTGTTGGAGGTGGGGCCTGGTGGGAGGTGACTGGACCATGGGGGTGGTTTCTCATGAATGGTTTAGCACCATCCCCTCAGTGCTGTTCTCGTGATAGTGAGTGAGTGAGTTCTTGTGAGATCTGGTTGTTTAAAAGTGTGTAGCACCTCCCCCAACTCTCTCTCTTGCTCCTGCTCTGGCCATGTAAGATGTGCCTGCTTCCTCTTCACCTTCTGCCGTGATTATAAGATCCCCGACGCCTCCCCAGAAACTGAGCAGATGCTGCCATGCTTCTGGGTAAAAATTACCCAGTCTCAGGTATTTCGTTACAGCAGTGTGAGAACGGCCTAATACAGCAGGTGAATTATTCTCCTCATAACTTGGAGTTCACTGTGGACTTCAAGTGTCTGTCCTTTGAAATATGAAGTAGCTGCTTAACCACTGCCCAAAGTCTTTCAATTTCTCTTGACTTTTGGCCTTTCTTCCAAGACACTGGTAGTCAAATCAACGCACCAAAGGAAAACATGTGCTTTGGGCTACTGTGGTAGTGACCAGAATAATATTATCTTGGGGCCAAAAAGAATCAAGTTAGTAGCCAGACATCCCACAAACAAGAGACCACCAAACACTGTCAAGGTTAACAAAGCAATGGTAGCTCTTAGGACCTAGAATGCTATATAATCAGTAGGATAGTTTTTCATATGCAAATTATACTTTCAAAGTGATTGAAAATCATTTTCCCCCAAGTGTTGAAACTTCTTCCCTGGGATATTACTTAGCTTTTCTAATACAAAGTTCTTAATTTCTGGTGTATCATGTCTACATAAGAAGAAATGGAATGCCATGGTTTTTGATAATTGCTTTACAGCAAGATCCTTTCAGCCTATCAGACCCTTTAACTCTTTTCTCACTACACAGTCTTGTAGCTGTAACTGTCCTCTTACTGCTTGATCCATCTGTTACCTTTCTGGAATCTCCCCTGAGCTAAGCTAGTTACCAAACTGTGATCTCCCCTAAGCCATAAATCCAACCCCACCCCGCCACATACGGACACTAGTCTGCTTCCAAGACCACCTCCATTCATGGTTGTAAAGCAGAAATATAACACTGATAGAAACAAATGGAGGAAGTAGAATTTTTTGAAAGCCAAGGAAGCAGCCACATCCTGTAATAAAATTTAAAAAATAATCCCCATTGTCTACATTAAATTAATACCACAAAATAAAAGGGTATGTGTTAGGGGTGGGGGATTTGTTTATTTCAATAGCAACTTGCTGACATATTCCCCCTCGTCTTGTCACAGGTTGTCTGTCCCATTTCTGCATCAAAAGCCTGAACGTTTTGTTTGCTGGGTCTTTCAAGGTAATATTAGAGCCTGTGTTCTCCACAAAAACTAGCTCAACTCAGCTTGCATTCTCTGAAAAAGTTAGCTCGACTCAGGTGAATTATTTCTTGCATTTGTACATGACAACCTGATTCTTATAACAAGGCTTACTTATCAAAAGACTTTGAAGGATCTCCCTTCTCAGCATCAAGGTAGAACAAAAAGTTGGACATATGTACTGTGCATGATTTTCTTAGTTTTTTTTTTCCAGTCAAGATTAAGAGTTGCACCTACCAGAAAAGAATGATCTTATAGTTTGAATTGCCAGCTTTAGAGAAATGATACACTAGATCCCATCAAATATCAAGACCTATTTACTCTTTTCTCTATTTCCTTAACCAAAAGAGGCTCTTCCTAACAAAAATAACACCTACCTCAATACTAATATACAATTAACTATAATCTTCAATCTATTTTGTGACCATTCCTAGTCTTCCCCTGGGACTTCTACATGATTCTTTCAAAACAATTTTACATATCAACTGGAGACTTTTAAGGTGGATTTAACTTTTTAATTTACTGTATATATGCAATAACCTCTTGAAAATATGGAGTGCACTTACGGAATTATGCTTTCTTCTTTATCTCTCCTTTTTCTTTTTTTGTCTGAGATGCAAGATTTGGCAATGTACAGAAGAAAATACAGAATACAGTGTACTGATGCAGCATAGCTTTTGGAGCCACGTAGACATGGCTTTGAGACCTTGATCTAGTTATTCAACTTTTCTGTTGGTCTAGTTATTCAAACTTTCAGAGTTTGATTCCAGGAAATGGTAACACTCTCTATCTTATGGAATGCTATGAAGATCAAAAGAGATCTCAAAACTCTTGAGCCCGGTGGGTGAAAGATTGAAGATACAAGTAAAATTTATATGTTCCCAGTTTCTATGGGGCCAGGGAATTGGATGCTAGTTTACAGAAATGACTGTTTCCCAAATTTCCCCAATAATAATTTCTTATGGTATTTGTTAAAAATACAATTTCCCTGGTCTCATCGCAGACTTGATGATTCAGAAATTCCAAGACTTGGAAGCTAAGGAACTATATTTTTAACAAACACTCCTTATGATTCATACCATAAGAAAAATTGGAAAAACAGTGATATAGACTATCAGTGTCTGTTATGTTCTATAATTATAAGCAAAATTCAAAATAAAATAATATTTTAATAAATGAATTTTTAAATGTGTACAACTTCTTATGCTCCTAAATTATCCAGTTAAATATTTTAATTAAATTTTACGCTAAATATTTAAACTTTAAGTCCACCTGTCTTTTTCTCTGTAGATTCTACAAAGCAGTCAAATTTTATTCTCATTAGTGAATAAAAAAATAATTGCTTTTAGTTTTAACTGATTTAGTATTAGAAGAATAAGAGCCAACAATATTATAAAGCATTTTAGTAATATATAGTGCTATATGAATGTTTATTAAAACTGTAATAATTTAAATAATAACGGTTTATACCTACAAGACTTGACATGTGAGTTAACCAGTTAGCTTCATTTTATTTTATTTTATTTTTTTATTTTATTATTATTATACTTTAAGTTTTAGGGTACATGTGCACAATGTGCGGGTTAGTTACATATGTATACATGTGCCATGTTGGTGTGCTGCACCCATTAACTCGTCATTTAGCATTAGGTAGATCTCCTAAAGCTATCCCTTCCCCCTCCCCCACCCCACAACAGTCCCCAGAGTGTGATGGTCCCCTTCCTGTGTCCATGTG
Source organism: Homo sapiens (assembly GCF_000001405.40). Classification (NCBI taxonomy): domain Eukaryota; kingdom Metazoa; phylum Chordata; class Mammalia; order Primates; family Hominidae; genus Homo; species Homo sapiens. The sequence goes on along the minus strand of NC_000011.10, from coordinate 86,106,370 downwards.
TTCTCATTGTTCAATTCCCACCTGTGAGTGAGAATATGCGGTGTTTGCTTTTTTGTTCTTGCAATACTTTACTGAGAATGATGATTTCCAATTTCATCCATGTCCCTACAAAGGACATGAACTCATCATTTTTTAGGGCTGCATAGTATTCCATGGTGTATATGTGCCACATTTTCTTAATCCAGTCTATCATTGTTGGACATTTGGCTTGGTTCCAAGTCTTTGCTATTGTGAATAGTGCCGCAATAAACATACGTGTGCATGTGTCTTTATAGCACCATGATTTATAGTCCTTTGGGTATATACCCAGTAATGGGATGGCTGGGTCAAATGGTATTTCTAGTTCTAGATCCCTGAGGAATCGCCACACTGACTTCCACAATGGTTGAACTAGTTTACAGTCCCACCAACAGTGTAAAAGTGTTCCTATTTCTCCACATCCTCTCCAGCACCTGTTGTTTCCTGACTTTTTAATGATTGCCATTCTAACTGGGGTGAGATGGTATCTCATTGTGGTTTTGATTTGCATTTCTCTGATGGCCAGTGATGGTGAGCATTTTTTCATGTGTTTTTTGGCTGCATAGATGTCTTCTTTTGAGAAGTGTCTGTTCATGTCCTTCGCCCACTTTTTGATGGGGTTGTTGGTTTTTTTCTTGTAAATTTGTTTGAGTTCATTGTAGATTCTGGATATTAGCCCTTTGTCAGATGAGTAGGTTGCGAAAATTTTCTCCCATTTTGTAGGTTGCCTGTTCACTCTGATGGTAGTTTCTTTTGCTATGCAGAAGCTCTTTAGTTTAATTAGATCCCATTTGTCAATTTTGTCTTTTGTTGCCATTGCTTTTGGTGTTTTAGACATGAAGTCCTTGCCCATGCCTATATCCTGAATGGGAATGCCTAGGTTTTCTTCTAGGGTTTTTATGGTTTTAGGTCTAACGTTTAAGTCTTTAATCCATCTTGAATTGACTTTTGTATAAGGTGTAAGGAAGGGATCCAGTTTCAGCTTTCTACATATGGCTAGCCAGTTTTCCCAGCACCATTTATTAAATAGGGAATCCTTTCCCCATTGCTTGTTTTTCTCAGGTTTGTCAAAGATCAGATAGTTGTAGATATGCGGCATTATTTCTGAGGGCTCTGTTCTGTTCCATTGGTCTATAGCTCTGTTTTGGTACCAGTACCATGCTGTTTTGGTTACTGTAGCCTTGTAGTATAGTTTGAAGTCAGGTAGCGTGATGCCTCCAGCTTTGTTCTTTTGGCTTAGGATTGACTTGGCGATGTGGGCTCTTTTTTGGTTCCATATGAACTTTAAAGTAGTTTTTTCCAATTCTGTGAAGAAAGTCATTGGTAGCTTGATGGGGATGGCATTGAATCTGTAAATTACCTTGGGCAGTATGGCCATTTTCATGATATTGATTCTTCCTACCCATGAGCATGGAATGTTCTTCCATTTGTTTGTATCCTCTTTTATTTCGTTGAGCAGTGGTTTGTAGTTCTCCTTGAAGAGGTCCTTCACGTCCCTTGTAAGTTGGATTCCTAGGTATTTTATTCTCTTTGAAACAATTGTGAATGGGAGTTCACTCATGATTTGGCTCTCTGTTTGTCTGTTATTGGTGTATAAGAATGTTTGTGATTTTTGTACATTGATTTTGTATCCTGAGACTTTGCTGAAGTTGCTTATCAGCTTAAGGAGATTTTGGGCTGAGACGATGGGGTTTTCTAGATATACAATCATGTCATCTGCAAACAGGGACAATTTGACTTCCTCTTTTCCTAATTGAATACCCTTTATTTCCTTCTCCTGCCTAATTGCCCTGGCCAGAACTTCCAACACTATGTTGAATAGGAGTGGTGAGAGAGGGCATCCCTAGCTTCATTTTAATATGCTGTTAGCAAATCTCTAAGCTTCATAGAGACAAAGCTTGAAATATTATGCATAAAAACAACACAAAAATTTCTTTGTATTTGAACCCAAATTGCTTTTTACTCTTTCTTTTTTTTCAGATGGACCTCTAGCTAATTGTACCTTTTAGGTTCAGAAGCCTTTGTATTTTTAAGTGTTTGGCATCCAGATATAAATTTTCTATTTCCTTCAAAGATGACATTGTGGATGATGATTCTCTTTGAGCGCTGTATATGACAGGGACCCAGAGAAGTGAGAAAATGAAGAGGAAAAGGTGTGAGAAGAGTTGGATAGACTAGTGTATCACCAGCAGCTCTTTAAAAATGAATGATTATTCTACAGAGAGCATTTACTGAGCTCTTACTAGGAGCCAGCTACTGTCCTAATGGCCTAAACATAGCTACTAATTGTTCTGTTGATTCATTGTTTTCAGTCTTGCCTCTGAGCCCTGTGATCAGCTAGAGCAATGGCAATTGTTGGTGACTCATAGATAATTTTCTGTTAAAAAGAGTGAGGCTGTTCTTGATTGCCATAGAGCATAACTACCACACAGTGGTTGATGCTCTGTTTCAGAACTTCCTATAAGTTTGTGCATACGTTTATGTCTATCTTGTGTCAATGCTGCCCAAAAAAGCTAATTGTTTATTTTGCTCTCATCCACTGTAGTTTGAGATAAACATGGTTTAGGGTTATTAAATCAGACATTAGATGTTATCTATAATCTAGATTATACCACCATATATTTGTTTATAAGTTGCTTTCACATTATTCCTTACTTGTTTCCTACTAAATTATCTTTTTTGTTTTAGCTAGTACACTTCTACATTTTTTTCCAGGATAAAACTACATCTGTGGAGGGTACTCAAATGTTGGTTCAATTAAATAAATATTTTACCTAATTAACTACACTATAGATTCTCATTGGTGACTATTTCTCTTCTTTTGACATTTGGTAAGTAACATTGATGATACTTTCCGTAACTTAAATATTTGATATGTAGTGTTTTGGGAAGGTCTGAAACTACCAGTAATATGAAAAGTCTGAACATGGTCACTAACAATTCTCAACAATACTCTCTATGGTTGGATTTGGGAATTTTTTTCCATTCCAGAGACATTAGAAAATACAAAAATTATACATGAGAGTTTTAAATAAAGGATTTTGGTTACTTTTCCTTTTTTTTTTTTTCTTTTTTGAGATGAGCACTTGCTATTCTGCCCAGGCTGGAGTACGATGGCTATTCACAGGTATGCACTACAGACTTGAACTCCTGGGGGCAACCCATCCTCCTACCTCAGCCTCTGCAGTAGCTGGGACTGCAGGAACACATCACCAGGCTTAGGTCTTTTTACTTTTATTGTGTATGTATTCTATAAAACCATTATGTATTTGTTTATATTTTCCTTAAAGGTTTTTCTTATTCTTAATGTTTCGATGTGTAGTCTTCCAAATTTGCTTTTATGCATAGATGCATTTTTTCATAAAAATGTGAGTGCACGCTTACATTCTATTGTAATTAATTTGTAGGCATAATATCTCTTCATAAAGTTGCTCATTTTTTATTGAATGGACAGCTGATGAGGGTGAGGGTGGACAGGGTCTCACTATGTTGCCCAGGCTGTTGTTTGGCTTTTGCGTTTGTTGTTCTTTCTGGATGATGGTACAGATCTTTGAAATATTTGTATATTTCTTCAATATTTTATATACTAAGGAAAAAGAAACATATGCGGACAGCTAATTAAAATGTCCTTTTCTTACTTAAGTAGGTTGAAAAGTATGCCATATAATTTTTCATGACTTTGACCTTGGTGGTAACTTCTTCAAAAGTCCGAGCAAAGGCTATACTATTATTACTTTGCTTTGTAAGCCTTTACCATTCATGGTTTCCTCAATGCTCTAAGAAGTCCTTATAAGTATTGGCAAAAAATCTTTGTAAGAATTTCCTTTCATATAAGAATAGAGTCTTCCCTATTATTCACAGGTCCTCAAGAAAGGTGGATAAGTACCTGTGCACCCCAAAGACCAAGGCTTAGTTGACATAAACATATCTCTGGATATACTGACCATGGCTCCCCACTACTAATTTCTCGAGCTGTTTAGTTGTGAGTCAGTATAAGGTAGTGGGATAGACCTTTGATTATGAAATTGGACACAGAGTTGGAGTCCCACTTATGCAACAATTTAACTGCAATTATTCACTTATTTGTCTTCTTCCACTACATGGACAAAGATCGTGTTTTATTTGCCTTCCTATCCCTATCACCTGGCACATAGCACTCAGTTAATACTTATTTAATGAAGCTTGAATGCATCCCTAATCTTGGACAGCTCACTCACAGTCGTTCTGAACTTCACATTTGTCATATGTAAAATAGACTGGTTACTCCCTAACAGCATTTCCAGCTCTGACACTGTGCAATTATATGATCTGTGTATTCTGGAACCAACTTCCCAAAACAAACTCTCTTGTTTGGGCCATTGAGAAATGGCATTGAATTGTTTGCTTTATTATAAATGGCTTCTTAATCTCTGAATCATTCCTATTTAAAAGAGATTCAAAGAGCCTGCAGTATTGCTGTATATTTAGTGGAGAACAACTTGGAGAATTGCTTATTCGATATTTTATAGTTTCATGCAGAGTTCCTACTCCCTGAGAGCTTTGGCGATATTTTACATTACTTTTTAAAGTCATCTTCTAGCTCAAGAAATTTGGTACCTATCTGGTTTTATTGACTTGGCTACATTTCAACAAATTTGTTGGGTGACTAACAAGAGTTCAGAATGATTCAGATGATGGAATGGTGGACTACCTAGTATTTAAGTCATTGGAGAGGCCAAGACATCTGTCATCTATAACATTTTACAGCTATCTTTTACCGCTTTATAATAGAGAGAATTTGCTTGAAGAATGATAGATACGTAAGGGCTAGAATCATACCATCAACACTGTAGAAGGTTCGAGTGGGAAGGATCTGAGGTTTGTTGTGAGGAGCCTCAGTGGCTGCCTAAAAGAGAGCTAGGAATACAGTGGGGGAAAGAAGACTAATTAGGTAGGACTCCGAGTTATCCTCATTCCAGCTTCAACTGTCTCAACCAAGAGCAAACCCGTTTCTGTCCATTTCACCTGCTGATCTTCAGAATAAGTTTATTAAAAAATGTTCTGCTTCAAAATAAAATCTGGGCCTATTAATCTATTTCAACTTCTCATTTACAGATAGAGGCTCAGAAGGTTGTGATTTGCTTTTGAGAGAGGTCATTGAAAGATCTCCTAGACTGGGTTCTAATTTTCAAAGAGATTTGGAGGGAAAGAAATGTCAGAAGTAGCTGGGCGCGGTGGGTCACATCTGTAGTCTCAACATTTTGGGCTGGGCGTAGTGGCTCAAGCCTGTAATCCCAGCACTTTGGGGAGCTGAGGCTGGTAGATCACTTGAGGTCAGGAGTTCGAGACCAGCCTGACCAACATGGTGAAACCCCGTCTCTACTAAAAATACAAAAAAAATTAGCTGGGGGTGTTGGCACCTGCCTGTAATCTCACTCAGGAGGCTGAGGCAGGAGAATCGCTTGAACTCAGGAGGTGGAGGTTGCAGTGAGCCAAGATCGTGCCACTGCACTCCAGGCTGGGTGACAGAGTGAGACTCCGTATCAAAAAAAAAAATCATTTTGGAAGGCCAAGGCAGGAAGATCACTTGAAGCCAGGAGTTCTGGACCAGCCTAGGCAAAACAAACGAGATGCTGTCTCTACAAAAAAAGAAAGAATGACCAGCCTGGCCAACATGGCCAAGCCCCATGTCTAAAAAAAATACAAAAATTAGCTGGGCGTGGTGGCACATGCCTATAATCTCAGCTACTCAGGAGGCTGAAGCAAAAGGATTGCTTGAACCTGGGAGGCAGAGGTTGCAGTGAGCCAAGATGGCGCCACTGCACTCCAGCCTGGGCAATAGAGTGAGACTCCATCTCAAAAAAAAAAATAAATAAATAAATAGGAAAGAGAGCAAGAGAGAAAGGAAGAATAGAAGGGAGGAAGGGAGGGAGGGAGGGAGGAAGGGAGGAAGGGAAAAAGGGAGGAAGGGAGGGGACCCCTAAGTAGGGCCAAAGGTATATGTGAAAAAACCTACAGTAATAGAATATTTAATATTTTAAAATTTCCAAAACACTCATAAGTACATACCATTTGATCTTCAGAACAGACATGTAAAGCGAGTAATGTAGGTATCATTAACCTCAATTTACAGATGAGGAAGCTGACACCAGGCAAGGTCACGTGACATGCACAATGTCACAGGTGTTAGAGCCTGAACTAGAACTCTAACATTTCTGACCTTCAACCCAGTGCTCTTTGTATTACACCACACCACAGACTAAAGAGACATGACAAATAGGTCTGTCAACGTATCTTAGAGACATGAGTCGGTAGTAGGTAGAAGATTCACACACATTCTGGCACCCGGGGATATGATTTGGCAATGTGTAAGTTATCCTATGCTGTCATTGCTCACAGTCTGAATCATGTACATTATTCCCACTGGGGGAATATCTGAGCATCATCTCCTAAGTGCTATTTTAGCAATAGCACTTTGCTAATTATGAAGACAAAATTACTTTATTAGATCATAAGGAAACCTGTCTTTTGGTTTTATCAGGCATTTGTTTCTGCTGGTTAAAAATCTTTTGGTTTCCCTTATAAGAATTTACTTAGCCAAAATGTTTAATGTGGAAGAAAACGTAAGATAAATTTTCTTCTGTATTAAAGTCTAACTTTTTTTTCATTTTCTTTTCTCTGCCCATCCTCTACTCTTGGCTACTTCCCTACTAATTATTCATTATTGATCATGTAAAATCTCTTTTCCAGGGCAAAAATCATACTTAAAAAGAAATTAATTTATAACCTTACAAGACTCAATACATTATAACAGATTGAAACATTTTAGAGGTTAGAATGTAAAAATGAGAGAATATTTGAAAAGAAAACTAGTCTTTCTGGGGAAACAGCTGTGAGGTATATTTCAATGTAATGTATAAAGCAGTTTGATGCTTGAGGTAAAAAGTCACATTCGGGGCCAGGCACGCTGGCTCATGCCTGTAATCCCAGCACTTTGGGAGGCTGAGGTGGGCGGATCACTTGATGTCAGGAGTTCGAGACCAGTTTGACCAACATGTTGAAACCCCGTCTCTACTAAAAATACAAAAATTAGCTGGATGTGGTGGAGGGCGCCTGTAATCCCAGCTACTTGGGAGGCTGAGGCAGGACAGTCACTTGAACCTGGGAGGCGGAGTTTGCAGTGAGCCAAGATCATGCCATTGTACTCCAGCCTGGGAAACAAGAGTGAGGCGCCATCTCAAAAAAAAAAAAAAAAAAAGTCAAAAAGTCACATTTGGCTAGTTTGCCTTTCTTGGTACTCTAAAAAATGATTCTAGAGATCTTAAAGGACCAATTAACAATTAATTAACAATTAATGAATTGTATCAAATACAGAGAAATCATTTAAGCTAATTTCACAGAACAAAACCCAGAATATGTAATTAGTCCATCTTGGGACAATATAAGCATATTATCTGAGAAATTGCTATCATATTCATAAACTAGGGTTAATTAACAAGTTCCCTCTCTTTGAAGAGGCTGTCCTGATGTCTTTGGCTTTCATAGGCCAGGTGGAAAGAGTGTAATATTTGGGGTGAGGAGTATCATGGAAATATAGTCAGATCCTTTTTTTTAACCTTTTCCAAGATAGAACCATATATGAAGATCCTAATGGATCGTTCTGTCTCTTGGAATTGGGTATAGATGAGAAAGAGAAAACAGTGAATAATAAGTGCCCTTAAACGATATATAAATTCATTTCTCTTTTACATAAAAGAAGTCCAGAAGTAAGCCATCCAGAGTTGGTATAACAGTTCTATGATCATCATGCACACAGAATCTTTCTACCCCATGGCTCTGCCACATGGCTTCTACCTAATAGCCCAGAAGCACTGCTCACGCTTCAGCCATCATGTTTTATTTCCAGCCCAAATGAAGGAGCCAGAGATGATCTGTCTGCATGATCTCCCTTTAAGGAGCCTTCCTGGAAATTCAAAAGAACAATTTCAATGACATCTCATTTATTAGAATTTAGTCACATACCTACATACCTAACTGCAAGGGTTTCTTTTCTTTTTGGGTGGCTATAAACCCAGCCAAAATAAAGTTTTCATCACTAAGAAAGGATGAGGAAGTAGATACTTGAGATTTTGTCTGACACAAGTCTTCTCTTTCCACCACCATTTTGGTTAACAGTTGCCAGATGCTTGAGCTGTATGAGTTTGCTTGAAACCCCCTTCCTCTTTTTTCCTAATCTGAACTCAAGTGTAAATAAATTGCTGCTCCTCTGGTCAAGCAGAAGAGAGATGAACTTGAGGAGTTTAATTTTTTCCCCTAAAACTTGCTGGGAAATGCATCTAAACACATTGTTCAGACTACATGCAAGTTGCTCGTTGTGGAACTCCTGAAGAACTGAAACTCTCAGAATAAAACTCTATAGCATCACCACCATATCCCTAAAAATATACAAACCTAAATTTAAATGTTATTTAAAATGGCAGATGGGCCAAATAACCATGTTCCAAGCTGGTACGAAACTGTGTGTACTATGAGATTTTTCCGAGAAAAAAAAAATAGCCCAGGCAATTCAAATCTAAACAAGGAAACATCTCCAAATATCCTGTAATTTGTTTTCTAGCAAGGATCATGGGAATAATAGCTAAAGCCAGAAGAAATTTGAATAAACTCAGTTTTCATTTCAAAAAGATGCAAGGGAGAGTCAAGGTCTATACGTCATGGTTAAAAATGTCAAAGCAAGAACAGAGGGCATAAGTATAACTGAACTTTAAAAATGATGATGATCATTATTTTTAAGAGACAAGATTCTTCCTTGTCACCCAGGCTGTAGTGCAATTGCACAATTCTAGCTCGCTGCAGCCTCAAACTTTTCGTCTCAAGCCATCCTCCCACCTCAGCCTCCCAAGTAGATAGGACCACAGGTATGCATAAATGTTCCTGGTTTATTTATTTTAAAAAAATGTTTTTAGAGACAGGGTCTCACTATATTGCTCAGGCTGAAAAAATTATTACTTATCATAAAAATTTGTTACGTGAAGTAGAGGAAGCACTGCAGCTGTCTCAATGAACCTATAGACTGTCAATTCACAAAATGTTATGTTTGGTTGTGTGCAGCGGCTCACACCTATAATCTCAGCACTATGGGGGGCTGAGGGGGAGGATTGCTTGAGGCCAGAAGTTCGAGACCAGACTAGGAAACATAGTGAAACCCCATCTCTACAAAATAAAAATTTAAAAATTAGCTGGGCATGATGGTGTGCTCCTGTAGGCCCAGCTACTTAGGAGGCTGAGTCAGGAGAATCACCTGAGCCCAGGAGTTCCAGATTACAGTGAACCATCATTGTGCCCCTGCACTCCAGCCCGAGTGACAGAGCAAGACCCTGTCTCAAAAAAAAAAAGTTTGTTCATTTCCCTAGCATATTGTTGTCTCCAGATTAATCATCATTGTTTGGACAAATATTATTTATCTACTGTGTTCCAGGCATGGTGCTAGGGGTGCAGAAGGAAACAATCTGTCCCCTCAAGGGGTTCAGTTTGGTGATTACAAATTATTTGTAATTTTCATCTTCACAAATAACAAAACCATTGTATTCTGGGATCTCAGAACCAGGAATTTGGCATTAAGCAACATGGTTTGTCCGCCAAGAACAAAGTAGAAAGAGCACAGGTTTAGGATTCAGAAAACTTCCATTTAAAGCTCAGCTCTGTCACTTACTATCTGTGCCTTTGAGCAGATTATTTCACCTTTCTTAATTTCAGTTTCTTCCTCTGAGAATTGAGAATAATGCCTACCTGTCAAGGTTGTTCTGAGGATTAAACGAAATAATATAAATGCTGTGCTTGGCACATGGGAGGTATTCAAACACTGTAATTATCATAATTATCATTAATTATTGTGTTATTTCCAAGAATGGATTAGGTTCTACAGAATGCTTTGGAGAGTGCACATATAGTAAGAGCAATACATATATAGAGCTTGCTATGATCCATGTACTGTTCTCAGCACCTTCCTCAGTAGGATTGGTATTTTTAAGCATAGCAACCATCCCTCTAGATATTATTATTTTTATCCCTGTTTTACAGTTGAGGAAATTGAGGCACAGAAAGTTGAGTAACTTGCCCAAGGTCACACAACTAAGTAACAAAGTTGAGAAGTTGAGATGTGAACCCAATCACCATTTCTCCAGAATCTGCACTCTCATTATTCTATCACTATGAATAACTTAATTATTTAATTTGGGCTGGGTGCAGTGGCTCACACCTGTAATCTCAACACTTTGAAAGGCTGAGGTGGGCAGATCACTTCAGGTCACGCGTTTGAGACCAGTCTGGCCAACATGGTGAAACCCTGTCTCTACTAAAAATACAAAAATAAGCTGGTGTGGTGGTGCATGCCTGTAATCCCACCTACTTGGGAGGCTGAGGCAGGAGAATCACTAGGACCTAGGAGACAGGTTGCAGTGAGCTGAGATCACACCACTGCACTCCAGCCTGGTTGACAGAGTGACACCTTGCCATGAAAAAAATAATAATATTATTATTTAATCTGTAAATCATACATGAGACTAGAAAAAAATTTCTGACTTTCGGTGATTAACTTTTGATAAAATAGTACAACCCTGCTACCTGGGCAAAGTGGCCCTAGTCTTAGGCCCTGTGCTTTAGAAGGCCCTACATATCACAACACAAAAAATAATTTTTATTTTATTTTATTTTATTTTTTTGAGACGGAGTCTCACTCTGTCGCCCAGGCTGGAGGGCAGTGGCACTATCTCGGCTCACTGCAAGCTCCGCCTCCCGGGTTCACACCATTCTGCTGCCTCAGCCTCCCGAGTAGCTGGGACTACAGGCGCCCGCCACTACGCCCAGCTAATTTTTTTGTATTTTTAGTAGAGACGGGGTTTCACCGTGTTAGCCAGGATGGTTTCGATCTCCTGTCCTCATGATCCACCTGCCTCGGCCTCCCAAAGTATTGGGATTACAGGTGTGAGCCACTGTGCCCGTCCCCAAAAAAATTTATTTAACAACACATGGGCACTTCTGATACTCAAGATCTGGCTCTTAGCATTGACACAGTGTGTTCTTAAGCATCCACTCGTGCTTAACAGCATTTAAGGCCCAGGAAAATGCTTCTTTATATCTCTTATCCTACGTCATTAAATGAAAAGGCAATTGTGTCCAAATTCTGTGATGTCTTCTGCATTATACCACCACAAGATATGAAGATGAACATGAGCAATTTAGGAGAATGTGAATAACAGAAGCACCTAGGTAAGAGAAGAGACTAACTTTTCAGACCTTTCAGTTATCAAGAGTGCAAAAGATTTTTGCGTAATGCAGTATCATTTTCCAACACACAAAGTATCCATTTTCTTCTTCTTTTTCTTTTTCTTTTTTTCTGAGACTCTCACCCAGGCTGGAGTACAGTGGCACGATCTTGGGTCACTGCAACCTCTGCCTCCCGGGTTCAAGTGATTCTCCTGACTCAGCCTCCCATGTAGCTGGGAACAGGCCTGCGCCACCACACTCAGCTAATGTTTGTATTTTTAGTGGAGATGGGGTTTGGCCATGTTGGCCAGGCTAGTGTTTCAGACTCCTGACCTCAAGTGATCTGCCCACCTAGCCCTCCCAAAGTGCCGGGATTACAGGCATGAGCCACTGTGCCTGGCCTTCTTCATGTTTTAATTTGTGTTTCCTGACTACTTGTGAACTAGTATTTTATTTGCAATAATTAAATATGGTGGCTGAGGAACATTTTCTAAGATAAAACAATTTATATTATTCAAATGTGTGTATATGAAGGTTATACATAACATGCGTGAAGTGTGATACCATTTCTTCACATTGGCCACTGAGTGGCCATTGAATGTGACCATTAAAAATGGTTTTATTTTTATTAAAATATTTAAATGATGCAAATAATTTTTAAAACATTTTTTGTTTAATTCTTTTGATTTAAAATTTTGACATTTTCAGAGCAGATGATGAATCTGAAAAAGAAGTTGATATTTAATGATTCTAATTTGCTTTTCTCTTTAGAAATTTTAGGAAAGATTATTTTTCTTTTGTTTCTTTTTTTCATGTCAAACGGGCAATGTGACAACGGTGTAACAAGGTTCAAGGGTGGCATATCTCACACATGTGCATGAACACTCAATCATTACACTCATGAACTACAAAAGGATCAGGAGAGATTCTTTTGAATACTTTAGAAAAATTCCTTTCTAACATTAAATAATGGGAATTTTCCAGTTTTTAATTTACATTTTTTGATGGACGACATATTTGAACACTTTGAATACAGTCACTTTGGTTTTTTTTTAAATCTTTTAAGACTCTGAGAATGAGTACAAGTTAAGGTCAAGATAGAAATAGAAAATATAAAACTGAAATTCAGAGAAGAAATAACTAGGAAGAAAACTTATCAAGACAGAAGAATAGAACATACTTCTTTTTTTTTTCTAAAAGTTTGATAGTTTGATACCTGACTTTGAAATATTTAGACATATGATATATAGGCTTCTATGTATCATTTGGTCCCACTATTACAAATGTTAGGGGTGGGCCTTTCAGACAGAGTCCATGTAGTTACCACAGCAAGCTCTTTTTGGCCTAACCTGTATTTTAGCAATTATAAAATAATATAATTAAATTAGTAGCTTCACAATTGGAGAAAGTCACAAAGTGATAGCAAAAAATTCAGCACATTTAGGAAATATGAATAACTCAAAGAGGATTATATGATAGACTTGGGTGTTTTAAAGTACTGTATGATTTTCTTGGGGGAAAAAAGTCCATGTCGAAAATCTATGCCACATTCTGAAATAAAGAATGGTTTCTAGGATAAAATGATCTTCAAGGAGGAAAACTATGTTGAGAAGCGATTCTATTAATTTGGTCAATCAATAAATGAGTAATGATACTCATGTAATGTGCCCCCAGCAGACAACAATGTTGAAGGTCTAAAGCAAGTAAAAGATGTGGTCCTGGCTGCAGGAATTTTACAATCGAATTGATCTAATTGAAGAGATAAGCAATGCATACTTGAAACAATTAGAGATTAGATGCTAAAAGAATGAACTGTGAAGTCCAACAAGTTTTACTAAGGATCAAAGCAGAGAAACATTGGTGTGAACTTGAGTCACCTTGCAGGGAGAGATTCTTAGAGGGCTCTCTAAGGAGGGAATGAGACCCAAAATAATAATCTCTGGAATGGATTTAGGAAGGGTCTTATTGGTCCAAGGAAACCACATGAACTATAAACCATATTTTAAAACAAACAAAATTCCATTCCTTAGTAATGCTGTAAAATTTCCTAATACTATCTAGTCTTATACTTTATTTTTTATTTTTTTATTTTGATTTTTGACATGGAGTCTCGCTAAGTCGCCCAGGCTGGAGTGCAGTGGCGCAATCTTGGCTCACTGCAAGCTCTGCCTCCCAGGTTCACACCATTCTCCTGCCTCAGCCTCCTGAGTAGCTGGGACTACAGGCACTCGCCACCATGCCCAGCTAATTTTTTGTATTTTTTTTTAGTAGAGACGGGGTTTCACCGTGTTAGCCAGGATGGTCTCAGTCTCCTGACCTCATGATCTGCCCGCCTCGGCCTCCCAAAGTGCTGGCGTGAGCCACTGCTCCTGGCCTCTTTCTTTTTTTCATAGAGATGGGGTCTCACTATGTTGCCCAGGCTGTTCTCAAACTTCTGGGCTCTAATAATCCTCCCACCTCAGTCTCCCAAAGTACTGGGATTACAGGCATGAGCCACTATGCCCAGCCTCTAGTCATATATATATATATATATATATATATACACACACACACACACACACGTGTATACATGTGTGCGTGTATGTGTGTGTGTGTGTATATATATATATATAGTTTGTTTTAAAGACAGGGTCTCACTCCCAGGCTGGAGTGCAGTGGCACAATCATGGCTTATTGTAACTTCAAATGCCCGCTCTCAAGTGTTCTTCTCCCCCTCAGCCTTCCTAGTAGCAAGGACTACAGGCACACACCACCACACCCAGCAAATTATTTCAATTTAATTTTTGTAGAGATAGGGTCTTGCTATGTTGCTTGGGCTGGTCTCGAACTCCTAGGCTTATGAGATCCTTCTGCCTTGGCTTCCCGAAGTGCTGCGATTACAGGCATGAGCCCCTGCGCCTGGCCCAGATACATATTTGTAAAAGCTCCATATTTGTTACCTATTATCCCAAGACTTAGTGGCTTAAAACAATAGCATCTCAGTGGGCACTGTGACATGTGCCTGTAGTCCCCGCTACTTGGGAGGCTGAGGCAGGAGTATGTCTTGAGCCCAGGAATTCCAGGCTGTAGTGTACTGATTGTGCACCTTTGAAAAGCCACTGCACTCCCAGCCTGGGTGACATAGGGAGACTCTGTCTCTAAAAAAAAATAAACAAAAAACAGTATCTCACATAGTTTCCATAGGCCAGGAATTTAAGAAGAGATTAGCTGGTGGTTCTGGCTCAGGGTGCCTCATGAGGTTGCAATCAAGATGTTGGTCAGGACTTCTGGAGGTTTTACTGTGGTGTGGAAAGATCTGCTTCCAAGATGGCTCATTCACAGGCTGGCAAGTTAGTGCAGGCTATTGGCGGGAGGTCTGAGTTCTTTGCCACGTGGACCTTTCCCTTGGACTGTTTGAGTGTTCTCATAACTTGGTGGCTGATTCCTGCCAGAGTGAATAAGCCAGGAAAGAGCAAAGTGGAAGCTGCAATATTGTTTATGACCTCAGCCTCAGAAGTCAAACATCCTCAACTCCTCAATATTCTATTGGTTGCACAGGTCATTCCTATTCATTATGGGCAGGGGCTATACAAGGACTTGAATACCAAGAGGTAAAGATCACTGAGATTCATTTTGGATGCTGACTAATACAAGTCCCCAAATTTATTTTCTTTCTTTTCTTTCTCTCTCTTTCTTTTTCTCTTCATCATGGGCAGGGGCTATACAAGGACTTGAATACCAAGAGGTAAAGATCACTGAGATCCATTTTGGATGCTGACTAGTACAAGTCCCAAAATTTATTTTCTTTCCTTTCTTTCCCTTTCCTTTTCTCTTCTCTTCTCTTCTTTCTTTCTTTTTCTCTCTCTCTCTTCTTTTTCTCTTTCTCTCTTTCTTTCTTGATTTTTTTTTCAGAGTCTCACTTTGTCATCCAGGCTAGAGTGCAGTGGTGTGATCTTGGCTCTCTGCAACCTCTACCTCCTGGGTTCAAGCGATTTTCCTGCCTCAGCCTCCTCAGTAGCTGGGATTACAGGCACCCACCACCATGCTTGGCTAATTTTTGTATTTTTTAGTAGAGACAGGGTTTTGTCATGTTGGCCAGGCTGGTCTCGAACTCCTGACCTCAAGTGATCTGCCTGCCTTAGCCTCCCAAAGTGCTGGGATTACAGGCATGAGCCACTGCACTTGGTTAAAATTTGCTATTTTTGTGGTTAAAAAAAGTAGCTAATATCAGCAATTTCATGTTTTCAACCTATTACTTGTAAAGGTGCTACTATGAGCTAAGACACCTGGGATAAATTTTTAAGAAGTTATAAATATAAAACTACTTTTCTTTCAAAACATTAGTTAATCAGAATTTCAAATGAATGAGAATAAACTATTCTTCAAGCATTGTAGTTATTTGAAATGTTACTATATCGTTGATATTCTCCTAAAGTTTTTGGTGCATGAGCCAAAGGATGTGTGGCAGAAGTTCTGAGAGGGCAACATATCAGTGTGACTTGATGAAAGCAGTTTAACATCCCTGGGATCAATTTTCCTCATCTATAAGTGAAGGAATTGGGTTAGATGGCATGTAAGTAGTCTTTCTGTGCTAAAAATTTTTAAGATGTCTTTTTTTTTTTTTTTTTTTTTGAGATGGAGTCTTGCTCTGTCGCCCAGGCTGGAGTGCTGTGGCACGACCTCGGCTCACTACAACCTCCTCCTCCCAGGTTCAAGCGATTCTCTTGCCTCAGCCTCCTGAGTAGCTGGGATTACAGGTGTGTACCACGACGCCCAGCTAATTTTTGTATTGTTAGTAGAGACAGGGTTTCACCCTGTTGGCCAGGCTGGTCTTGAACTCCTGACCTCAAGTGATCTACCTGCCTTGGCTTCCCAAAGCACTGGGATTACAGGCATGAACCACAGCGCCCAACCTTAACATGTCTTTATATGCTGGGTATGAGCCACTACCAGTTCCGTTCTTAAACTCATCGTAAGAATTGCATATTTAAGTGCTAGAAAAATGGCTGTAACTAAATATGCTCATTTATTAACATATAATGTTAACAGTTAAACTCAAGGTCTCTTCAGCTTTTTAGTAGTCCAGAAACTCTTTCTTCCTGCTTTTTTCTCTCGAAAGCATAGACTGCCCTTCAGTAAATCAATTTACTTAATTTGACTTGCTATATTTGACAACATTTTTTTGGGTTCACATATTTTTCTTGTGCCAAGTACTGCATTTTCCATTTCCCACAGAACCAGGACAAACTGTACATCCCCTACTGTGTCCAGGGTAGATCTGGCTAAATGTCAACTATGTTAATTGGTATAGAGAAAACAGCAGCCCTATTTTTATCTGATTAAAAATCCCCACAAACATTCTCTTCTAAACTAAAGCTATGACAGTACAAAGTGATTTAATTATAATATAAAGTTTGGCAGATGTGTCCCTCCAGCCTTTATTCTACTGTAGCCTGCAGAAATGTTGCTGTTTCCTGGAATCCTCAAGCATCTAAATTTTTAATCCTACTTCTGGAGGTTTAGAATTCAGTACTCGAAACTTTCTTTAGTTTGCCAACTGGAATAAAATATATTTGCTTTAAAGTGATATGTTTAAACAAAAGATTTGAATTAAACAATCTATAGAACCTTATTTAAAAGGTAGTTGGAAATACTTTATTCCACTGTTAAAAAGTCTACATCTTAAAAATTGCCCCAGGATGAGCAGATTATATAATATAATTGCTTTAGTTAAATGAGGTGTGGGAGGTGTGGGTGTAAAAGAGTAAAAGGTAATGAACTTTGATAAATTTATATGAGCTATAACAAGGTACCAGGGAAAACTTAATTTTATCAGAAAGTGACTATGTATCTTCAGTGCTCATTCAAAATTGTATGCTGCCCCTTTAATGTCGGAATTACCCAGGACTGTCTTTAGTTCACTCCCAGGTTAACTTCATACATTCCATGATTTCACCAACTTCTTACACACTCACAGTGTTTGGGTCTGATCTCCAGCTTACTGAAAGCCACATCAATACCCTTTGGCATACTGGAGAGTTCCATTTGGGTATCTCAGGAACAACTCTAAATCAGTATGTCCAGGACTTTCAGTTTTTATTCTCGCATGTAAGCAGCTTAAAAGTCAACACTCGCCAGGCGTAGTGGCTCACACCTGTAATCCCAGCACTCTGGGAGGCCGAGGTGGGTGGATCACGAGGTCAGGAGTCCAAGACCAGCCTGGCCAACATGGTCAAACCTTGTCTCTACTAAAAATACAAAAATTAGCCAGGTGTGGTGGCACATGCCTGTAATCCCAGCTACTTGGGAGGCTGAGGCAGGAGGAATCTCTTGAACCCGGGAGAAGGAGGTTGCAGTGAGCCGAGGTCATGCCACTGCACTCCAGCCTGGGCAACAGAGTGAGACTCCGCCTCAAAAAAAAAAAAAAAAGTCACCATTCCATCCTAACAACAAATAAAAAAGCTGACCAAACAGAAAAATCTACAACATTTCTTAGATCTGTCAAAAAAAAAAAAAAAAAAAACGAGGTCACAGGGCAAACTGCTGCCCCAAAATTGAAGACAGGCAGGAAGATACAGGGAATCAAAATTTACCAGAGCGGAAGCCCACAGTCAGAAACCTCTGCAGGAGCCAGTGCTAGGGGAGGAAAACCTAACCTGTAATTAACGAATTGCTGGAGGTTCAATGTGGACAAGTCTTAGAGTTAAAAACTCCAGGGGGACCTTGTCCTAGGAAGCCCCAACACTTTTGTGAGTTTTACCTCCTGAAGGTCTACCAGGTACACACAGTGACTACTGGAGAAAAATCCCTTAGGCTTCTTGCAGGGGAAGAGGAAAAGGAACTATTTTTAAATATGATAGAGCACTTCTTTCTTAACAAGGCCTACCATCATGGGGAACTATTTTATCTGAATGGATTTTTTTCCAACACCAGCAACCAATTCTCCAATTCTCTGGATACCAGGTGGATGCCAACAATTCCATTCAATTCTGACACTAACTACCTGGAGTTGGCATCAGGCGCCATAGGTTTAAGGGCTCAATCTCTCAAGACCTCCTCCATTTAAGATGCCTATCAGAAGTCCCTGGGCACTCATACATCTGACTGATTGGCTATAAATACAGGGTTCCTTCTGGGAGGCAGAGGTTGCAGTGAGCTGAGATCGCGCCACTGCACTTCAGCCTGGGTGACAGAGCAAGACTCCATCTCAAAAATAAATAAATAAATAAATAAATAAATAAATAAAAATAAAAATTAAATAAAAAAATAAATAAATAAATATGGTGCTCCCATGAGCCCCTCCTCAGGTTCAGTAATTGGCTAGAATGGCTCACAGTACTCAGGAAGGCACTTTACTTACATTTACTGGTTTATTATAAAGGACACAAATGAACAACCAGATAAAGAAATGCACAGGGCAAGGTCTAGAATGGTCCTGAGCTCAGAAACTTCAGTTCCCATGGAATTAGAATGCACCACCCTTCCAATACATGGATGTATTCACCAATTCAGAAGCTCTCTGAATTTCATTGTTCAGAAGCTCTCTGAATTTCATTGTTCAAGAGTTTTTATAGAGCTCAATCTCCAGGTCCCTATTCCCTCCCCAGAGATTGATGAATGGGGCTGAAAATTCTCACCCTCTAATCACTTGCTCTTTCTGGAGACCAGTTCTATCCTGAGGCCGTCTAAGGGCCCCACCATAAGTCACCTTATTGGTATAAACATAGACATGGTTGAAAGGGACTCGTTATGAATAACAAAGGCACTCCTATCATTCCAAGGGAAATTCCAAAGGTTTTAGGAGTTCTGTGCCAGAAGACAGGGACAGACCAAATATATTTTTATATTATACACAAGATTATTATATTTTATATGATACCACAAGAGCCTAACCTACTGGGGGACTAACCTATCAGTGCCTAACCTATCTGGAAGACTGGAAGTACACATGCTCACAAAACACTGGAATCAAATCACTGGACTATAGAATGCTTTTCATCCCCCCAAACCTTACCACTTTACCCAGACCTTATCACTGAAGGCCTATTTACTGGGATTTCTTTCACTTAGTTATTATGTCCAGATTCCAACAAAATAGTACTATACAAAGCACACTAAAAGGCAAAAAACAACAGTTTGAAGAAACTTAAGAATCAGAACCAGTTTCAGATATGGCATAGATTATGGGATTATCAGACTGGGAATTAAAACAAATATGATTAATATGTTAAGGGCTCTAATGTAAAAAATAGACAACATTTAAGAACAGATGGAAAAATATAAGCAGAGAGATGGAAATTCTAAGAAAAAGTCAGAAAGAAAGGCTAGAGATCAAGAACACTAACAGAAATAAAGAATGCCATTGATGAGCTCCTTAGTAGACTGGACTGGGCTGAGGGAAGAATCTCTGAGCTTGAGGATGTGACAAGGAAACTTCCAAAAATGAAAGAAAAAGAGATTTAAAAATTACTGGAAAAAAGAAACACAGAACAGAATATCCAAGAACTGTAAGACAACTACAAAAAGTGTAATTTACAGGTAATGGAAATATCAGAAGGAAAAGAAAGAGAGAAAGGAACTAAAGCAATATTTGAAGCAATAATGACTGAGATTTCCCCAAATTAATGTCAGACACCAAACTACAGATCCAAGAAGCTCAGAGAACACTAAACAAAATAAATGCCCACCAAAACTATACTAAGCACATTTATTCAAACTTCAGAAGATCAAAAATAAAGAAAAAATCTTGAAAGAAGCTAGAGGGTAAAAACACCTTAACTATAATTACATCTGACTTCACCTCAGAAATCATACAAACAAGAATGAAGTGGAGCAAAATATTTAAAGTGTTGAAAGAAAAAAACCCAGCAACCTAGAATTCTGTACTCTGCAAAATTATCCTTCAAAAGTGAAGAAGAGCCAGGCGTGGTGGCTCATGCCTGTAATCCCAGCACTTTGGGAGGCTGAGGCAGGCAGATCAGTTGAGGTCAGGAATTTCAGACCAGCCTGGCCAACATGGTGAAATCCCATCTCTACTAAAAATACAAAAAAATTAGCCAGGCATGGTGGTGTGTGCTTGTAGTCCCAGCTACTTAGGAGGCTGAGGCAGGAGAATCACTTGAACCTGGGAGGTAGAGGTTGCAGTGAGCCAAGATCACACTACTGCACTCCAGCCTGGGTGACAGAACAAGACTCTACCTCAAAAAAAAAAAAAAAAAAAAAAAAAAGTGAAGAAGAAATAAAGACTTTCTCAGGCAAACAAAAATGAAAGGAATTTGCCACCAGTAGACTTGCCCTGCAAGAAATGCTAAAAGAAATTCTTCCAAGAGAAGGAAAATGATATAGGTAAGAAACTTGGAACTATATAAAGAAAGGAAGAGCTTTGGGAATCAATTTTATTTTTCTTATTCTTAATTTTTCGAATGTAACATTTTGTTCAAAATATTAATAGCAACAATGTATTTGACTATATATGTATATTATATATAGGCTTATGTATACTTATGGATAAGTGAAATAAATGACAGCAATAGTATCAGTGATAGGAGGGAGGAATTAGGAATACTTTGTTATTATAAAGTACTTGTGCTACCTGTGAAGTGGTATAGTGTTATCTGAAAGTAGACTTGAATTACTTGTAAATGTATATAGCAAACTCTAGTGCAATCACTTACAAAAGTAAAAACAAAACAAGTATAATCAATCAATATGCTAAGAAAGGACAGAAAACAGAATCACATAAAACCCTCAATTAAAACCACAAAGGCAGAAAACATGTGGAAGACAAAAATAGGAACAAAGAATAAGGGCAATAAATGGAGCACAAAAACAAATACGGTAGATATTAACCCAACTATATTAATAATTACTTTAAACATCAGTGGCTTAAGCACACCTTGTCAGACTAGGCACAGTGGCTCACACCTGTAATCTCAGCACTTTGGGAGGCTGAGGCCAGCAGATTGCTTGAGGCCAGGAGTTGGAGACCAGCCTGGCCAACATGGTGAAAACCAGTCTCTGGTAAAAACACAAAAATTAGCCAGGCCATGGTGGTGCACGGCTGTAATCCCAGCTATTCAGGAGGCCAAGGCAGGAGAATCGCTTGAACCTGGGAGGAGGCAGAGATTGCAGTGAGCCATGATTGCGCCACTGCACTCTGGCCTGGGCAACAGAGTGAGACTGTCTCAAAGAAACAAACAAACAAATAAAAAATAAGCACACTTTGTCAGAGTGGATCAAAAACCAAGCTCCAACTATACGCTGTCTACAAAAAACCTACTTTAAATATAAAGAAATATACATATTAAAAATGAAGTGATGTAGAAAAATATACTATGCTAACACTAATCAAAATATAGGAGTAGCTATTATTTCAGACAGGGCACAATTCAGAGCAAGGAAATTATCAGGGATAAAGAGGAGCATTACATAATGATAAAGAGGTCAATACTCCAAGAAGACATAACAATTCTTAACGTATATGTGCCTAATAGTAGAGCATCAAAATACGTGAGGCAAAAATTGATAGAACTACAAAGAGAAATACATGAATCCACTATTGTAGTTGGAGACCGTAACACTCCTCTATTAGGAATAAACAGATCCAGCAGGGAGAAAATCAGTAAGGATATAGTTGAACTCAAAACTATCACTCAACTGGATATAACTGACATCTATAGACGACTTTATCGAACAAAAACAGATAATATATTCTTCTCAAGCTCATGTAAAGCATTCATCAAGAAAGACGACATTCTGGGCCATAAAATACACCTCAACAAATTTACAAGAATAAAAATTTTACAATGTCTGTTCTCAGGCCAAATGGAACTAAACTAGAAATCAGCAATAGAAAGTGGGAAGATCCCAAATAGTTGGATATTAAACAACACACTTCTAAATAACACGAGTCAAAAAAAAATCTCAAGAGAAATTTTAAAAATATTTTAAACTACATGAAAATGAAAATACAATTTATCAAAATTTGTGGGATACAGCAAAAGGAGTACTTCAAGGGAAATTTATAGCACTGGATGCATATGTTACAAAAGAAGAAAGATCTAAAATCAATAACCTAAGCCACCACCTTACGGAATGACAAAAATAAGAGGAAATTAAGTCTAATGTAAGCAGAAGAAAATAATAAGAATTAGAGCAAAAATCAATGAAATTGAAAACAGGAAATTAATTAATGGAGAGAAATTTAAAAAATGAAAAGCTGATTATTTGAAAAGATCAATAAAATCAATAAACCTCTAACCAGGCTAAGAAAAAAACAGAAGACACAAGTTACTAACACCAAAAATGAAAGAAGGGACATTAAAAGGAAGGAACATTATGAACAACTCTATGCTGACAAATGTGATAACTTAGATGAAATGCAGTAACTTAAGAATTGTGAGGCTGGGAGTGGTGGCTCATGCCTGTAATCCCAGCACTTTGGAAGGCCGAGGCAGATGGATGACAGGGTCAGGAGTTCGAGACCAGTCTGGCCAACATGGCAAAACCCCATCTCCACTAAAGATACAAAAATTAGCCAGGCATGGTGGCGCATGCCTGTAATCCTAGCTACTTGGGAGGCTGAGGCAGGAGAATCGCTTGAACCCGGGAGGTAGAGGTTGCAGTGAGCTGAGATCACGCCACTGCACTCCAGCCTGGGCGACACAGTGCGACTCCATGTCAAAAAATAAATAAATAAATAAATAAAAAGAATTGTGAAAGACATAGTCTACAAAAACTTATACAAGAAAAAACAGACCATCTGAATAGGCATAGGTGTATTTACAAAATGATACCAATAATTAATAACCTTCTGAAACAGAAAGAACCTGGCCAAGATGGGTTCACTGGTGAATTCTAACACATATTTAAGGGAAAAAATTAGACAAATTCTCTACAATCTCCTTCAGAAGATAAAAGCAGAGAATACTTCCTAACTCATTCCATGAGGCCAGCAGAATCCTAATACCAAAATCAGACGAACATCATGAGAAAATGACAGACCAGTATCTCTCATGATATAGATGCAAAAATCCTCAAAAAATTAGCAAATTGAATCAAAGTATGTATAAAAAATTATAAACCATGACCAAGTGGGACTTATTCCCAGTATTCAAGGCTGGTTCAGCATTAAAAAATCAATCAGTGTAGCCTACCACATCAACAGGTTAAAGAAGAAAGCTCACGTTATCATATAAACAGATATAGAAAAAATACTTGACAAAACCTAACACTATTCATGATAAAAACTCTCAGGAAACTAGGAATAGAGGGGAACTTCCTTAGCTTGATAAAGAACATCTACAACAACCCTATGGCTAACTTCATACATAACACTGAGAAACTCGAAGCTTTCCCACTAAGATCATGAACAAGTCAAGGAAGTCCTCTCTACCACTCCTTTTCAATATTGTACTAGAAGTCCTAGCTAAGGCAATAAAATAAAAAAGAAAAGAAAAGATATACAGACTGGGAAGGAAGAAATTAAACTGGCTTTGTTTACAGATGACATGATCATCTATGCAGAAAATCCAAAAGAATCAACCAAAGGAACTCCTGGAACTAATAAGCTATTATAACAAGGTTATAGGATACAATGTTAATATACAAAAATTAACCACTCGCCTATATATTAGCAATAAACAAGTAGAATTTGAAGTTGAAAACACATTAGTGTTTACATTAGCACACCCCAAAAATAAAATAGGTATAGATTTAACAAAATACGTACAAGGTCTATATGAGGAAGACTACAAATAAATTAAGTAACTAAAAAAATAGAGGAGTATTCTATGTTTATGGATAGGAAGACTCAATGTTGTCAAGATGCTGGTTCTTCCCAATGCAATCCCAATCAAAATCCTAGCATGTTCTTTATGGATACTGATGAACTAATTGTAAAGTTTATATGGAGAGGCAAAAGACCCAGAATAGCCAACTCACCGTTGAAGGAGAAGAACAAAATAAGAAGACTGACACTACCTGATTTCAAGACTTACTATAAAGCTACAGTAATCAAGACAGCATGGTATTGGTAAAAGAATAGACAAAGAGATTAATGGAACAAAATAGCCCAGAAATAGGCCCACATAAACATAGTCAACTGATCTTTGACAAAAGAGCAAAGGCAATTCAGTGGAGAAAAGATAGTCTTTTCAACAAGTTTTGCTGGAACAACTTAGACATCTACATGCAAAAAAAAAAAAAAAAAATGAATCTAGACACAGACCTTATGCCTTTCACAAAAATTAAGTCAGAATGGATCATATTCTAGAATCAGCATCAAGGATTAAAAAAATGGATCATAGACCTTGTCTTTAATCCATTTAGGATGCTCTAACAAACTACCATAGAGCAGGTAGATTATGTATAACAGAAATGTATTTCTTGCAGTTCTGGAGAGTGGTAAATCAAAGATCAAGGCACTGGCAGATTTGATGTCTGGTGAAGGTCCACTTCGTGATTCACAGGTCACTCCCTTTTCACTGTGTCTTCACATGGCAGGAGGAAGGGATTTCTCTGAGGCCTTTTATAAGGGTACTAATCCAATTAACGAGAGTTCCACCCACGGTAACCTAATGACCTCTCAAAGGCTCCACCTCCTAATACCATCATTTTGGGGGTTAGGATTTTGGGGAGTGGTTACAAACATTCATACCACAGCAAACCTAAATGTAAAACAAAAAACTATAAAAGTTCCACACGATAACATAGGAGAAAACCTAAATGACCTTGGGTATGGCAGGGACTTTTTAGATTCAACCCTATGCATGATTCATGAAAAAACTGATAGCTGGACTTCAGTAAAATGGAAAAACTTGGCCAGGCATGGTGGCTCATACCTGTAATTTCAGTACTTTGGGAGGCCAAGGCAGGAGGATTGCTTGAGGCCAGGAGTTTGAGACCAGTCTGGGCAACATAGTGAAACCCCATCTCTACAAAAAATAAACAAATTAGCCAGGCATGGTGGCACATGCCTGCAGTCCCAGCTAGTAGGGAGGTTGAGGCAGGAGGATCACTTGAGCCCAGGAGGTCAAGGCTGCAGTGATCCCTGATTGTGCCACTGCACTCCAGTCTGGGTGACAGAGTGAGACCCTGTCTTACAAAAAAACAGAAAACAAAAAAAAAACGGAAAAACTTCTGCTATGTGAAAGACAATGTAAAATTGAATAAGATAAGCAATAGACTGGGAGTAAATATTTGCAAAATAAACATCTGATAAAGGACTGTTATCCAAAACATACAAAGAATACTTAAAACTCAACAATAAGAAAATGAACTGGCCAATTTAAAAATGAGCAAAATACCTGACCAGACACCCTCACCAAAGAAGATACACAGACGTTAAGTAATCAGGTGAAAAGATGTTCAACATCATATGTCATTGGGAGATGCAAATTAAAACAACGAGATACCACTACACACCTATCAGAATGACCCAAAATTCAGAACACTGAAAATACCAAATGCTGGAGAGGATGCATAGCAACAGAAACTCACATCCATTACCGGTGGGAATGCAAAATGGTGGCGCCCCTTTGGAAGAGAGTTGGCAGTTTCTCACAAAACAAACATATTCTTACCATACGATCTAGCAGTTGTGCTCTTTGATATTTACCCAAATGAACTGAAAACTTATGTTTGGCCAGGTGCAGTGGCTCACGCCTATAATCCCAGCAATTTGGGAGTCCGTGGCAGGCACATCACCTAAGGTCAAGAGTTTGAGACCAGCCTGGCCAACCTGGTGAAACCCTGTCTCTACAAAAATACAAAAATTAGCTGGGCATGATGGCGGGTGCCTGTAATCCCAGCTACTTCGGAGGCTGAGGCAGGAGAATCGCTTGAACCTAGGAAGTTGCAGTGAGCCCTTGATGGCTCCACTGCACTCCAGCCTGGGCGACTGAGCAAGACTCTGTCTCAAAAAAAAAAAAAAAAGAAAAGAAAAAGGAAAAAGAAAACTTATGTCCACACAGAAACATGCACATAGATGTTTATAGCAGCTTTATTAATAATTGCCAAAACTTGGAAGCAACTAAGATGTCCTTCAGTGGGTGAATGGATAAGTAAACTGTGGTACATCTAGATAACAAAATATTATTTAGTGCTAAGAAGAAATCAGCTATCACGCAATTGAGGAAAAGGCATTGAGGAATCTTACTTGCATATTACTAAGTGAAAGAAGCCAATCTTAAAAGGGCATAGACTGTATGATTCCAACTATTTGATATTCTGAAAAAGGCAAAACTATAGAGACAGTGAAAAATCAATGATTGCCAGAGGCTGGGGAAGGGAGAGATGAATAGGCAGAACACATAGAATTTTTAGGTCAGTAAAACTATTCTGTGTGATTCTGTAATGGTGGATACATGTTATCATACATTTGTCAAAGCCCATGGAATGTACAACTCCAAGAGTGAACCCTCACGTAAACCATGGACTTTGGGTGACAATGATGTGTCAATGTAGGTTCACTGATTGTAACAAATGTACCATTGTGGCACGTGATGTCCACAGTGGGGAAGATTGTGCACGTGTTGGGACAGGAACTACATGGGAACTGTCTGTATTTTCCACTCAATTTTTCTGTGAATTTAAACCTTATCTAAAAAAGTAAGTTTATTAATTTAAAAAATCAGTATGTTCAAACTAAATACAACATTCTTTCCCTGCTACCTTTCCACCTTCCCCCTGCTCCAGGATTCTCCTTTTTAGTGAATAGCATCATGATACAACCGGAAACCTAGGAATCAACCTAAACTTTGCAATCTCCTTAATCCATTTCATGCAATCTCTTTGCCAACTCCTATGCATTTTTACCTCTAGAATCAATAGGCTTCTTCTTATTTCTAATGCCACTATCACAAAGTACTCTATCCACCATCTAGTTTTATTTTGATCTTGCCCTTGGGCTAAGTGTTATAAAGGAGAACAACTATTTTTATGAGCTTTTTGTTTTCTAATCTTATGTAATCCACTGTGAATTAGGCCTAAGGAAGACCATAAAATGTAAAATTTAGCTGTCCAAAACTTTCTTGATATTTCATAACAAGGCTGTAATTGAACTAAAAACCAAATCATTATACAGGGTAGAGGAAGAAGGAAAGAGATGGAATCATGGTTTCTGGCTCAGGGAATCATTTAAAAGACTAATTGAATTTCAAGTATGAGAGGTTCCACAAAGATCAGTTAGTCCTCCATATCATTTCTGTCCTTAGAATCTTTCAATCTTCTTCTTGCCTTCAGGACAATATCCAGGCTCTTTTTAATTGTGGCATATAAGCTATCTTCCTTCCAACTTCATCTGTCCTTATTCTCCATTCACATGGTTATTCAGTCCAAAATCCTAGGAGTCACCCTTTCATAGTCTTTACTTGAGCAACTTGTCCCCAGATTCTACTCCCTACCATTCAATCCACCAGCAAATTCTGTTGATTCTTTATTCAACATATATCTAAACCTATCTACTTCTTTTGACTTCCATGCCTACCACCCTAATTTAAGTCACGATCACTGCTCTTCTGGTCTACAGCAATTCCTTCTTAGCTATTTTTCTTGCTTCTGTTCTTATTTTACATTCCATTCTCCACACAGCAACAAGAATGTACTTTGCAAATTGCTGCCAAATCTCCCTGTATTAGTTTCCTCTTGTTGCTGTAACAAAATGACCACAAACATAGTGATTTAACACATGGAAATTTATTCTTTTACCTGATTTTAGATTTCTAACCTCCAGAAATTACCTTCTTTTATGTTGGTGTTAAAATAAGTCTGGTGGGACTAAGCACAAGATGTGGCCAAGGATGATTCCTTGTAGAGTTTCCAAAGGGAATGTATTCATTGTTTCTTTCAGGTTCTAGATGTGACTGGCATTCCTTGGATGGAGGAGATATCACTATCTCTACTTCTGTTATTACATAGCCTTCTCCTCCCTCTGATTGCCTGTGTTCTTCTTATAAGTACCCCGTGATTACATTGGTCCCACCCAGATAATCCAGGATAATCTCCCCATCCTAAACTTTATTAAATCTGCAATGCAACACTTCTGTTTTTTTTTTTTTTTTTTTTTTTTTTTTTGAGATGGAGTTTTGCTTTCTCACCCAGGCTGGAGTGCAGTGGTGCAATCACGGCTGACTGCAACCTCCGCCTCCCGGGTTTAAGAAATTCTTGTGCCTTAGCTTCCCAAGTAGCTAGGATTACAGGCATGCGCCACCATGCCCAGCTAATTTTTGTATTTTTATTTATTTACTTTTTTGAGACAGAGTCTCCCTTTGTCTCCCAGCTGGAGTACAGTGGTGCGATCTCAGCTCACTGCAACCTCCACCTCCCAGGTTCAAGTGATTCTCCTGCCTCAGCCTCCCAAGTAGCTGGGATTACAGGTGTGTGCCACCATGCCTGGCTAATTTTTGTATTTTTAGTAGAGATGGGGTTTCACCATGCTGGCCAGGCTGGTCTTGAACTCCTGACCTCAAGTGATCCACCTGCCTCGGCCTTTCGAAGTGCTGGAATTATAGGTGTGAGCCACCGTGCCTGGCCAACATTTCTTTACCATGTAAAATATAGCCGTAGGTTTCAGGCATTAGGACCTGCCATCTTTGGCAGGGAAGGGACATAATTTAGCCTGCCAGCTCCATACAAAGATCATGAGAAAACCTGCTGATTATAAGCAAATCTGGATTTATTAAAGTTACTAATAAGGAGAAGCATCACCATAACAAAATTTTAGTCTCAAAATGTCTCAAAAGGGGGAAGTTAGGGAAAGGTATTACTTACAGGATTTGAGAGGAGGCTGGTGTTAATCATAGGGGGGAATTTATGGTGCACGTTAGTAGCCAGTGCAGGGATTGGTTTAAATTTGTCAACTAGATGAGCTACTAGAGCATATGTGTCTGCAGAGTTACAGTTACATCAGTTCATCTGTGGTTTAACTTCTAAGTCTCTAAGCAAGTTGGTGTTAGAACAACAAGGGCTTCAATTTTGTGTTTGTGTTGCATGTCACGGAATGGTACAGTTGATTCATTTTGCAAATCATTATAGTTTTTGCTTCATTTCTCAGTCTCCTTTCTTTCAGCCAATCTTCAACCCAAGCTGGAAGAAACACCATCATTACCTGGGACGTGATCAGTCCAGATCTGCATTGCTATTTAATAAGTTGCAATGGTGTATTGAGTTTTTCATGGTAGTTATTTTGACCTCTTTATGAAACCTTCTCATCCTTTTTGTTGAATGAACATCTGTAAATTATCTAGTTTAACAGTGGATGTGCAGCAGCATTCAAGACTCTGATGATCATATATCTAGTAACTGCAATGCAGACAGACACTAAGACAAAGATGATTATAGAGTTCACAGGGTATTTCAAAGCCATAGTCCCAGGTTTTCAAAACTGGACAATGGAAGCATGTGCCATAATCCATTTAGATCTTCCTTATATAATCAAGTGTCTTTTACCCTTTAATTTGGGTAGGGTTTGTTCAACCTTACTGCTGTATGAAGAATTGGTCCCATATTTGTTAATTGTCAAATGTCTTGGGAATACCATGAGTAAAGGACAAAGGTGTTCATTAACAATCAAAGACCTTAATCCAGAAGAGGGGGAATAAGATAGCCAAGAGGATAAAGATGCAAAGCCAAAAGGATAAACATATAAAGAAGAACATGGCAATTTATGCCCCTGGGAAACCCTCGATTCCTCCAAGCAGAATTCAGTGTTCCTTTTCTCTGTTCTTTTAATACTGCATGCAACACCTCTATCATAGTACTTAACACACTGCGTTGGCATTTTGTCTAAGTCATCTCTGTATCCTGAGAATGTAGCAGAGTACTTTGCTCATAGCAAATCCTGGGTAAATATTGATTAATCTTATTTTTGGTGTGACAACTGTGTGTCAAGCATTGCACCAGTTTTTTTGTATACGTTATGTTAATCCTAACAGGAAATCTGCAAGATATTTACTATTATCCCTGCGTTATGTATTAGAAAGTGAATAACTTGCCCAGAGTTTTGAACCTAAGTTCAAGATCTAATGTGTCTGACTCCAAATTCAGTACGTCTCCCATTGCTTCAAATGAATTAATAAATCTCCTTCATTTTTCCGACAACTACTGGTCAAAACTCAATATCCCAATATTAACATTAGCATTAAGCTTCTGATTTCATTTTAGCACAATGTTGCATGTTCTAATACATTTTTACTTGATTCATCCTCTTAGGTTACAGAGAAAAATGGCCCCCAGGTATGTTAACATCTCATGTGTACTAATTTTATTCTGCTTCATAGGGAGGTTGTTTGTGTGTGTGGTGTGTGTGTGTGTGTGTGTGTGTGTGTGTGTGTGTGTGTGTTTGAGACAGAGGCTCACTCTGTTGCCCAAGCTGGAGTGCAGTGGCCCAATCTTAGCTCACTGTAACCTCAAGCTCCTGGACCCAAGCTATCCTCCTGCCTCAGCCTCCCAAGTAGCTGGTATTATAGCTGCACACCACCACATTTGGCTAATTTTTAAAATTTTTGGTGGATAAGGAGTCTCACTATGTTGCCTAGGCTGGTCTAGAACTCTTGGACTCAAGTGATCCTACCATTGAGGCCTCCCAAAGTGCCAGAATTACAGTTGAGAGCCACTGTACCATGCCTAATTAGACAGTTTTTTTATGATGATTCAGGGTCAAGGTTTGGTTAATTTTCCCTTTCAAGGGAAGGATTGTATTTAACCGCCAGTCTAGACATCATCTCTGAATAACTAAAAAAGTCCAAACATATTGTTATTTTGAAATTGTAAAAGTAATATATCTGAAAGAAAGGAAAGTGTGGCAGGAATGTGTTAAAGATAGTAAGAGAGCCTCATACTTGTTAGAGAAGCTGGAGATTACCCAGATTATTGTTTTTGTAGCCATGCTAGATGTAGCAGTTTGTATTAAAGGGCCATATGGAATTTTTATGAAAATTTTAGAAGTACATGAAATAGTTCCACGACGAACACAAGCAGTGAGAGCCCAGCTCTAAAGTTAGGTAGATCTGAGCTCCAATCCTACTTCCCCAACCTAATAGCTGAGCAAGCTTAAGCAAGTTACTTAACTTTTCCTAAGCTTTAATTTCTTTATCAGTAAAATGGAGAGAAAAGAAGTGTATTAGGTAGGGTAGCTGATCACTGTAACAAACAGCATCAAAAATCTCAGGGGCTTTATTTATTTATTTAGAGACACAGTTTTGCTCTTTCGCCCAACCTGGAGTGAAGCGACGTGATCTCTGCTCAATGCAACCTCTGCCTCCGAGGGTTCAAGCAATTCTCCTGTCTCAGCCTCCCGAGTAGCTGAGATTATAGGTGCGTGCCACCACGCTCGGCTAATTTTTGTATTTTTAGTAGGGACGGGGTTTCGCCATGTTGGCCAGGCTGGTCTCTAACTCCTGACCTCAGGTGATTCACCCGCCTCAGCCTCCCAAAGTGCTGGGATTACAGGCGTGAGCCACCGCGCCCAGCAGCATAATTTATGTTTCTGGTCATGCAGTTCTCACAGGCAGCATTCCTCCAAGGATTCATCTATGACCCCAGGCTTCTTCCATTTTGTGGTTTTGACCTTCTCTAGATTCTTTGAAGTCTTCATTCAGCCCGCAAGTAGGGAAAGAAAGAGAATGTGGAAGATTTGTAGGAGGTTTTTGAGACCTTATGGGTCAAGCCTTAAATGGCTTTCATTATTTCTGTCCACATTCTGTGGGACAGAAGTCAGTCACAAGACCCCAACTAATTGCAAAGGAGGCTGGGAAATGTGGTCTAACTATGTGCTCAGGGGGAAAAGGACACAGTTTGCTGTCTCCTCCACTTAAGGTCATGAAGTTGTTTTAGGGTGTAACTGAGATAATGTATGTAACATGCTTAGAACAGGGTAAGTAATCAACAAAGTTATGTATTATTGTCAAAAATATGTATTCTGGGAGCCTGAATAAGTTTCCTGCAGTTGGAAGTGGAATACAGTCATACATCACATATCAATGGGGTAAGTGCTGAGAAACGTGTCATTAGGCAATTTTGTCGGTTTCAGAATATCACAGAGTGCACTTACACAAGCCTAGATGGTATAGCCCACTACACACCAGGATTATATATTATAGCCTGTTACTCCTAACCTACAAACCTGTGCCACACATTACTGTACTGAATACTATAAGCAACTGTAACAAAATGGTATTTGTGTAGCTAAACATATATCTAAACATAGAACAGATACAGTAAAAATATGGTATTATAATTTATAGGACCACCACTGTATCTGTGGTGTGTTGTTGACTGAAATGTCACGCGGCACATGACTTTATTTGTTTAGAGGTTCTAGCAAGGGAACTTAGCTATGAAGAAAAGTCCTTACCTTTTTAAGGTTATGTGAAGTTATGATCTCTAACTGATTTGGCAGCATCAGGAAGTGTAAACACAGAAAGGTGAGGGGGGAAGGGTTTGCCATGTGTTCATATCAGTTTAGTTAGCTTAATATCAAAAGATTATAATTTAGATAACAAAGTGTTATAATAAAAGTAAAAATTCTGGTCAATTCTCTCTTCCATATTCCTTTTCTCTGCCACTTTCTTAAGTCATTGACGATGACTTAAGGTTCCTCAGGTGCAGCATACTTTTACCTATTTTCTCCTTTGTTAAGACTTAGACACTAAGATCTCTAAGAACAGAGGCCCTGTTTGTCTTGCACATTATTTTATCATAGCGTCTAGAAAAGCCTGGCACATGGCAGGAAGGCAAGAACTATCTGTTGAATAAATTTAGTCTATATTGGCAGTTGCTTCAAGTACTGGCTAAAGGGTCTGGGCAGAGTATTGGAAGGATAATTATTTTTTAAATCTTGCTTCTGCCACTTAGTATCTGTGGGATTTTGGAAAGTTACTCAATTTCTAAGACTTGGCCGGGCACGATGGCTCACGCCTGTAATCCCAGCACTTTGGGAGGCTGAGGTGGGCGCATCACAAGGACAGGAGATCGAGACCATCCTGGCTAACACAGTGAAACCCCGTCTCTACTAAAAGTACAAAAAATTAGCCAGGCGTGGTGGCAGGCGCCTGTAGTCCCAGCTACTCAGGAGGCTGAGGCAGGAGAATGGCGTGAACCCAGGAGGTGGAGCTTGCAGTGAGCCGAGATCATGCCACTGCACTTT
This sequence comes from Homo sapiens, assembly GCF_000001405.40. Classification (NCBI taxonomy): domain Eukaryota; kingdom Metazoa; phylum Chordata; class Mammalia; order Primates; family Hominidae; genus Homo; species Homo sapiens. The sequence goes on along the minus strand of NC_000011.10, from coordinate 86,072,985 downwards.
AGCCTGGGCAAGAGAGCAAGACTGCCTCAAAAAAAAAAAAAAAAAAATTTCCAAGACTTGTCTGTTTTCTTGTATTGGATGGGCACGATACTTGGACATGATACTTTTTGAAATTATTGTTATGAGCATTACATTTTTAAAATGTAGTGTTTTTAGCACATAGGAGGCAATAAAAAAAACCTGCTCCTTCTCCGAACACTCCCTGCCTCTCTACAACATACCTTTTAGTTGGAAGAGCCTAGGAAATACCTAGGAAATGTGTTATTCAAGTTTTTTCCTTCTGTTTTTGGTCTGCTCCTTTACAATCAAAGCAAAGAGGCCTTCAAGTTGAGAACTAACTAGTTCCCAAAGGACTGATGGGTTCACTGTAAATAGTGTTTGGCACTTAGAACCTTTATGCCTGACACACAGTTCAACACATATTTTTTGAAAGAGTAAATTAATTAACAAGGTACTGAATAAGGATGATGCTCCAACCAGATAATTATGGGATGGACATGCTTTATTTATTTTTAGAAACAGTGTCTTGCTCTGTCATCCAGGCTGGAATGCGGTGGTAGGATCATAATTCACTGCAGGCTTAAACTCCTGGGCTCAAGGGATCCTCCTGCTTCAGCCTCCCAAGTAGCTATGACTATAGGCTTATGCCTCCATGCCCAGTAGACATGCTAAATGTGTGAAAAAGTGGGCAGATTTTATCAAATGAGAGGTTTGGAGTGATGGTGTGTCCGAATGCGTGATTTCAAAGCGTTCTCATTCATTCGTTCAATCACCATCTACTGTGTATCTACCTTGCATCAACCATAATACTAGCATGGATGTATCTCTGCACCCCCATGTTAGTGCAATTAGTCAATCACAATAATAATTAGAGAACAGAAGGATATATGAGTAACAAAAGGAAATCAGTAACTGCTTATTGGTATGTGAAACAGCATGACATCCAAGTATGTCAAGTAGTGTGATACTGTCTGGAGTGCATTTAAAGGAATCAGAAGAGATGAGGCTCAACAAGTAGTAGGTAGGTAGGGGAATTTAGAGGAATGGGAAGAGACAAGGCTCAACAGGTTTAGGTGGCCATGTGAGTTGGCACATGTGGAACTTCAGGTAAGATATTTCTTAAATAGACTGAAGAAACTGACACAGAGAAAACTTAAGTATATAAGATAAAGTAGGTCAGTAATGCCTATTCTTAGTTCTAATTCCCCATCTTCTTCTAAATTGGTCCATGTATTTCATTTCACAATTACACATAAACCTCTACAATGGTCACTGATTATTTACATACTTAGAAACTTCTAAAATGAGGCCAGATCATGAAGAACCATGTATGCCAGGTTGAGAGTTCTTAATTTCATCCTTTAGGGTAGCGATGGGGGAGTTACTGGAAGATTTTAATGCAAAGAAAAGACAATCACATTTTGGTTTCAGAAGGATCTGAATTGGAGAGTCAGGGTATAAAAGACAGAGAATCAGCTAAGAAGTTACTAAAACAGTCTAGTATAACAGAGATCATAAAGGCTGGAACTAAGGCAACAGAAGTGGGGTTAGAGATGGGATGTGTTTGAGAGATAAAAGTAGATTAGGCTTGATGAGGGAAATAAGACAGAAGGAGAACTCAGAATCACAGCTTTCTGAGCGGAGCTTCTGGACATGTGGTGAGGCCATTAACGGATATAGGGAACAGTATGGATTAAAGATGTAGGATGCTGGGCAAGGGCAAGAGAAGTTCAGTATTGGCCATGGTGAGTTGGCATCTGTGGAACTTCAGGTAGAGATATTTCCTGAATAGACCAAGGAAACTGACACAGAAAACTTAAGCATATAAGACAACATAGGTCAGTAATGTCTACCCTTAGAACAATTCCCCATCTTCTTTTAAATTTCTCCATATATTTCAGTTCACAACCACACATAAACCTCTTCAATGATTACTGATTATTTACATAGTTAGAAATTCTACTATGTATACTTGGAAAAAAATAAAATATTTCTAACAGCAGCTTGTTTGTTAATAGGGTAAACATGTCAACAATTATTGTCACAAAAGTGGTCTGAAAGAACCTCTTTGGTAAAAGTAATAGTGTAATACTTTCCTGTTATGTACTTAGGAATGACTGGCATTTTCCCTAAGGATAAAATATTCAGCTGTTGATAGCTAGACCATGTTAGTGTTGACCTCAGATTGGGGTTTACCAATGCAGAGGCTCAGGCCAATCAGTAACTTATACAGTGGAACCCATAGACCAGTAGCAATGATGGCTGATAACATGTCTTGAGAATTTGGTAATTCCACTGCCCAGTGGACGTGGGGCAGCAAACTGGGCACCAAACCACAGATGGATTGCAGTACACTGAAGGAATTCATTATAGTTTTGTGAAATTGGAGGCTGGCTTGACAAAGATGAAGCCTGCTGGGATTAAAAACTTGTGTGTTCTTGGCAAGAGCATGTTGCTGCAGAATTTCACCAGCCATAGTGGGGAAAAAAGAGGGGTGAGGGGGCGTGGGGAAAATGGGAGACCACAAAATTCCTGATATGATACATAAAATGTTAAATATCTATCAGCTTTGCATCCTTTGAGAGTCACCAGATTGAAGCACAGTATTTTGGATTTGGCTGGCAGATGGTGTACACAGACTTTCTGAGAATGTTAGCATTTCATTTGAAACTAGCAAGATTACATGTGACTATCATGGTAACTTAGCACTCACATATTTTTCAACTTATCCCTAACCCTGGGTTGAATGTAGAGGCTCTAATAACATATAAAAGGCTTTGTTAATGTATGGTCTGGGTCTCATTGAATAGTATTTCAGGATGTAATACTTCTTTTAAAATGTCCACAGGGCAGTGTCAACGTCTTTCCATGGAAATCTGGCTCACCCAATAAGAGAAAAGAGGCCAAAGGTAAGAAAGACTAAACCAGGGGAGATGGCAGGCAGTGATGTCTGGACTGTTTGAATGGGACTTCTCCATTTACCGCCCCTCTCACTTCCTTCTATGGTCTGGACCTTTAATCACCACAGCAGTCAGCCATGTAGGGTCAAGCTAATCGCTGTTGACATCATCCTACTACTTCCCTTTTCAAATTCCAGTGAAGCTATGTGTTTCCTGTCCTATTCCACACCCTAGAGAATGAATACCGGCCAGCTAGTATCTAAATTTAGAATGGCAGCAACGTGTCGGGTTTTCGGAGTAGAGATAAACAAAACCAGGTGACATTTCCAAGCCTCTCAAGGAAAGGGGGGAAAAAACCTTTCTGGGGTAAGTAAATAAGGAGAGCTTCAATAGTTCCATGGTAGAGAGAGGCCTGCTGGAAGGTTCAGAAAATAGGCCGTTTGGAACCTTCTCCTTTAAGCCAGGAGGGCGGCTTTGGGAGGCGTCTTGAAATACATTCTTGACTCTGCTGGGAAAGCTCGGGGAGCCAGAGGCCTAATACCCCCCACTTCAGGGGAAGCTGTGAAGGCAGCTGCACCTCCTTTGTCAAGCTGTTGGTTTCAACCACAGACACGAGGACACACTTGAGGTGGGGGGATAAGGGGAGAAGCCTGCCGCCCCGCCCCACCCCCGCCAGCACACCGCCCTCGCCATTCCTCTCCCGCCCCGCCCCGCCCGGCGTCTGTGACCCCGCGGGCCGAGCCTCAGGCGACCTGTTGGCAGGGAGAGTCACGTGATGCGCCGGCTGTGCACTCCCCTCGGGCGGGCCTCCTGTTGCGCCCGCCTGGCGAGTTCCATCACGTAACGCGCGGGCGCCGCCCAGCTCTTCCCTCGCTGAGCGAGGGAGGGCGGGCGTCGAAGAGGAAAGGGAAGGGGAAAGGGGCGGGAGAAGGGAGGAGGGGCGGTGTCCGAGTCACGTGACCCGGGGCAGCCCGGAAAGCTCCGAGGAGGAGCCTGGCGCCGCCATTTTCCTGCAGCTGCCTGTTCCTCTTACCCTGCCCGGCTCCAGCTGACCCGGGAAGGGGTGGGCTGAACTGAGGCGGGGGCAAGGGAGTGCCCGACATCTTGTCCGACTCCGCGGGTGACACGAGCCGGTTCTCTCTGGACTGGTGGCAGCGCGCGGCCCCGAACCGCGCCCCAGGCCGGCAGGCGGGGAAGGAGCCGGTGGGGGTAGGGGGTGCGGTGGGGGGTGGGGACCCTCCGGCTCTTGGGGGTCCCAGTCCCCGCCGGCTGCTGAGCGGGTGGGGTGGTGGAGGAGCTGCAGAGATGTCCGGCCAGAGCCTGACGGACCGAATCACTGCCGCCCAGCACAGTGTCACCGGCTCTGCCGTATCCAAGACAGTATGCAAGGCCACGACCCACGAGATCATGGGGCCCAAGAAAAAGCACCTGGACTGTGAGTGAAGCCGACCGCGGCCCCCGCTCCCCGGCGCCCGCGCGACCCGCGCGCGTCCTTCTCTCTCTCTCTTGTCTTTCACCCTTCTACTGCCTCTTCCCTCCCTGCGTCTTCTCTGGCACGGCCGGTCCTGTGCCCGTTGAGCTGTGTTCTTTTGCTTCCATCACACCTGCCTTCACGGCCTCCGCTCCCCGTCTCAAAATCTGACAAGCCACTCCCCTCCCTATTCCTAGGGGACCCTCGTCTCCCTGCCCGGTGCGCTACCACACCCCATCATACCCAACCAACTTGCTTCCCCACCTGGCTTCTCACCCCCTACCCGTCTCCACTGCAGCCTTCTGCTCTTCCTTCCCACCCGTCCGGTGCCGCCTCGTCGCCCTCGTCTGAGCGTCTCCAAGCCCCATTGTTTCTTCATCAGCCTCCTTCGGGTTTCAGTAAACGCCTGGTTCCTTGCATCCAGATCCTTGTTATCCCTCCGGGCTGCCTCCCTGGAAGGGATCCCCCACTTCCTTTGCTCCACTAGCTGCTTCGCCCATCCCTTCCTGGCTTTCTGTTCCACCTTCCCTCCTGCTTTTGGGTTACCTTTTCATCGCCTCTATAGTAGCTTCAGTGTAGTTTCTTCGACTCATTTTAAATACCATACCCAGTTACCCGACTTTTATTTCAGATTACCTTCTTTGTGGGAGTGAAAGTAAAAGGATTCAATTTGGTGTAGGGAAAGCTTTCTGGAAAGTTGGGATTTTTATTTGCCTCTGGTGGAATTTAATCGTTGTGTTGTCCATACTTTTGACTGGGGTGAGTTTGTGACTGTCAGCTCTGCCCCCCAGCTTTTCACATGGGGATATGGAAAAAGGCATTTTGCTGATACTCTTATCAGTTCCTGGAACTGTTAATTCTGGCGGCTTGAATTCAGAAGCTTGAGTGTTAAGCGTAGACTGTTGGAATTCCAAATGGATTAATAAATTTACTTACAAATAACATACATCCCTTAAAAAAATTGGCAAAATGATGTTTGATGATGCTTGAGTTTGGATGTTTTAATTATGCCAGTTACCTTTTGAGGAACTAGCTTTAGCTTCTCTTACACGACATAGTATTCGTCCATTCGCTAACGTAGATACAATTAGTAGAGCTAACTCCTCGTAACTTTTTTCTAACCTGGAAGTCACCTGTAATACCCTCCTTTTTCTTTGCGCTCTTTTACCCCAGGGTACAAAGCTCATTGGATCACTCAAGCCAATGGAGCTTAGACCTGAAACTTTTCAGGGAAAAATAGGGCAATAGTCACGATAAGTAAGTTCCCTTTTTAAATGACTGGACACATTAGTCTGACTGACTTTCATCATACATGAAAGTTACTTTGTTTTACTGTTTGAAGCAAGAGTGAGCATGCCCTGAAAGATAATTCACTGTCTGGAAGCCTGTTTTGATTTCTCATTTGGACTTTGGCCGTAAAGTTTGCACTTTAAAAAAAATGTACGAAATGTAGATTCTTCCAAGTTACTGTGCTCATGAATGCTGTTAGAACAAGTTTTTGCTACACAGAAGCCTATTATTCTTTGTGATTGTTCCTCCACTGTGGAAAAAAGTTTTAAATAAAAAAGCATTAGTGCTTGATTCTTTCAGATATGCATGCAGGCTGCTTTTAAACTCTCAGTCCTTGCTTGTCTTAGAGAATGGAGAATATGTTTAAATGGTGACACTCTTATGAACAGAAAACTTTTTAAAATGCATCGTAAAGCCATATGTGATTTTTTGATTATCTGATACGTGTAGTAGACGTTTCTGCTATTTACGGCTCTTCAAATACTACTTGGTTTGCCCTACCAAATCTTACAGTTTGTCCTGACACTGTGTTAATTCTTTTGTTAGTTGCTTTTGGTTTTTTTTTGTTTTTTTTTTTTGTATGGGAGTATGAAGAAACTAGTTGTGACTGTGTGAACTATTTTCCTCTTTCCTCATTCAAAATAAGAATCGATAAGGCTTTTAAAAGTTTTTTTTGTAAAGGTTTGTGTCTTATTTCAAATGTAGCAGTGGTTCTTTTAAAGCATTGTCAAAAAGAGGAGAAAATAGGTAGGGTTAGAAGAGTGCTATTTGCATGTTGTTTCATAAATGTTATTAGCTATTTCTCTTGTTATAGCCACTACTGCAGATAGATGGTAACTGGGATTAGGTTTGGAGGATAATCTTGCATTTGTCGTTCTTTTTCTCTACCACTTCTGTGTTTACAAGCTCCCACGTTTTTGGAACTTGAATATACCTGGTAGTATTTGATTTAAAAATATATGTGTCGTTAATGTGCTTCTGTTTCTTTTCAATGAGGTTTTAAAATACAGGGATACTATTTTCCCTACATTGTTGATTAAAATGTCCTGTAATCAGTTCTCACTAATAAAATACCTTTATCTTAGGTAAAGTCTGACCAGTGAGTGGTTTACTAAACAAATACCTTCCTTGCACACACTAACATGCTTTGAGAAAATTAAAAAGTCTTCTACGGACAGTTCATGGTGTTGACATCATGAACTTTAGGCTTTAATACAGAAACCTGTCATTTCAAGTAATTTTTTGTCTTTTAGGAATTTTTCTTTATAGTGAAAGCTTAGTTTATGTGCACCTTTTAATGCCCCTAGCAACTGATGCTTATTTATATGAATCTAATGAAAATGATTTCATTTTAAAATGGCAGCATTTAACAAAAAATATGCTTAGGACTGTTGTTTTTCGTATAAGCCCTTAGAGTGTGGAGGTGGTTTCTGTCAGTTTCTCGCCAAGATCTTTCCACATTAGGAAGTGATTATTAATAATTCATGAATTATGGCTTAATTCATACTACATTATATACTTACTGAAGAAAGATTTTTTTGCTTTGCTTATACTGTAGGTGTTAGTGGATAATAGTGTTGACTAGCATCCCTAGTGTGAAAGAGTTGTCAAACTTGAAATATGTTTGTAAAAATAAACACGATTTCCGTTTAATCTTAGGCCTTTAGTAGCCATAATCAAGGTAGAGGAATAGCAGCCCTTATATTTGAAGAACTTCAGTTTTCCAGGCACTTTCTCATCATCTCATTTAATCCTGTCTCACAGCTGGAGGTGGGGGCAATTCATATACATAGAAAGTAGCTTCTAATTCCATTTAGCAGTACAGAATGCTTAAAAGAACCATAATTATTGCAGGATAGAAAAAACAAATTTTTTTTTTTTTTGAGACGGAGTCTCGCTCTGTCGCCAGGCTGGAGTGCAGTGGTGCGATCTTGGCTCACTGCAACCTCTGCCTCCCAGGTTCAAGAGATTCTGCCTCAGCCTCTTGAGTAGCTGTGACTACAGGCGCATGCCACCACACCCAGCTAATTTTTGTATTTTTAGTAGAGATGGGGTTTCACCATGTTGGCCAGGATGGTCTGGATCTCTTGACCACATGATTCGCCCGCCTCGGCCTCCCAAAGGGCTGGGATTACAGACGTGTGAGCCACTGTGCCTGGCCCACAATTTTTAATTTATAACTTCTTAATATAAAAATCATTTTTATCTGATCTTACAATCTTTAGTCTTAACCCCACCCCTTTTTTTGGATACAGGGTCTTGCTCTGTCTCTGGTGTGCAGTGGCAGGATCATGGCTCACTGCAGCCTTATCCTCCTCAGGCTCAAGAAATCCTCCCACATCAGTCTCCCAAGTAGCTGGGACTATAGGCATGTGCCACCACGCCTGGTTAATTAAAGAAACTTTTTATTTTTGGAGAGATGGGGGTCTCCCTATGTGGCCCAGGCTGGTCTTGAACTCCTGGGCTCAAGTAATCCTCTTGCCTCAGCCTCCCAGAGTGCTGGGATTACAGGTGTGAGCCAGCATGCCTGGCCCTTATCCTATTTTTTGATATGAATTCTTAATTTTCTTTATTCTTATTTACTATCGTTGGACATTTATATTTTGACATATTTCACTGAAATGTAATATTTATACTAATGGCTGTAATGTCTCCTTTTTTTTTTTTTTTTTTAAAATGAGGTGGGTCTTACTCTGTTGCCCAGGCTGGAGTGCAGTGGTGGAATCACATCTCACTGCAGCCTTGACTTCCCGGGTTCAGACAATCTTTCTGAGTACCTGGGACCACAGGCATCTGCTACCACGCACAGCTAATTTTTAATTTTTATACAGACAGGGTCTCCTTGTGTTGCTCGGGCAGGTCTCAAACTCCTGGGCTCAAGGATCCTCTCTACCAGCTGAGCCTCCTAAAGTGCTGGGATTATAGGTGTGAGTCACCATATCCTGTATGTCTCTGTTTTTTAATTCATATTTTCCCCAGTTAATTTACAGGGACATTTCATTTCAACCACTGCCTTATCTTTTCTAAAACAAAATCAAGATCAAGTTCTTACTAAGCATCCATTATCAACATATCTCTGGTCGATACAGCATGGTTATTTGTATGTTGTGAACTGGATCTAGAAATTGGAAATAAGTTTTTAAAAAGTAGGATTTGAATATTTTGCATATGTAGAATTTGTATTTGGGCTAGTGGTTTGTGTAACTACATTAAAAATGCGTATAACATACCAGACTGTACCTGAATTAATTCCCTTTTAAAGCACAAATGGTTTTTAATGTCTCAGTTAATAATATCTTATGGGTGCTTAGTTTGCGTATTGTCAAGAAGGATCTGGTAACTAGGATGTGATTTCTAAGAAGATGCATGTAAGGAAGAAATAAAGTAGAAGATCTGTCCCAGGATATCTTTTATTTAAAAGTAAGGTAACTGGGACTTTTTTTTTTTCCAAAAGGATCTTGTTTTAAGAAGACAGTTATTTTGTAATTAATGTCTGGGCTTCCTATTCTTTCCTGTAAGAATTAGTCATATGATTTATATTTTCATTTTTCATTATCCTTACTAGTCTTTTAGTAGTTTTGCAATACAGAAAATAGAAATAGAGTTATCAAAGTGGTAGTAATGAGTAAGATTTGATCACACATGTCAAATGCCTGAGGCATTTTATTTATTTTTATTTTTTCTGTCGCCATGGCAGAACAGAATGCCTGAGGTATATAATAAAATTCACAAATGTATCCTTTTTCCTCCCAGATATGTCTAGTTAAGTTTCTGAACAGTATGTGTTTTAAAAGAGGAACTCTAAAGAGAACTTAATATTCAACTATTTTTTGTAGCCGCTTATTCATAATTAGCAAATGAATTCTGAAATACTTTTGTAATTATTGTTCCCTGATGGATTTATTTGCTATGTTAAGAAATAGTATAAGACTTTGGGCATCTATATACCTTTTGTGTTTACTGAATATTTTATATATCTGGATAATTTTTAAAGGTGTCTTTGAATTTAAAGTTACTATGGCAGGTGAGAAGTGAAACACTTCATAAGATGTGATTGACATTTTTCTTTCATACGCTTTGTGAGACATTTATATGAAACATTTACTTTGATGTTTAAAAAACACTGATTGTTTAAAAATAATCTATTTTAATAATCAGAATTGCTTTCATTTAAAAATATTTGTTTATTTGGCCATGATAATCATTTAGAATAGTTAATGTGAAAGTTCACCGTAGACATAGTTGTTTCTCCTTTGTTTTCTTCAGCTCTGAAATGGTTAATTTCATGGTTTCTCACTTAAAATAAAGAAGTAAGAAAAATAAACTTACAGGCTTCTTGGCAAGAGGTTAGAGCCCTACCAGGAAGAAGTAGCCTTAGACTTTCAAAGTAAAGTCTTAGTATTTGCTCTTCCTGTTCTTTTGGTAGCTAAAGTGGCATTTCCGTTACTTTGTGTTCTGTCTTAGTATGTTCCCAGTTAAACTGCTTTATACGTTTCTCTAGAGAATCAAAATTTTGGACTTGACCTTTTAGTATTTTGTATGTTCACTGTGTATGTGAATCATTTTGGGCAGTTAGATAGTTCTTTAAAAGAGAATCTTGATGAACCTAAGCCTTTGTATTAAAAATTATGTTCAGAGTTGTGATTTGTTAGATTATCAGAAAATGAAGGATTTCTCAAGTTATATTATTATCAAGATATATTATATCCCCCACGAAAGTGGTACATTTGTTAAAATTGATGGACCTACATTCAGACATCTTTACCACCCAAAGTCCATGGTTTACATTAGGGTTTTTTTTTTTTTGAGACGGAGTTTCGCTCTTGTTGCCCAGGCTGGAGTGCAGTGGTGCGATCTCAGCTAACTGCAACCTTTGCCTCCTGGGTTCAAGGGATTCTCCTGCCTCAGCCTCCCAAATACCTGGGATTACAGGTGCCCACCACCACGCCCAGCTAAATTTTTGTATTTTTGATAGAGATGGGGCTTCACCATGTTGGCCAGGCTGGTCTCGAGCTCCTGACCTCAGGTGATCCACCCACCTCGGCCTCCCAAAGTGTTGGGATTACAGGCGTGAGCCACTGCGCCCGGCCAAGGTTTACTCTTGCTGTTTGTATGTTCTATGGGTTTGGCCAATTGTATGGCACATATCCACTGTTGTAGCGGTACAATGTTTATCTGCCCTGAAATACTCTGTGCTCCCCCTCGCCATCCCTTCTCTTCCCCAGCCACTGGCAACCACTATTTTTTGTTAACTGTCTCCATAGTTTTGCCTTTTCAAGATGTCATAGTTGGAATCATACAGTCTATAGCCTTTTCAGATTTTCTTTTTTCACGTACTAATATGCGTTTACGATTTCCTCAATGGCTTTTCACGGTTTGACAGCTTTTTTTTTTCTTTTGCACTTGACTATTCTATTATCTGGATATACCCGGGTTTATTTGTCCATTTACTTACTGAAGGACATCTTGGTTGCTCCCTAGTTTTGGCAATCGTGAATAAAGCTGCTATAAACATCAAACATCTGTGTGCGTGTCTTTTGTGTGGACATAAGTTTTCAGTTCGTTTGGGTAAATAGCAAGGAACACAGTTGCTGGATCATATGGTAAGAATACCTTTAGTTTTGCAAGAAACCTCTAAACTGTCTTTCAAAGTGATGGTACCATTTTATATTCCCACCAGTAATGAATGGGAGTTTCTGTTCACATTCTCACCAGCATTTGATATTGTCACTGTTAATGGGTTTTGGCCATTCTAATAGGTGTGTAGTGGTATTGTTTTAATTTGCATTTTCCTGATTATGTGACTTTTTTTCATATGCATACTCGCCATCTTTATATCTTCTTTAGTGAGGTGTCCGTTAAGGTCATTGTCCTGTTCTTAAAGTCAGGTTCTTTGTTTTCTTATTGTTGAGGTTTGAGAGTTGTTTATTTTGAATAACAGTCCTTTATCAAATGTGTCTTTTCTTTTCTTTTTTTTTTTTTTTTTTTTTTTTTGAGATGGAGTCTTGCTCTGTCTCCCGGGCTGGAGTGCAATGGGGCCATCTCATCTCACTGTAAGCTCTGTCTCCCAGGGGTTCAAGTGATTCTTCTGCCTCAGCCTCGCAAGTAGCTGGGATTACAGGTGTCTACCATCATGCCTGGCTAATTTTTGTATTTTTAGTAGAGATGGCGTTTGACCATATTAGCCAGGCTGGTCTTGAACTCCTCATCTCAGGTGATCCGCCTGCTTCAGCCTCCCAAAGTGTTGGGATTACAGGCATGAGCCACTGAGCCCGGCTATCAAATGTATCTTTTGCAAATATTTTCTCCCAGTCTGTGCCTTGTCTTTTTCATTCTCTTGACAATGCCTTTCACAGAGCAGAAAATTTTAATCTTAATGAAGTCCAGTTTAGCAGTTCTTTCTTTCATGGGTCATGCCTTCATCATTGTATTTAAAAAGTCATCAACAAACTCAAGGTCATCTAGATTGTCTTCTATGTCACCATTTGGGAGCTTTATAATTTTGCATTTTACATTTAGGTCTGTGATCCATTTTGAGTTAATTTTTGTGAGTGTAATGTCTGTCTCCTGATTCATTTTTTTTTTTTTTGCCTGTGGATATCTAGTTGTGCAGTACTATTTGTTGAAAAGATTATCTTTGCTGCATTGTATTGCCTTTCTCCTTTGCTGGCAGTGGTTCTTAAGGTGTGGTCTGGGGACTTTTGGGGGTCCTCAAGACCATTTCAGCAAGTTTGTGAGTTCAAAACTGTTTTCATATACTAAGACATTATTTGCCTTTTCTATTTTTATTCTTTCAAGAACCACTGTACAGTGGAGTTTTCTAGAGGCTGTGTGATGTGTGTGTGATATTGCCATAGGTTGAATGTAGTAGCAGATAATGATAATTCAACTATTTCCTATTAAACCACAAAATAGAGTTTTGCCAAAATGTGAAACAGTGCCACTCTTCTAAATTGTGGGGTTTTTTGAAAATACTGTTATTTTTCAAATGAATTAATGTTGATAAATTTATCAGTTTCAGTTTCTAACAGTAAATATTGGTAGAGAACCCCCACATGAAAGCTCTTGGCTCCTCAATTTTAAAAGTGTGAAGGTTCTGAGACTAAAAAAATGCACCTTTAGGGATGAGTGTGTATTAGAAGGGACAAAAGAGTACTCAAAGAGGAACTAGATCTAAGGGATCCTTTGAATTCTCAAAGTAATTTTGGATTTGATTTTGTAGGTAACAGTGCCTCAACTTTTGGAAGATTTCAAGCAAGAGATGTGGTATCATAATCCCTATGTCCACTTTATGTCCATAAATAGATTGGAAGGAGTGTTCAGTATGACTTGGAAAGGAAACTGCTGGGGCAAAAAAGTCTTAACAATAATATTTAAATTTTTTTCCCAAAGGCCTTAAAAATTAGTTATTAATTGGAACTCTTGATTATTTGTCCTCTCTCTTTTTTTTTTTTATGTCAAAACTATCCTTTTTTGTGAAAGTTAGGCAGGTTAGGTATCAATTGTGCCAAAAGTTCTTGACTACCAAACCGTTAGCCTTTGCACATATGATTCCTTGGACTAAAGACAGGGTCTGGCTCTGTCACCCAAGCTGGAGTGTAGTGTCATGATCATGGCTTACTGTAACTCTGAACTCTTGGGCTCAAGGGATTCTCTTGCCTCAGCCTCCTGAGTAGGTAGGACTACAGGTGTGTGCCACCATGCCCTGCTAAAGAGAAAGGGGTCTCTTTCCTAGGCTGGTCTCGAACTTCTGGCCTTGGCCTCCCAAAGTGCTGGGATTATAAGTGTGAGCCACCATGCTCGGCCTCTTTTAAACTGTCTTTACCTTGCTCCCATTAATATTCACATTTAAGGTAACCGCTTTCATAAAAACATCACTGAATAACTCCCCCTGGTCCTGTCAGTCCAGCATTATTCTCACCATTTATAGAGTTTCAAATATTGTTAAACTGTAGTGGCTATCTTGCTTTTATGTATTTTGGGTTTATGCACATTTCCTCCACAGAATAGGAATTGTTTTCGGTATTGTTCTCTATCTCTTCTCCAAGTACCTAGTCAGCAACCCCCCATGGGTGCTCAGTAAATATTGAATGATTATACTTAACCTCCCTTCATAGCTCAGACTATTCCATGAACAATTTATGGACATAAAAATCTATGCCAGTAGACATTTAAGGATATTTTTTATGGTGACTATGGAAATTGCCTGGTTACAAATTTATATATAGAGTCAGTAACATTGATAAAAACATAACAAATTACTGTTTCATGGAACTCATGAGGCATTAAGAGGCTTATTTAGTTTTGTTTAGATACAAGGTAGTGTCTTCCAAAACATTGTTACTTCAAAATTTTTGTAGCTGCTCCAGTTGAACACTATATTAAAATGCACATTTTTGAGGACATATTCTTGAAATTAGGAATGTAATTTTTAAGAATTAAACAGAGGACCAGAAATAGATCTGAGGAGTTTATCAGAGCTGCTTCCTTGCACAACTCTAGAAGGTGCCTGTCACACCTTTTTGTATGAAAGGTGCCTCCTAGAGTATAACTGTACAGTAGACTCATTTTTGATATAAGAAGGGATAAAGCACACTTAACAGATGATATCAAAATGTAAAAGAAAAGAAGTGTCTGTTTTAGAAGGAAGCTGTATGAGATAATAGGCAAAGGTTAGGGTGGTGGTAGCAATGGTGGTAAAAATAGGATCACTTAATCTAGATTACTTAATCAGTAAGTTGATTCCAGGGGCCAGTGGGAATTGCTGAAAGTTTCATCTGAATACATGGAATTTTTAGCAGTGATTAGGGGAATGGTGCTGGTATTTATAGCCATGAACTTATTACTTGAAAGCATCCTAGGGACCCAAGTCTTAATCAAGGGGCAGTTCTTCCAAGTAGTGGTTGAGGAAGTTGGGTATGCTTTCCAAAACTTCTTTCCTCACTAAAGATTGCAGATATACTCTGTAAGTGACTTCACAGAATATACTCAATTGTCATATTTTAATTTACATGTTTCTTCTGATTATAGGTCCCACGTGATTATAAGTTCTGAGATCAAGGGTCATCTTTGTGGGGGTGTGTGTGTGCACTTAAAATTTTATGTGCTGGTAATAGTTATCTTGTGGATATTTAAGAAATAGGAATGTGTGCCATATTTTAAATACACCTTATATGCAAAAATTTTAATGTAATTTAAGTATATCGCAAAAAATAAATAGCGGGTGGTATTCACACTGCAGAGGATTGGCAAGTCTTTTTAATATACTTCAAACAATTGTTGGCAGAAATCCGCCTCATGCACTGTATTGAATAATTTGAAACATTAGCATTTAACTAATCCAAAGCTAAGATAAAGAGATTTTGAGGTGAGGTGATAAATATATGCGGTTGTCCTTCAGTATCTATAGGGGATTGGTTCCAGGACCTCCCACAGATAAGAAAATCCAAGGGTGCTCAAATCCCTGATGTAAAATGACATTGTTTGCATATAACCTATGCACATCTCCTGAATACTTTAAATCATCTCTAGGTTACTTAAAATGCCTAATACAATATAAGTGCTACATAAACAGTTGTTATACTGTATTGTTTAGGGAATGATGACAAGGAAAAATGTCTGCGCATGTTCAGTAGAGATGCATTTTTTTGGTATATTTTCGATTCATGATTGAATCCATGATAATGGAACCCATTGATATGGAGGGCTAATTGTGTGTACATACACACACACACACATAATTTTTTATTCATTATTTATTTATTTATTTATATGTTTGTTTGTTTTTGAGATGGAGTCTTACTCTGTTGCCCAGGCTGGAGTGCAATGGCACGATCTCAGCTCCTACAACCTCTGCCTCCTGGGTTCAAGCGATTCTCCTGTCTCAGCCTCCCGGGTAGCTGGGATTACAGGCGCGAGCCACCAGGCCCAGCTAATTTTTGTATTTTTAGTAGAGACGGGGTTTCACCATGTTGGTCAGGCTGGTCTCAAACTCCTGACCTCGTGATCCGCCTGCCTCTCGGCCTCCCAAAGTGCTGGGATTGCAGGCGTGAGCCACCGCGCCTGGCCCCACACACATAATTTTCTTTTTTGCAATTATTTATTTTTTTTCCCTTTTAGAGTACACATTTTTTTGCAATTTTAAAATTGAGACATAATCTACATAACATAAAATTCAGTTTTAAAGTAGAGAATTCAGTGTTATTTAGTATGTTCACAGTGTTGTGTGCAACCATCCCCATTATGTAATTCTAGAACATTTTCCATCACCCAAGAAAGAGATCCTGTATCTGTTAACGGTCACTCCTAAGCTCTCCTCGGCCCCCCTGCAACCATTAATCCACTTTCTATCTATGAATTTTTCTGTTCTGTACATTTCGTATTAATGGAGTCATACAATATGTGGCCTTTTGTGCCTGGCTTCTTTCAGTTATAATGTTTTAAAGGTTTGTCCTTGTAGCACATATCAGTACTTTATTCATTTTTATAGGTGAGTAATACTCCCTTGTATAGTTACCCACATTTCATTTATACCTTCATTAGTTGGTGGACATTTGGGTTGTTTAGCCATTTGGGCTGTGAAGAATAGTACTGCTATGAACATTCACATACAAGTTTTCGTGTGAACATATTTTCAGTTCTCTTAGGTATATATCTAGGAGTAAAATTACTGGGTTATATGGTAATTCTGTGTAACTTTTTGAGGAACTACCAAACTGTTTTCCACATCAGTGACACTGTTTTACATTCCCATCAGCAATGTATGAAGATTCCTGTTTCTCCTCTACTTTCTTGCCAAACTTGTTATTTTCAGGATTTTAGTTTTATGATTTTTAAAAAATAGTCATCCTAGTGGGTGTGAAGTGTTATGTCATTGTGATTTTGGTTTCCATTTCCCTAGTGGTTAATGCTGTTTAGCATTTCTTTATGTGGTTATTGACTATTTGTATATCTTTGGGAAAATATCTATTCAAGGTCTTTTGCCTGTTTTAAAATTTGATCTTTATGTATTCTGGATACCAGAAGAGTACTTTACATACCTCACATACTAGATCTTTATATGATTTGTAATTTTTTTCCCCATTCTGTGGCTTGGCTTGTCACTTTCTTGATACAATGTCTTTTAATGCACAAAAGTTTTAAATTTTCAAGTCTAATTTTTCAAGGGTTTTTTCTTTTTTTTTTTTTTTAAAGACAGAGTCTTGTTCTGTCACCCAGGCTAGAGTGCAGTGGTGTGATCTTGGCTCACTGCAACTTCGCCTCCCAGGTTCAAGTGATCCTCCCACCTTAGCCTCCCGAGTAGCTGGGACTACAGGCATGTGCCACCATGCTGGCTAAGTTTTTGTATTTTTAGTAGAGACAGGGTTTTTCCATGTTGGCCAGGCTGGTCTTGAACTCCTGACCTCAAGCGATCTACCTGCCTCGGCCTCCCAAAATGCTGGGATTATAGACGTGAGCCATCACACTCTCACCCAGCCTCTGATTTTTTCGATTGTGCTTTCGATATATCTAAGAAATCATTGGCTGATTCAAGGTTATGCACCTTTACAACTCTAAGAGTTTTAGGAAGAAATTTTAGCTCTTAGATTTAAGATTGATCAATTTTGAGTTAACTTTTGTATATGGTATGAAGAAACACATTTGTATTAAGGAAAACCAAAGATATTTGGGTTTTTAATCTTTTGAAGTTGACATGGAATACAACTCTACTACCTCTGTGTAATGTGGAAATGGAATTGTGCAGGAGAAAAATGTTACTTGATGGCAATCTCCATGACTACTGGGTATAGTTTGGTGATGGATAACTGGAATTATTTGGGTCATTCTTTCAGCTGGATAAACCACTTAATCTGATCCAGTTTATATTTTTTACATTTTCAGAATAGTCTTAGATATATGAAGAAGGTAACAAATAGTTGCATGACTATCAATAAGTTGTTTTGGTCCACAAATAATAGTGTCATTGTATGTTTCCATGGTATCTTTTTTTTTTTTTTTGAGACGGAGTTTTGCTCTTGTCCAGGCTGGAGTGCAGTGGCACGATCTAGGCTCACTGCAACCTCCGCCTCCTGAGTTCAAGCGATTCTCCTGCCTTAGCCTCTCAAGTAGCTGGGATTACAGACGTGTGCCACCACGCCTGGCTAATTTTGTATTTTAGTAGAGACGGGGGTTTCACCATGTTGTCCAGGCTGGTCTCAAACTACTGACCTCAGGTGATCCACCCATCTCAGCCTCCCACAGTGTTGAGATTACAGGCATTAGCCACCACCCCCAGCCAGCAAGCAATTTTTTAAAGGTAGATTTTTGCCAACATTTAAAAAAAATCATATTTTTTTTGGAGTGCTAAGGAAAAATGGTGACAGTCCAGAAAATATTATAAAGATGAGTGGGCCAGGCACAGTGGCTCACGCCTGTAATCCCAGCACTTTGGGAGGCCAAGGTGGATGGATAACCTGTGGTCAGGAGTTCAAGACCAGCCTGACCAACATGGAGAAACCCCACAGCCTGAGCAACAAGAGTGAAACTCCGTCTCAAAAAGAAAAAATGAGTGACACTTGATTCTTACCTTAAAAGGAGCCTGAGATCTAATAGTGTAAAATGTGCAAACTAATAATTGATTATAATACATTAAGGTAAATGCATAATAAATTTTTACATAAAGATCAAAGTAGGAGAGAGTAATTAACTTTGAAGGAGGTTAGTAAAGACCTCACAGAGGGGAGGTAACAGGAACTTTAAGGATGAATGGTGATTTGCAGATGATAAGCAGTGACATGGGGCAAAAAAGCGCTTTATGGTGTGTTTGTGGGAAACTGAATAGTTTTGTGTGGTAGAATGCAAAGTGTTAATGGGAGTAAGGGGAGATGAGGCTGGAGAGGGAGCTCTTAAAGGAGCAGGACTTGTCTTGATAAACTCTGGGCTCTTCAGTGCCATCCTCCGTCTTCATTTTAGAGCCCTCCTTTCTCCCATTTATTAGCTGCTTCCCTAGCTTTAGATACCAGTGCTGTGAAACTAGCAATGTATTTTTTCCTTTTCACACATAGTTTGTAGTGAGGTTGTTGAGAAAGACAGGAAAGAAGGAATGCATGATTCTGTTGGCACATGTGCAGGGGGCTAAATATACCTTGCCACCCAAAATTGGACCTCCGAATGTTGTTATACATAGTGTTTGGCTCTCCAAATAAGTAAAATCAGGCATACTGTGAACTCATGGCTTTTGTGGGCTTGTCTGGGAATTGAGCTTTTATTGAGTTCCAAATTTATGAATGAACTTAACACAAACTATCTTATTGGGTGATAGTATGAATAAATAAGATTTGTTAAATCAGTTTGAAGTCAGTAAGAATCTTCGTGGCCTGTTTGATTTAATTAGTGACTTTTATATATCTGAAAATGATATATTGTCACTTGTGCATTTTTAAAGCTGGATTTCTACCAAACAAGGCTTTGTTAGTCTTGGATGGGTGCTTTGGCTCATCCCTGTAATTCCAGAACTTTGGGAGGCCGAGGTGGGCAGATTGCTTGAGTCCAGGAGTTTGAGACCAGCCTGGGTGACATAGTGAAATCCCATCTCTACTGAAAATATAAAAATTATTTGGGCATGGTGGCACACACCTGTAGTCCCAGCTACTTGTAATGCTGAAGCGGGAGGATCACTTGAGCCCAGGAGGCAGAGGTTATAGTGAGCCGAGATCATGCCACTGTACTCCAGCCTTGGTGACAGTGAGACCCTGTCTCAAAAAAAAGACTTTATTCGTCTTAAGGAAATTAATATGCTCATTAGCATTACATATTGAGTCTTGTTAAAATAAAACTTTAGACAAATTAAATTTGGCAGTTAATTTGAGCAAAGAAACAATTCATGAATTGAGCAGCACCCTGAAGGAGTAAAGGTTCAGAGAGTTCCACCCAGCAATGTGGATAGTCAGGATTTATAGACAGAAAAAGAAGTGACATCCAGACATAGTCTGATTGGTTACAGGTCCACGTTTGTGTCCACGTTTGCCTTATTTGGACATGTCTGAGCAGCTTGCCGCTTGTGATTGGCAGAACGCTTAGCCTCGTTACAAGAATATACTCGAGTTAGGTTGCAGTTTTAACATACTGAGGTGCAGTTCCCTGCTTATGGAAGCAGCTTTAGGCCAAATTTAATTAACAGTGTCACTATTCAGGTTGTGTTGAGATTATTGTGAAACACTAATCTGTCCTCAGTCTAGTAGGGTAGATGACGTATGCAGATAGCTGTATTGCCAGACAATGTGAGATAAGTACAGATCAAATGATGTTAAAAATCAGATAAGAGAGATACTGCTTTTGATAAGGGAAGATAACTGGACCTTAAATGATAAGTTATTAGGAACACTAGGCATTTCAGGTGGAGGAAAGAGCATGAGCAAACATTTGTAGACAGGAAGCTGAAATTGTGTTTGAGGAACAAAGAGATTTGTAAATGGGGTGCTTTTGGACTGTGAGAGGGACAGGTTGGGTGCAATGAGAAATACAGTCGGAGCAATTGTCTGAGGCTAGATTGTGAAGGGAGTATGACTTTTAATTATATGACCTTTAGATATAGCTTTTTGGCTACTGTAGGTCAAGTTGGACCATAGTTAGAGCCAATTTTTCAAAATTACACTTTATCTGTAGTTTCTGCTGCCAGTGTGAAAACAGGAAAGGCAAGGAGTTTTGCTGATCTGGAAGCTGAGATGAGATTTTGCTGCTTCAAGTTTTTGTATTAACTTTATTATAGAATGAATGAATGGTGGCAATTACTGAGGTTTGGGGATTTCCGAGTCTCTAGATTGCACAGGAATCATTGAAGAAGTCTTCTCAACAGAAATAATGTAAACCTAACTTTGATCTGAAGGAAGAAATTTTATAAAAGAAAGGAAACTTTCAGTCTTCAGGGATTCACAAAGTCTGATAAAAATTGGTGTATTAGTCTATTCTCGTGCTGCTATGAAGAAACACCCAAGACTGGGTAATTTATAAAGAAAAGAGGTTTAATTGACTCACAGTTCTGCATGGCCAGGGAGACCTCAGGAAACTTACAATTATGGCAGAAAGGGAAGCAAACATGTCCTTTCTCACATGATGGCAGGAGAGAGAAGTGCCCCTTATAAAACCATCAGATCTCATGAGAACTCACTCACTATCATGAGAACAGCATGGGAGAAACTGTCGCTATGATTCAGTTATCTCCACCTGGTCCTGTCCTTCACATGGGTATTATTACAACTCAAGGTGAGATTTGGGTAGGGACACAGAGCCAAACCGTTTCAGTTGGTTTAGTTAGGACATACAAAATGGGGAGAATAGCTAACCTTTAAGGAAACCTTTCTATGTCTTGGGCAATTGACATGCATTGTTAACACAATGTTTATACAAACCTATTCATCAGATAGTCTTATTGGCTTTATTTTCCACATACTTAAACCAAAACACTATTAGTAAGAAGACATAGAGAATAAATCTGACATTTAGATGGCGATGAAGAACCTTGACTAGAGGTCAGGCAATCTGAAGGGGAGCTTCTTAGCTCACAGAAAACTTATATGGAATGAGATATAGATAGGAGAGAGCTTTTCTTTGAGGAATATAATTTATGTAAATATGTAAGATTACATTTTGAGATGTCAACTTTCTATACTTTTTTTCTTTTCTTTTTGAGATGGAGTCTCACTCTGTTACGCAGGCTGGAGTGCAGTGTCGCGATGTCAGCTCACTGCAACCTCTGCCTCCCAGGTTCAAGTGATTCTCCTGCTTCAGCCTCCCAAGTAGCTGGGACTGTGAGTGCACGCTACCATGCCTGGCTAATTTTTGTATTTTTAGTAGAGATGGGGTTTCACCATGTTGGCCAGACTGGTCAGGAACTCCTGACTTCAAGTGATCCGCCCACCTCCATCTCCCAAAGTGCTGGGATTACAGGAGTGAGCCACCACTTTATCTTAAGATAAATTTTCCATATGCTTCAAGAGGAGTAAGCTCTAACTGGAATGTAGGGTACTGACCCTAGCTCCATATGACCTCACAAAAATCTGTTACTAAAATAGTTTATTTTCTAAATTACCTTCTTACTCTGTTATTCTGTGATGCTATAATTGTGCTCCTTTAGCTTTTTTTGTTGTAGGCTTGGTCCTTTGGAAACGAATACCAGAAACAGTTTCTCTCTGAGCCTTTGCTTCATTCTCCATCAGAGTATTCTGTCCCATTTACTACTATATCATTATTTGAAAAACAGTTTGAATTTGCATATCTTATTATCATTGGTAGGAATAGGTGGCATTGTCTTATGTGATTCTTGTTTTAGGAGGAAATGGGCAACAAAAATGTGAATTTTCAGCTGGGTGTGTTGGTGCATCCTTGTAGTCCCAGCTACTCAGGTGACTGAGGTGGCAGTATTTCTTGAGGCCAGTAGTTTGAGGCCACCTTGTACAACATAGCGAGACCACATCACATAAAAAATAATAACAATAAATAATTTTTTTCCAGTGTGTATCTTGGATGTAAAAAAAAGGGAGTTTCTTTCTACCTTTATTAAAAATTGTCTTATATGTGTTGCCTGTTGTTCATATTGGGGGATCAGCTGAGGGTGTGTAAGGAGCATCACTAATCCATCACCATTTATGTTCTACCACAGTGACATAATCTTAAAATTATTAAGTGATGAATTGATGGATAATTGCTTCACCTTATTTTTATCTCTTCATTTTAATTCTTCAGAAACACAGAAATGTAAACATTATTATTGTTGCCAGGATCCTTAATTTAATTTGCATGATGGAAGGACTGTGTTTCTTAAATTATATGAATGCTGTGTATATGTATTGTAGAATGGGGAATTGCATGTATCTGTTTAATATTAGAAATCTGTAATAGGTCAAGGCTGCATCAGTTTTTGTGGCTGTAATTGCTTGCACATTTTTGGCTTATAAACTTTTGTGTACCAGTGACAACCATTAAGAGCCAGAAAAGTTTGCTTTTACTTGCAGTACATGTACATCTAGTTTTGAGTTATTTGTCAAAAAAGGGTGAACTTTCTTTTTGGCTTTTTTTTTGGGGGGGCCTTTTGTGACTTGAAATTAAGCAACTTACTGATATAGTTTTTTTTTTTTTTTTTTTTTGAGACAGAGTCTTGCTCTGTTGCCCAGGCTGGAGTGCAGTGGCGCGATCTCTGCTCACTGCAACCTCCGCCTCCTGGGTTCAAGGAGTTATCCTGCCTTAGCCTCCTGAGTAGCTGGGATTATAGGCTCTCATCACTACGCCTGGCTAATTTTTGTATTTTATTTTTAGTAGAGATGGGGTTTTGCCATGTTGGCCAGGCTGGTTGTGAACTCCTGACTTCAGGTGATCCACCCACGTTGACCTCCTAAAGTGCTGGGATCACAGGCGTGAGCCACCTCACCTGGCCTGATGTAGTTTAGAATAATCTTTAGTTGTGTCCAATATGTAGTTTTACCTAGCAAACTCGTTTTAATTGTTGGTACCTTTTTTTTTTTTTAACTTCTCTAAGTTCATCTACCTTCAGATTGCATCTTTGGAAGGGGATGGGCAGAATTTTGGAAGGTAGCAGTTCTCTTAGATGAATAGAAAAGAGGCCAGGCATGGTGGCTCACGCCTGTAACCCCTGCACTTTGGGAGGCCAAGGCAGGTGGATCACCTGAGGTCAGGAGTTTGAGACCAGCCTGGCCAATATGATGAAACCCCGAGATTGCGCCACTGCACTCCAGCCTGGGTGACAGAGTGAGACTCTTTCTCAGGGAAAAGGAAAAAAAAAGGGAAAATAAAAGAAAATGAATTTCTCCAATTAACAGTTACTGGCTTTATTTCAGGCGAGCTGTCATGGGGGAATTTGTCTGGTTTTGAGATATAAGATCAGTGTGAAGATTTATTGATACATACAAAATGGAGTGGGTTGCTCTGCAATGAATTTGTGTGTTAAAACTGAATATCAAAGATAAAATAAGTTAACTGGATAGTTGCATTTGATCTTTTGGTATGGAACCGGAGTAAAGATCTGATTTATGTTTTTTTTTGTTTGTTTTTTTGAGACAGTCTTGCTTTGTCACCCAGGCTGCAGTGCAGTGGCACAATCTCAGCTCACTGCACTGGGTTCCAGTGATTCTCATGCCTCAGCCTCCCAAGTAGTTGGGATTATAGGTGTGCACCCACCGTGCCTGACTAATTTTTGTATTTTTAGTAGAGACGGGCTTTTGCCATGTTGGTCAGGCTGGTCTGGAACTCCTAGCCTCATGTGATCCACCCGCCTTGGTCTTCCAAAGTGCTGGGATTACAGGTGGGAGCCACCGCACCCGGCCCTCTGATTTGTTCTTTACGTGGTCACTTTGCCTCCCATTTTCAGAATTGGAAGATATACCCACATTATCCTTATTCCCATTTGTACATTTCCTTATTGAAGTAAAACCAGCTGTTTAATGACTGAAAAGTTACAGTTTAGCAGGCAGTAATTTTTTTTTTTTTTTTTTTTTTTGAGACGGAGTTTCACTCTTACTCCCCAGGAGGCTGAAGTGCAGTGGTGCTATATCTTGGCTCACCGCAACCTCTGCCTCCCAGGTTCAAGCGATTCTCCTGCCTCAGCCTCCCGAGTAGCTGAGATTACAGGCATGCGCCACCACGCCCGGCTAATTTTTGTATTTTTAGTAGAGCTGGGATTTCACCATGTTGGCCAGGATGGTCTCGACCTCCTGATGTTGTGATCTGCCCGCCTCAGCCCCCCAAAGTGCTGGGATTACAGGTGTGAGCCACTGCACCCGGCCTATTTTTCTTTTATTAACATTAGCTTTAGTAATTTTTCTTCACAGAACTATGTATTTGTGTATTTGTTGTCAGGTTTGGAATTTGTGTTGGCTATCAATTTAATATAAAGTCTTAGACTTTATAGAGTATAAACCCTCATTTATTTTTGTTCATCGTATTCTTGCAAAATACTGTTTTGACTTGGTGACCTAGAGTGGATCAAGGCACTATCTTCAAGTGGTTTCTGTAGTAGCCTAACCTAGAAACACTGCCTGACATAGCTGAGTGGCAATGAAAAACAGCCATAGGTACTAACTTAAAAATTAGCTATAGAATTGCAACTGGCAGCTAAGTTAGAAAGCTATTTATAGAGCAGCTTGGGATACTAAGATACTCCTTGACTGCATGAAGGTGCAGTGCAAGGAGAGAACCATTGCTTCGCATCAGGAGATTGGAAACCTTTTTTTTTTGAGACGGAGTTTTGGCCTTGTTGCCCAGGCTGGAGTGCAGTGGCGGGATCTCGGCTCACTGCAGCCTCTGCCTCCCGAGTTCAGGAGATTCTCCTGCGTCAGCCTCCCAAGTAGCTGGGATTACAGGTGCCCGCCACCATGCCCGGCTAATTTTTTATATTTTTAGTAGAGACGAGGTTTCACCATGTTGGCCAGGCTGGTCTCAAACTCCTGACCTCAGGTGATCTGCCCGCCTCAGCCTCCCAAAGTGCTGGTATTACGAGTGTGAGCCACTGCACCCAGCCGGAAACGTTTTAAGAGAGAAACTTACTAATAAGTTGCTTCCTGTCCTTGGGCTTATAGACTTAATCTAGAATTGATTTTTCTTTGACTTTCTTCATCAGAGTTATATTTTCATAACTTAATGACTAACCAAGAATGTGTTATAACTGTTGAGGCCCCTTTTAACGTAGTTTACCCCTTCTGCTATTACTTAGAATTGATAGTAATTACATCTCTAGGGCAAAAGATGACTGGAAAATTGCTTTGTGTTCTTCTCATGTAACATCATATAAGACCTGTTCACCTAAAATCTAGTGAGTTGATTTAGTTTGTTCTCTGACATTCTTGGCTTCTTTAAACTTGCTTATAAATTAAGGCTTGCAGTTTGAGTCATTTGGAAATGGGCAATGCCCAGAACTTTCGCAACTTGTGAACTTGAGTTGAATAATGTGTCGCTTTCCTCATAGTCTGTCAACTTTAGTTCATTGTAGCCACAAAGAAGATGATTATGCCAATGAGGATTATACTAAACCAGACAAGAGGTGGCCTACTGTGTATACTAGGAATTAGATTTGTGAGAACTAAACACAACACTGAATTTGTGAAAATGTGTGCAGTTTAGAGTAATTAGAGAAAATGATAAGTCTCACTCAGACCACATGGAAATGGGGGTAGAGTGTGTGTGTGTTGTGGATGTGTGTCTTCATCTATCCTGCTAGTGGAAAGGTTACTGTTTGAAAAATGTAGTTCCAACACAGCCACTAGTTTGTGCTACTTTAGACAAGTATTTAAATCTTTGCAATAGAGATATTATAATAGAGCATTCCTTGCCTTGGCACAAGGCTGTTGTTAAATTGGAAGACTAAGGATATGAAAGAATTTTGTAATGTATAAAGAAATCTTGGCCAAGCACGGTGGCTCATGCCTGTAATCCCAACACTTTGGGAGGCCAAAGTGGGAGGATCACTTAAGGCCAGGAGTTTGAGACCAGCCTGGGCAACATAGTGAGACCTTGTATCTACAGAAAATTTAAAAATTGGCTGCATGTGCTGGCATGTACCTGTAGTCCCAGCTACTCCAGTCTGGGTGACAGAGTAAGACCCTGTCTTTATTAAGAAAGAAAGAAATCATATGTGCATTATAAAGATTTTGCCACTCTTAAGATTGAGTGCAAGGATCTATGGTAACACTTCCCAGTTGATGAAGAAATTGGGCATTAGATAATGAAGGTTTTGCAGCAGTAATTGAGTTTGAGCTATTTTCATGACAGTGTATTGGAAAGGTGATAGAGGAGTTGTCTCCTAAAATGAGGGAAAACATCAATACAAAATGATGGTAAGAAAGAAATGAAAATATTTGTAATGATGCTTTAAAGCTTTAGGGTACTTTTAAAATACCCTAAATATATCACCTTACTAAGCCAAGATGTTGTGAAAATTAAGTATTAGTCCTATTTTTTAAATGTTGAAATGGAAACTGAGTGACTAATTAACATGCCTGAAATCACAATGGTGAATCATGAATCTCGAATTTGATTCTAGATTTTTTTTGCTCATTCTGATGTGTTGGTTAGTCTTGTTATAGTACAGTTGTAGCACATGGAAATGGATGGGACCATGCATGGAAGCCAGAGAGTCTAGAGCAGAACTTCAGTGATGGCAAATTAAAATCTTCATTATCAGTATTTGAAGCAGATATTGAAAATGAATAGCTCTTAGGACAGACTATCAAATAAATGTGAGCCAGAAGATTTTTAATGGGAGAAATTAACTTTAATGAAATATCTTGTAGAAAGAGTTAAAAACAAGATACCTGCCAATCCCAGTCACTCTGGAGAGTATCTAATGTAGCAATGAAAGTAAAAACTAGTTAACATTCTCCAGTGTTTGTCAAGTTTAGGAAGAGATTAACTTGAAAAGCTGTGGTTGGGTAGAAGGTTTATTTGAAGATCGTTTGGCATCATAGCAAAAAAAAGTTGGTGAAAGATTGGTACTGTAGAATGATGGGAGAAAGATGATTAAATTTCCCTTCCTACTTGTCTAGACCACTTAAAATGTATATTACTTTCTCACACAAGCCAGGATAAAGATACACTCTTTAAGAAATTTAGGAGACTCTTCATATATCCATTCATAGATAGAATGTGGTTTTGAAAATAAATGGGATATTGTATAAATATAGATCTATATAAAATTTTATAATTCCTTTTAAGAAAGACATTTGTCAGGAAGTAAAATTGTCAGACTTTTTAGTGCTGAGAAATAGGAAATAGGTGAATGTGGGTTATATGGAGTCTTTTTTTTTTTTTTTTTTTTTTTTTTGAATTTCAAGACAGGGTCTCACTATGTTGCCTAGGCTGGAGTTCAGTGGCTATTCACAGTTGTCATCATTGCATACTACAGCCTCAAACTCTTGGGCTGAAGTGATCCACCCACCTCAACCTCCTGAGTGGCTGGGACTACAGGTGCATACCACTGTACCCTTCTAGGAATCTTATAAGAACAGGTGTATGGTTATGAGGTGTATGAGGATAGAGATATTTTTTGTCCTGGTGATTATTTCTTCTTGTAGAATAATCCTGGTGATTTTTCCTTCTTGTAGAAACTTAAAGGCGTAATATTAAACTTATTAGGAAAAATAACTCTGGCTTTATTTTGTAGTGATTTATTAATGGCTTTATTTTATAGTGATATATTAATAATGTATTAAAATTGCTCATATTTTCCACTTAGAGAGTATTATTTCAAAATTTAAAGCCATGTAGATAGGTTATTATTTGGTGCTACATCCGCCATTACTGCAGTTGGTTTCCAGCAGTTTGAAAAATGATTTTTCAGAAATGGCTTTCACTTGTTACTCAGTGGCTTACAGCAACGGTCCCCAACCTTTTTGGCACCAAGGAGTGGTTTCATGGAAGACAGTTTTTCCACAGACTGGCAGGGGGTGTGTGGAGGGATGGTTTCGGGATGAAACTGTTCCACCTCGATCATAGGCATTAGATTCTCATAAGGAGTGCACAGCCTAGATCCCTTGCATGTGCAGTTCACAATAGGGGTCGCGCTCCTATGAGAATCTAATGCCCCTGCTGATCTGATAGGAGGCAGAGCTCAGGCAGTAATGCTTCCTAGCTCACCAGCTACTGTGTGGCCCAGTTCCTAACAGGTCATGAGCCAGTAATGGTCCACGGCCTGGGGGTTGGGAACCCCTGGCTTACAGGGTCTTCACATGCTTACTAGCTACAGTTACGTCACTTAATCGTGTAATAAATGGCTCGTGTAATTTTGAGTCACTTAAAGTGATCAGATTGTTTTAATTGTGAAGCATGTGAATAAATAAATGAGATTTCCACCGTCTGGTACTATATACGTAAAACTAGAGGCTTTGCAAAATTACCAAGAGACGATCCCGTTTGATGTGTCTTTGGTTTGGCACAGGTGGAGCAGACATGTGAGATATAGAATGAATGGGAGGCCTTCACACTTACTCACTATGTGGAAGGTGGTAGTTGATCATGATGGTCAGTTCCATAGGCCTCCAGGCCACTGGTGACACACTACCACTGTTGCCATAATTCTTAAAAGTCATTTTATGTGGGGCTCCTTCCTAGCAACCTCCCTCAAACACATAGCTCCATCCCTTCCAAGAGCTAAGAAATTTTTAGCACTTGCCACCATCTATTTGTTCATTTGTTTACTGATTACATTCCTCCCATTAGTATATAAGCTCCGTGATAATAGAAACTTTGTCCACTATTGTATATTTCTAACTCCTAAGACACTATTGGCGTATTATAGTATGCAGTTAATACTAGAATAAATGGGATTTCTGTTTGTTCTTACTGAGGTTTGCAAAGCTTCATGAAAGTGGAATATAAAGATTCTCGTTGTTCTGTGTGCATTGGGGACATGGAACGGAACTTGTGTTTTCTGAGTGAGGGAGCCTCTGGCAGAGAGTCTAACTGCAATCCATTATTCCCTGTGACTGGGCAGAATTTAAAAATTTTTAAGAGAAGAGATGAAAAATCTTCTGGATTCCTACTTAATTTAGACATGGGTTTGGCTCTTAACGAAAAACTTTAACCTACCTACAGGGAAGGCTTTTTCGCTGTTACCCTTACTTCTGTCTCCTGGATCTTATGAGTGGAGAAATGAGCCTTTGTTTCACTTACAAATCCACAAATATTTATGCTGTCATATGAACACATGTATAAGGCGCTGTGTCACATTGTGGAAGATACAAAGAGACAGGATTCCTGAGAATTTAACAAAGTTAAGAATGAGTGTTATTAATTAAAACAAAAATGGGACATTTAGGTTATAGTTGAGACCATGTTCTTGTTTTTTAAACGTGAGATGTTTTTGGACACAGAGGTGAAAAATTCTAATGTCTCTAACTCCCCCAGAAGACCTTAGATTGATTTTTCTGAGAAGAAATTTGTGAATGATTTGCATAGAGATTTTCTTTGAGGTTAAGAAATTAGATGAGTTTCCCGGGGTGAAAAAAACAGAAGCAGAGATTATTGTTAAAAATGGTCATGGGTAGAGGGGTTAGAGGGCAAAGTAGGCAGAATAGAAGCATGTTTGTGTTTTAAGGAGGCTAAGAACTAGAATATAGCACTCATAAAAGGAAAATGCAAATGCACTGTGAATAGCTGCTACTGGTAGTGTATTAATTTCTTAGCTACATGTAAACTTTTATTAGTGTGCTTATAACTAAGGTGATGTGTAATATGTCATCCAAACTTGGGTCACTTTTAAGAGTGAAAGGGTGTGCTATCTGAATGGGACCCTGGACAACAGGTGTGAACCAGGACTGTTCCAGCAAAACCAGGACGGTTGGTCATTCCTAACTAATAACGTACTTTTCTCCAGACTTAGTCCCAATTCCTTTAACCTCTCCAGAATTATCTATAAATAATTATAGATATTATACCATAAATGTTTTTTCCTTTATAGTACTCTGATCTGCACTTGCAGAGCCTCTCAGTTGTTGGTTTCTTTTTCCCTGTCTTGTTGGAAAGAAAGGAGAATTTTTCTGCCCCCACTCTGGACCCTGCTTGGGT
Source organism: Homo sapiens (assembly GCF_000001405.40). Taxonomy (NCBI): domain Eukaryota; kingdom Metazoa; phylum Chordata; class Mammalia; order Primates; family Hominidae; genus Homo; species Homo sapiens. The sequence goes on along the minus strand of NC_000011.10, from coordinate 86,042,778 downwards.
TCACAGCATTGGTGGAGGTAAGTAGTATTCTCAATGTATTGTTAGTTGACTTTCATTTTGCTTAGGAAATGAGGTTTCTGTATTTTTCTGATCCAGTACTAGATTTTTTTTTTTTTTTGAGAGTCCTGATGATATTTAACTGGGCTAACGAACAGTTAGTAAGTTCTTAGCATGTAATACAAAAAAGTGTTTGTAATTTTGGCATTTGTTCTTAAATTACTTGATACTTAATATGTTTTCTTTCCTATAGGTGGGGTTGTCATTGTGAAATTTAAGATCTTCAAAGAAGAGAATGTAATTTATACCATGAATATGTTATTTTTTCATGTTGGAGCACTGTAATACTTTCAGTTTGTTTTCTTATTGTTTAAATAAAATTTTTAATTCTTATATTAAGTGATGAGTTTTTATTCCATTAAGTAGCTTTTTATTGTCTTGTATTTCTGATAAATTTAAAATTGACATAGAAGTAATAAATCTTTGAGATGGTGCTTACCAAAATATGATTTTCCTCATCCCTTACAGTAATCCTTATTTGGAATCTAGGATGGGCCTAAGGTATCTAGGTTTGAAAATCACCACTTTAGAGTACTAGAATGGAATCCTAAACAATCTCAGATTTAAGAATGTGGTTTACAGATGAGCCTGAATGCATCTGTGTTCTTGCCAGGGTCCTGTTGTTCCTCTGTACAGTCTGCCATCTAGTGGTAGGAATGCAGAGTTTACCAGAATGCCAACGGAAAGCTCTAGGTTTACACTTTCTTATATTAAGAAGGCTTACGTAGTAATTTAAAACATTTTGATAATCAGAGGAGGGGGGAGGAACAACTCTTTCATTTGAAAATACAAGTCAGTGGCAGTGAAGTCAGAGTATTCCAAGAGTATATGTTTTTCTATAGAGCATTTTCATGACTTAAACTTTCCACTTTTGTTCTAAGAGTTTTTGTATTTATGACATTAGTGGGTAAAGAGACAAATGAAAGATAATTTTAAGAGACAGTAGATTAGACTGATCTGAAAAATGTGTTTTCAGTGTTGATTAAAATTTTAGAGCAATTACATAATGACTTCATTTAAAACAATTTAGTTTGCACTTTTAAAATTAAAGTTTGAACAGTTCGGTAAATTTGGCTTGGGTTCAGCCATGACTTAAGAGGCTAAATTTCAGACATATATTAATATATAGTATCTTAGGAGTTTGCTTTGTGTACCCAGTTCTATCTGAATTCTTTCTTCTCTACATATTCCCTTTTCAGTTCCTCATCTTTCCTCTGCCACAAATAAAAAGGATGTCAGTCCTTTCTCTGCCAGGAAAATGCCTTTTAAAAAATCTCTTCTGTGTTCCGTTCTTGAAGTAGAGGCTTTTTATTGAGGTAGTTCATAATATCAGTATAGTGGCAGGAGGAGGAATATGGGGTGGTATAAACTTGAAAAAGCAATTATGCTGCTCTCTAGATTGCTAATATATTTTTTTCCAAATTTGCTGCACTGAAGCTTAGACTAAATAGAATATTGTTGCTTTCTACAGATGTCTTCTAAGTTACATTTCATTTACTAGTATTAATTTAATAAATATTTAAGGTGTATCCTGCTAGGTGCTGGCAATTTGAGGATGAAGAAGTCATGGACTGCCTTTAGTGAGCTCTCTCATAGGAGAGACTGATATATGAGCTAGTAATTGTAATGAAGTGTGAAAAGTGCTGTAACTATTGTATGATGAGTTAAGAGAGTATGAAATTGAAACCAGGGAAAATTTGCTTTCCCCTCCAAAACAATTGCCTGGTCTTTTTGCCATCTCTGAATCCTATACATACAGATTACAATCACCATAATGTATTGTGAGGCTGTATCTTTACCCCCAAAGACCTCAGTTTAGTAGGGGAGAAATTTTGCATCTTCTCAGCTTTGTATATCTAAGTATTTGGCATATACTTAGGTGAATCCATTGTTTATTTGAATTGCATCCGGGTCATTTCCAGCAAAAGGGATAGCTCTGAAAGTGTGTGGCTTCATCCTGTGTCTCACTTAAAGCATTTTGGAATATATACACACACTTAAACATATATACACCTATACTGTTTGTACCTGAATGTAAGGTAACCCCAAATATAAAGCAAGCCTGCATTTTCCCAGAGACATTGACAGCCCCTCAAGTTTTATTTATTTAACCTATTTAAATATGTAAATGTTAGGGATATAGATGAAGCAGTCAGCCTCATAATATTGAAACTCACTAGTTAGAATACATATGAAAGATTACTATAAAAAGTAATCTGGCTGAGTGCGGTGGCTCACATCTGTAGTAATCCCAGCACTTTGGGAGGCCGAGGAGAAGGATCCCTTGAGCCCAGGAGTTCCAGACTAGCCTGGGCAACAGAGGGGGAGACCTCGTCTCTATAAAAATAAATCAATAAAATTTTAAAAAGTTATTAGAAAGAGAAGTAATCTGTGATTTTAAAATAGTAGTTTCTTTTCGCCACTCATACATACCTCACCACATGACATTTGACTCATTTTACATTCATGTATATATTGGATATTTTGTGTTTTTTTGGTCATCCACAGCCCCTTTTTTAAAGTTATATAACATCTTTCCTTTTGTGTAAGATCTTTCTAATTTACATTAGAAATTTTTTCACAGACTATCACCATCCATTCTTATAACACTAAGACAGTTTGTTTCTTTCGTTCCTCATGTATATTTCTATATTTCTGATCTCTGCATCTGCAACATAACTTTATTTTGTTGCCTTTTTTTTTTTTTTTTTTTTTTTTGAGACGGCGTCATGCTCTGTCGCCCAGGCTGGAGTGCAATGGCGCGATCTCGGCTCACTGCAAGCTCCGCCACCCGGGTTCATGTCATTCTCCTGCTTCAGCCTCCTGAGTAGCTGGGACTACAGGCTCCCGCCACCATGCCCAGCTAATTTTTTTGTATTTTTAGTAGAGATGGGATTTCACCGTGTTAGCCAGGATGGTCTCGCTCTCCTGACCTCGTGATCTGCCCGCCTCGGCCTCCCAAAATGATTTTGTTGCTTTTTAAAGTTCTGAAGACACCCAACACAATTTTGCAATTATGTGGTATATATTCCCAGGAATACTTACCTCTGTTAAATTTTTTATTTCTTCATAAGCACCTGAAACTAGCATTGTTGGAGGTCTTTTCAGGTTACCTTCTTCAGGAAGAACTTTGTTAAAATAAACAGACCAGATAATGAGATGATTTGTGAAGACTTATGGCAGTTTTTCTATTGAATAGTTTTTAGAGAGGGAAAGTGCTGTCATTTTACCTGGCAATTTTACAAATGGTAGAATTATTTTTACATTTCTGGTGGGGGGAGGATTGCCTTTTAAAATTTATTTTAATTTATTTTTTTTTAGACACAGAGTGTCACTGTGTTTCCCAGGCTGGAGGGCAGTGGTTGTTCACAGGCATGATTATAGTACATTACAGCCTTGAACTCCTGGGATCAAGGGATCCTCCTGTCAGCCTTCCAAGTAGCTGACTACAGGTGCATGTCACCATGTTCCACTCTATTTTTACATTTTCTAATTTTTAAGTGTGGGAATCTTAGTCCATTCATGTTGCTAAGAACACAGTGACAGAAATAGCATATCTAGTTGTGCTAATATACTGATTTTTTTCCTACAGCTGCACTTTTTTTTTTTTTGAGATAGAGTCTCACTCTGTTGCCCAGACAAGAGTGCAGTGGCATGATCTTGGCTCACCACAACCTCTGCCTCCCAGATTCAAGTTATTCTCCTGCCTCAGCCTCCCAAGTAGTTGGGATTACAGTCGTGTTGTCACCACGTCCAGCTAATTTTTGTATTTTTAATAGAGCTGGGGTTTCACCATGTTGGCCAGGCTGGTCTCAAACTCCTGACCTTGAGTGATCCGTTCTCCTTGACCCCCAACGTACTGGGATTACAGGCATGAGCCACTGCACCTGGTCTTTTATTTTTAAACGTTAAGATAGGACTTTGACTTACCTTTTTTTTTTTTCTGAGATGGAGTCTCGCTCTGTCGCCCAGGCTGGAGTGCCGTGGTGTGATCTCAGCTCGCAACCTCCGCCTCCTGGGTTCAAGCAGTTCTCTGCCTCAGCCTCCCAAGTAGCTGGGATTACAGGCACCTGCCACCAAGCTCGGCTAATTTTTGTATTTTTAGTAGAGATGGGGTTTCAGCATCTTGGCCAGGCTGGTCTTGAACTCCTGACCTCATGATCCACCCGCCTCGGTCTCCCAAAGTGCTGGGATTCCAGGCGTGAGCCACCGTGCCCGGCCAGGACTTTGACTTACTTTGGGTGTGGGGTCTGGAGATTCCTTAAGGCTCATTTACCATTGTAAGAGATTGAACTTGTGTTCAAAATACTGACCTACTTCTGGCATAGTGGCTGCCAAATTCTCAGGTACTTTACCATGCAACTCTTATTCTTTTTTTGTTTTGTTTTGTTTAATTTTTTTCGGATGGAGTCTCGCTCTGTTGCCCAGGTTGGAGTGCTATGGCTGTGATCTCAGCTTCCTTTTACCTCCGCCTCCTGGGTTCAAGCGATTCTCCTGTGTCAGCCTCCCAAGTAGCTGGGATTACAAGCATGTGCCACCATGCCTGGCTAATTTTTGTGTTTTTAGTAGAGACAGGGTTTCACCATATTGGCCAGGCTGGTCTCGAACTCCTGACCTCAAGTGATCTACCTGCCTCAACTTTCCATAGTGTTGGGATTATAGGCGTAAGCCTCCATGCCTGGCCCAGCCACTCTTATTCTTGTACCACCTCTTCCTCACATCCTTGAGGAGATAAAGAATGTGTCATGGCTCTCCTTTCTGCTCTTGATCATGATAACGTTCTAAAGGGTGTGGAATAAATTACAGTACAGAACTGGTGTGTGCTATGTGACATGAGAGGTACTGAGATTAGTTTATGGAAGTAACAGTGTTATAGTTCCTTTATAAATTATTTTTCTCTAACTTCATATATGACATAGTTGCTAAGTCATTTTGGAAGTGTTCGATTGTGTATGCATCACCTTGTATTTGGGCAAATACAATATATACAAAAAAATATTACACATACATAACTTTTTTTTTTTAGACAGTGTCTTGCTGTGTTATCCAAGTTGGAGTGCAATGTCGTGATCACAGTTCACTGTAACCTTAAACTCTTGGGCTTAAACTATCTTCCCGCCTCAACCTCCACTACAAGCAGTAATTAAAAAAAAAAAAACTAGGGAGCTGGGTGCGGTGGCTCACGCCTGTAATCCCAGCACTTTGGGAGGCCGAGGCAGGTGGATCACAAGGTCAGGAGTTCAAGACCAGCCTGGCCAAGATGGTGAAACCCCATCTCTACTAAAAATACAAAAATTAGCCGGGCGTGGTAGCAGGTGCCTGTAATCCCAGCTACTTGGGAGGCTGAGGCAGGAGAATTGCATGAACCTGGGTGGCAAAGGTGGCAGTGAGCCGAGATCACACCACTGCACTCCAGCCTGGGCGATAGAGTGAGACTCCGTCTCAAAAAAAAAAAAAAAAAATTTTCTTTTTTTTTTGGCTGGGTGTGGTGGCTCATGCCTGTAATCCCCAGCCCTTTGGGAGGCCGAAGCGGGTAGATCACGAGATCAAGAGATTGAGACCATCCTGGCCAACATGGTGAAACCCTGTCTCTACTAAAAATACAAAAATTAGCTGGGCGTGGTGGCGGGCCCCTGTAGTCCCAGCTGCTTGGCAGGCTGAGGCAGGAGAATCGCTTGAACCTGGGAGGCGGAGGTTGCAGTGAGCCGAGATCACGCCATGCACTCCAGCCTGGCTACAGAGCAAGACTCCATCTCAAAAAAAATTTTTTTTTTTTGGTTGTTGTTGAGACAGGATCTCCCTGTGTTGCTTAGGCTGGTCTCAAACTCGTGACCTCAAGCAGTCATCCTACCTCGGCCTTCCAAAGCACTGGGATTACAGGCATGAACCACAATGCCTAGCCTCACACATACAGTTTTAAAAAATGGAATTGTACTGTGTATTTTTCTTTACTATAACTTTTGACTTAATATGTGGTGAACATTTTCTCCTGACAGCTTTTATTTTTTGTGCCATGCATTCGTTGGCCTCATAGTATTTCATAGTCAGACTGTAGTGTCATTTGATTAACTCTTCACTCTTGGATATGTCCACTTAAATTATGAATTAGGTCCCTTAGCTTCATTAGTATTGTTCTAAAAGCCATCTGATTATTTTTGTCAATCTTTGTCATTGTACTCAGCGTTCCATATTCTGTCTTTAAGAGTATTTCCCCAGTTATTAAAGTCCAATTATGTTGGTTAGATTTCTTAAGGTGTAAGTCAGCCTGTGAAGAGCATAGTTTTGAGTTAATTCTACTGGAAGTTATATAAAAATAAAACATTGTGTTTCTCACAGAAGACCCCATGAACTTTACAGATAAAATTTTAACAGTTACATCTTAATTTGGACCATATTTTATGATCCCTTTCACAAATCATTGGAGTAAGAAATAAGACTGTTCATTTCATTTCCTGGACATTGACACTTACGACTAGGCAAATTTGCCTGTGTTTAACTTTGATTAGCCTATGTCTAATTTCAACTTGCATAGTTTTGAAATACTTAAAACAATTTTGCTATATGAAAAAAATTTTGCTGATACTTCATATAAAAGTTCCTTATCCTCTGTTTACTATTTTTTGATGAATATGCTTTTTGTTTCTACTCCCACCAAGGAAAAATTACAAAGATTTGATAAGTGAAGCAAAATTTGATTAACCAGTTAATTTGCCTTGCCTTCCATATTAATTTTATCTCCAATTTTCTTTTTTTTTCTTTTTTTTTTTTTTTTTTGAGGCAGAGTCTCGCTCTGTAGGCCAGGCTGGAGTGCAGTGGCATGATCTCGGCTCACTGCAACCTCCGCCTCCCAGACTCAAGCAATTCTGCTGCCTCAGCCTCCTAAGTAGCTGGGATTACAGGCGTGTGCCACCATGCCCGGCTAATTTTTGTGTTTTTTTTTTAGTAGAGACAGAGTTTCACCATGTTGGCCAGGCTGGTCTCGAACTCCTGACCTCAGGTAGTCCGCCCGCCTCGGCCTCCGAAAGTGCTGGGATTACAGATGTGAGCCACCGTGCCCAGCCGTATCTCCAGTTTTCTAGATGACTGAATAAATCAATTTTAGGTTGTAAATTTATGAGGGCAGGTGTAAAAAAGAAGTTCTCGTTCAAAATGACCTTTTTGAAAGGGATTACTAAATTTTATATGTATTACTGTGTTTGGCTAAGTGATTGTGGTATGTTGATTTAAAAACAAACAAACAAATACTGGTTTAGGCCAGGCTTCTTTTTTAGAAAATCTTATTCGGGTATCAGTGTGGTTTTGATGTAGCCTAGTGAGTTGCTGTTTAGATGGGAACTTGAGAACTCTGCATTCTGATGGCACAGGCCACTGGCTGGGTTGCCTGACTTGCTGTAGAAGTGAACCCTGAGTGTCCTAATTTAAGTTTCTAAAGTTGATGAACTCTGCCTGGGGAAATCTATATAGGCTGAAGTTGGTGAACTCTGCCTGGTGGGAGAGTTTGTAAAGGCCTACACTAGGAATATGACTGTAAGATTAATGAAACCATTTGGTAACTGCTTAGTTCTAAATTTTTTGTACTTTGTTAAAAAAAAAAAAAGACTTCCTCAGAATACAAAAATACTGTTTTGCATTTCACTGTTTTTCTATTGTTTTTGTTTTTAATTAGTTTTCAGTCGAGAACGTGTATTAAATTGGCTAGTTGAGCATTTACTTGCTGTATGTTTTAGTGGATCCTTATCCTTTGCAAAAATTTAATTCTAGTCATTAATCTGTCACTTAGCTCCTGTGACCTTGCCTGTGTAAATACAGTTAACATCAGCTTTATCTACCTCAGTCATTGTTTGTTGAAAGAGCATATGAAATAATAAAAGAGCATTTGTGTTTGTATGGTGGGTATTGGTTCCTTCTGCTTTCTCTACATGGAAAAGTGATTGTCATTTCTATGGTAGGCTTATTTTTAGGCCTATTGTCTTCATCCCCTTAAATATTGGAAATCTTTGTAAATTCTCACTCATACCTAAAGCAGAGAACCTACGTGCCATGTGGTACTTGTTTTTTTTTTAGTGTGTGTGGGATTCAGAAATTGTTAATAATGAATATTCAAGAAGGTACTTCAGTTTTTATGTTATTGAGATAAATAATGAAAAGAAAATATAAGATCTGTCCTCATTTTGGTAACTTATTGGTTGGCAAGGGAAATCGTTACAGTTTTTGCTTTTTAAGAAATAGTATCTTCTGGATTGAGAGTGGGAAAAGCAGTTAACTATTGAGAGTCCCCGATAAGTGTTACTTTTGTTTGGAACAGTTTACTTTTGGTTAGTCACAGGTGGGAAGAATATTTTCCTTCCTGACTTGGAGCTCAAACTTGGAAGCATTTTCAGGGTACTATTAAATGAGAAACATTGTACAGATAAAAAATTACTGTATGGAGAAAATGACTGGCTGAGTTAAATACTATGGGAGGTATAGACTGCTAATTTTATTCAATATCCTCCCCACCCCACCTGTCATATTTGTATAACTTGGTTTTACATTTGGTCTATTCTGGATTCATAATCTCAGTGTGAATTCTTACTTAATTTTTCCTGTTTTATTATGTGTGAAGAATTTTTTTTAGCTTCTGGAGTTATCCTTCAAAATAACTCCAGTTTTTCTGTGATCAGTACTAAAAGCATACTATAGTTTTTAATAAGCATTATAGTAAAAACCTTTATTTGTTAGATCCCCTTTTAATTTGAAATTTGAAAATTTGCACATGTATTGGGCTCGGCTTTGTTTTTCAACCTCTTGGGAATAGCAGGTTGTACAGATAGTTGTAAGATGTTGATTTAACTTAATGTAAGGACACAATCTTGGATGCTTTTGAAAAAATGTCATGTTAAGAATACCCATATGCATACCAAAATGAATGTGTCTTAAAAAATATGACTGATCTTTATGTTTGAGGCATTATTCTAGGTCTTTGGGGATAGAGTTGAGAACAAAAAAGCCCTGCCCACATGGAACTTAAAAACATTTTAATTGAGAGAGAAAGACATTAAACAAATTAAGATGAGTTCAGTGGCAATAAATGCTTTGGAGAGAAATAAGCAGAGTAAGGGGGATAATGAGGGTTTAGAGGTAGGGGAATGCCCAAGGCTTTGTTATTTTGCGTAAATATTCAGGGAAGTTTATCTAATATGGTGACACTTTAGCAAATAGCTATGGGAAGGAAGCGAAGGGAGCAAGCAGCATAGGTATCTAGCAGAAGAGAATTCTAGGCAGGAGGAACAACAGTACCAAACACCTGAGATAAGAGTGCTTGGCATATGGGAGGCATTGCAAAGAAGATGGCAGTGATGCAGTGGGGGGAAGAACAGATCACAAAGGGAATATAGTATGGATATATGTACATATACATACACATATGTTTTATAACATACATAGTACAGTATATATATATACACACACACCATGCACCATGCACTATATAGTATTAAATTGTGTGTGTGTTTGTGTGTATAAAGTACTGTCGTTGAAACTGAAGTCTAGTGTAATATGTTCAGTGCCATAGGCCAGTTATAAAGTGCTATGAAGATCTAGAGAAGGCAGAGATTAAATTCCATTTTTTACTCTCAGAAGTTGAAGCATGCATATCCAAGTTGGATTTACTGTTTCATTTTTGTTGCAAATAGTCTGAATTGTGAAAGCTTTGTGTCATTCTGTTGTTCCATGGGCACTCTGTTTTGTTCTTTGTTCTTTAAGCAGTATTGGCCACCGTAGCTGCTTATCTAAAATGCATGTGTTTATCAGATATTAACTTATATAATAATTGGACCTATTAAAGGAAAAATTTTAAGTAAATGTTGGTAGTTACATTGTCATTTCTTGCTAGCAATCAAGGCCAAGTTAGATCATTTGAATTCATATTTAATCATTACACACTGAAGATTAAAAGTGAACAAATTAATGTCATGAATAACTTTTTTCCCTTTATTGTAGTATAGCTGAGACATTTATACATTACATTTTATATATATTTTAAAAGTAACTCATTTCTTGGTTTTCTCCTCTGTTATATCTCTAAATTGGATTATATTATATTACATTTTTTATTGAGGCAGAGTCTCACTCTGTTGCCCAGGCTGGAGTGCAGTGGTACTATCTCCGCTCACTGCAACCTCCGCCTCCCAGGTTCAAGCAATTGTCCTGCCTCAGCCTCCTGAGTAGCTGGGATTACCCATGCCCGCCACCAAGCCCAGCTAATGTTTTTGGTATTATTAGTAAAGATGGGGTTTCAGCATATTGGCCAGGCTGGTCTCGAACTCCTGATCTTGGGTGATCCACCCCACCTCAGGTTTCCAAAGTACTGGGATTACAGGGGTGAGCCACCGCACCCAACCTATTTTACATTTTCTTCATTGAGTTTACGAATAATATCTCTTAAACAGATTGTAGGTTACTCTTCTTAAGTTTTATTGAGAATCTTTTTTTCCAGTTTTGTTCTCAGTATTACCTAGTTATCAACTGATCTGAGCTAATTCAGTAGAACAGAGGGGAGAGAAGGAGTATAAATCTTTTGTATGAACAAACAGATCCAACTCAATTACAGACCAGATCTCTGCCCTGTTATCTTCCTGTTGCAAAGACAGCATTCTAGGGTGGATGTTCATAAAGATAGTTTGATCTTCATTTTGTTCATTCTTCTGTATGGATGATTTCTTTAAATAAGCTTTATTTAAAGAAAAATGTTAAAGTTAATTTTAAAGAGATGAATAATACCAGTATTTTAATGGAAGGTTTTTAAGTAGTAAGGAAATAGAAGGTTCCTCAAAACCTTGAAACAATTCATTTTGAGATGACCAAAGTACTTGAGAGAGAATTATACCCTGAGGGAGTTTGATTTATTTTTTGGTATTGTTGATCATTTATGTGATTCTAATTGGTACCCTGCTTCTTAGGTAGATTATGGTAGTCTCAATTGCTCTAATTGAGAGATTTTTAACAACATCTCCAAACTATTACTGCTCCACTTTGTGTTAAATCTTTTGCCTGTTTGTATGCAGATCTGGTATTAACAATAAATTAAAACCACAGAGGAAATTAATCATTTAAAAATTTTTTATTGCAGACTTAATTCAGTGCACAAATGAGATGAATGTGAACATCCCACAGTTGGCAGACAGTTTATTTGAAAGAACTACTAATAGTAGTTGGGTGGTGGTCTTCAAATCTCTCATTACAACTCATCATTTGATGGTGTATGGAAATGAGGTAAGCAGAATTTTTATTGAACAAGTATACTGATGTGTTGACTTATTGTTAGCTAGCTTCTCTCACTGAAACTTCAGAAACAGCTCCCAGGTACAAAGGTCAAGGTGCCTAGCCAGAAATATAATTATAGACCCTGTAATTTGAGGAAAGATAGCTTGTAAGCCAGAAAGCAAAAAGTGGGTTAGAGCACAGAGGACATCAATAATGGATCAAGAAGCAAAGATTAATGCCTAGAAATGGGTTCCATAAGCATCCCTGGTTTTTGCTGGTCCTGTTTATAGACTATATATTTTGTCTATATCCATTTGTTCTTTTATTATAGTCCAGTTAGATTTTTTGTTTGTTTGTTTTGAGACAGGGTCTTGCTTTGTTGCCCAGGCTGAGGTGCAGTGGTACCATCATAGCTCACTGCTACCTCAAATTCCTGGGCTCAAGGGACCTTCCCACCTCAGCCTCCCATGTAGCTGGGATTACAAGTGTGTGCTACCATGCCTGGCTTATTTTTAAATTTTTTTGTAGAGATGGGGGTCTTTCCATCTTGGCTTAGGCTGGTCTTGAACTTCTGGGCTCAAGTGATCTTCCCACCTTAGCCTCCCAAAGTGCTGGGATTACAGGCGTAAGCCATCACACCCAGCTTTAGATTCTTGTCTGATCTCATATAGTTGTTTATGGAAGCACTTTGCCTACTTCAAAGCTGTGATATTTAGGACTAAGATGGCATTTGCTGAGAGGGACTGATTGAAGTGTGCCTTCTTCAGCAGAGAGGTGTGTCTGAAGCCTTTGTTGCCTAAAAGGGTAACAAATAAGATATATACGCTTTTGAAAATCTGTTTTGAGAGAATCATCTTACTTTCCGTGATAGCCTAGCAGCTAATTTTTTGGTTCATTTTCTCAGCTCAATAAACTTATTTGTAAAATTGTATTAACAGGAGCTTTTCAAGAACATCTGAGTAGAACTAGATAAATCTTCTTCGGTATGTGCCTTAGAAAAATGCAGCCCGGGAAGATAACCTTCTAGAGATGAGAAAGAACTTTAGTCATTGGTATTAGTTTTCTGAGCGTAATGACTTGTTGACATCCATCACGTTGTGTGTTATTTTGGGCTTTTCAGTATTGAAACTATTTTTTGACAACTACCAATATAGCATTATTAAAGTTCAAAATTAAAGCAAGAATTTACCCACAACTTTATTGTTCCAGCACATCTTACTTTTGGCACATTTTGGTCTTCCCTCTAGTTCTTGTCCAAAAGTATTTGTATTTTTTAAATGGCTATAATCATAATGTAGATAAAATATACTTAGCTTTTTATATAATATTACACTATCAGCATTGCCATGTTGTATTTTTTTATCATCTTTAGTAACTATGTAATTGATCGTATAGTTCACAATTTTTAAACTATTTTCCTTGCTAGAAATTGAGTTTTCTGATTCATCGTTATACCACCACATTGAGTGATTTTATTTGTAGTTTTTAATTTTTAAAAATGATTTCCCCTAAGTGTTACCTGAAATGTGATTACTAAGTCAACAGACATGACCATTTTTAGGACTTATGTTAGTTGCTTTCTAATTCATTATAACCAGTTGATAGAGCTAATAGAAATGTTTGGCTGTATTAGCTTAAATGTAACTTGAAACATCTTAACTAGGATAATAGTTTTTACTTTTAGCAAGAATATGTTTAGTTAAGATTATGATTATTCTGAAGAATTCCAAGCGTGTATGTACTTTTCTTCTTCTTCTTTATTTATTTGATGTAGTTTATTTTTTAAAAAGAAAAAGCCACAAATATAACCAGCTACACTGCCAGATAAACAAAGTATCAATAATGGCTTTCAGAGGCTGTAAATAAGGTAATTGATAGTACTAGAGGCAAAATGTTAATAAAGACAAAACAGAAAGTTGACAGTCATTTTGTAGATTGACTGACAAGGGGAGAAAGATAGCATTTTAGTGTGTTTTTTTGATAGTGTGTTTTTTGATAAACTCATGTTTAGCTTCCTGTAGGCAGTTAAAGCAAATTCCATGCTCTGTTCATTTTTTATGCTGGTTTGTACAACCTTCAGGTTTTTATGCTAGTTTGTACAACCTTCAGATGTTCCCATTGGCAGGTGCCATTAATTTGTTAGAGGCTGTACATAGGATTTCACTATACTGTGGTGATTGGAATACCATGGAGCGGTGATTCTCAAAACTGAGTGGGGAAGGGGGATGATTTTTTTTTTCCCTTAGGGGACATTTGTCACAACTGAAGGGGATGCTGCTGGTATATAGTAGGTAAAGGCCAGGGCTGCTTCAAAACATCTTACAATAATGCACAGAACAGGCTGGGTGAGGTAGCTCACACCTGTAATCCCAGCAATTTGGGAGGCCAAGGTGGGTGGATCACCTGAGGTCGCAAGTTCGAGACCAGTGTGACCAACATGGTGAAACCCCGTCTCTAGTAAAAAATACAAAAATTAGCCAAGCGTGGTGGTGCACATATGTAATCCCAGCTACTCAGGAGGCTGAGGCAGGAGAATCGCTTAAACCTGGGAAGCGGAGGTTGCAGTGAGCGAGATGACACCTTTGCATGCCAGCCTGGGCAACAAAGCAAGAGACTCCATCTCAAAAAAAAAAAAAAAAGAAAATTAAAAACAGTAATGCACAGAGCAGTCTCCAACAACAAAGAATTACCTGATTCAGTGTCAGAGTACTCAGGTTGAGAAACCTGGCCACAGAGAAAAATCTCAAAAGGTAAGGCTGAGTGAGCATTGTGTTATAGACCCTTAACATGAGGCAGGTAGGTACTTTTATACTGTTGTTCACTTACCAACTGGGTGACTTGGGTAAGTCACTTCTGGAGCTTCCTCAATAATATGATAGTACCTTCATGGTAAATAGAATTGACCAAGGCTCTTACTATAGTATGACAAGTTATAGATGATTAATACATGAAAATGTAGAGTTAAAAATTTGTAGATGAAATTAGAAAAGAGAAGTACCAAGCATGGATTTATTATAAAGTATTTAATACCATTTTGGGTAAAATAATCTGAAATATGTTCTTTAAATATTTTGTTATGAAAAGTTTCTAATATACACAATAGTAGAGTGAATGGCATAACAAATGCTTATGTACCTAATCACCCACCTTCCACATTGCCATTCTTTAAATGAAGGTTTAGGATAATCCATTTCAGGTTACCGCTTATGACCCAAAATGGGAACCTGTGAAGCCTTATTACTTGCCAGAGTGTTGGCATGGTGCTCAATTTAATACCATTTTGAATATCATTAGGATGCTGTTGAAAACAAAATCAAAACTTGATTAAAGCCATATATGTCTTTGCAGCTAAATATAATGAACGTAGAAAGGACTAATAAAATGAAAAGGAAAATTTAGATTTATTATCTCTAAAATCATGAATGAAATGGCCTGGTAGACGAAATTATTTACATTAATTTAGAATGCAGAGGTAAAGAAGAGTCTTATCAAAATCTATTAAAATCATAGTCTAATATTGTCTTACGATATTTTTATAACTTTTTGAAACACTATTTTAGGATAATTGTGAAATATGAGTCTTCAGTTTACACATTGATTTTCAAAATCCTGGTTTGTTAGTTTGGGGTGATCTCAGTTGTACAAGTCTAATTTGGAGGCCGGGCGCAGTTTCTCATACCTATAATCCTGAGAGTTTGGGGGGCCAAGGCGGGAGGATTGCTTGAGCCCAAGAGTTCCAGACCAGCCTAGGCAATGTAGTAAGACGTTGTCTCTACAAAAAATTTTTTTAAAAATGTGAGCTGGACATGCCTGTAGTCCCAGCTACTTGGGGGCGAGGGTGAGGGGTGGATGGTGGGTGGTGCTTCATACTGAGATGGGAGGATTGCTTGAGAGCAGGAGGGTGGAAAGCTGTGATCACACCACTGTACTCCAGCCTGGATGACAGAGCGAGACCCTGTCTCAAAAAAAAAAAAAAATACTGATTTCAGAGGTGATGGTGTACATCCTAGTTGATTATTAGCCTCTACATGCATTAAAAAAAAAATGAAGAAGAAAGTAAAGTAATCCTAAGAAGCGAAGTTGAAAGGCATTTCTTTAGCTATTTAGAGGCTGTATGTGAAGGAGACTAAGGTTATGTACTATGGTAAGCACTTCAGAGACCATTTTGGCAATATTGAGAAGATGAGCTTTTACATATGTGCTGGCCTAATAATTCATCCCTAGGTATATATCCTGAAAAACTCATATACTCATATACTTATGCATGGAGACCATGAAGAAATATGTCAATACAACTTTGTTAATAATAGCGAAAATTACAAAGTATATCCATAATAAATAAATGGATTTATGATGATGTATTCATTAGAATATTAGAACATCATTTAAGATGAAATGTTAAGTGGGACAATTCTTAGGGAAAAGTTGAGTTAAAACACATTGCAAAGAGTAAGTACACTATGATACTTGTGTAAATTTCAAATAGAAAACACTTGGATAGTTTATAGATACTTGTATGTCTAGTAAAATGGTGAAAACCTGTGTGAAAGTAACGTATACCTGTTTCAGAAAAGTACTCACCTCTGAAGAGGGAGGGAAGGGAGATTGAAGGTGTGGTTCTTCAATGGAGGCTATAATGTTTTGATTCTATATAAGATGTGAAGTGAACATGTGAATTTGTTTAATCTGGACAGTGGGTAAGAGGATCTCTATTGCTTTCTTGTATGTTTAGAAGTATTTTTTTTTTAAAGCCAAAACTTTGGTTTACCAGACGGCTGTTTAAAATACAGATGCCACCTAAAAATGATTAGCTATAGTTTTAGTATGCTGTAATAAAACCAAAACTACTGCTTCCACTGCCTATTTGCTTTTATTGTTTTGACTTAATACTATATCTGTGGGCATTAGGCTTTAATAAATTCTCGCATGCTAGTGAAAAATATGTATTATGTTTTTAGGTTTGGTAACTAGTTAATGGAAAGAGTGAGGATGAGAAATTTAAACTAGATAAGCTTAATAGAATGTGTTAACCATAACTTTTCCTCCTAATTTTCGAATTAGAGTTGGTGAGATGGCAGTACCTTAATATGATGTAATTTTTTTTTTCCAGCGTTTTATTCAGTATTTGGCTTCAAGAAACACGTTGTTTAACTTAAGCAATTTTTTGGATAAAAGTGGATTGCAAGGTAAAGATAACTTTTACATTATAGAAAATCAAAAGAATGACACCCACATGATGATTACTCCAGAGTAGAACTCTGTCTTTTAGAACATGTGCTACTTTAAACCTTATATTTTAGTGAAGGTTGTAGGAAAGAAAAAACTGTCTTTTAATTTGAAGATTAATAATAATCTTCCTACCAGATACTCAGAGCTCTCTGAGACGGAGTACAGAGTAGTTATTTGAGAGCATGAATTCTGGAGCTGGACTGTCTAGGTTTGAATCTCATCTTTGCTGCCTACCAGCTATATGAACTTGGGCAGGTTACTTCACCTCTGCATCAGTAGAATCGAGTAATAGTGATAGTACCTACCCAGTAAGATTGTCATGAGACTTAACCTAGTTAATTACTACAAAGTGCTTAGAACAGTGCCTGGCACACAAGACATGCTATGTAAGGCTGGGTACGGTGGCTCATGCCTGTTATTGCAGCACTTTGGGAGGCTGAGGCGGGTGGGTCACTTGAGGTCAAGTGTTCAAGACCAGCCTGGCCAACATGGTGAAACCCCGTCTCTACTAAAAATACAAAAATTAGCCGGGATTGGTGGTGCACACCTGTAATCCCAGCTACTCAGGAGGCTGAGGCAGGAGAATCGCTTGAACCCAGGAGGCGAAGGTTGCAGTGAGCCAAGATCATGCCACTGCACTCCAGCCTGGGTGACAAAGCTAGACTCTGTCTCAAAAAAACAAACAAAAAAAGAAATGCTATGTAATATTTGCTTTCATTGTTATTATATTATGTTTCATTCCAAGAAATGTAGTTGAAATATTACATGTTTTAGTAGCTAAAGTGGATATAATTTGTTGAGATGAATTGTTCCTTCATATTCGTAGCTATTTTCTTATTTATGTTTTTTTGAGACGAAGTCTCGTTCTGTCACCAGGCTGGAGTGCAGTGGCATGATCTTGGCTCACTGCAACCTCCGCCTCCCGGGTTCAAGCGATTCTCCTGCCTCAGCCTCCCGAGTAGCTGGGACTACCCGCGCATGTCACCACGCCCAGCTACTTTGTGTATCTTTAGTAGAGATGGGGTTTCACCATGTTGGCCAGGATGGTCTGCATCTCTTGACCTCATGATCTGCTTGCCTCGGCCTCCCAAAGTGCTGGGATTACAGGCGTGAGCCACCACACCCGGCCTGCTATTTTTTATTTAGTAACTTGAAATGGACATAATGTGGTTATAGCTGTCCATGCACATTGTCTTAATGGGATCTGTTTTACTTAGTTCTGTAACTAGGCTGTTAGCATTATAGAATGTTAGCTTTAGGGAGAACCTCATAAAGGATATGCCAAATGAATTGGGAATATTCAACAGTGAGGCTCAATCAGGGAAATGTCTTTAGAGAAGGTGAGATTTGTGCTGGGCTTCAAGAGAAGGATGAGAAGATGAGTTGGCTTAAGCACAGGTACAATACATGAATGTGAAAGTAAGGACAGATACACAGATGTATATGGATGTGAAAGTCATTCACATGGATATGAGTATTTAAGATTTACAGAGCAAATGAATGTGAATAGAATATATATGAATGGTGTATTTGAGAACATGTAGTGGCAGATAGCCCTCAAGAAGCTGTTCAGAGCCAAAATCAAGCACAAAAATTTTTTATAGAGTTGGAATTTTATAATGCAGTAGAGAGAGGAGGGGAGAGGGAATTATGTGTTACCAGGAAAGCATCATAGCTTAGTCAAGTTAGATCAGAGTAAACCAAATCTTGAAGATGCTGAGACTGTTTCAGTTGTTCTGGTTATCTAGTGTAGAGTTAATCAGGGCCTGAACTGTGGTTCTTCTGGAGGTGTAAAAAAAAAAAAAGATCAGGGGAATTTTTTTTTTTTTTTAATGTGACTGGCTGTATTTGAGTTTGGAGGTGTTCAGTCCAATACTTGTTTCCCTTTGGTAAGTGCAGGTATTGCTTAAAAAGAATTTAATACCCTATCTTCCAGACATTCTAGAAGACCAGTAATCTATATGTAGGACCCATTGTTACAAAATGCATTATATTTTAACAAGAGTTACGGCGCTCTAACTTAAGGAAAAAAAATTAAAACAGTAGACCCCCTCTCTTGAAAAAAAAATTTTTTTTTTCTTTGAGACAGGATCTGGTTCTGTTGCTGAGGCTGGAGTAAGAGAGACCGGGGCTTGCTCTGTCACCTAGGCTGGGTGCAGTGGTATGATCGTAGCTCACTGCAGCCTCTAACTCCTGGCTCAAGCGGTCCTCCCTTCAGCCTCCTGAGCAGCTGGGATTACAGATGTGCACCACCACGCCTGGCTAATATTTTTATTCTTAAATATTTTGTAGAGATGGGCTCTTGCTCTGTTGACCAGGTTGGTCTTGAACTCTTGGTCTAAAGCGATCCTCCTAAGCCTCCCAAAGTGCTGGGATTACAGGCATGAGCCACCACACCTGGCCTCTTTTTGAAATCTTAAACAGAAGCCAGATATATATTATAGATAAAAATGGAGTGTCTCTATTTTCAGGGGCATGGAAGAAACTGCCTACTCATCCTTTAATTTTCACTTCCTCCCTCATTCAGTTCATTTTAACTTTAAAAGTCTATGGAAAACAAGATGCAGAGCAGTGCTCTAGGCAGAGTTTATGCATATATCCAAGTAGGTTTTTTGTGTCTTATTAGCGACTGATTTATCATTTTCTTAAGATGGAAATTAAGCAATTCTAGTGGTAAGGTGTTAATAATTTCACTCTTTTTATGTAGACGAGAGGTTGAGCCTTGAAGGATGAGAGGTGTTTACCGTCTTAGGATGGGGTATAGTAGATAGAACCATATGAACCGAAGAGCTGAGGAATGTGAGCATGTAACACCTGACGTGTACAGTAGTAGGTATGAAGTCATATGGGAGCAGTATTTTTTTTTCTATTTTGTTCACTGATTTTTCTCCACTGGTACTTAATAGGCACTCAATAAATATTTTGCTAAATAAATGAACTGGTGATGTTGAAATCCAGTTAGTTTACATTTTGGTTGGTTTTGGTATTGTCTTTTAAAGGTAGCAAAGACCAAGTAATTAAATTTGTTAGATGAATATGAGATAAAATGGGTTCACTTTTCAATGAGGAGCAAAAATTTATAGACTTCCTTGAGCCAGGTAATAACTAAAACACAAAGTTTTTGGTGTTTTTAGAAAATAATATTGATTAGATTTTATGTTGCTAAAGTTTTCAAGTCAAGGTCATGATGAAACAAAATCTTAGAATGATTTATGTATTCATTTAGAAAGTTTCATTGAAAACATTCATATAATTGTTTTTGTTACACCCTGAACTTGCATGTTGCCATTTCTTATATTACACAGTAATTTTTTATACTTTTTATAAGGTTGGCACATACAAGTTATGGTTCTAAATACAGCTAAAGATTTTAGGAGTATAAAAATTATATAAAGTTGCTTGATTTGAGGAATGGGATTGTGGTTCCATAGGATGTTAAATTTGAGTTGTGAGATTATCAAGTTGTGTAAAAGAACGTTTTTCTAATTCCTGATGAATAAAGAATAGGAATATTGAGAGAATAGTGAAGTTCTAAGGGAAGAGGTTTTTTTTTTAAAACTACATAGGACTTATCTGATTTAAATATGAAGCCTTAAGAGAATTTAATGGTAATGTTATTAATTAGTTACTTAATTTACATACTAAATTGAATTGGGATATCAAGACATTTTATAGCCATTGGATGCAATGAGTTGTTTTTCTAGGCATATTGGGATTTTTAGTCATTTATAAAAACTTGTCTCTCTCTTTGTTTTGTTTTTGTTTTTGTTTTTTTACAGGATATGACATGTCTACATTTATTAGGCGGTATAGTAGATATTTAAATGAGAAAGCAGTTTCATACAGACAAGTTGCATTTGATTTCACAAAAGTGAAGAGAGGGTGAGTTAAGCTTTTTTTGACATCTAATTGATTTGAATTTTTAAAAATGTAAAACATAGGAGTTACTAGATTATGAATTATGAAATTTTAGCCAGTTTTAAAAGATGAGCCTCATTTTTCTTTGATGAGGTATATCAAGTACTTTTTGTGGTAGGATTTGTTTTTAAGTTCTTTTTATAGCACCTTTATTGAGATATCATTCACATAACAAAATTTATCATTTTAAAGTGTGTAATTCATTGGTTTTTAGTGTATTTACAAAGTTGTCCAACATCACCACTAATTTCAGAACATTTTTATCACCTCCACAAAGAAACTCTATACCTATTAGCATTCATTTCCTATTCCCTCTTCCCCTAGATCCTGGCAACCATGAATCTACTTTCTGTGTCTCTGGGCTTGTCTATTCTGAACATTTCATATAAATGAAATTATACAATATGTGACCTTTGTGTAGCATGATATGTCCAAGTTATAGCATCCATGTTATTTCATATATCAGTATTTTATTCCTTTTTCTAGCCAAATCATATTTTACTTTATGGACATATACTGCATTTTGTTTATCTGTTCATAAGGTGATGGCCACTTGAATAGTTTCTACTTTTGCCTATTAGGAATAATGGTGCTGTGAACATTAGATTTTATGTGGATTATCTTTTTAATTCTCTTCGGTGTATACCTAGAAGTGGAATTGCTGTGTCATATGGTAACTCTTATGTTTGTCATTTTGAGGAACTGCCAAATCATTTTTCAAAGCAGTTGAATCACTTTACGTTCCCACCAGCAATGTATGGCACTTTCAGTTTCTCCCTATTCTTGCCATACTTGTTATTTTCTGGGTTTTTTTTTGCCTTTTTTTTTTTTTCTTAAATGGTAGCCATCCTAGTGGGTGTGAACTGGTGTCTTGTGATTTTTAGTTTGCATTTCCCTGATGGCTAATGATATTGAGCATTTTTTTTGAGCTGTTGACCATTTGCATATCGTCTTTTGAAAAAATGCCTCTTCAAACCCTTTGCCCTGTTTTTATTTTTTATTTTCACTTTTTGAGACAGTGGCACCATCCCAGCTCACTGCAGTGTCGACCTCCTGTGCTCAAGCAATTTTTCCCCCTCAGCCTGCTGAGTAGCTGGGAACACAGGCATGCAACACTATGCTCAGTTAATTTTTAAAAAAATTTTCATACAAATGAGTTCTCACTATGTTGCCAAGGCTGGTCTTGAACTCCTGGGCTCAAGCAGTCTTCCCATTTTGGCCTCCCACAGTGTTGAGATTATAGGCTTGAGCTACTGACCTGGCCTTTTGCTCATTTTTAAATTGGGTTACTTGCCCTTTTTATTGTTAAGTTGCAAGAATTTTAAAAAATATGTTCTGGGCACCAGTTTCTTATCGCATAAATAATTTGCAAATATTTTTCTCCCATGGCTTGTCTTTTCAGTTTCTTGTTGGTGTTTTTTGAAGAACAAACATTTTTAATTAATTAAGTGTATCTTTTTTTTCCTTTGGTTGCTTGTACTTTTGTAATCATGTCTAAGAAATCATTGTTTAATCCAGGGTCACAAAGATTTACTCCTACTTTTTATTCTAAGAATCTTGTATTTTTTGCCCATATAGTTAGGTTCTTATCTATTTGGAATTAACTTTTGTATATGGTGTGAGAGGTGAGTCCAAATTTATTCTTTTGTATGTGGATATTGAGTTATCCCAGCAACATTTTGTGAAATTACTCTTCTTTCCCCATTGGATAGTCTTAGTACCTTGTTGAAGATGAGTTGACCATAAATGTAAAGGTTTATTTCTGGACTTGCAGTTCTGTTCTGTTGATCTGTATGTATATCTTCATGCCAGTACCACATTGTCTTGATTACTGTTGCTTTGCAGTGTGTTTTAAAATTAGAACGTGTGAGTCTTCCAATTCTATTCTTTTTTTTTTTTTTTTTTTCCCAAGATTGTTTTAGCTGTTCTGGGCCCCTTGCATTCCCATGTGAATTTCAGGATCAGCTTTTTGATTTCTGCAGAAAAGATAGCTGGGATTTTGTGGGGGATTGCATTGAATCTATAGATCAGTTTGGGGAGTATTACCTTCTTAATGATTAAATTTCTAGTCTATGAACAAGAGATGTGTTTCTGTTTATTTGGATCTTTTTTCATTTCTTTCAGTGCTGTTTTGTATTTAAGCTTTCTTTTAATCTTAAATGCAGAAGATGCATTTAATTTTTGCTGCACCCTAAATAACAATCATCTTAGTACATGATCCAGTCACATGAATGATATAGTCAGTGCTTCTATAAGTGATAACACCTGATATGCAGATTTTTTTCCTAGGATATAGGATGAGGCCTCAGGAGAAAGCCACTGAAGACATTCTTAGCAGCAGCGATGACCCTTGTAGCTATGAAGACCTGTCTTGAAGGGAATCTGGCATGTACAGAAATAGTCTGGTGAATGCCTTCCTGAGCCACTCTGCTGCTCAGTGATCCCAAAGGTCTAAGCAATTGATGTGTTCCTTTAGATTGTTCTATTGAAATTTTAAATTAATGGACTGAAGTGAAAAATTTAATTAAAATATAGAGGTAACCTCTTAGTTATGCAAGAAAATTTAAAGCTGAATTTAAATGTTCTATGCTGCCATTCCAAATCCATCAGGAGGTGATTATTTTGGAATATACCTAAAGTAAATTCTACAGATTTTGTTTCATATATTTAAGCACTTTGTAGAAGATTATGGTGGAGAACTTTTTTAGAAGTCTGATTTTTAACCTCTGTATCCTGTCCAATAATATTTCACTGTAAAGTGTCTTCAGTGAAGTTGATCTTCAGTGTATTTACAGATTTCAGAATAATAGATTTTTAAAATGGTAACTTTTGTTCTAATTTGAAGGGCCAGTCTTGAGAATAGTTGGTGAATTTTTTTATTTAATAGAGCAGTCTTTTTTAATTGGAGGAAAATAGCTCCTGATTAAGTACAATAAAATTAGTATTGACTTAGTTGAATCAAGGAGGAGCCATAATTGAGTGGGGACCAAGAAGAAGTGCAAAAGTGGCATTATACACACACATATACACGTCAGACTGTATAAATACAAAAGAAAAAAATCAAGAATATCAGGTATAAATTGAGGACATGACAGCAATTGAAATTATTATATCATGGCAAAAACCTCAGTAGGCTACACCTTTTGGAGAGGACTCTCATTGTAAGTAGTAAAGTTTGATTTATTAAGATTTTTTTTTATGTTTACAAAAGTAATAAAATTTAAGAAAAATACCATCCTAATTCATAGAAAATGTTAACATTTTAGTGTGTCTAACCTTTTCTGTGCGAGTAAATAGAAATATGTATATAAAGGCACATAGAAAATTACATAAAAATTGGATCAGATTCTTTGAAGGCTGCTTTTCTTCCCCTCCTGTGTATTTTGGACATTTTCAATGTCTGTACACATAGATCCATCTCATTTTTTTCTTTTTTTTTTTTAAGTCAGAGTCTGGCTCTATCACCCAGGCTGGGGTGCAGTGGCGTGCTCTTGGCTCACTGCAACCTCCACCTCCCGGGTTCAAGCGATTCTTCTGTCTCAGCCTCCCAAGTAGTTGGGACTACAGGTGCCCGCCACAATGCCCAGCTAATTTTTGTATTTTTAGTAGAGATGGGGTTTTGCCATGTTGGCCAGGCTGATCTTGAGCTCCTGACCTCAAGTGAGCTACCTGTCTCGGCCTCCCAAAGTGCTGAGATTACAGGCATGAGCCACCTCATCTGGCCTCAATCCATCTCATTCTTATGAATGGCTGTAGAATTATGTTGCAGGTGTACATCTGATTTATTCCCTTTTTTTAATCTTATAAAAGCAGTGGATTGACCATCCTTTTATGTATGGTTGCATTGAGTTTTTCTATAGAATAAATTATTAAAATTGATGAGTCATTGAGATATATATACATTTAACATTTTAATACAAAACACCAAATTATCCTTTATAAAAGTTATACTAAATTATTGGCTTAAATAGTTATTTGTATTCTTCCATCATCATGAAAAATGCGTTCATATGTGTTCATTTTATATTAGTTGATTGAATAAATGGTGATATTGAGCACACTCCCCCTTCCTTTTGAATGCCATACTTGTTTTATTAATTGTCTTTTGATGTCCATTGACAGCTTCTCTATTGGGTTTTTCACTCTTTTCCATTGTGTTTAATAGTGGTAAGAACTCACAAGCTTTTTTAGTCAGATGAATCTAGGTTTGAATTCTAGCTTCACACCAATTAGATGAGAGACTTCAGTGAGATACTTTAGCTGGTTTACTGACTTTTAAAAAATAATATTACTTTAAAATAATTTCACTTCCAGAAATGTAGCAAGAATATTAGAGAACTTCTGTATACTTTACTCAGAACCACCAGTTTTTAGCATTTTGCCACATCTGCATTTCTCTTTCTGTGTATATTCACACAGGCGCACACACACATTTTTTTCTGAACCATTTGAGAGTGGGTTACATACCTGATGCCTTTTATAGTTTATATCTTTTAATACTTTGGTGAATATTTTCTAAAAACAAGGATATTTTATTACGTATCTATCAGCTTGCTAAACTTCTTTCACATGGTGGCACACAAACTGTTAACTATTTATACAAGAGACTACTTGAGGCTAAAGGGTTAAAAAGGATCAACATCTTGGCACACTTATAACCCTTTCTACCATACTAGTATGCTGTGGCAAAACTGGGAAGGCCTTACTTAAGCTCTGAGTTATTTCATCTGTAAAATTACGATGTTAATTAGTACTTTCCTGTCAGGATTGTTGTGAGAATTAAATGGGATATTGTATGTAGTGCTTAACACATAACAAACACTCAACAAATGAACTTTTTGTATATTAGGAAAATAAATTGTTATAGGTTATGAGTATTTTTCCTTGTTTTTTAACATTGTTAAAAGCTTTACAATCTTAGGTGATCAAAATCATTATCTTCATTTTTATGTTTTTTATCTTTCAAGCAAGCTCAGTGAGCTAAAATGATTATGTTTTCATCAGTTATATTTATGGATTAGGTGTTTTATATTTTAATCTTGGATTCATTTGGAATCTACCATGGTAGGAAAAACATGAGGTAGAAGCTAACTTTTTTTTTTTTTTTTGAGACAGAGTCTCACTCTGTCACCCAGGCTGGAGTGCAGTGGCGTGATCTCTGCTCCCTGCAACCTCCGCCTTCCAGATTCAAGCGATTCTCCCACCTCAGCCTCCCGAGTATCTGGGACTATAGGCGCATGCCACTGTGCCCGGCTACTTTTTGTATTTTTTAGTAGAGATGGGGTTTCACCATATTGGCCAGGCTGGTCTCGAAATCCTGACCTCGTGATCCACTCGCCCCTCAGCCTCCCAAAGTGCTGGGATTACAAGCGTGAGCCAACGCGCCCAGCCTTAGCCAACACTTTTTAAATAGAAATATAGTTTGGGTGGCAAGAAGACCAGACAATTGCTTTTTGTTATTTTCTGTTCCAGAATGAAATATTTTGGGAGTTAAGAGCTGAGAGCTTATGTGTTTCATGTAAGGAGACAAGGAAAGAGAAGAGGATTCGAAGATACTTAGGAGAGGATTTTATTAGAGACGGCTAAGAGGATTGCTGGCAATGTTGAGTATTCATTTGAGGTTGATGATCATGAGTTTATAGTTTTGCCAGTTTGCCCAGTTGTGCTGTTTTCTTTACCAGCACTCAGCTATGTGTGTACAGGCATGGATTAGTTAGGTGTTTGCTCAGCCAGGATAGTGAATTTGCCAGATGACTGAAATGCAGGGAAGAAAAGAGGTGCAAGAAAGTTAAAGGTATTTGTAAAGGAGTGATTATATTAATGATCTGTGGAATTCTAAGCTAGATGAAGAAAGTAAAAATGAGAAAGGATCAATGTGGGTAGTGGTGGAGTTGAAACATTGAAGTTTCTGATGAGGTCAAATAGTTTTTACCACAGGGATATGTGACCAAAGCAGCTGAAAGGTTAAAAGGTAATTGTCACAGAATAAGGTGTCTGAATTTTACCTTTTTTTGTTGTTGTTCTTCAGGGGTGGGGCTAGGATGATGTGGTTTCTGGGGGCAGTAAGGTTAGAATCAGGGATTTTGACATCAAGGTGTTGGATTGGTTGTCCATGTAGATGTTGAAGCTAATGACAAGAAAGACTGAGCCAATGTTCAAATCTTCTGTGATGGAGAAGTAACCAGAGGTAAAAAAATGACATCAGTAAGAAGAGTTGCAAAAGAAGGAATGGTGTCCTCAGCCCAAGCTCCAGCAGCTGCTTCCAGCCAATGCTGTTTAGCACTTGAGCGGAAACAGGCATCCATAAGTTAACACATTAGGGAGAATTAGGCCGAAGCTGATCAATAGGTGACTACTTAAGGCAGTCTAGTATTTGGTTATTAAACTTTGTTGTGTCCTACAAAGCACAGTTGTTGCTTTTTATAGCTTAATTGTTTTTTGGCGTCTGAGGTCATAGTTCATGGTTTATCGTAGGGTAGAACAGCCATTTATAAGTATAGGTCATTTGTAAATTAGGGGAACCTGACATATTTTTTGGAAATGCCTTGTTACTCAACCAAACAGTAAATCAGTAGAATGAGGATTTGAAAATGATAGGGCAATCTCTGAATAATACTTAGTGTGATATATAATAAGCTCTTAATATTAGTTGTGTACGTTAGCCCCAGTACCTTTCATGTACTGGTTTTTAAATCTGTTTTGGTGCTGCCAATAATTTCTCTATCTTTAGAAATATCTGTTTGGAAATATTTAACAGACTATTTTATTAAAGGCTGTCCATTGAAAGTATCTCTTGTGTAATAGCCAGATTAGAATGATTTGGTAAAATTGTTCTTTATTTTGTAATAAAGTAGTTTTAGTTATAATTTCTGAATTAAAAGCCATTGCTGTTGGGTCATGAATAAAATACTTTAAATAAAACAGAGCTCTAAGACTTTGTTAACTCTTGGCCTACAGAGTGTTTAACTGTTTTTTGACTTGAGGCAAATGATTATTTTATTTGTAATTTTAAAAAATGGTAAAACTGCTCTTTACACACCAATGATTGTGAGGATCAGATCATTTCATCTTGTGAAAATACAAGCTATAGACCTTGCTGTATAATGTATACTTTTGCTTTTATGGCTCATGCTTTATGTTCTTTTTTAGTTCTAAATGAGTACCTTGATATTTGACATATTGTGTTGCCTGTTTTTGTTTTTTCTGTATGATCTCTGCTTCAGTTTTCATGTTCCATAATGACTTAAAAATATGTGACATTTCATAGCAACTTGGTTCTCTGTTTTAGTAGAAAACCAGGGGGGGAGTTTGAAATGTAGATTTAATTGCAGATTCATTTGTTTATTTCTCTGGTTTTTTCATAACAGGGCTGATGGAGTTATGAGAACAATGAACACAGAAAAACTCCTAAAAACTGTACCAATTATTCAGAATCAGATGGATGCACTTCTTGATTTTAATGTGAGTTATGCTTTTGTAATTTAAGATTTTAAAAAATTAGGTCATTATAATTCATGAGAATTTTTAACCTCAAGTTTTCACAGACTCTAGTTTTTCACATCCTGATATCCTATATGGCTAAGGATTTTTTATAAAATAGTCTCAAGTCAAATTACTTTCTGATTTTTATGACTGTTTTGGATTTATTTCTTTAGTGCTTCTCTAGCTCTAGAATTTTAAGATATACAAGCTAAAGTGGTGAAAGGATTGATCTGAAAATATATTTTCTTTTGATAATGGCTTTTAGATCTTGAAAATGTACAGGGATATTTTTTAAATAAATAGCCAACTTAATATTTTACTTTTGTCTATTTAATGGGACTCAAAGCATGGCAATTATTCAGAAGAAGAAGTTTAAATAGCAGTTATAATAGCTTATTATGTAGCTATTGCCCAAGGGCATTGTGTTCGCTGGAATTTTTGTTTTAATGACCATGACTTGAACCAAGCTGCCAGCTTTGTCATTCATTTATAATGTGTTAGAAGTTAACGTTTTCAACTCTGTTCTGTTTTTTTGTCATCTATCTTAACAATGTTTTGTTTATTATTTATTTGTCATTTTGTTTTAGAGATTGTGAGTGCAAGTTAGTGAATGGAACTGTGACAGTTTCATGCTGAAATAGATTTTTCCTTTAAATTGTTTAATTGCTAGTTTTTAAGCTTCTTCAGGGCAGGAACTAGGTCACTTTTGTTCTCTGTTGTACCCCCATTGCCTATTAATGTGGCACATAGTAAGTGTTCAGTAAACATTCAATAAATCTTACAGGTATTTCATAGACTAAAACAGAGATTATCCAACTACAGCTTACTGCCTGTTTTTGTATGTTTTTTAAGTGGTTGAAAATAATTAAATGGTATTTTGTAACAGGTGGAAGTTACATGAAATTCCAACTTCAGTGTCCTCAATAGTATTATTGGAACACAGCCAAGCTCACTGATACATATTATCTATGGCTGTTTTATGTTACAACAGCAGAGTTCAAAAGTTATGACAGAGACTGTGTGGCCCACAGTCTAAAATATTTACCATCTGACCCTTTACAAAAAAAAGTTTGCTGACCCCTGCTCTAGAAGGCATGGGGTACTGATGCAGTTATTCAACATTATTTTGGTTTGTATAGAATCTCAGGGTCCAACCATGCATATTTTTCTTAATATATTGTATTTGTTTAAAATTTCTTATTCTTTTCAATGTCTGTATTGTACTTTGTTATATAATAACAATTTATCTAATCCTCCTGTTGATAGATGTTTATTCTGTTTTTTTATCCTAAACAGTGCTACACTCAATTCTCTCTCCTCTCTCTGTCTCTTGTCTGTCTCTCCCTCTGTGTGTGTGTGTGTTTCTATTTGTAAACCTATTTCAATAGGTTTAACACCCAGAAAAAGAATGTGGTGGTTCAAATAATATAAACATTTAAATTTTTAATAAATATTGCTTATATTCCAAAAGGGTGAGCCACTAACTTCTCAACAGGTGTCTGTTTTTGCTTTTTCATCTTTTTTTTGTTTTTTTGAGACAGCATTTTTCTCTGTCACCCTGGCTGGAGTTCTGTGGCATGATCATAGCTCATTGCAGCCTCCAACTCCTGGGCTCAAGCAATCCTCCCACCTCAGCCTCCTGAGTAGCTGGGACTACAGGGGTACACCACCATGCTCAGCTGCCTTTTCTTGGTTTTAGTTTTTTGTAGAGACAAGGTCTTGCTGTGTTGCCCAGGCTGGTCTCATTTGAAACTGCCAGGCTCAAGCAATCCTCCTGCCTCGGCCTCACAAAGTGCTGGGACCACAGGCATGAGCTACCGTGTTCTTTTCTTTTTTCATTCTTATGGGCACTGAGTAATATAGTCTGATGTTCAGGAAAGGATATTTTAGTAATTTGATTTGATTATTGTATTTTAATTTACCTGATAAGTGAAGTTGTATTTCTTTTCACGTTATTATCCATATGTATTTTTTATTTTGTAAATTGTTTTCATTTACTTTATTTATTATTAGGATTCTCCCTATATAATGGACATCAGCTCTACTAGATAGTCTGCAAATAACTTTTTTACCAGTTTTTTGTTTGCCATTCAATTTTGTGCTTAGTTTTTCTATATATAACGAGTTAATTTTCATGTGCTAAAAAAGAACTTAGAATTAATTTGGTTTATCTTTTTGATTTATTCCTTGAGATAAAACTAAAAATATTTCCAGTATTCTTTTAGTCAAATAAATACAATTATCTGGTTACAGCAAATTTAATAATAATAAATAATGTTCATTTATATGGTAGCTACTGCACCGTGATCTTTATGTATGTATTAGAGAAAATAAATGTATTTTTCACTAACATGCCTAATGCATGAATTTACTGTATCTTAATTTGAAGGAAATCTTTTTGTCAATGTCATTTAAAACCTAAGATTAGCTAATTTTATTTTCCAATTTTTCCCTAGGTTAATAGCAATGAACTTACAAATGGGGTAATAAATGCTGCCTTCATGCTCCTGTTCAAAGATGCCATTAGACTGTTTGCAGCATACAATGAAGGAATTATTAATTTGTTGGGTAAATACTGCTGTAGCCTAATAACATTTCTTATCTTGTGTCATATGGATAAACAATATTGACTGAGTTGTTACTTAAAGCTGGCTAAAAATTTATTATGATATATTCATTCATTGTAACAGTTAATTTGGAGAAAAGAGTTTTATACCTAATTACTTCTGCAAGTGATTACATATTTTTATACCCAGGATGTTCAGCAAGATGAACTTTATTTTTTAGATGTATCTATGTTTTTTCCACCCATTTTATTAATTTTTAGAAATATAAAAGTGCCTTTAAAATTTAGCTGGGTTAAGATAGTAAGTTTTAGGCTGAGGCAGGAGAATTGCTTGAACCCAGGAGGCGGAGGTTGCAGTGAGCCTAGATCGTGCCATTGTACTCCAGCCTGGGCAACAAGAGCGAAACTCAGTTTCAAAAAAAAAAAAAAAACAAAAAGGATAGTAAGTTTTATGTTACAGGTATTTTACCACAATAAAAAAAGATGGGAAAAAAACAAATATTTTGTCCCAGAAGAATATTGTTTTCTCATAATCAACTCCATAATGAACTTTTAAAAAATTTAAATCTGTTTTTTATAGTCTGAAGTAACGTGGACTTACTCAGGGATGCTTTAATCTATAGGGATAGGGAAATTTGGCTTATTTTTTCACAAGTGAAAAATAAAGGTTTTTCTATAAAGCTTTGGAAGGCATAGTCTTCAATACTATAATTAGTATAAATTAACCTTTTCTATGTATACATTAAACTTAAATGAACTTTCTGAGTGACATTTGGGCATGGTAAAGTTGTTATCTTAGATAATATACTATTAGTAAGATTGGAAATAGATGTTAGTGCTGTTTTAAATGGGGTCAAGTGTGGTACGTGTTTACACACAAATATGTACTTAGGTAATTGTGAGGAAAAGTACTATGGCACAAACTAGGAATATGAGTAGGGTCAAGTAATGTTTCTTTTTTTAGTATAATAGCACCTCTATTCTAATTTGCTTTAAATACCTAAGCTAACTTAACACTGATATTTTTCTAGTAGGGTATGTATGCTCCTTTAGAGACCTATTTGGAGCTATTACCTACTTTTTTTTTCCTTTTTTGGGTGTTATATTTTGATGTGAACAAAAGAATTTTTACATTTATTTTGTCAGAAAAATATTTTGATATGAAAAAGAACCAATGCAAAGAAGGTCTTGACATCTATAAGAAGTTCCTAACTAGGATGACAAGAATCTCAGAGTTCCTCAAAGTTGCAGAGGTAAACTGTCTTTAAGTGACTGTCTCCTAACTTGCCTTTTTGTCTGTAAGTATGGATTTTGAAGTCATCACTCACTATCCAAATAAAATAAATGTCTTCAATTTAGTATTCAATCATTATTATGCTGTATTGAATTCTGTGGCAAGATATGAATATGATAAAGTAGTGAATAAAATACATGCTGTAAATTTAATTCAATAGCGAGTATTGAAAAGTTACCTGTTTTTACATTGTTTACTTCTCTATAAAATTAAGTAGGTGACATACAGTAGTGCCAGAGATTTTTATGGTTGGAATGAACCATATATTTGAGAATGTTTATTGTTAAATGTGGTAGAGAATATCCAGTATCAGTGCAGGTTTCTTTCCAGTGAGACAGCTGGAGCCATAGTTCAAAATGTTTTCGTTGGCTGGGCACCGTGGCTCAGACCTGTAATCCCAGCATTTTGGGAAGCTGAGGTGGGTGGATCACCTGAGGTCAGGAGTTCAAGACTGGCCAACATGGCAAAATCCCGTCTATACTAAAGATACAAAAATTAGCCAGTCATGGAGGCGGGCACTTGTAATCCCAGCTACTTAGGAGGCTGAGGCAGGAGAATCACTTGAGCCCAGGAGGCGGAGGTTGCAGTGAGCTGAGATCGCACCACTGCACTCCAGGCTGGGCGACAGAGCAAGACTCTATCTCAAAAAAAAAAAAAAAGCTTTTGTTCCCCGACAGAAATGGATTTTGTGTATTTATTATCATTGATTGTGAAAACTATGAATGTAGGTAATAGGATATCTAATTTTGCAGCTCTGCTTAAAAATAATTTTCTGAAATTGTCACGGAAGGCAGGTGTGGTAATACTTGCAGGCATTATCTTGCTACCACAGAGGCGTTCTTAAGGGGTTTTTTTGTTTGTTCTCCCATTCTCCAGCCTCTACCCATCTCCACCAAAGATTTCTTCCTAGGATAATTTGCTCAATTATGTCAAAGCAGTTACTTTGGAATTAGCAACATAGTGATTCTAGGCTTTGTTACTGTGGTGATATATTATTCTATATTAGATGCAATAGGACAGAACAGGATGATCAACAATAGCTTTGTTATTAGTCTGCTGTTTTATGAAGCCTACTGAAATTAATTTTGAATTTAAAAATGTTTCAAGGAGAAAGATCCTTTCCGTTTTTTAAGGGTCAGTCACGTACTAAAACAGAAGAAGGTGGTGTTTATGCTGTGATTCTAGTAAATTCTTCAAGTAAGTTTTAATTTGTTGACCTTCCCTCTTGGCCTTTTATGTTCTTTGCATTTGGTAGTTGTAGTTACAAAGTTAAGTTTTTTTTGTTTGTTTGTTTTTGAGATGAAGTCTTGCTCTTGTCCCCTAGGCTGGAGTGCAATGGCGCAATCTTGGCTCACTGCAACCTCCACCTCCTGGGTTCAAGCGATTCTGCTGTCTCAGCCTCCCGAGTAGCTGGGATTGCAGGTGCCTGCCACCACACCCGGCTAATTTTTGTATTTTTAGTAGAGACGGGGTTTCACCGTGTTGGCCAGGCTGGTCTTGAACTCCTGACCTCAGGTGATCTGCCCGCCTGGGCCTCCCAAAGTGCTGGGATTACAGGCGTGAGCCATGGCATCCCGCCCAAACTTAAGTTGTAAGCCCCCTTCTGTACTCCAGATCTGCTGTTAACTTATTCTTAGGTGCAATAGACTGTCTGCTATATATGACTTTTTTTTTTTTTTTTTTTTTTTTTTTTTTTGAGACAGAGACTTGCTGTGTCACCCAGGCTGGAGTGCCATGGCATGGTCTCGTCTCGCTGCAACCTCTGCCTCCCAGGTTCAAGCGATTCTCCTGCCTCAGCTTCCTGGGTAGCTGGGATTACAGGTGCCCGCCACCACGCCCAGCTAATTTTAGAGATGAGGTTTCACCATGTTGGCCGGGCTAATCTGGAACTCCTGACCTCAAGTAATCAACCCACCCTGGCCTCCCAAAGTGCTCTGATTATAGGCATAAGCCACCACACCCAGCCTGCTCCATATGATTTAAGAAAAATATGAAGAGTCCCTTACCTTACGCTTTTTTTCTTTTTTTTTTTTTTTGGCTTTTTTTTTTTTCCTTTTTCTGGAGAACGGGGTCTCACTATATTGCCCAGGCAGGTCTCAAACTCCTGGGCTCAAGCTATCCTCCCGCCTCTTAGCCTCCCTGAGAGCTGGGATTACAGGCGTGAGCCACCGCGCCCGGCCAGAGTCCCTTACCTTAAAATATTCTGTTTTGAGACTGTGTTTGGGCTTGCAGTTTAATTAGAACGCCTTAGTTCCTGGAAGAAGGCAAGAGTAACCTCTTGAAACATGTTTGAGGAGGACAAATATATCAGGCAGTGATTAGTAACATCTGAGTAATAATGAATTTATCAGATTTTTTTTTTTTCTCCTGAGATGGAGTCTCACTCTGTTTCCCAGGCTGGAGTGCGGTGGAGCAATCTCTGCTCACTGCACCCTCTACCTCCCGGGTTCAAACGATTCTCCTGCTTCAGCCTGCTGAGTAGCTGGGATTACAGGTGCCTGCCACCATGCCCGGCTAATTTTTGTATTTTTAGTAGAGCTGGGGTTTCACTGTGTTAGCCAGGATGGTCTAGATCTCCTGACCTCGTGATCCGCCCACCTCAGCCTCCCAAAGTGCTGGGATTACAGACATGAGCCACCATATCTGGCCTTTATCAGATTTTCTGCTGACATCATTCTGAGACCAGCCCCTGAGAGGTCACAAAAGGAAGGGAGACTGATTAGAAAATGAAACACAGCCACGGGACAGAAAATAGTTTTCTAATTGGGGTGCTAGAATACACAGGAACCGTTTCTATCTTTTTTTGCTGGAAATTGCCTAGGGCCTGAGCATCATGAAGGTATATTGGAATTGGTTTGAGAAGACAGTTATATCCTGATTAGATATCACTTGACATTTATGTAAACCTGGCCTACCTGACAGAGCATGAGTTTTTAAAGTGTTATCTGTGGTGATTTCCAGGGAAAGCATGTTTTATGGAGAAAGACAAAGTCGATGTCTTCAGGTTTGTTTCTTAAATTTTTTTTTTTTTTTGCATCAAAGAGCTTGTTCATGGTCAGGCTTTCTCATTCTTACCATAGTGTTTTTATCATATTACACATAGAAGAGAGGGGAGTTTTCAGATTGTGACAAGGTAGCTTACATACAGGTGTTCAGAAGACAGGGATGGTAACTTAGATTTGTTGACTTTCCAACTCTAGTTTCCCTACTGTTAAGAACTTTTAGGGCCACCAAATAATATCTAAGCCATTGGAAATGTTGAGTATTTTTGGAGATTAAATATTTTCCTGATTCTTAAGAAGTCTGTTTAAAATATTACTGGTACTAGCCGTGATGTCATTTTTCCAAATTTTATTTATAAAATATTTTTATTATAATTTATTAAATACAATGCTTTTCTTACAGCAAGTTGGAATTGACAGAGGTGATATACCAGACCTTTCACAGGTAAGTTTATTGTTAAAATACCAATCCACTATCTGTTGTGTACAAGTTGTGAAGAGTATTAAGATAAGTAACATATAGCCCCCATTGTCAAAGGGATCAATGCAGTTTTTGACCAGTTTTAACATTTTGATGTATTCCTGAAGATTGTTCTAACACTATGACCACGTAAAATGATCTGCTTACCACTTATATTTGTTGCCTACCCACTGTCATACCATTTATTTAATCTCTTCAATCACTCTTTCTTTCCCATCATCATTGTTTAAAAAAGGAAAAAAAAACTTTTTGGAACCTGAATTTAGAAAATGATATTTAGAAAAACAATTTTCACTATAATGCTGGTAGAGAATTATCCAGTATTTATTTTTCCTGTTTTAAACTTCCACTTTGACTGTTTGACTCAGGTGGGAGTATTAATTTAGGGATAAACCACAAAACATAAGATTAAGAGAGTAGGGTTTGGGATACGTCGAAATTTCAGTCCCGGCTGTGCCATTAGCTGGCCCTGTGACTTTGGGGAAGTTACTTTCTATTCTTCAGTTTCATCATCTGTAAAATGAAGATACAACAGTACCTACCTCAGACAGTAAGTAGTTCACAGGATTAAATAAGTTAATGCCAAAAAAAAAAATTAGAGCATTAAACACACTCAACTAATGTTTGCTATTTTAATATTGTCTTTATCATCATCATCATCAAAAAATTTTCTAGGAAAAAACTTCATACCTGCTGGTTGTTCTGGCTGATTCTCTGTTTTCTTTACGGAGTATTAAGAATGAAAGTACCTGGCATAAGCTATCCTTGTAACATTTCCATCAACTCTCTCATTTGTTGACATCTGTTTTACCTTGTTTTGAATTATTCCAGGACATTTTTTTGTTGTTGTTTCTTTTTGACATAGAGTTTTGCTATTGTCGCCTAGGCTAGAGTGCAGTGGCATGATCTCAGCTCACTGCAACCTCCGCTTCCTGGGTTCAAGCGATTCTCCCACCTCAGCCTCCCAAGTAGCTGGGATTACAGGTGTAAGCCACCACGCCCAGCTAATTTTCGTATTTTTAGTAGAGACGGGGTTTTCCATATTAGCCAGGCTGGTCTCAAACTCCTGACCTCAGGTGATCTGCCCGCCTAGGCTTCCGAAAGTGTTGGGATTACAGGCGTGAACCACCACACCCAGCTTCCAGTACATCTTTTAAACGCCTTGTTAACAGTTATTATTGAGTTTCTCTGTACTCACTTGTTCTGATTCTTCCCTCTAATGTCAAGGCTAAGAGTATGCAATAAATCTAGTCATGGGTTATATGTAAGTAAAGAATCCTGTATATGTCCACTTGAAATAAATTGGCTTTATTAAGAGCAAGCACATGATTCTGGGTTGAACATGAGACAAGTCATTGCTTGAATAACGTATATTATAAAATGATTTGGCAACTTTAGATTCACCTGTTACCCACCCCATTTGTTATGCTTCCCTTATGTTTTATTTAAAAATCATTGTCCTCAGGCTAGATGTAGAAGTTACAGGCCGTCATCATGTATCTGTGTATGTTAATATTCACCCTATTGTAATTAGAGTAGGGTTCTTTAACCTCCGTTCCTCTTTTCCTCTGTATTGATGATCTCTGAGCAAAGGTAACTTGCCAGGCATTCTTTGGCTGATTCAGAAAATTTTCAAAAGTGAACAAAACAAAGCTATTTACACTTTAGGGACGATGGTGGTAATGCAGAAGAGTGAAAATTTGAGATTATTTACTCTTTTTTTTTTTTTTGGTAATTTCTTTTAAGGTGTAAAGCATCACATTTTCTTCACTCTTTGGGTTTTGTTGGGGGAGGGAGAGAAAAGATAGGCTTTTGCTTTGTCACCCAGGCTGGGGCGCATTGACAAAATCATGGGTCACTGCATCCTCACCCTCCCAGGCTCAAGTAATCCTCCCACCTCAGCCTCCTTTGTAGCTGGGACCACAGGCATATGCCACCACACCCAACTAATTTTTTTATTTTTTTGTGGAGACAGGGTCTCCCTATATTCCGCAGGCTGGTCTCAAACAACTGGGCTCAAGCAGTCATCTCACCTCTATCTACTTCCGAAAGTTTTGGGATTACAGGTGTGAGTCACTGTGCCCAGCCTCCTCACTCTTTGTCGTGTGGATTTGACTTTTGAAAAATAGCCAGATATATTTAGAAGGGATTTTAGAAATGGTTTGTCTTACTAATCATAACTTGGTAGTTTAATATTTTTATTTGTAAGCCACAGCTTAAACCCTTCAGAAAAAAGATAAACTACAGTTTCTATGACCACAGTTTCAGTCCAGGATTTGGTACCATAGTAGTTAATTATGTAGTCTTTAAAGTCAGAGATACCTTCCCTATCTTGGCTTCTGTTGTGTATCAGATATGTGATCTTGGACAGATTACTTAATCTTCACTGTCTCAGGTTGTTTATCTGTAATATGGATATACCAGTAGTGTCTACTTCATAGATTCAGTGACTACTACAAGGTAGCTAGCACAGTACCTGTTGTGTGAGAAGAGCTTTTTAAATGTTAACCACTATCATCAACATCCTCCTTATCATCTCTGAAAGCTCTTAAGACAGTGCTTTGCTTGCTGATTAGCAAACATTTTTGCTGGGGCTGTTTGAAAGTGTATGTATACTCTCAGTTCAACAAAGAAGTTCATCTTCCAATGTAGTATTTGGTTTTAAATGGTTTTCTACTGTGTCTCCCTTGGGCTAGGGTCCTGGTATATAGAGGGAATAGTGGATGAAAGAAGTTGTTAAAGCCATCAATGATAGAGAAATTAGCAGGTATTGCCCCTTTAACTATTTTTAGATCCTGTATCCAGAAACTGTGTCTCAAATCCTATAGAATATTTAGGGTAAGTAAATGCTACTGGTGCATTTGCTTCACTTAGAGCGGACAGTTCTTAGTCTGCACACTGAAAAGGTTTCCTTTTGAGAGCTTTCTTCATATTAAGTTGAGATTTGACCTATAGCCTGAGTTTAAAATTAGTCTTCCATTAAAAAAAAAAACGTAAGTATTCATTTCAATGCAGTTTGATAAATAAACATTTATGTAACCAACACATCATTCAAGATAGGAAAATTCTATTTCCCCAATCCTTATGCCCCCTTCCAGTCACTTCTTACCCACCTCCACAGTCACTGTTTTGATTTCTAATAGCATAATTTTGTTGGTTCTTAATATAAGCGTAATCATACAAGTATTTACTTTTGCATTCTGGCTTTTTTTGCTCATCGTATTGTTTGAGATCTATGTTGTTGAATATACCATTAATTAATTCTTCTTTATTGCTGAATAATATTTACCACAATTTTGTCTATCCATTTTCCAAATGATGGAGTTTTGGATTATTTGCAGTTTTTGACTATTGTAAATAAAGCCACATTAAACATTAAGTCTTTTCTTACAGAGATAAGTTTTTATCTCTTTGGGGTAAATAGGAATGGAATTGGGTCATTAAGGTAGGTGTGTATTTAACTTTGTAAAGAACAACCTAATCCATTTTCAAGGTGATAAACTCCTACTAGTGATATATGAGAGTTCCAGTTGTTCCATATGCTCACCAACATTTGATACTGCAGATGTATTTAACTTTAGTCATTGTAGTAAGTGAAAAGGTGTATCTCATTGTGATTTTCATTTTCATTTCCCTGATGACAGTGTTCAGTGTCATTTATCAGTAATTATTCCAGAGTCATGTTTGAACACATTCAGTTGCTCATCAGGTGCTTATTAAGTACCTTCTGCATGCTCAGTAGTATGTCGAGCTTTTAGGAGTATGGTTTTACTTTAAAATTTAAGTACTTGCAAGATTTTTAAAAAATGTTTCATGTTTACATAGTTTTCAGTTCTTAACGTTTTTGATAATGTTTCTTAATATCTCCAACTAGGTCACGTTTGTATAACAAAAGTAAGATTGTCATTCTTATTAAGTAGCTAAAACTCCACTGTTAATTAGTACATGAAGAACATACCTGTTTATTTTTGTTGCTCTCTAATTAGATGATACTTGATTTAATTTGACCAGTGGCCTAATTATCATGAAATTCTTAATATTTGTACAATTGCAGGCCCCTAGCAGTCTTCTTGATGCTTTGGAACAACATTTAGCTTCCTTGGAAGGAAAGAAAATCAAAGATTCTACAGCTGCAAGCAGGTATATCATTCTTTGTAGGCCAAAAAGCCAGAGTGATTTTTCTGAGGCAGTAGATGAAACCAGCTCAAGTTCCAAGCTGTTTAATTTCTCTATATCTTGATTTCATTTTCTATAAAATGGATTTAATCATAATATCAGCCTCATAGAATTAGTATTAGGATTAAATGGATTAATACATGCAAATTCTTGAAATTGTTTCTGACCTTCAATAAATGTCAGCATCTGTTAAGATAATGACAGTGACTGCATAGTTTAGAATTGTGTTTATGATGTCAAAATTTCTCCTAAAGATGCTAATGCATTGTTTTATGTGGTGCTTTGTAGTTATAAGATACATTTTTTTTTTCTTCCCCCGAGGCAGAGTCTCACTCTATTGCCCAGGCTGGAGTGCAGTGGCACAATCTCAACTCACTTGCAACTTCCACCTCCTGGGTTCAAGCGATTCTCCCACCTCAGCCTCCCAAGGGTGGGACTACAGATGCATGCCACCACGGCCGGCTAATTTTTGTATTTTTAGTAGAGACAGGGTTTCACCATGTTGAGCAGGCTGGTCTCGAACCCCTGAACTCAAGTGATCTGCACACCTCAGCCTCCCAAAGTGCTGGGATTACAGGCATGAACCACCGTGCCAGGCCTATAATTGCAAGATACTTTCGTATTAATTTGCTCAATCCTCACAATAGCCCTGTGAAGTATGTAGTAGCAATGCTGGGACTCAAACCTAGAATATCTGACATCAAATTGCATCATCTCTGCCTAATGCCAGTTCATGGGGTTGATTATTGATATTTTATATTTTAATCACTTTATTATGTTTTAAGCTAATTCCTCAGACTAAGACCATTTAACCTAGCAAATTGAAAGTAACAGAAATCATTTCATATCAGTCTGGTAACATGATTTTTGTATTGGGTTAAGAAATTACTTGAGTTATTCTCATGTTTTCTTATGAACCTTTTTTTAAAACAGCATGAAGAAAGAATTTGTATAGTGAGAACCTTCCTTTGGTTCTTTTTAGACTTTCTGGTTGTTTCAGAACTTTTGATCTTTCTTTTAGTAATAAAATTTAAATAATTTCCAAAGGGAAATGCCGTTATTGGATTTTAGTACTCATTTTTAATCCTAGATTTGTACTTTGAATTTTCTAGTAAGATTTTCGAAGTAGCAGTCAAAACAATAAGTCTCATTTATTTGAGAGAATAACGAAAAAAAGAGCCACGTAGTTCAGGTGCACCAATTTACCTGAAATGTTTATCATAAAATTTATTGGTTTTCTTGCATTTCTGTCACAACTATGTTATTCTTCCTTTGTCTTCTGAATTGTACCTTTTTATTGGCTTATTTATAATACTAATATTACATAAAATTTAAAAGGTAGTTTTTACCACTTTACGTGCTTAAGAGTAGAAACTAATGATGTTTGGTGTGTGGTAAAAGGAAAATTAATAAAGCTCAAGGTAGTTCTTCAGGTTAGAATTCTTTACCACTTGTTTTACTTAGCCTAGAGTTAACATTTGGAAAGTTAATGTTGAGGTTTATAGTGTGGATACGTTTTTGATAAAAGGGAAAGGAGGTGCCTTGCCAGTGAAAAATGATACATTGTACATGTATATTAAAAAGGAAATTCTGGTTTGGCAAAAGGGCAGCACATAGAAAGATGCCAAATGGCCTGATGACTAGATTGAAACCAGTCTTCTTTTGAAGGAACCTGAAGTCCTCTGGGGATGTTGTTATAGGTGAAACATACCTAGACTTACGTTACGTGTTACTGGTATGCATGTTTTGGTGTTCCTGTGGCACTGCCGAAAC
The DNA here is from genome assembly GCF_000001405.40 of Homo sapiens. Classification (NCBI taxonomy): domain Eukaryota; kingdom Metazoa; phylum Chordata; class Mammalia; order Primates; family Hominidae; genus Homo; species Homo sapiens. Next base: position 86,001,556 of record NC_000011.10, on the reverse strand, counting down.
GTAGGCTGTAAATTAGCAGAGGGTTTTCCCTGTGATAAACTCAACACTTTTTCCCATCAGGGATTTTGTGGGATTATGTGGGCTCTTTCCCAATTGCACTGGTTTCCTCTCTTGGGGCTTGGAAGAGGCAATGTGCCCCACTCTGTTGTGAACCCTTTCCAAAGTCAAACACTTACTCTGAAAGCAGTGAGTGTATATTAAGTCAAGATTTTTCTAATTGCTTTAATCCTGTAGATCACTAGGTAGAATATTTCATCTGAAGTACTGGATTTGAATCCAGAAGTTAAGTTTATAATTATAGTGCCTATCCATGGCAAGGTTGCCAGACCATTTCATGACCTGGGTGTAATGTGAAGTGTTTAGCAAAAAGCCAAATTATCTCTGTTCAATTATCCTAGGGCAACTACACTTTCCAATGCAGTGTCTTCCCTGGCAAGCACTGGTCTATCTCTGACCAAAGTGGATGAAAGGGAAAAGCAGGCAGCATTAGAGGAAGAACAGGCACGTTTGAAAGCTTTAAAGGTAAGTTTGTGCATTCTCCTTATTTCGAAAAATGAGTACAGGTGTTCATTAGGTAAATGGGGCCTCTGCACAGACTTAGAGTCTTAAATGTATAGCTACCTAATGGGCTGAAACTCAGTCTAACTTTTCGTCCTGACATAGAATTAGGTAAAACAGAATATCTGCTATCAGAACAAATTAGAAAATGCTTTTTTCAGAGGCTGTACAAAGAAATCTGGTTTCTGGAATCCTTATGGTAGTTCCCTTTCTTAACAGGAACAGCGCCTAAAAGAACTTGCAAAGAAACCTCATACCTCTTTAACAACTGCAGCCTCTCCTGTATCCACCTCAGCAGGAGGGATAATGACTGCACCAGCCATTGACATATTTTCTACCCCTAGTTCTTCTAACAGGTAGGAGTAGAAGTTAAGGTTACCTTTGAATATGTAGGTTCAAAGACTTCTAATAGAAATTTTGCAGAACTTTTCAGGTTTACTTTTATTTATGCTTTTATAATCTATTCACACAAAGAGGTGGCGATAAATGGTGATATTGGTATAATACCTAAAGATAAAGTGATGAGTTTATATTTTACGTATTTACGAAATGGAAGATAGTTAAATCACTGATTTATACTAATAGGAATATAGCTGTTATCTCTGGGCCAACTTTTCATTGTGTAAAAATTATGATTAAACACATTTATGAGGCATCTAATGGTTCAAGACCCTTTATAGCTCTTTGACATATGGATATGATATATATTTCAAAATACCATTTCATTAGATATTAAACGTCTGTCATATCTGTTTCCTGGTTTTAAACTCTGTAATCTGGAACACAGTGACAGAGTTTAGTTGCCAGGTTTCTTGGTATTGAAGCCTACCAGACTAACTTTAATAATCTTGTTGTCTAATTTAAGCTACTTAACATGGAAATATAATATTGCCAGGTAAAGTAAAACAATTGGCATTTTCTGAACCTCAGAGTGGCTTAAAGTAGTTTTAAAAGTCAGATTCTGGTTTGAATCCTGGCTCTGTTAGTTCTTAACTTTTTTTGAGAAACCTTGTTTTCAGATGAGACTGTGGTTCTCAACTTTAACATCAGAAGCATTTGGAGAGTTTATTAAACTACAGATATCTGAGTCCCAATCCTAGAGTTTTGATTCAGTAGGTGGGGCCTGGGGCCCAAGAATTTTTGTTTTTAAGATGCTCCCAGGTGACTAGGTTTTAGCACAGTGCATTATTAGCACATGTTAAATGTTCCATAGAGAGTGGTGAGTTTTTTCCTTTCACTTTGTTGTTGCTGTTTATTAACTCACCCTTAAAAGCTCATCTGCCTGCCTACTGACTCCTAATAGCTGAGCCTAATAGCTCAGTGTAAGTTTTACTACGTGAACTGCTTGCTGTATGCATGCTCAGTTGCTACCTGCTCCCTGAAATCTTAGTAGGTGTTTGTTGAATTTAGTTCTTTTTTTTCTTTCAGCTTTATGATTTGTTTGCTCATGTATGCTACCTTCTTTAATCCCCAGTTAAGTAACATTGACCCCATTAAGGGGCAAGTTCTCAACATGGAGATCTTGAAAAGAAGTCTGTCCTAGGAGAAAGAAGTGAAAAGAATGTTCATTGTTCGAGGCTGAAACAAATTATTGGATAAAGAACTAATTTCACTATGTTTTATGTCACATACTAAAAATTTTCACCTTTTTAATAGTAATTAAGGGCAAATCTTACAGCCCATTTACAGAATTATTATTGTATATTCTATATGTTCCCCAAAGCACTAAATGCGTTTATATCTACTATCTACACAACTATTGTACATCTAAAAGACATGTCTTCAAAACTTTTTTATAAAAATACAGTTAGAAGGAATAAGTTCTAGTGTTTGATAGCACAGTAGAATTACTAATTAAAAACAATTGTATTACCTATATCAAAGTAGCTAGAAGATTTAGAATGTTCTCAACACAGAGAAATGATGAATGTTTGAGGTGTGATAGATGTCCTGATAATTACATGGTATGCATGTATCACAATATCATATGTATCCCATAAATATGTACAATTATTGTATATCCATTTAAAAAGAAAAACATTCTATTTTGGAGAATATATAAGTTAAAAATTAGGAGCTGGGTGTGGTGGCGTGTGCCTGTTGTCCCAGCTACTCAGGAGGTTGAGGCAGGAGGAAGGCCTGAGCCCAGCCGTACAAGCTAGCCTGGGCAACATCTCTTGGTCTGTTTGTCTGTTTCTCTCTCAATCTCTCTCTCTCTTTTGAGACAGTGACTTACTCTGTCACCCAGGCTGGAGTGCAGTGGCACAGCCATGGCTCACTGCAGCCTCAACCTCCTGGGCTCAAGCATTCCCTCTGCCTTAGCTTCCCGAGTAGCTGGGACTACAGGCGCACTCCGCAATGCCCAACTATTTTTCGTATTTTTTCGCCATTTTGCCCAAGCTGATCTTGAACTTTTGAACTCAAGCAGTCCGCACGCCTCAGCCTCCCAAAGTGCTGGGATTACAGGCATGAGCCACTACACCCAGCCTCCAGACCCCTTCTCTTAAAAAAATTATCTGTACTGTGTTTGAATTCTTAGACACTCTGGGGTCATGTTTTGAGTTGTTCATTAAAATCACATAGAAGTCGGCCGGGCATGGTGGCTCATGCCTGTAATCCCAGCATTTTGGGAGGCTGAGGTGGGCGCATCATGAGGTCAGGAGATCGAGACCATCCTGGCTAACACGGTGAAAGCCCATCTCTACTAAAAATATAAAAAATTAGCCGGGCGTGGTGGCAGGCGCCTGTAGTCCCAGCTACTTGGCAGGCTGAGGTAGAAGAATGGCATGAACCCGGGAGGCGGAGCTTGCAGTGAGCCAGGATCGCTCCACTGCACTCCAGCCTGGGCGACGGAGCGAGACTCTGTCTCAAATAAAAAAAATTACATAGAAGTCTTGAGGTAGAAATATATCATGTAAGCCAGGCATGGTGCCTCCCGCCTGTAATCCCAGCACTTTGGGAGGCTCAGGTGGGTGGATCATCTGAGGTCAGGAGTTCGAGGCCAGCCTGGGCAGTGTGGTGAAACCCTGTCTCTACTAAAGGACAAAAATTAGCCAAGCATGGTGGCATGCACCTTTAATCCCAGCTTCTTGGGAGGCTAAGGCATGCCAGTCACTGGAACCCAGGAGGTGGAGGTTGCATTGAGCCAAGATCACATCACTGCACTCCAGCCTGGACAACAGAGTGAGACTCTTGTCTCAAAAAAAGCAAAACAACAACAAAAAAAGAGGCTGAGCACAGTGGCTCACGCCTGTAATCCCAGCACTCTGGGAGGCCGAGGCAGGCGTATCACCTGAGGTCAAGAGTTTGAGACCAGGCTGGCCAACATGGTGAAACCCTGTCTCTATTAAAAATACAAAAATTAGCCGGATGCGGTGCTGCGCACCTGTAGTCCCAGCTGCTTGGGAGGCTAAGGCAGGAGAATCATTTGAACCTGGGAGGCAGAGGTTACAGTGAGCCAAGATCACGCCGCTGCACTCCATCCTGGGCGACAGAGCGAGACTCTGTCTCAAAAAAAAGAAGAAAGAAATATATCATGTAAATAGTGTGTTGTGTGATGGGGTGGCTCTATTCATAAATGCATGTAAAATTTTTTCCCTGTATCATTGATACATAGTTTGGACACTGAGGCACTAGAAGTGAGGTTAATGAGTATTTTACTGTGTAGTGTATTGCAAATGTGATTCAAGTTCTGTGAATATTAAAAGTAAGAAAAGAGTTTTATTAAAAATATTAAAATTGCTGTGATATTTTGTATTTTAGAATCTTGTTGTTTAGGTTCATTTTAATAGGGAAATTAGTTTTTTCTAGGGGAAGACATTCATCCTTTTCAGAAGAGCTACTGTTCTTTGAATCTTATATAAACTTAAGATATGATATTAGATTATTTTTCCAAGCCTCCTTAGAAATATGCTGTCATATGAAGAAACTGTTCCTCTTTTGAGATTTATATTAATGAGACTTTTCTCCCTTGTTTTTAATGTTTTTATCTGTGGTGGGTGGAGAAGGTGACACTAAAGTAGCAAAGTTTTTCTGGTAAATAAAACACGTTTCCAAAATATCTTTCTAGCACATCAAAGCTGCCCAATGATCTGCTTGATTTGCAGCAGCCAACTTTTCACCCATCTGTACATCCTATGTCAACTGCTTCTCAGGTAGCAAGTACATGGGGAGGTAAGCATTGATGAATTCTATTTTAGATGTTACATGCATCTCTCCTCCTCATTCTGTGGTGTTTACTTATTTGTAGTTTTTTATTACACTTGATACATGAGAACTTGATAAGTATTAAAATGGCAATGAAGCAATTTTATCCCTTGAAGGTATGTTCATTTATTATAAATAATTTAGGAATTTATGTTCAATTAAATTATGAAATGACATTTAATAAAGATAAAACTAAATGTAAGAGGAAGGACCAAGTGTGTTTTTAACTATGAGATTATTCTTTTAATGTTGAATTTTTATTCCATAACCAGAAAATGCATGGTGGTTATTTCGATTTTGGTGTAGAATTTTTTTTTTTTAACTTTTGGGGAATAACTTATCTTTGTGTTAAGTATATGATATAGTTCTAATAAAACTCAGATGGTATTATCACACAGGGAACATGTTGTGACCATAATTGTCTCGACCAGCTTTATGGTCAAGACATAAATGTTTTAAATGTTTTTTTAATTAAGACCTGAAAGATTTTGCTAGTCAAAGAATTTTCCCCTTGTACCAATAAGAATGTTTGCTGCCCTTAAGCAGTTCTGAAGTGATAGGCTTATCTCTCATAGCAAGATAAGTTAATTATTCTAATGAGTTTTTATAGTATATAAACAAAGCTTTTTTTCATTTTATTTTAATGATTTGAATTTAAGAACATTTTAAATTATTTTTTTGAAGGAACTATATCCTAGAAAGTAAGCTCTGTGAAGGCAGGTTTTAAAATATTTTGTTCCGACAAGTAGTTTGTAAATGTTTGTTGAATAAGGTGGGGCACAGAGCAGATAGTAAAACCCTAAAACACTAGATTTCATGGTAATTTTGTGAGCCTGAACTTGATTTAAAAAACTAATTGACTTTGAAGGCTAGTTTAATTTAGCTAAGTTTTAAGATCTGAGAGTAATTCCTAAAAATGACAAGATATTAATAGTTTAAAGTTAAGTATTTTAGAATTATTTCAGAATGAACTATAGATAGTAAATTAAGATTAAGAAAGCAGTTTCTTAATATCCTAATGTTATGTTCTGATTTTTGGATTCTTAATTATTTTCTGCCTTATTGTGAATTGCTTTAGAAAAGGTTAGTAGAATTAACATGACCATTTAAGCAGTTTCAGCTTATTTCCTTTTTTAAAGAAATGTAGTAGTCTTTTTAAAACTAAGGCTGAGTTGTTTTTCTAAATAGACTAAAAATTTTATAGAAGGCCAAATAAAAATATATTAAACATTTCAAAGAAGCTGAACTGCAATTCCTGTTTTGTCTGGACACCATGTACAACTAAAAATGACAAGTTGAAGTTTCTACTTGAACTTGTTAAAGTCACATATGAAAGCAGATAGACTATTACTGTGGAAGAACAATTCTAAGTAATTTCAGTCTGTAAGAATTGTTCTATGTCCTGTTATAAGACATTATTCCATCAAAGTCTCTATGTGACAGACTGCAATATATTGGAATACATTTAATCATGTTTTACTTTTCTATTTTCGGTTATTTTGCTTTGTATGCTGTTTCTGTAAAAATTTCCCCCATATTAAGTCCTATAAATTAATCAGAATTAAATCCTGTCTTAACTTTCATATAAGGATATTTGGCTTCTGAGTTGGTGATAAACAAGGTTTTGACTTCTGCATGATACTGAAGAGTACTTTAAGCCAAGAAAGTTCTAATTCAAGTCAGTACTCATATCCAGGACAATCAGATCGATATATTTTTTTTAATTTTTAAAATTAAAGTTAGACTAAACTAACTTAAACTTAGACTGAAATAAAGAAATCTCATATAAGGCCAGGTGCGATGGCTCACACCTGTAATCCCAGTACTTTGGGAAGCCAAGGTGGGCAGATCACATGAGGACAGGAGTTCCAGAACAGCCTCGCCAACATGGCAAAACCCTGTCTCTACTAAAAATACAAAAATTAGCCAGGTGTGGTGGTACACATCTGTCATCTCAGCTTCTTGGGAGGCCGAGGCATGAGAATCACTTGAACCCCGGAGGCGGAAATTGCAATGAGCCGAGATTTGTGCCACCACACTCTAACCTGGGAGACAGAAAAGAAAAGAAAAGAAATCTCATGTATGAGAAGCTTAGATCATAACATTAAATGCTTAAGGTATTTTGAAGTTAACTATTTACTTGAACACTTAAATATGTAACATTTTACATATAATGCTGCTGTTATAGTATATGACAAAGCAAAGGTATGATTTTTTTCATAATCCCCAAATCTTGTACTGTTCTTTTATTGGCTTTTATTAGCTAAAAATGAATGCCAATAACAGACGTAGTATTTAATTTAGTTCTTTTAAACACCACAGAAATGATGCGCATTCCTAGTCATAGATTAGTGATAAGATAGAGATAAAGGGAAGAAAAGTTTATATGTATATATGAAAGACATTTAAGATTCTACCTTTTGGTAGAATGAAAATGGGAGAACACAAGCTCTCTTGTTGGCCTCATTGTATTATTAATGAGCCTTGACTTTTTCAACAAATGTTGTGGAGTCTAAACAAGCAGTCGGTATTGAATACTAATATCTGAGAAGACCTAGGTTTTCATCACCCTGAAAATTTTGGATGATAGCAAACTTTGAATTTTTATATCTAAAAATATACAATATTATCAGTTTGGTACACTGTTGAATATTTGAAGCAAGATTTCAGATTTTAGTTTAGGTGTAATAGAATTATCCATTCTGAAGTTTAATTTGCTTTACTTTTAGCTGGCATGAAACACAAAACACTTGATGAAAAAATTTGATTATCTGGGCAGGTGCAGTGGCTCATACCTGTAATTGCAATACTTTAGGAGACCAAGGCAGGAGGATTGCGTTAGCCCAAGAATTTGAGACCAGCCTGGGCAATATAGCAATACCTTGTCTCTACCATGTTTAAAAAAAAAAATCAGTTTAGTGTGTGTGAATGTAGGTATCAGTTGTTTAGGACTTAAAGGCGATAATATGACTGTGGTGCCATTTTAATCCTTGTTTTAACTTTTTTTGGATTTTTTTAGATGACTCTAGTGTAGCATAAAATTAAACTTTTGCGCCAGGTGTGTGGTGGCTCACGCCTGTAATCCCAGCACTTTGGGAGGTTGAGGTGGGTGGATCATTTGACGTCAGGAATTTGAGACCAGCCTGGCCAACATGGTGATACCCCATCTCTACAAAAAATGTAAAAATTAGCTGGGTGTGGTGGTGTGCACCTGTAATCCCAGCTACTCGGGAAGCTGAGGCACGAGAGTCGCTTGAACCTGAGAAGCAGAGGTTGCAGTGAGCCAAGATCATGCCCCTGCATTCTAGCCTGGGCGACAGAGCGAACCTCTGTCTCAAAAAAATGAAAAAATTAAACTTGAATGAATAATGAAAAAAAAAGGGACAAAACTATATTTAAAAATTTTAGACTGGGTGCAGTGGCTCACACTTGTAATCCCAGCAGTTTGGGAGCTGAGACAGGCAGATTATTTGAGCCCAGGAGTTCGAGACCAGCCTGGACAACATGGCAAGACCTTGCCTCTACAAAAAAATCGGAAAATAGCCAGGCATGGTGCCATACACCTGTGGTCCCAGCTACTCAGAAGGCTAAAGTGGGGGGATTGCTTGAGCACAGAAAGGTCGAGGCTGCAGTAAGCTATGATTATGCCATTGCATTCCAACCTAGGCAACAGAGCAAGACTCTTATTTAAAAAAAAAAAAAAAAACTTTAAGGGATTTCGAATTGCCAGTTTAATAGGTTAACTTGAAATAGCTGGAGCGTTATTATTATACCTTAATGAATTGGTTTTTATTATTATAGTGTAATGTCCATTAATAGATTAACATCTTGTAGATTACCTGTAGTGTTTTGTCAAGTAGATTAGGAACTGGTTTTCCTTATCTGATTGATCTAATTATGAATGCATTTGCAAATATTTCTGAATATTCTTCTCTAAGGTGTTTCACGTAATAGGAAGTGATTGAAATTAGGTGCTAGATAAAACCTATCTGTCAGTAGAACAGCGGATGACTGGTAACCTTTCCTGAACATGTGTTTTCTCATAAACCAATGGATCTGTTACAGAAATAATGTGTCTTTAAAAAATTACGTATTTCATGGCTTTTTTTGCGTGAAAAACAGATATTTTACTTGTCTGACAAAATATAATGTACTTTTAAAACTCTATGCAGCTGTTAATATCATGTATTTAAAAACAGAACATTCGGCCGTGTGTGGTGGCTCATGCCTGTAATGCCAGCACTTTGGGGAGGCCAAGGCGGGTGGATCACCTGAGGTTAGGAGTTCGAGGCCAGCCTAGCCAACATGGTGAAACCCCCGTCTCTACTAAAAATAGAAAAATGAGCTGAGCGTGGTGGCACGCGCCTGTAATCCCAGCTACTCAGGAGGTTGAGGCAGGAGAATTGCTTGAACCCAGGAAGCGGAAGTTGCAATGAGCTGAGATCACACCATTGCCCTTCAGCCTAGACAACACAGCGAGTTCGACTCTGTCTCAAAAAAAAAAAAAACAAAACACACCCAGAACTTTCAGCCTAACTGGCCAACTGTAAGCTTAATGCAACTCCTTTCTTATGCAAGAAGAAGCTAGAGTGGCCATCAGTATATATATTAGCTAAAATATATATATATTTTTAGTACTAAAAACCAATGTCCTTGTTGGCTCATGCCTGTAATCCCAGCACTTTGGGAGGCCAAGGCAGGAGGATTGCTTGAGTCCAGGCAGGTGTTCAAGACTAGCGTTGGTATCATAGCATCTCTACAAAAATTAAATTAGCCAGGCATGGTGGCACATGCCTGTAGTCTCAGCTACTCGGAAGGCTGAGGTGGGAGCATCACTTGAGCCCAGGAGTTTGAGGCTACAGTGAGCTCTGATTGTACCACTGCAGTCTGCCTGGGCAACAGAGCAAGACCCACTCTCAAAAAGAAGAAAACAAAAAAACCCACCGTGCCCCCCTGCAACTTCTTGTAACTATTTAACTATTTTCTAGTTTCTATTTCTGAATTACTGTTTTCTGATTCTTTTTTCCCAGTGTTCCATTTATTGGGGGTGGAATGATGGGAAAGATTTCGAGTTTGAATAGCATAATCAGCATATTTTGATAGATTTGTAGGACTTTTTTTTTTTTAGTGTGAATTGATGTTCCATAAGAATACTATATAGAAAAGTTCTTACTACAGAAAAAGTTGTATTTAAAAGATGTGTTGTTTTTAAAATCATAACCTGAGTATTTTCTTGATTTTTTTTTTTCCTTTTTCAGACAGTTGTATTTGAGCTTGTAGAATGCTTGCCTTGAATTTTTTGACTTTAAAGGAAGTGTGCCTATATCATAGTAAATGAGCTGGTCCTTAGGCCACTGTTGCCTTCTTAATGTTCAATCATACAATCTTAAGAGTAAAATACAGTACCTAGTACTATGAAGATACCACAGTATATTTCAGTGAAGGTCAAGAACTAAACTAGAACAGACAAGAAGATTCCACTGTTGAGAATTACAGGAGTATCCTCTTATTTTAATTATGTTACAAAGAAAAAATTATACTATTTTTGCTGCTTTTTATTTTTTCTTTCCCCATTTAGTTAGCTCTTTAAATCTTGAGAAGTAAGGAAAAATAGATTTCAGTCATTAGAATGATAATTATCTTGAATAAGGTATCAGTATAATAATTATCTGACTCTAGAATAACTTTAGATAAAGGATTTGATATAATACATATTTATATCATTCTAGTAGGCAAACAACACTTTTGTTGTTCCTTTAGCAATTCATTTAAAGACTAAAGCTCTTAGATAGACATTCAAAGGTGTTCGCAGTCTATTAAGTGGACATTCTTTCATCTCTGTTCTTAATTATCTAAAATTCTTTCCCCCATCCTTAGATTTTTTTCTTCATCTTTATTTTTTATTTTGAATCTATGCAGGAATTATCTGCACATGCCAAAAACAGCTTCTTAGCCCTAATTTGTCATTACCCTCTTTTTTTCTTTGAAAGTTTACTCACAACACACATACCAATTGTCAATATCAATTATTCAAGTAAACACAGCTATACCACCACGACCAGCACACTCACCTAGGACAGGGAAGATTGGTGCAAGATGGGTGGCTCTTTATAGAAACATCTTGGTTATTATTCCATTTTTTAACTACCTGACTGTTGGCTTTGTGGTGTTAACAAATAAAAGGATTTTTTCTAAGGATTCACTTAAAAATATATTAAATGCAATTCTTCTATCTTGATGATTAGGTATTTTTTGTTTTTGATAATTTAGATATTTAAGATTAATAAACAATAATATAGTTACTACTTTTCACTTTGCATCTTTTGACTAATTACAATACTAATTTATTTACTTCCTTTCTTCATTTTGCTATAATACATTTGGACTGCACAGATCCTTTCTCTGCTACTGTAGATGCTGTTGATGATGCCATTCCAAGCTTAAATCCTTTCCTCACAAAAAGTAGTGGTGATGTTCACCTTTCCATTTCTTCAGATGTATCTACTTTTACTACTAGGACACCTACTCATGAAATGTTTGTTGGTAAAGTACCATTTAACCTTTTTTTCCAATCAATGTTTATACTGCCTAACTATATTTTACGTGTCCATTAATTATTTTAAAAGCACTGCAATAGTTACTTTAGATTTTAATATCAAATTCTAAAACTAACCAGCCATAATGTAGTGAGGTTTTTAAATTGACACTGGTATCCCAATTTTATTTATACAGACTTTTAGGAAAATTTCTCTTGATGTTGAACTTTTTTTTTTTTTTTTTTTTTGGTGTTTGGTTCTCTGTCGTGTTATAGTGCAATACTCTAGCTGTCTAGTATCACATGCAGCTTCCTGTTTTAGTTTGGAGAACTGGTTGAAAAGTAACATCACTTAAACTTACATGTTTATATGTGATTATATTTTTCTCTTTGTGCTTGGGAGAGAGGGTGGTTAATCACTCTTAGCAGCTATCTTTAATATTTTATTTCTCTTTTAACTGTTGCACGTCACAGTTTTATATTGTCCAAAATCTATGCATATCTTTTATCCCATTCTGAAGGATTTCACTTTATTGATAGTATGGAGATAAAAGTAGGAAGTATGTGTTTCATTTTAAATAGTAAAGCAGAAACACGACTTGGATATCCTGTAATTACAGTATAAAAAGGCAGAATTTCACACTGAGGTTATATAGGGAATAGTAAGTTTTAAAGTATATGCTGAAGCTGAAATAAATGTTTTTGAATTCTGCTGAAAAAGATGCTAACTCTGCTCCCCCTCAGCCCCAAAGATGATGAAATTTCTTTTGTTCAGTTCAGAGAAACAGCTTAACGGTGATGTGAATTTAAATATTTGATTAAAACAGCATGCAGAAAGTCATCAGTATACCCTCAACAAATCATGTGACCACATTCTAAATATTCTCTTAGATATATATAAGTGAGAGGAAGGAAGAGAAGGAAGAATTAACTAGAAAGCAAGTTAGTAGATCAGACAAAGTTCCAAGTCAGGTGTTGTAAAAATATGACTAGTCTAATAGCTTAAAACACATATATATCCAAAGTGTGATAATTCATTGCAGTAATTCCTTCATGTCATTTTGATACAAGTTGCCAGCCCTTACTCTATAGGATTAAGAACAATCCAGAAAAATCAGAAGAGCTATGTATCTAGATAGCCTCTGACCTTGACAGAGGGAAGACATTTATCTGATACAATGATCAGTGTAATAGGTAGCTTGTCCTCATTGAAGCTTTAAGAACACTGAATTGTACATAAAGGAGAGTCGTGGTCTTAACTATGCTGCATATGTGAGTGTCTGTGAAAGTGTGTAGGCTTGCTTTCTTAGCTGTAAAACCACACATTAGAGGACACGATAGTGTTGGCTAAAAAGCCAACTGCCTAATATTTCTTTTCTAATGAGATACAGTGTTGGGTTTTTCTTTCTAATTTATGCAAACGGAATATGTTTTTTTAATACTTCATGGAGCCTTAAGTTCTTTTTTTAGCAAGTTGTAATTTGAAGAATGCCAAGTGCTTGGGCTCCCCCCATTTTTTGTTTTTCTTGATTACCCATCCCACTCATAACTGTTCCTCCTCTTCTCTTTCTTTTTTTTCTCTTCTTCCTCTTCTTCCTCACGTGCCTCCCTAGCTGCTTCCCTGATTCTTTCCTTCCCCTTCCCCTCTTTTTCTCCCTTTCCTTACTCCTTTCCTGCCTTCCTGCCTTGTATGCCTTGTCAGAATTTTTTGTGTCACTTAAGTTTGTCCTAATACTTCCTTTATGTGCCTTGTTTCTTCTACTGTAGCCAGCTCATTTGGAGCTAGATAACAGTATCTTTACAACTTATTTATGCAGGAAGGATTTTTTTTTTCTTAAAATGAGTTTTTATAAACTTGGTAAGAAAAAATATACTTATTTGCTTTCAGAGAACACACTAGTTTTTGCCTAACTTCATTTGCCTTAATTAAACACTTGGTGGTTTTATGAATAGTTGCTTATCATCTTCTTACTTTACTCCATTCTCAAAACCTTAAATTTTCAGAAGCATGAAAACGTTTTAATATTACAAGGTTATGGAATCTGAAGTTTTGTATTATCTATGTCTTTCCACATATGTTCAAGGCCAGTGTGGTAGCAATAAAACCTCAAAAGTCCAGCTGATATTTTCTGTGTGCATAGTAGTTATTACTGTAGTTAAGTTGGCATTAAAAAGAATGTTTGACACAACTAAAGAATTGAGGCTCTTGATTACAAGAATTGGACAGGACTAAATGTATTTTAAAATGGAATTTATTAGGGCATTTGATGGTATATGCTTGGAGCCTAGTGAACTTAGGTTTGAATTTTAGTTCTGCTTCATGAACTTGACTTTAAGCAAGTATTTAACCTTTTTAAGGCTATGCAAGTTGGGATAATAGTGTCTTGCAGGATTGTCCTGAAGTTTACATACATGACTATGTAACATCTAGCACTTTGCTAGGTATATAAAAGTATCAAAATGACTACTACTAAAAACCATCTCGGGAGCTGGGTACAGTAGCTGGTACCCATAATTCCAGCTAATTAGGAAGCTGAGGCAGGAGGATAGCTTGAGGCCAGGAGTTTGAGGCCAGCCTCGGCAACATGCAAGACCCTATCTCTCAGAAAATTTAAAGAATTTAAAATTCTTGTATATGTGGACCACATCATAATTAGAATGTACTTCTCACCTAAATTATTATGTAGTCATCAACTAAAATCCTAAACATTGATTTTTTCTTTATTGCTTTTAGATTTTAAAATTGCCAAAGATTATTCACTTTTTTTGGTCTAATATTAGCAATGAAAAGCTCAAGAAGTTCATAAAATTTGGGTTGTTTTTAATAATAGTTATAGCAATAGTAAAAAATTTCTTTTTCTACTTACTATATTATGTAAGGTGAAATACTTGGGATTAAACTGAAAACCCTAATAGATTCTAGAATCAAACAAATGGGGGTTCAAGTCTTGGTTCTGATGCTTACTAAATCTTTGACCTTGGGTACATTATGTAATCTCTCTTTGTTTCCTCATCTGTAAAACAGGGATAATAATAACTATGTCATAGGGTTTATGTGAGGTTTAAATAATACCCTGTTTATAAAGCCCTTGCTTAGTGCTTAGTAGTGTTTAATAAATGGTAGTAGTTACTTTGACAAAAAAGTATGAGTCCTAATTTATTGTGAAACTACCACCAAAATCAATTAACAATCCACCCAAATTTTGTAAAAGGTGTTTGGAATGTCTTTCTGTCCCCAAAGCTTGTTGATCTTGTACTTTTCAATTAATTTATTATTGTCCTCTTGAGATTTAACCTGCAGGCCAGTGGTTTCTAAATGATAAACTGTGGATTGGTGCTGGTTAGTGAGAAAGTTTTCACTGGGCCTTGGTGAAATGGAAGAGTAAGCAGGACAATGTAATGATATCATAAAGTTAACCTTAACTCAGAGCTCAGCGCCTGCTCTTTTTAGCATGTGCGCACGCGTGTATGTGTGTGTGTGTATTTCTGTAAACTTTCTCTTTTAGAATAGTGATACTAGCTGGGTCTTTTTGTTTTAAATAACTTTTAAAAATTAAAAGTTGGCGAGGGCCGGGCGCGGTGGCTCACGCCTGTAATCCCAGCACTCTGGGAGGCCGAGGCGGGTGGATCATGAGGTCAGGAGATCGAGACCATCCTGGCTAACAAGGTGAAACCCCGTCTCTACTAAAAATACAAAAAATTAGCCGGGCGCGGTGGCGGGCGCCTGTAGTCCCAGCTACTCGGGAGGCTGAGGCAGGAGAATGGCGTGAACCCAGGAAGTGGAGCTTGCAGTGAGCCGAGATTGCGCCACTGCAGTCCGCAGTCCGGCCTGGGTGACAGAGCGAGACTCCGTCTCAAAAAAAAAAAAAAAAAAAAAAAAAAAAAAAAAAAATTAAAAGTTGGCAGTCCTGATAGTTTCACAAAAAGTCGATAATGTGCATTGAAATTATGATGTAAAACTCTAACCTTGTTGGTGTATGTGTTTCAGGCATGCAGTAATTACTTAAAAGATTTTTACTTTGGAAATTTGGAAATAAACTGCTTGCCTCCCTGATAACTGTGTGACTTTAAGCAAATATTAATAGCCGATTAGCTATTGCAATTTATTAATTTCTTTTTTTAACTTTTTTTTACTTTTTCCCTCTGTTTATAGATGTTTTTAAAACTTGAGATACAAGTTCTGGGTTACTTTATAGTCTTTCTAACCTTGTATACTTTTAGGTAATTATGTCATAATTTCACAGATTGGTACCTCTAGGCACCTCAGGAGATGGCTCCTCTTTTTACAGAAAGTAATGAAGTAATTTCTGTGTGACTATAAAGGATAGGCTTATCTCTTATATCAATCATATTCTAGAAGGCTGAGGCAAAGTAGCAGGAGAAAATGGGAATTTGATATATTGGCCTAATTTTAAATTGTTGTTCCATATATAATCTAAAAGTTAGTGACATCAATAGCCAAGATTATTACCAGAATGATTTAAAGAACATTGTTTGTACTACTTACACTCTGATGATAGCATGGACACATAATTAAGCATGATGGATTTTTTTCTTGAGTAGATACATTCGCTTTTTATGTAAAGAGTTAAGAGAACAACCAATAAGCTGATGGCATAATTCTTAAACACCTTGCACACTTAAAAATATTATTAAATTGGTAAGTCTAGGATTCTCAGATCCTTTTGATGAATAGTCAGAAGATTTATATACTAAATTATTTCGTATTTTGATAGTGTTTTGTGTTCTCATTGTATGACCAATGTCTTTGACTTAATAGTAGTTTAAGGGTTACGTGATTATGGAACAAGATCAAACTGGTACATTCTCTAAAAATGTGTGCGCTACAGAATAGTCATTATAGGATGTGTAAAATGCTACTTTAAAGTAGTATCATTAGTGTGGATCAGCTTGTATGGTTCTTTGCTAATAATAAATTGTTGTTTCTGTCTTTGAGGACCTTCTTGGACATCTCACCAAATCTTGTCCTACTTTTTACAGTTTTCTTTGAGATCAGTCTCTCTAGTACAGCATGACATCATTATACTTTATGTCCTGGTGTTACACATTAAGAATTCAAAGTGAGATTCTGACCTGAATAGAGGAGGGGAAGAAAGGGATCCTAAATTTAGGACACCAAAAGTTTAACTTCTCCCTAATGGTGTAGTTTTTAACCTTCTAATATAGGTGGTTTTTGTTTGCTTCTTGGGTTTTTTATATTCTGACTTAGTAGAATTTAGAAAAGGAAGAGACCTTAGGAGCCTTATGACATTCCACGAGGTGAAATAATTTCTTCTTTGTGATCCTTGTGAGGTTGATATTTATTTGGATATACTCAATGATTGAAAGTTCTCCAAATCACATGACAGACCTAATATTTTTAGGGGATTTTAATTCTTTTCAGCCCCTAGACATTCAGAACCTTACTTAAATATAACCTCACATAATTGGAAATCTTATATTTGTTAACTCTGTATAGGCTGATCTTAAAGATGTGAGCTTATTGTCTGTGTAATACCACTAGCATTAGTGTAACGCAGGCAAGAAAGAATAAGGTCTGTTAATGGTTTTGTGTTGCAAAACTAGAGTCACCTTAATTAGTATGCTTGAGTTTGTGCTTGTCATCCCCACTGTTGCAAGTACTAAGTTGAAGTTAGAGAGTGGTTGAGAGTTGAAAGTGGCATATCTTTTTTCTTTGATGTTTTAAAAGCATATGGATACAGGTGGACATAAGGATTAGTGAGTTGGAACATTCAGAATCCCATCACTGAACTTAAGCTATTTCGCTTTTGATTAACTGTTGAAGGAAGGATGGAGAGAAATACGGAAAATGGGTAGGTGGGAGGGAGAAAAACTTTTATCTTGGGGCTACTAGAAGTTTCATACTTGTTTTTTAAAGCACCACAGAATTCTTACTGCATTCTCAGCTGATCCCTTAAATGTTTTGCTTCATGCAAAATCTTGTAATTTTAGATGTGTTTAGTTTTTTAAAGATTATCTGCATATAAAATTAAGGTAAAAGATAAGCAAAGATTTCTGTAATGAAGCATATTTTCAGTTCAGTGTGAGTTGCTCATTTGTTAATTTTGTCAGTAGGATGATTTTGTTAGGGAAAACGCAATCACTGCGAAAAATGTGATATAGAAAACATTTTGCTTGAAGGATTGGCTTTGTTTTTGTGTGGGGAATTTAGTGCATTTTCCATTCTATTGTCATCATTATTAAATAGTCGTAAATGTAGAGTTATTAAATAATTGAGCTTTTTTCCATTTTGGTTTACTCAGGATTCACTCCTTCTCCAGTTGCACAGCCACACCCTTCAGCTGGCCTTAATGTTGACTTTGAATCTGTGTTTGGAAATAAATCTACAAATGTTATTGTAGATTCTGGGGGTAAGGAAAAAAAATTTTATTAAAAATATTATAATGTCCTAATTTAGATTCTGTGTAAGGAAAAATAATGCTGCTTTTAAAATGTTTAGATATATTAAACTGGGGTAGCCAAAGAAATTGTCCCATCCCCCCAAGCACTAGATGAGAACTTCAAGGAGCTGTTTAGTCATTATTCTTTTATTGGTGCCAATTTAGACTTTGGGAAGAGTGAGTTAGTCCTAGAGCAAAATAAGAGAGAAAAAGAGATTTAGCTCTGTAGAATGCTAAGTTGCTTGTGACTATGTGTAGATGTTGTGCCTTTTTAGGCATACAATTTTTACTTTTACTGAAATGAATAATAACTGTATTGTCTCTTAATGTATGAAATTGGCTATGTTTGTAAACTAGAATAATATAACTTGTGGTACCTTGACTTGTTTAAATAGTCTGTGTATAAACAATTAGAATGTATTAAATAATCAGGCCTGTGGGTACAGGAGCTTTTTATTGTTTTATGAATGATTCTTATTATGGTTCATTTGTCTTAAAGGAACTTTATAGATCTGTAGAACCAGGTTTCCACTTTGTGTTTTCATTAATACCTTGTTAATTTGAAGTGCCTGTAAAACTTTGACACTCATAATTCTGTTCTTACCATCGGATGGCCTTTGATTTTGGTTAGTAATTAACTTTTAGCCATTTAGAGAGAATATATTGAGATGTTCTTAATTTTATAACATATAATTAGTTATCCTTCAAAAACTAAGAAGCAAGCCTATAAAGAATATGTATGGACTAAGAATTTATTTTTTTCTATGCACTAGTAGGTTTATGATAATATTTTTTTGCTGCGGTAGGTTTTAGTTTGTCTTGCCTGGGAAAGTGGAAAGAGAGACCAATCATTGTTGTGAACTATCATCTTTGGTGACTTTCTTTTTCAAACTGTAATATTCCTAGATCATACTATTGAGTCCCATAGAGGGTTTGTTTGATTGGATTTTCTTTTATTTTCTATAATTTGGTGAGGAAAACTTAAAGAATTTTATTTTCATTTTTAAGAATTGTTCTCATTTACTAGATGGGCTTATACAATTACAGTATTTAGCAGTTTCTTAGATATAGTTCACTCTTACATTCTCTGCTTTTAAAAAAAAGGTCTCGGCCGGGCGCGGTGGCTCACGCCTGTAATCCCAGCACTTTGGGAGGCCGAGGCGGGTGGATCATGAGGTCAGGAGATCGAGACCATCCTGGCTAACAAGGTGAAACCCCGTCTCTACTAAAAATACAAAAAATTAGCTGGGCGCGGTGGCGGGCGCCTGTAGTCCCAGCTACTCGGGAGGCTGAGGCAGGAGAATGGCGTGAACCCAGGAAGTGGAGCTTGCAGTGAGCCGAGATTGCGCCACTGCAGTCCGCAGTCCGACCTGGGCGACAGAGCAAGACTCCGTCTCAAAAAAAAAAAAAAAGTCTATAAAATCTTATTTCTTAACGTAAAAGGAACTTTTTTCAAAGTTCCAGAGAGCTATTTTTTAACCTATATTGCTTTAGATATAAGTGAGTCTTCAGAAAATTTTGCTGGGCTAGCAGGAGAATTACATTTGTTTTTTTTCTCTTTTATAATACTTCTCTCTTATCCCCTTTAACCCTAATGTAATTTTGTCATGAGATAAGAGATGATTTCTGTCAAAGCAAATACAGCCTTCTCAGTCAATTCAGTATGAAGTGGTGACTTTCTTCATTTTCCATTTAAAGACATTTACTAATGTCTATTTTTTGGATAACTTTTCCAGTGAATAAACAAGGAGAAAAGGCAAAGACCTCCTTTAGAAAACCATAGCGTCATAAAGTTCCTTACAAATTCTATTTCGTCTGTTTGTAACTTTAAGGCTTTGATGAACTAGGTGGACTTCTCAAACCAACAGTGGCCTCTCAGAACCAGAACCTTCCTGTTGCCAAACTCCCACCTAGCAAGTTAGTATCTGATGACTTGGATTCATCTTTAGCCAACCTTGTGGGCAGTAAGTAGTCTTTGGATACGTTAATCTTCTTTTATGTTGTTTTATTAAACTGCGTCTCGTGTTATAAAATGCTTTTTTGTTTTTCTCCTTTCCTAGATCTTGGCATCGGAAATGGAACCACTAAGAAGTGAGTGTTTAATATACACATTGTTTTCTCCGTGTGTTATTTAGTGTTTTCTCCATGTGTTATTTGGAGGGTTGATTTGGCTTTCCTCTCAAAAATATGTGTAGAGATATCAAGTCTGCATCTTTTTTTTTTTTTTTTGACACGGAGTCTCGCTCTGTTGCTCAGGCTGGAGTACAGTGGCGCAATCTCGGCCCACTGCAAGCTCCGCCTCCCGGATTCACGCCGTTCTTCTGCCTCAGCCTCTCAAGTAGCTGGACTACAGGCACCCACCACCATGCCTGGCTAATTTTTTTGTATTTTTAGTAGAGACGGGGTTTCGCCGTGTTAGCCAGGTTGGTCTCAATCTCCTGACCTCAAGTGATTTGTCCACCTTGGCCTCCCAAAGTGCTGGGATTACAGGCATGAGCCACCACGCCCAGCCTCAAGTCTCTATCTTACTCTGTTCTATATAAGTATATAGCTAAGGAAACTTTATAATTAGAGACATTTAATATTCTCACTTATGTTTATTTAAAGTGATGTAAATTGGAGTCAACCAGGTGAAAAGAAGTTAACTGGGGGATCTAACTGGCAACCAAAGGTTGCACCAACAACCGCTTGGAATGCTGCAACAATGGTGAGTTGAAAAAGCTCCTGATAGACTAACAGTTGAATAATTTAGTTAAATATGTAACATGAAAATGTTTTTAAAGTGATAGACATAAATAGAAGGATTGTTACTGAGTTTAGAAGTATAAGTAATTGTATTTCTTTCAAAGGAAGCTGGTTGCCTATATTTACCAGATACATTTTAGTGGCTAACAAGTATTTAAGGGTTACTTTGTGCCAGACATATTCCAGTAAATAATAATGTTTTATTTTTTATAATCCTCCTATTAATGTGTTAGTCACTATTATTATCCCTATTTTACAGATGAGGAAGTGGAGGCTCAGAGTTATTAAGCAATGTGCTCAGGATTACAGAGATCTTAAATGATGAGTTGAATTTTTATAACCTAGGCAGCCTAACTATAGAACATATGTCCTTAATCACTACTCTATATTACTGACCTCAAATTTTTTATTTATTTTTCTAAAATACAAAATCTTGTGATTTCATTATTGGTAAAGAAACTATACTTGCTTCGGTTTTGTCATATAATTTATATATATGACAATGTGTTTGGCAATTATATATATGTCATATAACTTACACAGTTGATACTCATTATTTGTGGCAGTTAAGTACTTAAGTCACCCCAAACACTGAATTAGTGAACACTGAACCCTTGCTGGGGGAAATATATGCATATATGTATATGTCACATAGACGGTCCTTTTAGAAAACCTCATTCTAGTATATTCTATTTATTTTATGAAAGAGGAAATAAAGTTCAGAAGTGTTAAGTGACTTGCTTAAGGCTGTCGCACTAACTGGTGCCAGAGTTGGAATTTTAGCCCTGTCCAGCTGGCCCCAGAGTCAGAGTTTCTTGCAGTATGATGGACTCCCCATCCTCCTTCTCTATCCTCTGGTCTGGTATGAGAGCTGAACCAAGGCAGAGTGTCCTTTGTTCCATCTCAGCTGGAGGTGAACTGTATTGGATGAGTCAAATTTTTGCCCCTCTGCAAATGAGCATGAATGGCCTTGAAAGCACCAGGAGTGTTGATTTTTGGTGTCACAAAGTTTATCATGTAGGTGAATTTGCAAATATGGAATCCATGAATAATGAGGATTAACTGTATTTTCTAATTAAATAATTAGCATCTAGTAATGAAGAGGTTTTAGTATGTTTTAATTACTGTAAGGTATGGTAGACCCAGAATAGCTCTGTGGCTATTCTCCTGTCCTTGGCCAGTTTCTATCTTACCAACCAACAAATTTTCGTCAGTCAAAGAAAACTCCTTGTGGAAAAGTTTGAAGCATTCTTTCTCCAGACAGTAGGCTAGTAGCTGTGTTTTGATTACACGGGCTACACGTTACTGACAGCTGTCCTGTTACTGTTAGAGGCTGCGGTTGTCCTTATAGCCACTTCCAGAGCACTGCCCTGTTTTCCGTGGGTTAATGATATGTTAAAATTAGTAGGACTGAGCTAAAAATAGTATGTTTGTTAAAATTTGTGCATTTTATTATATAGCTTAAGACTTCATAAATGGAAAGTAATATTGAGATTTAGCTACCTTTTTAAGGCAGTGTTTTTTTGTTGTTGTTTTTGTTTTCTTTCAGACAGTGTTCATTGCCATCACTAATTTTATTATTTTGTATTTTTTTTTTTTTTGTGACGGAGTCTTGCTCTTTTGCCCAGGCTACATTGCAGTGGCGCGACCTCAGCTCACTGCAACCTCTGCCTCCCAGGTTCAAGTGATTCTCCTGCCTTAGCCTCCCGAGTAGCTGGGATTACAGGTGCCCACCACCAGGTCCAGCTAATTTTTAAATTTTTAGTAGAGACTGGGTTTTATTATGTTGGCCAGGCTGGTCTTGAACTGCTGACCTCAAGTGATCCACCCGCCTCAGCCTCCCAGAGTGCTGGGATTACAGGCCTGAGCTACCACGCCCAGCCTATCATCACTGATTTTAAAACTTTGCATTTAAGTAGTTTAGATTTTTATACACACAAATACACAATCTTAAACATGTAAATGTTGCTGTCTTGAGGGAATTGGAGCATGTATCACCCCACTTCTAAAGATTTTTTTTTTCCCTAAGTGCAAAGCAGTTGAAAAGCAGATTTAAGTTGAAATCCATCTCTTTGACTCTGAATCCAGTCTTCTTCCCACTATAACACACCTCACTGACTAGGGTATGGTAGGAGTTTAGAGTAGTGGATTTTATGGACTCGTGTGAATTATGACATTGATGATGTATGAGGAATGATATAAATACCAGTGCTGCTATTAAAATATAATGAATATTTTCTTATATTAAGTTAGTATTAATCTATATGAAGTATTAGGAGTTCATAGATAGCACTTAAGACTGACTACTAAAATGTAGTAGGTATTTAGTCATGTAGAATTTGTATTTAAGTTGATAAGGTAACAGTCTTTATCTTGCTGTGTTATATATGGTAATGTGTATCATCTCCTAAGGATTTTGCTTAAATATTTATATGTATTTTATGGAGTTTTCTTTTTAATGGCTAATGTTTGGGGCTGATAATGTGATTCACTACTTAAGATAAACTGCTGCTTTTGACATTTCTTTACATTTCTAACCTTTTTATTAATCCTTAAACACTGTCAAGGTTTTTCAGTGTTTTTTAAATTTAACACAAATTCATTGGAATTTTATTAAAATATATATTATACTACAAATTCTTTTAATTAGTGCTTGCTTTTTTTCTGTGGTAGACATCTGATGCAACCCTGTTTATGCAATGCCCAAAATTTTGCACTGTTGACACTGTTGATAGAATTGATGTTTTAATGGTACTTGTAATCAATAAACTATTTTTTATATAAAGAGATGAGGCCAAAGACTACAATTCCCTTGTCAACCTTGATAGTGTTTTAGTATAGATGTTCTTTCATTAGATACTGGAAATACAAGGGATTTTAGGTAGTTAGTGAATGTACATGTGAACTAAAATGCTCTCTGTGTATTTTCTGTTGTGTAAGTACTTGTTCTAATCCAGTGTTATTGCATTATGTAATTGTTCTCCCTGGGAAAAACAGAATGGCATGCATTTTCCACAATACGTAAGTGACCAAAAACGAGCCTTTTTGCAATAAATTGGCATGCTATTAACCACTGCTGTAGCAGAATCTCATAACCTTTCAGCTATTACTTGTTTTCACATTCAGATTTTCAATGTGCCAGAAATTCTTCCTAGCATCTACTGATTTCATGGGTGTGTTGCAGAATTGATTCTGATGGTGGCATGGGAAATACCGATTTTTTTTCTTGCTTAATATTCCGCCATTTGCTGCCAGATGGCTGGGTGTCTGTGTGTGTATCTGTGCTGCCACTATGCACTTGATGACTTCTGAATGAAGGGAAATGTTGATTGTGGTAATGTTTAAAATAACAACTGCATGAAATCTTACAGGCTTCTGCTCTTCTTGGCAGTTTGTCTACTGCTCTTGCAGATCTTGGTTTTAAGTAGGGAGAGACCAATAAGTCCTACACGCTCACCCGAATACTAAACTTATAACTATTCACTTTAGTGTTATTTTTTTAAAGTTATATTTCATTTAATTTCTCCATGCATATGTTCAAATTGCCATATAATTTCAGTTATTTTATGTTTTAGCAGTGTTATTGGTCTTTCACCTTTATTCAATTTCAGTTTTCATTATGAGAAACACACACAGGAAATGTTGTTAAGACAGCAACTATATCTAAAATGATTCTGTTCTCAAATTGTATGTTTACAGATAATCAAAGTAGTAGGAAGAGGGGAACTTAAACATCATAGTGATAGATGGTTCTTTTAAACATGAAAGCATAAACTGACCTAATTGATTGTTCCTCTTAAATAATTTTTGGAATAAATTAGAAAGCTAACGTACATACTCTATATAAGAACTATGGCTCATAGAAATAGTCATACTCAATAGTAGTTTGAAACCTTTGGAGTTTTTTGAAAAGAGTGAGTAAGATCCTTAGAAACTAACTTTTTGGAAGATCAGGTTATTGATTGATTTGAGATCTTTACATTTTTTTCTTTGAATGCTAAAGCAATCAGGTACCTAAGTAAGAAAACATTCAATAATACTTTTTCTGGGTAGACATTTTTTAATGATAGTGATAGGCTTTAAATTTTAGAACTATTTAGAACTATTTAAGATACTTTTTTAAATCTAAAGATTTTTAAAGCTGTAAAAAGCATGATGAAATCTTAGATCACTGCTGTATCTAAGTTTAAGTGGTATAGTTATCCTTCTAATAAGTCTGCTTTTCTGCTAATTTCAAAACACTTTTTTTCACTGACCATTAATCGACAGTTCTTAATGATCACAAGTGTCACTTACTCACAGCTGTCTTAGCAATTCTTTTTAGTGGAACTACAGCTACTAATTCCTTGAACTCAGTTGACACACATGAGTTATACTTTCTTGTTCATTTTTCCTTTCACTATGTTAGGCACCCCCTGTAATGGCCTATCCTGCTACTACACCAACAGGCATGATAGGATATGGAATTGTAAGTATTTTCCTAGGTACAGCTTTTGGAAAAAATATTGATTCATATATAACATGTTTTTATTACAATTTAACCTAAAAAAGAATTTAGTGCTCCTCATACTCCTAGCCCTAGTGCCTAATGCAGTAGAACCATAGCATTGGTTTCATAAGTATGTCTAGAATAATCATTATACAAGAGATCTTATGCATTAATGTTCATAGTATTACTTGGTTTATTTTTCTCCTCGTAACTTTGCTGGGCCTTTTATATTTCAAACATTAATGTTAATTCTAAGCCTTTGTTGCTGTGACCATATATTAAATACCAGTGAGGTCTTATAACCTGATATTGTAGGGCATGGGAGGGATTAACACTTGAATTGTATAGAGATAAATTTAGTCTGATAAAGGCTAGAGAAATTTTCCTGTGACAATGATTATTACAGTACAAAAACAGTCTTTTAACCTTTCAAAATGCCACAATGTGCATTTTAGATTGCCCTTAGTTTCCCAACTCTCAGTATATAGAGACTCAATTAGAAAAGAAATGGTGCTAGTAGCTTCAACCCACTGGTATGTATTTGAGGAACTGTTCCTGGTAGAAGGCAGTACCGTGTCCCTTGGTATTGCTACTGTGCCTGCTATGTTACTTCTTTATGTATATGATATGGAAGTAACTCCTTTTATACATGTGGAGAAGTTTCACAGCTTTTTTTCATAGTCATTGCATTAAAATGTCTGCTGAGGCTGGGTGTGGTGGCTTACGCCTGTAATCCCAGCACTTTGGGAGGCCAAGGTGGGTGGATCACCTGAGGTTGGGAGTTCAAGACCAGCCTGACCAATATGGTGAAACTCCGTCTCTACTAAAAATACAAAAATTAGCTGGGTATGGTGGCGCACACCTGTAATTCCAGCTACTTGGGAGGCTGAGGCAGGAGAATGGCTTGAACCCAGGAGGCAGAGGTCACAGTGAGTTGAGATCATGCCACTGCACTCCAGTCTGGGCAACGGAGCAAGACTCCATCTCAAAAAAAAAAAAAAAAAAAAAAGTCTGCTGAGAAACTCAGGCCATAAACTTAAAATGAAGCTCTAAATGCAAATAGTAGTCTGCTTGAAACAATAAATAGAACTTCTTGAAAGGAAAGATTTTAGAGCATTGCATTTTAACCAAAACAGTATTCTGTTTGTGCATTATTTTTACACTAGGTATTGTCACTTACTAGGTTAATTTTATACCCTGTAGTGGTAATTTTTAAAGAAACATATTTGGTTGAGATTGTATTTTCAGTTACTCAAGAAAGAGTTAACCTCTGGTTTGTAGTTTAAGCTCTTTCTTGATTCTTATATGAAATAAAATGGAAGAACTAGAGCAGGCTTATTCAGAGAATCAACTGTCTTCACTTGTGATCACTTGCATAATGGCAAAAGTACTTGATTTGTTATACAAATTTACTTTGAAATTTCTTAGCAGCGAAGACAGAGTCTTAAGTTTTCTTGATGTCTAAACCTGATAAATTTGGAAACTCTTAGTCTTAATCATTTTATCTGTTGTAATACAATAAAGTTTACATTTTGCAACTCATTGAATAGAAAAAGTTAGGCTTTGTTACTACATTTTAAAAATGAGCATGTTAAAGACTTTACTTACCAAAAGAAAAAAAAATACTCTCGAAAGTTTGTAGCTGTTAGTCTTACTTATATTCAGAGGAAGTTACCCTTTGAGTCAAGCAAAGGTACTAGGACCTGTCATCCCTGTTGTCATTGTTATTTACTTAGTCACAATAAGGAAGATAGGAGTCAGTATCTTTTGATATTTTTCTCTTTTTTAGCCTCCACAAATGGGAAGTGTTCCTGTAATGACGCAACCAACCTTAATATACAGCCAGCCTGTCATGAGACCTCCAAACCCCTTTGGCCCTGTATCAGGAGCACAGGTATTACACACTACATGTAACTGTGGTAATGTGTTTGATTTGGAAGGAATATGATACTATAAAACCCTTTTGTACAACTTGAGAAACAAGTTACTAGCACTTTCTACCTTCATTATGGATATTGCTTGCTTCATATCTTTCTTATATAAGAGCTTTAGGAATATTGATTATTTGGAGGGAAAGGATAAGTAGATAGCAAATACTAAAGACAGAAAATTCTTGGTAACTTATAGTTGGTAGATCCAAAGGATGATTTTTCTGAGATTAAGGAGCCTACTTGCTCTTCGTGATTCTGGTGTAGTATCCTTTGTGAACCTCAAAACCATTAACTCAGAGCTTTAGTTCCTTGGCTAATGGCTAGAATGATGCTACAGCAGGGCGTGTTGGCCTTGAGATGCTTGTGAAACTCTTGGCAACTCTCCAAAAAGTTTTGAATGTTATTTTTTCGTTAGATAACTTTCTGCCACTGAGGATTGTTTTCAAAAACCAAAAAAAGGAGTCAAAAAGCTTGAAATGTCATGCTAAACTTAGATGGTTTAATCCAGAGACTTTCCTCTTGACGTGTTTCTAAGGCTTTTCTCTCCTAGTTCCTGAAAATACACCATAAATATACATTGTTTTTTGTCCCATTATTGTTGCATTAGAAGAATTTTTTTTTTTTAATGTTTTACCCGTTACGGTTAGAAGATATAGGAAATTCCTTTGTTATTCACTTCTCTGGTGGCATACTCTGGGATGAGGCTCTTGTGAAGTGATAGGATGGTTTATCCTTCTGTGTCTGTGGCTCTGCTCGTACTGTTTTGACATCTAGAAGTAGTTAATTATATGCAATTGTTAGAACACCCCTCCTTTTCTTAAATGGTTGCTAATGCTAACTGATTGGTTATGTGTTTAATGCTTGAAAACATTTGAATGAGCATTTGCTTAGTGGACTTGTTATTCCCCTTTCACTTGAATGCATATATATTACATTTGCCAAAGCATATAGTCTTACATTGCCAATATTAGTTTATTTGATCCAATTTGAATCTAGTCTCTGTGCACGGTAGTCCCCTCTTCTCTTTGGGGGATATGTTCCAAGACCCACAGTGGATGCCTGAAAATGGGGTAGTACTGAACCATATATATGCTATACATACATACCTCTGATAAAGGTTAATTTATAAATTAAGTACAGTAAGAGATTAATAATAATGAATAATAGAACAGTAACAGTGTACTGTAATAAAAGTTTTGTTAATGTGTGCTCTTGCTCACGGACATGCTTGCTCTCTCCCTCTCTGTCTTTCTCTTGAACTATCTTAATATCCTCTACTTACCTATTTTCAGACCACGGTTCACTTTGGGTAACTGAAACCACAGAAAGTGAAATAGTGGACTGTATTTCATAGACTAGTGAAGCCTAGGCAATCCTTTCATTTCTCAGCCGTTTTGAATAATGCGTCTCTTAATAAATTGATATCTCTGTTTGGCTGAGAGTGGGTAGTGAATTTAGTTCTGATTAAGGGGTAAAATTCATGTTGGTTGCAATTAATACATTTACCAACATGCCTCTTTTTTTACCCCACCCTTTGTCCATGTTAAAATGACTTCCTCCTTGTTCTTTAATCAGTTAAGTATTTACAGTGAAAATTGAAAATAACTTGGAGTGAGGGTAATTGACACAGTCATTACTTTTATAAGTCAGTCACTTTTTGTGCATTTGTTTTTATAAAATAGACTATGAGTGTTTACAGTATTTATAGTAATTGTTATTGAACTTTTACCAGCAGTAATCTCATTACTGGTTTAACTTGATAATCTTTTAAGAAGTATATGGATGATTTCCCTATCTGTTGTAGATGTTTTCTTGATACACAGTTAATGTCTTTTTCATGTCCTTTTGTTTTTTATTTTGTTATTTGTACATTTAACTTCAGATATGTATCATTTACTTTAAAAATTATTATTATTATTTTGGTACAAGAGACTAAGTGATAGAAACCTAAATGTATTTAAGTAATTTTTTTTAAAGCTATAGTCCATGCTAAAAACTTATTAGGGACCTTCGACTACAGAAGTGTTTTTCCTGATATGTAGTTAAACCCTTCACCCACTCTGCATCTTGATTTGCAGGCTGTTGTCAGAATATATTGCTACCTTAAGCTTGGATACTACCAGACAATTTCCAATTACTTTCACATACATTGTGTTAGCCGATTCTTTAAGGTAGATGGGTCTGCTCTCACCGTCACATTTCATAGGTAAAGAAGACAGACTTGGAAGGGTTCTTCAACTAATTAAATGGTGAAATCAACTTATCCCCAGGTGTGTCTGATTCCTAGTCCAGTGCTCATTTATACCACAGTCTCTCTGCTAGTGGTACTGAGCCCTTACTGGCCAATACGGTAGCACCATCTTCTTTCGTCAGCAGTGAACAGTCTGCACACTCCTTAGGTTTTTCTGCTAAATTGTAAACCACATTTACACATTCAGGATGTAACTACTATAGTTGTAAAGAATATTCTCTACAGTTTTGGGTAATAACCTTCAACCTTGAAACATTGTGTATGAGTTTTGCTTTTTAAAAACCTAAACATTTTTTTTTAATGTTGGCAAAAATCTACCTTTAAAAAATTTCTTGTTGGCCAGGCACGGTGGCTCACGCCTGTAGTCCCAGCACTTTGGGAAGCCAAGGTGAGTAGATCACCTGAGGTCGGGAGTTCAAGACCAGCCTGGCCAACATGGTGAAACCCTGTCTCTACTAAAAATACAAAAAATTGCTGGGCTTGGTGGTGCATGTCTGGAATCCCAGCTACTTGGGAGGCTGAGGTGGGGGAATTGCTTGAACCAGGGAGGCAGAGGTTGCAGTGAGCCTGGATTGGGCCATTGCACTCCAGGCTGGGCGACAAGAGCTAAACTCCATCTCAAAACAAACAAAAAATTGCTTGTCATCCAGCATCTGCTCTGTTTTTGTTTTGTTTTTTTTTTTTGAGACAGGGTCTTGCTCTGTCACCCAGACTCGAGTACAGTGGTGCGATCTCGGCTCACTGCAACCTCCATCTCCCATGTTCAAGCCATCCTCCCGCCTTGGCCTCCTGAGTAGCTGAGATTACTGGTGTATGCCACCATGCCTGGCTAATTTTTGTATTTTTTTTAGAGATGGAGTTTTGCCATGTTGCCCAGGCTGTTCTTGAACTCCTGAGCTCTAGCAGTTCATCTGCCTCGGCCTCCCAAAGTGCTGGGATTACAGGTATGAGCCACCGTACCCACCCAGCATCTGCTCTTAACCCAGGTTTTACGTCCTGTTGCCTTCTAAAACCCACATAACCGTTTCACAGAAACACCAGAAAAGTGCCAGAATTTCCTTGTGCATGAAAAAAAACAGGGACAGAAATACCTTTTCTTAATTACTTTATATCAGAAGAGAAGTGAATGAGAACATTAGGGTAATAAGTTTCTAGTTGAAAGATAAAATTTGAAATGAGTACTTAAGTATTACTGAAAAAGCAAATGAAGGAAGCAAATTGATAACTAGGAAAATAAAATCAGGCAGCAATGAAATGGCTTGAAGAAGCTTTGGTCTCTCTACATAGTCATTTGAATCATTTGAAAGTCAGAATCTTAAATTTGTTAATGTTACTTTTAATTATTTTGTAATTCCTTTGTTCTGCATGTATCTAATCACAAAGTCTCACTAATTATTCCTCTGCTATAATTAGACCCACCCTTCTCCTTGCATTCTACAGCTTTCACCCAGTCTTGGAACCTCTTTATTCACACTTGTTTTGCAATAGTCACTCATGTTCTCTGCCTCCCCGATTTAATCCGTTTTGTAAATATTGGAACAATCTTTTGTAGGCAGTATTTGTAATACCCATCTCCATACTCAAACATTTAGGGAGGTGAATCTTTTTTGTGTGTGGGTAATGGAGTCTCACTCTGTCCCCCAGGCTGGAGGGCAGTGGTACGATTTCAGCTCACTGCAGCCTCTGCCTCCTGTGTTAAACCTCCTGCCTCAGCCTCCCCGGCAGCTGGGATTACAGGCACACGCCACCACACCCAACTAATTTTTAGTAGAGACAGGGTTTCACCATGTTGGCCAGGCTGGTCTCAAACTCCTGGCCTCAAGTGATCCTCCCTCCTGGGCCTCCCAAAGTGTTGGGATTACAGGTGTGAGCCACTGTGTCCAGCCTAAGGAGGTGAATCTAAATATAACTGAACATTTAAAGCCTTTTCTCAGCTTTCCTTCCATCTTAAAACAACCTCATGAAGCCTCCCTATTTATAAGAGTAATAATGAGTTAACGGAATATTCAAGTTCTTCGATTCCATGCTTTTACAATTCTCAATAAGTATCCAGTGTTCTGCTGTTATTTGTCTTTTCCATAAGTCCTTCACCTGCCATAAAGTGGGTTTATTCTTTGTCCAGTCTTCAGTCATCTGGTGTCCCTTTCACATCCTTATGAGATCTGGAATTCTTTTCCTTATTCTGCATTATTTTTTCTTACAGACCTTGTGACTACCTGGCATCCATCCAGTCTAGCAAGGGCTTTCTTTACTAGATTATAAGCTTCATGAAGGCAAGCTTCTCTGGCATGTTTACTTCTCTGTCCCTAGTTCCTAGAACAGTGCCTGACATGTAATAGTTTTTGGACATTATTTGTTAAGTAAATGAATCACCTTGTAAACTTACCTTTTTCATCATATAACTTACTCTGCCCCTCCTTAATCTCTCATTTCACTTACTTGTAACCATTATAATAACTTGCAGTGGTGTTCAAAATTGGTTTGATTTGTTGGCTAATAGTTATGGTGAGCTAAAACATTAGACGGCTCACCTGAGGAATGAAGACAGCTTTATTTTATGTTTATGATTGAACATTTTTAATAATTAAAAATTAAACTGTTGGCCGAACACAGTGGCTCATGTCTGTAATACTAGCACTTTGGGAGGCTGAGGTAGGAGGATCACTTAAGTGCAGGAGTTCCAGACCAACCTGGGCAACATAGTGAGACTGTCTGTTTTTTAAAAAGAAAAAAGTAAACTGTTTATCTTTGAACTAGATAAGGTTTTTCTCATGCTTTAAAGCATGTTTAATGATTCTCAGCCAGTCTCTTGGATTAATTTTGTCCGTAGAATGCTAGCCGAAACCAAAAGATTTTTCTTAATGAATTACCTTTTAATTGTTCTTTCATTGTTTTGTTCCCTTTTTTTCAATTGGATTAAAAAATTATTAAGGGCAGAGATCATCCATCTCTTTGTATGGGGTAAAGTAAATGGTAGTTTAAATGAAAAATGAAATTCCATCAAAATGGAATCTTTTAATCAAATCTAATTTCTACAGCTGTTCCCAAAATTCTTCCTTGCTCTTTGAAGTGTTTGTTTTGAGAGCTGTTACTTACCTAAGGCATAACTTGTAGCTCTTGGTCTCTTGCCTGATTACTATTATATCAAGTTAACATTTTTGAGAGAGCTCTAGCCCTCTCAGATACCTTTATCTTGTTGCCATTTAGTGAGACATTCCAGTGTGTTGTGTGTCTTACATTTTATCTAGGTTACTCTAAGCACTGCATTAGTGCTTGTTTATGAGGAAGCAGCTAACACCTTCCAGATGGCTGTTAGCTCAGACTTGATTCAATTCTTCAGGAAATTGTCATTATGGCTTTAATTCAGTAGACTGCGCTGTAGCTTTGAACTTATGAATTCCTATACACATACCCTTTTCTCCGTGTGTGTGTGTGTGTGTGTGTGTGTGTGTGTGTGTGTGTGTGTGTGTGTTGAGTCATTTTTCTGTATTTTTTAGATATTTTCATGGAATTGTTTAACAACAGATACTATTGTTTTTCTGTTTCATGCCTAACATTGTAGCTGTCTTTATTATGTTGTTCTACATTAGTGCATCTTCCTAGATGTTTAACTTCATGATAAATTCTAGGTCCTTGTGGTTTTCCTTTTGTTTCTCTTCTGTGCTTCCTCACAGTCTTACTATTTGGTTACTTGGTACAGATTGCTAGTGTGTCTGGAAAGGGGACTCCTGCTTTCTCTTACTGGTGCTTTACATAAATTGAAATGTCCATTGCTAAGCCAGTAGTTCATAAACTAATTCTTTAGTTGCAATATACAGCTATTATGTTATTAAGCATGAAGACAGTTATAGTTTCAATTTTCTTCTGAAAGTCATTGTGATATGAAATAACACTTTTTAAATGAATGTTTATATGGCAGTTTAGGTATTTTTGAAGCTCTTTGGGGGTGACAAGGGTTGTTGTTGTCATCTTATTTCCTTATATGAAAAATTCCCACTGATCACATATCAATCTGCCTATTTTCCCAGAAGCAATATGAAAAATACAGAGTATTACCTTTGGGCATTTAATTTTAAAATTAACTGTTGGTTTCTTTTTTGTTGTTTTTGTTTGTTTGTTTTGTTTTTTTGAGACAGGGTCTCACTCTGTCCCCCAGGCTGGAGTGCAATGGCACAATCATGGCTCACTGTAGCCTCAGCCTCCAGGGTAGCTAAGACTGCAGGCACACACCACAATGCCTGACTAATTTTTAATTTTTTGTAGAGCAAGCATACATCAGACTGGTCTTGAACTCCTGATCTCAAGCAGTCCTCCCACCTTGGCTTCCAAAAGTGCTGGGATTATAGGCATGAGCCACTGCTCCTGGCCAAGTTTTGTTGGTTTCTTGACTGGTATTAGGCCTTTTTTTAAAGGAGGACTGCCAGTTTTGTTTATGGAGGATATGGTTAAAGATGCAAAATGGCTGCTGTTTTTTGTTGTTTGCAGTGGCTAATTTTAAATCAGTCTGACATCAGTTAAGTGTCTGAAAGGAAATGATGGCTTGTTGTGAGTGCTTTTTATCCTTCTAAATGGGAACACTGTTGCCTTTAGATATTCGAATAATTTAAGTCTTAGAAAAAGCCTTTTAAAGTACTTTCTTGTATTTAAGAACTAGTGGCTGCTTTTAGGTTTCGTTTTGGTTTTGTTTTTTGGTTTTGTTGTTGTTGTTTTATTCTCTTGGTGTGTTAATTGTGAGTATTGGCAGTACCTCCTCTGTCAGCCGATCTCTCCAGCTGGATTTCTGTGAAGAAGGCTTTTTGCCTTGTAAGCAATGTGTTGTGCTCATTCATCCTTGCCTACTGCAGAATACCATGAGGGACGTTTCCTTGGGGATTGGGATGTAGTACCATAGGTGAAAACTAGCTCCTAGTACACACACCTGAATCATTCGAAATAGAAATGTTAGAAGTCTCATCTGCTGATCACTATTGCTAACAAGACAACTTATAGAATAAGACCTTGCTTATTACTAGGTTTTTGCTGAGGACATTCTCGAAAAGGTAGAAATCTAATTTCTTGTCTTAATAAATAAAACCAGAAAGTATTCTTAAAGTCCGGGGTGCCTGTGAAGTTCTGCAGAATCTTCATGACGAACATCAGTGACCATGTATAATACTGTGTATACAGAAAGAATGGGAATGTATTGTCTCACATTTACTAGAAAAGTTCCTTTAAAAAATTATTTCTCTACTCCAACTTTAACTTTTTCTTGTAAATTCAATATAGCCGTAAATTCTAGCTGAATTGAAATTAATTGGGATAGCAGAGTTTGAAGAGGAAAAAAACACCAGCCTTGGAACCAGCAGATCTGCATTAGAGTTTATATTATAGTTTCCTAGGACTGCTGTAACAAAGTGTACCACAAACTTGATTAAGCATGTTAAAAGTTTTTAAGCTCTTAAAAACAGAAATTAAAACAGAAATTTGTTTTCTATCACTTCTGGAGAAATCAGGGTATCGGCAGAGCCATGCTCCCTCTGAATTTTCTAGAGGAGGGTCCTTCCTTGGCTTTTCCAGCTTTTGGTAGCCCCATTCGTTCCATAGTTTGCATCTGTAGCCATTTAGTCTCTACCTGTCAACATGGCATTCTCTCTATGGGTCTCTACCTCCACGTGCCTCTCCTTATAAGGACACTGGTCATCAAATTAGGGTCACTCCAAAGACCTCATCTTAACTTGATTACATCTACAAAGACCCTGTTTCCAAGTAGGGTCAAATTTATGGGCACCAGGGGTTAGGACTTCAACACATCTTTTGGGGGGTCACAATTCAGCAGTCTTGACTTGACTCCTCAGCTAACCATGTGTTGAGAGCAAATTCTCTATGTAACTTTGAGCCTTAGTTTCCTTACCTGTAAAATTGTGGTATTACTTTGTGTACTTTATCATTTTGCTGTAAGGATCAAATGAAAATATTTGAAACTGACTAAGAAAATATTTAAAGGTTGCCCTGTTTTTGGAAATTGTTCCTATTCCCTGAATTGTCCTTATTCTCTAATTCTAAGAGGAGAATTGGGCACAGTGGCTCACACCTGTGATATCAACACTTTTGGAGGCTAAAGTGGAAGGATCACTTGAGCCCAGGAATTGGAGGCTACAGTTAGCAATGATCACACCACTGTACTCCAGCCTGGGCAACAGAGCTAGACCCTGTCTTTGGGGGGGGAAAAACAGTTTTAGAGAGGTTCAGATACAACATACATTCAAAGTGGAATGCTCCCAGGTCACTGTGTGGCATCCCCTAAAACAAAATGCGTAATGCGGGCCGGGTGCGGTGGCTCACACCTGTAATCCCAGCACTTTGGGAGGCTGGGGGAGGGGTGCAGATCACGAGGTCAAGAGTTCGAAACCAGGCTGACCAACATGGTGAAACCCTGTCTCTACAAAAAATACAAAAATTAGCCAGGCGTGGTGGCAGGCACCTGTAGTCCCAGCAACTCAGGAGGCTGAGGCAGGAGAATTGCTGAAACCTGGGAGGCGAAGGTTGCAGTGAGCTGAGATCGCACCACTGTACTCCAGCCTGGGCGACAGAGAGTCTGTCTCAAAAAAAAAAAAAAAAAAAAAAACAAAAAAACAAAATGGGTAATGCATTCAAGGTGACAGGGTTAATGTTGGCATTACTTTGTTATGTTGTTGATGGGCAGAAACCCAAGGTGGGGTTTTGTTGAGCATAAACACAAGAAGCAATTATTTGTGGCACTAGACTTAACCCAAAGGACAGACCCCTACATGTATATAGTAGAGAAATCCTGTCTTTTAGCACTATCTCACAGGGGAAGCTGAGGAATCACATTATCTTTAATATAAATAAATGAAATGCAGCACTGTATAATTTATATCCTTAAGCAACTGGATTCAACGTACCACTAATGGCCTGGTCATGTTTTAAACATTACCCCAAAACAGCCTAACTGTTCTGTGACTCAGTGTCTCTGTGGAATCCTATTTAGTAGCACCATGGTCTCTAAATGTTTTGATTACACATCAGTATTAGGAAAACATGTTTGAAGCATTGTCTAAGTCTGTTTGTGCTGATGTAACAGAATACCATAGACTGGGTAGTTTATAAAGAGAGAAATTATTGGCTTACAGTTGTGGAGGCTGGAAAGTCTAGTATCAGCGTACTGGGATTTGGCAAGGGCCTTCTTGGTGCATGATAGTATGGTGGAAGGTATCACACGGCAGGCAGAAAGGCAGAGAGAGAACAAAAGGGGGCGAACCCACTCCCTTGATGAGAACCTAAATACCTCTTAAAAGTCCTAACTCTCAATGCTGTTTACAATGGCAACCAAATTTAAACAAGAGTTTTGTAGGGAACAAACACTCAATCAAAACCATAGCAAGTATGTACCATGACTGTATGTGTATTTATAAAATACATTCATATATTTCTACAGCAATATATATGAGGTACATTTAAGCATGTAAAAATAGGAATTTTTAAAAATAGGACAGTTGTAATAATTTCTTTGTACATTCCACTTTGGAGACTGTTTTTATATGGAGCTTGTTTTATCACCAAAAGGCATTTTAATTTTGCACACTTTAGAATTCTTACAATGTGTAATTGACTGCTAGTTGCTGAACAAAGGACAGATAAAGTGTTTCCTGCACCTGAGCAGCCTAAAGGTGAGTGTAATACAGATGCACAAGTGACTGGTTGATAATGGAATGAGACCCCTTATAAGAAAGACATAACAGAGCACGGCAGAGGAGCAAGAACAACACAGAGGCAATGACATTTGAGCTAGGCCTCTTATATCTGTAGATGAACATTTGATGGTAGGTAGTAGGGAAGATGGAACTAAGAATATTTGAGCTACTTAATATATGCCAGGCAGCATGCTGAGTGCTTGTGTTCATTTAATTCTCAAGACAGCCATAAGCGGCAGTACAGGTATTGGGCCTATTATTCTAAATCCCATTTTATAAGAGAGTTAGGATTAGATTCAGTTCCATCTTTCTACAAAACCTGGCACTGTCATTCCAGGCAAAGGGAGTACAATCCATTTTTCTCTTAAGAGGTTGATTTTGCCAATGAGACAGAATGAATCTCTACAGCATTGTTAAGTTTCTACCCAGTCTTTTGGGTGACTGAAAAATTCAAATGTAAAGATGTGGCAAAATTGGTTCTCTAAGGATTTTAAGTACAGCCAAATGATATGTCACAAGTTTTTTCCTAAATATCCAACCATTTAGTCTTTCATAAGCTTTTAATTCCACTAGCCTCACTTTCTGAGATTGTTGATGTTTTCTTGTTCTAACCTGAAATTTTCTTTGTTTGATGTTAACAGGAGTATAATGAAGGAGTAACCATTTTTATTTTATGATAGTCTATCAATAGACTTTTTTTAACCTTCTTTAAGCTAGGTGTGTTTGTCCTTTATTAAAGTCAGTTTGACCCAGCCTGTACAACATTGCAAGACCTTAACTTTAATAAAAAAAAAAAAAAAAAAAAAAAGCCAGGTGTGGTGGTGCATGCCTGTAATCCCAGCTACTTGGGAGGCTGAGATGGGAGGATCACTTGAGCCCAGGAGATTGAGGCTGCAGTGACCCGTGACTGCGCCACTACACTACAGCCTGGGTGACAGAACAAGACACTGTTGATAGATAGACTATATGAAACACGCTCTATAACCAAAAAAATCATTGCTCTGGATATAATGCAAAGATTTTGGTAACATTTTACCGTATTTTTTCTTATTGATTGATTAGAGTAGTGGAGGAGGGGAGAAGGAATTTAAGAGATACTATCATCAACCACTTGCAGATTTTAGTATATTTATACGCTGCTCTTCTCAGTATTTCATTTTTCTATACATGAGAAAAGACTATGTCTGTATTGGACCATTACAATTGACCACTTTGTTGAAGACATCTTCAGTTGTGACATAGGTCATTTTGATTTGAACGAACTGATAGCTATACCAATTTTTTTTGGCTCTGTGGGAATTTTGGGATAGAGAATGTTATTTGAAGTAAATAGGTAAAGGCTCTTTTTGTTTTTGTTTTGTTTTAATTTTATTTGTGATAGATACCTGGTGATGTAATAGTAGGGCTTGACTGGAAAGATCAATTATGATTTGTCTTGGTGTCCAGAACAACAAATTACATATGCTCTCTTGTAAAATTTGATGATTTTGTGCTTTATGTGAATAGCTTTATGTGAAAGCAACAGCTTTTGGTTGCTGGTTTGTGTTTTTAATTTTTTATCCTCTAGTACTTTAACCTTGCCTTTTTATGTTCTTTAGCAACCCTACATCATGTTCTTTAATTTACTCACAGAAATAAGTAGAGTCAAGTCAGCTCTTATAGTTTTAAAATTCTCCTACTTCTCACCTACCAAGAACCCATTGCCTCTTCATGCTATTTTGTTCTTGATTTTCCTGAGCAGTAATTGGGCTACTGAAGCACATTTCCTTTCCTTCTCTTATTTACTCTCTGGGGTGACTACTTTCTCACCAGTGCATGGTGTGTCTGTGCTTTGGAATAGATGCCAGGAAGGGGTAGGATGGTCAGGGGCTGCTGTATGTCCCACTCCTTGGAGCTGTGCAGTCAGCCTAGCTAGCCCTGGCTATGGTTTCATCCGCTTGATACAGATATTGATGATAAGAAACTTATTCCAGGGATGTTGTCTTGTTTTCTTATTGGTGGTCTCTGTCATGTTTTAGTTTGGCTACATTTTTATAGATATGAGACGTGTATGTGTTTTACCAATTTAAGAGACTACTAGGAGTTCTAATAAAAAACCAGCTCTTTTTCTCAAGGAAAAGTAATCCTTTTCAACATTGTTTATAAGCCTCTAGGACTTGTCTAGCAGTATGCTCACATATTGAAAATAGATTTGTCTCTTCCGTATTCTTCAGGGGCATTTTACTGTGGGTCTGTCAGGTCTTCAGACTGCTACCCTGGTGAAAACGTGATTTAAGAAGGTATTTCGGTGTGGGGCTATCATAGGAAACTTCTGATTTTAGATGCAGTCTATCTGCAATAAGTAGGATTTGTTGTTGCTGTTGTTTTAACTGTAGGTGAAAAAGAAAATCTGCTTCAGAGAGAAACCAAGTTCATCTTGGAGATAAGTGTGGATGTTGGACTCCCTCCAGCTCAGTAACTGAGGATCACTTTACTTGAAATCGTTGTGCTTTTGATTGGCCGTCCGTGGTTGCGCTGAAGAGGGAGGAGGGGGAGTCTTTCCAGTAGTTATACCTTAATTTGTCTCTGCATGGATGATATTTGAAACCTCAAGCCCAGGCATGCTGCTCTGTCCTCCCATCTGTAGCTGCCTGCGTGATTCCATCATTGTTCCATTTGTCTCTTCCCATTGTCTTTGAACATTTGTTTTTGGGAACAAGATATGCATTAGGAAATTACTCAACCATGAGTATAACTGATGCCTATAAATTGATCTTGGCATCCAGAACAAGTTGCATATACTAGTGATGTAATATTTGCCGAAGCTCATTGGCTGTTCATTCTCTGTAGTGCTTTTCCGAAAATAAATAAATAAATAAATAAATAAATAAATAGGTAGAAAGAAATGAAATCACTTGGCACCAGCAAAGAAATCCTCTATAGGATTTGAATGTTGAAGTATGAATTGAAACTATTTCCAGTTAGTCAACTTTTATTACTCACTAGGACATCCCTAAAAGAAAAGCTCATTTTGTAATAGTCCTGTGCTTATATGCTTTGCAATCTTATACAGAGGGAGAAAAAGAATTAAAAGCTTGTTCCAAAGTAAAAAGGTTCATGTCGGGTTTGAAACGCTCATGTCAGCTTAATGAAGGATACATGTATGAAAATTAATATCTTGGTTCTTCAGGAATAGTCTGTGTTTGGGAGAATAAAGATACATACTGAATTCAGTTGTTTACTTGCCTTACAGTATATTCGAATTAAACAATAGGACAGATTCTAAGAATCAAGTAAATTTGTCCAAACAGGAAGCAGAATCAAAGATCTTAAGTATTCCCCATATTCAGGGCAGTATGTGGACAGTTACAGTAGGTGACCTCTAAGGTCCCTTTCACCTCCCACAGTACGTGTGTCAGCTGCAGTTCGTCAAGATAAATGAGCAGGAGACAACTTCGTGTAAAAAGTGTGTGAACCTAGGACAGGACTTTTCGACCCTTATGAAGAAAGAAAGGAAAGAATATTGCAGCTAGATGTGTTGGGTCCGGACTGAGGTCAGAGTTGCACAGCTTTGGACAGATAGCCTGGACACAGGAAACCATGTTCTCTCAATTTTAAACAAAAATGCAATTATGTATTCCCTCCCCTATCCCCCCACCACCCCCCATACACACATTAAAATTCTTAACCATGGGTCAGCTTATATCGACCTTTTGGGTAAAAGACATTATTCCTTTGAAACTTCAGAAGCACGAGTTTGTTTTCTGAAAAACACATGCCATTGCATACCTTTTAACTTGACATATGACTGAAACTTTTGTCTTAACAATCCATTTTCTACAAAGACTGCCCTTATATTTATTAAAGATGACAAAACCAAAACCACTTCTTCTTTCATACATTTTCTGCTTTCATGTTCTGTCATTCTGAGATCTTTTTTTCTTTCCCTCTCTCTGTCTTCTTTTCCCCCAGCTGTCGGCAGCATCCAGCCCCTCCAGTCACAGTCCTCACAGAGCTTCAGGAAAGGACCCCTTTGCAGAGCTCTCTTTGGAGGATTTCTTATAAATCACTTTAGGTATTGCTACTTGTTTTGGGAGATGGGGACTTAAATACTTAAAAACAATTACCAAACATTAAACACAATTCACGCTTCTCTTTCATTTCTTTAAAGGACTCTAGGCTCCCTCTCCTCCTCCTCCTCTTCCTCTATTCTTTAGGTGCAGAATGAAAAGATAGGACATAAGGAAAAACAACTTTTGGAAAATATCTGTAACATAATTATTTAAAGTAATCTCATCCACTGCTCACAGTAAATGGATGAGATCGGATAAAGTTTGCTTTTTAATTAAGGGCAAGTGAATACTTAAGCCCTTTCGATTAGAAGGATTCTGCATATGATCCACACTGCCTCTGTTTGCTGGAAGACAGTGTAATTTGTTCTTCTTGATGCTCTAGCCCCCAGTTTAGATATACCTTCTAGATCTTTGGGAGTTTATAGTCTTCTGATTTGGCAAGTTTATTAGCACATCTACTTCAGTAATCTTTGGATGGGCAGTTTAAGGGAAATTGTGAGTGAAATATCTTTGAATGAACAGTAGTACCCTATTGAAAAATATTTTTATGGCTCTTTCAGGTTCTTATTTATGTTAATAAAAAGACTTAGTATAATATTACTGTTCCCTTTATTGTCTCTAATTGTATATCATTTGGAAATAATATTTCAAATTTTGCTTCCCAAA
Source organism: Homo sapiens (assembly GCF_000001405.40). Taxonomy (NCBI): domain Eukaryota; kingdom Metazoa; phylum Chordata; class Mammalia; order Primates; family Hominidae; genus Homo; species Homo sapiens. Next base: position 85,960,010 of record NC_000011.10, on the reverse strand, counting down.
TGAGATTTTGCTTGTGGTATTTGTGCTTATGGAGAGATTTTTCTGAACTTGTCATGAAAAAATAGGTCATTGATCTTCTTTCTTTTCCTCCTCCACATGCTATTCCTCTATTTTTAGCAGTTAAGTATTTGGCCTGGATGTGGTTGCTTATGCCTGTAATCCCAGCACCCTGGGAGGCTGATGCGGGAGGATCACTTGGGGCTAGTAGTTCAAGATCAGCCTGGGCAATACGGTGAGACCCTAGTCTCTACCCCCACCCAAAAATTACCCAGGTGTGGTGGCGACTGTCTGCAGTCCTAGCTATTCAGGAGGCTGAGGCAGGAGGGTTGCTTGAGCCCAGGAGTTCCAATGAGCTTTTTTTTTTTTTTTTTTTTTTTGAGATGGAGTTTCGCTCTTGTCTCCCAGGCTGGAGTGCAGTGGCACGATCTCAGCTCACTGCAACCTCCACCTCCTGGGTTCAAGCCATTCTCCTGCCTCAGCCTCCCGAGTAGCTAGGATTACAGGCGCCCGCCACCACGCCTGGCTAATTTTTGTATTTTTAGTAGAGACGGGGTTTCACCATATTGGCCAGGCCAGTCTCGAACTCTCGAACTCACCTCAGGTGATCTGCCCACCTCAGCCTCCCAGAGTGCTGGGATTACAGGTGTGAGCTATGGTGCCCAGCCATTGAGCTTTGATCATGCCACTGCAATCCAGCCTAGACAGCAGAGCAAGACTCTGTCTCAAAAACAACAACAAAAAACATTATTTGGAAGTCCCTATATGTGTCAAATATTGAGCTTTCTGGCACATAAGTTGATAATACTGACTTTGTTTTATAAACAGGGTTTGTGATAAGCATGTTGTGAACACTTCTGGGCCAGTTAAATGGTAAAGACCACAAAGCATTTTTATTTATGAGAAGACATCCTACAATACAATGAATTAACATACCCACTTTTTTTTTCCAGATACAGTTTATGTAACTTGATGGAAGAAAATGGAATTACTCCAAAAAGACAAGTGCTCAAGCAGCAAAATCCTTACTTCCAGCAAAATCCAAACTGCTGTCTCTTAAATCTCTTAAACTCTCTTCTTCCATTAGAATGCTACAAGTAACTCAGTGAAGGCCCATGAAGGAAATTGGGACTAGTTTATAGGAGAACGTATCAATACAGTTTATAAAGCCAAGAATTGCTATGATTTAAGACTAAGATCTGTCTTTTTGGTGACTAACCCTTCAATTCTTTCAACTCCTGTTAATACCCATAATCAGTAACCTATCAAGAAAAGCCCTTATTTGGAAAGTGTGAAATTTGTATTTGGAAAAGCTGCCTGGAGAGAAGAACTGTGTCCTTTACTGTATTTCAACAGGACTCTTTTGGGGGATCAAAATTAAAATTCCTAATTATGCATTATCTTTCTTTTCTCCAGTCCTCACAAATACAGAAACAATAACTGAAATTAACTTTTCTTTTTTTAAAAAAAATTATATTCAGTTTGCAGTAGACATTCCTTAAGTATTTGTATTTATTTATGATTATCAATTTTACATAACATTAATATTGTATCAGACCTCCTTATGAAAATGAGTATGGATGTGCACAGTATGTTTGATTTTTATCCACAAGAATGAATCTGATTCAGAATGCTTTTCTCAGCTGACATACAGAGCACTAAATATTTTAAGGCAAGTCCATAGGTCTGAATCTCTTAAGAATTCTCGGCCTCTGTGGGATTTAGGGAAGCATTATAAATGCATTAATCCTTATAGTCAATTCTGTGCCTAGGATTTTGCCAGGGAACAGTTCACTGACTAGGAAAAGCACTACATTTTAAATTCAGCATTAGTGCATTGGGAAGGATCTTTACTGCTTTGTGCTTGGCATGTCATTATTTTCCATTTGACATTAGGGCCTTTCCAAAATGAATGTGAGGAATTGCTTTCACTTCAAGACTTTCCTTCTTTTCACTAAAACTCTAGAAGGTGTTACAAGGGGGAGGGAAGGGGGGCAAAGTCCTTGAACATTTTCTTTGGCTCGTGCCATGTTATGATCATATACCTTTTAAATAAGGGGAAATAGTATCTTTAAAGTTAATGTCTAGCCAAGAGTTTAGTAAACGAAGAATTAAACTGCACTGTTGATCGGTGCTTTGTGTAAATACATCTTTAACATTTGGGTGGAGAGGGGCCTTAAGAAGGACAGTTCATTGTAGGAAAGCAATTCTGTACATGAGTTTAAGCATTCTTGTTGCATTGTCTCTGCAGATTCTATTTTTGTTTACAATATTAAAATGTATGTTAGCAAAATGGGTGGATTTTCAAATAAAATGCAGCTTCCACAAAAGTTTTGTTATGGTATTCTGGTCTGAGATGCATTTTCATTTTTCCTTTCTCTTTTTATTATCAATATTGTCATTTTTCCCTAATAAAATATACCCAGGTGATTATATTTGTTGATCTAATAACATGGAAGGTTTGTTTTATATGAATTTTCAAAAAGATGTCTCTTTACACTTTTTGTTACCTTGTAGACTCTTATTGATAAATGCAACTACTTATTAAAATTGTTCACTTTTTGTCTTTTGATCAGATGCCTTTAGTCAGGTAAGTTTAAGGGAAAATACGCAGTTTAATGTTTTGGTACATATAATTATGTCTGCCAAAGAAACCTTTGATTGTATCATATTGCCTATTTAGTAGTGCATAGGGTTCAGAGTACATGATAAAGGATCAAAAGCTTTGCATTGATAAGTGTCTCATAATATTTGCTGTGATTGGAGAAAAAATGTAGTCGTAGCCAATAAATTTTATCAGCTTTTAAGTTTCAGTATTATTAAACCATTTTCATATAAACTGGGAAGTTGTACTTTTATAAGTTACCCTCCTTAACTTTACAAATTTTTGTCTCTTGTGGTGTTTGAGGAGGTGTTTATATTTAAGGTCTGTGGCTTGTTTTCTTTCATATTGCCTTTTTTTTTTTAAGTATGTTTCAGTATGTGACGTGCTTCATAGCCATTTTTATTTCATTGTTTAAACAACTTTTGGGCTATGTTTGATAAGTGTTATCCATATTTTACCCATTTTATATGTAGGAATCAGAAATCAGAAAAGGAGCTGGGTGCAGTGGCTCACACCTGTTATTCCAGTAATTTGGGAGGCTGAGGTACATGATCACTTGAGCCCAGGAGTTCAAGACCAGCCTGGGCAACATGGTGAAACGCTATCTGTACCAAAAATACAAAAATTAGCCAGGTATATGCCTATAGTCCCAGCTACTTGGGAGACTGAAGTGGTAGGATCACCCGAGTCCAGGATGTTGAGGCTGCAGTGAGCTGGGATCATGCCACTGCATACTCCACCCTGGGTGACAGAGTGAGACCCTGTTTAAAAAAAAAAGGAACTTGCCCAGATGAGTAAGTTAACAGATGGAAATCAAATCTTTGCTTTCATGGTCCATTGTTCTCTCTGTGACCTGCTGTCACGTAATTCATATATATATACTGACATGGAGATTGTTTCCCTCTGCAATCTAGACTGATGGCCACTCTTTATTCCCAGTGGTCTTTAGTGAAGTACATTTCCTGCCTCCTCCTCTGATGCCCAGACATCGTTGACAAGGAAGAATGCAAACATGCGACAAGAGCAACTTTAACCAAAATATAATGAGTGAAGTAAATCAGCTATTGATTACATAATTACATCAGGCTGTAAACTCATACATGCTCATGTCATTTTACTATCCAGTTAGCAAGTAGCTATTGGCTGAGATAAGAGAGAAGATTGTAAGCAGAGGACAACTGTACCTGTCCCAAATCGTTTTCAAAATTATTTGCCTTTGATTTAACATCTATCAGCATTCAGCATTTTTTAAAAGGTATCCCTTTCTTAACAAGTGACTATGAGAATACATATTTAGGAAGAGGACTTCCTTATGTTAGCCTAGGAATCTTCTGCTTTTCCAGAAGCCAACAAAATGTGACTTATGAGAAATAGGCCTTAATGGGATGTTTTTCTTGAACTAAAAATAATTTCAAGGTTCTTCTCATTTATCGTAACTCACAAACACGCTTCCAAACTCTGTTTGCTTATTCTACAAAATTCCACAGAGAAAAAAAATCTCTCTTAAGAGTGAGTGTGGCTCCTGTGTGCTAGCAGTGACTAGGTCACAATGTATGGAGACACCACAGTAGTAAGCCAGATGAATTTATTCTTGCCTTCCAGGAAAGATATTTCACAGCTTTCATCAGTGGCCTCTGCAGTCAGCTTAGATCTTTGTTCTGCCACACTTGCTGCCTTCCATGGGTGTGACTAGCCCTTCTGGAATTCTGCTGTCTGAAGTTTCGGAAAAGAAAGGCTGCATTATCATCCATGCTGTCTCTTGCTGAAAACATTAAGCTGATTTCTTGCTGTTACTAAGAAGTAATGTCCTATTTGAAGTATCACCAATCCAAAAGGTTTTCTGTGTTTCTAGCTAGTATTCCTAATGTTAGCATAAGCACTCATTGTGTCCCATTTGTTGTTGATGTAGTATGCAGACGTAGTTGCATGAAAGCTGTATGAAACTGACAACACTGTTAATGAAAGTTCCTTCTATGGTATTTGTTCTGGGGCAGATGTAACTTGAAGCGAATATTAAACTGATTTTAGGCAGACAACTAGGAGAGAAAGGTGAGGTTAGAAAAAGTTTTGTTTTCTGATAAGCCCTGGTTCAAAATAGCTTTTTATCTAATAAAAAAGCTAATTTTAGGCCAGTGCAGTGGCTCATGTCTGTAATCCCAACACTTTGGGAGGACAAAGTGGGCGGATCACTTGAGCCCAGGAGCTTGAGACCAGCCTGGCCAACATGGTGAAACCCCGTCTCTACAACAGTGAAAAAAAAAAAAAAAATTAAGTCCCAGCCACTCCAAAGGCTGAGATGGGAGGATCACTTGAACCCGGTATGGTTGAGGCTGCTGTGAGCCGAGGTCACACCATTGCACTCCAGCCTGGGCAACAGAGTGAGGTGAGACCCTGCTTCAAAAAAAAAAAAAATTAAAGTTTTGTTTTGTTTTTGTTTTGAGGTGGAGTCTCACTCTGTTGCTCAGGCTGTAGTGCAGTGGCGTGATTTTGGCTCACTGCAACCTCCACCTCCCAGGTTCAAGCGATTCTCCTGCCTCATGTGCCTGCCACCATGCCTGGCTAATTTTTGTATTTTAATAGAGATGGGATTTCACTATGTTGGCCAGGCTGGCTCAAACTCCTGACCTTGAGTGATCCCGCCTCCATCTCCCAAAGTGCTGAGATTACAGGCGTGAGCCACCACACCCAGCCTAAAGTTGGTTTTGAAATAAAAATTGTGTGTGATTGACCTTGTGAGCTAAACCTTGCTCTGTCGGAGCCTTCCCCAATTAGGTACCCTGTCTGTCTTCCTTGAGCCTTGGTCCCTTGGCAGCTGTCCTGTCCTCTGGATAAACAAGTATTGAGTTACCGTGCCTCTGACTGGGACCCTAGGGAAGGAAATATCAAGTAGCCCCCCACTGCCCACCACTTAGGCTATCTAGGAAGTCAGATTTCTTTAAACTTTTAAGAACACTACATGGAAGCATTAAGCACACCACACTGGCACTGCCAGCTAGCTTAGTGCCTGTGTAAGGCACAAAATATTAAATCTGCATCTCTGATCATTTTTGTCCTAAGAAGGGTAGTAGTGTTAGTCTGTTCTTGGGGTTGCTATAAATACCTGAGGTTAGGTAATTTACAAAGAAAAGAGGTTTAATTGGCTCATGGCAGGCTGCATGGCACTGGCTTCTGGTGAGGCTTCAGGAAGCTTTTACTCATAGCCAAAGACAAAGTAGAGAGCAGGCCTGTTTACAAACAGGAATTCATACTTAAGAATAAGAGGTCAGATTAATGGGATGTATCACCCCTTGAGACCAAACCTGCAGCACAAAAGAGCCTTGGTCTCACAGGTCACAAATAGACATTCAGTGCAGATTTTTATTGCTATCATCCCAGGTTAGAGCCCAGTCTACACTACCTGATAGCTGGCTCTGCTGATACTCAGGCCAACCCAAGGGAAAAAGATGGATTTTCTTTTTGGGGGAAGGCTGGTCTTTGGTGCAGACAGGAGGAATACTGGTCCAATGGGCTTAGGAGAACAATATTTATCAGTCACCCAATAGAGAAGCGTGCTTTCCATTCATCAATGTTTATTTTACTGTCTTATAGGAAACTTGGGAAGTAAGCAGGACTTCCCAGGCCTCTTGTCTTGTGTTATGGGAAACCACAGGACCCATCAGGCATTTTTAGTTTCATTTACCAGGCAGTTTATTGATTGCAACACTTAGCATACATGATTCACAAAGTTCTCATTCTTGATAATTTTCTGCCCAAATGTAGCTTCCTGAGAAGGGCAGGAGTGATCCATCACGTGGTGGGTGTTCATGTTTCTGGTTGGCTCCAGCCCCTTCCCTTGAATCCTGTGCTTTAACAGCTGGAATCCTTCAGTGTGTTTGGGTGGCTCACTGCTTATCAAATATTCAAGGCCTACAACCATTGCAGCCTTTCTCATACCTCCACTCTTGAAGCTTCTGCTCAGGCTAACTGTCTCTTCCCTGCCTCTTAATTGAAACTCTGGAATTCTCTGTGCCTTTGTTTTTACCTATTTGCCTGTTCAAAGTCTGTAATTATTGGGATGGAAAGTGAGCAACTCTGATCATTTTTAGGAGCACTGTAAATTGGCCAGCCCTTCCAGAAAGTCATAAAAATGTTTGTCTCCTTTGCTCAGTAATTCCACTTCTAGACATTTAAAGAAGTCCAGAAGTATTAAAAGAGCTGAAACTGGATCCCTTCCTTACACCTTATACAAAAATTAATTCAAGATGGATTAAAGACTTACATGTTAGACCTAAAACCATAAAAACCCTAGAAGAAAACCTAGGCAATACCATTCAGGACATGGGCATGGGCAAGGACTTCATATCTAAAACACCAAAAGAAATGGCAACAAAAGCCAAAATTGACAAATGGGATCTAATTAAACTAAAGAGCTTCTGCACAGCAAAAGAAATTACCATGAGAGTGAACAGGCAACCTACAAAATGGGAGAAAATTTTCGCAACCTACTCATCTGACAAAGGGCTAATATCCAGAATCTACAATGAACTCAAACAAATTTACAAGAAAAAAACAACCCCATCAAAAAGTGGGCGAAGGATATGAACAGACACTTCTCAAAAGAAGACATTTATGCAGCCAAAAAACACATGAAAAAATGCTCATCATCACTGGCCATCAGAGAAATGCAAATCAAAACCACAATGAGATACCATCTCACACCAGTTAGAATGGCTATCATTAAAAAGTCAGGAAACAACAGGTGCTGGAGAGGATGTGGAGAAATAGGAACACTTTTACACTGTTGGTGGGACCGTAAACTAATTCAACCATTGTGGAAGTCAGTGTGGCGATTCCTCAGGGATCTAGAACTAGAAATACCATTTGACCCAGCCATCCCATTACTGGGTATATACCCAAAGGATTATAAATCATGCTGCTATAAAGACACATGCACACGTATGTTTATTGCGGCAATATTCACAATAGCAAAGACTTGGAACCAACCCAAATGCCCAACAACAATAGACTGGATTAAGAAAATGTGGCACGTAATACACCATGGAATACTATGCAGCCATAAAAAATGAAGAGTTCATGTCCTTTGTAGGGACGTGGATGAAACTGGAAACCATCATTCTCAGCAAACTATCGCAAGGACAAAAAAACAAACACCACATGTTCTCACTCATAGGTGGGAATTGAACAATGAGAGCACATGGACACAGGAAGGGGAACATCACACTCTGGGGACTGTCATGAGGTGGGGGGAGCGGGGAGGGATAGCATTAGGAGATCTACCTAATGCTAAATGACGAGTTAATGGGTGCAGCACACCAACATGGCACATGTATACATATGTAACAAACCTGCACATTGTGCACATGTACCCTAAAACTTCAAGTATAATAATAATAAAATAAAGAAAAAAAAAGTACCTATGACAGCGGTTGAGATTACCAAAGGAACCACTGTGTGCCAGAGTAAGGGCCAAGGATGAGTCCCAGGGAACACACCCTTATTAAGGGGTGAAGGCCAGGAAAGAACAATCAAAGCTGGAGGCGGAGAACCAGGAAAGATAATTATGTCAAGGATATAACTGAAGAAGTAGGGAATGGCCAACACAAGTAAAATAAAGACCAAAACCTGCCCATTGGTTCTAGCAATTAGGAACTTGAACCTTACCCCTAGATATACCTGGGAATTGTCAGGGACAGAAGGCAGATCACATGGCATTGAGAAAATGCAGAGATATCAAAAAGCTATGAACTAAAAGAGATACTAAGCAAAAGACTGACCAAGGAAGATTTTTAGAAAGCAGATTGAGTTCTTCGTTCATCCATTCAATACACTGAGTGCCTTCAATGTGCCAGTAGTTCTAGGTGCAAGAATCAATAAACAAAACATAGATTCTTCTTTCATTGAGCTTATTTTCTTGTGAGAGTAGGCAATTAGCAAATATTTTATGACAAATGATGATGAGTGTTGTGAGAAAAAAATAGTAGAGAGAGTGATGTGAGCAGAGTGTGGTGCTGTTTGGGATAGGGTCAAGGAAGACCTTGAAGTCATCTTTGAACAGAGATACTAAGTAAGGAAGCAGGATGGTAAGATTTGGAGAGTGGCTCTCCTCCCCACATATGGGGGCAGAGGGCAGAACAAAGGCCCTGTTTCCCTAGTCAGAAACAGCACTGTCGCCAGCAAGGTTTGAACAAAGCGAGCAGGTTGGAGCTGAGGTCAGGGGTGGCAGTGGGCCTAGGCTAGGCCATGCTGAGGCTTGGATTTCTTTCTCAGTGGGGAAGCCACCGAAAATGTTGACCAGAGGATTCTTTAAAAACTTTTGTTGCTAAAAGGCTCGCTCTGGCTGCTGTATTATGAAGGAACTATAGGGAGACTATTATAACAGTCTTCCAACATGAGCAAAACTTAGCCCCTGAAAGCTGTAGTGAGCTAGAGGAGATAGCTAGGTGAGAGACAATCAGATAGGTTGCAAAATCAGCGGGAGAAAGGGAAATGCTGAGTGGTTAGGACTGGAAATGTTATGGGGTAGGAGATGGAAGAAAGGCAGATGAAGAGCCTGGAATATGGAAATACGCAGAGGACCATTTGCAGAAATCCCTTCCTTGGAGAGTATCACCATCACTGAGGGAAGCAACTACTGCTTGATGAGAGAGTACAGCATAGCAGTAATGGTGTAAACTCTGCCATGCTGTGTGTTTAAACCCCAGTTTGAGCAAGTTACATACTCTCCCTTTGTCTCAGTTTCTTCATCTGTAAAATTATCATAATAGTGCCTACCTCATAAGACTGTTGTATATAATGAATTTTTTAAATTTTTATTTATTTTTTTTGAGACAGGGTCTCACTCTGTTGCCCAGGCTGGAGTGCAGTAGCGCCATCTCCGCTCACTGCAACCTCTGCCTCCCAGGTTAAAGAGATTCTTGTGCCTCAGCCTCCCGAGTAGCTGGGATTACAGGTGTGAGCCACCACATCTGGCTAATTTTTGTATTTAGTAGAGATGAGGTTTCGCCATGTTGGCCAGCCTGGTCGTGAACTCCTGACCTCAAGTGATCCGCCCACCTCAACCTCCCAAAGTGCTGGGATTACAGGCCTGTGCCACCATGCCTGACTTGTATTTAATGAATTTAAAAGATACACTCAGAACATGATAAAGATGTGATATGTAATTACTGTTATTCTCACTGGGATGCAGAACAGCTTGTAGTCAAGAGCCTAGATTCTGGATCCAAATTACCTGTGTTCAAATCCTGGCTCTGCTCCTTTACTACCTGGAGAACTTTAAAAAGTTACTGAATTTCCCTCTGCCTGTTTTTTCATCTGTAAAATGGGTGTAATTATAGACCCTACCTCATAGGGTTATAATAGATAGGATCAGTATGTGTAAAGTGCATATAATAAGCACATTTAAGTGTTTGCTATTGTTTGTATTACTAAATTGTTGACATTGCCAATTCTGCCTTTTTACATAGCTGACCAAAGCCCAATGCCTGTGGAGATCCCATGAGTGGTTTTCAAAGCAGAACTTTGAACCCCTGACTCCACATGTCCTCACGACAAGCAGGAGTTCTTGGTCCTGGGGCAACTTCAGTAATATTATAGTTTGGTGTGACAGAACACATTTTTGAAAACAGCCAACCCCACACATAAGTATACTTAGGGCAACAGTTTAGATGCCCATAGATATTTTCTAAGTAGAATACTTTCTAATGTACTTTGAGCCCTTTTTAAAACATTTTTTCTTCGTATCATCCAGCCCAAAATGTCAATTTGTAAAAAAAAAATTTAACAGAATAAATTGCTTACCCAGCCCTATTTAATGTCCTAGAGACTAGAGACTACTTTTCTTTTCTTTTTCTTTTTCTTTTTTTTTTTTTTTTGAGACAAGGTCTGGCTCTGTCACCCAGACCAGAGTGCAGTGGCAAGATCATGGCTCACTGCAGCCTTGAACTTCTAGGCTGAAGCAATTCTCCCACCTCAGCCCCCAAGTAGCTGGGACTACAGGTGTATGCCACCACACCCAGCTAATTTTTTAACTTTTTGTAGAGGGGAGGTCTCACTATATCGCCCAGGCTGGTCTCGAACTCCTGAGCTCAAGCAATCTTCCCACCATGGCCTCCCAAAGTGCTAGGATTACAGGCATGAGCCACCACACCTGGCAGAGACAATATTTTACTATTGAAACCATTGACTTCTCATAAGGGAAATATTCAGTCTCTGTATGAGGATTGGTTTTGGTTGTGTATAACAGTAAACTTAAACTAACAATGATTCAAACAAGATAGTTTCTTTTCCCTCACACATGGAAGTGTGACTTGGTATGTGTGCCTACTCTGCCCCACAAGATTGTTAAGTGTCCACTTTTAGGTCTAGGTGTCTTGGTGTCGCACAGTCCTTAAGGTATTACTCTCAGGTGCACAATCCAATACGGCTAAGCAGCATAACCACATTCCAAGCAGCAGGATTCAGGTGGGTGGGGACAGGAGAAGAGATGACCCAGAAATTGTGCACACTTCTTGCACTTCTGTTCACATTCCATTGGCCAGAACTTTGTCATATGGCTATTTAAAAAAAAGCCTAAAGACTAAAAAAATGTATTTAATTTGAGTGACCGTGTACCAACTAAAACAGCTAAATAGATGATTATAGAAGAAGGGGGAGAGTAGTTTATTTTTTTCACTTATATTTTGTACTATTGCTAATAGGGAGAATATATTTAAAGACAAAATAGCAACCAGTGCCACAGTCCTACAATTTTTATTAGAAGAATTAATTTCATGAAGCTTTTTCTGATCTGTGACTTCAAAACCCATGACACATACTGCAAGTTGAGATCTGAGAAATCTTTTAAAATAATGTTTTAGAATTGAAATGTGTCAATGAAAACAAATACAAAAAACATCAAAAGCTTAAAAAAATGAAAACTAAGCAGATCCAAGCTGCTAGTGCTGAGTAAATGTTACAAGACATGTTGAAAATATGTACATTCTCACCAGATTTTAGGTCCAGCTATATCTCACGTTGACATTTCCATATAAATAGCATAAAAGTAAAAAAAGACACTTTTTAAGTGGCTAGGCGAAAATGACTGATGTAAAAATGAGATGTAACGAAGAACATTAAAGCTCTAAGGTTAATTACACACTTGTGCTAGAACCTCAAGGGAGGTCAGGGTACACCATCCCTCTGATTTGGTGTCTGAGGACTTTGAGGTAAAAGTGACTCGCTGGCCTCATTCAGAGTAGTCATAGAGAGGGGAATCCCACGTGGTTAATTTTCATTCTTCTTAGGAGGAAAATGTTGCAAGGGCTAGCATATTTTTATACAAAAAGATGGCAGTAACCCAAGAAGGCAAGAGGTCAGCGAGTTGACACAGGACTTGAGGAAGGAAATGCTGACAAAACCTTATGCTAAGAATCTGTGAGGATATCTGAATCTGCAGTTACTTTAAGACTCATTTGTTGTGCTGGAAATCTGAAAACATTTCTATTTAAAGATTCTTTAAAAGTATCTTAAAGGCTTTTAGCACTTACTCAGATCATAAGAACAGAATGACCTAAAACATAACCAACCTAAAGAGTCACGATACAAAAAAAAAAAAAAAGGCTTTCTGGGAACATGAGCCTCACAAAGTCATAGGAATAGGAAATGGAAATACTTAATCAAGTTAAAGTCACTAATATTTAGAAAGCCTCAGTTGTTCGAGGGTGCATTTCCTTGTGTCTGTTACAAAAGCCAGTTTATTCCAAGAAAAATACAGAGAACTGTTGTGTTGGCATCTAGTAAAACAAGCAAGGAAATCAGTCCTTTAACAAACAGCCCTTTGTTGCCATAAAACTAACCTAGCCTCTCTGTTCCCTGAATGGTTCTAGTGTCTGACTACATGGCTTGAGAAGAGACAAAAATGCCTGTACCCCACCTCCTGCTACACATAAGAATTTTGGAACTAGGTTTACTACTTGTCCCTACAGCCTCAAGTAGATCAGCAGATTCAGGATGGGCCCTTGGAGCCTACTGGATGAAGACCATGCCCCTATACCAGGGCGGTGACTGATTTGCTCTCAGCAAAAGACAGAGCGAGCCTTTGGATTAATAAGCATGTAGTTACCCCATATGCATATAAAACTATCATATATCTATACAAATTAAAACTTAAAGTGTGTAGAGCCCGGCTGTCATCATACTGGTTTGCACCTGACACCATGTGACGGATTGGACACAGACTCTGCTCTGTGTGCCTTTACGTGAATGCATTGCAAAGACAACCATACTCTTTGGCTACTTCCAGAGAATCTTTAGAGATTCCTGTTATATGTCAATTTTTTCAACTGCCATATATTGCATGTCTACTATGTGTAGGTTACACACTTTCTAATCCTTAAATAATACTGCAGTATGGGAATTAGGTTTGTAAAGTATAGTTGAGGAAACCAGGGTTTAAAGAGGTTAAGTGACCACCCAAGATGCAAAGGCAGCCAGCCTGACTCCACAGAATGTGTTTTCCCATACTCTGTCTCTTTACACCTCCTTAATTTCTTCAAACCTAGCTAATTTTTGGCCTAAAGTAAGCAACTTACTACCCTGAAGCTCAAGCTCCAACCACCTTGTTCCTGCCCCTCAAATCTTGAATAACAACATGCAAAACTCAAATACTTTGTTATTCTGAGAACTGAAACCTACATAAAAATCCTCCTAAACTCATTTTTACTTAAATTGCTTTTTCCAAGCCTATTACTAAAGGTACTAAAAACAGTGTGAGCTAAACACATGGTAGCCTCACCCACCACACCTAGAATAGCTTTTCCTGTCTTCTCCCACTTTCCTTGCTTCCTTCCCTCCTTGTTATTGCTGAAGACTGAAAGCAGCAATGATGGCTCAGGCTCTCTTAGTGGACCATGAGCTATTTGAGGAAAGAAGCAGTTTGATTTTGCATCCCTAAAACCTTACAAACAGTGCCTGACTGGTTCCATAAATGCTTTGTTGAATGAGTGACACCCATAGGAAGTTCACAGTGGTACAACTTTATTGAGAGTTGCTTTGCAATGTAGTCATTAACAAAGCTACCATTGTAAGCTGTTTGGAATTTGAGTTGTTGAGAAAACTGCAGATTTATTTTAGAGATACTGCTATTCTGCAAATCTCAAACACAAGAAATGATACTAATGGAAGGAAAGCACATTGATATGGTTTGAATGTTTGTCTCCTCCAAATCTCATGTTGAAATGTAATCTCCAATGTTGGAGGTAGGGCCTGGTGGGAGGTGATTGGATCATGAGGGCAAATGCCTCATGAATGGTTTAACACCATCCCCTTGGTGATAAGTGAGTTCTTGCTCAGGTCACATGAGATCTGGTTGTTTAAGACAGTCTGGAACATCTCCCTTCTGTCTCTCACTTCTGCTCTTGCCATGTGATAAACCTGTCCCCCTTCACCTTCCACCATGAGTGTAAACTTCCTGCAACCCTTGCCTAGAGCAGATGCTTGCATCACACTTCCTGTAGAGCCTGCAGAACTGTGAGCCAATGAAACCTCTTTTTTAAAATAAATTACCCAGCCTCAGGTATCCCTTTATAACAATGCAAATGAACTAATACAGACATTCTTTCCCCTTCCCTTTCCAAATGATGCCTTCTCAACTCTGACATCTTCTTGGCAGCAAACAAGACTTTTTTAGTCTGTCAGGTTCCAACCTGAGCTGAGGTCTGAGGGGAGCTGGTGGATGGGTGGTGGGTAGCTGAAAGAACACTCGAGGGACCATAGGCAGTTGGGACATGGCTTTATTCTCTCCCCCTCTCCTACAGAGTCAGCAGTGCCATTATATTTCTCACAGACAACAGTGGCTTAAAGCCACATATGGGCTCACACAAACAGGTTACATTAAATGACTACATAAGTGTGATTACATAGTGCACAAGATTTTGTGCCTGCACTCCAAACCTGCTGTGTCGTGCTGTACTGGATGTCTGCCTTGGCCTACTCCTGACTGAAGCATAGCCATTTTCCTTATACTCCACCCCCTAGGCTGAGGGAGTTCTCCTAGTGGGGAGATGTGCCCACAGGGCAGAACCCTGGACCCAGAGGCCACAGCAGCAATACAGAGAGCAACAACTCACTCAACTCACTATTAATATTCTCACTATGCTACCCATAATTATTAAGAGTCCAGCATAGGCCAGAGCCCAGGGATGCCCACCATGTTTGTTGGGGGTCATCAGTAAGGCTTTCAACTGCCTTGATTTCCTGGGAAACTCCTTGCAAAGCTGCTGTTATGTTTTGTTGATTGTCACGGATAAAGGTACAACTTTGTGTTCCCAAAAGATGCCAGGGATGAAGATACAACATTGTGTTCCCAAAAGAGCACAGGTGCCACCTTGGGGAGCAGTTAATATGTCTAGGGCCATCTGGTTCTGCAGTGCTACCTTCCTGGTTTGATCAACCTCATCTGTCAACAGAAGGAGGGCAACTTGGGTGTAATTCAAGGCTTGAGCAGTGTGCTCAGCAAGGGCTGCAACCTGCATTTCTACAGTTATGACACCTGCTCTAGGGATGGCTAATACTAAGGGGTAGAGCCACCTGGTTTTGCACTCCCAAAAACCAGGAACGTAGCTCTTCCCAGTTATGTGGGTGTCTAGGCAATGTGGGAATATCAGTGGCAGGCACAAAAGGCCACCCCCAGGTACAGCAGCCAGACAGTTCACTGGCAAAAAGAACCATCCCGTGTCTCCATAGACCCATAAACTCCCAGGGGGGGCACAAAGTCTACTAGGGCCTGACCTTGCTGAAGCTGCCTATTCTGCCGCACCTTTGGTGTGGTGACATATATTATATTTGTGCAGGCTATGGCGGGTAACCACCCCATGGTGGCATTACCCAAAGCTGCTCTATACATCATGGTACCTGTGGTGGGGGCTAACCCCCACTAACCAGCCCCATCCATCATAGATGCTACAGGTCAGCCAGGGGGTGGGAATGCCATGGGTCTTATAGCACTCCCTAGCCAAAGCTTGCTGTGTCATGTTACAAACATTGGCCATGGGACCCCAAGTCTCTAACCATGTCTGGTTTTCTGCAGAAGCTGGATGTATGTGCCAGGGCAAGTCATCTGCAGCTGCTACGGGAAGGGTGGTGCAGATCCAACAGCTGGACACATTGGTCATCTCAGCATAGCCCATTCCACAATGCTGTTAGAGCATGTCAACTTATGGTCAGAATGACAAAGCAGGCACACACAGGTAAATCACTCTTCTGAGGCAAAATACAAGCCAACCTTTTATCTCTGGATAACAATGCAGCCGCCAAGGGCTTCTGCCCTGGGCAATGGTACCACAGCTTCTCAGCTCCCCATGGTTTCTTTGTGTCCTGTATTTGTGCCAAAGTCACTGGGGAGCTCACAATAGGCCATACAGACAATACAAGGAGGGGGGTTCCTTCCCTGAGCATTCCCCTACGAACGGTCAATCATGGAAGCCATATATTGAATACCCAAGGAGTGACATGTAAATCATACTGTAGGCCCTCCCCCCAGAGGGCTACCATAGCCAACCATTGGCAATGGGGGACTTGAAGGGTCCATGTTCAAAGCCAGGTTTTTTGTTCCCCTGCCTTTAGGGGCATTAGGGCAGGCAACCACAGGTTACTGTTGGTCCCCATACCTGGTCAGAGGAGGTCATCCTTCTTTCCATAGGTCTTGCCACATGGCCTGGCCCCAAATGGGCCAGTGACCAACTAGCCAATCGTGTAACTTCCAGGTAGTTAACCACAAGGTCAGGCCTCAGTAAACTGCCCAGCTACTGGGGC
Source organism: Homo sapiens (assembly GCF_000001405.40). Lineage (NCBI taxonomy): Eukaryota > Metazoa > Chordata > Mammalia > Primates > Hominidae > Homo > Homo sapiens. The sequence goes on along the minus strand of NC_000011.10, from coordinate 85,943,620 downwards.
AGATTACCATAGGTGTCTCCTTCTTGGTGATCACCATCCATACTGCCCCGAGTTCAGCTCACTGACTTTGTCCACCTCCAGTATCAAACCATATGGTATCAATACTAGGCTGGACCGCAACAGCAGTCCAGGCAGCAGTAACACCCTGGCTGGACCCATCTTTATACCATGCTCCACTGGGAATGGAAGAGGTGCCTGCCCCTCTTTAAATGGTAATGGCTCAGGGTTTAAGGGTGCCTCAGGTTGACCCATGGCCTTATCTTGCATCAGGACTACAGGTCCCAAGACTTCTTGTAATTCTGCTGATAAGGGGCTTTTACTCAGGGTACTCTGCTGTTTTGACTAGGCTCCCCACTTTGCTAAGGTAGATGTCTGTGCCATCCCAGTCCGGAGGGTCATTACCCGTGAAGGTACCCACCCCACTATTGGGTAAGTCATCTACAGGCATGACTACTGTTGTTTGTCCCATCACACTCTCACAAGCCTGAAGGGTGGCATATGCAGCTATTAACTCCTTCCCTATCAATGAATACCAGAGCTCAGCTTCCTTCCAAAGTTGGGACCAAAAGCCTGCCAGTATTCTAAAGCCCTCTGTGTGCTGCCATAGGCCTTGCCAAAAGCATCTGTGGTCACACGCACATCAAGTTCAAATGGGCGCCCCGATCAATTACTTGTAGGGCCTGTGCTTGCTGTATGGCCCACTTGGCTGCCAGAAAAGCCATCTCAGCCTCATTGTCCCAATCCCAAGTAGTTCCCATTTTTGTCAACTGACACAACGGTTTTACCATCTGAGCCAAATGGGGTACAAATGCCCACCAATATCCCAAGAGGCCTACAAAAGTCTGTAGTTGCCTCATTGTTGTGGGCCGGGTATATGCCTGAATTTTATCAGTGATGGCCTCTGGTATAGCCTTTGTTTTACCCAAGCAGATAACTACCAATAATTTGGCAGACAGTTCAGGCCCTTGGACCTAGGATTTGTTGACTGCCCAACCTCATGCTGCCAAATGTTGTTGTAAAAGGGGTGCCACCACTTCTGAACCTGCAAGAGAATCAGAGGTTAACATAATATCATCAATATAATGGAATAGGTGGATTCCCTTTGGACACTTCCAGGCGGCTAAATCCGTGGCAAGGAGACCATGATGTATGATGGGGCTACACATATAGCCCTGCGGCAGCACTGTGAAAGTCCACTGTTGCCCTTCCCATGTGAAGGCAAACTTCCTGGCTCTCTGGAGCAATGTCAACTGAGAAGAATGCATTGGCCAAGTCCACCACATAGTGGTACTCTCCCAACTTCATTGTCAAGGGGTCCATCAAATCCATGATAGAGGGTACAGCTGCATGTAAAAGGGGTATTACTTTATTTAGTTCTCAATAATCCACTGTCATCTGCCAAGTTCCATCAGGCTTCTTGACTGGCCATACTGGAAAATTGTAGGGTCTGTAGGTGTTACACATTATCTGCACCTTTTCTAACTTCTTAATAGTCTCAGTTATCTCTGTATGCTCACCTGGCAAGTGGTATTGACACGTGGAAGTAATCCATAAGGGTTGTGGCAGGACATGGAGCTAGTGATGTGTATGTCTGTGGAGTACCAGCTTAACCCCACATACTTGGAGTCTGAATTCCCCATCCGTGGTTTGTAAAGCCAAGCCATGTAAAGTATCCACCCCCAAAATGTATTCAGGTATGGGAGAAACATAGTTTATAAGTGGGGAGCCAAGCAGCCAATGCCAAGGTGCAAAGATGCAGGTTTCACTTTCACTGACTGACCTCTATAGCCATCTATATATGCAGCCTTGCCTGGAAATTTATCCAGGTTCCCACAGACGAGAGTACAATCTGTGCCAGTGTCTACCAGCACCAGCACCCGCTGTATGTTGGTGGGGGACCAGTGGATTGTCAATTCCACTTGTGGCCTCCAGTTGTCCAGTGTTCCCCCAAGCCGAGCACCTCGGCCAGTTCCCTTATCAAACACAAAAATTTCTATACCTCCATCCATCTGCAAGTAGTGCTTGAGATGGAGTGGCCGGGGGTACTGAGCTGAGCAGCATCATCCTGCCACCTCTTGGGCATTTTCTGGAATTGCTGCTCCAGGGACAGTTGCCTCTACAAAGTTAACGGCACTTCATTGGGTTGCCTATCAATTTTCTCTTGGTCAACCCTATCCAAAATCAAATCAATCTATATCTGGTGGCATGTGGGTCATCCACTGGGGCCCCTTTTTGTCCCATGAGGTGGCACCCTGCAGAAGGGGTACTGTTCCCCTTTTTATGGTGTAGATTCCTAGGTCCCACTAATGGCCCTTTGCTTCCCCAAGGGCCGCCATGGCAGTAGTCACTTCAAGTATGTGGCACCCCACATATGGAGTGAGGAGAGCGGCCAGGGAGCCGAAGGCACTTGGCGGGGCAGAGCCCAATACAAGGTCCCTCATGTGGGAGGTAAAGCGTTCATCATCTGGCCCTCAGGTATTCAGATCGAACATAGCCTGCCATATACCCATCTCCCAAATTACTTGCACCAAATCTGTATACAACTGCCATTTACTCACAGTTTCTGGTATTTCTCTGGTGTCATTCCATACCATTTGTATGGCCACCATCAGCCATTCAATTAGGGTGTGCCTATGTCCTGAATGGTATTGTCTAGGTTTCCTTCTAGGGTTTTTATGATTCTACATCTTACATTTAAATCTTTAATCCATCTTGAGTAAATTTTTGTATAAGGTGTAAGGAAGGGGTCCAGTTTCAGTTTCCCGAATATGGATAGCCAGTTTTTCCAACACCATTTATTAAATAGGGAATCCTTTCCCCATTTCCTGTTTTTGTCAGCTTTGTCAAAGAGCAAATGGTTGTAGATGTGTGATGTTATTTCTGAAGACTCTGTTCGTTCCATTGGTCTATATATCTGTTTTGGTACTAGTACCATGCTGTTTTGGTTACTGTGGCCTTGTAGTATAGTTTGAAGTCAGGTAGTATGATGCCTCCAGCTTTGTTCTTTTTGCTTAGGATTGTCTTGGCTATACGGGCTCTTTTTTGGTTCCATATGAAATTTAAAGTAGTTTTTTAAAATTCTGTGAAGAAAGTCAATGGTAGCTTCATGGGTATAGCACTGAATCTATAAATTACTTTGGGCAGTATGGCCATTTTCACAATATTGATTCTTCCTATCCATGAGCATGGAATGTTTTTCCATTTTTTTTGTGTGTCCTCTCTTAATTCCTTGAGCAGTGGTTTGTAGTTCTCCTTGAAAATGTCCTTCACATCCCTTGTAAGTTGTATTCCTAGGTATTTTATTCTTTGTAGCAATTGTGAATGGGAGTTCCGTAATGATTTGGCTCTCTGTCTATTATTGGTGTATAGGAAGGCTTGTGATTTTTGCACATTGATTTTGTATCCTGAGACTTTGCTGAAGTGGCTTAGCAGCTAAGGAGATTTTGGGCTGAGAGGATGGGGTTTTCTAAATATACAATCATGTCATCTGCAAACAGAGACAATTTGACTTCCTCTCTTCCTATTTGAATACCCTTTATTTCTTTCTCTTGCCTAATTGCCCTTGCAGAACTTCAATACTATGTTGAATAGGAGTGGTGAGAGAGGGTATCCTTGTCTTGGAAGCACAGCCATTTTCCTTATATAGTCACTTGATATTTTCTTCTGACTCAAATTCACACTGTGAAGGAAAAACTGCCACAACTAACAAATTAGGTGGGATTCTTAACATGTTATGACTGGCTTGCTTTAAAATCATGATCCGAACTCTCCAAGTGTGAGAGAAAAAATCAATTTCTGTTGACCTGCTGAAATCAGTGAGTTGCCACATAGGCTGTTTTTGTTGGTTACTAGAAGCTGTTTGATTTGTCCCAGTGGAAAGTAAGTTTTTTTTTTTTCCTGAGAAAAATAGAGATAAATCTTACCTATAACAAGTTTACCATTCTTTAAAAAATGGCAACTTCACTCCATTTTGAAGTGTAAGATACACCCGTCAAATACACAAACCTTAAGAGTCCTGCTTGATGAATGTTTACAAAGTGAGCACACCCAGGTTAATTACCACTCAGATCAAGATTACCAGAAAAGCCCTTCATGTCTCATCCTAGTCATTACCCACCACAAAGATAGCCACTGTTCTGACTTCTATCATCATAGATTGGTTGCTTGTCTTCTTTTTGAGCTTTATTAAATTGAATCATACTGTATGTCTGCCTTCTTTCAATATTACATCTGTAAGATTCACTTGTATATTATAGCTACACGTGTCAGTAGTTTATTCTTCTTTATGCTGTGTGATATTCCATAGTGTGACTAAGCACAATTTACTTTTTTTTTTTTTTATTGAGTGCTTAGTAGTGAGAATAGCACAATTGACTTACAGGTTCTATTACTGATAGTTATTGGGGTTGTTTCCAGTTTTTGGCTATTATCATTACAGCTGCTGGGAACAGTCTTGTACATGTCTTCTGGTGAACATAAGCATTCATCTCAGTTGGATATAAAGCCCAAAGTGGAATTGCCGTGTCATGCAGTATATGTATATACATGTTCAGGTTTAATAAATATTGGCAAAACATATTTCAGTGTTCATTCCCAGTTACAGTCTTGCCACCAATTATATGAAAGTTTCAGGTGCTCTGTATTCTTGTCGATGTTTAGTTTCTTCAACATTTTCCTTTCTTTTTTTACTTTTACTTTGTTTTTTTTTTTTCAGACAAAGTCTTGCTCTGTCACCCAGGCTGGAGTGCAATGTCATGATCATAGCTCACTGCAGCCTCAACCTCCAGGGCTCAAGCAGTCCTCTCACCTCAGACTCCCAAGTGGCTGGAACCACAGGCACATGCCACCGAGGCCTGGCTAATTTTTTAATTTTTATTTTTGTAGAGATGGGGTCTCACTGTGTTTCCCAGGATGGTCTCAAACTCCTAGGCTCAAGCAATCGTCCCACCTCAGCCTCCCAAAGTGTTGGGAATACAGGTGTGCCACTGCTCCTGGCCTATTTTTACTTTTTTAGAGACAGGGTCCCCCTCTGTCACCCAGGCTGGGGTATAGTGGCATGATCATAGGTTACTGTAACCTCAAACTCCTGGGCTCAAGCAATCTTCTGCCTCAACCTCCTAAGTAGCTAAAACAAACTACAGGCATGCACCACCACACCCAGCTAATGTTTAAATTTTTGTAGAGACAGGGTTTCACTATGTTGCCCAGGCTGGTTTTGAACTGAAGCTGCCTTTGCAAAGATTATGACAGCGAGAGACGTCTAGCATGGCTGACTTCATCCTGCTTCTAGACTCACAGGCAGGCTGGCCTTGCTTATTCCTGGGCATAGGCCAAGCTAACAATGGGAGAAATTTGGTTTACAGTTTAGCATTGAAGCAAAAATAATAATAGTCCCTCCCTAAAACTCATCCCCTCTTTGTTCTGGGACTGAAACCAGCTTTGTAAGACTAATGAAAAGTCACAAGATTAGGGTTATGAGGGGAGATTGAATTCTACTAAAATGTAGGTGTAAAGATAACCAGCATTGTTCCCTAGCTTGCTTTTCTATAATCCCTTACTGCTCAGGAGTCATGTGACCAGAGGTCACAAGATTTGTGACTTCTCCAATTGCTCCTATAGATGACATCACTATTGTAGAACCTAAGATTGGTCTTTTGAGATGTTTTTTCAGACTTTTGCACTCTGGCTACTGACTGACTCCACCTGGACCTGTGGCTCATGACTCTTGTGGCCCCCACCCAGAGGCTGACACAGCGCACAAGGACTGGTTTCTACATTTCTACAATTTAATCTCTAACCAATCAGCAGCACTCATACCCTAGCCCCCTGCTCACCAAATTATCCAAAAAACCGTAGCCTCTGAGTTGTCTGGGAGGCTGATTTGAGTAATAAAGTCCATCTTCTGCTTGGCTAGCCCTGCATTAATTAAACTCTTCTTCTTTTCTTTTTTTTTTTTAAGACAGAGTCTTGCTCTGTTGCCCAGGTTGGAATGTAATGGTGTGATCTTGGCTCACCACAACCTCTGCCTCCCGGGTTCAAGAGATTCTCCTGCCTCAGCCTCCCATGTGGCTGGGACTACAGGCATGTGCCACCATGCCTGGCTAATTTTTGTCTTTTTAGTAAAGACAGGGTTTTACCATGTTGGCCAGGCTGGTCTCAAACTCCTGACCTCAGGTGATCCACCCGCCTTGGCCTCCCAAAGTGCTGGGATTACAGGCGTGAACCACCATGCCCGGCCTAATTAAACTCTTTCTTTGCTGCAAAAAACCTGCTGTTCTCAGTGTGTTGGGCTTTCTGGGCAGCAGGTAAGATGAACCCATCAGGCAGCACTAGAGTTTATCAGAACCAACTTTTGGGTTTGTTGATTTTCTCCTGTGTATGTCAGCTTTCTCTTTAATTGGTTTCTGCTTGTGGTGTTATGATATATAGTTGGTTCATCATTCCCATATCCCTCGTTGCGGTCTTTTTTCTTTTTTTAAAATTACCCGTTCTATGAACACCTTGTTACAATCTTTTGTTGTTATAATGTTGGATGTGTTAGACCCAACCAGCGGCCTCAGAAAACAGAATCTCTCTCCTGTCTTCCTTTCACTTGCCCCAAGGCAGGAGTCTAATGTTTCCCTGCCACTCTGATTGTGGGGCTTAAGCGGGGCAGTCTTGGGGACTGAGCCCCCTCACTCTATGGGTTCTGACACCATATCCAGGTAGATCGTGTTGGAACTGAATTGGAGAACACCCAGCTGGTGTCTACTGCTCGGCATGTGGCAAAAAACCCCACATTTGGTCACAGAAGTCTTCTGTATTATTGACCATTTTTGTTTTGGGTAAAAAAATATAAAAATTTTAAAACGAGGTCCTCTGTGTTGATTGTTGTGGTGGGCAAGTAAAGGAAAAACACTGTTTGCGACAGTTTTTCCTGAAACAGTGTTCTCATCTGTATTTTCTTACCTTTACTTTGGATTTATTTTTTTTTCCTAGATCCTGTGAAAGGAAAATATCTTGGGCCCCCAAAATCACAAAGCTAAAGGGAAAAGTCAAGCTGTGAACTGCTTAGGGCAAACCTGCCTCCCATTCTATTCAGTCACCCCTCTACTCACTGAGATAAATGCACATCTGATTGCCTCCTTTGGAAAGGCTAATCAGAAACTCAAAAGAATGCAACCATTTGTCTCTTATCTACCATGACCTGGAAGCCCCCTCCCTGCTTCAAGTTGTCCCACCTTTCCAGACAGAACCAATGTTCATCTTACATATGTTGATTGATGTCTCATGTCTCCCTAAAATATACAAAACCAAACTGCCCTGACCACCTTGGGCACACGTCATCAGGACTTCCTGAGGCTGTGTCATGGGTGTGTGTCCTCAACCTTGGCAAAATACCTTTTTTTAAAATTCTGCACGGTGGTCCTGAGAGTGGTGGGTGCCACCCTGTCCTGGGTGGAGGAAGGGCCCAAGGGCCAGTTAAGGCCAATGGCGGGAGAAGGGGGGTGCTGCAGACTCTAGAATGCGGAGAAGCCAGGGGGAGGCCCGGAGGCAGCGGTGATAGGCCAGTGGAGGGTGGAAAGCACCAGACTGGGACCGGGCCAGGGCTACAGGGCCAAGGACCCAGGCCACAGGGCACCCTGGGAGGCGGGCACAGGGTCACATGACACAGAACATGAAACACAGGCACAGGCTCATAGTAAGCACATGGACAAGTGGGCACAGGTTCACAGGCCAGATGCATACTAAGCATGGCTGGGCCAGACAGCGGGACACAGTGGTGGTGTCACACAGAGACCACAGGGGAGACACGGCGCTATAGGACACATGGACTTGACGGCCACAATGCACAGACCAGGTCACAGAGCTCAAGGGATGTGGAAAGGAGCCTTTTGGCACTACTGCACTGGAATCATGTGAGACAAGAGTGGTGGGGCCTCTGGAGGTGCCTGGGGCACCAGTGGCCCCACTGGGCTTAGCCCGTCTTCCACTTTGTTGAGCAGCTTCACCACCTCATCATAGATGATAAACACTATGGCCACATCCAGGTTGACCTGGCCCAGCGCGGGACAATGCCCTTGTAGAATGCCTTGAGCTCCTCCTTCCTCAGGATCTGCCAGCCACAGTCCATCAAGTTCCGGTATTTGTGCGCCTCCAGGCCCTACCTGCGGGTCTTAATCACGTCCAGAGGAGTGTTTCCAAAGACGCTGGCTGTGCACACGATGGCTCCGAAGCCCCCAGTGATCAGCGGGTTCATGGGCTTGTTGGGGTTGTCTCCTCGGTACCAGTTGTGCAGGGAATGTCATGACGAAGAAGCGGATGGCCTGGTTCCAGCCCTGTTTCAGTACGGTGGCCGTGAGGCTCTGATACATCCCCTTCAGCCCTTGTTCCCGCACAATCTTCCTAACCCGTAGAAGAATCCTCGGTACTTGGGGTTTGGGGAGGTCTGGTCGTGGATGAACCTCACCTTGATGGTCTCCATGGGGCACACGATCACCACGGCCTCAGCCACTCCAGCGCCCAGGCAGCACAGCAGCCCGCGCGTGCTGTCCAGCCGTCCCTGGGAATCCCGCAGGTGGTTGCCGAGGAACTAGAACATTCCGAAGCTGGCGGCCGCTTTGGGGATGGAGCCGTAGAGCAGGGAGCTGAGACTGCGGTACAGGCCCAGAACGCCATGGCTGCGGACTGTCTGCCACACCCACTCCCCGATGCTCTGGTACCGCGGCGGGTTCGAGGGCTAGTCCAGCTGCCACTGCGTCTTCACGTACTGGGTGGGGAAGGTGATGTAGATCTCAATGCCGCCCGCCAGGCCGCCTGCCAGGATCGCCTTCCCCAGGTGCGTCAGCTTGGCCTTCCCAGACGCTGGCGCGGCGGCCGCCAGAGCGTGTGGGGCTCGAGGCGCGGACGCGGGCGGGAGGCTGGGCGCCCGCCCAGTGGCGGCCTTCGGTCCGAGCTTCCTGAACTCCGCACTCAAAATGAACTTTCTAAATTAACTGAGACCTGCCTGAAATTTTCGGGGTTCACAATCCTTAAGGTAACAGCTTGAGATTTTTCAGCCTTTCTTTTTTAATACATGAATTTAAAGTTATATATTTGTCTTTAAACACAACTTTTGCTGGATCCAAAAGGTTTTGACATGTCATATTTTCATTATTCAAAATATTTTCTCATGAGTTATTAAAAAGTGTTCTGCTTACTTTCTAATTATTTGAAGGGTTTTTGTTGTTGTTGTTTTTAAATTTCACCGTGGGCTGGGTGCCGAGGCTCACACTTGTAATCCCAGAACTTTAGAAGGCCGAGGCGGTGGATCACCTGAGGTCAGGAGTTTGAGACCAGCCTGGGCAACATGGTGAAACCCCGTCTCTACTAAACATACAAAAATTAGCTTGGCATGGTGGCAGGCGCCTATAATCCCAGCTACTCGGGAGGCTGAGGCAGGAGAATCACTTGAACCCGGGAGGCGGAGGTTGCAGGGAGCCGAGATAATGCCACTGCACTCCAGCCTAGGCGACAGAGTGAAACTCCATCTCAAAAAAAAAAATAAAAAAATAAAATTCCACAGTGGTCAGAGAACACATTCTATGTGATTACAATTTTTCTGAGTATTTGTTGTGACTTCTTTATGACTTGCATGTGGTCTATTTTTGGAAATGTTTCATGTCCACATGAAAGGAATGAACGTTATACAGTCGTTAACTTATATTAATTTTGTCGAATTGATTTATCACTTGTTGAGAGAGGTGCAGTAAGATCTTCAAGTCTGTATTTGTCTCTTTTTTCTTTTTCCTTTTTTATTATGAAATATATATAACATACAATTTACTGTATCTTTTTTACTTTGGTAAACTTTGCTTTATGTATTTTGAGACCATGTTTATTATGTGCATACAAATCTAGGATTGTTATGTCATTCTGATGAACTGGCTCATTTACTATTATATTTTTCTTCATTTTTTTTTAATCTTAATACTTCCTGCCTTAAAGTCTACTTTGTCTGATATTAGTTTGGTCAAACTGTCTTCATTTTGGTTGATGTTTGCATGGTGTATCCTTTTTTTTTTTCTGAGACAGGGTCTTACTCCATCACCTGGGCTGTAGTGCAGTGGTATAGTCATAGCCTTAACCTCCCATGCTCAGGTGATCCTGACACCTCAGCCTCCTGAGAAGCTGGGACCACAGTCACACTCCACCACTTCGAGCTAATTTTAAAAATTTATTCTATGTAGAGAAGGGGGTCTCCCTATGTTTCCCAGGCTGGTCTCGAACTCCTGGGGACTCAAGTGATCCTCTGGTTTCAACTTTCCAAAGTGCTCCACACCTGGCCCATGGTGTATCTTTTTGCAGTCTGTGACTTTATTTATTTATAAACAGACTATTATCTTCAAGGTTTTAGATTTACAAAAGACAATGATGGGACGTACAGTGATCTCATATACGCCACACTCAGTTTGTCCTGTATTAATCTTTGTCTTTAGTATGGTACTTTTCACACAATTAATGAACCAATATTGCAATATGTGTTGTTCTTGTCTAAAGTTTATACATTTATTCAGATTTGCTTAGTTTTGGCCAAATGTCTCATTCTCTGTATCAGGACCCCCTTTCAAGATATGGCATTGTTACAGTAGGTAGTCAGGCAGACATTAGCAGGCAGGAGAGGGTCCCCACTCCACCAGGAACATCAGGCAACCATCAAGTGATGGTCAGGCGGTTTTAACTGTCTCTTTAAAATAATAATTGGCAGGGCACAGTGGCTCATGCCTGTAATCCCAGCACTTTGGGAGGTCGAGGCCAGCGTATTACCAGAGCTAAGGAATTTGAGACCCGCCTGGCCAACACGGTGAAACCCGGGCTCTACTAAAAATCCAAAAAAAGTAGCAGGGCGTGGTGGCTCATGCCTGTAATCTCAGCTATTTGGGAGGCTGAGGCAGGAGAATCGCTTGAATCCAGGAGGTGGAGGTTGCAGTGAGCTGAGATTGCGCTGCTGCACTCCAGCCTAGGTGATAGAGCCAGACTCCATCTCTAAATAAACAAATAAATAAACAAATAAATAAATAAATATTGGTTACAACTGGTGCCAGGGAAAGGCGGTCTCCCAATAGATAGAAACACCTGGAACTCGTGATCAGCAGCTTCCTGATAAGATCTCAGTAGTTGGGGGAGTGGGCTCAAGCATGTACATTGAGAGGCAAAATGGGGGACTTTAACTGCTATATGACCTTCTAGGAACATTCAACTGGTAAGGTAAGAGTGCCTCAAGTGAGCATGCATACAACTCCTGTTAACACATTGGACATGCAGCCCCTCCCAAGGGCTGGCAAGCCACTGCACATGCGGTCAGCTCAGCCCATGAGAAGAACCAGGGGAGAAGTAACGCAAGACCCCAGAAGCATGCCAGCATGTAAAACTCCAAGTCGAAGGTCACACCATCCACTTGATTTCTCAAGTCACCTGCTAGGCCCTCTTCCAAGTGTACTTTTCTTCCTTTCATTCCTGCTCTAAACTTTTTAATACTCCTGCTCTAAAACTTGCCCTGGTCTCTCCCTTTGCCTTATGCCTCTTGGTTGAATTCTTTCTTCTGAGGAGGCAAGAATTCAGTTTGCTGCAGACCCATACAGATTGGCCACTGCTAACAGCATTATGCTTAGATTCCATGTGTCAGTTCTTTAGAACTTGAATCTGTAGATTGTCTTTAATCAGTTTTGGTAAACTCAGCCATTATGTCTTCAAATATTTCTTCTCCTTTATCCCTACTACCGCTTTTCCTTGAACACTAACTGCAGTTAGCGGATGTTGGACTGCTTAATTGCACATGTTCATTACCACTGTGTTCTGCTCTTTCTATTCTTTATTCTTTCTGGAATTGTGTTTGACTATTTTTGGATATTGGATATTGACTTATCCCAAATTTCACTATTTCTGGTTTCTTCCATATCCAGTCTGCCATTAGACTGATTTATTACTTTTTGATTTTGTATATTTTGATTTCTAGAATGTCCGTTGGGTTCTTCTTTATAGAGTCTAATGCTCTGTTGAAATTCTTCATATTTTTACCTGTTTTATTCATCTTTTCCTTGCTTTCTTTAACATATTTATAATAATATTCTCTTTTTTTATACTTTAAGTTCTGGGATACATGTGCAGAGCTGTTGGGATTCACTCAGGATAGTGGCAGAAATATTAAAGGGAAATATTAGGGAAAGTTTTAGAGAATAGTCACAAACCTTTTTGGAAGGCTGCAAGATTACATAGATTGTAATAATTGAACAGGCTGAAGGCAGTGGGTTCTTACCTTAGAGCATTAGGTCATAGGGTAAATACTAGGGACAATAGAGGCTTCCCCAGTTATGTCTGTTTACCCTACCTCCATTAACTAACCTTTGAGCCAGATGGCCCTCTCGGAGGGAGGTCGACCAAGGATATTGCCCCCAATGGTATTTACTTTAAACTGCAGTACCTGAGCTTTAATCATTAGTAGAACTACTCTCTTAACCATGTTAATTATCCACAAGTGTGTTTATTCAAAGCTTCTGTTGTTAATTTTATACTAAATAAATGCCTGAAGTGCGGGCTGCTCAGGACCGGCCACGTCACAAACCTCTCTTGGTGTGTAGGCGGTTGGACACTCAGCAAGACTGGCGAAACAGAGTATCTGTGTGTCAGTGTACGTTTTATTCATCCATCGTTTGGGTCTGGGTCGGTGGGCAGACCCCTGCAGCTAATGTCATCTTGTGAGGAGCAATACCTCACAGAACGTGCAGGTTTGTTACATAGGTATACATGTGCCATGGTGATTTGCTGCACCCATCAACCCGTCATCTACATTAGGAATTTCTCCTAATACTATCCCTCCCCTAGTCCCCCCACCCACCGACAGGCCACAGTGTGTGACGCTCCCCTCCCTGTGTCTATGTGTTCTCATTGTTCACCTCCCACTTATGAGTGAGAACGTGCGGTGTTTGTTTTTCTGTTCCTGTGTTAGTTTGCTGAGAATGATGGTTTTCAGCTTCATCCATGTCCCTGCAAAGGACATGAATTCATCCTTTTCTATGACTGCGTAGTATTTCATGGTGTATATGTGCCACGTTTTCTTTATCCAGCCTATCACTGATGGGCATTCGGGTTGGTTCCAAGTCTTTCTATTGTGAACAGTGCTGCAATAAACATACATGTGCATGTGTCTTTATAGTAGAATGATTTATAATCCTTTGGGTATATACCAAGTGATGGAATTGCTGGGTTAAATGGTATTTCTGGTTCTAGATACTTGAGGAATCGCCACACTCTCTTCCACAATAGTTGAACTAATTTATACTCCCACCAACAGTGTAAAATAATTTCTATTTCTCCACATCCTCTCCAGCACTTGTTGTTTCCTGACTGTTTAATGATCGTAATTCTAACTGGTGTGAGATGGTATCTAATTGTGGTTTTGATTTGCATTTCTCTAATGACCAGTGATGATGAGCTTTTTTTTTTTCATATGTTTGTTGGCTGCATAAATGTCTTCTTTTGAGAAGTGTCTGTTCATATCCTTTGCCCACTTTTTGATGGGGTTGTTTTTTTCTTGTAAATTTGTTTAAGTTCCTTGTAGATTCTGGATATTAGCCCTTTGTCAGATGGATAGATTACAAAAATTTTCTCCCATTCTATAGGTTGCCTGTTCACTCTGATGATAGTTTCTTTTGCTGTGCAGAAGCTCTTTAGTTTAATTAAATACCATTTGTCAATTTTGGCTTTTGTTGCCATTGCTTTTGGTGTTTTAGTCACAAAGTCTTTGCCCATGCCTATGTCCTGAATGGTATTGCTAGGTTTTCTTCTAGGGCTTTTATGATTTTATGTCTTACCTTTAAGTCTTTAATCCATCTTGAGTTAATATTTGTATAAGCTGTAAGGAAGGGGTCCAGTTTCAGTTTCCTGCATATGACTAGCCCGTTTTCCCAACACCTTTTATTAAATAGGGAATCCTTTCCCCATTGCTTGTTTTTGTCAGGTTTGTCAAAGATCACATGGTTGTAAATGTATGGTGTTATTTCTGAAGCCTCTGTTCTGTTCCATTGGTTTATATATCTGTTTTGGTACTAGTACCGTGCTGTTTTAGTTACTGTAGCCTTGTAGTATAGTTTGAAATCAGGTGGTGTGATGCCTCCAGCTTTGTTCTTTTTGCTTAAGATTGTCTTGGCTATACGGGCTCTTTTTTGGTTCCATATGAAATTTAAAGTAGTTTTTTTTTCTAATTCTGTGAAGAAAGTCAATGGTAGCTTGATAAAAATAGCATTGAATCTATAAATTACTTTGGGCAGTATGGCCATTTTCACAATATTGATTCTTCCTATCCGTGAGCATGGAATGTTTTTCCATTTTTTTTTTTGTGTCCTCTCTTAATTCCTTGAGCAGTGGTTTATAGTTCTCCTTGAAAAGGTCCTTCACATCCCTTGTAAGTTGTATTCCTAGGTATTTTATTCTCTTTGTAGCAATTGTGAATAGGAGTTCAGTCATGATTTGGCTGTTTGTCTATTATTGGTGTATAGGAATGCTTGTGATTTTTGCACATTGATTTTATATCCTGAGCCTTTGCTGAAGCTGCTTATCAGCTTAAAGAGATTTTGGGCTGAGAGGATGGGGTTTTCTAAATATACAATCATGTCATCTGCCAACAGAGACAATTTGACTTCTCTCTTCCTATTTGAATACCCTTTATTTCTTTCTCTTGCCTGATTGCCCTGGCCAGAACCTCCAATACTATGCTGAATAGGAGTGGTGAGAGAGGGCATCCTTGTCTTGTGCTGGTTTTCAAAGGGAATGCTTCCAGCTTTTGCCCCTTCAGTATGGTATTGGCTGTGGGTTTGTCATAGATAGCTCTTATTATTTGAGATACGTTTCATCAATACCTAGTTTATTGAGAGTTTTTAGCATGAATGGGTGTTGAATTTTATTGAAGGTCTTTTCTGCATCTATCGAGATAATCATGTGGTTTTTGTCATTGGTTCTGTTTATGTGATGGATTAAGTTTATTGATTAGCATATGTTGAACCAGCCTTGCATCCCAGGGATGAAGCTGACTTGATCATGGTGGATAAGCTTTTTGATGTGCTGCTGGATTCGGTTTGCCAGTATTTTACTGAGGGTCTTCGCATCGATGTTCATCAGGGATATTGGTCTGAAATTTTCTTTTGTGTTGTCTCTGCCAGGTTTTGGTATCACGATGATGCTGGCCTCATTAAGTGAGTTAGGGAGGAGTCCCTCTTTTTCTATTGTTTGGAATAGTTTCAGAAGGAATGGTACCAACTCCTCTTTGTACCTGTGGTGGAATTCAGCTGTGAATCAGTCTGGTCCTGGGCTTGTTTTGGCTGGTAGGCTATTAATGACTGCCTCAATTTCAGAACTTGTTATTGGTCTATTCAGGGATTCAACTTCCTGGTTTAGTCTTGGGAAGGTGTATGTGTCCAGGAATGTATCCATTTCTTCTAGATTTTCTAGTCTGTTTGCATAGAGGTGTTTATAGTATGCTCTGATAGTAGTTTGTATTTCTGTGAGATCAGAGGTGATATCTCCTTTATCGTTTTTTATTGTGTCTTTTGATTCTTCTCTCTTTTCTTTTTTGTTAGCCCAGCTAGCAGTCTATCTATTTTGTTAACCTTTTCAAAAAAACACCTCCTGGATTCATTAAATTTTTTTTTTTTTTTGAGACGGAGTCTTGCTCTGTCGCAAGGATGGAGTGCAGTGGTGCAATCTCAGCTCACTGCAACCTCCGCCTCCCTGGTTCAAGCGATTCTGCTGCCTCAGCGTCCTGAGTAGTTGGGATTACAGGCACATGCCACCATGCCCAGCTAATTTTTGTATTTTGAAGGGTTTTTCGTGTCTCTATCTCCTTCATTTCTGCTCTGATCTTAGTTATTTCTTGTCTTCTGTTAGCTTTTGAATTTGTTTGCTCTTGCTTCTCTAGTTCTTTTAATTGTGATGTTAGGGTGACGATTTTAGATCTTTCCTACTTTCTCCTGTGGGCATCTGGTGCTGCAAATTTCCCTCTAAACACTGCTTTAGCTGTGTCCCAGAGATTCTGGTAGATTGTGTGTTTGTTCTCATTGGTTTCAAAGAACTTATTTATTTCTGCCTTAATTTCGTTATTTACTCAGTAGTCATTCAGGAGCAGGTTGTTCAGTTTCCATGTAGTTGTGTGATTTTGAGTGAGTTTCTTAATCCTGAGTTCTAATTTGATTGCACTGTGGTCTGAAAGACTGCTTGTTACGATTTCCGTTCTTTTGCATTTGCTAAGGAGTGTTTTACTTCCAATTATGTGGTCAACTTTAGAATAAGTGCAATGTGGTGCTGAGAAGAATGTATATTCTGCTGATTTTGGGTGGAGAGTTCTGTAGCTGTCTGTTAGGTCCACTTTGTCCAGAGCAGAGTTCAAGTCCTGAATATCCTTGTTAATTTTCTGTCTCATTGATCTGTCTAATATTGACAGTGGGATGTTAAAGTCTCCCACTATTATTGTGTGGGAGTGTAAGTCTCTTCATAGGTCTATGAGAACTTGCTTTATGAATCTGGGTGCTTCTGTATTGGATGCATATATATTTAGAATAGTTAGCTCTTCTGGTTGAATTGATCCCTTTACCATTATGTAATGCCCTTCTTTGTCTTTTTTGATCTTTGTTGGTTTAAAGTGTATTTTATCAGAGACTAGGATTGCAACACCTGCTTTTTTTTTTTTTTTTTTTTTTTTTACTTTCCATTTGCTTGGTAAATATTCCTCTATCCCTTTATTTTGAGCCTATGTGTATCTTTGCACGTGAGATGGGTTTCCTGAATACAGCACACTGATAGGTCTTGCCTCTTTATCCCATTTGCCAGTCTGTGTCTTTTAATTGGGGCATTTAGCCCATTTACATTTAAGGTTAATATTGTTATGTGTTTGATCCTGTCATTATGATGCTAGCTGGTTATTTTGCCCATTAGTTGATGCAGTTTCTTCATAGTGTCGATGGTCTTTACAATTTGGTATGTTTTTGCAGTGGCTGGTACTGGCTTTTCCTTTCCATATTTAGTACTTCCTTCAGGAGCTCCTGTAAGGCAGGCCTGGTGGTGACAAAATCTCTCAGCATTTGCTTGTCTGTAAAGGGTTTTATTTCTCCTTTGCTTATGAAGCTTAGTTTGGCTGGATATGAAATTCTGGATTGAAAATTCTTTTCTTTAAGAATGTTGAATATTGGCCCCCACTCTCTTCTGGCTTGTAGGATTTCTGCAGAGAGATCCGCTGTTAGTCTGATGAGCTTCCCTTTGGGGGCAACCCGACCTATCTCTCTGGCTGCCGGTAACAATTTTTTCTTCATTTCAACCTTGGTGAATCTGACGATTACGTGTCTTGGGGTTGCTTTTCTCGAGGAGTATCTTTGCGGTGTTCTCTGTATTTCCTGAATTTGAATGTTGGCCTGTCTTGCTAGGTTGGGGAAGTTCTCCTGGATAATATCCTGCAGAGTGTTTTCCAACTTGGTTCCATTCTCCCCGTCACTTTCATATAGTCCCATATTTCTTGGAGCCTTTGTTCATTCCTTTTCATTCTTTTTTTCTCTAATCTTGTCTTCTTGCTTTATTTCATGAAGTTGATCTTCAGTCTCTGATATTGTTTCTTCTGCTTGATTGATTCGGCTATTGATACTTGTGTATGCGTCACAAAGTTCTCATGCTGTGTTTTTCAGCTCCATCAGGTCATTTATGTCCTTCTCTAAACTGGTTATTCTAGTTAGCAATTCTTCTAACCTTTTTTCAAGGTTCTTAGCTTCCTTGCATTGGGTTGGAACATGCTCCTTTAGCTCAAAGGAGTTTGTTATTACCCACCTTCTGAAGTCTACTTCTGTCAATTCGTCAAACTCAATTCTCTGTCCAGTTTTGTTCTCTTGCAGGCGAGGAGTTGTGATCCTTTGGAGAAGAGGCACTCTGATTTTTGGAATTTTCAGCCTTTTCGTGATGGTTTTTCCTCCTTTTCATGGATTTATCTACCTTTGGTCTTTGATGTTGGTGACCTTCAGATGGGGTTTTTGTGTGGACGTCCTTTTTGTTGATGTTGATGCTATTCCTTTCTGTTTGTTAGTTTTCCTTCTAACAGTCAGGCCCCTCTGCTGCAGGTCTGCTGGAGTTTGCTGGAGGTCTACTCCAGATCCTGTTTGCCTGGGTATCACCAGTGGAGGCTGCAGAGCAGCAAAGATTGCTGCCTCTTCCTTCCTCTGGAAGCTTCATCCCAGAGAGGCGCCCGTCAGATGCCAGCCAGAGCTCTCCTGTATGAGGTATCTGTTGATTCCTGCTGGGAGGTGTCTCCCAGTCAGGAGGCACGGGGTTAAGGAACTCACTTGAGGAGGCAGTCTGTCCCTTAGCAGAGCACAAGTGCTTTGCTGGGAGATCTGCTGGTCCCTTCAGAGCTGGCAGGCAGGAATGTTTAAGTCTGCTGAAGCTGTGCCCACAGCCGCCCCTTCTCCCAGGTGCTCTATCACAGGGAGATGGGACTTTTTTCTATAATCCCCTGACTGGGGCTGCTGGCTGCTGCCTTTCTTTCAGGGATGCCCTGCCCAGAGAGAAGGAATCTAGAGAGGCAGTCTGGCTACAGGGGCTTTGCTGAGCTGTGATGGGCTCTGCCCACTTCGAACTTCCCAGTGGCTTTGTTTACACTGTGAGGGGAAAACCTCCTACTCAAGCCTCAGTAATGGCAGATGCCCCTCCCCTCACCAAGCTCCAGCATCCCAGGTTGACTTCAGACTGCTGTGCTGGCAGCAAGAATTTCAAGCCAGTCGATATCAGCTTGCTGGGCTCCATGGGGATGGAATCTGCTGAGCTAGACCACTTGGCTCCCTGGCTTCAGCCCCCTTTCCAGGGGAGTGAAAGTTTCTGTCTTGCTGGCATTCCAGGCACCACTGGGGTATGAAAAAAAACTCCTGCAGCTAGCTCGGTGTCTACCCAAAT
The DNA here is from genome assembly GCF_000001405.40 of Homo sapiens. NCBI lineage: Eukaryota > Metazoa > Chordata > Mammalia > Primates > Hominidae > Homo > Homo sapiens. The sequence goes on along the minus strand of NC_000011.10, from coordinate 85,924,684 downwards.
GGCCATCCAGTTTTGTGCTTGAAACCCAGGGCCCTGGTGGTGTAGGCATCTGAGAGAATCTCCTGGTCTGCAGGTTGTGAAGACCGTGAGAAAAGCATAGTATCTGTGCCAGAATGCACCATTCCTCATGGCACAGTCCCTCACGGCTTCCCTGACCCCTTGTGCTTCCCGAGTGAGGCGACGCCCTACATTGCTTCAGCTCGTCCTCCGTGGGCTGCACCCACTGTCTAACCAGTTCCAGTGAGATGAGCTGGGTACCTCAGGTGGAAATGCAGAAATCACTCACTTTCTGTGTTGATCTCACTGGGAGCTGCAGACCAGGGCTGTTCCTATTCGGCCATATTGCCAGCCACCATATAATAATATTCTTAAAGTCCTAGCCTACTGACTTGAATATCTGGGTCATTGGTGGGCATGCTTTAATTGTTTGCTTTTCCTCCTGATTCTTAGTCTTATTTTCCTGCTTCTTTGCACTGTACACGCGCGTGCACACACACACACACGTATAAAGTTTTGTATGCTCAACATTGTGAATACAAGGAGTATAGTGTCTGGGTTGGTATTCTTTGTTCCCCAGAGAAAAAAGAATCTATCCTCTGTTAGTTATATTAGGTGAGGAGAAAATCACCTCAAAGGAATCAAGAATTGAGCTGGGGGAATCGAGAGGCTCTGGTGAGGAGTGGGTGCCGTGTGTAGGTGGTGAGTGAGGAGGGAGAGGGAAAGGAAAGAGAGGAGAGCGAAGAAAAAAAATAGAGTTGAACTGGGTCAGGGCTAGTTTGCCGTTTTACTTAGATTCAGTCCACCTCTGCTCTGAAATCTCTTGAGAGTGATACCTTTTAGTTTCAGGGCCCACATCTACAGAATGAATTATTCCAGGTGCATCCATGTCTCTTTTCTCTATTGAAACTCAGTCCCTAGGTTATGTCATTTAAGCTTTCATGGCTTTAAATTCAGTCCTGGGCTGTTGATTCCCAGATCTGAATCTCCAGCCTTTACCTTTCCTAGCAGGAAACAAAGGGCACATTCAAACAGGATACCTGGAGAAAATTTAACAAAGGCAATATATACAAAGGTGTGGGCAGCATCAAGGAAAACCAACAGGAATGGTAACACTCCCTGGGGCTATCAACAGATGGGAACTGTTCCACTCCTGGGTCTAAAGGGGGAGAGGGAGGGAGTACTTACCAGACCTAGAGAGTAGCTATACTGATTCAGTATTTCTCGTCTGAGATGATTGGGACCAGAAGTGTTTCAGATTTCAGATTTTTTAGGATTTTGGAATATTTGCATATACGTAATAAGATATCTTGGGGGTAGACCCAAGTCCAAACGCAAACTTCATTTATATTTCAGATACACCATATACACATAACCTGAAGGTAAGTTTATATACTATTTAAAATTTTTTTTTGTGTATGAAACAAAGTTTTTACTGCAACCCATCACATGAGGTCAGGTGTGGAATTTTCCACTTGTAGCATTGTGTCAGTGCTTAGAATGTTTCAGATTTTGGAACATTTTGGATTTTGGATTTTCACATTAGGGATGCTCAACCTTTGTTAGGTGAGCCTTCCAACAGGAATAGTGGCCTTTGATAGAGGAACCCTGCTAATCTACATGACCTGTTAGAGAAAGAGCTGGGGGAAGAAATCTCACCCTTCTCACTTTCTTTGATCTCCTGCTAGAAACTCCTATTAAACAAACTCAGTAGAAGGTTAGAAGCAAAGGACATTGACGCAGTCCATAAAGGTCACCCTTTGAGACACAGAGATAAGGGTAGAGAGTGGATCTGGGATGGTCAAACAGAAGCACACATACATGCAACAATTTTATACTCATGAATGACTAATAGGTATCTCAATAGATGGATCTGTTAGGGAATGGAGTAGAGTGGAAAAGAGGCCTGTGAACCAGGTGCCAAATTAAAGATTATGGAGAAGAGTGATGAGAAGGGTTAGAAATTTATAGCAAAGAATAGTAGTAGAGGGTGATATATATACTGAGCTTCAAAAGGCATGTTTTTACATGAGACTGGTGGAATTGTGGTCTAGAAGAGGCATTGCATTAGTGAAAGCATGTAGCCCCACAGAAGGTGGTGGCAGAGAAGAATCAATACCAACCACTAGAGAGAGAGCCACAGGGGAAGTGAGCTCTTTCTGGGGAAAGCCAGGTGCCAGTCAAAACCAGAGAGTAAAAGAAACCTTCAACAGGCTGGGCATGGCGGTTCACATCTATAATCCTAGCACTTTGAGAAGTTGAGCCAAGAAGACCACTTGAGCTCAGGAGTTTAAGACCAGCCTAGGTCACATGGTAAGACCTCCCCCCCCCCCGCCGCCCCACACCATCTCTACAAAAAATAAAAAATTAGCTGGGCATGGTGGTGTGCTTCTGTGATCTCAGCTATTTGGGAGGGTGAGGTGAGAGGATCCCTTGAGCCTGGCAGGCTAAGGCTGCAGTGAGCCATGATCATGCTGCTGCACTCCAGCCTAGATGACAGTGAGACCCTGTCTCAAAAAGAAAAGACACCTTTGAAACTGCCTTTGCAAAATTATGACCAAGACGGCGAAAGAGATCTAATTTAATTGACTCCATCTTGCTTCTAATCTCCAAACTGTCCTTTTCATTCTTGGGCGGAGGGTCAACTAACTTTGGGAAAAACTTAGTATACAGTTTAAAACAAAGATGATAACAGCCCTTTCCCAAAGCAGTCTTCCTTCTTGCCTAGGGAGTAGATTGCATTTGTAGGACTAACATTAGCCACAAGATTAGAAATTATGGTTTGGGAGTCATGCAGCTGGAGGCTACAAGATTCTGACTGTCTCTAAACTGCTCCTAAGATCAGTGCTTGAGATATTTTGCAGACCCTGCACATCATGAATCAGCTGGCACTACCTAGATTGATAAACTGGCTCATCTGATCTTGTGGCCCCCCCATCTAGGAACTGATTTGGTCAGGAGGACAGCTTTGGCTCCCTATGATTTCATCTCTGACCAATCAGCAGTCCCGGCTCACTGGCTTCCCCACATCTACCATGTTGTCCTTAAAAACTCTGCTCCCCGAATGCTAAGGGAGAATGATTTGAGTAATAAAACAACGCTGGTCTCCCGCACAGCTGGCTCTGTGTGAATTACTCTTTTGTCTGTTGCAATTCCCCTCTTTTTTTTTTTTTTTTTTTTTTTTTTGAGGCGGAGTCTTGCTGTGTTGCCCAGGCTGGAGTGCAGTGGTGCGATCTCGGCTCACTGCAACCTCCGCCTCCCGGGTTCACTCCATTCTCCTGCCTCAGCCTCCCAAGTAGCTGGGACTACAGGCGCCTGCCACCACACCTGGCTAATTTTTTTGTAATTTTAGTAGAGAAGGGGTTTCACCGTGTTAGCCAGGATGGTCTTGACAGGATGGTCTTGATCTGCTGACCTTGTGATCTACCCGCCTCGGCCTCCCAAAATGCTGGGATTACAGGGGTGAGCCACCATGCCCGGCTCCCCTGTCTTGAGGAATTGGCTCTGTATAGGCAGCAGGCAAGGTGAACCCCTTGGACATTTACACCTTCAACAGTGGCATTTGTCTTGTTTATTGTTTTTTTAGAGGTTGTTGTTGGAAGTTTTGGGAGAGAATGGGAAGGGTCCAGGAAAGCACCGAACACAATGGAGATTAAAGTACAGGAGAGGCCGGTCGGTGGCTCATGCCTGTAATCCTAGCACTGTTGGAGGTTGAGGCATGATAGTACAGACCTGCAGTCCCAGCTACTCGGGAGGTTGAGGCAGGAGGATTGCTTGAGCCCAGGAGTTTCAGGATGCTGTGAGCTATGATAGTGCCACTGCACTCTAGCCTGGGTGACAGAGTGAGTCCTTGTCTCCAAAAATTGAGAAACTCAAAGATGTTCAATTGGTGATGGTACTACAATGTAAGGGGTGTTGGGAAAGATGACGAGTGTTTTCAACTTCTACAATGAAGAGTGTTAATGTAGCAGCATTTGAGATTGAGGGAGCAGGAGTGCTAACATCCTGTGGGCTCAAGACAGTGCTGCACAATTGTCCTTACTTTAAATGCCAATAACATCCCCCACTGATGATTAAATTAATCCTTATATCACTAAAGATTACAGAAATATGACATATGGTGGTATTATCTGGTCTCAAGGATCCAAATGGAATGCTGATGTCACATCCAGGTACTCACAGTGTCCTTGGCTTGTGGTAGCCCTGAGAGAAGTGGTATTTGCTTTGGATAGGAATGTGGTAGTTTAGACTAGATACAGCTGGAGGGAGGGAGTGCTCCCTATCAGTGGAATATTTTTATACAACAAATTAACACTCTCAAGTTTATTTCCAACATTCATTTTTTATATTCATTATAAACAGGGTGATATGGTTTGGCTATGTCCCCACCCAAATCTCATCTTGAATTATAGTTCCCATAATCCCCATGTGTTGTGGGAGGGACCTGGTAGGAGGTAATTGAATCATGGAGGCAGGTTTTTCCCATACTGTTCTTGAAGTAGTAAATAAGTCTCACAAGATCTGATAGTTTTATAAATGGGAATTCCCCTACACAAGCCCTCTCTTTCCTGCCACCATGTATGATGTGACTTTGCTCCTCATTTGCCTTCTGACATGATTGTGAGGCCTCCCCAGCCATGTTGAACTGTAAATAAATTAAACCTCCTTTATAAATTACCCAGTTTCAATTATGTCTTTATTAGCAGCATGAGAACAGACTAATACACAGGGTTAAACTACGGAGAATTGGCTTGCATTATAGACTGGCTGTCTATCACATTGAGCATCCTCAGAGGGAAAGATGTGTAGACAATGCTATGCAAACTTCTAAGTTTTTCTTAGAAACATTTCTAATGGAACTATTTCATACTGGAATCACAGATTAATCAGTGAATTTTTTGTGTGTGAAAAGGAACCTCAGAGACTACCTTGAACCCACTGTCATGCTTCTGAATACTTCAGTGTAGAAATACAAAGCGTGCTTCCGTTTTGGTCACTCATACCATGCAAGTAAATGAATAGCTGAATACCTTTGATTTTAAATGTAAATATGACCTTTAGAAATAACAGCTGGTTTAAAAATGAGCCAAAGTGTAAGTAAAATGGGCAACGGATATACTTCAGTTCCCAAAGAACATTTATAAGGAAAAGTTGTGTTTCCTTTGCAGCTTTCCGTCTTAGAGAAAAGACTTCATCATCTTATATGTGATGTGGCTTTCTGGGCTCCTGACATCTTTATAGAGTTTGACTGGAATTTCCTTCTCTTGAAAATGAATGGGCATTTTCTTGCTCTCCACACTCATAAGCTTCACTCCCAGGGGGCCCAAGTTTACATAATCCTATGGTGAACAGGCACAAAAAAGAATAGGAGAGGTGATTCAGCAAATTACCAGCTTGATAGATTAGGCTTTCTTTATTACAGTTGGCCTTTATCTGACAGACTTCATTGCCCCCTAATTGCCTGATGCTGTGTAGCACATGAAATATGAGAGCCACTATAAATGGGAAAAAAACAAAATACTCAGGAAACTTATATACCCAGTAGGGCATACACAGTAGGCAAGATCTTCCAAAAGCAGGCAGCAAGGCTGGAAGGCTTGTCTCATAGTGGGTTAATGGGGGAGGGATGCTGGCTATAGTTAGTGCAAAACTAACTATAGTCTGTGAAAGGAAAATAAAAACATGGGACCCCAATTCACTTTGCCAAAAGGAAAAAATTAAGCTGAAAGCTGAGTCATGTAAGCAACTGCCTTTGCTTTTGTTCCTAAGCAGATATGTACAGATAAAAGGTTAAATATCCCCACAGGTAGCTACTCTATGTTCAGCTGATCTTTTGTAAAGTGCGAGGTGAATACATAATTGACTGTTCCCCTACCTGCTCCTTTTCTCTTGCAACATGTGGATGACCATACCTTCCTGCTTTCCCCTCCAGCCCACTTTTCTCCTTTAAATATTGAAGGCCTCCAAGTCATCTTTGGAGACAGGCACAGACCACACACTATTTCTGTGATTTTGTGGGTTTTTTTTCTCCCAGGTACTGTCCTTAACATTGGCAAAATCAACTTCTAAATTGATTGAGACCTGTCTCAGATAGCTTTTGGTTTACAAATCTAAGATATCAACAAACAGAATTTGAAGTCTAACTGATATGAAATCCATAGCCAACCCAAAACTGGGTGGACAGAGCTCACGCCCTACCCAATGTCCCTTCCTCCAGGAAGTCTCCCATGCCATAACTCTTGCTTTTTAATTCCTTTGACACGTCACTTTAGCAAACCTTTCCCAAGTGTTCACTGTATGCCAGGCCCTATATCAAGTGCTGGGGTGCAATGATAAGCACAGACTGATCAGGGACACAGGTACAGGTGGTCTGTTTACTCTTATATGGTACTTGTTGATTTTCTTACCTGTCTTCTACAAGTCTGTAAGTGATTTGGGGGCAAGGCCTGCTGTATAGGCATATTTGAGATTTCATTTCTTGCTGTTCTCTCCCTTAAATGCACAAGCATTTAACAAGGACCTGGCATGTTGTGGGGTTCTCAATAAATATTTATTTGAATTTAGAAGAATCAAAGAATGAAAAAGGAAGGTGATGTCTTATTTCTCAAAATACATATAATTCTATTTAGCTTTCAAAATATGTAGCTGTGATAAATGTAAGATAGTAGAAAAGCAAGTTGATGGAGACCTACCACATATTTCAGAATCACTGGGAGGAGGATTCTCAAGTAATACACCATGGCCATGGCAGTTTGACTACATCAAAAACTTTCATGGAAAGTAAGTCTTTCATTCAACCAAATGGTATGCTATTTGGGGATTTTGTAGACAACTGTCCACTAGCCTGAGATCATCATGACATCCCAGGAGTCATGATTCCAAGATACGCATGGAGATGTTTCAGTGCTAGAGGAACTAGAACTTTAGTCTTTAAATCATCGCTTGATGGCAGCAGGATTGAATTGTAGTTAGTTAAAATGGTTTGTGTTGGTTTATTCAGTTTCTTCTGCTTTCTTACATCATTTTTTCCACTACCAGACATCAAATTCTAGGAGAACTTTTAAAGTATCAAGAGGGAAAATAACAAGGGATGGCTGTGGGAGTAACTGGAATGTACTAGAAAGAAGTTTCAAAATTAAAAGGCTTAATACTCCAGGTTTTAATGAATGGTATATGTGCAATCTGTACTTTCCAAAGATAGCCTAATTCATATCCTATCCCAAGTGCTTCTCTTACAATGTGATACTGACCTTCCTCCATCAAGATGTAGGAGCTATGTTCCTTCCCCTTGGATGGAACTTTGTAACTACATCAACCAGTAGAATATGATGGAAGTGACAATGTATGATTTCCAAGGCTAAGCCATATAAAACTGCCTTCTTTCTTTTCTTTCTTTCTTTCCTTCCTTCTTTCCTTCCTTCCTTCCTTCCTTTCCTCCTTCCCTCTTTCTTTCTTTTCTTTCTTTCTTTCTTTCTTTCCTTCTTTCTTTCTTTCTCTTTCTTTCTTTCTTTCTTTCTTTCTCTCTCTCTCTCTCTCTCTCTCTCTCTCTCTCTTTCTTTTTCTTTTTTCTTTCTTTCTTTTCAGAGTCTCGCTCTGTCACCCAGGCTGGAGTGCAATGATACAGTCTCTGCTCACTGCAACCTCTGCTTCCCAGGTTCAGGCAATTCTCCTGCCTCAGCCTGTCAACTAGCTGGGATTACAGGCACGCACCACCATGCCCAGCTATTTTTGGTATATTTAGTAGAGATAGGGTTTCACCGTGTTGGCCAGGCTGGTCTCAAATTTCCGATCTCAGGTGATCCGCCCACCTCAGCTTCCCAAAGTGCTGGGGTTACAGGCATGAGCCACTGCAGCCAAATTGCTGCTTTTATCTTGGTCTCTAGGGTTGCTTGTTTTGGGAGAAGACAGACACTATAACAAAAGAAATTCAAAACACCCTGTCAGGAGGCACATGTGAAGAAGAAGTGAGGCCCTCAGTTTAGCCAGCATCAACATGCTAGCCATATAAACCACCTTGGAAATGAAGACTCCTGCCCCGATCAAGCCTTCAGATGAGTGCAGCCCTAGCCAACATATGGTTGCAACTGACTGAGAGTCCACCAAGTGAGAACTGTCTAGTGGAGCCCTTCCTGAATTTCTAACCAACAGAGCCCTAAGCGAGAATAAATAGTTATTGTTATAAGCCACTAGGTTTTGGGGATTGTTATGTAGCATTAGATAACTTACTTTGTATACTATTAATGGAGGCCTATAGAGGAATATAGGTAGCAAATTGGGCAAGAGTAGGAGTGAAAATGGTATCCAAATGAGAGATGTGAATGGTGGGCCAATTTTACTAATAATTGCAAATGGAATTTTCAATATCCATATTTTAGGTTAATTTTCTCAATTAAAACAGCATTTCTCAAAACAGCATTTTCTTAGTAGTCAAAGTTGTGTTGTTATGAATCTTACCTTGAAATCCTTCTCATCCTCATATAGTAAGTACTTCATATCAGTGTCCCCAAACTCTGTGCCTGAGTTTTCCTCTTTATCTATCTTCACATACTGGAGATCTTCGATGCTATTTTCATGACTAAGATGTAAGATAGTGCTCTCATCTGATGAGGACATCAAGTCTCTACTTTCTACTTCTGTGGGTTGCAATTCTGACTTCTCTTCTTGGATAAATACAAAGGAATTAATTATGTATACATTTTGAACATATACAAATAAAAATGCAATACATACTTTGTCACATTTTTAATTGGATGGAACTTTGAGAATTGCAAATGTAGAATTTATGTATTAAAGTAAGAGGGAGTCCCATTTGTAGAAACTCTAAGTTGTATTTCTTTCTGTTAGCTAATAAGTTATAGTAATTATATTGGTGCCTAAGTATATGTTGTCATTTTGGTTGGCTAAATAGGGCCCTAAACCTTGCCAGTGTAGACAGCAGTCTCATCCCTCTTCACCAGTATTTATTTAATTTACTGTGAAACATGGTGACCTTAATTTGAAAGTGGGACTACAGACAGGAGATAGATTAGGACAAGCACTGCAAGAGGAGAAATTTAGAGAAGCTGGCAGGTGTCTATTCTCTGAATAGCTTTTGTATGTGGGGCACCTGCTCACAATAGGTAAGTGTTTTTTAAATTGAAAAACAAGAGTTTGAAAAAAATCATCATCATTATTGCAATAAAGTAATACCTATATGTGTTTCTGGCAATTCCAAAGACATTTCTTCAGGTGGCACTTCTAGTCCAGCAGCTTGGGTAAGATATAGTCGCCTAAAAGAACAAATGAGAAAAACAATCTGTCAGTCAATAAATATTGCATTGCATGCTTACTAGGGTCTATCTCTCTACTAGGTGCTAGAAATGCATAGATGAAAAATGAGACATAATTTCTACCCTGAGGAGCATAAAGCCCAGTGGGGTGGCAGACAGCCTTACGGTATTTTAAAGTCATGGTGTGTACCATGATGGGTAATTACCATAGTGTGAGAATAATGGGATGCAGAAAGAAGCAGCACCTGAGTCAGCTTTAGGGGGAAGGAAAGTTTTCCTGGATGAAACCTGATCTTAGTCTTTGATACAGTTTAGCTGGGCCCCACCCAAATCCCATCTTGAACTGTAGTTCCCATAATCCCCATATGTTGTGGGAGAGGGACCCAGTGGGAAGTAATTGAATTATGGGAGCGGTTACCTCCATGCTGTTCTCGTGTTAGTGAGTTCCCATGAGATCTGATAATTTATAAGGGGCTTTTCTCCAACCTTCGCTCTGCACTTCTTCCTGCTGCCATGTGAAGAAGGTCATGTTTGCTTCCCCTTCTGCCATGAATCTAAGTTTCCTGAGTCCTCCCCAGCCTGGTGGAACTGTGAGTCACTTAAACCTCTTTCTTTTCTAAATTACCCAGTCTCGGGCAGTTTTTTATAGCAGCATGAGAATGGACTAATACAGTCTTGAACCTGGAGGTGGTTGCCAGGGAAGAGCTAGGGGTGAAAGAAGGGCATTCCAAATAAGGAAATAACACACTTAAAGTTCAAAAAATTGAGAGTGAGCATGGCACTAGTCAGGTCGCTGTTGTAGTATTTCAGGTGCGGAATGATAGTGTCCTGAAAGACCACTTTTGAGTGGTTTTCGTTTTGAGATGAAGAGAGAAAGAGAAAGCGAACAGTAGGAATCCAAGATACCATCTAGGTCCTGGCTTTTGCTTAGTGGTATGCTTCACCTACAAGCCCAGCGAACTGATGTCCATATGCTGTTGTAGCTCTCTCTACATTGTTTAATTCTGTGCTCTCCTTTTTAGAGTGTCCACTGAATTTTCAATCAGAAAATATCATGCTTTGAAAACTCTGTATGGCATTTCCATGAGGTTTACCTGAAGACAGCATGAAGTAATTGAACGCTTGCAAATGTGCAAACAACCCTTCACGCTTAGCAGCTAAGCAAGTAAAGTGAATCCCCTAAATTAGGGGCTGTGAGTTATTTAAAGAACATGAATAAAGTGTTATCCAGATGCTAATGGCTCCAGCAAATACTGTAACTACATACAATATTTACACCTATGAAAACTTCTAAAAACTTAACTTTAGTTAAGGTAAGTTTAGTAAAGGTACCTTAGTAAACGTAAGTTTCACATGTAGCTGTGGTCTTCAGGGAGACATGTCTGAGGCTATAGAATTCTTTTGTTTCCTAGTTTTACCATTGTGAACAATTAAGATCTTTCTAAATGCCATAACCTTCAGGAATCTAGCTTTTTCTATTAATTGCTAGTTTACTGTTACTTCTGTACTACTACAGGGTAACAACACTTGATACTTAATGATATGGAAAATAGTTTAAAAGATGTTATTATGGTAAGTTAGTGTTAGATTTGTAGGTGTTGGCCCACTTAGCCTCAGCCCTGTGGCACTGGAGTCCTGGGCAGTCACCTCTGGCTGACAGTTTCCTCATCTGTTTGCCCCAATGTGTCAAACAAATCCTATGACATTCTATGTGAGTTGAGATGGGAAAAAGTTTGAGTAACTACATAGGAAATGTGGTAACTCTATTAACCACAATATCCCATTCCTCATCCAAATAGGGAAATAGAACTTCTTCTGTGTCCACTGGAGACAGTTCATGTCTATTTCTTATCACCCTACTAGTATTTTACAAAACTTAATTCTCAACAAAGAGATGGAGGGGGAAGTTACCAAAAAGATATAATATGTGTAATATTCCTTTGGCTTGGAAATGGGTACAGTAAAATCTCCTGAACATCCTTCAGGTTATCTTTCTGCATAAGAAGTCTAGCAGATAATTGAGGGCTTTCAAATTTTCCAGTTTCTTTATGCAGGTCTTTCTAAAGTGTCCAAAACAGTTGCCTCAAGGAGTTTACAATCTAGTAAAGCAGCAGACATTAAATAAGTAATCAAAAGTGTGATAAAGGTTGGTTACAAAGGAAAAGTTCAGGGTGTTGTGGGAGCATATAGCAAGGACACATATATCAGTTCCTATAAATGTCACCCATGGTGTTTCTTTTCCCTTGAAAATATTTTGACTTCATTTCTTCCAACTCTGAAGCTAGACTAAGCATTCTATTACTCTCAGGAAAACCAGCCCCTAAAGCACTGATGAACAGTGTGGATTTTACAGAAGATTTTTATAGGGAAGAGCGAGGATGACGTTAGATTATATACTGCACAGTAAACAACTCAATGAAAATCCCCATTAAAAGTTTCTCAGTCTCCCATTCTGTTCTTGCCAAGTCCCCTTTGGCCAATGAAATAATTCCCTTTTTTAGAATTATTAGCACTTTACAACCATGTCAGAACAAAATCAAATATACCAGACTGAGTTGATCCAGGTAGAGACACGGGTCTGGCAGTTTAGAGGGTATCTCTTTCCTAAAGATTAGCCAGTTCAGAAAAGAGGGCAGTGGACAGCAGCTATAGCAGTAGGTAGTTAGAAGCCACATACCAGCAACGCCTGGCAGAGATTAGACATGATTCCAAAGGCAGCAGCAGCAGATGACGAGGATTAGAGGTGGGACAGGAATGTAGCACTGGATACCTGATCACAGAGAGGAGGGCTGGCAAAAGTGAGCATTGCCTACTGGGCAACAGTGAGCACCTACCCCTAGGGGCCCTCTAGGGCATCAGCTCAAGAGACTGGAAGTACAGGAGTTCAGTAATCAATCCTCATTCAGCCTCACCTCATCTATATTGGTATCTACTCTCTCTGAAGCACACAAAGTAATAATGCAAAGGGGGCAGATGGCCTCTTTCTCTATCCTGCCCCACCCAGCTTATCTCCCAATTTCTCTAATCTTGTATCCTGACACCCATCATTTAGCCTAGCAAACAGGGAACCCATAATTTACCTGTATCCACCTTTCCTGGAAAACAATAGAAAGTTTATACATAACAAATACATGATCATGTCTCAAATAGTAGTCTTCCATGTCACACAAACAATAGGAACTACTTGTGTGGAAAGTTTTTCCTGGCTATTCCACCAGGTTCAACTTAACATCTGCTTTAATTCCTAGACCTAGACATTTCTCTCCCATACTTGCACACATGCACCCTACATTTGTGTGACTTCCCCTCTCTTCCTAAACATGCTACTATTTAGATTATTTTTTGGTTTTGACTACTTGTCTAAATTATGAGTGCCATTTTGAATTTTAATTTTATATTCAAGGGCCCTAGGTTTCTGTCAGGATAAATATATTAAGACTTTTTTTTTTGTCAGATAAGGAAGACAGCTAACCAAACATATAAAGGTATATGCACCACTTGGTTTCTTGTATGCAAGAACAAATATGACTTGGAATGCCAAGCCCTTTTCTCGGCCTACAGAGTAGTTTTGACTCTTTCAACCGAAAGAAATAATTCTACAATCCACAGGAGCCCAGATCACCTCCATGAAACTTCCAGCAAGTGGATCACCTCCTCCTCTGTGCTAACTCTCTACCTCCTCTATCTTCTGCCGTACTGTTATGTACTTATTTTCATGACCATTACCCCTGCTGGTCTGGAGGCTCCTGAATGTTGGCAGTTATGATGTTCATGTTATGTGCTGGCTATTGTGACTACAGTTCATTGCAAGATAAAACAAGCCAAACTTTACATTGTACCAATGGTCAATAGTAATAATCCTATACCTTCACCATGAGCATTTTTTTTGTCCCTTTCTTTTTGACTACTGCTGGAGCACTGAATAATTAAATCATCTTTTTTTGTTTTAAAAAAACAACTTTTTACAGCAGATACAAATGTTTACAAAATACTCTCTATATATTAACAATTTTCACCTGGGTATCTTGAGATCCACAAGTCTACAGTTGGATAGTTGATCAATAAGCACCAAATTTTCTGCTTCCAGTTCATGAATAGCATTTTTTAATTCTTCAACTTCCTTCCTGTGAATTGCAACCTGTTCTCAGAAGAAGAGAATGAATGTTGGTACTTATTGATTCAGTTCTATTAAGTTTTCTTTTCTTTATTTTTTTCTTTTTTCTTTCTTTTTTTTTTTTTTTTTATTTGAGACGGAGTTTCACTTTTGTCTCCCAGGCTGGAGTGCGGTGGTGCAATCTTGGCTCACTGCAACCTCTACCTCCTGGGTTCAAGCGATTCTCCTGCCTCAGCCTCCTGAGTAGCTGGGATTACAGGCATGTGCCACCATGCCCAGCTAATTTTGTATTTTTATTAGAAACAGGGTTTCTCCATGTTGGTCAGGCTGGTGTCAAACTCCTGACCTCAGGTGATCTGCCTGCCTCGGCCTCCCAAAGTGCTGGGATTACAGGTGTGAGCCACCATGACTGGCCAAGTTCTATTAAGTTTTCTATAATAAACTCAACTTCTAAAAGTGCATTTGCCTGAGGGGAAGACCTATTGTGTATCATTTATTACTGGGCTTGCTTTGTCCTTCCTCCCTTAAAAGGAATAGGTGGAAATCATTTTTAGATCATCAGCAGAACTTGTCTGAATAGTTAGGCAGTTATGATAGAATAGCAGGAATTGTCCTTTTGTACCCTTCAAAAACACTGCTGAACTTAGGTATAAGTCAGAGGCAGACATAACTAAGAAAACATGGCTGATGAATTTAGCAATAGGGCATATTAGTAGCTAAGTTAGGCCCTATCTAAGGGTAATTATAAACAATACAATGAAAACCAATAACACTGGGAAAATGCTATATTATTGGGACTTTTTAAAGGAGAAGCACAGGCTAGTAGTCCTTCTGTCAGCCTCTAGAATACAATGATGTTCTCTCTGAGTGCTAGGTAATTCTGAGAACTGTCAGGTAGATGAAATATTGTTTGTCCATTCGTTCATTCATTCAGTTGTATCATATGGCTATCATGTGGCAGAAATGATATTACACTTTGGGAACAAAGGATCAACAAGGTGTAGTAACCTTCAAGGATCTTGTACCCTAGTGGGAAAGATGGTAATGAAAACAGAAAATAGCATGATAATAACCATAATGGAAGCCATCCTGGTGCCATCGGAGGAGAGAGAGGTTCACCCTACTTCTATCAGTTGTCGGGGATAAGGGAGCATTAATAGAAGAGATGACACTTAATCTGGATCCTGAAAACTAAGCAGGGACTCCCTGGGCAGACACAGGAGGCTGTGCTCTAGGCAGAAGAAACCACATGTGCAAAGGCATGACCATTTTAGTGTGGATAGATACAAAATAAGAATGGGGAGAAGCAGGAGAGGAACTGGACAATTAAGGAAGGGCCAAATAATGCTAAAGAGTCTGGTTTTTATCCTGTAGGTGATGGAAGGTCATTGATAAACATAGCAGGCTTAATGTTTACTGAAGAAATTGACTAACTTTTGTACATCAATTGGGCCTGTAAAAAAGAAGAAGAAAAATAATGTGGCTAATTCAAATAGGAAAAAATGTCCTGGTTCTGTTGGTAGAATTCTCATCTGTTTTTAAGAAGTGTATTTTGTCGGGAGGCTGAGGCAGGAGAATCACTTGAACCCGGGAAGTGGAGGTCACAGTGAGCTGAGATCACGCCACTGCACTCCAGCCTGGGCAACAGAGCGAGACTCCGTCTCAAAAAAAAAAAAAAAAAAAAAAAAAAAAAAAGTGTATTTTGATGACTTTTGTCCAAAGAGGGCTTGATAGTGGGAAGAGTATATAGAAGAATGTTACTAGATAGAACATCCAAACCCACCTCTCCACCACCCAAAGCAGCCTGAGCTACACAGGTGCTGGATCAGGAGGTGCTCATGGGGAGACAACAGAGCAATAGGAGAATTAGAAGCAAGAGCATAAAATAGAAAGAGGTAGGCTGGTGAGAATAATGGTGATATAAACTGGAGGAAGTAATAAAAGTCTTGAGGGAATATGATGAAAGAAAAAAGGCACAGGGGTTTAGATTCAGTATCTCTTGTCAGAAGCTGCCAAGAGTGTAACTGAGATGGGTACTTAGAAGGAGATGATAACATTTTCTGCTTTGTCACTGAGATTTAATTGTATTTAGGAATCTTAAAGCATTCAATATGTTACCACATGCATATCTCTATCACATGATCATTTCTTAAATGCAGGAATTCTTAGCAAATAACACAAAAACCAAAAATAAAAATAAAAAATTAGCTGGGCGTAGTGGTGTGCACCTGTAGTCCCCACTACTTGAGAGACTGAGGCGGGAGGATTGCTTGAGCCCAGAAGTTCAATGTTACAGTGAGCTATGACTGCACCATGACACTTCAGCCCAGGTGACAGAGCGAGACCCTGTCTCAAAACAAACAAACAAAAAACCAAAAAAACCAAAAACATGAGACAGGGCTTGCTCTGTCACCCAGACTGGAGTGCAGTGGTACCATCTCAGCTTCACTTTAGCTTCAACCTCCTGAGGCTCAGGTGATCCTTCCACCTCAGCCTCCTGAGTAGCGAAACTGCAGTAGTAGAACACTTGGCTAATCTTTTTTTTTTTTTTTGGTATTTTTTTTGTAGAGTCGGGGTTTCATCATGTTGGTCAGGTTGGTCTCAAACTCCTGGGCTTCAAGCAAGCTGCTTGCTTCGGCCTCCCGAAGTGCTGGGATTACAGGCATGAGCCACCCGGCCATGAATTCTATCTGTCTATCTATCTATCTATCTATCTATCTATCTATCTATCTATCTATCTATCTATCTATCTAATCATCTAGTCTATGCTGTGTTGCCCAGGTTGGAATGCAGTGGCGTGATCTTGGCTGACCACAGCCTCCACCTCCCAGGTTCAAGCGATTCTCCTGCCTCAGCCTCCACGGGTGCCTTCCACGGGCGCCCGCCACCATGCCCAGCTATTTTTTTTGCATCTTTAGTAGAGACGGGGTTTCATCATCACACCTGGGATTATAGGTGTGAGCCACGGTGCCCAGCCATAAATTCTTATTATGGGCAAGGTTCAGAGCTAGATGTAGAAGGATGCAAGGGTGAATAAGGCATGGCTCCTTCCCTCAAGAGAGCTTATAATCCAATGATTAAAACCACAAATAATTATAATATAAAGCAATACCAGTCCCATGGAAAAGGCTCAAATATTGCTGGTGGCTTGAAGTTAGAAAGAAAGGCATATATTATTTATCTGCCTCAAACAATTTAGTAAAACCGTTTAAGTCCAGATTACTAAATTACAAAGCTAGGGTTTGGTGTTTTAGGATCTCATATGTTGAGAGATAATTATTTTGATTACAAGCTTGAATGCCTTAAGGAAAATTTATGATTTTCAAATGTCAAAGGATGAGGAAAAAAAACTATAGTTAGACACTGTAAACAGAAGGAATTAATGCAACATTTGGGAGATGTTTGACCTAAGGGCCTGGCATGCTTGGGAGGTAGCACACACAGTTCTTGGTCTCTTTCGAAAGCTGGGAATGGGGGCCCTTTTGAGATGTTGCATCCACTCTTAGAGGCTAAGGCTCTCCTATGACATCACGTATCCCTTTAGAATAGTAATGTGCTCCTCAATAGCTATCTCCCTCGGCCTTTTGAAATGTTAGGGAATAAAAACTACTTCTTTTTCATAACCCTACAAACACCTTTGGATTTCTGGGGTCAGAAAGTAAAAAGGAGGAAGAAGTGGAAGACCACATTTCCCTCCCTGCCTCAGCTGCCCCCCAGCAAAATGCCCAAGAAATATACATAGAAACTGGGAGAGATAATTTAGTTAAAACGTTAAGTTGGGGACCTAGGATCCTGATTAAAATATATGTTCTTGAAATTTTCTCCTGAAAGATCCAAGTTAGCCTTATGTCTCCTCATACTTGAAATCCTGATGGTAATTTCCTTGATTCCCTTTGTCTAGTTTCTCCAGCTTTCCATTTGTTAATCTCAATCATTTGGAAATTCCAGTTTCCTTCATTTTCTAATAAGCATGCTAAATAAAACCAGATAATTGAAATCATGCAGTGTTACTTATAACAACTAATACATGAAAAAAAGAAAATAGTTATAAATTAAAACAACAACAAAAAAAGATAATCATGTAACAAAACAGCTGTGTAGCCTTCCCAGTGATTTATATTTTTGGTTATTGCTGAGAGATAAATGGAGAAATATTTTCATTAGTTCCATTATTAAATATCCTTTGTTACTCATTCTAAACTTTCACCAAAGAAATTAATTAACATATATTGTTCTATTTCCAGGCAATTTTCAATTCTTGTGATGGTACCAGAAATAGTTTTAATTACTTTTGCAAGTAAACTTAATAATGTTAAAAATGAATATTTATTAAAACAAAGAGAAATTAAATCTATTACATTTCCATAAAATGATTTGTTATTTATTTAATTTAATTTAATTTAATTTAATTTAATTTTTTGAGACAGGATCTCATTCTGTCACCCAGGCTGGAGTATAACGGCCTGAACATGGCTTACTACAGCCTCAACCTTCCAGGCTCAAGTGATGCTCCTATCTCGGCCTCATAAGTAGCTGGGACCACAGATGTGTGCCACAATGCCTGGCTACTTTAAAAAAATTTTTTTTTTGTAGAGATGTGGTCTCACTATATTGCCCAGGTTTGTCTCAAACTCCTAGGCTCAAGCAATCCTCCTGCCTTTGGCTCCCGAAGTGCTGGTAGTATAGGTGGGAGCCACCATGCCCAGGTGATTTGTTCTTTATTATAAAGCTCTTTTTGTTCCTGATGCCATTAAACTTAGACTTTTTTTTCTGTCATTTATTTCCATTGAACTGTGAGAAGCAGAAACATAATTTCTGGCTTCAGTAGGAAGAGTCAAGTCATGAAAACAGCCCTTCTTATTAGTCAAATGCAAATTTTTTGTAGTCATTTTCCCTAAACCTAAGATTTATGACATCTCATGAGATTAAGTGAATTGAGGCTGGGCAAGGTGGCTCACTTCTGTAATCCCACCATTTGGGGAGGCTAAGGCTGGTGGATCACCTGAGGTCGGGACTTTGAGACTAGCCTGACCAACATGATGAAACCTCACCTCTACTAAAAAATAGAAAAATTAGCCAGGTGTGGTGGTGGGCAGCTGTAATCCCAGCTACTTGGGAGGCTGAGGCAGGAGAATCGCTTGAACCTGGGAGGTGGAGGTTTCAGTGAGCCAAGGTTGTGCCATTTCACTCAAGCCTGGGCAACAGAGTGAGGCTCCGTCTCAAAAAAAAAAAGAGAGAATTGTTAAGTTATTTGATTAGGATCATACTTTGTATTTAATAAATGTATAAGAAGTAAGTTTCTCCCTAATACTCTTTTTTTTTTTTTTTTTTTTTTGAGACGGAGTCATGCTCTTGTCGCCCAGGCTGGAGTGCAGTGGCAGGATCTCAGCTCACTGCAAGCTCCACCTCCCGGGATCACGACATTCTCCTGCCTCAGCCTACTGAGTAGCTGGGACTACAGGAGCCCGCCACCATGCCTGGCTAATTTTTTGTGTTTTTAATAGAGACGGGGTTTCACCGTGTTAGCCAGGATGGTCTCGATCTTCTGACCTCGTGATCCACCTGCCTCGGCCTCCCAAAGTGCTGGGATTACAGGCATGAGCCACTGCGCCTGGCCCTCCCTAATATTCTTTAACTGTTGAGCTCACCTTGAGGTTTTAAAATTGTTAATACCTTTTTTTTTTTTATTTTTTTGAGTCTGAGTCTGGCTCTTGTTGCCCAGGCTGGAGTAAAGTAGCACAATCTCTGCTCACTGCAACCTCCACCTCCCGGGTTCAAGCAATTCTCCTACCTCAGCCTCCCATGTAGCTGGGATTACAGATGCATGCCACCACGCCTGGCTAATTTTTTTTTTTTTTTTTTGAGGCGGAGTTTCACTCTTGTTGCCCAGGCTGGAGTGCAATGGCGCAATCTCGGCTCACTGCAAACTTTGCCTCCTGGGTTCAAGCAATTCTCCTGCCTCAGCCTCCCGAGTAGCTGGGATTACAGGCATGCACCATCACGCCCGGCTAATTTTGTATTTTTAGTAGAGACGGGGTTTCTCCATGTTGGTAAGGCTGGTCTCGAACTCTTGACTTCAGGTGATCCTCTCACCTCAGCCTCCCAAAGTGCTGAGATTACAGGTGTGAGCCACTGCGCCTGGCCCACGCCTGGCTAATTTTTGTATTTTTAGTAGAGATGAGGTTTTACCATGTTGGCCAGGCTGGTCTCGAATTCTTGACCTGAGGTGATTTGCCTGCCTCAGCCTCCCAAAGTGCTGGGATTACAGGCATGAGCCAACAACATGCCCAGCCTTAAAAATTGTTAATACCTTTTTAAAAATTGTGAATTCATCCTAGTTAGTTTGGGGAGATAGTATGAACTCCTATTCACCATGACTTAATAATGACAATTTAAAGATAATTGTCAGTTATCATAGAAGCCATATGAATGTTTAAATTCCTTGTTTCCTAGACTCACTATACTCAGTCAAATAGGGAGCAAGAAAAAGGAAAGAGTAGAAGCTGACGGTGACATTTTTATCTTGAGTGTCTGGGCAGATGGTAAAAAGGAAATGGAGGAGAAAATTTTTGAAGAGAAACTTAATGAGTCCTGCTTTAGGTACATTGAATTTGAAATGCCTTTGGGACATCCACGTGAAAATATTTGGCAGGGAAAAAAAATGTAGTTCCAGAGACGAGGACACACATCAGTTTGTGCTGAAGATGTACATTTGAGAATCATATAAAAATAACTCATTAACAAGAACTGCATGTAGCTGAAGTGCGTTCTCTCAAAAGGCAGTGAGCTTTGTTTTATAGATGGCATTGAATCACAGGTTGGGTGGCTACTTTGTATCTAAAGGGAATTTCAAGTAGAAGGGTAGATTGGGCTAGATAAGCTTAAGGTACTGCTGTCCTCATAAACCAGAAACAGGCTACTAAGAAACAGAATTCCATGACTCTCTATTACCTGCTAGAGTTCAAACTTCTCTGAATGGCACACAATTTGGGCCAGACCTACTTCTCCATTTATTATGATAGATGTACCGTACAATGTAAGATGTCAGTAATAGAGGAAACTGTTGTGGCGTATATGAGAACTCTCTTAGTATCCTTGCAATAATTCTGTAAATTTAAAACTGATTTTAAAAGTTTATTTTTTTAAAAAAGCAGTCAAGAACAAAACCCCTTTCATGCTCCCTGGCACCTCTGAACTGACGGGAGAGTCATTAATTGAATGGTTTTATGCAGAAGATTGACAAGACCAGGTTTATGTTTCATTTATTTTATTTTTTTAATTAATTTTTTATTTTATTTAATTTTTAAATTTAATTTTTTAAATTTAATTTGATTTTTTAAGACAGAGTCTCGCTGTGTTGCCCAGGCTGGAGTGCAATGGAACAATCTTGGCTCACTACAACCTCCGCCTCCTGGGCTCAAGTGATCCTGCTGCCTCATCCTCCCAAGTAGCAGGGACTACAGGCAGGTTTATGTTTTAGAAAGGTGACTCTGAGGCAGTGTGAAGGAGAAATGGAAAGATTCCAGTCTAGTCAGGGAAGAAAACCAGGTAAGACACAATTGAAAGATCTGGGTGAGAGATAATAAGGCCTGAACTAGGACCATGGCAGAGAAGGAGAAGTGGTCAAAGTAGAACTGATGGGACTTGGAGGCCTTCTGAATATGGAAAGTGAAAAGAACATTTCTAAAATAGTTGGCTCTTTGGCTGGGGGTGGTGGCTCACGCCTGTAATACCAGCACTGTTGGAGGCCGAGGCGGGTGGATCACTTGAGGTCAGGAATTCAAGACCAGCCTGGTCAACATGATGAAACCCCATCTGTACTAAAAATACAAAAAAAAAAAATTAGATGGAACGTGGTGGCATGTGCCTGTAATCCCAGCTTCTTGGGAGGCTGAGGTACAAGAATTGCTTGAACCTGGGAGGCAGAGTTTGCAGTGGGCCGAGATCATGCCACTGCATTCCAGCCTGGGTGACAGAGTGAGACTCTGTCTCAAAAGTAAATGAATACATAAATAAAATAAAAATAAAATAGTTGGTGCTTGAACAACACATGCAGATTTTTTGTATGTTTGTTTGTTTTAGATTGCTCTGCCACCCAGGCTGGAGTGCAGTGGTGCACTCTCAGCTCACTGCAACCTCTGCCTCCTGGGTTCAAGCGATTCTCCTGCCTCAGCCTCCTATGTAGCTGGGATTATAGGTGCCCACAACCACGTCTAGCTAATTTTTGTATTTTTAGTAGAGATGGGGGTTTCACCATGTTGGCCAGGCTAGTCTCTAACTCCTGACCTCAAGCGATCCACATGCCTCAGCCTCCCAAAGTGTTGGGATTACAGGCATAAGCCACCATACCTGGCCAACATGCAGATTTTTTTCAATCAAACACATAAAAAATGCAGTATTCCTGGGATGCAAAACCGGCATATACAGAGGTATATACTATAAACATGCTATAACCCATGCTGTATACTATGACCCATGGTATAAACATGGGCTCTGCAGGGCTGACTGCCAGATTTGAGTGTGCTTGGATTTTGGTATAAGTGGCAGGGTGGGGAAGGTGGAGGGGTCCTAGAACAAATCCCCTGAGTATACACAGGGGTGACTTAACTCCCAAGTTTCTGGCTTGGGTGACTGGATAATGGTGGGATCCTTAAGTGGGACAGATAGAGTAGAAGAGGAGGCAGTTTTCAGAAAAAGGGAAGATGCGGTCAATTTAGGAGTTTGAGATGTCTGCACCGGTTGCACAGCTGGTTGTTGAATATGTGGTTTTAGAGCCTGGAATTGAGATCAGTTTCAACTTGGACGGGATGCTTTTTAGGCCTGCAACACAATTATCATCCTCAGACACTTCTTCCCTGGTATACTGGGAAGTATACTGTTTCCTGTTTTTCTCTTCATCAGTTTACTTTCTTGTTTTGCTGACATACATGGTTAAGTAAATTCTTGAGAAAACATGAGAAGTATTCTGAGCCCTTGCATTTCTGAAAATAGCTTTATTTGTCCTTAATCTACTTTAGCTGACTATAGAACTCCAAGTTAAAAATAATTTTTCATCTGAACTTTGCTATTGAAAAATCAAATGTCAGTTTGGGTCTTATTCCCTTGTAGTTAACTTCACCCCCACCCCCACCTGCTTCTGCCAGAATCTTTTAGGATTTTCCTTTTGTTCTTGGTGTTCTGAAAATTCATGTCCTTTTCAGAACCCTGAAATTTTCTTCTATTATTTCATTGATGATTCCCTTCCCTCTATTTGCCCTTTTTTTCTTTCTTTTTTCTTTCTTTGAGACAGTCTGTCACCCAGGCAGGAGTGCAATGGTGCGATCATAGCTCACTGCAGCCTTGACCTCCTGGGCTCAAGTGATTCTCCCACTCCAGCCTCCTGAGTAGCTGAGACCACAGGCCTGCACCACCATGCCTGGCTAATTTTTTTTTATTTTTTGTAGAGCCGGGATCTTGCTATGTTGCCTAGTCTGGTCTTGAATGCCTGGGCTCTAGCAATCCTCCCACCCCAGCTTCCCAATGTGTTGGGATTACAGGAGTGAGCCACTGCTCTGGTTCTTATTCTTTCTTTCTGAAATTACTGTGTATTTGTATTAGTTGGATATTGTACATCTTACATTAGTACTCTATGTCTCTTATTTTTCTTCTTCCTTTTTTTTTTTTGTATTGTGGTCTTCCCTGTTTTGAGATTTGTTCTCTGTTCCCTATTTTATTTTATTTTATTTTATTTTTGAGACAGAGTCTCAATCTGTTGCCCAGGCTGGAGTGCAGTGGCTCAATCACAGCTGACTGCAGCCTTGACCTGCTGAGCTGAAGCAGTTCTCCCACTTCAGCCTCCTGGGTATTTGGGACTACGGGTGCTCACCACCATGCCTGGTTAACTTTTCTATTTTTTGTATAGATGGGGTTTCACTATGTTACCCAGGCTGGTCTCAAACTCCTGGGCTAAAGCAATCCTCCTGCATTGACTTGCCAAAGTGCTGGAATTACAGGCATGGGCCACCATGCCTGGTCTATTTCCTGTTTTATATTTGATTTTTGTTCTTAAAGCATCTTGTTTTATAAATAAAATGCCTTCTCAAATTTAAAATATATATATATATTGAGATGGAGTTTCACCATGTTGCCTAGGCTGGTCTCAAACTCCTGCACTCAAGTGATCTGCCTGCATTGGTCGCCCAAAATGCTGGGATTATAGATGTGAGCCAATGTGTCTGGCCAGAATTTTTTTTTTTTTTTTTAGACAGGGTCTCGCTCTGTCGCCCAGGCTGGAATGCATTGATGGGATGTTGGCTCATTGCAACCTCTGCCTCCCGGGCTCAAGCGATTCTCATACTTTAGCCTCCCAAGTAGCTGGGACTACAGGTGTGAGCCACCGTGACCAGCTAACTTTTGTATTTTTAGTAGAGATGAGGTTTTGCCATGTTGGCCAGGCTG
The DNA here is from genome assembly GCF_000001405.40 of Homo sapiens. NCBI lineage: Eukaryota > Metazoa > Chordata > Mammalia > Primates > Hominidae > Homo > Homo sapiens. Next base: position 85,900,867 of record NC_000011.10, on the reverse strand, counting down.
GTCTTGAACTCCTGGCCTCAAGCGATCTGCCCTCCTCAGCCTCCCAAAGTGCTGGGATTAGAGGTGTGAGCCACTATGCCTGGCCAGATTATTTTGAGTATACTAACAAAAGACCTTCACAGTTCCCTAAATTTTTTCTATTTCTTCCACAGGCTGTTTTTGTTGTTATTGTTTATTTTTTATTTTGTTGTTAATTCACTTGGCCTTTCTCTTCTGTTGTGCCAAATGTACTCAAATGCCTGGTGGTCCTTGGATGTCTATTTATATTTAAGAAAAGTCTGGGGAGTGGCATGGATTTTCCCCACCACTGTGTAAATAGGACTGTTTTCATACCAAATTTTTCCTCTGAATGGGAATGTGGACTGGAGACTGTATGTGGTATGGCAGGTGGTGTGAACTGGCAAATCCCAAAGGATGAGAAGGCAAGAGTGGGATATTAGGTTGTGGCTTCCTAAATGCCAACATAGGAAGGATTTTCTGTGGGGCACAGAAACATCTAAGGTCTACACTAGAAACCTTTGCCTTTATCTGATAATTTGTTTAGTGTTCTCAGAGGACAGTCATCAGGTTCTTAGGTCAAAAGTAAACACTTTGGTGGTATGTGAGGGAAATTGTAGAGGGTGATGGCAGATGCTTACTGATACAGATGCTCCCTATTCAGATCATCAAGTAACCCTCTTGTTTTCTGCTCCAGTTCCCATTCCCACCATCTATAGCACACACAGACTCTGAGCAGAGAATCTCCCAGGATTCCAAAAACATTGAGTTTTGCACATCCTCTGTAGTTCTCTTGTAACGTCTGGCCCAAGCAATACCTTCTCGTTTCATCCAACAACATACTCTCACATCTACTTTTTGTCTTTCAGAAGATTTCTGAAATCTCACCTGCTAGTTAACTCCTCTTGTTCTCTTTGTGGATGAGTTCTTTTTGTATTTTTATAATTTTTATAATTTTATTTCAGCGAGCCCTCAGGAGAGGTAGGATGCAGCCTACCATCTTGAACTACAATAAACAATTCACAAAGGTTTTAACCTATGATCTAAGCTATTTATTTGATTAATCCCTTCAATGAATATATCTATATTCATTGACATTCAGTCATTCAATAACTAATAAGCACAGATTATTTATCAGGTGCCATGGAAATATAGTTGAAAAGATATAGCCTGCTCTGTGTATTAATGAGACAGATGCATAAATAGACAATTTCAACATCTTTCAGCAAGAATTACAATAAAACAAGAAAACACTGGGGAAGGAGCTCCCAAGATTTCCTGGAGAGATTACAAAATGATTCACAAAGAAATTGATAATCAAAGTCCAAGCCTGAGGGTGAGTTGGAGTTTTCTAGACAGATGAGGATAAGGAGATATGGAAGTAAGACCAGAGGACCAGCATGTACAATCTAGAGAAAACAGTACAGTACCTCACAACAAAGAATTATCTGGTTCAAATGTCAGTGGTACAGACCAAAGGAGAACATGTCATTCAAAAGAGACAATTTAACCCAGCAGAGAATCAGCTTAGAATGGTCCTTTAGACTTGCCCCATCACCCAGGAGGAAGCAGGCTCATGAGGAAGACCAAATCAAGTTTTAGGACATAAAGAAACTGCACATTTGAGTTTACTGTGTGAATTATAAACCCCAACATTTTTTTCTGATTATTATTGAGATTATGATATTTTTTGAGTAACAGCTTGTAATGAGATGAGGACTCCACTTGAATTTTATTTTGTCTCAGTCAGTCATGGTACCATGCTTTTCCCATGACTTCAGTTCATAATTAAAAGTCATTTCCACTTAAAAAAATGAGAACGAAGAAATTGTTTGTTTTGATAAATTCCACTTACCTCTTTTTTGAGCCAGTCATTCTCCCAGATCTCTAGATAACTGCCCTTGTCAATGAGCTTTACAGCATTCTAAAAGAAAGTTTCTGGATTAAGGAAGAGTTGCCACATGCTGATTCACAATTTTAGCAATAGTGATGTGCAGTTATTCTGATCATTCATTTTAGATTGTGTCTGCAATTACTTTAGGAACATACTTAAGAACTTTTGGTTTGGTTGTTCATTCTTTACTATCCTATTGTATTGCTTTTGCTGTTTTACACTGTCTATTACAGGTGATTTGGAGAACTGGACAATGTGTAACTGACCATTCAATTCACCTCCATTGTGACCGAATCTGACTGCTATGGTGAAATCATGTTTCACAATTCAGATGGTTAAACTGCAGTGATCAAACATTCTTTAAGTTTATAGTCACAGACATAATCCAACATATAGCAAAAACATGAACAGATTACTATCTTTTTAATTTGAAAAGATTTTGCATGTCAGTAATAACAACGTACTTATTTGTAAATCTAACAGCAAGTAGTTTCAGGGTAGGCTGTAGCTAGTCTCCTGAAGAAAGGCATTTTAGACAAAGAAGACAAAAAAGTCTTACTTTGTCAGTAGGTTCATAAAATATAAATTTATTTTCAATTACATAGATATTGAAAAGAATTTTATAGTGAATAACCAACTGTATTTCTCTGCGAGATGCTTTTATATGGATACTATGGTACAAATTCAATATTTAGTAACTGAAGGGCACGATCAAAAGAAGAAAAATTAAGAAAAATAATCTAGATCACAAACAGGGACAGAAATGATTTAAAAGTGTGTTAAGGGTAAATTTATCTGTTAAAGTCTTTTTTTTTTTTTTGAGATGGAGTCTTGCTCTGTCACCCAGGCTGGAGTGTGATAGTGTGATCTTGGCTCACTGCAACCTCTGCTCCTGGGTTCAAGAGATTCTTCTGTCTCAGCCTCCTGAGTAGCTGGGATTACAGGCGCCCACCACTGTGCCTGGCCAAGTTTTGTATTTTTAGTAGAAGATGGGGTTTCACCATGTTGGCCAGGCTGGTCTCGAACTCCTGATCTCAAGTGATCCACCCGCCTTGGCCTCCCCAAATGCTGGGATTACAGGTGTGAGCCACCGCGCCCAGCCCTATTAAAGTCTTTAAGAGTTGAAAGATTTGCCATAAAAATTTTTCTGTAAGTCATGCTTATTACATTATAAGTGGACCTATATTTCTTAGGAGCCGGGAATTTTTATACTCCAGTTACAACTAATAATTCTAGTTTCCTCCAACATAGAATTTCATGTGGACAAAAGCAAGAAGTTGCTCCTAACTGAAGTTAATTGGCTAATGGCTGGATTCACTAACAGTGGATCAGTGATTTCAACCTTAGTTACACATTTGAATCTCCTAGAAGCTTTGAAAAATCCAGAAGCCCACACAACATCCCAGGGCAATATATCAGCCTTCTGTATGGGTGAGATACAGGCATCACCTGGGTTAAAAAAATTTCTCAGGTGACTCTAATGTGCATCTAAGGTTGCACAGCATTGGGATTATAGGATGTTGAACTGTATGATAAAATAGCCAGCTAAAATGAGGAAAGTTCATTCAAGCATGTGAGTGTTCGACATTATGTGGAGAAAAGAAAATGTATAGTTTAGTGATTAGGAGCAGTGATCTGAAGGAGCCCTCCTGAAATGAATCTCGATTCTCCCACTTGCTCTAGGCAAGTCATAAAACTTCTCTGTGCTCCAGTCTCCTCATTAGCAAGTCTCTACAGCTTACTGGGTTGCTGAGGGACTTAAATGTGTAATGCTTGAAAGAATATTTAGAATAGTCCTCACGATATATGCTTGAAATTATAGGCTTATTTGGCCTATATATCTACTTTGAATCGTCTAACTATGGTCCGATTACTTAATGGTTGATTTCACCATGTGAGTGAGTCAGATTCACTTACAAAGTAGCTGAATTGCATGAGCAAACAAATTGCTGATCAGTTTTCCAAAACCTTCTGTATTTGTGTAAATTAGTAAAAATAATGCAATAAGAAAGTAAGACTAAAAGAACAACTGAACCAACATGGATGCAACCAATAACAGCAACTGAAATTCAGTAAGGAACCTTTTGAAAAAAGACCAGATGTTTATGATTCTGAGACAGAAATGTCCCAGATGAACAGACAATCTTAGTGGGGACCTCACTGATTTTGCAGATAGTTTGAAGAGAGGTCAAGATTGTTAAAAAAAAAAAAAAATCAGATATTTTGTGTAAAAACAAAGGAATTAGAGAACATATAAGATTGAAAATTATGCCTCAAAAATATTTTATATTCCAGATTTTTAAAGTGCCAGCAGTGTAGAATATACTCTTTTAGGTTTGGGTATATAAGAAAGTACTTTTTGGACAAATTATATTTCATTTTATAATTCATTCAAAACTTTTATTTTAATATTTTGTTACAACCATTATCACAGGTTGAGCATCCAAAATCTGAGAATCTGAAATCTAAAATGCTCCAAAGAACATTTCCTTTAAGCATCAAGTTGGCTCTCAAAAAATTTCAGATTGTGGAGAATTTCAGTTTTTTGGTTTTTTTTTTTTTTTTTTTTTTTTTTTGAGACAAGGTCTCACTTTGTTGCCCATGCTGGAGTGCAGTGGCGCAAATACGGCTCACTACAGCCTCGATCTCCTGGGCTCAAGCAATCCTTCCACCTCAGTGCCCCAAGTAGCTGGCACTACTGAGCTGGGACTAGCTGAGACAGGGTTTTGCCCTGTTGCCCAAGCTTGATCTCAAACTCCTGAGTTCAAGCAATCCACCCGCCTTGGCCTCTCAAAGTGCTGGGATTGCAGGAGTGTGCCACTGCACCCAGGCCAGACTTCTTTGGATTTTGGATTTGGGGATTTGAGATGCTCAACTGGTATAATACAAATATTCCGGAATCTGAAAAAATCCAAAATCTGAAACATGTGTCAGATAAGGGATACTCAACGTATATTTCTTATACTTAAAAAAATAACTGATTAATAATTCACTGATTAGCCAAGAGTGGTGGCACATGCCTGTAGTCCCAGCTACTCAGGAGGCTGACGTGAGAGGATTGCTTGAGCCCAAAAGGTGAAGACTGCAGTGAGCTGTGATTGTGCCGCTGCACTCCAGCCTGGGCGACAGAGCAAGATCCTGCCTCAAAAAAAAAGAAAAAATTCACTGAGCTGTTGCTTCTTGTGAGAGATTATAGTACTTAAATCATCTCATTTAACCCTCACACTATTTCTTTAAGGTAAATACTGGTATTATTCTCCATTTTATAGGTTAGGAAACAGAAGCCCAGAAAAGCTAAGTAACAAATTCATTATACAGCCAGTAAGTGTAGAACTGTGATTTAAACTCAAACTGTCTAACTTCAGAATCCACGTTCTTAGGTTTGGATATAAAATAAAGTATTTTTTAGACAAATTATATTTCATTTTATAAATCGTTCAAAACTTTTAATATTATGTTACAGCCATTATTACAGGTTGAGCATCCCAAATCTGAGAATCTATCCAAAGTTCTTAACCACTATAATATACCCAAAGAAAAAATAGGGGGAAAATGTTTGTTTTGTTCTGTTTTTAAGAAAATTGAATTATACCTGTGTGGCCCATTCCTTCTTTTGGTCCAGTTGCAACAAAGTTTCCTTGATTATTTTCTTTCTAGTATCTTCCAGAGTGATTTTATAGTGTTCTTTAAAAAAAAAAAAAAAAAAAAAAAAGAAAATTAAAAGCCTTATCAAGCATGATTCTAGGTAAAACTATGTGTGGCAGTCTACTCTTCATATCACACAACTTACTACTCCACAACAGAAGTATGAAGACTTTATTATCTGTTCGGGTAGCATTCTGTCTGACTTCATCTAACTAGATTTCCACTATTCTTGGCATATGTTTCCTGGGCCAGGAAAGACAGAACGAGGAGAGGAGAGTAGAGAGGGATTAAGGGGGCTCAGAAAGTTGATAGACCTGGTTATAAGTTAGGCTCAGGTGAGAAATACAGACAGAAATGAAGCACAGGATTCTCTGTCCTCTCAAGATTTTCATATGCTCACAAATGTCATTATTGAGAGAGCAAAGAATCATAAAATTTTAGGCCTTGAAAGATGCTTAGAGATCATGAAATCAATATCCCTTCTTAAGGACTATGAGACACTGTGACAGCAAGGCTGCTTTAAAGAGTGGAGAATAAGAAAGCTGGACAAATGAGTCCAATTTGTTCATTCCTTTTTTCAACAAGTAACTATCAAGCTCTTTCTGTATGCCAAACAGTATGTAAGACACTGCAAATATTGCTGGTTAAGACAGAAAAAAAACCCGTCCTTGTGATATGTACATTCTAATGGGGAAGCCAGATCATAAATAAGTAAGCAGGTAAATAAATAATATTTCAGGTGGTGATGTGTATGAGGAAGAAAAACTAAAATTCTCAATTTTAGATCGGGTGATCAGAGAAAGCTTTTTTTGAGGAGGTAACATTCAGGGACTGAGTCAGGTAGTCAGCAATGTGAAAAATGAGGAACCTGTACTACTCCAAACGAGTTAATCTGAGAATAATCAAAGTTAGTTGTGTTTTATTACTTCTGTGTTATATGTTCCCATTAGTTGTGCTTTATTTATGTAACATAGGCAGGGCAATTGTTTGGAATTCAGAAAGTATTTTCCCATACAAATGATGTTGAAAATCGTGGCTGCTAGATTTCTGGGCAGGTCCAGAGGCTCACTTAACTTATTCTACAGCTAAACAACAGTATTGTACTAACAGTACTATAGAACCTTATTTCCATTTAGGATAGCGGTCCCCAACATTTTCTGCATGAGGAACTGTTTTCCTGGAAGACAATTTTTCCCCAGACTGGGTGGCAGAGGGGGATGGTTTTGGGATGATTCAAGTGCATTACATATGCACTTTATTTCTATTATTATTACATTGTAATATATAATGAAATAATTATACAACTCACTATAATGTAGAATCAGTGGGAGCCCTGATTCTACATTATAAGAAAGCTGGACAAGTGAGTCCAATTTGTTCATTCCTTTTTTCAACAAGTAACTATCAAGCTCTTTCTGTATGCCAAACAGTATGTAAGACACTGCAAATATTGCTGGTTAAGACAGAAAAAAACCCTGTCCTTGTGATATGTTTTCTTGGTTATAGATGGTCCCATCTGGGGGTGATGGGAGACAGTGACAGATCATTAGTCATTAGATTCTTATAAGGAGCATGCAGCCTAGATCCCTCACATGTGCAGTTCACAATAGGGTTTGCGCTCCTAAAAGAATCTAAGGTTTCTGCTGATCTGACAGGAGGCGGAGCTCAGACGGTAATGCAAGTGATGGAGAGCCGCTGTAAATACAGACAAAGATTCACTTGCTTCTCCACTGTTCACCTCCTGCTGTGTGGCCCGGTTCTTAACAGGCCACAGACTAATCTTGGCCTGTGGCCTTGGGGGTTGGGGAACCCCTGACTTAGGGCGTTGTTTCAAAGGGAAAATTTTCTTCACAGACCAAGTCAGCCAAAGCAGAACCCTCAGGGATTTTATGCTGTAGGGAAGGAGATCTGCAGGTCTGGTCTTTCAATTGACCAGGAGCCCAGCTAAGGCAGCTACCACCAGAACTCAGGCCAGAGAGCTGGGCAAGAGTTATTCAGCCCTCGTCTATACTTTGTACTAGCATAACTGTTTCTCCCATTAGATGAAAACGCTGAGAGCAGAAAGTAAAAACTTCTCTTCCATATCTTTTCATTACTGTATCCCTGGGACACAATACGTGCCAAAAAATATTTTGAAGAAAATCAAATTTGGCAAACTGCAAGTCTTTGGTGGGCAGTGATCTGAGGCTTCAGCACCAGAAAGCAAATATTGGCTCTTCCCCTTCTCTGGCAGCTTGGGTGGGAAGGGGAAGAGGGAGTAGAGAGAGAGAGAAAGGGAGAGTTCTCCTAACTTGTGGGGTGGCCAGAAAAGGTGGTCAGGAGAGGGCAGTTTCTGCCTCTAATAGAGATGGACTAGAGTGAGGCAGTAGTTCATAAGCAAGAATTCATTAGGTTTTTGGAGTTAGTCTAATTTGACATCTAGAGAATAAGAAGTGGAAGCCTTTATTATTCCAACCTACATATTCCTGTTTATACAGCCTGCGTTTTTCTTACTTATTTGAACTAATCTCATGAATATTTTAATCCTTCCAAACTAATTTCTGATGGAATTTCTTTTTTCAATTTACCCTAGCCCATCAGCTTAATGTTGGTTATTTATTTGAACTTCTACCCAACAAAACACAATAATCAATCTAAAAGTTGCAATGGATCAGGAGCATAATGGATTTTACATTCTTAGCATCTAAAAGAAACCATAAAACCTGGAGCTTGATAACATGAAGTATTAATTCTTTGCTATAAATAATTTAAAAATAGATTATCAAATACACTCTGACTAAAGATGTAGCTTTCTCTATTGCCTTATTAATACTGAAAAAGCAATATTCACAATCTATTCTCTTCCAACTTCCATATAAAAGTGTATGGACCGTTTTTCTTCTTAAAAACACAGTACCCAGGACAAGGGTGAATGTGAGAATCTCATTGTTAGCCTCTGTGATTCAGATGATGCTTCTGGTAACAATTAACCATTTATTGGTGAATGCAGCCAAAGAAAGTGGGGCATGTAAAAGTCTCCTCGTAAAAGCTCGAAACACTGCAAGGGGGAGCTTGGCAGATTAGGACTGTGCAGAAGACTCCTTGCTTCTCAGACACCCCATCTAATGGCGTCCCTTCCCAGAAGCTGACCCCACACTGCACTGGCTAAAGTTTGCTTTGCACTGTTCCACCTTCCCTGCTGTGTCTGGCTCTGCTTTGGTTCACTCCTCCTGGCCTGTTGAGAGCTTTATTATATACTCTTCTCTGACTTCTGGGGTCACATAGCTCCATTGTGTTGACCCTCTCCTGTGGCAGTGGCCTCTTCTTAGTCCCTTTTGCAGAAAACTGAACAGGAGCTAGCAGAAACACTGGCCAGGTAGTAATCTTTTTAGAGCCGCCCCAACTCACTGAATCACAGATTCAGGGGGACTATTTGAAGCAGATGGATTTGGGGCCTAACACACCTAGGTTCAAATCCCTGTTCCATTTGTTACTAGCATTGTGACTTTGGTTAGGGCAATTAACTTCCCTGGGCCTGTTTTCTTATCTTTAAACTGGCCTAATTATATCTAACTCAAAGGAACTTGTAAGGATTAGACAAGACATGGAAAAGCAAATGCTGGAAATGTGAGTCCTCTTGGAGATCACCTAGGGACTCTGATTTTATAGGCAAGAAAATTAACATTCAAAGAAACAATGTTACTTTTTTGTACGGAGTCTTGAACCTAATTTAAAAAAATTCACTGTTAGTGTACAAAGAACTTTTAAGAATCCCTGTCCTGTGCCCCAGTAAAGGACAAAAATAAAAATGCTCTGTGACTGTAATTATCTAATGACTTGTAATAACCCCTCACCTTCTCATTCCTGGGCTTATTCTAAGGTTCCTTTTCCTTTTATTGAGGAGAAGTAACCTTGGCCTGGATATGTTAGTGACTGTTTTCTATACTAGTATCCCAATATCCCATTCTAGCTAAAGTTCAGGGAAGCAGCTCTAAGTGTTTTCTCCTCCTCGCCCCCTGGGTTTCAGCAGAGGCTGCTGAGTAAGGCAGGTGACCGAGGAACAGTTTGTGCTGGGGCTGACTGGTGACCCATGAGGTGGTATGGACAAAGGCCATTGGTCATGTTTGATAAGGTGCATGATGGCACCAGATGTCTTTAGAAATGGGCTGGAGAATACTGCAAGGACTGTTCTGTGGGAAGTAGAAGAGAAGGGGGACAGGTATGCAGAGCAAAGCAGAGGTGCCAATGAGAGGGACAGTCACAGATCAGGGGAGAGAAATGTGGGGAGGAGCCATGCCTAGAACCACCGCTGATATCATTCTGTCTTCAGTCTTCCCTTTCCTCATTTGTGTTACACCCAACAAGCATTACTCTTGGGGAGTCAAGCAACTTAATTTTTGTCTCTTTCCTTTAAAACTCATACTGTGAGGCTATTGACTTCTGCTCAATAAAATATATGGTAAATCCTATGACTTCTGGTTTCTTTGTGGTAACAAAAGGTCCTCCAATGAGTAATTAGTATGTTCAGAATATTGCAACAATTTAAACTTCTTTCAAAGTTATGCCAATCCCCTTTCCTAACTTGGGCCTGCTGCCATTTTCTTTGCCTTGAGCTTCCATGATTCCTCTCTCAGTGCTGAAGGGAAGAGGGAAACATGGAAAACGGTAAGAAAGCTCTCACTTGACTGATACTGTCTCAAGCTCATGTCTACTTTCTGGACCTAGCTGGCATTTAAGGCTGACACATTGTCTCATGGGAGTGTTTTAGTAGGTTCTTTGGAGGACAAGCTTCCCCATTTCAAATGGGATTTCATCTGCATTCCCTTGATCCAGGGCAAGTACTGTCCTTAGAAGTTGGTAACAACTTTTCTGTTGGTCCCTGGTTTTCAATTCTGCACTCCCCTCCCACACATACAAAATCCCTGTTTTTCTGTTGGGGACCTATCACCGGCCCCCAACACCCTAGTCAGCTGTCTCCAGCAAGATTTCACATGACTGTTCCCCAACTCTCTCTCATAACAAGTTGACAAGAAACACTCCTCCATTCTTTGCCCTGACAAACTCGGGAGTGCAGGCCCAGCCCAGGGCAGCAGCCACCTCTTCTGTGTTCTGCTGTCAGTGCGGTTAGCTCCTCAGCCACTTACTCCCTAGATTTCTCAGGGATGAGTCATAAACTAGACCTGAATGCCCAGACTGCAGGGGACACATACTGAACCATCTGAGAAATCTCTCTGAAGACCTTTCACCCAGATTTGAGATGGAGGAGGAATTACCTTTTACCTGCTCCTCGGTGGGGGAAAGAGTAGGACTGATAGCACACCAAAAGCTCTTTCCAAAAGTTGTCCCCTAATTTCTAACAACCTTTTCCTGGCCTCTCTAACTTCTTGTATAGACTGGAATTCGATGATCAAAGGTGCGAAACTGGTTTTCTTCTTCATCAAATTGCAAATCTATGTGGTGGTATCTCATCTCATTTTGCCACCTCAGCGTAAACTGAGACTTTAAAAAGTTTTAATATCCTCTTTCACTTACAGCAACCTCCCAGCCCACAACAATAGCCTGACTTGATCTCTCTTCCTTGCATGTAAAGCAGCCTAACTAACGCAAACCCCATAATCATTGGAGGAGAATTCCAGGAAAATCATGAAAGAAGGCAGCCTGTGTAGAAGGTAGGAGAAAAAGAGGGGATGATGGTAGTAAGCCTTCAGATAGATTGATTTAGGAGTCTTGCTCATATTCATTGTGTCCAGTTAGTGGTCCCCAACATGTTCTAATAGTTCCCCTGGTGGAGTGGCTGCTGCTACCTGGATGGTTAAGACAAGTCCCTAAAACTAATGGAAAATAACACAAGCCCATAACAACCATTTTCTTATGGCTGCGCCCCATGGCTTGACCAGCAAGTAATTCAATATATAAATGTTTTTACCACCCCAAAGTTGAATACAACCACATGAAAATTTTTAAGTCAAAGAAATCATCCTAGTTAATAATTCATTAATTTAAGACAAGGTCTCTCTCTGTCACCTAGACTACAGTGCAGTGGTGCAATCTTAGCTCACTGCAACCTCTGCCTACTAGGCTCAGGTCGTCCTCCCACCTAAGCCTCACAGGAGCTGGAACTGCAGGTGTGCGGCACCACACCCAGCTAACTTTTGTATTTTTGGTAGAGATGGGGTTTCACCCTGTTGCTCAGGCTTGTCTCGAACCCCTGAGCTCAGGTGACCCATCCACCGTGGACCCCCCAAAATGCTGGTATTACAGGCGTGAGACACCACGCCTGGCCCAATCATCCAAACTTCTGATCAAGATAATGGGTTAAGTTTATATGAGAAGATCACTTTTCCTACTTTAAAAATGTGAAATAAATACTGGCTAAAATATTTGAAATTTTGAAAATGTACCAGAACAATAACTTTTTAAAAAGTATTCTACTGGTTAACAAATGCATAGGCAGATCAGTGAATCAGAATAGATAGTAGAGAATAAGATTCAGATATATATGAGAAATAAAAGTATAATAAAGTTAGCACTTCAAATCAGTAGGATAAAAATTGATGATAAATGATGTTGGAACAACTGGAAAACCATTTGGTAAAAAAATAAAGTTGGATCACTCTCTCACACAAAAACAAAGACTTAAATATAAAAACAAAACCATAAAAATTTTAGAATAAAATATTGGAGAATTCATTCATAATCTCATAAACGTAAAATCAAAGACTGATAAGTTGGGCACTTTAAAAGCACATCATTTCTTCATTAAAAAACCCACAAACAAAAAAACTAATGACAAATGGGAAAAATATTTGCAATTTATATCACAGTTAAAGAGCTAATTTTTTTAAAATGTAAAGAGTGCCACAACACATTAGAAAAATGGGTGACAGATATGAACAGATGGTTTATGGAAAAGGAAATTCATATAGCTCTTGAAGTTATGAAAAGACACATTCAGTGTCACTTTTAATAAAAGAAATGGAAATTAAAACTACAATGAGATACCATTTTCGACCCATAAGACTGACAAAGAACAAAAATTTGGATACCACCCCCTGTTGCTGAAGATGTGGGAAAATAGGTATCCTCATGCATACTGTTAGAAGTACCACTTGGTACAACCTTTATGGAGGGCCACATTTATCACAGTAAAATAGTCTGTTTCACACAACCATTTCTTTCAGAGATACACATAAGTGAAATGACATAAATACAAGAATATTTGTCATAGGAAAATGAGACATGTGTAAGGATAGTCATTGCAGCATTATTTGTAATACTAAAACACTAGAAACAACCTTAATGCTTATGTGTAAGAAACTGGTCAAAAAATTATGGTTACCAGCCTGGGAAACACAGTGAGACCTCTACAAAAAATAAATAAAATTAGCTAGGTATGGTGGCACATACCTGCTGTCCCAGCTACTCAGGAGACTGAGATGGGAGGATTGTTTGAGCCTGGGAGGTTGAGGCTGCAGTGAGCTGTGTTCATGCAATTGCACTTCATCTTGGGTGACAGAGTGAGACCGTGTCTCGAAAAAAAAAAAAAAAAAGGTACAATAAAACCATGCAACCACTGGAAGAATGAGGCAGTATTAAGATATACTGATTTAGAAGGATGTTCATGTTGTTACATGAAAAGCAAGTAAGACATCATATTTATAGCATGCTATTTGTGATATATATATATATATATGCATAGAATATTTCTGACTGCTAAATAAGAAACTGGTAGTAGTGGGAGAGGATTTGAGTGCGGACAGAGGGAGTAGCAGGCTGGCACTCTTGTTCTCTTTTCAGAAGAAGAACCTTTTGACAAATTGGAACTTCATGCCCAGACTGATATGGGGCCAAGTTTACACCACCACTGTGGTGCAGAGGCCCTAAGCTGAGAAACTTACATACAAATTGGTCCACAAGCAGAGAGCCCTGATAGGGGGACATGGGAACCACCCACAGGAACCCCTCCACAACGCAGGGCACTATCTCCAGCTGAGTCCTGGACTGTTGTCCACCCACAGCAACTCTTTTGGGCCAGATTTCCCCCATTAATTCTGTCCTATGATTCTTCTGTGTCTGGGTCTCTGGTGTTCTTTTAAGCTGCTATGCTTGCCTCAGTAACAGACAGCTGGCCCTCATCGTGTCCAGATCTAGTCCTGGTAAGCTTCATTGCTCCTGACGGCATCCTACTCTATAGCCTCTCCACTTCTCATCTCATGTTTGTTCCCCAGTTTTTCCCTGGTTACAACTTAATTGACTTTGACGTTTCTCCATGATGATTCTGGCTATCCAGCCTGGCTAAGCTGACTTAGCTTGCCCCAGGTGAATTCTCTTTCTAATATAACCTGGCCTCAGGACACTCCTATCTTGGTGGAATTGCTTCTGTCCCAGTGTGGAAACATACAGACCCCATCCATTGAATGAAGATTCTTTCTTCTTTTTTTTGAGACAAGGTCTGCTCTGTCACCCAGGCTGGAATGCAGTGGCACAATCACAGCTCCCTGCAGCCTTGACCACGGGGCTCAACTGATCCTCCCACCTCAGCCTCTCAAGTAGCTGGGGCTACAGGCATGAGCCACCATGCCCAACTGATTTTTTAATTTTTTGTAGAGATATGGTCTCACTGTGTTGCCCAGGCTGGTCTCAAACTTCTTGGCTCAAGCGATCCTCCAGCCTCAGGCTGTTGAGATTACAGGCATGAGCCACCGCATCCAGCCAGAAGCGTCTTTCTTAAAGTCACTTGGTCACAGGGCTTCTGCACACTGCCCCCCACCCGCCCATTTCTTTATTTCCCCTTCTCAGTTTCACAGGTGGTCCTGGGATCATTTTTCTGCTTCCTCCCTCCACCTTTACCCTTAGGCTCACAGCTGCTTGTGCTGACAGCAGAGTAATGAATGATTCAGGGAGTATGCACTTTTTTCTTCCATCAATGTATGCCCTACTAAAGATGTTTTTTACTGAACTTGAACTAGTTTTGTTGCAACTGACCTGACATTTTCTCTGCATTCTCTTTAACTGTGTTGATGTCATTTTGTAAGGAGGTAATGAGTTTAGCATGTCGTTCACTCCCTACATTCTTGTACTCCTCCCAATATTCCTTTTCACTGAGTTTCTCAAGAAATAGTTTCTCAGCATTACTTATTTGCATGCGCATATCTGTTGAAAATAAAGACACTGTGTCATTTCTGTTTTCCTTGTAACCATTATATGTTGCAATCTGGTTTTAAGAAGTTAAGATCTGATATTAAAATACTGTTAACTCATAAATACTATTTTATATCTAAAATTTAGGAAATTCTAAACTATTCAAACTGTTGTTTATCTATCTCCCCTGATTCAAAATCTAAGCAAAATTAAACTTCTGACTACAAAGTAGATGTGTGGTTTGAGGGTTGATTGAAAGACGTAATAGACAACCCATATGCCTAGGAAGCTGCAAGTTTACATCATTCCTGATAAGGGTCCTATTTTGTACAGTGTATCATATAATATGTATAATATGTATTCTTTATTAGGAAATTGTCATTTTTCTGGCCATTATACCCTCTGAGCAAAAGTGATTTCAACTTGTGTCCTTCCCAGGTCCTTGGCAACCATTTTTGTAAGTAAATTGTTTGATTCAGTCATCTAAAGTTCATTTATTTGGATTTCTCTTGTATGAAATGATAGCCTCTGATAGTCATAATAACATGTCTTTTCCCACCCCCCTTTGGTAAAACCAGAGTGATGGGCAAGTTCCCCAGTTAAATGTGTACAAATACTGAACTATTTCAGGGATATAAACTTTGTTTGCTAAACATGATATTCTATTCAATCTTTAGGCCGAATATCATGTTGCTGAATATTTTTGAAAAAGAAGCATTACAAAAGAGTCAAGTACAACAAACTTAATGGCTGTTTATCTCATCACCATATATCACCTTGTTTGAGAGTTCTTTGAAGGAAAGACTACATTATATTCATCTCTGTAAATCCAGCACTTAGCACAGAGCCTGGCAATTAGTTGGCGCTCAATAAATGTCTGTTGAATGACTGAAGCATTTCAATCAGGCCAGGGTGATATTCTTCAGTCCAGAGGTCCAGAAGGACTCAGGACTCATCTTTTTCCAAAGATGTACACAAGATACTAATTTTTTTTTTTTGAGATGGAGTTTTGCTCTGTCACTCAGACTGGAGAGCAGTGGCGCGATCTCGGCTCACTGCAACCTCCACCTCCCAGGTTCAAGTGATTCTCCTGCCTCAGTCTCCCAAGTAGCTGAGATCACAGGCACCCACCACCACGTCCGGCTAATTTTGTATTTTTAGTAGAGACAGGGTTTCATTCACTATGTTGGCCAGGCTGGTCTCGAACTCCTGACCTCAGGCAATCTGCCCGCCTTGGCATCCCAAAGTGCTAGGATTACAGGTATGAGTCACCATGCCTGGCCACAAGATACTATATTTAAAATCTCTTAACAAATGGTGGTTATTTTCATTAAACAATTATCAGTACTACTATAAGCCAGATGGGTAGTTGTTCTCTCATTCGAGCAGACTGCTACTGTCTCAGGCCAGTGCCCCATTTGGCCTTTGAGGGGAGGGTTGGTAGATGTCACTGAAGATTGTAAAAGGGAGATGGATGTAGTGGCTGTTTTTCTACTTTCTTAGAACTTCTTCCCTTCCCTTCTAGTAACACATACGCCCCAGAGATTTTTGTTTGTTTGTTTAAGCTGAGATCTGACAGCATGTGAAGCCTTGTATCCAGGTCAGAAGCACTCTGTCTTTCTGTGTTAAGTGATGTGAAAAGACTAACATCCCCTTTATGCTTAGGCTAGTTTGACTTGGATTTTTTATCCTTGCAACTGAAAGAGTCCTTACTAAAAGTTGGATGAAAAGGGTTGCAGCAGTATTTCTCAAACCTTACTGTGCATAGGAATCCCCTGGGATCTTGTCAGAATGCGGATTCTGATTCAGTAGGTCTGGGTGGGGCCTGGGAATTGGCATTGTAACAAGCTGATAGGTGAAGCACTTGCTGCTGCTCCACACCAAAATGAGTTGCAAGGGACTACCTGGGACATAAAGTGACTACCTCGGAAATGTTTTCCAGACACTTCTGTTCTCTTACTTTCCCTCTCTTCCTCCATGTCTGTGAGCTTCCTTTCTTCCCATGCATGTCCAGTCCTCCTCTATTGTGCTCAGTCATGCCGTGTGGCCCAGTCTTGTATGACACATCCCCATGCTCAGCCCAAACCATCAACAGGCGCATCTCAACTAACTGGGCCCATTCCTTTAGAAGGCAGTTTAGCGAGCACAGCTGAGCATCCTTTGGGGTCTCACTCCATCTCAAGGGACTTACTAAAGTATTCCTTCCAAATATAAGCAGAACTCTTTTGGAAAGAAGTCATGCAAAATATACTATCTACCATGTCATGACATCCCTATTGCCAATGAAGAGACTTGGGTAGGAGGAGGTCTATGGGAACAGTTTTGGACTCCCCTAAAAATGAAACTTGCCTATTGATGTTTGGTCTTGGAAACGATTTCACTCAAAACAGCAAATATCTATTGAGTGGAGAGCCTGCTGTGTGCAAAGTGCTCAGCTAAGTAGGCACTTGGAGAAATCCAGAAATACGTGGATTTCCTAAGGGCTAACAAATGATAGCACTTAGGTCTCTTTCTCATGTTTTCCAGCTTCCTAGCAGGGATGTTATTTATGGAGGTTTTGGCAAAAGTGGTCCTAGAAATCTTAGCAGCAAGTTTAGAATGAAAGAATAGGAATTTCAAAATGTGTATGTCAGAACTGCATGATTTACCCTCAGTACCATGGTATTTCCTAAGCCTACAGCAAGAGTATGCCCTGGGTCTTTCATTGCCTGCACCTAGTGTCATTACTACCCATGTTCTCCAAACTTCCCCTTTCCCAACGCTAATCCCTATTTCCTCCATCTAATGGGGTGCTTGGCTCCCTTAGAGATATTGGGAGAAACATTTTTCATGGTTTTATTTGCCTTATCATTCCCAAATCTAAGCTGAAGCTGAAGTCAATGAAACCACCAAACAACAGAATTAAAAAAAAAAAGAAAAAAAAGAAAAAGAACAAAACCCTACTATGAGTAATGGTGTTTAACAAGATACTGTCCTGTTGTAAGAGTCAGATGAGGCTGGGCATGGTGGCTCACGCCTGTAATCCCAGAACTTTGGGAGACTGAGGTGGGACTATCCCTTGAGCCCAGGAGTTCGAGACCAGCCTGGGCAACATAGCAAGACCTCATCTCTACAAAAAAGGAACAAAATTCTCAGGCATAGTGGTGTGCACCTGGAGTCCCAGCTACTTGGGAGGCTGAGGTGGGAGGACTGCATGAGCCCAGGAGGTTAAGATTGCAGTAAGCTGAGATCGCACCACTGCACTCCAGCCTGGGTGACTGAACTACACCCTATCCCAAAAAAAACAGTCAGATAAATTTCATCTGTTTCTGATCACTACCCTTCTTCCACCTCCTTGCTTGGCTTCATTACCTCTACCCACTTTATTATTTCCCTCTCCTGCCCATTTACCTACATGTGTTTGTGGCTGCGGTGGTAATGATGCCGTTTAAAATACACTTAACAGCATTTTGAACATATTGGAAGAATAAAGCATTAATATATTCAAGAAATAACTTGGCACAACTCTATGATAGTTTTCTATGTTCCTAAATCACCTCTCAAGTTTTTTTCCTGGTCTCTTTCAAACTTCCATTTTTCCTTCATCGCTTCTTCAACATCCTCTCTTGTTACAACTGGCAATCCCTCTGCCTTCTCTTCACTCAGTTCCTTTAGTAGATGCCGTATGTGCCAAATCTGTTCTTCTTTTAAGCGGCTATTCTGTCATGAAAATCAACAGTAATTCACGTTTGATCAACTATGTACACTATGTTTCCTCAAAATAGAGTCAAGAAGTTCCCGGCCTTTGGGTATCACAGGAAGGCAAGTGGGAAGCCTGGACTTCTACTTCCATCAGACATTATGAGGTGGTATCCCTACTTCCCCTGGCAGAGCAATGCCAGTAAAAGCTAGGTAAAACAGAAGATTACAAATAAGATCTAGAGTCTTATGACATTATTAAAAAAATGTCCAGGTTTCAATAAATCACTCATCATACCAAGAACCAGGAAGATTGTAAACTAAATGAAAAATGACAATATGTAGATGCCAATACTAAGGTGGCTGACATTTTAGAATTATTATTATTATTATTATTTTTGTTTTTTTAGAGATGAGGTCTTGCTATGTTGCTATGCTGGTCTGAAACTCCCTTGACCTCTCAAAGTGCTGGGATTACAGGTGTGAGCCAGCAAGCCTGGCCTATAACAAAAGATTCATGTTACTGGAGTATTAGAGGGAGAGAAAGAGGGCAGGACTGAAAAAGTACTCAAATAAATAATGGCTGGAAACTTCCCAAATTTCCAAGAGACATAAACCTATGAATTCAAGAAGCTAAGCATACCCCAAACAAGATAAGCAGAAAGAAATCCATGTTAAGACACATCATAATCAAACTTCTGAAAACTAAATACAAGGGAAAAGTCTTAAAAGCAGTCAGAGAAAAACCACACCTTACCTATAGGAGAAAAACAATTAGCATACAGGGCATACCTAATTAGAATATCCAAAATCTGGGCAGCGTGTGGTGGCTCATGCCTGTAATTCCAGTGCTTTGGGAGGCAGAGCTGGGGGGATTACTTGAGGCCAGGAGTTCAAGACTAGCCTGGACAACATAGTGATACCCTGTCTCTACAAAAAATTTAAAATTTAGTCAGGCATGGTGGTGCTTGTAGTCTCAGCTATTCAGGAGGCTGAGGAGGGAGGATCACTTTAGCCCAGGAGTTTGAGGTTACAGTGAGCTATGATCGCACCATTGCACTCCAGCTTGGGTGACAGAGAAAGACCCAGTTTCAAAAAATAAAAATAAGAAAATTCAAAATCTGAAATGCTTTAAAATCTGAAACTTTTTTTTTTTGGGGGGGGATGGAGTCTTGCTCTGTCACCAAGGCTGGCGTGCAGTGGTGGGATCTTGGCTCACTGCAACCTCCACTTCCCTGGTTCAAGCGATTCTCCTGCCTCAGCCTCCCAAGTAGCTGGGATTATAGACGCCCACCACCATACCTGGCTAATTTTTTTTTGTATTTTTAGTAGAGACGGGATTTCACCATGTTGGCCAGGCTGGTCTCGAACTCTTGACCTCAGGTGATCCATCTGCCGCGGCCTCCCAAAGTGCTGGGACTACAGGCATAAGCCACTGTGCCCAGCCTAAAATCTGAAACTTCTTGAGTACTAACATGATGCCACAAATGGAAAATGACACACCTGATGTCATGTGACAGGTTGCAGTCAAAATGCAGGCACACCAAACACAGTTTATTCAGCATCCCCAAGGGGAAAATAAAGTTAACTTCAGGCTATGTGTATAAGGTGTATATGCAACATAAATGAATTTCATGTTTAGACTTGAGTCCCATCCCCAAGATATATCATTCTGTATATGCAGATATTCCAAAATCTAAAAGAATCTGAAATTGGAAACACTTCTGGTCCCAAGAATTTCAGTTAAGGGGTACTCGAACTATGTCAGCATATTTTTCATCAGAAACCATGCTAGCTAGAAGAAAGGTAATAGGAAGTGGCACATTATTTTTTATGTGATGAAAATAAAGAACTGTCCATCTAGAATGCTAGACCCAGTGAAAATATCTAACAAAACATGTATAGGACTTGCATAGTGAAAACTAGAAAACGCTGATTAAAAAAAAAATCAAGATCTGGGCCCAGCACAGTGGCTCTTGCCTGTAATCCCTGCACTTTGGGAGGCCAAGGAAGGTGAATTGCTTGAGCTTAGGAGTTCAAGACCAGCCTGGGCAACATGGTGAAACCCCATCTCTACAGAAAATTTAAAAATTAGCCAGGTGTGGTGGTGCATGCCTGTAGTCCCAGCTACTTGGAAGGCTGAGGTGGGAGCCCAGAAGGTTGAGGCTGCAGTGAGCCGTAATTGTGCCACTGCACTCAAGGCTGGTTGACTGAAGGAGATCCTGTCTCAATAAATAAATTAATTAAATAAATAAAAATAAAACAAGATCTAAATAAATGGAGAAACATATCATGTTCATGGATTGGAAGACAGCATAGTAAAGATATCCCAATTTTGATATACAGCTTTAATATAATCCCTATGTAAAGCTTAGTAAGTTTTCTTTGGGTCAGGGGGCAAATATATACAAGATAATTCTAAAATTTATATGGGAAGACAAAGGAAACAGTATAGCTAAAATGATTTTGAAAAACAAGAATAAAGTAAGAGGAATTAATTTACCTTATTTCAAGACGTATTATATAGCTATAGTAGTCAAGACTATGTGGTATAGACAGAGGGGTAGGCATAGAGATCAACTGAAGAGAGTAGAGAACTCAGAAACAGACGCACACAAGGCAGGGCGCGGTGGCTCACGCCTGTAATTCCAACACTTTGGGAGGCTGAGGCGAGCGGATCACCTGAGGTCAGTTCAAGACCAGCCTGGACAATATGGTGAAACCACATCTCTATTAAAAATACAAAATTAGCCGGGCATGGTGGCAGCTGCTTGTAATCCCAGCTACTGAGGAGGCTGAGGCAGCAGAATCGTTTGAACCCAGGAGGTAGAGGTTGCAGTGAGCTGAGATCATGCCACTGCACTCCAGCTTGGGCAACAAAGCAAAATTCTATCTCAAAAAAAAAAAAATTGTTAATCCTCAAACTTATCCTTATCAAATTTTACTTTATGTATTTTGAGGCTCAGTTATTAGGAGAAAGTGGTACCTCATTGTGGTTTTTATTTGCATTTCTCTAATAACTATGTTGAGCATCTTTTCATGTGCTTGTTAGCCATTTGTATATCTTCTTTGGAGAAATGCCTATTCAATGTCGAACTGATTTTTGACAAAGGTATGAGAGCAATTCAATGCAGGAAAGAGAGCTTTATCAACTAATAGTGCAGACGCAACTGGACATCTGCAGGTAGAAAAAAAAAAGAAGAATCTTGATCTAAGCCTCACACCTTATACACAAACTAACTCAAAATGGACCATGATTTAAATGTAAAAGGTGAAACTACAAAAATTTTAGAATAAAACATAGGAGAAAATCTTTGAGATTTAGGGCTAGGCAAAGAGTTTGAAAACTTGACACTGAAAGCATAATCCATAAAGGAAAAATTGATAAACTGGACTTCATTAAAATTAAAAACTTTTACTCTGTTACAGACCTTTTTGTGAGGATGAAAGACAAACTACAGACTAGGAGAAAATATTTGCAAATAACATATCCAAGAAAGGACTAGTTTTAGAAGATTATATATATACGTAAAACTCAAGAGTACAAAAAGTCTAATTATAAAATTAGCAAAAGACAGGCACATGAAAAGATATTCAACATCATTAGCCACTAGGGAAATGCAAATTAAAACCACACTAAGATATTACTACACACCTACCAGAAGGCTAACATAAAATAGTGCATAGCGGCATCACTAAATTCTGAAGAGGATGAGGAGAAACTGGATCCCTCTTATATGATGGTGGGAATGTAAAAGGTACAGCCAGTTTGGAAAGTAGTTCAAGTTTCTTTAAAAACTAACGTGTAACTATCATACTACCCAGCAATTGAACTCCTGGGCATTTATTCCAAAGAAATGAAAACTTTTGTTCTTAAAAATACCTGTCCATGAATGTTTATATTAGCTTTATGTAAAATGTCCAATAACTGGAAACAACCCAGATGTCCTCCAGGTGAATGGTTAAACAAACTGGTACATCCCCACCATGCTGCTAGTCAGCAATACAAAGAAACTAACTGATAACACACACAACAACCTGGATGTACCTCCAGAGAGTTATGCTGAATTTTAAAAAGCCAAGTACCAAAAGGTTACTTATTGTATGATTCCATTTGTATAACATTCCTGAAGTGACGTTATAATAATGGAGAACAGAATAATGGTTGCCAGGGTCTAATGAGGGGGCAGAACTGGGAGGGGAGTGAGTGGCTTTAAAGGTCACATGAGGGATACTTGTGGTGATGGAAATCTTCTGTATCTTGACTTTCCATGTTAAACTTGTCAATATCCTAGTTATAATATTGTACTGTGATTTTGTAGTATGTTATGAGAAGCTAGGTAGTAGGTACATAGGAACTTTCTATCATTTTTATATCATTTTTATAACTATAAGTTAATCTATACTTATTTCAAAATGAAGTTTAACTAAAAAATGAAGGCCAATGAATATTAACAACTGAAAAATAAATAATTTACTACTCTTTAACCAATTCTCAGATATTTTATTTTCTGAAATGAAATAGATTCATGTTTTGTTTGCTTATAAATAAATTGAATTATTTTAGTTTGACATGTTATTTTAAAATGAAATATTTATAGAAACTTGAATAATAGCAATGGAAATATCACTTGCCAAACTATTGCTCTGCTACTACTTTTTCTTAATATGGACTTTTCCACTTATTTTTGTAGAAGTGGAAAATTCCTTTATCAACTATGTTTTGAATCCTAAGTAAAGATATCTGATTTTACTTATGTTAGTTAATTTTAGTAAGACAACAGTGGCCTCTAAATTCAATCCCAGCTCAAAAATATTTACCATGATATACAGGCAAAAAATTCCAAAGAGTGGTAATTTTAAAACCACTACATACAAGTGACAAAGAAATGTATATAATATACAAAGAAATTTTAGTTTTATTTCCATACTTGACACAATACTTCTTAAAATAAATCCAGATCTCCTAGATCAAATATTTAACACAATGACTATTCTTTTCAAGCATGTGATATTTTTCATTTACAAAATTTAAAAAAAATTGTTTAATTTTTACCATTTTAGAGACAGGATCTTAGTCTGTTGCCCAAGCTGGAGTACAGTGGCATGGTCATAGCTCACTGTAACCTCAAACTCCTGGGCTCAAGCATCTTCCTGCCTCAGCCCCCTGAGTAGGTGGGACTACAGGTGCACACCACTGCACCTGGCTACTTTCTACAATTTTTTGTAGAGACAGGCTCTCACTATGTTGCCCAGGCTGGTCTCAAAACACCTGGCCTCAAGCGATCCTCCTGCCTTGGCCTCCCAAAGTGTTGGGATTACAGGCATGAGCCACTGTGCCTGGCCTGCATAAGCATTATTAAACACTATTTGACATTATATATAAATTTAATATCATCTATATTAATTTCCCAAACCCCATATGAATTTTGAATGGAAGGAGAATGTGTCTGATAGCATTTGACAGAATTCAATGTCTCAAAAATTATTTTGAGTAATATACAGAAACGAAATTTAGTTAGCTGTATCACTAATGTGCTAAAAATATGTTTATCCTACAAAGTGAGGTAAATAATTACTATTTAAGGTAAGAATAATTATCACATTATAAAAATGGAAAAAGGATATTCAGTAAATAAGCTACAAAAAAAAGATTGATTTTGTTTTCATATAAAGTCATGTCATGCTTACCCTTTTAACTTTTTAAGACTCATAAGAACAAGAAAAGAGGCTGGGTGTGGTGGCTCACCCCTGTAATCCCAACATTTTGGGAAGCTGAGGCAAATGGATCACTTGAGGTCAAGAGTTTGAGACCAGCCTGGCCAACACGGTGAAACCCTGTCTCTACAAAAAGTACACAAATTAGTTGGGTGTGGTGGCGCATGCCTGTAATCCCAGCTATTTGGGTGGCTGAGGCACGAGAATCCCTCGAAACTGGGAGGTGGAGATTGTAATGAGCAGAGATCGCGCCACTGCACTCCAGCCTGGGTGACGGAGTGAGACTGTCTCAAACAAACAAATGAAAAAACAAGAAAGGAAGTTGCCAAAACAGAGCAGAGAGTTCCAATCTACTATTCACCTTACTTTCCCCAGTGATAAGATTCCACATAACCATAGTACATTATCAAATCCAGGAAAGTGACATTAGTACAATGTTATTAACTAAGCTAGAGACTTTATTCATTTCCGTTTGTACATACACTCATTTTTTTTGGTGTACAATATTATGAAATTTATCAAATATAGATATGAAAATTATTAACAAATAGATGGTTATTTGAAGCCATAGTGTTAAGTGAGATGACCCCAAAAAGGAGTGAGAGAAAAGGGTTGAGATCAGAACTCTGCTAAATGTGATAATTAAGGGATGGGTCTAGGCAAAGAGCAGTGAATGAAAAATGAGAAGAAATGGTCAGTGAAGTAGTTAAGTTGCAGTGAGGTCCTGGAACCCAAAGGAGAAAAGGGTTTTAAGATAAAGGAAGTGGCTGCTGGAGAGGTGAGAGGTAAAGAAAGGACTAAAAAGAGTCTATTGGACCTGGCAAATTGGTCATTAATAACTTTTGCTAGAGCAGTTGTGGTGGAATAGTAGGAATGAAAGAATGAATGGAGAGTAGGGAAGTAGACAGAGTGAACTACGGAACATCTAATGAGGTAGGTGGAGCAATGAATGCAAACTGAGAGAAAGATAATAAATGGGGTGATAATCCAAACAGAACTAAATATACATAGGAAGAGATGATGTGTAGGAAAGAAGAGGGGCATTTCTGATTTTGAAATAACTGAAGAGAAAACATGAGTCATGTTAAATATCTATGACCTCAAAACATTTTTTCTTCCACTAGTGTTAGCATGAATCAACTCAACAAATATTTATTGAACACCTACTTAAGCTGGACTCTTCTGGAGAAACAAAGAAGTAAGACTGGATTGCTGCTGTCTAAAAAGCTTGCTGTTTAATAATGGAGATATAATTTTACACAATATTCCAACTTAGGTTGGGGGAATGAAAAGGAGCTAACCAAGAAAAAAGCATTCCAGGAAGAGGAAACAGCATGAGTAAAGGCATAAATAAATAGATTGGTTTTTCAAGATTTCAAAGAAGAGATGGTAAGCAAAAGGTGGAGCAGTGATAGAGGCAGGAGGCAGACAAATGCCTAGGCAGATGGGGCCGGTCCCCAGTGAAATCCAACCTTCAAGCTGGAAACAGTCCTGGGTAAATCCTCCAACCATATTGATAACCCGCCTTCCTGTTTGGCGAGCTTTCCTCTGATTGGTCCTCATCCTTCACCTATTTTACATATACCTACCCTTTCCTAATTGGTTTTCTACACTATTGTGCCCACCCTAACATTTTTTGCATGCTCAGAAACCAATCAGCACACAGTCTCTACTCTGAACCCATAAAAATCCCTGGGCTCAGCCATATTGGGAACTTTCCTGCCTTTGGGTAGGGGGACCACCCCTGCATCCCCTCCCTGCTAAAAGCTGTTTCATCACTCAATAAAACTTCCCGCCTTGCTCACTCTTCGCATGTCTGCATGCCTACCTCTTCCTGGTTGTGAGTCAAGAACCCAGACCTAGCTGAGCTAAGGAGCAAAAAATCCTCCATCAGCAGCTGGAGACAAGGTTTGAGAGGTGAACAGGGGTCAGATTTTGAAGGGCGCTGAAGACTTTAGTAAAGACGATAGATTTTATTTTCTGTGCAATAGGAAGCCACTGAAGGATGTTAAGAGATGAGAGGTAAAGTTTAAGGACTAAGAAGAGTCTATTAGACCTGGCAAATTAGTCATTAATAACTTTTGCTAGAGCAGTCGTGGTAGAATAGTAGGAATGAAAGAATGGACCTGGTTTACAATATTCAAAAGGTAATTTGGTTGCACTGTGGAAAATGTACTTTGAGGGAAGGATGAGTAAGAGATGGTGGTTTAAATTACAGCAATAACAACATAAAAGGAAAGAAATGGATGATATTCAGATACAGAGTTGTAGTTAGAATCTGTCTTTCCTTGCTCCTCACTGCTGGGTCCACTAATGTGCATTCTTGAGCCAATCTTCATGGAAACAAGAACTTTAACTATTTCTGGCTCCAAATGATGGGCTAAGGGGAAAATGATTACTCAATCCTGATTTGTTTTACTTTCCACAACCAAGTCCTGATCTACAAGTCCCTGTGCTGATCACTGGAGGATGTGCATGGGTGCATCGATGGGACTTACTTCTCTTTAGTGCTCTGGATCTCATGTGGAGCCTGCATTCAGGCACCAGGCCAAACTGAGCTTCTGTTTTAGTCCCTATTACAAGTGAATGAACCTTAAGAATCGTGATAGTGTCAGAGTCACAGTTATATTACTGGCTTGTCTTATCCACTAAATATGTACTGAATGAACAAATAAATTAGCCCTATGGGGGAGACAGGAATCCCCATTTTACAAGAGTGAAATTGAGGCTCATACCAAATCTGACCAAAATGACATCAGCAGTAAGCTGTACAGTCAGGATGCAAACTCAGGTCTCTGACTCCAGGCTCTACTAAAATTTGTAGATATATTCTTTTTAGACAGAAGCCAAAATAAAACAGTTAGCTGTGAAAGTTTCAGGGCCCATATAAAATAAATGTGTTAAAAGGGGGCACTCTCAGTATTTCATCATTCATGAGATACCTTGAGGGATAAATTGTGTTAATTATCATTGATTGCTCCCAAACTTTATTTCTGTTGATCTTTAGTCCCGATAGTCATATATAGCACCTTTTTGATATTCATTTTAATCTGATTTTATAAAAACAGTATATCATCTTAAATATGCAATTACTAATTTTAACAACTGAGATTGTGCTTTTCAAATGGTATTTACATACGCATACTCTCTGAAAATCTAAAAGAAAAAAGACAAAGAGATTTAAAATGGAGAACCAATGTTTTATGGTTTGGTTAAATAAAAAGTCAAAAGATAAATGTGGTTTCAAAACTTTAAAATTTTGAAGTTAAGATTCAGTGTCTTCAGGGTCTAAATAACATAATTCAACCCAACTTCCACTGACATTATAACTAATATAATGGGAACAGCAGTATCCTTCTGCCTCACATGTATAAAGAAACTTAAATAGATTGTAAATCAATCAATTCCAAGCTTTGAAGAAGATAATTTCCTAGAGTATATTTCACCATAATCCACAATTTTTTAAAGCATGAGTGTAAATATTTAATGACTATATATAGGTTCTAAATTTTATACTCACTCTTTCATGATATTTTTGGTTCTTTTTCCTAAGTGTCTTTATTTGAAACATGAATTGCTCCACGGCATCTTCCTTTATTTGACATCTGAGAATCAACAAAGATAAAATGTGTTAGAATCATTTATCTTAGGAAATGAGAAAAAATTTAAAAGGTATTTGAAGTGAATTATTAAATGTATTATGAAAACACATTTAGGGATAAAAACCTTTCCTAAACGGTTTTGTGTTTCTGAATCTATTTTACTCACTAAAATATATATTGGAGAGAAAACTTCAAAGTTGTTTGTTTTTTTTTGAAAAAAAAATCCCTGTTCATGTTTTATAGTCATAATTTTATACTTTCTAATTGTTTATAAATAATTTAGCCTAAAGGAAAACTAGGAGTGGGCATACAGAAAACATGCTTTCTAGAATTCTAAAAACATTTAGACAAAAACGACGAACAAATCTAAGACTTTATAAGGGCAAGCACACCTTCTTGAAATACTAAGGTAAACTAGGCATGCCTATTGGTTCAAGTTCATTAGTGTGCCATCTCTTCTACAAATAATAAAAACTTCTTTCCTGGCACAAATACATTTCTTTAACACTCAACAAGTATTTGTTGAGTGTCTGTAAGGTATGAAAGAGAGATAGAAAAGTGCAGAAAGACTTTCTTATAGGCTATTTGATAGCTATTTGAGGTGTTAAGTATAGTGTATCTCTTTAAACATGTGCCAGGCATGGTGGCTCACACCTGTAATCCCAGCACTCTGGGAGGCCGTGGCAGGTGGATCTGGGTTTTTGTTGTTGTTGTTGTTGTTGTTGTTTTGAGATGGAATCTCGCTCTGTCGCCCAGGCTGGAGTGCAGTTGCATGTTCTCGGCTGACTGCAACCTCTGCCTCCTGGGTTCAAGCGATTGTCCTGCCTCAGCCTCCCGAGTAACTGGGATTATAGGCGCCTGCCCCCACACCCGGCTAATTTTTCTATTTTTTGTAGAGACGGAGTTTCACCATGTTGGCCAGGCTGGTCTCAAACTCCTGACCTCAAGTGATCTGCCCGCTTCGGGCTCTCAAAGTGCTGGGGTTACAGGTGTGAGCCACCGTGCCCGGCCAGCAGGTGGATCTCTTGAGGACAGGAGTTCCAGACCAGGCTGGCCAACATGGCAAAACCCTGTCCCTACTAGAAATACAAAAATTAGCCAGGTGTGGAGGTGAATGCCTGTAGTTCTAGCTACTCGGGAGGCTGAGGCATGAGAATCGCTTGAACCCAGGAGGCGGAGGTTGCAGCAAACCAAGATCATGCCACTGCACTCCAGCCTGGGTGACAGAGTGAGATGCAGTCTTAAAGTAAATAAATAAAATAATTTTTAAAACTTTATAGTATATCTTGTATCACTATAACCTAATAAATCTTATAACTTTAAATCTGAGACCAAAATAAGGCAACAGAAGTGTGTTACCTAAACCCTTTGGCTCAATTAAAAACAAAATAAAACAAAAACAGAAATATAGTACCTCTGTAGTAGAGTGAAGAGTAGTTAAAGAATGAGAAACTCTGGTTTTAAGTCTTGCCCTTATCACTTCTTGTCTACATGATCTCAGGCAAGTCAATTCCCTGGGCCTAAATGTCCAAGCAGTCAAATGGGATAAAAATACCTAGCTCTGCATATTATCGTAAGGATTAAAATAAGAAATCATATGTGAATGTTTCTAGCATAAAATAAATGCTTAGTAAATTTCAGTTGAATTAAACCTTATATCCTTAGCCCTTTCCCCCAAACATCAATTATATTTGTGACATTGTATACTCATTAGAGAGAAAAACTAGGCTCTTTCTTTCCCAATAATGAGAAAATGCAACATTAAAAAAAAATCCTTTACTGGTCAAAAAAAAGCTCGTTTGGATACTATGAAACTTGAATTTTAGAGCTGGTTTTCCAGTTCTCTAAGGATATTTAACCTCCAGAAATAAGAGGATTGATGGAGATGAACTCTATGCTTCCTTTTCAGTTACAAAATTCTGCAATTTAAATGGACCAATATTCCCTTTCAAACAGTCATACATACAATGTAGATTTAAAGAGCTGAAAGGTGCCCAGCATTGTTTTAGGCATTATAGAGATTGTTTGTTTGTTTGTTTGTTTTTTTGAAATAGAGTCTTGCTCTGTCACCTAGGCTGGAGTGCAGCAGCATGATCTCGGCTCACTGCAAACTCCCCCTCCCAGGTTCAAGCGCTTGTCCCACCTCAGCCTCCCCAGTAACTGGGATTACAGGCACACGCCACCACACCCAGCTAATTTTTGAATTTTTTGCAGAGACGAGGTTTCACCATGTTGGCCAGGCTGGTCTTGAAATCCTGGTCTCAAGTGATCCACCTGCCTCAGCCTCCCGAAGTGCTAGGATTATAGGCATGAGCCACTGCGCCTGGCCTACAGAGATAATTTTGAACAACACCTTCATGATCCTTGCCTTCAAGGAGTACCTTTTACTGGATAATAAGAAGTAAACACATAAACATATTGAAACATATTGTTTACACATTATGATAAATACCATGGGGAAAATAACAGGATATAAGAAGGACCATAAATGGAGGGGACTACTATAGTAGATAGGGCAGCCTCCACAAAATAATAAGAAAATAAGGCTCTGTGCTGCCCAGGCTGGGCTTGAACTCCTGGGCTCAAGGAATCCTCCAGCCTCAGCCTCCCAAGTAGCTGGGGTTACAGATGTGCACCACGACACTTGGCTCATCTTTGACTTCTTACCTAAAGCTTACATTTGTGCAAAAATTTTGAAGGAGTGCCTTTTCTACCTCCCGTTTTTCAGGAGATTAAAAAAAAAGTATTATAAATGAAAATTATCTGAAAAGAACCTATGCAAATGTGCAAATTACTGACATAATTTCTGCAGTTATAAATCTATTAATACTACTTCTTTACATGGGTAGAGCAGGCAAATGAATCTCAAGATGTGGTCTTCATTGGTTAAACTGAGTCTACAGATGGGCTCGTTAATAGACCAATTCCCTGGCTGCAGCTGAGAGCTTTCCTTGGTGATGACTGAGCATGCAACGATTGGGCTGGAGACCATGTGCAGCCCCAGCCCCATTGCATGGGTCATATTTATACTAAGCAAATTATTTGCTGTTTATCTGAAACTCATATTTAATTGGGCATCGTTTATTTCTATTTGCTACAACTGGCATCCCCACACTTAAGCCCACCACCCCTCCCTCAGAGCATTTAGGAGCAAATGGCCTCAGGCTTTGTCTCTTGTCCATTTGTGGAGTGAGCAGTTCAGGATGATGTGAGTGGCAGCAGCAGGCCTCAGTGGGGAATTCTGAGATGCCCTAAATGCTTTGGCAGCTTCACTGGCCCGCTTGTGGAGCTTATGGTAGCTGTGGGTCTAATTTAGCTGAGCCTGTCTTTGAAAGCCACTTCAGCCTTCTCTGGCTTCATGAAAAGGTGTGTTTTACCAGGAAGCAGATGAAGCTTAACTTCAGAACTCAACACTATTATGGGGACTTCAAGCATCATTGTTCCTTATACACTTTTTTCCTTTTTAATATCTCCCCCATCTACTCAGTGCCCTAGAATCTGACATGTCACACTAGGTGCTGAAGCAAGTGGGGTGATAATAAAGCAATATACATTAAAGCAGTTTGAAAAGGTTATGGCACTATTCTAAAGCACAGTGATATTAAATTGTTAGTAAGACAATATGTCACCTTTCCCCCACTCTCTATATTGTTAAAATGTTAGTAATGTGTCAATGTTCCCCCCACCCATGCAATTTCATTGAAAATTCTGGGAAGGAAAACAAATAAATTTGAATTCCAAAAAAACTATATTTTTGTGTTTTTTTCTTTAAACCTATAACCATACCCACATGTTTTTATATCTCTATCCATATTCATTGTAGAAAACTGGGAGACAACAAGTATAAAGGAGAAAATAAAAACTACCGTTACTTAGAGATGATCACTTTATAGATTTAGTATTGGTTTATAGATTTAGTATCAGTTCTTCACAAACAACCATAGAAGTTCATGACCTTATGTTCCGGGAAAGAGTTCCTATATCCATGAAATTACCTGATAAAAGGGCAGGATTGCTTTGTTACAAATGTTTTCAGAATATTTGAACAATTTATACTCACCAGTGGGTAAGAAAGAGCTTGTTTATTGGTGGGCATTTCATCACTGAGTGTTAGTACGTTAAAAAATTTGTTTCCTGTATCAACAGGCAAAAATAACATTGTATTTGTTTTCATGAGTGTGATTTTGCTTTCAGACAAGATCCGACAACATTTACTCAACAAAGAAACTCTGAGCTCATACTATAAGGCTGTGCTAGATACTAGAGGTACAGAGATGAGTAAAGAATAGTCTTCAAGGAGCTCACAGTTTGTTGAGGGAGAATGAAGCACACATGACCTGCCATATTTTTTCCTTCACCTCAAATATTCTAACTGCCTTATTCATATAAAAACACAAATCTGGGCTGGGCGCAGTGGCTCACGCCTGTAATCCTAACATTTCAGGAGGTTGAGGTGGGCTGATCCCTTGAGCCCAGGAGTTTGAGACCAGCCTGGTCAACATAGGGAGACCCTGTCTCTATAAAAATAAACAAACATGGCTAACACCTGTAATCCCAGCACTTTGGGAGGCTCCCAGCACTTTGGGAGGCCAAGGCAGGAGGCCAAGATCAGGAGTTCAAGACCAGCCTGGCCAACATGGCAAAACCCCATCTCTACTAAAAACACAAAAAATTAGCTGGGTGTGGTGGCACATGCCTGTAATTCCAGCTACTGGGGAGGCTGAGGTGGGAGAATTGCTTGAATCCAGGAGGCGGGGGTTGTAGTGAGCCGAGATCATGCCACTGCACTCCAGCCTGGGTGACAGAGTGAGACTCTTGTCTCAAAAACAAACAAATCACTGATCCAAATAAACTTGACTTTCAAAAAAATCTATATCATAATCTCCATTTTTTCACTCACGACCATATTCTCACCCGTTTCTATATCTATATCCATACTTATTGTAGAAAACGGGGGGCAAGACAAGTATAAAGGAGAAAATAAAAACCATCATTATTCAGAGACGATAATTTTATAGACTGAACATTGGTAGTATCAGCTCTTCACAAACAACCATAGAAGTTCATGACTTTCTTTTCTTGGGATAAATTTGAAAAAAGTTCAGTTGCTCAAAAACCATGAATTAACTATCTACTATGTGCTCACTGCTTTGTTAGGAGCTGAGAGAGATATAAGAGGCGCCAGGGAACTCCTGGACAATCCTTCCTCAGATGGTGAGAGGAAATGTCTTGGCTATGTGTCATGTGACAACAGTTCTGTCACCGAGGAACACATGGAATGCATAAACTGTCATCAGTAGAGCATGGTACAGCAAGGCCTTGGCTGTTCCAGTCCATGAGATTATTTATTTAGTTTTACCAAATACAAAAGAACAAGGGTATGAGATGTTCAGTTTATAACTTGCACTAGATCATGAGAATTTTTAAACGTTTGCCTTTTTGTAAACCTTTGTTAAAGAGGAGAAAGACTGGTTTCTGGTCCACCCAAAAGAGAGAAAAACAGCTGTTAACTGGATGTCACCAGTTACACCATGGGAGCAAATTAGAGACCAGGTTACATTCACAGAGCTTGGCTTTTTGTCCACCTCTCCTAAGATGAGATGAACAAAGTTTTCAGTTATGTTGAGAAATGAGTATGAATAGTATCTAGTTATTAGTTAATGTTATTTCAAGTAGAAAATAAAAGGAAACAGGTGAAAGCCTCTTCTCTCTTGGTGTTCTGATCCCTTCACTCAATCCTAAAAAGTTCATACGAATATATTGGGATCTCCAAAGAAGGAGACAGATTTTCCCTGAATGTTGTTAAGGACAACATACATCTTTTATGGTACATTTTTTAAAATAAATCCTTCTTTTAGATTTTAAAATCTAAAATCCTTCTTGGCCAGGTGAGGTGGCTCATGCCTGAAATCCCAGCACTTTGGGAGGCTGAGGCAGGAGGATCGCTTGAGGCCAGGAGTTTAAGACCCAGCTCTACCCAAAATTAAAAAATTAGCTGGGCCTGGTGGTGTATGCCTGTCTTCCCAGCTACTCAGAAATCTGAGGCAGGAGGAACACTTGAGCCCAGGAGTTTGATACTGCAATGAGCTATAATCAGGCTACTACACTCCAGCCTGGGTGACAGAGTGAGACTCTGTCTTTAAACAACAACAACTCTCTTAAACAAAGACCTAGTCACTAGCATCATGGGCTCTCCATCTTCAACTTTATACTCCTCTAATAAAAACCCAAGTGTTCTTCTTGATCTGACCCTTGCCTAAATCACCAGCATCTGCTCTTGCCCTGCCTCCCTCACCCTCCCTTTTCTCAGTTTCTGGCCTGTGATAAGCTCTTTCCTACCCTCCTGTCTTCCATAAGTCATGCTCTTCACTGCTCTGAGTTTCCATAATGCCTGTTCCTTTTCCAGAAATCAGCTCAAAGCTTTCTCAAACAAGTTTTTCCTAACTCCTCTGACTAAAGTCCTTTAGTTACACTGTTAAACAGCACCCTACAGTTTTCTTTTATAGTACCTTTATTATAGCCATGTTTTTTTCTGTTTTTTTTTTTTGTTTTGTTTTTTTGAGACAGGGTCCCTCTCTGTCACCAAGGCTGGAGTGCAGTGACACAATCATGGCTCACTGTAACCTTGACCTCCCTGGGCTCAGGCAATCCTCCCGTCTCCACCTCCTAAATAGCAGGGACTAATTTTTATTTTGTAAAGATGAGTTTTCATCATGTTACTCAGGCTGATCTCAAACTCCTGGGCTCATCCACCTGCCTTGGCCTCTCAAAGGGCTGGGATTATAGGCATGAGCCACCATACCACCCTGTCATTTTTTTTAAAGCTCAAATTAGTGGTTTATTGTCTGTCTCCCATGCTTCATCAAGGCAGGGACCATGTGGTCCTGTTTGCTGCTACATTCCAGTACCCAGCACTTGACTTGCACTTGGTAAACACCCAAGTATTTATTGAATAAGTACATGAATGAAGTATATTTCAGCCTTATGCAAGAAAAGACTAACACTTATCTATTAATTCTGTAAGAATTACAAGTTAAAACACTTACCTTGTGCCAAAAGCTAAGGTTCACAGACCCTCAAGGAGCTATTTGTTGGAATAAAACATAAATATGGAATAAATGTTACCCATGGTTTTGTCTCCAGCTCCTAGGAGTGAGACATTATAAAATTTTATTATTATTAAAAAGAATTTTCTGTAAATCATTTGGATTTGATATGTAGCCATTTAGGAATAATGTAAGTTGGAATGTCTAAGAAATAAAAGGTCACATAAAGGGAAAATTTCTCTTCCATTCTCTCTTTTTTTTTTTTTTTCGAGATGGAACCTCAATGGAATCTTGCTCTGTTGCCCAGGCTGGAGTGCAGTGGCATGATCTTGGCTCACTGCAACGTCTGCCTCCTGGGTTTGAGCAATTCTCCTGCCTCAGTCTCCCGAGAAGCTGGGATTACAGGCACGCGCCACCATGCCCGACTAATTTTTGGATTTTTAGTGGAGACCTGGTTTCACCATGTTGGTCAGGCTGGTCTCGAACTCCCAACCTCAGGTGATCCGCCTGCTTTGGTCTCCCAAAGGGCTGGGAATACAGGTGTGAGCCACCATGCCCGGCCTCTTCTACTCTCTATAAATGTAAACTAACCATTCTGTGTTGTATTTTAAGAGGTAAGCTAGCAAGCTGTTGTATACATAGGTGAGAGTAACCAATAAACAACTGAAGGAGCCAATAGTACATCAATGAAAGCTGTTTCATAGCAGCTCTCATTTCATTTCATAAAATAGTCTAAGTAGTCATAGCTACTACTTGGACTATGTTATATTCAAAGTTTCAAAAACCTTTAAAAATATGTGCATAGCACAAGAGTGCAATTAGGCCTCCAAACCCACCTCTATTCTTTTGGCAGCTGCTGCATGTATTGTTTGCATTTGCAGTTATATGAGTCTTAACAATGACTGCCTTTTATCTATGGCAACTTTCAGATTTCAGAATAAAAACTTACTGATAGTCTAGAAGTGCTTCACTGGTAGGCAGTTTAATTTCTTTTGGTGGCCCGTCATGTGTATCCTTTTTATTTGCTTTCCCTGAGTTTTCCATTGTGCTGGTTAGCTATGAAGAAATATACCTGTTTAGAAAGGAGACATACGAAAGTGAAAAATTCCATCTTTGCCTCCCTACTTTTGTTTACTCTAGATAAGGTACCTCTGGGACTTAATACTGGCTTTCTATCCTGATTGCTTCCATGTCCCCAGATCTAACATTCACCACAATGGTGGAACATCATGAAATGATTGGATTCTTGATTCTGGTGAATTCCATGTTTAGCCCATGTATAGCATTCCCTCCACCCAAAACTTTCTAAGAGACTCCCTCTCTTATGTTATTCATCTATATCTGTTGCCCGTATCTAGGTCTTTTAAGAGCAAAGAACTGAGCTTTTCAATAATTTTATTTCTCCACAGTGTTTGGCAGAGAGACATTAATTAAATGTCTATTAATTTTTCAAAGAAAATGAAAACAAAACTACAATTTTCTATGAGCACGAAGAAGCTAGGATCCAAAAGACTTAAGAATTAGAATCAGGATCCAAAAAAATTAGGTTTGGGCAGGGTTGTTACAAACAGCAAATAAAAGCACACATTGAAGTACTTTTAAAATGGTTGAGATTTACACATGCGAATAATAATAATGTACTAATAACTGCTCATCAGCTATTAACTGGTTTCATACCTAATAATAAAAAAATCAAAAACACCTTTTAAAAGGGAAAATCAAGACCCACTGTTCACAGATGTTTATAGTAAGCAGGAGTACTTTCATAGGTTTGGTTTGGGTACTAAAGTAGACTTTTCAGATTATAGTCTTCCTTAACACATTTTTATCTTTTAATTTCCACTAATCTTAAAAGAATAAGTACCTAGCCTTAAATAAATGTATCAGTAGTTAAGTGTGGTAGAAAGCATAAAATATAACCTTTGTAATTATTTAAGTGGCTGGAAACTCTCATGAGGGTGAGGATAATGTAATTCTTGTGCACCACTGTATTTCCTCACTAAGCACAATAGACACACAATAAATGCTTGTCAGATAAACACATGAGTGGATGCATGAACGAATCAGGCAGACATGGGCTTTAATCCTAGATCCATCACTGTTATCTCTGTGACCCTGAATAGGTTACTTAATCTTTTTGAGGAACTTCAGTTGCATCATCTGTCAAGGGAGAAGGATAACAATTCTACTCTAAGAGCTATTGTAAGGATTAAATAAGCTAATATTTAAAGCACCTAGCATAGTGTCTGAGATATAGAAAAAGGGCATATATCTCTAGCTCTATCTCTGTATAGTGCCCCTTCCTCTTTCCCTTCAGTTGTTGCTCCAGGTCAAGCTTCTTCAAATTCTGGGTAACTAAAGCATAGAATGGCTGCCTTCTGCAAGTACGATGATGCGTGGAAAGACTAATCCATAAGGTTTGCTGTTGTCAACCTTCATTGATTTGGATCACTGAATTGGCAATCCACATAGATCTTTGTAGACCATTCAGCTCCAAAGTGGAGAAACTTGTTAATATGAAAACACGCTTTTTCTCTGTAGACATGCTGCCTGCACACTCAGACTTCCAGTCAGGCTGTCTTTATGTCTGTGACTTTTCTAACCAAGTTTGCACTACTCTGTATGCTAACTAATTTGAGCATATACATGAATGCAAATATACCACAATACTTTCCAACTGAAAAGCACACAGATGACACAACAAAAAGATCTAATACATTAGTACATTAAGTAGTGTCTTCTCAAATATGAAAGTATTGAGAATAATTTAATAGGCTCCCACCAAAAGGTGTCATCATGATACCACCACAGTTCACAGAAAATTATCAGCTAAGAGAAGATTACTCTTTGTTTCAGATGCAGAGTTGAATTTTTATATTATTTTCCATTTTAGAATTAGAATTTTAAACTTGGCTGTTGCACAAAAAGCATACTAACAAATGTTTCATTTTAAAACAATAACTTACCATTTAGTAATAATTTTTACTATAAAAT
Source organism: Homo sapiens (assembly GCF_000001405.40). NCBI lineage: Eukaryota > Metazoa > Chordata > Mammalia > Primates > Hominidae > Homo > Homo sapiens. Next base: position 85,863,173 of record NC_000011.10, on the reverse strand, counting down.
ATTTAAAAGTTAAAACCAATGCCAACATTAATCTCTTTCTAAGTCATATGGAAGAGATCAAGTGTTACGGTTTTTACCTGTGGTACCCATCTGGTGCTGGAGGAAAAATGACCTCATCCTGCTCAATTACCTTAGTTACCTGGCTTTTATGTTTTTAACTCTCTGACTAATGTATAATTACTTACCTAACTGCAGCTTATGGCAAAGGATTTTAATAAAATATGAGTGAAAATGTGGACCCATTAAAGCACAAATGCTTTATACATAAACTCTATTAAGATTCATTGTTTCACACACTTTAAGAAAATTAGTAAGCCAATTGGACTGTCTGCTTAATAGCTGCATTTTTCCAATGGGCTAATGATAGTACCTCAACATCTATTTTTGCATTTGATAATGTGCTATAAATCATGGGGACTTTCATAAACATTTACAAGGATTCACAGTTCCTGACCACCCAGAAGATTTCTCTCAGTAAAGGGTGAGAATCCTAGAAAAATATTCACAAAGTAAAAGCAATTATCTTCCAGGAAGGTTACACTTAGAATATCTGACAAATAGACGTCGAATCTGTCAGTAACTACAAACATCTATTCAATGCCTGCTCTGTGCATGGTGCTTTACCTGGCCCCCAATTATAAAGTATAGATGAGGCAAGACCCTTCTCAGACAGATAGGAAGACAGAAGCACACTGCAGCAGAACTTTAAAAAAATGAGCAGCTTTAAAATTCATTGCAAAATCATGCAGATAATGCTAGGGAGATCTTCATCCAGCATGTGACCTCCCTTTTGTGGCCATGTGTGTTTTCCTCTCCCGACTGTGTCTGAGGTCTCTAAAACATACACCGTGATGTAAGGACAGGTGAGCATCCTGGGTTTGAAAGACTCAGGACTCCAGCCAACCTTTCCAGAATCTACTCCATCATTTTCTGTCATAAAATCTTGCAATAAATATTTCCCAAACGCCTCTCAGTGAAAAGCCAGAAGTTTATTTACTAAAAATGGACATATCACAATCATTTTTTTCATATGTAGTTATCCCATACTGCTTTGGCTCTGCAAAGTTACCTATAGAACACACAGTGTATCCCTTCCTGCACTATCTCAGCATCCTGGCTCAGTATCTAGAAAGCTTAAAATAAATGACTCTCTTTTTTTTTTTTTTTTTTTTTTTAATGAGACAGGGTCTGGCTCCGTCGCCCAAGCTAAAAATGCAGGGTCATTCCAACTTCTGCCTCCCAGGTGCAAGTCATCCTCCCACATCACCTCCAGAGTAGCTGGGATTACAGGCGCATGCTACCATGCCTGGCTAATTTTTTAATTTTTTGTAAAGAGGGGGTTTTGCCATGTTTCTCAGGATGGTCTTGAACTCCTGAGCTCAAGGGATCCACCCACTTTGGCCTCCCAAAGTGCTAGGATTACAGGCATGAGCCACCGCACTTGGCCCAAAATGACTATTTTAATGACTTTGTGAAGGCGTGAATATCCAGAAGCCTCCCAATGACTCCTTTCCTAATTCTGTGGAGGCTGGGAGGGATGGCAGTTCTGCCCTAATACCTTTCTGGACATATAAAATGGAGTTTGAGGTTTGATAGCTAATGTTTTACATACAATGTAGATTAAAATGAAAGATATTTACTTAACAGCATTAGCAATGACAGAAGTTCAGAATAAGATTCCATCAAGGCATGAGTGCATGATATAAAAGATCTCTATTTGGGTGCTAGGAGTCTTGAAGTCTAGTTGTGGCTCAGCCATTAACTAGCTAGAAACTGAGCCATTAACTGCATGGTTTTGAACTGCAGTTCCCAAATTATACTGGATTCTCAGCTATAAACTGTAAGGCTAATAAAAGTAATAGTAGTAGTAGTAATGCAGTACTTCCAAAAGCCTTATTAAAGAGCAATCTAACTTAGAAGGCACATACCTCACTATAATGTTAATTGCAAAGCTGAAATACATATTCAAAACCATTCATGGTACTCATCTTCAACAAAATACAATTCCTTTAATGCCAGTGACACCTAACTACTTCTATAAACCCTCATCTTGGGAATTCAAAAAGAGATGTTGTATCCTTTAATATTTAAATTCATCTTGAGAAGCCTCTTCTTATTGTCCTAACTAGTGATAAATAACCTCGCCTTGTGGCCCCACAATTTGTACTTTTTTTTTTCCCCACAATTTATGGCTTGTAATAGACAGTGTCTATTTTTCCCATCTTTGTGTTCATGTTTATTCAATGTTTAGCTTGCACTTATAGTGAGAACATGCAGTATTGCTTTTGGGTTCTTGCATTAGTTTGCTTAGGATAATGGCCTCCAGCTGCATCCATGTTGCTACAAAGGACACGATTTTGTTCTTTTTATGGCTGTGTAGCATTCCATGGTGTATGTGTACCACATTTTCTTTATCTAGTCCACCACTGATTAGCATCTTGGTTGATTTTATGTGTTTGCTACTGTGAACAGTGCTGCGATGAACATGAGTCCATGTGTCTGTTTCACAGAATGATTTATTTTCCTTAGGGTATATATCCAGTAGCGAGATTGCTGGGTTGAATGGTATTTCTGTTTTAAGTTCTTTGAGAAATCTTCACACTGCTTTCCACGTGTTCTTTAATACTCCCACCAGCAGTGTATAAGTGTTCCCTTTTCTGCTAAACCTCACCAGCATCTGTTGTTTTTTGTCTTTTTAATAATTACCATTGTGATTCCTGTGTGATAGTATCTTATCATGGTTTTGATCTGCATTTATCTAATGATTAGTGATGATGAGCATTTTTTCATATATTTGTTGGCCACATGTATGTTTTCTTTTGAAAAGTATCTGTTCATGTTCTTTGCCTTCTTTTTTTTTTTTTTTTTTTTTGAGACGGAGTCTCACTCTGTTGCCCAGGCTGGAGTGCAGTGGCACAATCTCGGCTCACTGCAACCTTTGCCTCCAGGGTTCAAGTGATTCTCCTGCCTCAGCCTCCCGAGTAGCTGGGACTACAGGCACGTGCCACCATGCCTGGCTAATTTATTTATTTATTTGTTTTGTATTTTTAGTAGAGTCGGGGTTTCACCGTGTTAGCCAGGACTATCTCGATCTCCTGACCTTGTGATCTGACTGCCTCAGCCTCCCAAAGTGCTGGGATTACAGGCGGGAGCCACCACACCCAGCCTGTCCTTCTCTTATTTTTAAATGGGGTTATTTGCTTTTTGTTTGCTGAATTAAGTTCCTTATAGATTCTGGATATTAGACCTTTGTTGGATGCATGGCTTGTGAATATTTTCTCCCATTCTGCAGGTTGTCTGTTTACTCTGTTGATAGTTTCTTTTGCTGTGCAGAAGCTCTTTAATTAGTCCCACTTGTCTATTTTTTGTTGTTGTTGCAGTTGCTTTTGGGAATTTAGTCATAAATTCTTTGCCAAGGCCAATGTCCAGAATGGTATTTCCTAGGTTTTCTTCTAGAGTGTTTGTTGTTTTAGGTCTTACATTTAAGTATTTAATTCATCTTGAGTTAATTTTTGTATGTGGTAAAAGGAAGGGGTCCAGTTTCAATCTTCCACATATGGCTAGCCAGTTATCCCAGCACCATTTATTGAATAGGGAGTTCTTTCCCCATTGTTTGTTATCATTGACTCTGTCACAAAACCAGTAGTTGTAGGTGTGTGGCTTTATTTCTGGGTCCTTTAACCTGTTCCATTAGTTTATATGTCTGTTTTTGTAACAGTACCATGTTGTTTGGGTTACTGTAGCCTTGTAATATAGTTTGAAGTTGGGTAGTGTGATTCCCCTGGCTTTGCTCTTATTGTTTGGGGTTGATTTGGTGATTAGGGCTCTGTTTTGGTTCCATATGAATTTTAGAATAGTTTTGTTTAATTCCATGAAAAATGACATTGAATGTTTTTCCATTTGTTTGTGTTCATCTCTGACTTATTTCAGCAGTGTTTTGAAATTCTCATTGTAGAACTCATTTACCTTCTTGGTAAGCTGTATTCCTAGGGGTTTTTTTTTTTTTTTTTTTTTTAAGGCACCAAGATTTTTATTTACCCACCTTCCTGCTTTTTATTTTTTTTTAACATAAACATTATGGACCAGATTATTCTCTTTTTGACCCAGGGTTGTGATAGGAATTATCTTGTTACAAAGTGGTAGCAGATCTATGCTTGCTTTTATGTTTTTATGGCCCCTCTCAACCTCTGGCTATCAATTCTCTGTCCTTTCTCAGTTGTCCCTTAACAGTCTATTCTAACTCCTATAAAACAGAGACTAAAAGTACCAACCTCATTGTTATGAGGTGGAAGAGAAGGCCCAGCACTAAGTCAGGCTCTCAGGAAAATTCAAACAACAGTTCCTCTTTGCCCTTCAATATAGCTGCTGCTTTTCTGTCATGGGCTGAGGTACCACTGAACCTGTGAACCAAGCACACAGGTATAAGTCCACAGACCGGGTGAATGCCTAGATGGTAAAGTATATGGGCTTTGTGACTCCATTACCAACTTCCAGGCTAAGGAAGGACTGACTTAGTGAGAAGTTCCAAGATCATTGAATTCATAGTTCCCTGTGGCTGTCTCCCTTGTACCCCTATCATGACCAAGGCTTGAGGAGGGGCCTCTCAATTCCCCCTGCCACACTTGGAACAGTATGAGGGATGCAGCAGAGGCCAAAAACTGAGTGACCAGCCCCAGGGAGTCAATAGGGGACACTGACAAACCAATCACAAAGTGGGTGCCATTTGCTCTTAGGGAGGAGAGGCAGGGCCTGGACAAGGACAGCAGTTGGAAGGCGAAGGGCAGGTCTGGCTTTCAGTAGTGGTAGTGATCTGGCTTGAAGGGGCCATCACGGGACAAGTACAGGTAATGGGCTTGCAGCTCAGTCAGCTTGGTCAATTTCACATTCAGCTTGCCCAGGTGGGCTTCAGCCATTGCCTCATTCAGCTTCTTGGGCAGGAAGAGAACCATAACCTGGTACTTGTCTGGGTGGGTCTGCAGCTCAGTCTGCGCCATCACTTGGTTGGTGAAGGAGTTACTTATCAAGAAGCTGAGGTGGCCCATGGCACAACCCAGGTTGACCAGCTGACCCTCAGCTAGCAGGATGATGTGGTGTGCATTCTTCAGCTGATACCAGTCCACCTGGGGCTTGATGTTGACTCTCTCCACAGTATTCTTGTTGAGCCACTTGACATCAATCTCCATGTCAAAGTGTCCAGTGTTACAAATGATGGCATCATCCTTCATCTGCTTAAAGTGCCAGCCAAGGATGATGTTAACACAGCCTGTGGTGGTGACAAAGATGTTGTCCTCCTGACAGGCCTCGTCTATGGTGGCCACCTCATAGCCCTTCATGGCAGCCTGCAGTATGTTGATGGGGTCGATCTTGATGATGATGACATGGGCCTGAAACCCCACAGGGCCTGGGCACAGCCTTTGCCCATGTCGCCACAGCCTGCTACCACTGCTACCTTGCTGGCAATCATCACGTCTGTGGCCCACTTGATGCTATCTATGAGGGACTCCTGGCAGCCGGAGAGGTTGTCAAACTTGCTCTTGGTGACGGAGTTGTTGACATTGATGGCAGGCACTTTCAGGATCCCATTGGCCATCATCTTGTGTAGCTTGTGGACCCCAATCATGGTCTCCTTGAAGATGCCTCACATCCCCGACAAGAGCTGTGGGTACTTGGTGTGGATGAGGTTGGTGGGGGCCCAAGCGACATCCAGAATCACGTTGAGGAGGCCGTCTTTGAAGTATAATGTCTGCTTGGTGCACCACAGGTACTCCTCCTCTGTTTCGCCCTTCCAGGCGTACAACTGGAATGCCAGCCTTGGCAATGGCAGCTGCCTCATGGTCCTGGGTGATGTTGCAGCTGGACCACTGCAGCTTGGCACCCAGGGTAATGAGGGTCTCAATGAGGATGGCCATCTCCATGGGTCCTATGGAGGCAACTGGTGATGCGCGTGCCCTTCGAGGGCTTGGAGGGTTGAGTACAGCTCCCACATGCACGTCAGGCCCGGCATCTGGTTCTCCACAATATCCAGGGCTTTGCATCCCCAGAAGTCCAGGCCAATGTCAGTGACTTTGTAGGGCAGTTTGTCAGACATGCTGGTGGTGCTTGTGATAGACATGGCTGAAGGGGCCCAAGCCTCGATCTGGGGACAGGCACTGGGGGTATGGCACTGGGCAGGGGGTTCCCAGGTAGTTTATTCGTTTTGTGGCTACTGCAAATGAGATTGCACAGAACACATGTTTAACTTAATTAGAAATGGTCTCCAGTAAATGTTTTTAAAAATCCTGAATTAATTTAAAGCCATTCAGTGGTAATAGTACCACCTAAAACATTAATTTTAAAAATTGAGACCGCTTTTCATATTGATTATGTATATATGATAGGGACCAAAATTGTTAGTGTTAAAATGTAAAATTTGCCCGGTTTGGAAATATGTTAAAATCATATATTAAAATCAAGGTATTTAAAAATATCTAGATGAGTGACATTTTCAAGTTTCACTTGGACGACTGATGATGTACATTACATTAGCATGTATTTTCTTCACCAATCCTTTAGTCATGGCACATTTTTCTACTGCAGTACCCAAAGATATTGGAGTCTTAGCTTTAAAATTAGTCCGTCTTCTGATCCAGAGTTGCTAATATCAAATAGTTTGAACTGCAGTATATTACACTAACTTCTCTAGTAACCAGAACTACATTTTTTTCCCACTCTTACTGTCCTTCAGTTTTAGAATTATCAACAAAGAAAAGAAAAATAACTATGAAAATATTATTATGAGGATAAGGGAAAAATATGCAATAATAATGGTAGAGAACAAAAAGGCTTCTTTCTACCTTCAAATAGCAGTAGTGAGTCTAAAGAGGATCTTCTGGAGGTGGCTGTAAGGCAATCCATGAGCAATTATCACATAGACTGATAAATACCCAGTCATTATTTTTCCCCTCTGTCATCACAGGAATCTTTCTTTTCCTTTTTTTTTTTTTTTTTTTGGCTTAGATAGGGCACTTTTTCCCATCTCTTAATCACTTCCTCAACTCTCTCTCTTGCCCAGCAGAAAATTATGGGATAAGGAAGGGAGTGAGGCAACAACATGGCACTGTACAAATGTGACAAATTCATAAAAGAAACCAAGTGTTTTCTTTAGAAGAATGTTGTAGTATCCAGAGCAAGAAGTTGAAACCAATCTATGAATTGGGATATGAGGGTAAAAGACATCAATAACACACTTAGCACATATGAAGTACCTACAGCGGAAGAGCATTGCGCTGGTATTGAGAAGGATGCAAGAGTATGTGAGGTCCTCAGAAAGCATTCACTAGACTCAGAATTTGGTGAGAGAGGCACTAAGAGAAGCAAGACCGAGCTTAGTCCCAGCTCCTGCACAGAGTTGTATAACCTAGGCCAAGTCTCTGAACCTCTGACCTGTTTCCTCCTCCATCTGTCCTAGTTGCTGTCCGGGCTATGAGGCTCCAAACGCTTTGGGAAAACTGTCAAGTGATAAAGCCTCATAAGAATGGAAGGCATTCTTAGTCTGCTCTGCGTCTGCTGTGTGCTAGGGGCTGTGTGAGGGCACCGTGAAGGTTACAAACCTGAATCAAATTCAGAGCCTGCCTTTCGAGAGGGCAAATAATGTATCCAGGGGTTCTACCGCAAGGCGGAGAGATGGGTTAACATTCTGATCAGATTAAAAAGGCCTGCCCTCCTTCTCATCTCCTGGGTGGAGAAGAGGAGTGGGCCTATCAGAGCCCTTCCCAGCAGCTCCTAACGGCCCAAGAACGGCGCTTCGTGGACAAGACCAGGAGGGCGCGACCCCCAGGCTGATCTCGAAGCGGCGCAAGCCCAGGCCCGTGGAGAGTGGAGCCCGTGGAGGGTGGTCGGGGGGAAGCTTATAAAGTCTTCAGTGTCAGACTGGAAGGAGTCGGGGGCCAAGAAAAGAGGCCAGCCAGTCTCCTGACATCCCCTCCACAGCCTGCAGGGGCGGATACCCGGCCCTGGGCGGACAGCTCGCACTTCCTTTCAGCCCGCCGGCCAGGCCTACCGGCTCCACTGCAGCGGCTGCTGCGCCCTGCATTTCCAAGGCAACCGACGTCCTCCTCCCTACTCCCTCCCCACCCGCCCTAGCTTAGCCGCGAACGGCGGGCCGAGCGCGCCATCTGGTGGCGACGCAGGGAAGGGTCCCGGCCGAGCGCCCGCGCCGCCGCCTTGGTAGCAGCGGTAGCGCTCTCCCGCCTTCCTCCGCGCGGGATTTTCGGCGTCCCTCAGCCAGCTGGTCTCAAACGCTCACGCGCTCGTTGGCTCCCTTTAGTCGCAAGCCTGGAAGTTGGTGACTGTAGACACAGGGCCCACGGGCTTCGTGCTGTGACCGTGAGCAGGTCATTTGGATCTCAGAGTTTGTGTCTTCCGCTGTAAAATGAGACGCCTGGACTCGGTGGCGCTTTCCGCACAGTTCGGGGGACGGGGACGGGGCCTGGTTGTCTGGTGAGGCTTCTGCGCGCCTCTGTCCCGCTGCGCTCCTTCCACAATGGCGGCTTGTCTTCTTTCTACTTTCGTGCACTAATTCTTTGGTTTTAGCTCTTAATAAGAATGGCAGGTCCCTGGACTAAATGCTTACAGGGCAACTTCCTGCTGTATAAGTCCTTGATTCTGTTTTTCTTCTCGCTTTCCTTTTTTGTTCGTAAACCTAAAGAAAGGAATTTAAGTCCAGCATTTCCCACTCTTCGCTTTTTGCTGTTCTTTCCTCCGAGAGAGAAAAAGAAAATCCTACACGTACAGCCTTTAAAGTTCCTCTTTCCTCTCCTGCATTATTTCTCATTATCTGCCGCAAGATAATTTTCTTTTTTTGGTACTTGACACTGGCTTTGAACGGACAACTTTTTTTTTTTTTAATGAGTGGAAATATTCATTTATTCAGCACTTAGAAATAACAGTTCTTGATAATATTATGATTTATAATTTATACATGGTGTATTTTAATGAATTGCAGGTGTTTAAGAAATAAGTAATATAGCAGGGCGCGGTGGCTCATGCTTGTAATCCCTCACGCCTACAATCCCTCACGCCTGTAATCTCAGCAGTTTGGGAGGCCGAGGTGGACAGATTGCTTGCGGTAAGGAGTTTGAGACCAGCGTAGGCAACATGGCGAAACCCCATCTCTACGAAAAATTAGCCAGGCATAGTGGTGAGTGCCTGTAGTCCCAGCTACTTCGGAGGTGGAGGCCGAAGAATTGCTTGAGCCTGGAAGGCTGAGATCTCAGTGAGCCGAGACTGCCACTGCACGGGTGACAGAGCGAGCCTCTGTCTCAAAGAAAGAAAGAGTATGTACCTGGATATGTATTTTTATTTTTATTTTTATTTTTTACAGCTTAACGAGATTTTTTTATTTTCCTGACTTTTTGCTTTGGAGAATTAGTCAGTAGTTAAGGTCTATCTTGTTCGTTTACTATGGGGTTTGAATTTGAGATGGGGCTGACGTCACTTTGGGGCCCTTTTCTTTTCTTCTTTTTTTTTTTTTTTTTTATTGATCATTCTTGGGTGTTTCTCGCAGAGGGGGATTTGGCAGGGTCATAGGACAATAGTGGAGGGAAGGTCAGCAGATAAACAAGTGAACAAAGGTCTCTGGTTTTCCTAGGCAGAGGACCCTGTGGCCTTCCGCAGTGTTTGTGTCCCTGGGTACTTGAGATTAGGGAGTGGTGATGACTCTTAAGGAGCATGCTGCCTTCAAGCATCTGTTTAACAAAGCCCATCTTGCACCGCCCTTAATCCATTTAACCCTGAGTGGACACAGCACATGTTTCAGAGAGCACCGGGTTGGGGGCAAGGTCATAGATCAACAGCATCCCAAGGCAGAAGAATCTTTCCTAGTACAGAACAAAATGGAGTCTCCTATGTCTACTTTTTTCTACTCAAGACACGGCAACAATCTGATTTCTCTATCTTTTCCCCACATTTCCCCCTTTTCTATTCCACAAAACCGCCATTGTCATCATGGCCTGTTCTCAATGAGCTGTTGGGTACGCCTCCCAGACGGGGTGGCGGCCGGGCAGAGGGGCTCCTCGCTTCCCAGAAGGGGCGGCCGGGCAGAGGCGCCCCCGACCTCCCGGACGGGGAGGCGGCCGGGCGGAGGCGCTCCTCACTTCCCAGACAGGGTGGCTGCCGGGCGCAGGGGCTCCTCACTTCTCAGACGGGGCGGCTGCTGGGCGGAGGGGCTCCTCACTTCTCAGACGGGGCGGCCGGGTAGAGACGCTCCTCACCTCCCAGACGGGGTCGCGGCCGGGCAGAGGTGCTCCTGACTTCCCAGACTGGGCAGGCGGGCAGAGGGGCTCCTCACATCCCAGACGATGGGCGGCCAGGCAGAAACACTCCTCACTTCCCAGACGGGGTGGCGGCCGGGCAGAGGCTGCAATCTTGGCACTTTGGGAGGCCAAGGGAGGCGGCTGGGAGGTGGAGGTTATAGCTAGCCGTGATCATGCCACTGCACTCCAGCCTGGGCAACATTGAGCACTGAGTGAACGAGACTCCGTCTGCAATCCCGGCACCTCGGGAGGCCGAGGCTGGCAGATCACTCGCGGTTAGGAGCTGGAGATCAGCCCAGCCAACACGTGAAACCCCGTCTCCACCAAAAAAAATACGAAAACCAGTCAGGTGTGGCGGTGCGCGCCTGCAACCGCAGGCACTCGGCAGGCTGAGGCGGGAGAATCAGGCAGGGAGGTTGCAGTGAGCCGAGATGGCAGCAGTACAGTCCAGCTTCCGCTGGGTATCAGAGGGAGACTGTGGATAGAGAGGGAGAGGGAGACCGTGGGGAGAGGGAGAGGGGGAGGGGGAGGCAGACAACTTTCTTTTACATCCTAGGAGCGTCTATGTCCTGGTAGTTACATTTCAGTCAATTACTTATCCTTTTGTCCCAGGAAGACAGAAATGAGGCCCCTTTAGGCTTCCCTGCTCCCTTCGTAAGTCACCTGTTTGGCATTCTTGAATTTGTTTTTTAAAAAATGGATTATCATATTTTTTATTCATGCTGTGTTATATTAATAACGTATTAAGAACTTGAAGGGAACTGAAGCAGTTAATAAAAATATTAAGCAGCTTTTGGTTAAAGGAGTTTTTCTCATCAGTAAAATATACAAAAATTAATCATTGTTAGAGATAACTTACGTGTTCCACCTCATTTTAACCTCCCTTTAGTCTATCAGTATTGTGTTTATTAAGTGCCAGGAATTTGCTATGATCTACACATCTGATAAATGTTCTTCTGTTAACCTGGTTTTCCCTAAAATAACATCATCAGATGGGATTATAGGATAAAATTATTAAGAGTGCAAATTCAGGAGAAAAAGCTACCAGCGGAAAATTTTTAAAGCATGGAGATTTTTTAGTTAAATAGAAAAGCAATTTGTGATTCTTCAGCACTTTGAATTGATTCCCACATCATTTGTTTTAAATCTTAGGCCTGCTTCTATTATGAGAGCCTGGGCCCATAGTGAAAAAATGTACTTTTACCTATCATTTATATCCTGCACAGTTTTTCTTATAGTGTTTACCAGTTGGTGGTCAGTGTGAAGCCAGATAAAAACCATTTGCTGAGTTTCCTCATTTGACCTTGATTTTCTGTTAGCCTTGCCATGTTGAATGATGTAGAAATAGACGTAGGAAAGTATCTATAGTAGAAGAAGCCAAATATGCTGTCTGTTTTTGGAAAAACCACAAAGAACCTGTTTGAGATGAGCAATTGCTAAACAGAAACAACTGCAGGGTCTTATTATTATTAAATCTCACAATAATTTGTAAAGACCCGAACTAGGAATGAACTTACTGCCTTTGCGAACCAGTTCAAACTTTTGGTAAATCAGACATTTTACCTACAGCAGTTACTTTTGAGAAATAGAAAATTTTTGCTACAACTTCCTGTCCAATAACTTTGTTCCTCACAAACTTGAAACAATTAAATAGATGTTTTGCAAAAATAAATAATCATGAACTAAAATATTCTCTTTTTTTTTTATTATACTTTCAGTTTTAGGGTACATGTGCACATGGTGCAGGTTAGATACATATGTATACATGTGCCATGCTGGTGCGCTGCACCCACTAACTCGTCATCTAGCATTAGGTATGTCTCCCGATGCTATCCCTCCCCCCTCCCCCCACCCCACCACAGTCCCCAGAGTGTGATATTCCCCTTCCTGTGTCCATGTGATCTCATTGTTCAGTTCCCACCTGTGAGTGAGAATATGCGGTGTTTGGTTTTTTGTTCTTGCGATAGTTTACTGAGAATGATGATTTCCAATTTCATCCATGTCCCTACAAAGGACATGAACTCATCATTTTTTATGGCTGCATAGTATTCCATGGTGTATATGTGCCACATTTTCTTAATCCAGTCTATCATTGTCGGACATTTGGGTTGGTTCCAAGTCTTTGCTATTGTGAATAATGCCGCAATAAACATACGTGTGCATGTGTCTTTATAGCAGCATGATTTATAGTCATTTGGGTATATACCCAGTAATGGAATGGCTGGGTCAAATGGTATTTCTAGTTCTAGATCCCTGAGGAATCGCCACACTGACTTCCACAATGGTTGAACTAGTTTACAGTCCCACCAACAGTGTAAAAGTGTTCCTATTTCTCCACATCCTCTCCAGCACCTGTTGTTTCCTGACTTTTTAATGATGGCCATTCTAACTGGTGTGAGATGGTATCTCATAGTGGTTTTGATTTGCATTTCTCTGATGGCCAGTGATGATGAGCATTTTTTCATGTGTTTTTTGGCTGCATAAATGTCTTCTTTTGAGAAGTGTGTGTTGATGTCCTTTGCCCGCTTTTTGATGGGGTTGTTTGTTTTTTTCTTGTAAATTTGTTGGAAGTTCTGGCCAGGGCAATTAGGCAGGAGAAGGAAATAAAGGGTATTCAATTAGGAAAAGAGGAAGTCAAATTGTCCCTGTTTGCAGACGACATGATTGTATATCTAGAAAACCCCATTGTCTCAGCCCAAAATCTCCTTAAGCTGATAAGCAACTTCAGCAAAGTCTCAGGATACAAAATCAATGTACAAAAATCACAAGCATTCTTATACACCAACAACAGACAAACAGAGAGCCAAATCGTGAGTGAACTCCCATTCACAATTGCTTCAAAGAGAATAAAATACCTAGGAATCCAACTTACAAGGGATGTGAAGGACCTCTTCAAGGAGAACTACAAACCACTGCTCAACGAAATAAAAGAGGATACAAACAAATGGGAGAACATTCCATGCTCATGGGTAGGAAGAATCAATATCGTGAAAATGGCCATACTGCCCAAGGTAATTTACAGATTCAATGCCATCCCCATCAAGCTACCAATGACTTTCTTCACAGAATTGGAAAAAACTACTTTAAAGTTCATATGGAACCAAAAAAGAGCCCGCATCGCCAAGTCAATCCTAAGCCAAAAGAACAAAGCTGGAGGCATCACCCTACCTGACTTCAAACTATACTACAAGGCTACAGTAACCAAAACAGCATGGTACTGGTACCAAAACAGAGATATAGATCAATGGAACAGAACAGAGCCCTCAGAAATAACGCCGCATATCTACAACTATCTGATCTTTGACAAACCTGAGAAAAACAAGCAATGGGGAAAGGATTCCCTATTTAATGGTGCTGGGAAAACTGGCTAGCCGTATGTAGAAAGCTGAAACTTGATCCCTTCCTTACACCTTATACAAAAATCAATTCAAGATGGATTAAAGACTTAAACGTTAGACCTAAAACCATAAAAACCCTAGAAGAAAACCTAGGCATTACCATTCAGGACACAGGCATGGGCAAGGACTTCATGTCCAAAACACCAAAAGCAACGGCAACAAAAGACAAAATTGACAAATGGGATCTAATTAAACTAAAGAGCTTCTGCACAGCAAAAGAAACTACCATCAGAGTGAACAGGCAGCCTCCAAAATGGGAGAAAATTTTCACAACCTACTCATCTGACAAAGGGCTAATATCCAGAATCTACAATGAACTCAAACAAATTTACAAGAAAATATTCTCTTAAGAGGAAGAAAGTATATGCTACCTTTAAGAAGGAGATTGTTTTAACCCAACGTCCATTGTCACGTTGCAATATTGTATTATAAAATGGGATGGTGTCTCACTGTTTATAAGGGTCATATTTTTTCACTTTAAGCCAGAGGCACATACCTGCAGTTCACTTTTTTTTCTTTGTCTCTCCAAACCAAGTTTAACTTAAATAACCAGAATTCTGGCAAAAAGATACCACATGTCTTTTTTTTCCTTCTTACTTCGTCTGCCTAATTAATGTTTGAAATTACTCTTATGATCTCTTTGTTTTCTCAGATATAAGAGGAGCCCAGGACAGTAAGCTGGAGCCAGGGTTTCTTATCCCAGGAACCTGGACTATATGATTTGAATTGTGCCTGAGGGCTTTAGCATGTGACATCACAAGAGTATTTAGCAACAATGAATTGCTGCCTGCTTGCTATAGTTTTAAAATATGAACACAAAAGGACAAACATATAGACCAATAGAATATAACAAAAAATCAAGAAACATACTTGTACATATAGGATCAATTGCTTCAGACAAAATTGTAAAAGTAACTCGATAAGCAAAGCATAATCTTTTGAACAAATGTGACTGTAACTATTGGATATCTATTTGGAAAAAAAAAATGAAGCTTCACTCAGACCAAAAACCATACAAAAAATTAACTCAAAATGAATCATAAAGGTGAAAACTATAAAATTTCTAGAATAAGACAAAAAATCTTTTTGACTTTGCATCAGCCAAGTGTTATATAGGACACAAAAAACATGATTCAAAAAAGAAAAAAAGAACTTGAACTTCATCAAATTTAAATTTAAAATATCTGCTCTTGAGGGTTTGGTTTTTTTTTTTTCTTTTTTCTTTTTTTGGTTTGTTTGTTTTTTGAGTCAGGGTCTTGCTCTGTCACCAGGCTGGAATGCAGCAGTATGGAAATGGCTCGTTGTAGCCTCAAACTCTCAAGCTTAAGTGATCCTCCTGCCTCAGCCTACCAAGTAGCTGGGACCACAGGCACGTGCCACCATGCTCAACTGATTTTTTAGTTTTTTATTTTATTTTTTGTAGAGATGGGGGTCTTGTCTTGTTGCCTAGGCTGGTCTCAAACACCCAACCTGAGGCGATTCTCCCGCCTTAGCCTCCCAAAGTGCTGGGATCATAGGTGTGAGCCACCATGCCCAGGCTGTTCTTTAGTTTTAAGAAGATGAAAAGGCAAGCCACAGTCTGGAAGAAAACGTTTGCAATACATATACCTGCCAGAAGACTGGGATCTAGAATTTATAAATAATTCCTCAAGCTCAATAGGAAAAAAACCAACTAATTACAAATGCCAAAAGATTTGAATAGATGCTCCAAAAAATAGATATATTCATGGCCAATTGGCACATGAAAAGATGCTCAATATCATTAGTTATCAGGCAAATGCAAATTGAAACCACAGTGAGATACTACTACACACCTACTGGAATGGCTAACCCTAAAAGACTGACAATACCATGTGTTGGCAAGGATGTGGAGTAACTGGAACTTTCATATATTCCTGATGGAAAAACAAAATTGTGCAACCATTTTGGAAAACAGTTTAGCAGTCTCTTATAAGGTTAAACACATATACTGTATGACCCAGCAAACCCACTCTTAGATATTTATTCAAGACAAATGAAAATGAATGTTCATAGCTGCTTGTAATACTACTTAATAAAAAAAGGAATGTTGCCAGCACTTAGGAATGAAAAAAAAAAGGGTGGGGGGAATAACTATTGATACATGCAACAACCTGGATGGGTCTCAAAAGAATTGAGCTAAGTGAAGAAGCCAAGTGTGAAAACTATATGCTGTATCATATGAAATTCTAGAAAAGCCTGGAAGCAGATCAGTGATGGCCCTGAGCTCAGGGGCTGGGGTGTGGGATTGACTGCAAGGGGGCAGGAGAGTACTTGCCGGAATAAAGGAAATGCTCTGTATCTTGATTGTGGTGGTGGTTACAAGGGTGTATAGATTTGTTAAAACCCATTGAACTATATATTTAAAATGGGTACATTTTATTGTATATAAATTGTACTTTAACAAAGTTAATTTTTTTAAAATGGTTTCAGGCTGGGCACGGTGGCTCATGCCTGTAATCTCAGCGCTTCGGGAGGCCGAGGCAGGTGGATCACCTGAGGTCAGGAGTTTGAGACCAGCCTGACCAACATAGTGACACCCCATCTCTACTGAAAATACAAAATTAGCTGGGTGTGGTGGTGCATGCCTGTAAATCCCAGCTACTTGGGAGGCTGAGGTAGGAGAATCGCTTGAACCCGAGAGGCGGAGGTTGCAGTGAGGCGAGACTGTGCCACTGCACACTCCAGCCTGGGCGACAGCGAGACTCCATCTCAAAAAAAAAAAAAAAAATAGTTTCAACCTGGGCGTGGTGACTCACCTCTGTAATCCCAGCACTTTGGGAGGCTGAGGTGCGTGGATCACCTAAGGTCAGGAGTTTGAGACCAGCCTGACCAACATGGTGAAACTGCATCTCTACTAAAAATTCAAAATTAGCTGGGTGTGGTGGTGCACACCTGTAATCCCAGCTACTTGGGAAGTTGAGGCAGGAGAATCGCTTGGACCTGGAAGCAGAGGGTACAGTGAGCTGAATTTGCACCATTGTACTCCAGCCTGGGTAACAAGAGCAAAACTCTGTCTCAAAAAAACAAAACGAAATGAAACAACAACAAAATAAATAAAGGTTTCATATTCTTTAACACTCCTCTCTTCAAGAGGTGGCATCTCTGTTCCCTCTCCTTGAATCTGGTGGTCTTATGACTACTGTAAGCAAGAGAGTATGGAAATGACTCTGTGTTACTTCTGAGGCTAGGTTATAAAAAGTCATGCAGCTTCCCCATGGTTCTTTTGGGATACTTGCTCTAGAGGAAGCCAGCTGCCATGTAAGAAGTCTATCTCCTATGAGACAACCATGCTGGAGAGGCTGAGTATAGGTACTGTGGTCCACCATTCTAGCTGACCCCACCTTATAACCCACAAAGTGCCAGACATGTGAACAAAGTCATCTTGGACTGTCCCAGCTGGCCCATCCATCCTCTAAGTATAGCTGAGTTAATCTCAGTTGAAGCCACAGGAGCGAGAGATCACCAATTACTAACCTACAGGATCTGTGAGCTGTAATAAAGTGGTGGTGGTTTTATGTTATTTATTTATTTTATTATTATTTTTTTTTGAGACAGAGTCTTGCTCTGTTGCCCAGGCTGAGTGCAGTGGCACGATCTTGGCTCACTGCAAGCTCCACCTCCCAGGTTCACGCCATTCTCCTGCCTCAGCCTCCCAAGTAGCTGGGACTACAGGTGCCTGCCACCATGCCCGGCTAATTTTTGTGTGTGTGTGTGTATTAGTAGAGACCAGGTTTCACTGTGCTAGCCAGGATGGTCTCGATCTCCTGACCTCGTGATCCGCCCACCTCGGCCTCCCAAAGTGCTGGGATTACAGGTGTGAGCCACCACGCCTGGCCTATTTTATTTATTTTTAATTTTTTTTTGTAGAGACCAGGTCTCTCTGTGTTGCCCAGGCTCACCTTGAACTCCTAGGCTCAAGTGATCCTCCCGCCTCAGTCTCCCAAAGTGTTGGGATTACAGGCATGAGCCACTGCACCCAGCCCAGGTTGTTGTTTTAAACTAATTAGTTTTGTTAGTGTATTAGTTGTCTATTATTGCACAACAAATTACTCCAAAATTTAGCAATTCAAGACAATAATAATCATTTATTATCTCCCAGTTTCTGTGGATCAGGAATTTGGGAGCAACTTCATTGGGCAGTTGTAGCTTGTTGTAACTCATGAGGTCAGATGTTGGACAGATTCTATCTCTGCCTGAAGGAGTTCTCATTTTAGGGGAAGTGATGAGCAATCAAGTTATTCTGCAATTATAAAACAGTTGGATACTTTCCAGAAAAGGGGTAAAAGCAAGGTGCTGTGGAAAACCTAATCCAGTCTTGAGAGTCAGGGAAAATTTTCCAGAGGAATTGAGATCTAAATTAAAACTTGACAATGAGCAGGAACTTGACAATGTGCAGGAAGACTGGAACATTGAGTGGGAGGGCCTGGGACAGAGGGCATTGCAAACACAAAGCCCTAGAGGTAAAAACGAAAATGATGAGTTTCTAATGGAGCAGAAGAGATTACCATGGTTGGATAATAGGCTCCCAGGGATAGGAGAGAAGTGAGACAGGAGGCTGGAGAAGCAAGTAGGGACAAATCATGGCGGGTCCTCTGAGCCATACAGAAGATTACAGGCTCTGTGATGATGACAGAAGTTCACTCTGGCAAGTGTAGAGGAGGCTGGGAACAGGCAGGACAGGGTCAGGTTCCAGAATGAGTTCCACTGACCACAGTTTCAATCTTTCTTTTGCCTAAGGGTCACTCACTTGGTTCCAGTTTCTGGTCCAAGGAGCTTGTCTCAGGCTCTGCCCTTTGCAAGATTGCAGTGACTGGCAAAAAGAATGACCTCATCTCTTTGGCTCAAGTTATCAGCTTGCCTAATCTCTGAAGTCTTCTATGACTCAGGTGAGATGCCCACCTCCACACCAGGAAGTAGTCTATGAAACTACTATTACCACACCACCAGAGAATATGTGGAGTAACACTACCTCACATCTGGAGAATGAGGCAGTATACATTCTAACTTCCATATTTTAAGAACTGTGTTTATGGAAAGGAAAATAAAATGACATTTTCAGGAATATGTACCAATATTAGCAAACCCAAGGTACTGTGCTCCATTTTTAAATAAGGGAATAATAAGGTTGTGAATTACTCCCTACACGCTTCATATGGTTTTGAGGACATACTATTTTACCCTTTATACAGCACACTAGCTAAGAACACCCACTGCCAGAAGACCACTTTCTTATTCTATGTAAATGAAATGTCTACAAAAGGCAAATTTACTGAGACAGAAATTGAGAGGCTTCAGCTAGGGCTTACACGATAGAGTCACCAACAGGGGGACTGCTTGGAGAGGAGGCTGTCCAAGTGAAGCCATCAACAGTTGAAAGGGGTATTGCAGAGAAGAATATTCTTTGACCCTGAAATTGAAAAATCCTTCTTCTATCGAATGCCCCTGACTTTGGGAACTACCCACTGAGGCATCTGGTGAGACTGAGAGATATACTTTCTGTAACCACACTTTGTTGATGCTTATTTTGTTTAAGAACATGAACTTGGGGTCAGTTCAGGGTTCTGAAGCTGCTTACTAGTTGTGTGACCTTGGATGAGTTACTCTACCTTTCTGTGTCTCAATTTCCTTATCTATAAAATGGACATAATATTGCATACTTCTCAGGGCTGTTCTGAAGATTACTGGGTACAATTCCTGGCACATAGTAGGTTCTCAATAAATGTTAATTCTTCCTTGTAGCCTTTTAACTGTTATGTGAGAATGCTGGAAAGTAGGAGAATGTGAAACTTTTCTGTGTCACATTTCCCATGTAACCAGAGAGGGCTTTCTCCACCTAGTTAGTGTCTAAATTTGATGGGACCCAAATATGCATCTTGGACCCAGCTCCAAGCCTGCACACACACACTCAGCATCAGTTAGATGGCTCACAGTCGCACCATGCCCCAAACTCATTATCTTCCACCCCCTCCAATTTGCCCCTCCTCCTCAAGGCTATGTTCCGTATTTAGTAAATGACACCAGCCTCCACTTAGCTTTTCAAACCTGAAGATTAGGAGTCATTCTAGACTGTTATTTTTTATTTTATTTTTATTTTTGAGACAGAATCTTGCTCTGTCACCCAGGCTGGAGTGCAGTGGCATGATCTTGGCTCACTGCAACCTCTGCCTCCCAGGTTCGAGTAATTCTTCTGCCTCAGCCTCCCAAGTAACTGGGATTTCAAGAGTGTGTCAGCACACCCAATTTGTGTTTTTATTACAGACAGGGTTTCACCATGTTGGCCAGGCTGGTCTTGAACTCCAGACCTCGAGTGATCTGCCCGCCTCGGCCTCCCAAAGTGCTGGGATTATAGGCATGAGCCACCATGCCTGGCCCATTTTAGACTCTTTAATTTTCC
Source organism: Homo sapiens (assembly GCF_000001405.40). Lineage (NCBI taxonomy): Eukaryota > Metazoa > Chordata > Mammalia > Primates > Hominidae > Homo > Homo sapiens. The sequence continues at coordinate 85,843,068 of NC_000011.10, read as the reverse complement.
TCACCTCCAGATCTAAACAAGCTTCAAGTTTCAGCAGTCTATTGACAGATTCCATTGGCCACAGCTGGAACTGAACACATTCTACAGTAGATTTAACCGAGTCATTAATTTTCATCCAAAAGTATTTTGGATGATATTTGTTGAGCAGCTACTATGAGCTAGGCACTATGGTAGGCTCTCTCTTCACTGCCTCCTCCCTAGTACAGGTCCCAATCTTTCCTGAGTTGACTGATGAGATGGCTTCCTACCCAGCTATCCTGAATTCATTCCTGTCTTCGCATTCTTCCACAGACCCATTCCCTTGTTTAAGACCATAAATGACTTTCCACAGATCTCTTAGGAAAGAGTTTCTGACATGGCTGATAAGGCCCTCCAAGATCCAGGCCCACCCAGGTCTAGGTCAGGTCCCCTTGTTATATGCTCCAGTTGGGTTCCCCCAAAAACACCCTTATATGGGGGTTTTAGTGCAAGTAGTTTATTAGGGAGGGAGTCTTAGAAAGCTATGGTAGGAAAATGGGGAGATGAGGGAGGAAGAAAAGCCAATCAGGATACGCTAACAAACAAGTTATTGGGAGATGGGTAACTGGGGCTTGGTTTCACTGAGAACCCTGGGAGACAGGAGAAAATACGCTCAGAATTGTCTTACCCAAAGGGTGAGGAAGCTGGGTGGTTAACTCTCATTTATCATCAGTTGAGGATGGTCCTGAGGGCATCGATTCCCCGGCCCCAATAGCCTACAGGGGCTAACCATGCCCCTACCCACTGCAGGTCAGAGAAGTCCTCACTCAGGACTGAGTATTGAGGTGCTTACAGGAAGAAGCTAAGGGTTTGCCTGGTGAATGCTGAGGGGATATGGGCAGCCACTGGAGTGACCACAGCTTTCAGAATGCACTTGACCTCCCCTTTGTAGCTCTCCTTACCCTTGAAATGAACTCATTCAGTGTCAGTCTTTCAAGCTAATCTCTTAACTCTGTAAGGGTGTAGACCATGTCTCTCTGCTTCACCATTATACCACCATTGCCTAGCACAGGGCCTGACATGTAAAAGGTGGTCAGAGATATTTAGCGAATGTTTGGATAAATGAATAAATGATTATTCTTTCCAGAAAGTAAACCAGGCATGCCATACTGTGAGAATGCCAGAAAGTAGTACCTGACAAATAAGTTACACCTGTGTAATAAAACCTCTATGTTATTGTGACATCTGAATTCACATAAATCACTTGATTTTTTAAAATTTAACTTTTATTTTAAGTTCAGGGGTACATGTGCAGGTTTGTTATATAGGTAAACTTGTGTCATGGGGATTTGTTGTACAGATTATTCTGTCACCCAGGTACCAAGCCTAGTACCCGTTAGTTATTTTTCCTCATCCTCTCCCTCTTCCCACCCTCCATACTCTGATAGGCTCCAGTGTGTCTTGTTCCCCTTTATGTGTCCATGTGTTCTCATCATTTAGCTCCCACTTATAAATGAGAACATGTGGTATTTGGTTTTCTGTTCCTCCATTAGTTTGCTAAGGATAATGGCCTCCAGCTCCATCCATTTCCCTGCAAAGGACAAGATCTTATTCTTCCTTATGGCTGCATAGTATTCCATGGTGTATGTGTGCCACGTTTTCTTTATCCAGTCTACCATTGATGGTAATTTAGGTTGATTCCATGTCTTTGCCATTGTGAATAGTGCTGCAACGAACATATGCGTGCATGTGTCTTTGTAGTAGGACGATTATATTCCTTTGAGTATATACCCAGTAATGGGTTTGCTGGGTTGAATGGTATTTCTGTTTTTAGGTCTTTGAGGAATTGCCACACTGTCTTCTACAATGGTTGAACTAGTGTATACTCCCACCAACCTTGTATAATCATTCCTTTTTCTCTGTAACCTCACTAGCATCTATTTTTTGACTTTTTAGTAACAGCCATTCTGACTGATGTGAGATGATGTCTCATTGTGGTTTTGATTTGCTGATCAGTGATGTTGAGCTTTTTTTCATGTTTATTGGCCACATGTCTGTCTTCTTTTGAGAAGTGTCTGTTCATATCATTTGCCCACTTTCTAATGGAGTTGTTTTTTGCTTGTAAATTTGTTAGTTCCTTATAGATGCTGGATATTAAACCTTTGTCAGATGCATAGTTTGAAAATATTTTCTCCCATTCCTTAGCTGGTCTGTTTACTCTGTTGATGGTTTCTTTTGCTGTGCAGAAGCTCAATTTTTGTTTTATTGCAATTGCTTTTGGTGTCTTCATCTTGAAATCATTGCCTGTGCCTATGTCCAGAATGGTATTGCCTGGGTTGCCTTCCATGGTTTTTATAGTTTTGGGTTTTACATTTAAGTTTTTAATCCATCTTGAGTTAATTTTGATGTTAGGAAGGGGTCCAGTTTCAATCTGCATATGGCTAGCCAGTTTTCCCAGCACCACTTATTGAATAGGGAGTTTTTCCCCATTGTTGGTTATTGTCACCTTTGTTACAGAACAGGTATTTGTAGGTGTGTGGCCTTATTTCTGAGCTCTCTATTCTGTTCCATTGGTCTGTTTGTCTGTTTTTGTACCAGTACCATGCTGTTTTGGTAGCCCTGTAGTATAGTTTGAAGTTGGATAGCAGATCTCTGATATTTTTTGACAATACCCAGTTGAGTGCAAGCCCTCAAACTATGAAACTACTACAAGAAAACATTGGGGAAAATCTCCAGAACATTGGACTGGGCAATGCTTTCTTGAGTAATACCCCACAAGCACAGGCAAGCAAAGCAAAGACAGACAAATGGGATCACATCAAGTTAAAAAGCTTTTGCGCAACAAAGAATACAATCAATAAAGTGAAGAGATAATCTACAATATGGGCGAAGATATTTGCAAACTACCCATCTGACAAGGGATTAATAACCAGAATATGTAAGGACCTCAGGTGACTCTATAGGAAAAAAAATCTAATAATCTGATAAGAAATGGGCAAAAGATTTGAATAGACATTTCTTGAAAGAAGACATACAAATGGCAAACAGGCATATAAAAAGGTGCTCAACATCATTGATCATCAGAGAAATGCAAATCAAAACTATAATGAGATATCATCATCTCACCCTGTTAAAATGGTTTATATCCAAAAGACAGGCAACAACAAATAGTGGCGAGGATGTGGAGAAATGGGAATCCTTGTACACTGTTGGTGGGAATGTAAATTAGTACAACCACTATGGAGAACAGTTTGGAGGTTCCTCAAAAAGCTAAAAATAGAGCTACCATATGATCTAGCAATTCCACTGCTGGGTATATACTCAAAAGAAAGGAAATCAGTATATTGACGAGATATGTACACTCTTATGTTTACTGCAGCACTGTTTACAATAGCTAAGATTTGGAAGCAACCTAAGTGTCCACCAGCAGATGAATGGATAAAGAGAATGTAACATATATACACAATGGAGTACTATTTAATCACGAATGAGATTCAGTCATTTGCAGCAACATGGATGAAACTGAATATCATTATGTTAAGTGAAATAAGCCAGGAACAGAAAGACAAACATTCCATGTTCTCACTTATTTGTGGGGTCTAGAAATGAAAACAATTGAACTCATGAGAGTTCAACCATCCCCACCTCCCCTCAATCCCCCATACCCTTCCCATCCTCTGGTAACTATCCTTCAGATGGGCTTCAGATGTGCTGCTGGGAGGTGGGGATGGTGAAATTGAGAAAGCCTGGTTTGGAAAAGATCTGTTACGAAAGGGTGAATATCACTGTGGGATAGCAGACAGTAAAGTGTTCCATCATAGTTAGAAAGAGTGAATAAGACTTGCTATTTGATAGCAAAACAGAGTGACTACAGTCAATAATAACTTAATTGTACATTTGAAAAAAATCAAGAATGCAAGTTCCTATAGCTGTTTAAGTTTAAAAAGGAGGTAAAGTGGCATTTATTTTTGTATGTTCATGGGATAACTCATGAATATCCCCCATGTACATCATATGACTTTCTCTGAAACTAATAAACTTTGTGCTTCCCTTAAATTTTTAAATTTAAAAAGGCCCAACACAGTGGTGGGCATCTATAGTCTTAGTATTCTAGAGGATGAGGAGGATCCTTTGAGCCCAGGAATTTGAGGCCAGCCTTGGCAACATAGTGAGATCCTGTCTCTAAAAATAAGTAAATAAACAAATAAAAACTTGCTTTTAAATGTTTTACATCTTGATTGTGCTGTTGGTTTCATGAGTGTATAGATATGTGAAAACTCATATGACTATTATATATGTGGAGATATCTTTGCTGATATAATTTGGATATTTATCCCCATCCAAATCTCATGTTTAATTGTAATCCCCAGTGCTGGAGATGAGCCCTGGTGGGAGGTGTTTGGGTCACGGGGGTGAATCCCTCATGGCTTGGTGCTGTCTTTGCCATAGTGAGTTCTCTTGAGATCTGGTTATTTAAAAGTGCATGGCACCTCCCCTGGCACTCTCTCGCACTTGTTCCTGCTTTCACCGTGTGAGATACCTGCTTCCCATTTGCCTTCTGCTGGGTTTGGAAGCTTCCTGAGGCTTCCCTAGAGGCCAAGCAGATGCTGGCACCATGATTCCTGTAAGGCCTGCAGCATTGTAAGCCAATTCAACCTCTTTTCTTTATAAATTACCCAGTCTCAGGCATTTCTTTATAGCAAAGCAAGAACGTCCTAATACATACACCTATGTCTATATCTACATCCATATCTATATCTCCAGAGAAAATACCTTTGTGTAACGCAAAATATGGATACATACTATCTCCCAAGAAATAATATATTTCCTGCTGGTATCACAAGAATTTTTTTCTCTTCACAAATTCTTGTCCCAATGCTTATATTTGAGGGGGAAATACAGTATTACTTTTCATTATCACTTATTTTTGACACAGGTTTGTCAGAGGTTGACAGGTTTTAATAACAGTAACCCAGAACCACTAAAGGCTTAACAGTGGTTCTTAAACAGAGTGATTTTGTTCCCCCGGAGACATCTGGCTATGCCTGAAGACATTTTAAATTGTCATGACTGGGGAAGGGGTGCTACCGGCATAAATAAATAAAAACTTGCTTTTAAACGTTCTATAACATTTGTGAGTATAATTAGTGGGTAGAGGCCAGGGATGCTGCTAACCATCCTGCAGTGTACAGGATGCCCCCAACAATTGGCCTGAATTTCAACAGTACTGAGATTGAGAAAGCGTGGTTTGGAAAAGACCAGTTACAGAAGGGTTAATATCATTGTGGGATTGCAGAAAGTAAAGTGCTCCATCATTATTCACCTATTCTTCATATGCTCTTATAAATAATCAAGAGGCTCCATTCTGAGGGAGGACTAGTCATTATAATGTGTGTTCCTCCAGGGTAGAAATCAGATTTGGAGTCATAGCAGTAGCCAGAGACCCTGGTTCTGCTGTCACTAGGGCTTAATTCTGTTGTCAGCAATCATCAGGAGAGTAGCTCCATCATATGGCTTCCCAGCCTCATCATTTTGACTTAAAAAGGATGTATTCGGAAAAATAGGGGGAAGTATATTCTTCTGATAGGGCAGCCATAACAAAATACCACAGACTGGATATAAACAGTAGAAAGTGGTCCAGATTAAGGTGCCATCAGGGTTGGGTTTTCTTCCTGACTTGGGGAGGGCTTTCTTCCTGACTTACAGATGGCTGCCTCCTTACTGTGTCCTCACATTGCCTTTCTTCTGTTCACGTGGAGAAAGAGAGAGATCGCTGCTAGGTCTTCCTCTTCTTATGAAGATAGCAGTTCTACTGAATTGGGCCACACTCTTATACCCTTCATTACCTTAATTGCCTCCGTGAAGGCCCTGCCTCAAAATACAATCACATTGTGGGTTAGGGCTTCAACATATGAATTTGGGAGGATACAATTCTGTCTCTAAGAGGAGCATTACAAATAAGTGTGGGATATAATGATGACTGAATTTGGAGCCTGATTCTGTAAATGGAATGTTAGAAAAAGGATGCATATTGATTGCTTGAGGAGAACATTTGGAATTTTCTCTCCTCACTACTTTTTGGGTTAATTACAGAAAGGAGCAAAGGGTTGAAACCAAAACATAGTAAACAACTTTTGTAACAGTGAAGCCATGGAATGGGGTGGAGAAATAGTCATTTCTGAGGGTTAAAAATGCCAGAAGGAATATATGTCTATGTATCTAAATTCTAAATTACCTTGTCTATCTATTAATCATCTATCTATGTATCTGTGTGTGTGTGTGTATACACATTTCCAAACAGATCTAAGGTCACATTATGACTTTGGAGGCATAAAGTATACTAAGTATAACAAAGTTTGTAATAAAATATAATATGTAATATATTTCATATTTATTAGCTAGAAATATGTTTTCTTTCAATTACTAAGTAATTATTTTTTACTTCTCAACATATCTCTTTGTTATATCATATGTGTCAAGAGCCATCATGCATATCTACCCTGAGAAACTCTGGGATGTTAGAGGCCTGTTTGTCAGAGGGCCCTGGGGCTTTGGGAGAAATGGTAGAAGGGGGCATTTAGGGTTGATTACCATTATTCTTAATATATTATTATTATTATCATGATAATTTTACATACCTCATAGTGCCATACGTATATACATGTATGAGACTATAAGATTAGAGATTTCCAGTTAAACATGGCAAAGTTTATCTCCTCTTCCTACTGAAACCTCACTAAATGTATACGTGTATGGTGGGGTTGGGTAGGTGTGGGGTGTGGTGTAAATCCAAAAAGACAGAGAATTGGAAAGGAGACATCAGCAAATGGGAAATTTCAGAAAAAAAAATTTGGAAGGTAGAAAATTAGTAGAGGAGAGAAACAATGATTTTGAGCAGAAGAGGTTACTATGTGAGAACGCATAGAGAACACAGGACTTAAAGTGGTACCAATACCATGGAAGATAAGTGAGGTGCAGGGATTAGTTATATGTTTGTTTGGAGCTATTAGCACCAAAGGACCTCTTCCCCATCTCTTGATGCTATGCAGCTACCCTCCGCAGGTGACAGAAGACAAGTTCTCTGGAGACAATGAACCAGAGAGAGCCCAGACAGACTCAGGGATGCCACACATGTAGGGGTGAGGTGGAATTGAATTTATAGCAAGAGGCTGAAACATGCTGATTATGGGAAAATTCGAGTAATGAACAGTGAGATCCTCAGCCTTCTTTCTCAAACCTTGTCCCAGAAAGACCCTACTACCAAATAGCAACTAGACATATGCTGCCCTCCCCTGCAGGCAGGAGATTGGAGGCTTTTTCTCAAGAGAAAACACGTCTACATACTGACATTTGAAGCCTCCAATACAAGAAAGCAGTGAAGGAAATCCCATTATGATAGTTGTGCAGTAGATCTAGACAGTAATCACCCCAACTGGAGCAGGAGAGTTGGAGGGTTCTGAGAGGGATATTGCCAGGAAAACAATGGAGTAGAAAGATTATTGGATATATCTGAGTATTTGGACAATAATAATAGGACCTTGACAGGCCCAAATAAGCATTTGTATAGATTCACAGAAAACTGTGCAACTGAAAATAACAAGGCAAGTATTAACACTTGGAAAAATAAAAAGTTGTTCAAGAAAGGAAAAATAATCATAGTATACTACCTGGCTCAACACTGCATAATATTTGTATGCATTTTTGTTATATAAATAGTGACTAATTATTTAACCAAAAATTGGGAGGCTAGAGGATGGAGTAAGTGAAGTTAGAAGTTGTTGGATAACTTAATTCTCATCTACCATAACGAGAAATTAATTTAGTTTTTGTTAAAAGTGATATTTCAAATTAGTGAGAAGGAATGGTATATTTAATAAGCAGTGCTGGAATTTCCAAATGGAATCTATTAAAAATAAAAATTAGACCCTTATCTTAATATAAAACCCATATTTAAATAATTAAAGTACAGATATTCCTCAACTTATGATGGTGTTATGTCTTAATAAACCCATCATAAGTTGAAAATGTTATAAGCCAAAAATGCATTTAAGGGCTGGGTATGGTGGCTCAGTCCTGTAATCCCAGCACTTTGTAAGGCCGAAGTGGGAGGATTGCTTGCAGCCAGGAGTTGAAGACCAGCCTGGTCAGCATACTGACATCCAGTCTCTACAAAAATTTTAAAAAGTAGCCAGGCATGGTGGTGTGTACCTGTAGTCCTAGCTACTTGGGGTGCTGAGGTGAGAGGATCACTTGAGCCCAGGAGTTTGAGGTTATGGTGAGCTGATTGTGCCACTACATTCCAACCTGGGTGACAGAGAAAGACCCTGTCTCAAAAAAGAAAAAAAAAAAAGAAAAAGAAAAGCATTTAATATGCTTTTCTGAACATCATAGCTTAATCTATCCTGCCTTAAATGTCCTCAGAACACTTACATTAGCTTGCAGTTGGGCAAAATCACAGAATATAAAGCCCATTTTATAATAAAGTATTGAGTATCTCATGTAATCTATTAAATACTGTACTGAAGTACAGTTTCTACCGAAGGTGTATTGCTTTCACACCATCATAAAGTCATAAAATTATAAGATAGATATTATTAATTTGAACATCATGAGGTGAGGACTGTCTGTAATAAACATTTTAAGATAAGGGCTTTAAAAATAACCTTGGAATAGAAACAGCCTTCCTAAGCAAGAAACAAGCTGCAAAACCATAAAGAAAAAGGATGGACAGATTTGACTTCAAAAGAATGAAAAACTTAGAAGTAATAAGAAACAAGGTAAATAGAAGCAACAAACTTGGAAGAAAATATGTGCAACATATTTTAAGAAATAATGGATTAATATTATTTATCTAGCTACATATATACTTTTTATTAATAGTAGTCCCATTTTGTTCTTTTTCAATCTGTCTTATTTTATATTCTGAATGTGATAATATCTGCAGTATTTGTAGTTCTGATTCTATATTTTATTTTTTCTGTGAACTCTTGTGCATGGTAGCTTGTTTCCTTGTGTTTTAATTGCAAGTTCATGTTCATTGAAACCTTATATGTGAGAACTCTTTAAAACTTTGGCTGGCTGTGGTGGCTCACACCTTTAATCCCAGCAATTTGGGAGGCCGAGATGGGTGGATCACTTGAGGTCAGGAGTTTGAGACTAGCCTGGGCAACTTGGCGAAACCCCGTCTCTACTAAAAATACAAAAATTAGCCGGGCATGGTGACGTATGCTTGTAATCCCAGCTACTCAGGAAGCTGAGGCAGGAGAAAAGCTTGAACCCGAGAGGCGGAGGTTGCAGTGAGCCACGATCGTACCACTACACTACAACACTACAGCCTGGATGACGGAGTGAGACTCTGTCTCAAAAAAAAAAAAAAAAAAAGAAATCTTCGACTCAAAGGTCCTTTTCCTGAAAGTTTGCTTTTACTAACTAATTGCCTCAGAGCATTACCAACCCAGAACCACTTTGAAGGATATTTATGTGTGAGGTTTTCTTATGCTACACAGATTTGTGGATTCTGGTTCCAAACCTGCCTGAGGGCTGAACTTGTAGTTAGCAATTTTCCCCCTTCACTTCTCCCCAGTGTCCAAATGGCTTTCCCGTTATTAGTCTTGCAAATCTGATCATGTCACTTTCCTCTACTTAAAAACATATATACATATCATATATATAATCATATATATGTGATATACATATATATGATATATAGGTATGTATGATATATATATGAGATATATCATATATCTCATATATATATCGTGTATATATATGATATATATGATATATATTGTGTATATATATGATATATATGATATAATGATGTACCCAAATACCTACATAATGGAGTCTGGCAATGATAGATGCCCAATATGTTATATGATATAATTTTTTTAAAGGATTGTTTACATTGCTGCCTATTTTTTCTTTGTTTCTTTCTTTCTTTCTTTCTTTCTTTCCTTCCTTCCTTCCTTCCTTCCTTCCTTCCTTCCTTCCTTCCTTCCTTCCTTCCTTCTTTCTTTCTTTCTTTCTTTCTTTCTTTCTTTCTTTCTTTCTTTCTTTCTTTCTTTCTTTCTTTCTTTCTTTCTTTCTTTCTTTCTTTTCTTTCTTTTTTTTTTGAGACAGGGTCTCCCTGTGTTGGCCAGGCTACAGTGCAGTGGAGCAATCATAGCTCACTGCAGCCTTGACCTCCTGGGCTCAAGTGATCCTCCCAGCTCAGCCTCTCAAGTAGCTGGGACTACAGGCACATGCCACCATACCCAGCTAATTAAAATTTTTTTTTTTTGTAGATACAAGGTCTCACTATGTTGCCCAGGCTGGTCTTGAACTCCTAGGCTCAAACAATTCTTACTGCATCATCCTCCCAAACTGCTGAGATTAGAAGCATGGACCACTAAACTAGGCCTTAAAAACCTATAGACCAACTCATTTGTCTGGTCTCAGCTTGAACATTATTTCCTCATAAATACCTCCACTAACTGCCTATCGTGAAACTAAGTCAGATTTCCAATGCATGTTCTTATACCTCCTTGTACTTCTTCTCATAGCATTCATGACACTTGAATTCAATTATTTGTGTAGTTATATTTCAGTGACTCTCTTCATCACTGGCTGTAAAGTTACTGTTTTTGGGAACTTTGTCAACAACTTTCACTGCTATATGTCTAACATCTAACGTAGGGCCTGGTGCATATTTGTTGAATGAATACAAAAATGAATTAATAGTTTGGGAAATATTACCATGGAACAAACTTAGTTCCTAGCTCTGCAATGTTCTTGCTATGTAAACATGTCTAAATTATTTAATGTCTCAAAGTCTTGTTCATTTATAAAATAGAATTAGTAATACCCACCTCATATGGTTGTTATGAGGGTAACAAATGATGTACCCAAAGACTGACATAATGGAGCCTGGCAATGATAGATGCCCAATAAGTGGTAGCTTTTATTATTGTTTGCCAGATATGCCTCCTAAGTTCTGCAGAGTTGTGCCAACCAGTTTTTTGCACATATGCAATTTCAGCATACTCCTGTAGCATTTCAAATACAGAATAATGTAAAGAACTTTCAGCCCTTGATGAGTCACTATATAAAGATAATAATTAATGAATTATTCCAGAAATTGTCATTTAAAAGTGATACAGACTTAAAACTAGGTAAAATTTACTTTTTAAAAATAAGCCAGCATGATGGTTTCATGGATGTATACCTATGTCAAAATTTATTAAGTTGTACATTTTAAGTATGTGCAGCTTATTATGTGTAGCTTCCAAGTTTGTTCCTTATGTTTAGCTTATTTCTTATCACTCCTGAGTTTTTTGTTGTGGTCAAATCTGTCCATCATTTTCCTTTATGGCTTTTGCAGTTAGTGTCTTGATATGCAAACAATTGTACACATTTAATGTATATATCTTTATGAGTTTGGATATATGCATACCCTACAATACTATCACCACAACCAAAGTACTAAACGTATCCATCACCTCCAGAATTTTTCTTGTGTTTTTAGAAATCTGTTTTTTAAAATAGAAAAATATTAAGCCATCATCATGTATAATGAACTATGTGAATTAGTTCTGCTATTTAGGAGCAAGTTTGATCATTTAATTTTTTTTTAACCAAAAGGATCTATTTCCATTATTTGGCTTCAACTTGAGGACAGTTTAATTGTTTTTCAGATGGGTTTTTCTCTTTGAGATTTGCTCTGCAGTTTGACCATCACTGCTGAAACTCCACTCCTCAAATGTAAATATTTGCTGAAGGTTAATCTTGCTTTGATAGTACAAAAGCAAACTTTCTACATTTCAAAGTTGGCAGGTGCTTTTCACAGTGGTGCCCTGAAAAATCTGCATAATGCCAGTTTCTTTTAAAGCTAGTATCCTTCATAGATCTGATACTGGTGAACTTGAGCCTTTTTCTGAAGAGTGACTACTTAAGCACACAATTGATGAATTATGAGTATCCACACATGACTCAATAGTCTGTATTTCTGCTATTGTTAAGGCAGCAACAATCTTTATTATTTATTTATTAACACCCACTGAATACACTCAACTTGGGTTAGCCAGCCCAAAGACCCATGAATAAAACCCCAGGGCGTAGAACTGAAAGTTGATCAAGAGCAGGTGCTGCTTCCATGAATCTGGCGAAGAATTTTGAGATATAGTGGCCTAGTTTTTGTTGCCCCAAAGCTGACCCTAATGCAAGAACTTGGGATGTAGGTAGTTTTTTAAGGAAGTGATCCTAGGAAGCATAAATCAGGAAGTGGGGGAAGTGGAGAGGGAAGGGAGAAATGTTAATTTAAAAATGTGTTAATGAGTAAGTTTCTGCTGCAGGAAACTGGGGTCCATCTCACTAGGGATGCTGTAAGGACGCTGAAGGAAGAAGCTCCAAAATTGTCCCACCACAGGATAGAGAAGCTAGAGTATTTATCCACATATTCCTATCTTCATTGTTTGAAATATGTCCCTGAGAATTAGGGGCATCTGTCCCTTTCTCCCACCCCTTTGTGGGCTGAGCAAACTCTTGTGAGCTGAAGAAAGTCCTAGACAAAGACACAAAGAGACATCAGCCATTGAGATAGAGCTGCAGGTAAACTCAGAGGTTGGACAAGGGGATATGTCTGGAGCATAAACACCACATGCTGCATGGAAGGTTTAGGATCTTTGATGTGACAGATTTTCAATGCAAGGTGTCAATGAATGTGTAGTGGCATGGTTAAAGCAATGGGTTTATAAACTCTGAAGGAGTCCTTCACCATTTTTTTCTCAGAATGAAAATTGATGAAGTGCACAATTGGCTAGTCAACTCAGTTGTTTGGTATCCAGTAGACCATTGGTTTTCAAAGCATGGTCTCCAGTCCTGCAACATCAACATCACTTAAAATTAGTTAGGAATGAAATGAATAGGGGCCCACCACAGCCCTATTGACTCAGAAACTCCGGAGTGGTACTCAAAAATCTGTGCCAAGCCCTCCAAGAAATCTTGATACACACTGAAGTTTGAGAATGATTGATATTAGACAAAACACTGTACTGTGAGACGTAACTTTATCCCAACCACAGGGTAGTTAACTGTGTATAAAGAGAACTGTTTGGTTTCTGGTCTTAGTTGGATGTGAATATGGACCAATTAGTTGACATTTAGAAATTGTTTCCAATCTGTAAAATGAGAAGTTTGGATTAGTGTACTGCTGTTTCAAAGTTTTTTAAAGAAGTGGAATACCTACCTTCTTCCAAAGAAATTTTACTTGAAACATCAACCCTTATATACTAAAATGTCGGTATACAAGACATATAAAAACAGAGCTCCAGCATCATTAATCATCAGAGAAATGCAAATCAAAACTACAATGAGATACCATAGTACACCAGTCAGAATGGCAATTATTAAAAAATAACAGATGCTGGGGAGGCTGTGGAGAAAAGGAAACACTTATACACTGTTAGTGGGAATGCAAACCAGTTCAGCCACTGTGGAAAGCAGTTGAGAGGTTTCTCAAAGAACTTAAAACAGAACTACCATTTGACCCAGCAATCCCACTACTGGGTGTATACCCAAAGAAAAGTGATTCATTCTATCAAAAAGACATGTGAACTTGTATGCTCATTTCAACAGTACTCACAATAGCAAAGACATGGAATCAACCTACGTGCCCATCGACAGTGGATTGGATAAAGCAAATGTGGTACATATACACCATGGAATACTACACAGCCATAAAAAAGAACAAAATCATGTCCTTTGCAGCAACATGGATGGACCTGGAGACCATTATCCTAAGAACTGCATGCTATCACTTATAAGTGGGAGCTAAATATTGAATACACATAAACATAAAGATGGGAACAATAGACACTCAGGACTACCAGATGAGGGAGGGAGCAGGGCATGGGCTTAAAAACCACCTATTTGGTACTATGCTTACTAACTGGTGACCCAATCATTTGTACCTCAAACTTCAGCATCACATAATATACCCCCATAACAAACCTGCACATTTACCCCTTAATCTATAATAAAAGTTGAAACTATAAAACAAACAAACAAACAAAAAAAAAAAAACAGAGCTCTTTTTTGGGTATGGTGGCCCAGTATCCTGTCTTCTTACCTTCCCTAAGGTGGCTTCCCAAGCACCACTGTGGATCTTCAGGGTTTCAAGAAGTATAGTTTGAGAGCTACTGCACAGAAGACCAGGGTCCTACTGCAATATGATCTGAGACAGCAGGCAGACTTAACCACTATTTACTTGATGATGACATTAACATAGACCTGGGATCATAAACCTTGGGTTCAAGGCCTTGGCTGTACCCCTACTAGCAGGACAACCATGGACAAATCATGTAGTCTCCGTGGCCTTAGCATCCTCATTTATTAAATGGCATTGACTCTGATTCTTGTCAAACCTGTCTTAGAGGGCTGTTGAGAGGATCAAATGAAATCATGCATGTGATTATAGTTTATAAATTGCTAAGTCTTGTTTAGTTGAAAGGGATTATTGTGGGAGAAATTATCCTTCCAGGTAGTTTTCCTTTGTAACTGGTGCCAAAGATAGGTAGAGATAGACAGAGAATGTAAATAGTTAAATGGTCTGTAGTTTCTGCCTTATCTTAGAGGGATGCAAATATAATTTTCCTTTTTAATTAAAAACCTGTTTACTATGATGAGTCACTTAAGCAGAGACTTGAGTTAACCGGTTGAATCATTCTACAAAGCTTGTAAAAGTAATGTTTGAGTAATACTATCTAAAGAGATCATTTTTCTTAACCATTTACTGCCTACATACTAATAATTCAAACATATTTTGGAATATGTTGACCTTAGTGTTTGCAGCTGCTTGCATATGCAGAAAAAATTTAGTATAACATTAATTCATATTTATTTAGTTCATTTTTCTGCCAGATAAGTCTTCTGGGAGTGACTCATTCATCCACCACAGAGATGCCTGAGAAATACCAAACAGCATGTTTTATGGCTGTATTTTGCCATCAGGGAAGTTATAAATAATTCCTTGTGGAACTTTTAGAAGACAATCTAGTAGGAATGCCAAACGTAGTCACTACAGTTAGCTAGTAGTGAGGTTGAAGACCTATTTATTTCCAAACCCTCAGGATGGCAGAGGGTTAAGATAAAGTCTGAAAACTGTCATCCTAAGAAACAGATATTTGCCAGTAACTCTCAATGGCCACATTGAGGTTGCCTAGCAACTTTTTGTGAGTGTGTTTCACTTTGCATTTGCTAAACACATTCTTATCACTACCTAGATCTTCAACCTAACACTGTTGTACTCCAGTCAAAACTCTCTGAGTGGGAATCAACACAGACTTGACAAGGATTTTCTTATGACTACCCCATATCTGGGTGGAGGGGCTGTCAACATTTCTGAACCTTGGAGCTAGCTAGGAGACATGGAACAAGCTTCCTGTAAGTGTGCTCATTCACTCATTCAAAAAAGAGACAGATACCCAGAACTTACTATTTATAAGGCACTGTGCTGGCCACAGTGGACAAAACAGGCCTTTGCTAGGATCCATAGAATATGGAGGAGTTGGCAGGCAGGAATTAGGGGTGGGGAGACAAAGAAGCATGGAGGGGAGCAGAGAGTGCTTCCAGCAGAGAGAACAGCCCCTGGAAAGGCCCAGAAAAGAATGAATGGCATATTGTGAAGACTGAAGAGAGACCACAATAGATAAAGTACAGGGAGCCATAGGGGTAGTGAGGTGAGCTGGTGCCAGATGCTGGAGGACCTTGTCATCATGGGATCCCTTTTCCTCATTTCTTTAAAGCTAGGACCGGTGCAGAGCAGTGCTTCCCAACTGCTCCATGGAATCCAGTGGGGTCCACCTAGGGGCCTCAGAGGGCCTTGGGGAATAGAGGTGGGAAGGGAATGGCTCTGGGATCCAACTTCTGCCTCAGTAACAACAGCATTGCTAATATCCATTTCAAATGTTGGGGATCTGAGTAAGATCACATTGGAAGACAGGGCTCCATGGATTAAAAAAATGATTGAAAGCCACCAGGTCCCCTCTGACTCTGACATCCTTGGATAATAGTATTCCATGCTGATCTCCCTGAGACTATGCTTTCTGGGTTACTGGGTCCTTCGGCTTATTATCTCCTAAGGAGGAGCCCATTCCTGACTGAAAACACTCAGGGTTATGGTGTGAGCAAAGGTCCTGGGACTTGCTAGCCTGTTTTTCACAGAACTTTCAGAAATGGTCCCTGAAATTTCACTTTCCCACTTTCACTGTTCATCTCTTCATGTCAGCAGGAGAGAAGACCTTTCGGCAGGATTCATACCTGCCTTCACGAGGAGTGAATATGTTGTGATGCTGAGTCCCTGCCGACTGTGAACTAGAGCTTTATAGCACATCCACCTCCAGGCTGAAGGGAGTTAAACGAGCATGGGTAGCAACTTCTCCTAAAGTGAGAGCTCTCTCTCTGACATACCGTTAGAGGCTCAGCAAGTATCAGCAGAATTGTTTGCTTTCTGTTTCTCCCCAGCCCCTTGTCCTCCAGACGCTGGCTCCCTAGACCAGCACAGCCTGTTTTAGCTTCTCTCTCACCTGACTCCCCTGGACTTGATTTCTTGCCTCCTTGACCTCTGGACATTGCCTCAAGACCAGGCTCCTGGTCTGAAATTCAACCTTTGCTCACATACACATGGAATCTGCAGACTGTCTCTGCACAGATGGATTGAGGGCCTGGCTCCTCTGATGCAGAGCAGCCTGGCCATCTGCCCAAACCCTCACAGACAGTGGTCCTAATTTAGGGAATCAGTTTGGACACTACTTGACAGCTCTGCCTTCCCCAGCCACTCCCAGCTGCAGCCACTAGATGTCTTCCAGCAGGAGACAGGCCTCCTCAGTCCTCCTGTGCATCCTGACATAAGCAGTGCTTTTCAATGTTTAATGTCAAAAGAATCACCTGGGGATCTGGCCAAAATTATAGGTCTGGGGTGGGGCCAGACAGCCTGCATTTCTAAGACGTTCCCAGGGAATATCAATGTTCATGAACTCCACTTTGAGTAATAAGAAAGAGAATGTGAATAGACTAGCAGCCTCAGCCTCACCTGAGAATGGGATCTGGAATTAGTTTCTTAAGAGTTTTTCACTTATTAGTACACATTTATTAAACACTCTTTCTCTCCGTGGCAGTTGCTATGCTGCTAAGACCCATTCTTTGCTTTCCAAGGAGCTTACAATCTAACAAAATAATATTTCCGTTGCTTAATTCTCACAAGATCCCTATGAAATCATGATTAGTGCCATTTTATACATAAGGAAACAGTCTTAGAGAAGTTAAGAGATTTGTGAAAGATTACACTAACGGGAAATGACAGCCTGGATTCCAGTTAAAACATTGCTCTGGCTCTGGGCCTTCATGCTTTCTAGGATATCTCATGCACCTTTTTCTTGATATTTTTGTGCTGCCCAAATCCATACAGTTGTGTTTCTGCCTCAGTTTCCTTGCCTAACACTTTAGTTGTGGATTAGGCTGAGCTATGCTCCAACCCTCTTCCCCAAATCTTGCTAGAGATCAGGGACCCAGCTCTTTCCAGTCTTTCCTCACCTACCCATCCCCTGTGGGGTCTTCCTATAGATAGTCCAGTTGCTTGGAAACACAAACCGTTGCTCCATGTTGCAAAATAGCTTCTAGGAACTAGCCAGGAAAATGTTCTCTTCCCTCTATAACTCAACCTCATGGTCCTTTTTTTTTTTTTTTTTGAGACGGAGTCTCGCTCTGTCGCCCAGGCTGGAGTGCAGTGGCGGGATCTCGGCTCACTGCAAGCTCCGCCTCCCGGGTTCACGCCATTCTCCTGCCTCAGCCTCCCAAGTAGCTGGGACTACAGGCGCCCGCCACTACGCCCGGCTAATTTTTTGTATTTTTAGTAGAGACGGGGTTTCACCGTTTTAGCCGGGATGGTCTCGATCTCCTGACCTCGTGATCCGCCCGCCTCGGCCTCCCAACTCATGGTCCTTTAGAGCTGCACACTCAGCATCAGGCACTTCAAAACATAAGTAAGCTATGTATTAGGCGTAGTGAACAAAGAAGGAAGTGACACTGATTTATGCAGCATTCATTCTCCAGCCTCTTAACCCAGGGCAATGCACTAATGATCCAGACATCCTTTTCCTAGGGATGGACGTAGCAGCTAGTGGAGCTCCTGAAGTGGCTTGTCCCAAACCCTATCTCAGCTGTGCTAGTCTCTCTGCCAGCGCTCTAGGGAGAGCAGAAAGGGTGGGATAGATTCTGGAGGAGTCGTCTTCGCAGGATAAATGTTACACAGGCCATAGCAGCTCTCCTCTGTGGTCATGGCTTTGACTTCTCCTAGTGCCCGCACTTTCTTTTCCCCTGCCCTGCTAAGCAGGACCTGCTTCTCAAGCAAGCAAGGAGCTTACTTTCTATTGGCTCCCTTACTCATTTAGTTTTCCTGGAGGACAGGGAAAAGGAGAAATCTTTGCTATGGCCTCAACTATTTTATTTTAGAATGGCAGAATTTAGAAATAGGAATTGAGAAATGTATAATTGCCAGTTCTCACTGACCATTGCAATATTTTCTGTTACTCAATACAAACCATTCTACCCCAAGACACTCAGTG
The DNA here is from genome assembly GCF_000001405.40 of Homo sapiens. Classification (NCBI taxonomy): domain Eukaryota; kingdom Metazoa; phylum Chordata; class Mammalia; order Primates; family Hominidae; genus Homo; species Homo sapiens. The sequence continues at coordinate 85,824,511 of NC_000011.10, read as the reverse complement.
TGACTTTTAGTGGGAAATCTTCAGTGAAATTCTATAAACCATACCCAGGCTGATCCTTTCTTTCACATTCTAATCCTCAAGGAAGATGATCATAAAGCTGATCTTAGGTAAATCTTCTGTGGATGGTATGTCATTTTGAATGATGCCTCCTGCTTGTATAAATGTTCCTTCCCTCCTCACACACACCCAACAGTCAGTAATACCCATCCTGCACAAACCCAAGTTTGCCGTGGACCTTCAGACCCTGTAGTTTAATGTCAGCTGGATGCTCTGATCCTAACCTCTCCAATCTTCTTCCCCACCTCTGTCTGTATTGCTGAGGCCCCAGCATATACTACTCAGCAGCCTGCTGGAGGAGTTATATTATTAGACTGTTTTAACCACATCATAGTTAAAACAGTGCTCTGTAAGTCACTGAGACTCCATTTGCACTCACCCGCACTCAGACAAAATGTAAACATGTTCATGGGTGGCAGTGTGGTGGCCTGTGGTTTCCTTTAATTCAAAGTTAAAGTCCCATTCAGGGTTTCCCATGGTTTCTTTGCAAGTCCCAGAATTGTTACTTGTTTACTCTGAACATGAAGGTGGCTGATGGAAGTTCAACCTGACTAACCACAGCATCCTGTAGTCAGCACATAGATGACTGGAGCTTACGTAGAGTTTACATGCATCTTGAAAACTTTTGAGTGTTATTTGAGCTAGTGCCTTAAGAAGTAACCCGGAGTAAAATCTTAAAGCTTTGCATCAATATTTTCTTTTTGGTATTCCACTCAAGTATAAAAGGTCTTGTGGTCCAACTCTATAATTTTTGACTGTATAATTTTGGCAATTTCCAGGCATTTTTCTATGGAAAATTCCTTTCAACCCAGTAACGGATACTTAGTAGTATTGATAGAATTGACCACAAGTGTTTTAAAAATAGGAAACTTAAAGAAACAAAAAGGGAAATAAATTAGTACATTTTAGATGTTTTAAAAGTGGATTAAAGTACTAATATAAAGCATAATGGGTAAACTATATCTTTACCTTCTTTCAAGTCCACATGCTATTTCTTGCCTTAGAAATTTGTAAATGATCTTAATGTAGAAAGTATCTGACTGAAGACTGTGCAAGCTGGCAGCTGCTAGACTACTAAAATCTTGAATTTTACTGTTGGTGAATGTCAGCCGGCAACATGTACTTGATATTCTATTTAAGGCTATTGGCACACTAGAAGATAATCTAGGACTCAGCACATTTCCCAAACACTCATCAATTATTTATTCATTCTACAAATATATCCAGTGCCTACTATGTGTCAGAAACTGCTTTGGATTTTAAGCCTTAAAATGATGAAAAAGACAATGTTTCTGCCTGCATGGAACTTATATTCTAGTGGAGGCTCAAATGTTTGTTAGTTGAGTAAGTGAATAAATGAAGGAGGGTGGCAAGAGGGAGGAGGCTGGGACTAGGCTGGATTGTGGTGAAAGCAACCAATGTTCCATGATAATGCCTGAGGGCTTAGTCACAGCCACAAGGTTAGGTCCAAGTGTTTAAGCCAGCATGGCGACCTTACCATTCTCTTCACACTCAGAGGCCTACAAGGAGGCCCTGTCTCCATATTCAAGTGCTTGCTTGGGAAGTCATTGCTTTTTGCACCTCCATCCTCCCTTTTGCATGCACTTGTTCCTTAATGTTGGCGTTAGTTACGGTCCTACTCCCTGTCAGCTTGTCCGTCCTCTCTGCCAGGCTCTTTGGATTGATACTTCTTTGGCCTGACTGTGGATTCCTCTTCTTGCCTTTGTCCCTAAATACTTTCCTTGGGATTCCTTCTTGTCTTTATCTACTACTTCCCCTAGCTAATGGCCAGATCTATCCCAATCTGAGCACAGCTATAGTTTCTGATTTGAAGCCTTAGATACTCCCTGACCTAATGGGAAATGAGATGTCAGGGAGTGGAACTTAGCAGCAGCAGTTTCCAGACAGTGATGGCTCTCAGATCCAGGCAGGCAGCAAGGCTGAGTTTGCAGGGGTTCATCTAATTTGGAATAGGACCACAACTAGGAGGAGGAGTTTGACAGGAGAAGGTCAATGGCTCAGGGATTCAAGACAGGTTCTCTGCCCTGGCAGAATAAGTAAAGTGTAGAGCAAATAGTAAGATCCAGTCTTATAGATGCTTGAGCATGGCCAAGGTTGGGGCAAGGCTGTACCTTGCTGCAAGGGGTGGGCTCCAAGCTCATTTTTTGTTAGCAGTAGCCATTCCAGACCCCATGACTAGGAGTCCGAGATCATTGATCTGGTAGTCTGCTTACACCTGAGACTCACAGAGAAAACTGGCTGCAAGAACAGACTTTGAGAGGAGACAGACTAGGGTGCGAATCCCTTCACCTCTCTGATCCTTAGTATCCTCACTTGTAAAATGGGAGTGGTAACACCTGCCTTACAGGGATGTGGTAAGGATTCAATGAATTTGGTATAACTATTAGATCTCTTTGAAATGGAAAGCAGATAAATGAGTCTTTGAGCACCTAGGGCTCTCTATGAGGCCCAACTAAGGGTGGAAATGGCCAGGGCCCCAGTGCTGGTGTGGCTGGCTCTGCTGCCACTGGCAGGGTCTAGCACAGTCATTCAGGTAGAGCTATTCAAGAGCAACAACACCCAGTGGTTGTGCTCTCCCACTGGATTCTGGGGAGTGGTTGGATGTTGGCTCATTCATCTCTGCCACATGCTCATGTGTATATAGTCATCTTATGTTTGTCTTGGCTCTGCTGTGAGCACATTACCTCTCTGGGTACTGAATCTACTTCCTTTAATCTCAAAAAACATTGACCAAAAACTGAAAATGGACATATATATAGCTCCTGTCCCTGAGTCCGTTCCACATACTTAAGCTTCTTTCATTCTTCTGCTCAGAAATCTTCAGTTGCTTGTTATATTTAACTGTACCATTGCTGGACTTTCCAGGCCTTTTATAATCTGATTTTAACATGTCTGGCCATTCTGCTCCCTTTGCTTCCTAACACTCGCCTTCTTTGTCCCACTGGAACCTGTGTCTCTCAATCACGGCTTGCTTCTCCCAGCTCTGGTGCCTTCACCTCCAGTTGTCCCTGTTATTCCTCTTTTAAAAATCCTACTCTTTCTTTAACGTGGCTCAAGTCTCACCTTTCCCTTTTTTGACTCCTGGAGTCCTTATTGGTCTACATGTCTCTGAACTCCTGTGATACTTAATATTTTAGAATCTATAAGATGCTCTAAACTGAAGATAAACCATTACTTTATGTACCATTAGAAAAACACTTCTAATTAAACTGGCAATTGTAGAATGCAGAACACATCCTTATTTCAGAAATGTTAAGCTATAAAAAAAGATGTGCATCTTAGAATCAATGAAATATGGTAACTAGTATGGATATTATTCATAATTAATAGGTGTTATCACTGTTTCAGAGTTGCCTGTTTATTTCACTGACTCACCCACTAGAAAGTACACTTCATGAGGACAGACTTCATGCCTGGCTCATTCACTGTTGTATCCCCCAGCATGCAGCACCCTGCCTGGCACTCAATAAATGATTGGATAAATGGATTTCTAAAGTGATTGAAAAGTTCCTTGAAGGCAGGGATTATGCACTGAACTCTTATATGTCTCCTACAGTATACTTACTTTAAAAATTGAGATATAACATGCATTTAGTAAAGTGCCCAAATCTTAAGTGTGCAGCCTAAAGTCTTTTTACGTATGTATACATCTCTCAAATGAAGATGTAGAACGTTTTCTTGTGGTATGTTTCCCAGTGCTGAGGAATAGGAGATACACATCAGTATTTATCAATACTTACTGATTGATTAAATAGGCTTTAGCAACCCCTGTATACCTCAGATGCAACTATTTTTCCTAGTTTAATGGCTCTTAAACTCTCGTACATGCCAGAATCACCTGGAAGGCTTACAGAAGTGCAGACTGCTTGGCCTCACCCCCAGAGTTAGAATGTCTGTGGTAGAGCCTGATAATCTGCTTTTCTAACATGTTCCCAGGTGATGCTGATGCTGCTTCTATGGGGTGGAAAATAGATTCTTTTTCTGGGTATTAAATGTCTTCCAAATCAGGTGCTCACTCTAGGCAGGGGTTCTTTATCTTTATTTTGCCATGGGCAGTCTGGGAAGTTTGGTAAAACCCATGTGCTCCTTCTCAGAATAATGTTTCTAAATGAAATAAAATAAAATACCCAGGATTACATAGAAAATCAATTATATTTAAATCGTTGTTCAAATTATTTTAAAGTTATTTTTAAAAATTTAGTATTTACAATATCTGCAACAAGTCAACTGTAGTGTTAAATAAAAATGTGAGATTTCTATTGGTGATAAAGTTGCATCTACTGATAATACTACTGTGGGTTGTTGCTTACATTTATAATGGAAGGAAATGCTAAATTTCAAATAGGCATTGATGAAAATAAAGAACCTAGGTTAGGAATCCTTGCCATGCTGCAATCTAAAATGAAATGATCTGCGCTTTGTATTTGGTGAAGTTCTCAAAAATTCAATTCAGTGCAGTGTCCCTCATGCAGAGACAGTGATGCTGGACATTGAGAGAGAGGAATAAGATACTGTCTCTTCCCTTATTCATGAAACTTCCATTTTGGAGAGTGAACACCAAAATATAAACAATAATTAAAGTGGAGTGTTACATATGCAGAAATACAAGAATGCACAAAGCATGTAAGTAGAAGATGGAATGATTTATGTTAGAGCATGAGAGAGAGGGATGAGATCTCAGTTAACTAGAATCCAGTTGAATGGAAGTTGTGGCAGCAGACTGTTACATTGGTGGTCCCTGATGAAACATGCTTCCAGATATTCAGGCCCTCCCACATTGATACTGAACTTGGCTACAAAACCTGCTTTGGCCAAATGAACATTAGCAAGCATGACATAAACACTTGCACATTGAGGCTTGACTCTTGCAATGCTTGGGATCCAGCAGCCATGTGAAAAGCTTAGGCTAAATTACTGAATGAGAGGCCATGTGGGCAGAGGCCTAGGAGAAGGAGAGACCATCTTGGGGCTTCCACCCTCAGCTGAGCTCTCAGCTGAGTGCAGCCGCATAAGGAATCCCAAGTAGTGAGTGCGGCAACAGAACCATCCAACCCACAGAATCGTGAGAAATTATAAATCATCATTTGACCACTGCATTTTGGAGTGGTTTGCAGCAAGCATACCAATAGATAACTGAAACAGTTGTTTTAAATTTCTTTAATATTTTTCCTTTTCCATTTGTCTTTTAAAGATGCAGAGGGTAACATAATCTGAAGCAGAGATTTTTTTGCAAACAAGTAAGCACAATTTTCAGAAAAGCTACTAGTATTTTATATGTTTAAACCCTATAAGATCTATGACTAGAGAATTGATATGAAAATTATGACAGGTAAATTTAAATGCTGATCTTCAGAGAGTGACTGTCTTAAAAATCATAAACTCTTAAAACCTGGGATTTTGAGCTGAAGAGATCTTGGAATCTATGCAGCCTGACTTCTTATTTTTAGAGATAAGGACACCGAGGCAGGAGAGGTTAAATGACCTATTCAAGGCCACACAGTATGTTGTTAGTAGGGTCCAGAAGAAAAGACAAATCTCTGACTTCAAATTCAGTATCTTTTAATAAATACAAAATATTAGCTGGGTATGGTGGTGCATGCTTATAGTCCCAGCTACTCTGGAGGCTGAGGTGGGAGGAATGCTTGAGTTCGGGAGGTCAAGGCTGCAGTGAACTATGATCACACCACTTCCCTGCAGTCTGGGTGATAGAGCGAGACCGTCTTAAATAAATAAATAGATAGGTAGATAGATAGATAGATAGATAGATAGATAGATAGTAATTTATACATTACCATGATCTTATTTACATTTTTACTATAGGCAAGTGGATATTTTTTTCCATCCTTTCCAATTTTTATTGATGGAAAATCTGAGATTCAGAGTTGAAGAGACCTGCTGATTTTTACATAAAACCAGAACTAGATTCTTGGCCATATGACCCCCGGTCCAGGGCTTTTTACTTACGTTGTCTGTGATATTCAATATAAAAAGCAAGGAAATAAACTATTTTTGAAAGAGAATCAACAGCAAACCCTAATCTGATTCATCTTTGAATTCTTCATAGCAATATACCATATATAATGGTCATTCAATAAGTATTTATAATATGAAATAAGTACATGAATGAGTAATTTAATAAACAAGGGATGTAACAAAATTATGTTTCATGTGTATGTCTCATGTGCACCACGCACTTCATCCTTGAAGTGTATGGTTAATCAAGGTTCCTCTGGCCAGGCACGGTGGCTCACGCCTGTAATACCAGCACTTTGGGAGGCTGGGGCAGGTGGATCACTTGAGGTCACGAGTTCAAGACTAGTCTGACCAACATGGTGAAACCCTGTCTCTACTAAAACTACAAAAATTAGCTGGGCATGGTGGTCCATGCCTGTGATTCTAACTACTTGGGAGGCTGAGCCAAGAAAATCGCTGAATCCGGGAGGTAGAGGTTGCAGTGAGCCAAGATCACACCACTGCACTGCATCCTGGACCACAGAGTGAGACTCTGTCTCAAAAAAAAAAAAAAAAAAAGAAAAGACACAAAGGTCCTTCTGTACTTGAAAATAAACAGGGGATAAAAACCCCAGTCAGTAGCAATGATAACATTTTGTAATTATTGTGCTTTGAATTCTAAAGCAGAGTAACTAACACAGATGTAAGATCTTTCAACATGACTCTCTTATCCTGTATACAATAACTCACAAGTCCCTCTCTGGATGTGGCACCGTGGTAGGAAGGAGGTGATGGGAGAACTTGCCACTGAAACAATGAGAAATAGAGCTGACTGCCTCTTCTCCCAAGTGGGAAAACTGAGGTAGGGAATGTACCCAGTCAGCTTCAAGCAGGCCTTTACAAAAGAAATATAATATAAGCCACATATTTAATTTAAAATATTCCAGTAGCCACACTAAAAAGTAAAAATAAACAGATGAAATTAATTTTCATAACATATTTCATTTAATATATTCAAAATATCATTTCAACATGTAATCAATACAAAATTACTGATGAGGGGTGTGTGTGTGTATATATTTTACACTTACAGTACGTCTCAATCTAGACTAGTCACTAGCCCCAGGGGGCTGGTGGCTACCATTTTAAACAGCACAGGCTGTGTATCCTTGGGTAAGTAACTACCCTCATATAACTCAGCTTCTCATCTGTAACCACTGAGAGCTGCTTAGATGATTACATGAAATAATGGGTATACACGAATTTAGTCTAGTTCCTGGCAGGTAGGACGTACTCAAATAGTAGTAGCTGTAATAATCTACCAGGATCTCACTTTGTCACACAAGTGCTCAACCCCATTCTGGATTATTTTAAAAAGTTAGTAAGAGTCACTACACAGATTACTGTTTTCTCTTCTGCAGTAGGTGCAGAGGGGCTCTTAGGTAAGATGAATTTCAAAGATTAAATAAATAAAACTAAAAAGGTCATGGGTTATGACATTATAACTAGACTTCTTCTACCAGAAAGACTCTCTTATAAGATGGTCTTTTTTTTTTTTTTTTTTTTGAGACAGGGTTTTGCTCTGTCACCCAGGCTGGAAAGTTTAGTGGCATGATCATGGCTCACTGTAGCCTTGACCTCCTGGGCTCCAGTGATCCTCCCACCTCAGTCTCCTGAGTAGCTGGGACCACAGGCATGTGCCACCACGTCCAGCTATTTTTTATTTTTATTTTTTGTAGAGAACAAGTCTCACTATGCTGCCCAGGCTGGTCTCAAACTCCTGTGCTCAAGCGTTCTTACTGCTTCAGCGTCCCAAAGTGTTGGTATTACAGGCGTGAGCCACTGTACCCAGCCATTCTAACCATTTATAAATGTACAGTTCTATGGTATGAAGTACAGTCACATTGTTTTGCACGTGTATGCAGAACATCTCCAGAACTTTCTCATTGTCCCACACTGAGACTCTGTATCCATTAAACAGTAACTCCCTATTACCTTCTCCTCCCTAGCCCCTGGTAACAACTATTCTACTTTCTGTCTCTTTGCTTTTGACTATTCTAGGTACCTCATATAAGTGGAGGTCCTCTATTTTTTGAAGTAATATTTGTTTTTTTCATTAAACAAAATAACAAAATCTGTTCTAAAACAGTTATAGAGGAAACCTAGAGGTTTTTAAAAAAGTGTAATGTTGACAGTCACAGATGAAAGACACTGAAGTAATAACTAATGATGATGACACATACATATCTGAGGGAAGTGATCACTACAAAAGTTGTTCTTTACTTTTTCTTTTTCTTTCCTTATTTTTTAATTTATTGAGAAGGAGTCTCACTCTGTCACCCAGGCTGGAATGCAGTGGCGTGATCTCGGCTCACTGCAACCTCCGCCTCCCAGGTTCAAGCGATTCTCCTGCCTCAGCCTCTCGAGTAGCTGGGATTACAGGCATGCACCACCACACCTGGCTAATTTTTTGTACTTTTGGTAGAGATGGGGTTTTACCATGTTGTCTAGGGTGGTCTCGAACTCCTGAGCTCAAGCAATCCACCAGCCCTGGCTTCCCAAAGTGCTGGGATTACAGGAATGAGTCACCGTGCCCAGCCAGTTTTTCTTTACTTTTTAAAGGAAGGCCATATGAAAATACATACACAGGGTTATAAATTATAATATATGAGATTGTTGCTCATAAAGATGATACATAATGATGCCACAGTTTTCATGAATATATGAAATACCTCTGGTGTAGTAGATCCGTGGGTCCTAACCTTGACTTTGTCATTTGCAATTTGGCCTTGGTTTAAGGGCCTGATCCTCTCATGTGCCTCCTATCTTCATCTGTAAAATGCAGACACTAATAGCTGCGCTTCCTACATCATAGGGTTGAATGAAGATCAAACAAGATAATCAAAGTGAAAGGGCTTTGAAAAATACAAAGAGCTGTAGAAGTTCAAGGCATTATTAAAGACTGTGGAGAGATTGCTAACACAATTTGATTCAAGGCCAAAGTTTTATACTTTTGAAAGTTAAAAGAATATTCAGTATTTACAAATTATTTAAAAAACCAAATTCTTGCTTTGGTGACTCAGTACCATGACTAAATTGTGTTTTAAATGCTGTACATTTGATACGTAACTGGTATAAGTCATCTAACCACATTACCATGCCAGATATAATTATATAGCATTTTAGCAATATCTACAATTTCTGGTGGTTAAGAAGTTATAAATTCACATAGCTTAAAGACAAAGTCATGTCTTTAAGAGAAAGGTTCTTTTACTTTTTCATTGTGGCAAAAGTGCTGCTCTTTGTAACATGCATACTATGAGAGACCTGTTTGTCAATGCAACTTATCAAGCATTTATTTAGTGCCTATTGTGTATAAGTCATTTTGGGTATCAATGAGGTGGGGAGAAGGATGGAGGTGGTAAGAAGAAATACAAGAGAAAGAAGGGGTCCCAGAAGTGGGTGAGCTTTAAAACTAGTAGGGGGTGGCAGATCCTGTGACAAGTAACTATAAAGACAGGATGAAATCGATGCCAAGAAAATGCTTGAGGAATACACCATGGGAATTGGAGAGGTTGCAAGGATTAATTTTTTCAGTCTAGGAGGGTGAATCTGGTGACACTTGTCCTAGGCCTTGATGCATAAGAAGGATTCCTTGGGTCAGAAACAGAGGGAAGGATATTTCAAGCTTGAAGGAACCACACCTAGCTTATGCTACCAATAAATATTTACTTACTAGCTGATAAAACTAAACGATTTAGCAATGTGCCTGTGACTCTACAAAGTCACAGGTGGTGTTGGGTGGTGTTAGGGGTTAAATTTCAGATTATCATTTAAAAGCACCAGCCTTCCACCATTCCAAGAAGGCAGCTCAGAGAGTGGTCATACTCAATTCTGCAAACAATATTCCATTTTGTTCAGTTCCATAGAGCTACAAGAATCTTATCCTTGTTCAGACAGGGGTTCTCAACTTAAATAAGTCTACCTACAAAACTCTTTCAGGCCCATGCCCTACCTGCAGTTTTCTAAGCTCACTTCTACTCCTGTCCCAGTTAGTTTTCACAGATCCAGCACCAACCTTTACATGTAGGTTTAGTTTTTTCCAGGATTACATTTCCCCTTTCCAATATATTAGTTACAGTCACATACACTGAAGGAGGGGGACAATAAAAGCTTACATTCAAATGTGACCAAGGTAGATGTTGAAGGAGGGCTACAAGTTAGGTCATCTGGAAGGGGTGACAGAAAACTGGGGTGCAGAGAGGCAGGCAGAGGCATGGAGATTATTCTTTCCAAAAACTATAATAACTCTCTTCCAACCATTATCACACCATTAGCTAACAGGAATTGAGATCTTACCTTGGGCCAGGCAATATGCTATATGTGTTATGTGTTATCTCCTTGGCATGGGGCAGGTAATATGACTACTTCTATTTTATAGAAGAACAATCGCTAACAGAAGTTAAGTGACTTAGGCTGGGTGCAGTGGCTCACGCCCGTAATCCCAACACTTAGAGATGCTGAGGCGGGCAGATCGCTTCAGCTCAAGAGGTCAACATTGCGAAACCACGTCTCTACTAAGAATACAATAATTAACTGGGCGTGGTGGTGTGTGCTTGTAGTCCCAGCTACCTGGAAGGCTGAGGTGGGAGGATGGCTTGAGCCTGGGAGGTTGAGGCTGCAGTGCGCTGTGTTTGTGCCACTGCCTGGGCAACAAAGTGAGACCCTGCCAAAAAAGGAAGGAAGGAAGGAAGGAAGGAAGGAAAGGAGGGAGGGAGGGAGGGAGGGAGGAGACTTGTCTAAAGTCACCCAGAGAAAGAAGGAAATTAAGTGACTTGTCCAAAGTCAACCAGCGAGTTCTGTGGTAGAGCCAGGAGATACACCAAAGTCTGTGCATTTAACCTTACACCATGCTATCCCTACCCTCTTGCCTTCCCCTTCAATGTCAACCTAGAATTCTCTAAAGTTTAAGTGTCACTTATATGTAAACCATTTTGAAGGGTTCCTATGGGATAAGTGGAACAGGCCATTGCTGACTTGATATGATCGTGTTAACCAAGGCTTTTTCAGTGCACTGTATGTGCAAGGCATCATGCTAAACATGTGCATCTTCTTTTAATCTTCACAGTAGGCCTGAGAGAGCAGTGCAATTATTTTCTCTCTAACAAATGAGCAAACTGAAGCACAGGGAGGTTGAGTAATTGGTCTAAGGTCTTATTAGAAATTGACATTTCTAACAGCATTTGGATCTTGGCCAAGAGCTCTAAGATTTAGTCTCTGAGCCATACAAGATTTAGATGAATTGGGAGCCATAACAAGACCCTGCCTTAAAATTTCTCCCCCACTTGCCTGCCCCACAACCTGAAGCAAGGATCCTGTGACCCTCTCTAGCATTTAGGCATTGCTATTTGTTTCCAGGGGACGAGTGATACTGGGAACAGCATGTATTTAGTTCCTTCAAAGTCCTATGCCAGATGATACAAGGCACCCAGAGGTGAGCAAGACCCAGTGCCTGCCCTCCAGAGCTAGAGAGGGGCAGGAAGGGGATAACCAAGGCAGGTGCAATCAACAATAAAAGTGAAGTACCAAAAGCATCTGAGGTCACGCTACTCCCCTGCCTAAAATCATTCGCCAACAGCCATCACCAACAGGACACAGCCTGCTTCCCTCAGCAAGGCAGGTACAGCCACTCCTCCAACATCTGCCCACCTACCTCCTTAGCTTCATCTCTGCCTCATTGTCCCAAATCCTGTGCAATAGCCGTGACATATGACAGGCATCTCCATGTCTCTGCCTGCCTCTCTGTGCCCAGTCTTCTGTCACCCCTTCAATCTGACCTAATTTGTAGCCCTCCTTCAAGACCTACCTTGGTCACATTTGTATTTTTTATTGTCCCCCTCCTTCAGCGTAGTGACTCTACAACACTTTGTCAACCTATTATAACACTTACCCTAAAATGAAATTATTTACAAATTTGTTTCTTCAAAGGCAAGACCAGTGGCTTATTCCTCTTTTGCATGTGGCATGCTCACCCAGCACAGGGACACACCAGGCTCTCAAAGGCTGAAGGAAGCCAGAATACACATCTCTGCACAGTGCCAGGACTCTTGGGCCAGGCTAGCAGCCTGCACTGGGCACTAACTGAAGCCCTTGGGGATAAGTATTTGTAAGTTTGGGAGAAGGAAGACCTTTGGAAGAACCAAAGGCAGACCTGGGCCACCCTCAGTTAAATGGACAACACTAGTCCAGGAAATGATAAGGAAAAAGGCTTTAAGGTTCATCTCCTTCAGAGGTTTGCCTGGGCTGGCCCCATCATGGGTAACTTGTAAAAAATAGGTCGTGATACAATTTTTAAATTATTTTATTTATTTTTTTGAGACAGAGTCTTGCTCTGTCACCCAGGATGGGGTGCAGTGGTGCGATCTTGGCTCACGGCAGCCTCCACCTCTCGGGTTAAAGCGATTCTCCTGCCTCAGCTTCCTAAGTAGTTGGGACTACGGGCGCTCGCCACCACACCCAGCTAATTTTTCTTTTTTCTTTTCTAATTAGAACAGAGTTTTGCTATGTTGGCCGGGCTGGTCCCGAACTCCTGACCTCGGGTTATCCACCTGCCTCGGCCTCCCATAATGCTGGGATTACAGGTGTGAGCCACCGCGCCCGACCACAATATTGTATTTACTGTATTGCATTGTCTGCCTCCCTGCCACACAGCGTCTTCCAGGAGCTTACCAGTCCTCTGTGCATACCCCAGTAAGTAGCTCAGGCAGTGCATGACGCCCTCACCTTTCTCTAGGTATTATTGTATTTTAAAGCATCACTTCATTTAGTCCTCTCAACAACTTTTTTCCCCCCTTCTTCTATTTCACATGTGAGGAAATTGACGTCCCGAGGGTTAAAGCAAGTTACCCCATGACCGGGCTCCATACCCTCCGCGCCCCTTTCCCTGCGCGGTGGCTGTCCCTTCTCGGAGTGCAGAGGCTCCTAGTGCTCCACACTCTCGGGCTCCAAGGCCCCCTAACGCGCCGTGATAAAAATAATAATAACAATAACAACAGTGCTGCTTTATTTGCACAGAAAACAGGTTGTTTCGGGGCAAGGTACACTTGAGAAGGAGGCTAGGAACCGGAGAGAAGCAGCAGGCGGGGGCGGAGGGCGAAGGGAGGGAAGGGGAGAGGGCAGGGGCTGGCAGGCGCTGTGTGCCGGGCGAGGAGGCCGGGGCGGGCCGGGGCGGGGAGCGGGCGAAGCGCCATTGGCCCGAGCACCCGGGACCGGCCCCACCGCACCGCCCGCCGGGGGCGGGGGTAGCGGGGAGGGACTCGCGCACGCCGCTCTGCGTTGACAGTGCCGGGCGACACCCGGGCCGTGCCGCCAGCGTCCGTCGGGAGAGTGAAGGCTCGCAACGCCTTGCCCGGGGGAAGGTAACGCGCCGCGCCCGGGGCTGCGCGGTTTGCACCGCCAGGCCGAGGGCTGGGGGCCAGAAGACAAGAGAGACGGCGAGGCGCGCTCCCTGCCCGGCAGCGACTCGGAGGTGCGCACTCGGGTTCCAGTCTCTACTTGGCCCACTCGCTGTGTTACCTCGGGCAACTTTGTTTCCCTCTCTTGGTCTCTGCTTCCTCCTCTGTTAAGTGAGGGAGGTGGTGTAGAATGTTGTTCCTTAGTCTAACCAGTTCTAAAATGGGAACTGCGTTTTGGCACGGGGAAAGCTCCTTTCCTCAGTTTCCCACCTACTCCAGAGCCACCTCCGCTGCCCAGGCGGCCAGGAAGCTGGGATGCCCGGGTAGGCGAGGGTTCTGCTGAGCTATCGCGTTTTCTAGGGCTTTCAGGGACTGACCTGGGCTTGGGGCTGGGTGCTGGGGAGACCTGGCTGCAGAGTAACTGCCCCCAGATTGCTCAGGTGCAGAAAGGTAGGAGCGTCAGCACCTGTTTACAGGTGGGGTGTTGGGAAGGGCCGGCCAGGGGATGATGATTTCTCCTTTGAAAATAAGACGTGTTTTGGAATTCTCTTCCATACCCACACCTCGTCCCACGGCGAGCTATAAACTACACGAGTGGGCTTTATCATCCTTTGAAGTGGAAAAGCGACTGTTTTTAGCGTCTAAGACACAGGGCTCCACCAGCATATAGGAAGTGGGTCTCTCTTTCTCTGCACCCATCCTGCCGCGTCTTCCCTTTCTTTCCTCCTCTCTTTATAAATCCCCTTTGACCTTGAGGGGCTCCACTTCCTGCCTTAATGAAAAGTTCTTCTTTTCATTTAGTGCTGGTTTGTGACCAGCAGCCTCCAGGGCTTTGGGCGCAGGGTTGAGATAGAAGCCTAGATAAGAACAGGCTATGAATCACCCTGTCAGCCCCCTGAGCCACACAGCCCGGCAGGGATGTGCAGAGGAAGCCCGGTGGGGCTTCAGACAGATAGACCCTGGAAGGTGGGGTGGATGCAAACTGCCATCCAGCTTCCCGTCCCCTTGTTGGCAGCCATTCCCCACCAGGATGGTGACCCCTGCTGTCTGCTGGATGGAGCAGCCAGATAGAGTAGGATGATTGAAAGGAGCTGAGGACTTGGCTGGATTTCTATGGAAGGTCTCCAGCATTTCCCTTCCCTCACTTTCCTCCACCCCTGAAGTTCTGCCCCTTCTCACCCTTAGTGTGGTATCCAGGTGAAATCAGATTGCAGAACCCATCAAGAGCAGCTAGGAAGGAGAAGAGGTGTGGGGACGGCAGCAGGGCAATGTTGACTGCTGTTTAGTGGGCACTTACTATGGGCCAGACACTTCTTTGTATGTAATATATCCTTAATTCTCACAAAGCCACATGAGGGGTGATGTACTATACCCTATTTTATAGGTGAGAAACAGGCTCAGAAAGATTGCTTCCTTTAGTCACTTAGCTAGGAAGTAGCATAGCTGGAATTCAAATCCAATCTCTGATTCTAAAACCTGTGTTCTTTACACTGTCTTTGTGCTCCTTAAGTAAGAGCAAGCTGGAATAAGGAGAGCAAAAATGTCTAACATTGTGTTCTCACCAGGTGTCAGGCACTATGCAAAACATCTTAGAGCTATTATGTCATTTATGGTGCAGGAGTTTCCGTTATTCTGGAGGTAATCTGTGACTGCCTTAGCCTCTCAGCAGCAGTACTGTTCTAGAAGGCCTACCCTAATCCTGCCCAGCTGCTAGTGCGTGGGTGGGGCAGGGCCCTGTTTGCTTTATCCTAGAGGTGGTTTGGGGTCTAATGAAAGATTGATTGTCCACATCTGACCCGTTAGCCCTAACCGTTGGCTGGTGAATGATTCCACTGTCCCCTAAGAGGCCTTTTTCAGGTTTTGCTCAATAAACATTTGTGGAATGAATGAATTAGCACCTTGTGCAGAGTGGTCTGCTGCCTTGTAGAAATGTGAGGCAGCCTAGGGGAAGCCCAGGTTCCACCATCTTCAAAACCCAGATGCTAGTCTAGGTGTTTCTCCTCTTTGGGCAAGGGAGGTAGGGTGAACTGTGCCTGTATAGGCTTCCAGAGCTCCCTGGAAATATGTTTGCTTGTCACCTGTTTTACAAAGAATTTTTAAACATACAGTAGATGAAGAAAAATGTGGCTTTTTTTTTTTTTAAATTAAGAGGAAAACTTACTTGGTATTAATGAGGTTGTCACTCTCTCAAAAGTTGGGGGGATAAGATTATAATGTTTGTCTTAGGGCTTACCAAACTTTTCCATAGAAGATCCTGCAATGGAAAAGAAGACCAACACATGCTCCTGTGCTTATGCAATTTTTTTCATTTGATTTCATAATATATGGACTTTGATTTAAAAATATAAAGTTTTTTCTTCAAAATATCTGAATAAAACTGGTGTCCTGGCAGATTGTTATATATTCTTAGGGGCTTCGAGTACCCAGATGGAGAAGTAGGACCAAGGTTCTAGAGGGCTTAGACTACTGTTTGAATTTTCCACTCTCTGGTTCACAGTAATAGAGCTTCTCTAGTCCCTGGGGAGACATCCACTTTTTTCCCATTTTTCAGAATGAAGAATGTTTTAAAAATAAAAATATCCTTTATTTTCTTATTACCAAAACTAAACATATTCATT
This sequence comes from Homo sapiens, assembly GCF_000001405.40. Lineage (NCBI taxonomy): Eukaryota > Metazoa > Chordata > Mammalia > Primates > Hominidae > Homo > Homo sapiens. The sequence goes on along the minus strand of NC_000011.10, from coordinate 85,808,409 downwards.
GTAGAAAAAAATATAAGATCCAGATTAACATTAATAATAATATCAGGCCGGGTGCAGTGGCTAATGCCTGGAATCCCAGCACTTTGGGAGGCCGAGGCAGGTGGATCACAAGGTCAGGAGTTCGAGACCAGCCTGGCCAATATAGTGAAACCCCATCTCTACTAAAAATACAAAACTTAGCTGCGCGTGGTGGCATGCGCCTGTAGTCCCAGCTGCTCAGGAGGCTAAGGCAGGAGAATCTCTTGAACCCGGGAGGCGGAGGTTGCAGTGAGCTGAGATCATGCCACTGTACTCCAGCCTGGGTGACAGAGCAAGACTCCATCTCAAATAATAATAATAATAATAATGATATAAATACATCTATACTCAAATAATTAAAGCAAAACTTGGGATATAGCGTTCCAAATCTTTTTCTTTGCATCTATATTAACAAATTTTAAAAACACACACACAAATACAGCCCTTTTGACTGAATTATTGTCAGAGCTAAGAGCCATCTCAGATTGTTTTTGACAGAATGTAGAGAAAAAATCATGAATAATTAAAAGCATCATGAAGGTTAATCTTGTTTGTGAGCCCCGAAGTTCACCCCTCATAATTTCCCTGTATTTATCTTGTGGGAGAGATGAGTGCTGGGCCATGGGGCTGCTGTTGAAAATGCAGGGTCAAGCTGTACTCTTGCTAAACATCTCAAATATAACAGAAAAGGTAGCTCTTTAGTGTTGCTGATGTGCAAAATTTGAGCAGAAAATTAAAAAACTAATTTGCACAGTAATTTGCAGAAAATTCAGGAGGGTCCTGGAGAAAGTCATTGCCCCAGCATTGCATTTTATTACCTGTGTGACCTTGGGCAAGACAGATGGCTTCTCTGAGCTGGTTTCCACTTTTATAAATTGATGATAATAAACAAATTCTATCCTCACTTACCAGAATCACTATAAGGATCAAGTGTCAGGTGTTATTGTTTGTTACTTGGATTGCATGCATGTGTGTATGCTATTAATATTTTAAAAATGTTTAAACATAGAGGCAATAAAACATTATCAGTCTTTATAAAATCCTGGAATCCAACTCTTGGTATTAGTAGGACTTAATCATGATGTAAATGCTCTATTGGGACTCAAGTTTTCTTCAAAGAATGTAGGTTTCCTTGGTGGCTAGTATCTCATTGATCCTCATCACAATCCTGAACAGAAGAGGACAGAAGATAGTCCCATTTTATAGAATGAAAGCAGGCTTGCCACTCAAGGGAATTGTTCAGTTACACAGGGAGTCTCAGAGCTCCTGGGAGCTGTCTTGACTTGCCCTAAGCAAGGCAGAGGCTTGCTAAGAGGAAGCAATGAGAGCCACTGGAAAGGCAGTGTACCCATGGGGGCATGTGAGTGCCAGTAGCCATTGCCTCAAGGACTGCTCTCAGGCATACGCCGTGCTCCTGGATGCTCTGAGGAAACAATGGGCCCTGCACTGGGAGGCAGGTGGCTTGGTTTCAACTTCTGCATCTGGCAAAGACAATCTGTGCAATCTGGGTTTAGTCACACTTTCTCCCTGAGCCTTGGTTTCCTTATAAAGTTAGAGAATTGGACCAGATGAGGGTCCTTCTTGTCTTAAAAGTCTGATTCTGGGTTGTTTTCTATTCATGGTTTCCCAAGTTGAAGTCTGGTAGAGAATTTCCACATCCAGATGAATGAGATATGAGAAAATGTTTCTACTTTCTGTTGCTTCAAGCTTTTGACGCCTCCTCCTGATTTTCTAAGGGCCTCCTCTATTGACTGCCTTCATGCAGAACACATGATCCACAGATCATTGAGAGGAGAGTGGTTTCTGCTTATTTATTTTTTATTATTAATCTATAACCTCTTGAGATTGTTAGGAAAACTGCTTTAAGGGAATTTTGGGGAAGGTAGGTTGACAGAAATACAGTATAATGAAAGCAGGTTTAAAAAATGGTAATAAAGCCATGTGTTTCACTAAGTATTTGCCTCTAAAGTCACTACATACAGTATTTTTGCCTAGTGCCCATTTGGGCACTTGGACCTGTGCTAGGACTTTTGCAGAATGTGGGAGAAGCACATGACCTCACTCTTAAGTGGCTCAGAACTGGAGAGGGGGAGAAAGAGAAGGAAAAAGGGAGCAAAGACATGTGCAGCTATGATTGGAATAGGATGGAGATGAAAAGAACAATTTAGGAAAAGATTGAGCCCCTGAGGGCTCAGACTTTGTGGTTTATTTCTGTATCCACATAGCCTGGCACTGTTCCTGGCACTCAATGGGAACTTAGTATAAGTAATTTAAATTAATTAATAAATGAACAAATAAAAGAATGAATGAATCACTCTGCTGAAATGTGGTGCAGTGTCCTCAGATTACTGCAGTGACTTCTTCACCTATGTGAACTACCTGCAACCTACAAAACCACTTTCCTATGTGTTATCCCTTGTATTGATGATTGAGATAAAAGAAGGCCAAAATAAGAGCATTTCCTAATCTTATACTTTCTAAACAGTTTGTAGCTACTAGTATAGATTTGGTTTATTATTCCGAGATAAGTTGTCCTCTTTCTATAAATGCATCAGTAAATATTTGGGGGTAGGTAGATATAAGACGTAGCAAACAATTCCACGTATTTGCCTTCTGAGTTAGAGGGGGAAAGAAAGGTATCAGTTGATTTCTGAGTGAATATAAGTTTCTTTTTTTCCCTTGCAGAAGCATTGTTTTACTGTAAGTCTTGACAGAATGGATGCCAGCACCACTAGCTTCTGATTAGACAGATGTGTTTTGTGCTGCCATCCCTCCCGGCCACAGGAGCCTGGACTCTCCTGCCTCTGGCTGAGTCACTTGATTAAAACACAGGGCTTTGAGGCTGAGGGCATTAGCTGGATCCCAGGCAAGCTAAGTTCCTCAGTCAAATCTATTGCCTGACAATTCCCATTCCCTTTGCCAGTGATCTGTGTTGGGAGGAAGGCTGAGCTGTATTGTGTTAGATTTCTTAGGGCAGATTCTTTACCACTGTTGGTTTTAGACTAGCATTTGAGTTTTATAAGTAAAAGGTTTAGGTTTTCAGTTTTTTTGTTTTTTTTTTTTTGTAGAGATGGGATCTCACTGTGTTGCTCAGGCTGGTCTTGAACTCCTGGGCTCAAGCAGTCTTCCCACCTTGGCCACCCAAAACACTGGGGTTACAGGCATGAGCCACCACACTCGGCCCTTTTTCTTTTAGTTATAGTCTAGGGTTGTTTCAGTTATGCCATTTTGGGACACGTTCAGGGTTTTCATCCTGAGACCTTTGCTATCCCCAAGACTGCAACTATTGTCATAGCATGTAATTCCCTCCATGTGTCTATAAAATGAGAATGATCAGATTTGTTTGACAAGATTGTTTAGAGGATTAAATGAGGTCCTGTATTTAATGAAAACCAGCAAAAGCAGATTGAGATGCTGTGCTGGGTGGTTGACCAAAGACTTACCAGCCAAGGACTCACGACTTCATTCCTTTCTGGTGCTACTGTTGATTTAGCTACAATTTCTACATGACGTCTTCAAGGTAAGTTATGAATAGTTGGAGCCACCGGCATTCAAATGCAAATATGATAGATCTACTGCTGTTATGGCACCTAGAGGTAGTAACTGGTTATGTAGGATTCATTTTATTCAGTTATTTTAAAGGTATTTTACCTGATCTGGTATTTTTGGTTGCTAATGTAACATACTATATCACGTCTAATTGCTTCAGACTGAAAAACAGTCTGAAGCAAGTGAATGATGAAGATGTCTGACATTTATTGAGCACTTACTATGTACCAGGCAGTATTCCAAGCACTATACCTACATCAATTTATTTAATCCTCACAATAATCTATTATTGATACTATTTTTGGTACTATGATTGTTTCTATTTTATGATGAGGAAATTGAGGCCCATATAATTTAAATAAGTTGCCCAAGGTGACACAGCCAATAAGAACAACAACAGAGATTTGAATCCAGGCAGTTTGACTCCAGAGCCCATGCCTTGGATCTTTGGAAGATAATCTGATATAATTGTACGCTATCTGTACCCTACTTGTATTCTGCTCTACTGTTCATGAAATTACGTACGAAGCTGCAAACTGAGTTCTAGATGCAGAATGAGGGTACATAGCTTGCGATAGTGTTTTGACTACACAGGATAACCCTTGAAAATGGGCTTGTTGCAAAAATTTAGAAAATTTTGTTACACAGAGATAGTAATAATTAATAAAGTTTAAGTATTTCAGGAAATATTAGGGGGTGACACCAGACTACAAAGTGATGAGTCAGCAACTTAGTATACTATTTAAGAATCAACACTACCTGGAATGTAGTAACTGAAGTGTTGTGTTTAGGAAGTTGAATACAGGTAAATCACATAATTTATAGTCCTTTACTTAGAAAAGCAAAAATAGTATCTTTCTTTTCCATTCCTTTTAGGGATGCTACAAATAACAACAACATAATAAACAGAATGTCTGTTATCTATCTAGTGCATACTCTGTGTCAGTCCCTTTGCTATGTCCTTGTTCCTCTAATTGGCAGGACTACTCTCTAAAGTAGGTGATAATTATCCACTTTACTGATGAGGAAATGGAAGCACAGACAAGTCCTTTGCCCAAGGTCACAGAGGTGGTAAATGGCCAAACAAACAATTGATCCCAGGTTACTTTGACTGGAAAACCTGTACTCTTTTCACAACCCAGTATTGCCTCTTTGGGGGGAGTTCTCTAAAGGAAAGATGTTATATTCATGCTTACTGAATCCTGTGTTAAGACATATGTTTGTCACTAGTCTTGAAACAGATTATAAATATTCAAAACTAGGACTGTTCCAGAAAACCTAGGATATTTCTGTTACCATAGAGATGTAATGATGGGCTTAACATAATCTTCCAGGAAAAACAACTGGGTTCTCCCAGCGCTCCATGGCCTAAGGAGTCAGCCACTTATTCCTGCAGTTATGAAGCAGCACCACCCAGGACTAGAGCAACTGAAATACTATGGAGAACTGGCAAGAAGACCTTAATTACAGTTTATTTTGGGGCATCACAACTTGATAAGTGAGAGGGAATATACTGAAGAACTTGAGTAGAAATGAAGTTGATTTTCATGTTGTGCATGATATGAGGATTTTATAAAGATAAAGAATTTTTATATGAGTTGTCCTAGCAGGACCACTTAGATATGACACATTTTTACAGTTTTATAATATGCATTCTTGAACCTTTTTGAAATAGTATCATACTACCTTTCTGCAAATGTATTCACTGTGTTCTTGCCAGATTCCTAGCAACACCTTGCCATCTGATGGTTATAGCAGATGATTTTGAGGTGCAATCATAGGTGGAAGGTCAGAAGCCAGAGTTATGAAGCATAGTGGCCAACAAGGTGATGGGAGAGGGGTCATGGTTAAGAAGATGTTTCTGGCTAGTGTCCATGTTTCCCATAGAGGCCACTTTGTAGTGGAAATAAACTTGGCTTTGGAATAAGATAAGCTTGAATTTAAACATGAATGCACTTACTAGTTGTGTTATAAAGCAACTAATTTAACTGTGGTTAGCAGCTTTTGAGTTTCTTTGGGATAGGACTCTCAACTTCCTTTTCTGCAAAAATTGCATTCATTTTCTCACAAGATGGGGTAATAAATATATTAAAGCCTCTGACTTTGTGTCTTGCATAGAGTCACTATTCAATAAATGTCAGTTCTATTCATTTTCCTTTTCTTCCTTTCCTTTCTCTCTTCCCTTCTCTTTCTTTCCTCTCTTTCCTTCTCTTTCCTTCCCTTCCTCTTGGCTATTGAAGGTGACAATGGTGAAGTAGTACTTACAGTACAGTGTGGTAAGTGTTCTAGTTAGAAATGCATACAGCTTATTGTGAGATTGCTGAGAGAGCAACTGCCAGGGAAAGTAGGAAGGTGACAGATAAGCTAGACCTATGGCTGAGTAGGAGTTTGCTAGGTTAAGAAGAGACTGAGGGCTGGGTGCATTGGCTCATGCCTGTAATCCTAGCACTTTGGGAGGCTGGGCCTGGTGGTGGGCACCTGTAATTCCAGCTACTTGGGAGGCTGAGGCAGGAGAATTGCTTGAACCTGGGAGGCAGAGGTTGCAGTGAGCTGAGATCATGCCACTGCACTCCAGCCTGGGTGACAGAGCAAGGCTCCGGCTCACAAAAAAAAAAAAAAAAAGAAAAGAAAAAGAAGAAAAGAGAGTGTGGTGGGGAGGAAACGTTGAAGGATGTTTCAAGTTCAAAGCCATGGAGGCAGGGAGAGAAGGGATACCAGGAGAATGGGGAGGCCAGGCACGGTGGCCCATGCCTGTATTCCCAGCACTTTGGGAGCCTGAGGCGTGTGGATCACAAGGTCATGAGTTCAAGACCAGCCTGGCTAACATAGTAAAACCCCATCTCTACTAAAAATACAAAAACTTAGCCGGGCATGGTGGTGGGTGCCTGTAATCCCAGCTACTCTGGAGGCTGAGGCAGGAGTATCGCTTGAACCTGGGAGGTGGAGTTTGCAGTGAGCCGAGATCGCGCCATTGCACTCCAGCGACAGTGTAAGACTCCATCTGAAAAAAAAAAAAAAAAGAACGGGGAAGAGACTACTGAGTTGGCACACAGGACAGGTAAATTATGGTTGGTGGCGCTGCTAATGTAGTGGAGTTTCACCAAAGACCAAAGGTGAAATGAGGCTACAATCTGACCCTTTATCTTGGAGGCTGCCCTTTATCTTTGAAGTTTCTCAATATTGTAAGTGAGATAATGAAATTTCTCTTTAGGATAATAACACTGCTCACAGTATGAAAGATGGGTTTGGGGTTGATTGGCATACTTGTTTGCACTTGTGTGTACAGAGGAGATAACATATATTAAAGCTTTTTTGGTAAAAGGTAATGGTACTTGTAGAGATGGTGCTGCTATTCAAGACTTCTATAGGAGAGTACATAATGTGTTGGAAAATGGTGACTCCATATGCTAATTTATGGACTGGATCACATTGGAGCCAAATTGTTCCAAAAATATAAATATGTCTTACCTTGAGTTAAGCATGTTTACCACTTTTCAACAAAGGACCAGGTGTGTTTCTGGCAAAATGATTGAAGCTTGAATCCAGAAAAAAAAAGTTTAAGGCCCCTTTTTGTATTTCCAAAATTGAGTTTAAGGTTCTAGGGATAGTAGATACCTAATGCATGCTGAATTTGGTTAGTGCTTTGTAGAATTTCTTGTGCTTAGCATGCACTATTGTGGTTAGCAGCTGTTGAGTTTCTTAGAGGGAGGAGCAGAGAGGCTCAGACTACAAAACTATCATCTATGGGAAATGGCAAGAAGCTAGGTGGCCCTTCTCCCTAAGCAGTCAGGATCAGACCCAGGTACACACAGATGTGTGTTTCTGTGTTTCTAGCCCTGTGTTTATGTTTTCCGGATAGTTGCCTGCTTTATCTATGCTGGAGGGAAAACCCGACATTACCTGGGTTCCTTGGGGAAAGCCACTGGGGAGATTAGCCTTGGTTACTAGAGGTGCCTCAATGTGAAGACAGTCACCTGCATCTGCACTTGAACTATTAATAATGTGTGGCCAGGAGCCAAGGGTGTGGAGGAGACGTGGCTCTACCGGTCAGATTCTGCAGGGGACAGATGTGACCCTGTTGTGGAACTGAGCACAGGTATTTGCTTGGTGTGTGAGGAAGTGAGGAGGGAGTGGATGTGTTTGTTTTTTTCCTTCTCTGGCATACTTTTTCCAAGTCCACTCTCTCAGCAGCCAGGAACTAAAAGCAAGTCTTGGGCTGACATTCAGTGCATAGGGAGTAAGTTGTACCTTTTAAATTCCTGGGGGCCAGGCATAGTGGCTCATTCCTGTAATCTCAGCAGTTTGGGAGGCTGAGGTGGGAGGATTGCTTGAACCCAGGAGTTTGAGACCAGCCTGAGCAACATAGCAAGACCCCATCTCTACAGAAAAATAGAAAAAAATTAGCAGGGCATGTTGGTGCACACCTGTAGTCCCAGCTACTCAGGAGGCTGAAGTGGGAGGATCACTTGAGCCTGGGATATCAAGGGTGCAGTGAGCCATGATTGTGCTGCTGAACTCCAGCCTGGGCGGCAGAAACCCAGGAAACTCTTGGAGACATCCTACATTGGGGTTTTGGAATACTAGACCTTTGAACCTGGACTCTTTCATGTGCCAATCCCCAAGCCCTTTCACTGTGTTAGTCAAGTCTCAGTCTAGTCCTTTGATAGATTCTGGTTTGGTCTCTTTACTTTGAGACCAAAGCACCAAAACTGATGAACTGTGTGTGGGAATGGTTAGGTCCTTGAGGGTGTGTTTGTGTGCATCACTACCTGTAGATGCAGTGACCAAGGGTGTGAGCTTAGTTTAATACTTAAGTATGGTATGATTGATCTTTACAGAAAATCTCTTGCTATTCTCTTTAAACTATTATTAAACAGTGAACATTTGTTGATAAAAGGGTCAGCATGCTGTAGTGGGAAGAATATCAGATTTAGAGGCAAGAGTTAATTTATTTGATAGATACTCACTGAGTGTTTTCTATGTTTGTGTGCCAAATTGTTTTAGGCTCAGAGTCCAGTGGGGAAAATAGATATCTGTAATTACCACTCAGTGTGATGTTCATAGTCAGATGTGAGCACAGAGGAAGGAGGTGGGGTGGTAAGAGGGAAGGGAGATCAAGTGCCAAGGTAGGGCTTCCTGGAAGAGGTGGCATTTGAGAGGCGATCTGGGTGAATAAGAATCAGAAGGTCAAAAGGCTGGGAAATAGCATGGCAAGCATGGTTTCATGTTCAAGGTAAGGCTGGCAGGAGCTGAGGCCAGTGAAGTAGGTAGTGGGCTGATCATGAAGAGTGTAGTACATGTTATTAAGGAGATTGGATGCTTTTTATGGACTTTTAGTCCCTTTTGTTGAGCTCTTCCTAACCCTGTTTCTAACTCTGAAATCCTAGCTGTTCTTAAAACTGCAGCTCTATGCTAATTCTTCCTGAAATCTTCCTGGTTCATCATGGCAGGAAGTTTTCTTTCCCTCCTCTAACTGGTTTAGTGTTCGGCTTATACCTCTTTTATGGCCATCATCACATACCACTGTGTGTTATCATTCTTTATGTCCTCATCTTATCTTCCCTTTTGTTCCAAAAGTTCTTAGAGCGCTGGGACTAAAGGGACTTACTATTTCCTTAATGCCCAAAGCCCAGAAGGCTGAGATAGTACAAGTGTGTTAAATGAATATATTTTGAAGTGCTAAGTTATGTTCCCTGTCTTTTTAAGGTTTTTAGTACATTGATGGGCTTTAAGAATTTAGTGGTCAATGGGCAGTTATCAATTAATTAGATATTTGGCTTTTTATTCTCATGTGTGCAGAAAAGAATTAACATAGTGGGTGTGAAACTGCCTGTCCATAGAAAGGCCTGCTTGCAAGTTGGCCTTTGGCTGGCATTAGGGAACTTGGATTTCAGGAGGATTCCCACAAATCTAAATGATTGAGTAGCTCACTGTGCCTAAACTGTTTGTGCAAGCAATATGGTTTATGCCGAGCACCTGCTTTTCTTCTGGGAGTCTGGAATTTGGGTACATGCCAGGGAAGGGGTGCCTACATGACTTGTCCCCATTAAAAACTCTGGGCACTGAATCTCTAATGAACAGTCTGGTTGGTAACATTTCAGATGCATTGTCACAACTTGTGTGTCCAGTGTGACTCCTCTTGGAGAAGACCCGTGGGAGCTCCCACCCAGTTTTATGCAGACTTCACCCCACGCACCTTTTTCCATTGTTGAGTTTGCTTTGTATCTTTTCACTGTAATAAGTCATAGCTGTGAATATGACTGTATGTTGTCCTGTTGAGTTATCCTAGTGAATCATCAAACCTGGGACTGGACTTGGAGATCCCTTCAACGCACCATGAAATGCCACATATGTGAAGCCAATTGTTTTTTATTTTTGGTTTGTTTTTGGCTAAGACTCTGAAGATATTAAAGACTCTGAGAAGTTATTGGTCTTTACATAAGAGAAGGGCCCATTTCTCAAGACGCTATGTATTTAGGCATGTGAAGAAGGTGCTTAAGAAAGTTTCACGGGTTTCTCTTGTCATTCCGTAAACCAAATCACATTTCACCTTTTAGAAATAAGTGTCAAGCTTTAAAATTTCAAACTTTGAGAGTGTCAGAAGCTGTGATGATCCGTTTGTTTGAAAATGAACAGGGAATGGGAGGGCTGACAAAAAAACTGAACTTGAGATCAGTGGGTATAGGCTGGGTGCAGTGGCTCACGCCTGTAATCCCAGCACTTTGGGAAGCTGAGGCAGGTGGATCACTTGAGGTCAGGAGTTTGAAACCAGTCTGGCCAACATGGTGAAACCCCATCTCTATTGAAAATGAAAAAAAAAAAAATAGCTGGCATAGTGGTGTGCACCTGTAATCCCAGCTACTCGGGAGGCTGAGGCAGGAGAATCTCTTGAACCTGGGAGGTAAAGGTTGCAGTGAGCCGACATTGCACCACTGCACTCCAGCCTGGGTGACAGAGTGAGACTCCTTCTCAAGCAGCAAGAACAACAACAACAACAACAACAAAAACTTTGTGGTCTTGAGATCAGTGGGTATAGACTAAGGTATGGTATGAGATAGATGAGTGGCCAGGTGGGGTATGGCCAGCTGGGGAAGCTGTGTATAAACACAGACTTCTTAAGATTTTATTAGATCACATAGGCTGTAGCTGACAAAAGGGACAATAATAATAAAGACTAATGTTTTCTTTTTCTTTTTCTTTTCTTTTTTTTTTTTTTGAGAAGGAGTCTCGCTCTGTCTCCCAGGCTGGAGTACAGTGGCTGATCTCAGCTCACTGCAATGTCTGCCTCCTAGGTTCAAATGATTCTTGTGCCTCAGCTTCCCAAGTAACTGGGATTACAGATGCCTGCCACCATGCCCAGCTAATTTTTGTATTTTCAGTAGAGACGGGGTTTCACCATGTTGGCCAGGCTGGTCTCGAATTCCTGACCTCAAGGGATCCTCCCACCTCAGCCTCCCAAAGTGCTGGGATTACAGGTGTGAGCCACTGCTCCTGGCCAAAAAAGACTAACATTTTCTAATATAACATTTGTATAGAACTTTACAGTTTTCAAAATGTTTTCACATACAATATCATTTAATGCTAAAATAATCCTATAAGGTAGGAAGTATTATTAGTTTCCACAGCTAGGGAAACTATAATTCAGAAGAACTGAATAGCTTGCCCAGAGTAATATGGTCGGTTTGAGCTGCACACCTGTAGTCCTAGCTATTCAGCCTTGACCTCCTGGGCTCGAGCAATCCTCCTGCCTCAGCCTTCTGAGTAGCTAGGACTACAGGTGCATGCCACTGCACCTGGATCATTTAAAATTTTTTTTTATAGAGATGGGGTATTGCTATGTTGCCCAGGCTGCTCTTGAATGCCTGGGCCCAAGCGATCCTCCAGCCTTGGCCTCCTAAGGTGCTGGGATTGCAGGCGTGAGCCCAAATTCAATCCTTTTGATTTTAAACCTAGATCCTGGGAAATATAAGAACTATAAAGTCTCTTAGCTTCCTGATATATTTAAGTTTATTTAAAAGTATATATCAGTCAAGTCTCAGACCTGACAGATATTACTGAATGAATGAAAAGAAGTTGAGGCAAATTGCCTACTTTCACTCTGTGCCATCCTGTGTATAGATTGTGGGGAAACAGTTGATCTTTCTTTTTAGAAGCTGCATTTGGGATTTGGATAGAAAGAGACTAGAACAGAGGAGCTGGGAGGATGTGGGCTCCAGTTCCAAAGCTCATGGTACTCTGCAGGAGAAAGTTGAAGCCTTCTTGATTGCCCACTGTAAGATCTGGGTGACAAAGAGCTATTGGAGAAGGTTTGGTTGCATTTTTCATAATATCTCAGATACTGTCAGAGTCCTAAAAATATCACTTATCAGAATTAGACTCTTAGAAAAATGAGGGGCAATATTTGCCTCGGATTCACTTTCATTATTTCTCTAAATCAGGGGAGGAGTTCTTGGGACATTTTTCCTGCCCCAAAATAAGAGTTGGTCAGAGCATATATCGTGTTAAGTTTCTATGGTGTGTCAGATATCAGCTGGGTGTTTAACGTGAATCATCCTTTTAATTCTTACAAAGATCTTCAAAGGTAGAAATTTGATGCCATATAACCTAGATAAGAAAAATTAGACTTGGAGAAGTTAAATATTTGCCCAGAGTCTCACAGCTTTTAAGGGGTAGCCCTGGAATTCAAGCTCAAGCCCGACTCCCAAGTCAGTGCTCTTTTTCTTCCCTGTGCTGCCTGAACACAATGATGCAACTTCATAAAATAATAATCATTAGATCAGTTCTTATGTAAGTGGTTAAATCTAACCTGAGCCTCAGTGAATGTTAAGGCTCTTCTATGAAGAAGTTTAAGCTTCTGGTGCCTACTCAGAGTTTTTACAGCAGGAGATTCCCCTGGTGATGATGGCTTATGTGTATGCTCTGTGCTTGTGTGTCACCTTTCCTGAGTCCTTTGGGATTTCCAGAGTGGCAGCCTTCCCAGCACTATTTGCAGTTTGGTAGATATGAGGGAAGGGGAGTTGTGGCCTGCTCTGTCAGTTTGCTGATTTCAGAGCCAGCTCACCTGAAGTCATCCTTTCTTGCAGATATTTGGCAAAAACTCATCTGGGAATAATCTGCTTTATCAAATTTAAAAAGGTGAAAATTTTTATATTGTAGAAATATAAGGAAGAAGATAGAAATAGATGGTTTGGAGTGGCTTTTACTATTCTTGTTAGTTTCATCCTGGAAAATGTTTCCTATGTAACTTTTTCTTTTTTTAACATAAGCAGCACATTATAGTAAAAAACAAAAAACACGGCCTTGGGCTCTAGAAAATACAGTGAAAGTGCTGATCATGAACAAATAAATTTTTGGTACACTGCCTGGCACAGACTAGGGATACAATTAACATTTGTTAAATGAGTGCAACTCAGGCTACTGGGCGTAAGTATCTGGCCTTTTCTGCTGCCCAAATCACAGAGCAGCCCAGACCCCAGTTCACATTAGTGTGCTCTGGCTGAGAGGGTTCAGTTTTTTTTTAGATCTGATGGTGAGCCTGGAGCCAGGCCATCATCATTTCAGAAAATAAAATGCAAGCATTATTCCTTGGGGGGATGTGACTTTATTTGGGGGGCTGAAAATAAACTTAGCGGTGGTGGTAGTAATAATAACAGCTAATACTTATATTAGCTAATATAAGTATTACAGCTAATACAAGGTTCACTATGGACTCATGCTAGACTAAGTCTTTTATACATACAAGTGCATGTAATCCTTATAACACAATTTTAAGTAGATATTTTACCAGTGAGGAAGCTAAGTAACTTGCCCAAGGCCACACAGTGGGCAATACTTCTGAAATGTAAATGTGGAGACCGAAGTACAGCCACTTAACCTCTCCTTAGTGATATTGTAAAGGAATGGGAAGCTAGGCATTTTGAAAGACCATCTCTTTATTGTTTTTTCTTGGTTTTCTTTATTAGAAAAAAATGATGAAGGGATCTACTTTCCATGAATTCCTGGAGCAATTCCTGGAAATTCTGCTTTTCTTTTACTTCTGTATAAACCTCAAATGAACTTTTCTTTTCAGAAAGAAATACAAATTCAATTTCATGTTTGAGACTTACTTCCTGTACGTCCCCAGCAATATAATGATTTTTTTTCCTCCCTTCAAATACCAGACAAATAGCAGAAATCAAGCCCAAGCAAGTAGAAAAGTCTTGATAAATGCAAGTTTCCTCACCAAGGGATAATTCATGGAGAGATGTGATGCCCATTTGAGAATCTGGATTCTTTTGAGTTTGGTGATATGAAAGTCTCTTTTGTGACCTTGAGAAAGTGGGAGGTTTTGTTATTTGTTCTGTTGTCCTTTAAAATTTAAAACTGGCTGGGCGTGGTGGCTCGTGACTGTAATCCCAGCACTTTGGGAGGCTGAGGTGTGAGGATCACTTGAGGCCTGAGGTTTGAGACACCCTGGAAACATAGGGAGAACCTGTCTCTAGAAAAAAAATTTAAAAATTAGCTGGATGTAATGGCATGTGCCTCTAGTCTCAGCTACTTGGGAGGCTGAGGCAGGAGGATTGCTTAAACCCAGGAGTTTGAAGTTACAGTGAGCCATAACTGTGCTGTTGCACTTCAGCCTGGGTGACAGAAAGAGGCCCTGTCTCTAAAAAAAGAAAAAAAAATTTAAATCTGGCCAGGCAAGGTGGCTTATGCCTGTAATCCTGGCACTTTGGGAGGCTGAGGTGGGAGAGTTGCTTGAGCCCAGGAGTTCAAGACCAGCCTGGGCAGCATAGTGAGACCCTGTCTCTACAAGAAAAAAAAACTGAATCTGCTCTTTTGAATCTTTGGAGGATGGGGATTGAGGGATTGTGTGCTCTTTTCTCTAATGAATTGCATAACAGCATTAAAGATGGCAAAGCATTAACTTCTTTTTTTGACTTATTTTTCATACCACATAGTTATATTTAATTAAATATTTTCCAGGGTTCATATCTGTATGAGGGAAGATATGACTAAAACAATGTGGAAATGCAATTGCTTGCCAAATTAAAGCTACAGATTCTCCAACCTTTTTTGGGTAATAGGATTTTTCATTTGTGCAGAACTAAATAATGTGACAGCTGTGAGATTTTAACCATGGATATGCCTATTTCTTTGTCTGTTGGAACAATTTCCATGACAGGAAGTGTTGAGAGCATGTCCTTCATTTTTAAGGACAGGTTATAAAATATTGGTTATGAGATATCTCAAATTAAATTTCATGGATGTTATCAGAGTTTGAGGTGGCTGAAACTTTTCTCCCTGTCTGCCTCTTTGAGAAATTTTTAAATTCAAAGTCCCTGAACAGGAAAAAGAAAACTGTTCATCTTTAAAACATAAAATATTATGATAAGAGTTCTCAAATTATTTCCTTCCTTAAAGGTATTTGTATTTTGAAATAAAGAAGACATGATAAAAGCTCTGAAACTATGCTCACCATCACTGGCTGTCAGAGAAATGCAAATCAAAACTACAATGAGATACCATCTCACACCAGTTAGAATGGCAATCATTAAAAAGTCAGGAAACAACAGGTGCTGGAGAGGATGTGGAGAAATAGGAACACTTCTACACTGTTGGTGGGACTGTAAACTAGTTCAACCATTGTGGAAGTCAGTGTGGCGATTCCTCAGGGATCTAGAACTAGAAATACCATTTGACCCAGCCATCCCATTACTGGGTATATACCCAAAGGACTATAAATCATGCTGCTATAAAGACACATGCACACGTATGTTTATTGCGGCACTATTCACGATAGCAAAGACTTGGAACCAACCCAAATGTTCAACAATGATAGACTGGATTAAGAAAATGTGGCACATATACACCATGGAATACTATGCAGCCATAAAAAATGATGAGTTCATGTCCTTTGTAGGGACATGGATGAAATTGGAAATCATCATTCTCAGTAAACTATCGCAAGAACAAAAACCCAAACACTGCATGTTCTCACTCATAGGTGGGAATTGAACAGTGAGAACACATGGACACAGGAAGGGGATCATCACACTCTGGGGACTGTTGTGGGGTGTGGGGAGCGGGGAGGGATAGCTTTAGGAGATCTACCTAATGCTAAATGACGAGTTAATGGGTGCAGCACACCAGCATGGCACATGTATACATATGTAACTAACCTGCACATTGTGCACATGTACCCTAAAACTTAAAGTATAATAATAATAAAATTAAAAAAAAAAGCTCTGAAACTAAGAATCTTAGGTGGGGGTGGTATTTATTAATCATTTGCTTCTGTGATTTCTTTTGTGGAATTATTTTTACTTACTGGTTTATTGTTTCCAAGGAGTGCTTGTTTGAAGAAGAAAAAATAACTTTCTGCAACTTCAGAGTGACACATTTCATAGGTCCCCCATTCAGAGATGGTTTTCATTAAATGGGCTCCAAAGTTAATCTACAAGTTAAGAGAGAAATGAACATCCTTGACTTAGAACATAGAAAAGCCAAGTGACATTTGGCTTGCAATTGCCTCCACTGCCCTGTCAGATAGTCTATTCTTAACTACCCCGTTAGGGTGGGTTTGAGAGAACTCTATTGGCAGAGCCCCAAGTCACCCCTAATTTGAAGATCACCACCCACTAGAGGCTGGGTTGGTGTCATGGTTTCCCAAGTAAGTCATGTCCTCTTCAGTGATTCAAAGTCTGACCTCCTACAGAGCAATAGGCTTTCCCTGGAGCAGACTATACCCCTCATCTAACCATTTTTTTTGTCTAACTTCCTGTGACTCTTACTGGGTACATCCCCAAATTTTGTATGTAGTAATAATCTGTTCTATACAATTCGCCAGTTATATACTTTCTATAGGTTCAGTTTTCTCAGCTAGATGGTCAGCTCATCAAGGTTATTAATCCCTTTCTCTTGCAACTTTTGTAATCCTATCGCAGCTGCTGGTAGAATTCCCAGGAAATGAGATTGGGAGTTATGGGCCTTTCTCAGTTACAAGATGTTGAGAAAGCAAGCAGCTCTTTGCTGCATGTATTCCCTTCCTTATGGCTCCAAGTTTAGACATATGACTCCACATGAGTTATTCCAAACATCTTGCTAACCACATGACTCCATCTGGGCCATTGACTTATGTTAGAAGAGAGGGAGTCAAAAGAGTCTTCAGGTACGTATTTGAAGAGCTATTGCAGGCACATTGGAAAACAACTGTTTGCTGTGTTCACAATGGATAGTAGTACAAAAGGGAACAGATGGCAGTTAGATGGTAAAAACTTAGATGATAAGGAACTGGTTGACCTTTAGAACAGGAAAGATGTTTAGAGTTCATCATCCCAATCCTCATTATATGGATGAGATACTGAGGCTGAGGCTGGCTGAATGTTAAGTCCAGGCTCACAAAGCTAGTGAGTCACATAGCTAGGTATTGAATTGGTGTCTTTGAACTTGCTGTTTAATGTTTTTCTGTATCTCTCTACTCCCAATCCTTAATCATTGCAAAGATTGTGGCTAGTTGCTAAGGTGCTGTACCCAGCAAAGCTGAGTGAGGGCTCTTTCTTTGTGGAATTTTGTATATTTTTAAGTTAAAAGTCTAAATCATTGTCTTCCTGGGAGGTACAAGTAAAGTAAGATATTTTCTGTGAGCCAGAATATTTACTAAGGTTGTTTTTTTTTTTTTTTTTTTTTTTTTTTTTGAGGCAGACTCTAGCTCTGCTGCCCAGGCTGGAGTGCAGTGGCGTGATCTTGGCTCATTGCAACCTCCGTCTCTGGGGTTCAAGCAATTTTCCTGCCTCCGCCTCCCAAGTAGCCGGGATTACAGGTGTGCATCACCATGCCCGGCTAATTTTTTTTGTATTTTTAGTAGAAACGAGGTTTCACTGTGTTGGTCAAGCTGGTCTCAAACTCCTGACCCCAGGTGATCTACCTGCCTCAGCCTCCCAAAATGTTGGGATTACAGACATGAGCCACCACGCCCAGCCTACTGATATTTCTTTTTTATTGGAAGATACACATTTGTTCACATGAACATTTCTTCTGCTGCATTTCATCTCTTCACATTAAAGTGGTTTCCAGGTCCTATGTTTATCTCTTCTGCTGTGGAATTGTGATCTGGGAGGACCTGCCAGCACCATAGGGCACATCCCAGTTATCCTGAACAGACAAGCGAGAATCTTCAAGTTTGTTCTTTATTTCTAACATGTAGAATCCCTGGAATCATGGGAAGCTACTGGGAGCCTGTCTTTGAAATACAGGTGAACCTGGAATGGGAGAGAAGGCACAGGGTTGGGCACATTGTAGGTACTTAATAAATAATTGTTGAACAAATAAATTATACTTCTCCTCACCTCTTCTCTTATAATTATGGAGCTGGGGAACCTAAAGACAAATCCAGTCTAACTTTTATAGTTATGCTTTATATTATGCAGTAAAGCAAGTGAAGTCTAGAAATGTTAAGTGACTTGTTAAAATTCATACAGCTAGTCAGGGGTTGTGCTTGGGATAGGCTTAGGTCATTCTGTCTCTTGATATTATATTAGGTTGAACCAAGTGAAATTGCTATTTCTGTAGGTCAAAACAGTTGTATACAGGTTGAGCATCTCTAATCTGAAATCCAAAATGTTCCAAAACCTAAACATTTTGAGCCCTGACATGACCCTACAAGTGGAAAATTCCACACCTGGCATCTTCACTTTCTGATGATTCAGTGTACACAAACTTTGTTCTATGCACAAAAGTATTAAAAATATTATAAAAAATTACCTTCAGGCTGTGTGTATAAGGTGTATATGAGACAAACGAATCTGGGTTTAGTCTTGGGTCTCATCCCCAAGATATCTTATATATATGCAAATATTCCAAAATCTGAAAAAAAATCCAAAAATCCCAAACAGTTCTGATCCCAAGCATTTTGGATAAGGGATACTCAACCGGTATTGGCAATTTAATACTGGTTCACCCTAATATGTTTTGAAGGATCTATACTGTATACATTCTTATTTCAATAATAGAAATCATAACTTTGGCCTTCTCTCTAAACCAAGCAAGCATATAATATTACAGCTTAATGTAGAGATCCACATTTGTTCGGAATCTGTTGATCCTGGGTTTACATCCCTTGTTCTTTCTAAGCTGAAGTTTCCTCATCAATAGAATAGGAATAATATTATGTGCATCACTCATAAGATTGTTTAAAAGATTGAGATGATTCTTTGAAGGGCTTAGTATAGTACCTGGCACATAGTAAGTACCTAATAAGTATATGCTATTGTTAATTGTATCAAAAAGGAAGAGAATAAAACTGATAAGGCTTTCAAAATGTATAATTTGGCCAGGGGCGGTGGAAGATACATGTAATCCCAACACTTTGGGAGGCCAAGGTGAGAGGCTTGCTTGAGCCCAGGAGTTCAAAACCAGCCTGTGCAAGATAGGGAGACTTTGTCTCTACAAAAAAAAAAAAAATTATATATATATATATATATATACATATATATATATATATATATATATATATATATATATACACACACACACACACATACACACACACATCATATAAATAAATAAATATATATATATATACACACACACACACATACATCAGCCAGGTATGGTGGTGTGTGCCTGTAGTCCCAGCTACTCAGGAGGCTGAGATGGGAGGATTGCTTGAGCCCAGGAGGTCGAGGCTGCAGTGAGCTAGGATTGTGCCTGGGCAACAGAGTGAGACCCTATCTCAAAATGATAAATAAATATATAAATAAATAAAATGTGTAATTTTTCTGGAAAGAACATTCATCTTTTTGAGGTTTGCAAGATATGCCAAACCTTTGTTGTCTAACAGGGACATATCTTTATATTATCTCTATTTCATATTCTTCTGCTTGTTATAGGGAACATGTGTGGAATGATATTCTATTTTTGAGACCGTTGCTTTGACACATGTGCTGTGTGCCACACAAGATTATTATGATAGAAGTAAAGCAACCAAATGTGAGTATGCAGAATGAGACCATGAGCTCTATAAAGGGAGGGGACATTCTGTGTCTCAGTCATGGATGATTCCTTCTCATTTCCTTTCTTTTTTTTTTATAATTATAGAATAATTTTACTTGTAATGCATATTGTCAAAAATCTCATCCTAGAGGCCTTCTACAGATAATTAAGGTCAGAGCAGCTATTGACAAAGAGGAAGGGAAAAGGAATGTTAGCTATTTTACTATGATGTAATGGATGCCTTAGAAACCTGGATGAACTAAGGGTCTCTGGAACCCAGAAGGTACATTTCCACACTCATTATTAAAGGTGATGTGATTACTTTGGCAAGTTTCCAGACTTTTGCATGGTGTCTTTTTCACAACTTGTGTATATTTCACAGCTTCACAACATATTTATAAGCAATTGGTTCAACTAATAGAAAACATGCTATTTACTTCCCTTATCTTTGGGATCTGACACTAACTCTGCAACTTACTGTTTCTGTACCCCATTTTCTTACCTAAAAGGAGGTTAATAATATGACTCATCTCACAAACTTGTTGCGAAGACTGAATAAGATAAAGCGTGCAAAGTCTTAAGAAGAAGACATGGCATTTAGTAACTAATAAAAAATGTCACCTCTCTCAGTATCATTATTACCTTAGAAAAAGTCCTTCTCATTTTCATCAGAGGCCAGGCACATAGTTAGGGTTCAAAATGCAGTTGACAAACTGACTGAATTAGCATAGTCTTTAAAAACTGGACCCTGGAACCATATCCCCTGTTTGTCCTTCCCTGCCCCATGGGTAAGCAAATATCTCCACTGCCTGGGCTCAGGAGACACCCATGTGTAAAGTATTTCTCAGATAACTACTCATGACCCGGTGACACATCAAGAGCAAATATATTTTCAGACAGCTGCACACTTGGAGGAAAAGTTACCACCCTTGGGTAAGAACAGACTAGGGCATTCCCAGCCCTGAGAAGGAAGCAGTAGATATTTCCTGAGTACAAGTAGCTTTCACAGCAGAGAAAATAAACAGAGGCCCCTTCTCCTTCCTTTCCATACCTCTAGCCCACCATTCTTAGAGGCCAGTAGACTTTTCAGGTGTCTTCCTCCATTATCTAGGCTGCCTTGGGTATGAATATACTAAATACCATAAAAATACAAAAAAAAAAAAAAAAAAGGAAAAGAAAAAAAAACAGAAAAAAGAAATAAACCATTGGGGAGGAGACCAAGCCCAAGACAAGTTGCTTTCTGAAGTGATGTAGTGGGAGAGGACTTGCGGTACAGTCCTAACAGCTACCCACAAATGCCCTTGTCATCTTCCACTTGAACTTGTCTCTTCCCATTTACTCCATCCTCTATCTACATTTACTTTGTCCACACTACTTTGCCACTGGAAATGTAAGCAAAGTTTGATCTTTAGAGGAAGATGCTACATGAATACAACACTGGTTACTTATTTATAAAAAACCATAAAGTTACTAAGAAATGGCTGCTATTTTGAGCTATGAGGTGAGCACTAGTTCCTGGAAGTATCTATGGAAGGGTGAAAACATTTAGTGATCATCTAGTGAGGGTGACATTGAGCAAGGCCTTTTATGAACACCATGTCTCCTTCACATAGCAGCCTTGCAGAAATAAATATTATCCCACATTTTACAAATGGGAAATCGCAGGTTCAGAGAAATAAGCTGGCACAAGAACACACAAGAAATAATTAGGGCAGATCTCTAAACAAAGCTATGTATGCACTTGCTACTACAGCAGGCTCGGATCCTCTCCCCAGGCCTGTGAGGCAGGTGGGCACACCTATTGCTGACCTTTTGAAGTTGAGAAAATTGGAGCAAAAACATTGTGAATTTTCAGCTTATCTGGTTCTACTATGATGAGAAAGTTCATCCATCCATTCATTTGCTTATCCATTTATTAAAAGCACTTTTATTCAGGCTCTACTCTGGGTTGAGCATTGTGCTAGGCACTGAGAGGGTATCAAACAGGTATAAAACATGGGCTCTCATGGTAAGTAAGAATGCTTACTTCATGACCTTTTATCCCAGATATGGAGATAAGAGTCCTGAAATATTTGTTTTTAATATAAGAGCAAAATTTAGGTTGTGTGAAAAACAATTGGTGCATTGGAAGTTTAAAGGAAGTTAGAGATGCCTCTAAACTC
Organism: Homo sapiens; assembly: GCF_000001405.40. Taxonomy (NCBI): domain Eukaryota; kingdom Metazoa; phylum Chordata; class Mammalia; order Primates; family Hominidae; genus Homo; species Homo sapiens. The sequence goes on along the minus strand of NC_000011.10, from coordinate 85,786,708 downwards.
CCCATAGAGAGCTCTGTGGAGGTGGTTAAGTTTTATGTGTTGATGCCCCCTCTCTCGACCTGCCATGCACACACATACACACACTCTCAAACTGGTAGTGCTGATGGTAGCAGAGGAGAGGTCGCTTCAGAATGTTTTTAAATTAATCTTTTTATTTTGAGACAATTGTAGATCACATGAGGCTGTAAGAAATAGTGCAGAGATCCGTGTACCCTTTACCCAGTTTCCCCTATGGTAACATTTTGTACAACTATAGTATATCACAACTCAGATATTGGCATAGACTTTTTCCAGTTTACTAATGTGTGTGTGCATATGGGCCTGTGTGTATTAAGTTGTATACAATTTTATCACATGTGTCAACCATCACTGGCCAGATACTGACCAGTTACACCACCACAGATTCTTTCCATTTGTTCTTTGATAATCACACCCACCTCCCTACAGCCTCCACAGCCCCCATCCCTAACCCCTATCAACCACTAATCTGTTCTTCATTTCTATAATTTTGCCATTTCAAGAGTGTCATATAAACAGAACCATGCAGTAGTGGCCTTTTAGGATTGGCCTTTTTATATTTAGCACAATTCCCTTGAGATTCATCCAAGTTGTGTCTATCAAGAGTTTTTCCTTTTTGTTGCTTAGTAGTATCCCACGGTATGGATGTACCAGAGTTTGTTTAACCATTCACCTGTTGAAGAGCACTGGGGTTATTTCTAATTTTTGGCTATTACAAATAAAGCTGGAATGAACAGGACTTTTTTAAACATAGTATTATGTAACATAGTCAGGTCTAACCTTAGGCAGAGCGTGAAGTGGAAGTCACTGTCATTCCTTCCTTGGGAATATTTTATTCTTTCATTTAGCACTCATTCAACAGGTATTTTTTGAGCTAGGCATTGTGCTACTTACATTCTACTGAGAAATAGATGAGTGAAAATCTGTTGACTCTCAGGCTTCATACATCTTAATATGTAGCTTCTTTGGAGGAAAACAGCCAGTCCAGACCATGAGCCTCATTTAAGCTCCTGCGGACTCTGATTGACCTTGAGAGTTAAAACTTGGGGAGTATACCTTCTTTAATTCTCCTGAGCCAACTCATATTTTCTGTAAGATTTCATGATGATTCAAATTCTCATTAAAAATCTTAAAAATTAGTGTTTTGAATTATTTTAGAAACAGAAATGGAAGAAGTTTCTGCAACAATTGTTTTAAGATCTGTTTTTCTTTTTATAAAACTGTTAGACAAGGATTTTTACTTTTAGGAAGATAGTAAACACTTTCTGAATAATAGTTAAGGGAAAAGGCAAAATCCCACTTTTCCTTCTGTTTTCCGTACCTGACGGGGGTTCATTTCTGGCTGTCCTGGGTCCAGCTGTGTTGCTTGCTTGAGCTCATCCTGAAACTCTGTCCTATCCATTTTGGTATTTAGTTAATGTCTTTTCATTTTAGTTTTGTTGAGAATTACAAAAACCTTTATCCTGAGGTGAAAGACTGAATTCCACAGAGGGGACCTCATTGGTGTTTTGCCTTCCAGCTCTTAGCTGGGCACTCAAGTCCTTTTCACTCAGCGACCATACATGGTTGTGGTTTCCATGTGGAATGGGTGTGGCATTTCTCTTGGCTCAAATTTCCCCTTTCTCACCTCCCACTTCTCCCTCTCTACCTTGAAGCCTCTTCTGATTGGTTTAATGAGAAATAATACCCAAATAAGAAGATACCGCATTAAATACATGCAAGTGCTGATGTGTTGCTGCCGGCAGCCACAGGCTGTGGTGTGAGTAACTAGTGATTCCGAGGATGAAAGAAATCAGTTTATAAATCTCAATGATAGGAACATTTTTTTTTCTTTACCCCTTACCAGCTCTGTGGAATTGTGGAAAGAAATTGAAGACCAGGATTCAAGATGATGTATTTTTTGTATAATTCTTTGCGTGTGTGTGAATGTTAAAGGCTGGCAATTTCCTATGCTTCTAATGTGCATAGATTTAATAAAACGAACATGTAATAAAGTTAAGCTGCATGATGATATCATTTATTTCCCTTGTATCTCAGCCTAAATAGTAGTGGCATTTGAAAGCCATTATGTTAGAGAATAATATAATTATGGACCCTGAATTTGAAGTAAAGCAATTCAGCCTTACTATTCTCCTTGATCTCCTTTGATGTTTACTTCCACTTGTTTTTCTTCTTCTCTTCTATCTAAGATGGAAGGAAGAAAACCAGTAAGACAGAGAATATCATATCTTTAGATGGGATTTTTTTTCTTCACATCTCTGTTATTTTACTTATTCTTTTTTGCAAGACATTAATGAGGTTTACCATAATTTTTTTTTTTTCTATTTTGGTGGCTTTGGTTTCCTAATGGGAGAATACAGCAGAAGGAATTTGAGGCGTTAGTGGTTCATAGCCTAGAAAGCTCTGTTTTCAAACCATTGCATTGCACCGTCTCTGTCATTAAATATTGCAAAGCATAGTCTCAGCTGAATTCACTGAATGTCTTTCCTGGGGGAAATGCTGCTTTTCTCCTCTGTCAGGGTCTCTAGAAAGGTGAGGGTTCTGCCAGGTTTAAGAAAGATGAATTTCCAGTTACCTTGTGAAGGTTGATTTCAGGACTCTGTTCTGGGTCATACTAGGAAGCCTGCCATGGGCACATGGCACGTGGTTGTTGTGGCCAAGTAATGCCCATCAGATAGGTAAAGACCTCCTCTTCCTGGGCTGCCTGGGGAAGTCCAGTCTGAGGAAATCTGTGGCCAGAATCTGAGCCAGAGATCAGAAAATGAGCCAGGCCACAGAGTGTGCAGGGATCATAGAGAAAGGAGCAAGAAGAGCCAAGGACTGAAAAATGTACAACCCAAGCCACCTGGAGAATGATTCTGTGCTTTGTGACACTTCTGTCCAAGAAGGCAGCATGGGGTGGAAGCACAGAGCATGGACACTGGAATTGGACAATCTGGCTGGAGTTGTGCTGCCATTACTAGCAGTTAACTGAGTAATGAGCAGTTACTTGGCCTCTCTAAACCTGTTTTCTTATCTGTAGAATGCTTACTTCATGTTGCTGTGAGAAATTAATGAGTTAATATATGTAAGGTACTTAAAACCGTGCCTAGAATATTCTGTTATGTAAGACTTTGATAGTCTTATTGTTTTTATTAACTAATATTAACTATTTTTGCCTAGTTTGCTATATACCATCAAGAACAAGGGTGTTAGGATATATGAAGAACCAGAGTTCTATATATAAAAATCAAAGTGTTTTATATGGTTTGGCTATGTCCCCACCGAAATATCATCTTGAATTGTAGTTCCCATAATCCCCACCTGTTGTGGGAGGGACTTGATGGGAGGTAATTGAATCATGGGGGTGGTTACCTCTATGCTGCTATTCTAGTGATAGTGAGTGAGTTCTCACGAGATCTGATGGCTTTATAAGGGGCTTTCCCCCTTTTGCTTGGCACTTCTCCTTGCTGCCACCATGTAAAAAAGGACATGTTTGCTTCCCCTTCTGTCATGATCGTAAGTTTCCCGAGGCCTCCCCAGCCACATGGAACTGTAAGTCCATTAAACCTTTTTCCTTTATAAGTTACCCAGTCTCGGGTATGTCTTTATTAGCAGCATAAGAATGGACTAATACAGTGATTTGGTACTGGGAGTGGGTTGCTGCTGTAAAGATATCCAAAAATGTGGAAGCGGCTTTGGAACTGTGTAACAGACAGAGGTTGGAACAGTTTGGAGGGCTCTGAAGAAGAAAGGAAAATGTGAGAAAGTTTGGAACTTCCTAGAGACTTGTTGAATGGTTTTGACCAAAATGCTGATATTGATGTGGACAACGAAGTCCAGATTGAGGTGGTCTCAGATGGAGATGAAGAACTTGTTGGGAACTGGAGCAAAGCTCATCATGCTTTGGTAAAGAGACTGGTGGCATTTTGCCCCTGTCTTAGAGATTTGAACTAGAGAGAGATGAAACTTTGAACTTGAGAGAGATGATTAGGATATCTGTAAGAAGAAATTTCTAAGCGGTAAAGTGTTCAAGATGTGACCTGAATGCTGTTAAAAGCATTCAGTTTTATGTATTCACAAAGATATGGTTTGGAATTGGAACTTACGTTTAAAAAAGAAGCAGAGCATAAAAGTTTGGAGAATTTGCAGCCTGACTGTGTGACAGAAAAGAAAAAACCATTTTCTGGAGAGAAATTCAAGCTGGCTGCATACATTTGCATAAGTAATGAGGAACCAAATGTTAATCAGCAAGACAATGGGGAAAATGTCTCCAGGGCATGTCAGAGACCTTCACAGCAGCCCCCCCACCCATCACAGGTCTGGAGGCCTAGGAAGGGAAAATGGTTTCCTGGGCTGGGTCCAGGGCCCCCCTGCTGTGTGCAGCCTCTAGGACTTGTTGGTGCCCTCCATCCCAGCTACTCCAGCCATGGCTTAAAGAGACCAAGGTACAGCTCAAGTTGTTACTTCAGAGGTTGTAAGCCCCAAGCCTTGGCAGCTTCCACATGGTTTTGAGCCTACCAGTGCACAGAAGTCAAGAATTGACGTTTGGGAACGTCCACCTAGATTTCAGAGGATGTGTGGAAATGCCTGATGTCTAGGCAGAAGTTTTCTGCAGGGGTGGGACTCTCATGGAGAACCTCTGCTAGGGCAGTGCAGAAGGGAACTGTGGGGTTGGAGACCCCACACCCAGTCCCCACTGGGGCACTGCCTAGTGGAGCTGTGAGAAGAGGGCTACTATCCTCCAGACCCCAGAATGGTAGATCCACCAACACTTGCACTGTGTGCCTGGAAAAGCTGTAGACACTCAATGCCAGCCTGTGAAAGCAGTTGGGAGGGGGTGCTGTATCCTACAAAGCCACAGGGGTGGAGTTGCGCAAGGCTGTGGGAGCCAACCTTTTGCATCAGCATGACCTAGATATGAGACATGGAGATCTCAAAGGAGATCATTTTGGAGCTTTAAGATTTGACTGCCCTACTGGATTTTGGACTTGCCTGGGGCCTGTTGCCCCTTCATTTCTGCCAACTTTTCCCATTTAGAATGGGTGTATTTACCCAATGCCTGTACCCTCATTGTATCCAGGAAGTAATTAACTTCCTTTTGATTTTACAGGCTCATAAGTATAAGGGACTTGGTTTGTCTCAGATGAGTCTTTGAACTGTGGGCTTCTGAGTTAATGCTGAAATGAGTTAAGAATTTGTGGGACTGTTGGGAGGGCATAACTGGTTTTGAAATGTGAGGACATGAGATTTTGGAGGGGCCAGGGCAGAATGATATGGTTTGGCTGTGTCCCCACCCTAATCTCATCTTGAATTGTAGTTCTCATAATCCCTGTGTGCTGTGGGAGGGACTTGGTGGGAGGTAATTGAATCATGGGGGTGATTACCCCCATGCCGCTGTTCTAGTGACAGTGAGTCAGTTCTTACAAGATCTGATGGTTTTATAAGGGGCTTTTTCCCCTTTTGCTTAGCACTTCTCCTTGCTGCTACCATGTGAAGAAGGATGTGTTTGCTTCCCCTTCTGTCATGATTGTAAGTTTCCTGAGGCCTCCCCAGCCATGCTGAACTTTGAGTCAATTAAACCTCTTTCCTTTATAAATTACCCAGTCTTAGGTATGTCTTCATTAGCAGCATTGGAATGGACTACTGCAGTGTTCTTCCTATTCTCTACTCACCACAGCGCAGAACACTTCTGTACCCCAGATGTGCAGGGGTTTTCCCCACACATACCAAGCAAGCAATCAGTTCTACAGCAAACACCAGCTGGGTATCCTCTAATTCAATTCAATTCTGACATTGCCTAACTGAAGATAGCATCAGATCTCACAGGCTGAGGGCCCAGTCCCACAAGACTGTCCCTAATTCAGATGCCAATCGCAAGTAATAGGTTGTCACCTATATTTCTGATTGACTGACTGTAAATTGGATTTCTCACTACTCCTTTTTTTGGGTTTGACTAATTCACTAGAATGTTACAGAACTCAGAGAAAAACTTTACTTGTATTTACCAGTTTATTATAAAGGATATTGCAAAGGATATGGATGAACAGCCAGATAGAAGAAATGCATAGGGCAAAGTATGGGAGAAGGGGCATGGAGCTTCCATGTGTTCAGCTAACAAGAAGCTCTTCAAACCCAATCCCTTTGGGATTTTATGGCAGCTTCGTTACATAGGCGTGACTGATTAAACCAATGGACACAGTGATTAGCTTAACCTTTGTGCTGGCAGGGACCTCTCTTCTCCCCAGAGACTGGGGCTTTGGACTGAAAAGTTTAATCATGCTTTAGTCTTTATTGTGACCAGCCCCCATTCTGAAGCTACCTAGTGGCTGCCAGCCACCAGTTATCACCTTAGCATACAAAAGACACTCTTATCACTCCAGAGATTCCAAGGGTTTTAGGAGCTATGTACCAGGAAAAGAGAACAAAGATATTTCACAATATCACAGAGAGACATTTCATTTGGTGGAAAATTATCCTACTCTTTAGATGAGCATAAGCACTATTGAAAGAATGACTGTTGCTTGCTTGACTACAGACTTTGGGATGGTTTTACTCTGGGCTTTGAAATGCAATAAGAGGTATAGGGCCATAGTTCATTGTAGACAAATTCTGCTGTGGCCTGAATTGTCTTCTTTCACCAGTGTGAGTCACAGCATTTTATCGTCAGAAGGAGTCTATGTGAGAGATCATCCTTTTTAGTTCCCTCACTTTGCAGATGAGGAGATAGAAGCTTCAGAAGGTTAAGTGACTTGCCCAGCATCACATAGCAAGAGAGAGAGACTGAGCTGGGAGCAAAGTTGACCTTGCCTAATCCCTGGACAGTGTTCTTTCTCTAGTACACACCAGTTTTCTAAAATCATGGCCCCTCTCTTCAGTGAGATGTACCTAACAAGTCTTCTCACACAGTATGTCCTTAGGAAGTATTTACTGATTGATCTTTGTTGATTAAAAATTTATAAAATGACTGTTTTTCTTCTTCTGAAACTGAAGATTGTTTTACCTAAATATTTTCAGTTTTCCATGATAGTGTGACCTTTTTTAAGTCCTACTTCTGCTAGGGAAAAAAAAAAACACTTGATGAGTTTTATCTGTTCCATATGTTTATAGCTTTTGAAATGAACATTTGAAATTCCATTATGTCAGTTTGTAGATAGTAACTTATATCTATAATATATCCATATATACACATATCTATACACAACATAGTAATTAAGAGCACATATGGAGGTGAAATTATTCTGCTTCTCTGAACCCAGTTCCTCTTTTGTGAAATAGGAATGATAATGACACTTTCCTTACAGTGTTGGACTGAGGATTTGGGGAGATAGCCCGTGTAAGTGTTCCAGACTGGTGGCTCTTCATAGAAATAATAGCAATAGCAATAACTTCACATGTAATCCTGCTGTCCCCCTCCCAATAAACAACCACATCTGAACCAAAATACCCTTGTTAGAACACTCTTCTATGGCAAAGGGATGCCTTATTTTACTACCTGGGGATGAGGATCCTGGTTTTATCATCACTTAGCAGCCACCGAGCCTAATTTTCTATGTAATAATAGGTCAAGAGGTTTTCACGATTTCATAAATTGGTTGCAAATGACTGAGAACTAAATGTATAGTAGTTTTTATGTATATAGATGTATATGTTATATAATATATATAGTATAGTACACTACAGAATATATAGATTCTATATTTTGTTTTTATTTTATTCATGTATTTGTTTCTTGAGACAAGGTCTGGCTCTATCACCCAGGCTTGAGTGCAGTGGGGCAATCTCCTCTCACCGCAACCTCTGCCTCCCAGTCTCAAGCCATTCTCCCACCTCAGCCTCTCAAGTAGCTGGGACTACTTGGCATGCACCACTACACCTAGCTAATTTTTGTATTTTCTGTAGAGATAGGGTTTTGCCACGTGGCCCAGGCTGGTCTCAAACTTGTGAGCTTAAGTGATCCGCCTGACTCAGCCTCCCAAAGTGCTGGGATTACAAGTGTGAGCCACTGCACGCCCAGCCTTATTTTAAATAGATAGTGCATGCATGTGTCTATGCTACTCCTCTTCACTAAGCTTAGACATTGTTAGGCACTTGCTCAAGGATAAGTCTTCAAGACTTCAGTGGTGCATGTCTACAGGTCTTGCTGCCTTCTGTTGAGTTGCTCAAGATGCCAGAATGGCTGAAAAGATGCTAGAACTGGTTCTGCTTTCTAACTTGGGAGCTCTGCTTCTCTTTGGTCACTGCATTCACTCTGCAATTAGTACCGGGTACTGTTGTGATGGAAAAGACGGTTTAAATTCTCTTTGGTAGAAAGTCACTTTCAGCTTCGAGTCCAAACTCCAAAACCACTCCTGGGTAACACTATCAAATAGTCCTGGGCTCTACCCCATCCCCACTGCTTGCTAATTGCTTTGGGGGGTGAGGGGATGGGGTAAGGGTGAGGGAGGATTGTTTAATCTTATCATAACCTACATTGTATGAATTACACCTGTGAATTTCATCTCAGAACCCTTGGTGAAATTGTTTGAAGTGTTACTTGATGAAAATAAATTGGAATCTGCAGGTTGACTAAAGTCTCACTAGTAAGAAGACCGGCCGGGCATGATGGTTCCTGCCTGTAATCCCAGCAGTTTGGGAGGCCGAGGCGGGCAGATCACCTGAGGTCAGGCGTTGGAGACCAGCCTGGCCAACGTGGTGAAACCCCATCTTCACTAAAAATACAAAAAGTAGCCTGCATGGTGGTGGGCACCTGTAGTCCCATCTACTCGGGAGGCTGAGGCAGGAGAATCACTTGAATAGGGAGTCAGAGGTTGCAGTGAGCCGAGATTATGCCATTGCACTCCAGCCTGGGCAACAAGAGCAAAACTCGGTCTCAAAAAAAAAAAAAAAAAAAAAAAAAGAAGTAAGACCTGTAATTCTGGTAAGTGAAACCTTAGGATTCCTATGACCTAAGTTTTACTCTTCTTGTGTCTGAAGCCTACTCTGTTAAGGACCTCTACCTGATTCCAGAGTCCCAATTCCTGTTTTTTGGTAGTTTTTTTTCTTTTTCTTTTTTTTGGCAGGGGGTGTGGGTTGGGGGGGGATTAAATCCCATTCTTTTAGTGTACAGAGCCTGGGCCTGTTTTATAATCCCTTCTATAATTTTGATGCTTTATCTTCACCTTGAAATCTTTTCTAGCCATTCCCCTCCTCTCCCTTCGTGCCTCAGAAGCAGGTTCAGGGTGCTCATTAATTACATTCTTGAGTGTTGGTAGCAATGAATGCAGTCTGGGAAGGTAGGCTTGCTGTACAGGCATGTGATAAGTCACACCTGCAGAGAGGAATACCTTGACTAAAAGGCCAATTAGCTCAGACACTTTTGGTAATGGTCAAGAGTGCCAAGATTAGTTGTTTTCACCTTCACTCAGTGGTACAGATTACATGTTCTTAACCCCATGTTAGCCCTCTTCCTGATACTTACTGTTACTGCCAAGGGAAAAGTAGGGCTTGGGGCCACCCATTTCTGCTACCAAGAAAAATACTCAGAGCATACACATGCTAATTACTGAGGTGACTAAAGAATGTCCACTTCTTCAATGAAAGACAATGCTCTTTTGTGTATGTAGGAAAATAGATGTCCTTTTGTTTTCCTGTACTCCACCCTCTCCAAAGCTGTACTATGCTGTCTTCTGCATTGAATTCAGTGAGTTGGCATGTGACTTGTCTGAATCTTTCCCCCTGTCCAAAGCTCAGGTTAAGTCTTACCTCACCCTGGTTTTTGCCCTGATCTCTTCACTACCCCTCTAACCACAGAGCTGACACTTAAATACACCCCATTGTCTTACTCCATTTTGTGTTGCTATAAAGAAATACCCGAAGCTGGGTAATTTATTTTTTAAAAAAGGTTTGTGGTGATTCCTCAAGGATCTAGAACTAGAAATATCATTTGACCCAGCAATCCCATTACTGGGCATATACCCAAAGGATTATAAGTCATTCTACAATAAAGACACATGCACACGCATGTTTATTGCATCACTATTCACAATAGCAAAGACTTGGAACCAGCCCAAATGTCCATCAGTGATAGACTGGATTAAGAAAATGTGGCACATATACAGCATGGATACTATGCAGCCACAAAAAAGGGATGAGTTCATGTCCTTTGCAGGGACATGGATGAAGCTGGAAACCATCATTCTCAGCAAACTATCACAAGATCAGAAAATCAAACACCACACGTTCTCACTCATAAATGAGAGTTGAACAATGAGAACAGATGGACACAGGGAGGGGAACATAACACACCGGGGCCTGTTGCGCGGTGGGAGGCTAGGGGAGGGATAACATTAGGAGAAATACCTAATGTAGATGACGGGTTGATGGGTGCAGCAAACCATGGCATGTGTATACCTATGTAACAAAACTGCATGTTCTGCACATGTAATCCAGAACTTAATAATAATAAAAGGTTTATTTGGCTCATGATTCTGATGGCTGGGAAGTTCAAGATTGGGCATCTATATCTGGTGAGGACCTTCAGCTGCTTCCACTCCTAGAGGAAGGCAGAAGGGGAGCCAGCTGTGCAGAGATCACTTGGCAAGAGAGGAAGCAAAGGGTGAGAGAACTGGGTAGCTCTTTTTAAAACAATCAGCTCTCAAGGGAACTAATAGAGTGAGGACTCACTCATCTTCTGAAGGAGAGTATTAATCTATTTGTGAGGGATCTACCCCCATCACCAAAACACCTGCCATTAGGCCGTACCTCCATCATTGGGATTAAATTTCAATATGAGATTTGGAGGGATAAACATCCAAACCATAGCACCCATTGCTTTTAGTTCTTCTCTTCCTTTACAAATGTGTTCTCAGCTCTGTCACTTAACACCTGTGTGATCTTGGCTAAGCCACTTGACCTTGCTGAACCTCAGTTTTCATATCAATAAAAGGGTGGGCTGGGCATGGTGGTTTATACCCGTAATCCTAGCACTTTGGGAGGCTGAGGCGGGCAGATTACTTGAGGTCAGGAGTTCAAGATCAGCCTGGTCAACATGGTGAAACCCGTCTTAGTAAAAATACAAAAATTAGCCAGGCGTGGTCGCACATGCATGTAATTCCAGCTGCTCTGGACGCTGGGGCAGGAGAATCACTTGAACCCAGGAGGTGGAGGCTGGAGTGTGCCGAGATAGCGCCACTGTACTCTAGCCTGGATGATAGAGTGGGACTCTGTCTCTAAATAAATAAATAAATAAATGGGGGATTATGAAGATACTTATTCCTATCCGCTCTACCTACCTCCCAAGAAGGGTTGTGAAGAGTACGTGTGCTACAGTACAGTGTAAACCCCCAACATTGTACAAATGGGAGCTATTATTATTGCTGTGGGCCAATATGTTCTTCACAACAGGAACCAGGTCTTAGGACTTAATAGTTGTACCCATTGTGCCTAGCTTAATCCCAAACAGAGGATACTGTCATTCAGGAAGGAGGGAGGGAGGGACAGAAAGAAGAAAAGAAAGACTTTTGTTAGGTTTTATACCCTATTTTCCTAATTATTCTCTCCTTCACTGTAGTGATGTCTTATGAAAAGTGTTTAGTTTCTAAAAAGGCTTTGCACTGGGCAGCAGGGTGACATTTTTCTCCAGTAGTCTGCCTATTCATCTCTTTCTCCCTAAGCTAGCTTGGTGATGGTGTTGGCATTCATTTTGTCATTTGATTTTATGTCCATGAGAAAAAAAAAAACAGGAAGGCACCTGAGAGATCAGAGTCCAAATGCCTCATTTTACAGGTGAAGTCACCCAGAGAGGTGAGTGAAACAAAGAGTTTCAGTTTTCAGTAGCAGAGCGAAGACCAGAACCCAGATCTTCAACTGCTCTAGGCAGGGCACAGGCTGACCCTAATTAATGAAGTACTAATGATCATTTGTGCCTGCCTTTGGAAGGGTTTAAGGTTTGATTAATACTATAAAGCTCTTGTCCAGATCAGTGCAAGGATTTTTGTTGTTCATGAGGGTATAGGAGAAATAGATTTGCTGATGCTATAACCTCATACTTCCTGCTTGCTCTCCACACTTTGAGTTTATTTATATAAGCTTCTAAATTGGGATCACGTAAAAAATAAAAATTCCTTTTTAACTGGTCTCATTTCACATCAAGTTTAACAACATTCTATCTTGCAAAGCTCGGTATTTGGGGTGTGTAGGGGTTTGAGGGAAACCCCAGCTCCTGTTTGCCTCTTGGGGTTCCTTTGCAGGGCACTGTGTACCTGGCCTTTTCTTCCACCTTTACTGCTGCTCTTCCTGTTATGTCAGAACTTTGGAGCTAGGTAGACCTGAGTTCAAATCCCAACTGTGTTACTTGGAAGCAATTTGAATTTAATGAAGTCCCTTAAGATCCATGAACTTCAGTTTCCTCATTGATAAAATGCGGGTGATGGTGCCTACTTTGCTGGTTTGCCTTATGGTGTAGAGAAAATGTGTGTAAAGATTAAAAAAGGTATTGGAGAAAGATTAAATGTCAGTTCCTTCTCTAATTCTTCAATAAAATTCAAGTCCTACCAATTAATTGCATTAATTTAGTTTTTTATTTTCTATAATATATGCACATAACTTTTAATGTTATTAGTAGTGAACAAGGCTTTTTGGTTTTCTGTGTAATATCACATTCTTTCTTGCTGGCTTTCATCTGAATTTCCAGGGCTTGAGATTTTCAGAAAGTTTAGTGTATAATTTATTCCTTTTAGAGATTTTCCTTCCTCTTGGTAAAAGAAAAAACCACATAGCTGGACATCATTTCTAACTTTGAATTGCCTTTTTAAGAACTATGGTTTAGTTGGTTTAAAGAGAGGTTTTTCAGGGACAAATTTAATATATATTTTTCAGCTCTGCAAAGATTACATTATAAATCTGAATAGCTATATATTTTTTCCTAATAAGGCAAAGGCTTAGAGACAGTTTACTTTCTTTTTTGAATAGAGAAAACATTTATTGAAAAAATAAATTTCTGGTCTTTTGGAATAACACTATAAAATGAATGTGGTACTTTGATGGAATTTGGAACAATATCACCAAACATGGAGTGGCGGGCACAGGTCAGGTGTTGGAAATACAGAGGAGATGAACATGGCATCTCCTTCTTCCAGGAGAGCTCAGGCTGATAAAGGAGACGGATAAGGAAACAGACAGTTGCTATATAATGCCGAGTCCTGTGAGACCAAAGAGGAGGAGACTCTAACTCCACTTATCAGGAAGGGGCTAGACTCATCTTCCGACAGGAGGTGACACCTGGACTCTGTCTTGAAAGATGACTAGGAGTTTAAGAAGCTGGAGAAAGACCTTGCAGGCAAAAGGAGCTGCATGTTCCAAAGACAGAGGTGTGAAAGGTAAGTTTAAAGAACTAACTTCAAGGTACTGTGTCGGGAGAAATGGAAAGGAAGTCAGGGTGTAGATCTGGAGGGGCTAATGTAACGCTGAGTGGTTTGAATTTTATCCTGAAGGCAGTGAAGCCATTGACTGTACCTGCCAGGGAGTCTTACAATGGCAGAAGACCTTAGAGGTCAGAACTGAGCCCTCTTGTTTTTGCAGATGTGGAAACTGAGGCCAAGGAAAGGAAAGGAAAGTGAAACACTCATGGCCATACAGGGAATTAGTGGCTGATAACCTATGTCTTTTATACAGTGGGAAGTAGGGAGAAGGGAACCTTCCCAAGGAAATTTCAGTGTTGACCTTATGAAGGCAGATTCTCATAGGAACATTTGGCCAAGGATTTATCATGGGGACTGCATGGTTTGGGCTAATGACCCCAGCATGCCTTTTGCATATTATTTCCTTTAAAGGAAAGGCCATCACTAGCAAGAAATGCTCTTTGGCTATTTTTAGGCTGTGTGGTAGGGGGAATTAGTGGAATTCCTAAGGTTAGCTCCAGCTGTTTTTCTCCAAAAGGCCAGCTGAATATTTTATGAAATTTGCTCATTAGGGTTTTTATCCTTCTGTGAGGCATTATACTGAGTCTGAGCTCAGGCTGGCCTGAGATATAAGTAAGGGGACTGGAGTTTGGGGAAAACAAAACTGGGGCTGGGCTGGTTGCTGCCCATTTTGATATCTAATGTTAAATGGAGTTTTAGATATGGTTGGTCATTCTGCCTTCATACGCATAGTGAAGGTCCTTCTGGAATATGACAGCTATCATGAAGGATGACTGGATTTTGCAGATTCAGAGACATAATGCCTGGGCAGAGTTGGTGCTGACTGACTGGTGTAACTACCATGTAATAGCACCTTTTATTTAGTAATACAACCTTATAGGACTTCATAGATAGCAAGTCAGATATTCATTAAGACTTATTCAATGGGAGCATGCTTGTGGCTATTTGTTTTCTACAAGTAGAATACTACTTCCTATTGTGTCTCAGGAACTATATATATGAAGATAGGCGAAGTAAAAGCATTCTTCATTTCTTCTAGACTGTACTATGAACCTTTCTTCTTAACCAAATTTATGGGTATCTGCTTAGAGATCATGCTATGTTAGAAGGAGAATGGATCAGCCAGGCACGTGCCTGTAATCCCAGCACTTTGGGAGGCCAAGGCGAGTGGCTCGAGCTCAGGAGTTTGAGACCAGCCTGGGCAGTGTGACGAAACCTTGTCTCTACCAAAAAATAAAAAAATTAGCCAGGCGTTGTGTCATATGCCTGTAGGCCTAGCTGTTTAGGAGGCTGAGATGGGAGGATCGCTTAAGCCCAGGAGGCGGAGTTTGCAGTGAGCTGAGATTGTGCCACTGCACTCTAGCCTGGGTGATAGAGCAAGATCCTGTCTCAAAAAATATATATATATATAACTATAATTATATATAATATTTTGCACTTTATAAAATGTCTTTCCATGCAGGGTCTCATCAGCTCCCTGTGGTGATTCAGCAAAGAGGGTAGGCAGTGGTTAGTCTCAATTTTAGAGATGAGCAAACTAAGGCTCAAGCAAATGCTGTTGGTGGTCACCAAGCTAGTAAGTGGGTAATCAGATTTCAAACCAGATCTTGTGACTTTAAATCTTACGTTCTTTTTCCTTCATGACACTGCCAACTAGACTGCGGAAAAAGGGCCAGTTTCTCCTACAGTGTAAAAGTGGTTCAGGGAATGCCTTGAAAGCGAGGGAATTCTGTTGCATACACAACCAAGGAATGAAGGAGAATCCACAGCATGGGGTTTCTAAACAGGATGGAATAAACGTGAGCTTTGTCCCCCCAGCTCTGAAACAACAGTTGTCTGAGCTAGAACTCAGTGACATTAAACTAACGGTATGTAACTTATGCTAATGAAAGAAATACTGATTTATTACTTTATTACTGTTGGTTGGGATGAATAGTTGTTTACATTCATTTACGTTAATTAACCAAAGACAGGGAGTCTTGCCAAGTTTCCATTTTAAGAATTATATTGAACACTGATGATCGCAGAGATCCAGTGTGCTTCTCCCCTGCTCTCTGAAGTGTCTAAAGGTGAAACCATCCTTAGACTACACCGGTCAGGAAGTCTCGAGAGATGCTCTCAACACTTTGGTAACTATTTATGTTTTTTTCCACTACTATGTATCAGGTGCAGTGTGGCTAAAAATGGACAAAAATCCTTCCCTCAAAGAGTCTAGAAGTGGGAATTTGATATATCTATAAGTTACAAAATGTTAGTTATTGAATAATTACTGTGTTGGGTACCTATATATAAGCATTAATTTTCTTGACAACTCAGTAAGATAGGTATGATGCCCATTTTACAGATGAGAAACCCGAGGCTCAGGGAAGCTAAGTAACTTGTATAATAGGGCCACATTATATTCGGGTCTATCTGACTCTAGAGCCTGGGCTCTTTCCTACTTCAGATGAGAGATGTACGGATAAGTATTATTGGGCTCAGTGAAAGAGAAAATGTTGCCTGCTTGTGGTAGGGGTATTTGTGAGGGGAAATGGGCTGCAGGAGCAGTTTCATGGAGGAGGTGTCATTTACACTGGGACTTGAGTGATAGGAAAGGGTTGGATGTGTGCAGATAAAAGGTAAAGACATTCCAGGTAGAGAGAATGGCATAAACAATGGTCTGGCGATGATAGTGTACAGGTGATATGTGGGGAATGGATGGGCTGTAGTTCAAGGGGTAGGAATGGTCCTGTAGGAAAGAAGATTGGATAGGGAACTTGGAATGAAATGAGAAGGATGCCAATACTGGAGTAAGGAATTTGGACTTCTCTGCCATCAGGGAAGTGCTTGGGAAGGTTTTCGAGTCAAGGCATGGCATGATGAGAGTGGTGCTTTGGATATGAGTCTAGCTGGATTGTGTATGGTAGACAGAAATGAGGGAGAACCAGGAGTGAATGAAGCCATGTTCAGAGAAAATTACATCCGCCTACATGAGTGGTAGACAAGGGGAGAAAGAGTTGTACTGGAGGGAGATTGCACAGGTTCAGTCTGGCAATGATTGGTTTTTAGGATGAGGAGAGGAAAGCATCCATAGTGTCACCTCAGAGTTACTTATGAGGATGTACTTAGTTAACAGGTTCCAGGCAGCATGCTAGGGATTTGTATAGCAGATGCAATACGAATCCAACAGCAATAACTTGACTTGAGCACACCCTGAGCATGACTGTGTGGCAGATTTACCAGAATGTGTGTTCAGAGTTCTGAGCTAATGAATCTGGGAGTGGCCAACCTGGAGATCTATTCCTTATCTATGAGGAACATCTGAGCCCCCAGCTGTCCTGTGAAATGAGGCCCTTTGTTTTGGGTTAAATGATGGTTGCCAGGTGGAGGTTGTTAGGGGAAGGGTGCCAAGTGAAAATGCTACATAAACTGCGTGTTTTTGCAAGTGGTTGTGGTTCTCCTGCCCAGCCTACCACCACGGGCCTGTGCGGTTATTCTGTCCAGCCTGCTGCCACTGGACTGGTGGTTCTCCTGTCCAGCCCACCGCTACTGGACTCTCTTCCCTGTATGTAAGCCGCTGATAAAACCCCATGTTTCATTTGCAGGCTTTGGGTCTCTTCTTCAGCCTCTTAAACTGGGTGCCATCCCTGTTGGAGTCAATAGGGGTTTGGCACAACTCACAGATGGACTCAGAGATGAATAAGTAACATCGTGTCCTCAGACTGTGTATTAATTTTCTATTACTGCTGTGATGAACTTAGGGGCTTAAGACAACACAAACTTATATAATTCTAGAAGTCAGAAGTCTGAAATGGATCTTACAGGCTAAAATCAAGAGATCAACAGAGCTGAATTCCTTCAGGAGGCTCTAGGGGAGAATCTGTTTCCTTGCCTTTTCCAGCTGCTACAGGCTGCCTGCATTCCTTGGCTCATGGCCCCTTCCTCCATCTTCAAAACACATCACTCCAACATTTTCAGCCTCATATCTCCTCTCTCTCCTTCTGACTATTCTAATTCCTTCTTATAAGGACCTTGTGATTACATTGGGCCTCATTAGATAATCTAGGATAATCTCCCCACAAGATTCTTAACAATGATATCTACAAAGTTTCTTTTACCATGTAAGGCAGCATATCTTCAGGTTCCAGGGATTAGGATGTGGGTATCTTTGGA
The DNA here is from genome assembly GCF_000001405.40 of Homo sapiens. Taxonomy (NCBI): domain Eukaryota; kingdom Metazoa; phylum Chordata; class Mammalia; order Primates; family Hominidae; genus Homo; species Homo sapiens. The sequence goes on along the minus strand of NC_000011.10, from coordinate 85,769,159 downwards.
GGACTGTTATTCTGCCTACCATAGAATTAACATACTTATGGAACATAACTTATCAAACTTTTTTGCACAGCCCTTTTTTGGCCTTTTCTGTATTCCATTGAATTGTTTTGCTTTTTTTCTTAATGATCTTTTTTTTCCTCTTCTTCATTTACTCAATAAATGAGGCGCCTGCTATATGCTGGAGACACAGGTTACCAAAGCCTTTCTGCCCACTGCTGGAGGAAGCTAGAGGAGGGCTGTTACTGCAGAACCAGAGACCAAGATATCAAACTCTTGGCTTTTGATTCTCTGAGATTGGGGTCCAGGCCTAAGATGGAAAGATTTAGGAGAATTCTTGTGTTTGAAGAATGAGATCCTTTCACCCAACTTTTCTCCTACCAATACCCCATCTCAAATTTAGAAGATTTAAAAAACCCTCCTCAAAGGTCTCTGCAGCAGGGGGTGGGAGTGTGTGTGCTTGCAGAAACCAAGAATTTGACTCATTCTTAAAATGGTGTAGGAGGTTAGAGGATAGGAAACAGTCTAGTGAGGTAAATAGAAAAGGTAGCAGAAGTAGTTCTCCAACCTTATAATGGCATGGAAAGGGATTGAGTTAGTGAAATGTTGGGGATTTATGTATTGTCATTAGGTGTTTATGGAGCACTTACTGTGTCCCAGGCCATTTTACTTACAGCATAATGTCATCCTCATGGTAACCCTGTAAGGTAGATCTGTTTTGCTGCCCATGTTGAATAGATGAAGAAACAAACGAGAGTCATTAGGGAAACTGCCAAAGAACTAATAGATTAATCCACTTTCAATTATCTTTTGACTCCAAAGCTACAAGTGCATTCTACTACATCACAACACTTCTTCTATTGGGGGTATAGAAAATGAATATAGTAGACATTATTTACCTGTATTAGTTTCAAAATCAGTGTCTCTTTAGAGGATGGTAAGGATCAAGGAAGATCTTGCACACAGTAGGAGCTCAGTGCATCTTTAGTGGGGCAATTTGGCCTGACCAGATGGAATTGAGCAGGTCTGGGACTAGGCTGAGGCAGGTGAAGTGCCTAGAGCACAAAGTCCTTGGAGACAAGGTCATGCAAGTGCTGATGCTCACTTGTAGTACCCTGATAGTGAGTGTCTAACTATGTGCCCTGGGTGTCTTGCTCTTAAGGAGACACTAATTCTCAGAGTGCTGCAGGTGCATAGTGCTGAGCTCACGTGACCTTGCCTCTTTGTATTTTGTGCTCTGGGTGCCTTGCTTGCTTCACCTATAGGTCCTGGATTTGAGCAGAAGCTAGAAGTGGGAGAGAACCGGTTAAATTGTTTTAATTCTGGCTGCATATTACAATCATCTAGGCACCATTCTGAAAAATATCCTAGGTGGGAGTCTCACCCCAGGCCATTTAAATCAGAATTGTTGGGGGAGAGAGGGAGGATGAAGAGACTTGGGCATTGGTATTTTTAGAAAAATCTTTTCAGATGATGCTAATGTACAGCCAATTTTTGGAACCCCCAAGTTGGTACATTTGGGGAGAGTCCCTCATTCCCAGTCTGGTTAGGAGTGTATGTGATTGTACCAAAAGTGAGGCTTTCTCACTTTGAGTTTTTCTGTGGTCCTTTTAAAGTCTGGGCTGGTGATGGCTACAGTTCAGTTAACTTTATGATCCTGAGTTTAATTCCAGCCTAGTTAATAAATCAGCTTGTTCTTCCACTCCCTTCCTTTGAATTTGAAACCTAGAAAATAATTAAATCTGATATTCATCTGTAATTTGGGCTGTTATCAGTGTTTGGCTTTTAGGGGTGCTGTGAAATGCAGCCCAAACCATTTATTAGCCAGTTTGCAAATCCTTATTTACGTTGAAATTGTGTATGTCCTAGAGGGTAAAGGAGATCTTCTCTGCATGTCCTAGCTCCAATGTTAGGCAGTTGTGTGACCTTAAGCAATTGGTCTAACCCTTTTTCATCACAGATTCCTCATCCACGCAAAGAATTAGTTATGACTCTCTGATTTGACTGTTACTTTGTTTCATGTGTTTTCTCTTGTAACAGCTGAAAACAATTGATATACAAATATGCGTGTTTAACTTTGCTAATTGCTGTGTATCCACATCATGTGGGAACATTTTAGAAAATGCAGATTGCTGGACATCAGCTTTGAAGAGTTTGGTTCAGTAAGCCTTGAGCAATGTCTGGGAATCTGCTGCTGATCAGCCAGATTTGAATACTGCTGTTTATTGAAGCAATCATGAATATAATGAAAGTGATAGCACTCCCAATTTAGATGTCACTGTAGAGTGTGCTGTTGACAGAGATCGTACTTCTCTTCAAGGAAGCCTTCCCTGGCTCCCCAAGAGTACATTAAATCCTCTGGTTAAAAGTTTTATAGCCCACTGCCTTTCTGCTCTGTGAGACTTCTTGGGCTTGTTCAGTATCTGCCCTCCTTTCCAGAATCTAAACTCTCTGAGGCAGGGGACGGCATACATTATCAGAACTTCTGGCGCATACAAATTACCCTCTTCCAGAATGAGATCTGGGCCTGCGGTGGATGCTGCCATTCCAAGGAGAGAGGAAGTTTCTCTCTGGTATTTTGAACTTAGGCAAGCCTCTTGGTGCTTCCCAAGCTGTGTAGTTAATAAAAGCCCATGGATATGGTGGCTTTTGCAGCAGCTTCATGCAATATCAGAACTCTGTTCTATGTGGCTTAAAGTCCTTCGTGATATGTTGTCAAAGATAAGTCACCCCTTTTGTAGACTGCCGTCTCTCTTCTACATATGATTTGAATTTTCAGCTCAGGTATGAAGTTTAAAATGAACTTTCAGCTGCCCATTTCCTCAGATCTTTTCTTTCTTTACTGTTTTTCTTTCTTAGAATGCTGATCAAGAAAATATAGATTAAAAGGATGGTTCTAGCACATTTATCAAGACTGGCAAGCATGAAAAATTCAGGTTCAAACTCCCCCCCTTGACACTTTAGGCCTCTTGGGGTCCAACCTTGGTCACTTGCCCCATTTACACCCTGTACTCCCGTTACCAGCCTTCTTTTTGAATACCTTTATGGTTTCAGGGTCCAGCGCTCTTGCCCAGAATGCCTACCTCCTTCTCTAATACAGCCTTCAAGGCTCACCTCATTTTATCTCCTTCCTAAATCTCTGTGGCCTACCTGACACTTGGTGTGTGCCTCCTTTATTAGTAGCTGACATACTTGTATTATGGTTGGTCATGTGTGATGCTGTCTCCTCACATAGCCCATTATCTTGCGCTTGGTTGGGGCTTGGTTAACATATTTTATTCCTAGGGGTATTGTAAGTTTAAACCTGTGGCCTAGCAATTGCAGAAAATGAGCTTTTCAGAAACCCAGGGATGTTATTGTTAGGTGTGAATATGAGATTAAGGAGTAGGGGGAATTGTCAGATAAGGTAGTCTTTCTACCTGTCTTTCCCTCTTCATTCATAATTTGAGACCACCAAGCCAGTTTCCAGAAGATACTAGCTGTCTGCTACTCAGCCTGGACCTGGAGGAGATGAATGAAGTAGAAAGATGGCTTCCATCTTTGGAAGAATCCTTACAAAAGTGAAAGCTTTGTATTTTGAGATGCTGTCCATTTTTAATTTTCAGTTGGCTCTATAAAAAATGGCAACTGCCAGGCGCGGTGGCTCACGCCTGCAATCCCAGCACTTTGGGAGGACAAGGTGGGCAGATCACGAGGTCAGGAGTTTGAGACCAGCCTGGGCAACATGGTGAAACCCCGTCTCTACTAAACACACAAAAATTAGCTTGGCATGGTGGCAGGTGCCTATAATCCCAGCTACTCAGGAGGCTGAGGCAGGAGAATCATTTGAACCTGGGAGGCGGCGGTTGCAGTGAGCGGAGATCACGCCCTTGCACTCCAGCGTGGGTGACAGGGCGAGACTCTGTCTCAAAAAAAAAGGCAACCTATTGTTGGATAGCTTATCCTTTCTTATTCTATCTATATCCTTTCATTTGTTCACCTCTTTATAAAGAAGTTCATTTTATTTGTTCATTCAACTATTATTTTTTAAGAGGCTACCTTGAACCAGTCACAAGACAATTCTTTCCTCTCAAGAAGCCCAACTTAAGCCACCCACTACATTGAGTAATTTATGTGTTTTTTAAAAATAGAACACTGAAGACTCTGACCACACAGAAACAAAATATTCATGTAGCATTGTTACCCACCTGTGCGTGGACAAAGTTTGCTTTTCGTATAAACACATTTCTGTGTACGCATATTACAAAACATTTTGATTGAGCCTAAGCATATAAAATGTAGGTTCTTTCAGTAATAGTTTCTGGTTCGAGGGATTGATACCATTCTAAGAGGCTAGTAGGCATATATAAATAGGTGCATGTTGACACAGATGCCTTTTTTCCCCTCTATCTCATGCATATCCTCTTTTCCATGTCTATCCATAAACCAAATCCAAAGGGACTGATCATTTTCTAATTCCTAACAAGTTGTCCTTAGAAGAGCATGCCATGCCTTGAGGGCTGATGCATGTTGCCCATAAGAAATGACAAAGTCAAATGTACAGAGGGAGAAACAGCAGGGTGAAAAGAGAACAGTCTAGGAATCAGGAAACTTGGGTTCTAGTGTCATCTTTGCCCCTAACCAGCTGTGTGATCTCTCTGAGAAGTAGGGGATTAGTGATGCAGTGAAAGATGAAAAATAGTGGCTTCAGAATCTGAAGACTTGGGTTCAAATCATATCCTGGTTGAGTAGCCTTAGGCAAGTTATTTAACTTGAGCGCCAGTGTTCTCTTCCATGGGATGTGGAGAATACCTATCTGCATGGTGGTCAGAGTGGTTAAACTAAAATATGTGTAAAGGGCTTAGCACCGCCTGCGCATTTTTTCAGTCTGGAGGGAAATGACCAAGATCATGAGAGGCTTAGAGAACAACATGTGAGGAACAGTTGAGGGAACAACAAAGTTTTTTATCCCCTCAACTAAGAAGAGGTGGGGAGAGCATGACATCTTTTTTGTAAACTATTATGTGCAAGGGAGAATAAATTAAATGGGGTTCAAGTGGGCAGGGTAAAATGTAGCCAATGTGAAGAACTTAGGGGCAAGTCCAACCAAGTGAGCCTGAGAAGCGGAGCAGCCCAGCTGTGCAGTTAGCAGCTTTAGGCATGGATGCCCTGGCAGTGTGATCTGATGATCATCGGGCTGGTACACTGGAGGGAAATCTTTCTGCTGAGAGGGAGGTGAGCAAAGAGTCTCTGATTGTCACATTCAACTTGTTCCGTCTTTGGCTTCTCCTTCCTTCCATCCTTTGATGCTGCTGTGATCCTAGGAAGTTTACAAAGCATTTAGTTTTATGCACAATGGTTTCGTAAGTGTTCCGGTGGGGATGAGCCTTCTTGTTGATCAGGGCCTTTTTGTCTGGCGGCATTCTCCCCAACTCAGGCATATTACTGCTCTTCTGTTGCTGCCTGGATTTTTTTTTTTTTTGAAGCCTTCATTCTTGATGTCATGGGACTGTCAGGACAATTTGCCTGTCTTCTGAAATCCTCATCATGTGAGAGTCACCATTTATGTAAGTTTTACACTCCTTGCCTTTGGTACAACAATACTGTCTGGGAAAGCAGAAGATGCTATCTGTGTTATCTGGGCCCCTCCTCACAGCAGAGCCTGCTGGGAAGGAAATTTGGTTGTTAATTAGACTTTAACCTGGGATTAGAATTTTAATTGGAATTAGAGTTAGAAGCCCAGATCCACTCTTTGCTGCCTATCAAAGGCAAGCACCAACTATGTGGGGCCTTAGTTTTTCTCTCTAGCTTAACTTTTGGACAATTGACAAGAAGAGTATTAGTATTCATAGATGTGGCATGGTAGGGCTGACACATGGAAAATATGAATTAAGCAGAGTCCACATTTGGAGTCCTCCAATTTCCCTTTGTGCTGCTATTTCTACCGCTGCTCCTTATCCTTCTTTGTCCTCTGCGGTGTCCTGAATTCTCACCAGAGCCTCACAGTAATCTCCACAAGGAAGAGAATATACCCATCATATGCATGAGATAACCAAGACTTAGAGAAGTCATTCAACTTATTCAAACCACAGAATGATGTGAAAGATCTGGAGCTGGAACCCATTGAATAATATTGACCTAGTTTTTCATTTATGGGCCCTAGAGCTATGTTCATGTTCAGGGGGAAATAGAAGCTCAATCCCCTTCCACCTGTGTTCATCATTTTTTTTTTTCATGAACACTTGAGTGCCTAGTAGATGCAAGACAGTGGCAAGAGCTGGGAATACAAATCACTGGGAGACACAAGCCTTGTTCATAAACTGGCAAGAGACAAACATGAGTAAGTAGGGATTTGAGACCGTGTGATGAGTACTGTGACTGATGAAGTCAGGTGCTAATTGAGCACATAGGAGGGGCACCTAAGCTGGCTTGGAGGGGTTAGGGAAGACTTTTGTGCAGTAAGTGACATGTAACTTGAGACCTAACAAGTATTAACCAGGGAAATGCTGTTCCAGGACGAAGGAACAGCACATGCAAAAGCCTGAAGGCAAGAAGAACTGGAAAATTTCAGAATGGCTGGAGCCTAAGGAAAAGAGCTTGGAGAGTAAAGCAGGTGCTAGTTCATGGAGAGTCCTACAGGCCGCTTAAGGATTTTGAGTTTTAGTCAATGGTCAGTGGGAAGTTGGTGAAGGATTTTAAGCCTGAGAATGTGTCTTGGTCAGAACTGAGTTTTAGAAAAATGACTCAGCATCATGCTGAATGGAGGATGGGTAGGAGAGGCTGAACCCAAGGAGAACTTGCCCCAGGAGTTCCTCCTGTGAACACATCAATAATATCTGTGAACAATGGGTATATTCACTCCTACCCTCCCTTCTTTACTGAGGTTATTGTGAGGCTCTGGTGAGAATGCAAGACACTGTAGTAGCCAAAATTCTTCCCTCACAGTTTAGCACTGAGGTTGCCCCCGTTCTGACTGCCGGGTCTGGGTCGGTGAGTCTCTTATACTTAAGCAGAGAATGAGGGTCCACAGAGACAGGGGTTTTGTTCTGCCTCGCTGATTGGAGGAATCTGTGTGAAGAGAAGAATTAAATGAAATGTCAATGTTGGGTTGGCTTATTCTGACACAACCATCAGCAAATGCCAGTCAGACATAAGCTTGGTGGCAAATGCCCCCCTCAGCCTCACTCTCCTCATGTGAAAAACACAGATAATAAGACCTACCTTGGGCTGGGTGTGGTGGCTCATGCCTGTAATCCCAATACTTTGGGAGGCCGAGGCCGGCAGATCACTTGAAGCCAGGAGTTCAAGACCAGCCTGTACAACGTGGCAAAGCTGCAACTCTACCAAAAATACAAAAATTAGCTGGGCATGGTCGTGGGCGCCTGTAATCCCAGCTACTTGGAAGGCTGAGGCATGAGAATTGCTTAAACCCAGGAGGTGGAAGTTGCAGTGAGCCGAGATTGTGTCACTGTACTACAGCCTGGGCAATGGAGTGAGACCCTGTCTCAATACATAAGACCTACCTCAGAGTGTCTTTGTGAGGATTCCATGAGAGGTATGTACAGCGCCACATGTGTAGAAGGGACCAAGTAAATGTTTGCTGCCTTTTTGTCTGGCTTTCTTTAATGCTGCTTCATCTCAGAGTAAAAGCCAGAAGTCTTACTGTCCTCACAAGGCCTAATACAGTCTTACCCGTGTCCTTTCCGGCCTCCTCTCCTCCTGCTCTCCTGGGGGCATTCTGGTGTACCAGCACTGGTCACCTTGCCATTTCTTGAATGTGCCAGACAACTCCCACCTCAGAACCCTGGGATATCTGCATGGCTTGTTTCCTCATCGCTGTCACGTTTTTGTTCAAATATCACCTTCTCAATGAGGCCTACCCTAACCACTCTCTTTAAAATTCCTACTCTCCCTGAGTTATTATTCTCCTCCCTTCCCTTTTTTGTTTTCCTCCATAGTTCTCATCACCTTCCAATGTGTTATAATTTAATTATTTGGTATTCAAAAACTTATTTTTATTATTTAGTTTGATTGTTTCCATCCATTGCCATATGAACTCCACAAAGGCAGGAAGTTTTTCTGTCTTGTTCCCTTGCTGCACCTCCAGTGCTTAGAATAGTGCCAGTCTCTCAATAAATCTTTGTCAAGTGAGTGAGGGAAATGTTCAGTTAGCTCCCATGCTGGACATCATCCAGAATATTAGGAGTTGGGTGAGCACCTCATACTGCAGAATCTTGATTGCCCTCTGAGGGCTCTCTTACAGTTTGATTGGGCACTGATTCCTACCTACCCAATTAAAAGGGAAGGGTTCCAGCCCTTCACTCCTTTGTAAAGTGGAAACATTGCCCTTTGCCTCACTAACAGCCTATTTTAAGGGAGAAATTTTAACCCTCAGAGCTTTGACACAGAAGCACTTGTTAGGTTGTATTCTGCTTGAAGGCGTGGAAGCCAATGTTGCCCATTTCAGCAACCCTGCCAGTTACCACTGCTAGACGACCTAAGTTTTTCATTGTTGTTGTTTTCTTCCTGTCCACCACTCCTTGAATTTAAAGTCTCACATCGAACCAACCAAATGGCAGTGTAAGACCTCATTGGGAACCTGGGTCCCAGAATGTGGCCTAAATCTATTTTCTTGCCAGCTTTTGAGATCTAAGGAAGTTACTGCACGTGAAAGAAAGGAAATAATTGAGATAGCCATCTCTTGGTGATATTGTATATTTGAATCAGGTTCATTTATTCATTTGCTCATTCTTTTATTTGTTCACATTCAGAGACTCACAATCAAGAGAGACTGAGAGTAGATCATCACAGCAGTGGATGTGTATTTGGAGGAGAAAGTGTTTGTATTAGCAGGTTCCTGCTGCGGGAGTATCGTATAACAACTCCCAAACCTCAGTGGCTTCCAACAACAAATACTTAGTTTTTTCTTTTATATCTATAGGTCAGCAGGGATACCTGCTTCAGGGAGGTCAGGTTCAGGTCTGTCCTTTTATCTCTTTCTGGAACCCAGGATGAAGAGGCAATGAATAACTGGGACAAGCTCTTCTCATGGCATGTGGCAGGAATACAAGAAGCCAGATCAAACCACAAAAGCACATTTACAGCCTATGCTTGCATCACATTTGCTAACATTCCATTGGCCAAAGCGAGTCACAGGCCAAGCCCAACATTAGGAGGATAGGGATGAATTCTTTGCTTACTCTGGTGGGAACATGATAGTATAGTTCTGTTACAGGGAGGAAATGAAGAGTTAGGAATAATCATTGAATCTGCTGCAACTTTAACTTGGGGTATGGAAGTTATGGAAGGCTTCATGGAGGTGGTAACTTTGATTTGTCTTGAAGGGTAAGTAGTTTTCAAGATGAACAAGCAGGTAGTAGCATATGCAAGCACATGCAAATTAAAAAGAAAATGAAGTAATGTCTTAATATTTATTTGAGTAATTACTGTGGACAGTATGCAGAGAGCTAGAGGAAATTAAAACAAAGGTCATTAGATTCCCTGTCAATGAAGCCCAAACTTCATGGGGGGAGATCAGAAAGAGACATAATACAAAAGAGAAATATATTACTAAGTATAGTCTTATTCAGCTGGATGGAAAAAAAGTGTGAACTCAGAGCGGAAGCTAGAATATAGTTTTAGTAGCTATTTTTGGTACAGAATGCAAGACATGTGCTCTTTTTATATTCATTATTTCATTTAATCCTTACAATCTGTGAGGGACATCCTAATGTCAAGCACAAATGAGAAAACAGCTTCACAGTGGTCGGTAACTTGCCCAATGACTTATAGCTAGTAAGTGGTAGAAGGATAACTTCCCAGTAATTCTGTTTTTCAAGTAATTAATTTTTATAAATTTTATTCACTAATGTACATACTGTTTTATTCTTAAGTGGGGCTGCTTTAAAATTTTTTTTTCTTTCTTTTTTTTTTTTTTTGATAAGGAGTCTCACTCTGTCACCCAGGCTGGAGTGCAGTGGTGTGATCCCGGCTCACTGCAACCTCCGCCTCCCGGGTTCAAGAGATTCTCCTGCCTCAGCCTCCTGAGTAGCTGGGATTACAGGCGTGTGTCACCACACCCAGCTAATTTTTGTATTTTTTAGTAGAGACGGGGTTTCACCATGTTGGTCAGGCTGGTCTCGAACTCCTGACCTCAGGTGATCCACCCACCTTGGCCTCCCAAAGTGCTAGGATTACAGGCATGAACCACTGCACCCAGCCTGCTTTAAAATTTACTAAAGGTTTTTAGTGTGTATGTTCAGCACTGCACTTGTTAAAAGTGCCCCAACCTTGAGTGGATCACCTCCGAATTTCTGTAGGGCTGTGTCATTCTTCACTTCTCACTTCCTTCCCATTACATATGTATTGAAGATGCCTCAAAGAAAATAGGATTCTTGCACATTGTGCAACTGAAAAATCCTCACTTTGGATGGTGAGGTGTTTTGAAACTCTGCCTCTTCCTTTCCTCCAGTTTATATACACACACAGGTAGGTGTTTTTCCCCTGAGAAATGAAAGTAGACAAGCTTGTTAGGTTCCTCTAGGTCCAGCAAAGGTTAGCAGTGAGACTGGATGAAGAATAACAATTCTCACTCTTCTGCAAACTATCTCTATCTAATACTAGTTCTCCTGTTAATATGGAGCACATATATAGTACAGTGGAATATTCTTACTTGTGAAGAGGTGAGCATTTAAAATTTTTATTTCTAGATTCTTGCTTGACCACTGGAATCACATATCCCTGATCTTACTGACCTTTAACATGACTTTTTAGCCTAGCATCCCCAGAGTTTGCAGAGAGAGAACCAGTTCATTTTTGCAACCATCCTTTACTCAGGTGGATCGTTAAACACTGACAGGCATTTTTGTGGGTTCTCCATCTTGGCCGTCTGGAATAGGGTTGAAGCATGTTTCATGACCCATTTACCATTTGCTCAGGAAGCTGGCTGAACTGGTTTCCTTGATCTCAGAGACCATCTCGCATGGCCATTTAAAAATCTTGTAGTAATGAGTAGTGCTTATAGGAACTGCCTCTCACTGTCTGGTGTTTGCTGTCTCATGATTCCCCAGGTAGGTGATGCTCTGATGCTGCTGCCTCTTATGAATTGACGACAGGTGCAGAGAGAGAATAAACTGTGTCTAAGACTGGACCAGAGAGTGAGTGTGCTGGAAGCCACCATAGGAACAAGCGACCTGTTTGGCAAGGAATACAGCATCCTTCTGAGAGCCTCTTCTCGACACTATCCCACAGACCAGGACTTCCTCATGGGAAAGAGCACTTAGGATCTTGCTATCAGCTGCCCTAAACTTTTGCTGAGCCAAAATAAGACTTTGATGCAGAACTGAACAAGATATTTCATTTTTGTGTGTTTTAATCTTCCTGGTTGCAGTCTTAGTTGTTCAGCCCTGAGAATTTTGAGCCACATTTGTTGCTATTATTTTTGCATGCACTTTTCAAAATGATTGACTTAAGCTTCCTGACTGAAGAGGAACAAGAGGCCATCATGAAGGTTTTGCAGCGGGATGCTGCTCTGAAGAGGGCCGAAGAAGAGAGAGTCAGGTAAGAGGCCAGAGAAGCCTTGGGCATGAGGGAAGGAAGAGGCAGTCTGTACGAAAATAGGACACTGGGGTTTTTTTCAACTATAAGTGGTAGTTCTGACTCGAAGACTGAATTTATGGATTCCAATTTTAGGTTTACTTCCTGGACAAAACATTTTTCCTCTTGGTGCCTCTTAATTTATCCTACTGGACTCCTACCAGAAATAGGGTCTTGATTAAAAACCTAACTAAATTCCTTTAACTTATTAAATACTGAGATAAAAATGAAATGTATACAACCACATACATCTACATTTGTGTGTGTGTGTGTATTTCTATCCACTTAAAAAAACTGGATCTACTTTTTTTTAACTGAATCATGAACCAAATTAGAATTTTAAAAAATTTTTAGAATTTTGAAAAGAAAATAAATTAAACTAGCTCACATTTCTGCATGCTTTCAGAAATGTTGGAATTGGTTTTAATGGCAACTGAAAGTATTCTCTGAGCCAATTTTTCATTTGTCTTGGGTCCCATAAAGAGGAGTGGCAACTTTGATACACTATTCTTGTTGGGTGGAACCCAAATGTTCCATGTCAACATTCCTGCCACTTTCATTCACCTTTGTTGTCAAACAAGCACTAGGCCAGGATGCTGAAGAACTTGACTTTGTCCAGGCCCTGCCATTTACTGCCTGTGTAATCTTGGGCTTTGAAGGCAGCGACAGGCTTCCTGAATGTAAGTTAGTATTATTAATTTTATGATTCTCGCTCCAGGAGTTATCCAAAAGGAGCATAAGATATGTTCTTACTTCCTGGGACACAGGACCATGAATAATGGCTTTATTTTTACCATTTCCGTATCTTGACACTGATTTAACGTGGATGATTTATAAAAGAACATGCTAGAATTCACTTCAACCACTACAGAATGTCTGATTATGACTACTAAAATAACTTCTATATAGACAGTATTTAACAAGTTGCAAAGGGCTTAACATGCCCATTATTTTTTATGAGCTCACATACTCTTTTGCGGTTGGTGGGTGGAGTGGGATATAATTACCCCATTTGATGTGTCAGGAAGTTGACTTTGAGACAAGTCAGGTGACTCGCCCAATATCACACAACTGGTAGGTGTCAGAAGTGAGAATCAAATCCCAGTCTTAGGTACTCATTTGTTAACTCCACCTCCTCTCCCTGAGAAAACAATAACAGACAGGCCATCCCAGGACCTGGCAATGGAGGAAGGGGCTGGCTGTCATGGTGTGAAGTAGGACACTGAGCTATGATGACAAGCAGTGGCTGTAGGTAGTGGGGATCATGCTGTTCCTCAAAGGTCCCTTGCAATGCACACCTGGATGGGGCTCTGCTGTGCCTTCTCCGCAAATGGTGTGCCTTAAACAGTGTCCCCAGGAGAGGTGAAGGATTGTCACTAACCCAGGCATTAGAGCCTCTTGGTAGCATTAATCCTCTACCCATTGACAGTTTATAAAGCCCTTTTATGAATGTTATCCTCTTATGTTCTTCACAGCAACCCTGACATTTGGCAAAGCAGGGACTATTGCAACCATTGAGGAGTAAGGGCAGGAGGTGGGGGAGCATAGAGAAAATATTGATTCTTTAAGCATAAGGGGAAATGGTATTTCCTTTACCCTCCCAAAAGAAAAGATTGGGGGAAGGACTTAGAAAGCAGTAGAGCTGGGACTGCACTGAGTCTCTCTTTCTACCTCAGGATGTGGGCCCCTGCATTTTGGAGAGGTGCAAGTACCTTTGATTCCTTCTGCTCAGGAGGTGTTATTTATGGTCTGCAATTCTGCCCCTCTAGATAGTCAGCTTACGAGGAGAAAGCCTCCTTTCATTTCCTCCCTCCCTTCTATCTTTTCTTGGCACCTGGGATTCCAAGCTGCTGAGTCTTGTCTGTAGTTCTATGATTCTGTCTGAATAGAGTGAAGGTGTTTCTTGGGCACTTGCATTGGTTGATGAAAATATCCTCAAAAAATGCAAAGTTCTGCCTGAAATTAGGCCTTATAAGGGGTGTGAGTGTGTACCCTCTGGCATCAGCCAATCTACAACTTCAGCGAAAATGGTGTGAGTCCCTTCCTAGTGTTGGTGTTGCAGACACTCCTTCTGTCTGTTGTTTCTGAAGGTGCCCCAGCAGCTGCGACTGGTGCTGCCTTTGTGTTTTGCTTTTGTGACTAAATGGCAGGAAGAAGGCTTGGATTGGTGAAAAGCCTGGTGTGAGTCAAGCCCTACCTACCATCATTTTCCCAAGAGACTTTCTAGTTAGGCACCATGTACCTCATGTGGACTTGGCCATGGACAGTTTCAGGACCCTGGAGCTAGGGAGCAGTGACAGTGCACAGATAGATGGCAGACCTATGGCTTGTGGACCCTGAAAAAGGCTCAACTCATAGCCTGACCCCCTCTTTGCTTTAGGCCTGAAGGGACTTGTGGGGATAGTTTGGAGGTTGTTCTGCTCCTCGGATGGTGGAACCAGAACTGGATCTCTGAAAATGTTACTCCATGGGCTTTTGTTTGTCAGCGCCTTTTCCATTCCATTGCTGTTTGTCTTTGCCTCTTCTACCAGAGTTATAGCCTAATAACTATGAAATTTTTTTTTGTTGTTGTTCCATATCAGTCATTTTACAGAAAAAAAGATAAAGCCCAGAAAGGGTAAATGACTTGCCCAGGGCCACACATTAAGTCAGTGCCAAAGCCATGATGAGAAATCTCTTGGGCCGGTGCTTTTCCCTCTGCTCTATTCTGCTCATCGTTGTTATTCTTTCAGAAAGGAACAGTAAGGGTTTGATCATGACACAAAAAACTCTGCTGCTTGGAACCGGAGATGAAACTGACATGCGTTTGCATCTCATTCCTACCACTAATGAACTGTGTTTCACTGGGCAAGTTATTTAACCTCTCTGAGCCTCAACTCAGAGTGGGCATGATCATAATACTACATTTAAATTCAAAAGATTAATGTCAGGATTAAGTAAAATAATTTTTAGGAAGCAAGAGATAGCGAGAGATTTGATAAAGGATACAAAATTACAGTGACCTGATGACTATATGTTATGTATATCAAAACATCACTGTTTCCTCATGAATATACAAAATTATTATTTGTCAATTAAATTAAAAATAATTTTTAATCTTCCTGGCACATAATATGTGATAGTTCATTTTAATTCCTTTATTCACCACTCTACCTATACCTCCAAAAAGGGGCAGGAGATTCTAGTTAGTAGACTGATTCCTTAGAAGGAAATTACTCCTAAAACTCTTAATTATTTAATGTAGTAGAAGTTAATTGAGCACCTATTAAGTACAAGGAACTGCTCTGGACAATGATATGAAGAGAATTCCAGGGTGATTGAAAACATGGCCCCAGCTCTCAAGGAATTTACTATCTAATGACCTTTATCCATTTAATGGATTATCAGTTGCAAATTTAAAATCTCAATTTTGTTTCCCTAACATGACTTTACAATGCCTCATTCCTCCTAGGTGTTATTTGGCTTAGAAACACATTATATAATTATATCAGCCCAATCAAAACATCATTAGAAAGGCCAATTTATTACTAAAATTCAGACTTTTCTTTTAAATACTAATGTTTTATAGACTTTGGAGTATAACTCTCCCGTAGCCAAGAGGACATCACTAATGGATACACCACTGTTGCCTGCAAGACCAGATATCACTTTAGAATCTTTTTCAGTATGGCGGTAGATGAGATCTGGCATTCAAATGGAAATGTTGCCATTCCTAATATGTCCAGTGCTTTGACTTGTTCACAGCCAAGCTCATTCAAGATACTTTGGAGATGATTTAGTTTATATGTCACTTCCCATCTTTTTTTTTTTTTTTTTTTTTTTAAAAAAGAGAGTTTCTCTCTGTGACCCAGGCTGGAGTGCAGTGAGGCAATCATAGCTCAGTGCAGCCTCCAACTCCTGGGCTCAAGTGATCCTCCTGTCTCCCAAGTAGCTAAAACCACATGTGTGTACTACCACATCCAGCTAATTAAAAAAAAAGGTTTTGTTACTTCCCATCTTGATTTCATGGATAGGAAAAGTGAGTGTTGCACAGAGACATATCCAGTTCCTAAATCACTTGGTCTGTTAATGGTAGAACATGGACTCGTACCCAAGGAAATAGTCACTGGGGTGTCTCTGGGGTACAGCTGAGACAATAACGGTTCCAGATCACTGTTGCTACCACACTGTCTTTTATGTTGCTCCACTACCTGTAGCCACAAGTACTGGACCCAGTTATTACCATGTATCGCTACACAGCCTGCTTCCCTAACTCCCATGTGGAGACATTTCACAGACCAGCAGTGAAGGAGACATCAGGGTGGATTCTTTCTCTCTCTTCCACCCCTATCCTGTGTCTTCTCTCCTGCTGCCCTGACCCACCTTTAAGGAAACATAACCATACATACACATATGTAATTTTAGTCTTTTATGGTTTGAAAATCACATACTCAAAAGGTGGCATTTCCTGTGCTTTGCGTCACACTGCCAGCAGGAAATTGCTGCTCATGTCTGTCTGTACACCACCACCAGCACTGCATCCCCCACCCCCATATACACACAACCACATCTACAGCGATGGGTGTTTTTGCAGTAGATACGATCTCAACCGCCACCACATCTTATGATTCTCAGCTGCCTCCTTAGACCTAGTTGTGTTTTTTTTTTTTTTTTTTTTTTTTTTTTTTTTTTAATGAAGGCAGTTGTCATTGAAGGACTAATTTCCAGGACCTCTCATGGTGTTTTTCTGTCAAAGCAAAGGGGAAAGGAACTAACATTTGTCAAGGGACTGTACATGGATCTTCACATAGATTTTCCTATTTCATCTTCAAAACAGTGTAGCTGAATCCACTTAACAGATGAGGAGATAGGGTTGAAGAGGGTAAGTGCCCCGCAGGATTGAAGCCTTGTTGATCCAACATCAAGGCCTGTGCACTTCCCTTACACTGTGCTGCCTCTCAGCAGACTGCAGAGATCTACGATGTGTCATGTAAAAGGTGGATATTTCTTGTTTTCTACTCTAAGGAAGGTTTGTAGTTTGTTTTCCACATGTTGGTTTTCAGATTCTTCATCAAAGATTGAGTTCCTTAGGAGAAAGAGTGAAGTGTGACAGCCATCTTAGAAACCGAAATCATGTTTGGCTCTCTGAGGCAGGATCGGGTAGTAGAAAGTGTGTTGGCTGGGAGTCAGACTGGCTTCTGCTGCCAGCTCTGTGTGACCTTGGGCAAGCCTCTTAACTTCTCTGGGCTTCTATCATTTTATCTAGAAAGTGAGGTCATTTGTAACTATCTAAGGTACCTTTCAGCTCTCACATTCAAAACAAACATCTGAGAGCACCTCCAAATCACACAGTCTAAACATCTTGCCCAGTATATTCTGGGCAAGATGAAAAAAGAAAGGCTGGAGAATAGACCAGTCAACCTATCTGGCCAGCAGCTGTCCACAGTTGACTAAATACTATGAACCAGGTCCTGCAGGTGATGTTCGAGCTTTGCCTAGTCCTGTTGAGTAGCTGGAAGCTGAGGTGTACATAAGTGAGCACAAGGAGAAAAGGGGTAGGCTGAGGGCAAATGTGTTGAATCCAGCCCAGAGGGCATTTCTGCTCTTCTGGCTTTCCTCTGTAAGTGCTCACACTCTTGGCATGAAAAGGAGTTGACATTGACAGTTAGGGCTGTAGATAGAATTTTTAATGTCCAATTTGAAGCAGATGGCTGGTATGGGAATTAATGAGTCAGTGAACAAATAGCCAGACAGGGTTTAGATATGGCTTTTAGCATACAGAAGAGGTAAAATGGCCATCTTTTGAAATGGATGAAATTCTTTGAACAGCATGGTGAAATTGTAAGGATGAAATGATAAGAGGCTTGTTAAGTGTCAGATGTGTGGTTCAGCACAAAGCAGATACTGTGTGCTAGCTGAAGGAATGGGAGAATGAACGAGAGAATGACCAGGACATCCCACCTGGGAGGCCAGCAGGCCAGTGTACTTTCTGGATTGAGTGCTCTTCTTCAGCCCTCACTTCTGCCCACCAGCCCACCGGTGTTTACTGAGCGTCTTCTCTCTACTTAACTCTCTGCTAAACATAACGTGTGTGTGTGGAGAGGATGGTAAAGGATAAATGTCAGTCCCAAGAAACTTACCCCTTTCTCTCTTCATCTAGATGGTACGATAATTAGAGAATCAAATGCTCATTTTGTTGATGTAATTAGAGTTCAGAAAAAAATGAGAGATGAACGTGGGCTGGAAAACGAGAAGATTTTAACAGCAGCACTAGATAGTGGGATTCTAAAAATGATCTACATCTTTACAAAACTTTGATGTTATACATATGGATTTATCTACGAAATAGTACAAGTGACTAAGATAGAAAAAGAAGTTGATTATTAAACCTAGTAGTGATAGTCATGTAAGGAAATATGTAAGTGGCACTTAACTACATTTGAAAGAATTTCCTGTTCTTTTGCCACTTTAAAACAAGTGAGCCAGAAACCCTTTCCTTACTATAATGGCTATCAGCCTTTGTAGGGACCATGTGTTTCAGGGAGTCGATGCAAAACCTGTGCTCATTGTGCATTGATCGTGGGCTTACAGACAGTCATTTAGGCAGGAACAGATCAAGGGTTGCACAAGAATCCCCACAAAGTGCATTTTAGTTGAAAAACAAAAATAAACAATCTTATGAAAAGAAATTGGGTGTTGTTCTGCTATAAGGGTTTGTGGCCTCCTTCAACAAGAATGCTGACCGACACCACATTTCATGATGTTTTTTCCTGTTCTGATGAGAGATGAGCATGTCCTGCTGCATCAGGAGGAGACACCATTCATTGTGATGGGGTCTGAGGTTCACTTAATCACAGCAGTGACAGGATCTTCTTGATCTCTTGCCTGACTCAGGATGGCTGCTGAGCGTTTATTTGTTCTTTGATTTATTCACTCAACAGACAGTTATTGGGTATCAGCTCTGTTCCAGGCTCCGTGCTAGGTGCTGGCATTACAAAGGTGGTTAAGACATAGTCCTCACTTTCAAGGAGTTTGCAAAGACCACAGGTTAGTGAGTACAACAGATGTGCAAACAGATCACTGGAATATGATATAGTAAGGACTGAAGTGGAGGTGCTGTGGGAGCAATGGAAAAGGAGAAACTGTAATAACTGTGCCCTCCTGAGTTAGGGAAAGCTTCCCAGTGAGGCAGTGTTTGAGCTGGATTTGAAGGATGAGGAGCAACGGGCTGGACAGAGAAGTGAGGGAAAGACATCCCATGAGACTTCACATTAACTGGCCTTGTACCAAGATCTAGGCAGTACTAAGTACTTTCAGTTAAACATCTCAATCATCTCAGAAGTCCTGGAGGGTAGGTCTTATTTTCCCTGATCCTTAAAAACAAGGAGACTAAAGCTTAGAGGAGTTTGGTAAACTGTCCAAGATCCCATCTAGGAAGGGTCAGAACTGAGATTTGGATGTAATTTGGGGAGCCTTGAAAACCCAGAGTCTTTCTGCCACAACTTCCTGCCTCTGTCATCTACAGAGGTCACAGAAGAGCACTGGAGAATTGTAAGAAGCTGAGCCTGCTGGCAAGTGGGGTATGGGCGTGAGTGCTGGAAAAATGAATCTGAAAAGGTAACCTGAAGCCTTTTTAGGTGGTCAGGAGCCTCATCTGATATTCCTCCACTCTGCAAGATCTGAATAAATACCCCGTATTTTCCAGACACTAAACAAAGATGTATTGAGTACAGACCCTGCCCCCAGGAACTCACCAGGGAGAAGTAGAAGAACTTCTCCATTCTGGAATTGAACTCAAACTTGGTCCTTTTGGGAGGAGAAGGCAAAGGTTCACCAACAGTCCAGCAGTTGTTTGCTCTGCTGAAAACAGTGTTGAAAGCAGTGTCAAACCATTAGGAACATTTAATAAAAACCATGATATCGTTGCTGACTGAGAACTATGAAGCAATGATGCTCTCCCTGTTAGGGTTTATAGATGGGGCTGTCATGACAAAGAGAGGAAGTTCCTGTAAGAGTTTACTCTGGGTGGAAGGACACTCTCCAGGCACGCTTGGGAGAGAGGAGACATTCTTGCTAGACCTGGGATAACTGCTCCCCCTCTTTTTCCCACTCCCAGGTATGCCTGTGTGCAACCCTTACATGCAGCGCTGCTACCACCTTGGCCCATTCACATTCTCTGCCTGAAGCACTTTGATTTGCTAATTGAGGAAGAGTGCATATTAGTTTGTATGACTATCTTAAAACCCTCTTGGATTTATGTTAGCACATTATCTTCCAAGAGTATAGTGTTCCCTTACAGCTTTTATTCCACTTTATTCTAAGTACATCTCTATAAACAAGAGAGATTTTGTGATTTTTTTATTTTACTGAGATGGATAGAGAGATGGAGAGGTTAAGACTTGTCAGTTAGAACAAAGTTTTTAGGGAAGTTTTAGGAGGGCAGACTATCTTGTTTGTTCTTTAGGTTTTAGCTTTTCAGTAAGCATGAATAATTGTGAAACTCTTAAATGCAGGATCTGCACAAATGGAACTTGCCTGTACACACTCCTCCTCAATTTTGGTCTTCCCTGATTCCAGCAGCCTTTTAAAGATGCCTTTCCCTAACAATAAGCATCAGAGACATCACTCCTCCTCCACAGGCTTCCAGGAAAGTCTCTAATAAACTCATATCACCCAAAATGGAAAGGACTGATGAGCTAATGACTACCCCATCCAGTGTTTATTAGGTGCCAGGGAGGTGCAGAGAGCTATTGAATGAATTCACTCGGTTAAACCTCAAAGAAACCCCAATTTTAAAGTCCAAAGGTTACTATTACTAATGCTTTTTTACGGATAAGGAAACCAAGGCTTAGGGAAGCCTACCGTATTATCCCTCCCTGGGGTATTTGCATTTGAACAGCAGACACTGAAGAATGCAGCCAAAAAGTGAATCTGCTCTTGAGAAATTTCAGGCATCATACGGGAATCGTGGATTAAACCTTTATTTGAAAAAATGTTGGCCTTGTCTTCTCTGACTTTTCAAAGGTGAACATACACTTGTTAGTCATCTGGGAAGTTTCTGGGATCATCTGAAATATTAAAGCTTCATTTTATCTGTGTGTTTACACATGTCTTTATGCGGTGTCATAATGAACTCATTTATTTACTGTGGGTTCTCAGCAAACTAAAGATCTTTTCCTTTTGTAGACATTTGCCTGAAAAAATTAAGGATGACCAGCAGCTGAAGAATATGAGTGGCCAATGGTTTTATGAAGCCAAGGCAAAAAGGCACAGGGACAAAATCCATGGCGCAGATATCATCAGAGCATCTATGAGAAAGAAGAGGCCCCAGATAGCAGGTGAGTTGACTTGGCTAGTGCATTTACAACAAGCATTCGTTTGGGAAGGAGGAGCGGGGAGAAGGGAATGGTGTCAGAAATCTGCTGATGGAAATCATTTGGATGTACACTTTTCATAATGTGTGGCCCTCTAGTTTAAATTTCCCTTGCCTTGGATTTGGATGGATGAGGGCAGAGCTAAGTGACTCAGTGTGGTGTAGAGGAACATAGGAAGCCCTTTAGGTGCCCTGTTGAATTATAGTAGCATAGATAGTTGGGGCCTGTAAAGGATCTACCACCTCTTCTTTGGCTTTTAACTCTGAAGATTCAGAATCTTCTGAGTAAAATGAAGGGCTTAGACAAAAAGATATCAGCCTCTCTTTTCAGTGATCTTAACATATGGTAGTACTTTCTTAATTAACCAAGTACATTATTTAAGAGACCGTAAAGACATTTTTTTAATGGAAAAACCTTCTTGTTTATTTGATTAAACAAAAATAAATTAAGCTGTATAGGAACAAGTTTAAAGTCCAGACAGACATCAACTTTGTTTTGAGGCTGTAGTAGCTGACACAGCATCTCCTTGCTACCTACTCCAGCCCTCTCTGTGGACCACAGTGATATATTCAAGAGCCTGTTAGCTAACACAGGAGTTTTAAAACACTTTTCCATTGGTTCTTCACCTGCTTATTGCCTGTCATGCCTGTGGCCTACAATAGTAACATTTAAAAGTGAAAGTCAAAAGAGGGGGGAAATAAAAATGCCAACCAACCAAAAACCCACTTCTGCCTAAAGGTTTGGGGGGAAATCTTTACTTATCCACCCATCTACTGAATTGATGGGATTTATACTATCATGACAATGCCCATTTAAAAGTGGCAAAGGCAGCCAGCATCCCACCCCAGATGGGCTTGTAGCATGGTTTCTGTGGCCAGGGAGGTTACTATGATAGTGCGTATTCCTTATATCATGGCATTATTTTTATGTCTTTTTTTTTTTTAATAGACATAGAGTCTTACTATTTTGGCCAGGCTGGTCTCGAACTACTGGCCTCAAGCAATCTTCCTGCCTCACCCTCCCAAAGTGCTGCGATTATAGACATAAGCCACCATGCCTGGCAAAGGCAATCTTTTGAGGGCTTGTTTAAAATTCTATCAAGTTCATTAAATACTTACTGGTTGCCTTCTCTCTAATTAACTCTGGCTTAGTCCATGTAAAGCCTTGTCAAGGTCTACCCTGTACTCAATAAGGAAAATAGCCATCATCTTTTGAGCATGTGATATAGGATAGGCATTTAATTTCTATTATTTCTAATTGTTGCAGTAATCCTGTGAGGTAGGCATTATTTCCCCCATTCTATACATGGGGCATATGAAGCTCAGAGAAGTTAAGTAACTTGCCCGAGATTATGTAATTGGCAAATGGCAGAGCCAGGATTTCAAAATATTTCTGAATTAGTGCCATACTCCTTGCAGAAAAGGACTGACTGCTTAGTACGTACAGTGCATTGTTTGTAGCCCTCTTGCTTTTCAAAATCACCCAGACCTTCAGAAATCTTGAGGGTACTGGTTAGTACCAGGTGACCCCATTTTGCAGTTGAAGAAACTAGGCTTACATGTAACAGGACCTGTGGGGGGATACTCTCCTGGAATATGGGTATTTGGAAACTGGAAGCTCCAGCACTGCTTCATCCTAATATTGATGAAAGTATTCTGGGCACTTACTGGCTCTGTGGCCTTAGGCAAGTTTCTTGAACTTTTTGATCCTCAGTTTTCAAATCTGTGTACTTGGAAAATAGCTCTCATAGAATAATGCATGCAAAGAACTCAGCACAGTGCCTGGTAGTTAGTTATCATTCAGTTGCTGCTAATTATCAGAGATGTTCAGGTAAAGAGTGAGTGCTGGATGTTCAGAGGCAAAAGAGGTTATTTTCTGAAGCAGGAGCACAGAGGTTTTATGGGGGCTCTGACACCTGAGCTGGGATTGAAGAATATGTAGTTTTGGATTTGTAGAGACTGTGGGGAGGAGGAGAAGGCAGCAGAGGAAGACATTCCTAGACCATAATCATTTGTTCCCCTTTGTATCTTAGAGCACATACAAGATATTTGAACACATTGTAGCTATTCAGTAAATGCTTGGTAATGATGGTGCTTCTATCCCACTGAGGACTTCCTGCCCTGAGCATCCCCTGGCCATGCACATTTAGACCTGACCCCAACTCAGTTCAGATTAACCTAGAGGCAGTCAGAATTTTGCTTTAATGGTCTCTGGAGTTACTCTCACATTTAAAGGTATGCTCATTCTCTCAAGAGACTCTGCTTGGGGAAATCTAATGTCGTGGGAATTTACTGACTTCTCTCTTAGATGTAATTCTGATCAACTACTTAGACCCAGTGATTGCCTTGGCACTGGGAAGGCCTGAGGTTCAGGTTCAAGGCTTCAGTGATAAGAGCTGATAAGAGAGTTGTAGGTCATGGAGGTGAGAGATAACCTTCCTGTCTTTACTGTTTCCTGTTTCAGCTGAGCAGAGTAAAGACAGAGAAAATGGGGCAAAGGAAAGCTGGGTGAATAATGTCAACAAAGATGCTTTCCTTCCTCCAGAGCTGGCTGGCGTTGTAGAAGAGCCAGAAGAAGATGCAGCACCAGCAAGCCCGAGGTAAGGCAAAGCTTCTGGGGAGAGCTGCTGCATGTGGCTTTCATGGCCTGGGGTGTCACATGGGCAGAATGGCAGGCTATGAGTACAGATGCCAGACTGGGGTCATGGGCATGGGGAAGGGGCAGTGTATGAGAGAATTCTGGGCCCCGATGCAGATAAAGCCCAAGTGGTACTCTTTCTCAGCTTCCAGAATTTCCAACAAATCTATATCTTAAATAAAATAAAAATGTTAAGTGGTGATTTCTTCCAGTACCAGCAAGAGCCGTTTTTATTTCTCCCATGGATTTCTCCTTAGAGTAGAATGAAGAGGTACTTCAATTTGAATATCAAGGAATAAGTCATTTCAGGGAAAAGATAAACTATGATCAGATTGTAACAGCCTAGTGCAATGGAAGAAGCTCAAGCACAAGAACCAGATAGATGTGAATTCAATTGCCGAATCTGCGATTTATTAGCCATTTGACTATGGGCAAGACATTTAACCTTTCTGAGTCTATATTCTTAACTATAGCTAGGAACAATAATATATACCTGAAAAGCTATGGCAAGAATTAGTGATAAGGTATGTAGAATACCTGGCATGATAGATACTCAGTAAATGCCTCTTAAGGATATAGATTATCTTCAATATTATAGTCTTGGGGTTTTTTGGTGTTTTTCCTACATGTTGTTATCTGACCAATCAAAATGTACATTTGTACATCTTTGCTGAGATGCAGCCAATTGTGGGCCTACATTGCTATAAACCTTTTGAGCCATAATGATTTGTTTTTAGGTATTTAAGGATCTTCTCATGGGTGTCTGTTCCTTGAGGGCATAGTTGTTACCCTTTAGTGAGAGGGGCAGTTGCCTTTTACCTGTAGCTCCTCAATTAAGTTAGTTCAATTCAGAGTCTTCAATTGGGATGAAGTTGATGAATTTACTGGTGGGATGTCACTGAATCAGGGTCTAAGGCTGAGGCACCTGGAAACAGGGATATTTCTAGCATAGTTTATAGGTGTCAGGGAGGGTATATGATATAAGTACCAATAGGTATTTTAAAGTCAAATATGAGTAAAGTTATATCATGTGGATAATGGAATACTGACTCTATGGGTACTCTAAGGGTACCCTTTATTTATCTATTTCCCATTTGGAAAGGGGATCATTCTGTTTCCCATGAATGGCAGGCTGCACTGTTTCCCCTCTGGGACTATTTGTAATATTCTTTTATATCTGTAGAGGCCATCTTTGCTGGGGATAAAACACCTTAATAGTAGTCACTAATTGATAATGTGACCTTACAGTAGTACTGACTTAACTCCTTGGACTTTTATTTCCTCAGTTTTAAAATGGGAACAATAATATTAATAGTTTGCTAGCAGAATTACTGAGAAGTTAATTAGCCAGTGAATATAGAATTCCCAGTGCAGCCCATTAGCACGTAGTAAGTGCTCAAGAAATGGAAGCATGAGCTCTTGCCTACATATAAGATATTTCAGGAACACCAGGAAGGAGTGTGAAGGACACACTATTCTGTCCCCCTGGGTGACTCCCCACTTGCCACCTGCCTATAATCTCTCTAATGGAATGAAGGCCTTCCTTCATAAAGAAAGATGAGACCTAAAATATTGTCATGTTAAAGAAACACAAAGAGAGAGAACATAGTTATTTATATTTACCACCAAGAAGCTGAGAGAAGCTCTTAAGAGCTGGCTTTGATGGGGACTGGGGAGCACTAGAACACTGACCAGCTGAGGGAGGAGGGAGCAGGTGCCACAGAAGGGGAAAGGAGATGATTTGGGAGCATCAGAGACAAATAGCTCATTGCCCCATTTTATCTGGGTCAGACTTTCCATCCTTCTTCCAGGAACTTATTCTATCTCAGTGGGCCTGAGGGTCAGAGGTGCCACTGTCCTCATAGCCTAACTTTTTCTTCATGAACCGTGGGGCTGGTGGGTATTCTCCCACTCTTCCTCAACTTGAGGCTAATAACATAGTATTCAAGATTAGCATCTCCGTTATTTTCTGCATTCCTTGTGTGACTTCAGGCAAGTCTTTCAGGTCTCATCTGTAAATCAGAACAGAATTTCCTCACCAGGACATTGTGAGATTAAATGAAACAAGGTATGAGAATCAGTCAGCATTTCTCAGGAAGAAAGAAAATTGGCCATTTTCCGGTGGCATGAAAATTGTTATTATTACATGGATGAAGTATGTTTGAGAAGGCAAGAATAAAGATGTTAGGCGTATCCAGGATGCTTTGCTCATTAAAGGCCAGTCCTATAACACATGCCATGGGTGGTAATTATCCAGAAAGTTAGAATGAGCTATTTTTTACTTCCTTCTTTCTATATTAGAAACTACTACCTTACTCAGTATCAAGTTCCTGCAATGTTTCTTACCTATACTTTAACCTTTGTGAACTGGGTGTGTTAAGTGTATTTTGGGGCCTGTACTTTTAGACTAAGTGAACTTTAATAGAATGACTCAATACCTGTCAGTATTTCCTTAGCCAGGAGTCAGAAGTTGGGGAGTGTAAGGTGATAGGCTGGTTATTGTAGTTTCTGGAGTTTTGCTAATAGGCTCTGTGGCAACATCTTTCTTTCTGTTGTGGGCACGATTCTGTGGGGTTCCACACATGAAGAAGTAAAACACTGTGGGTACCCAGCATGTAGTCAAGCATTGGCAGCTGACTGCATTCTTTCTTAACTCACCTTTGTTTGCACCTGGAGTACAAGGAAGCAGAGAGGTTTATGAGCAGAGGAGAAGAAAATAAGGCTTGTTCTGGAGTAGCAAAAGGAAAACCCTGAATGCTCACATTTCTAGTTCTGGTTACAGACTTTTCAGGTGGGCAGTGTTGGTTGGACCAGCACTTCATAAACCCTTTGTAGTGAAGGACTAGTTTTGTTTCATTTTAAAGTTTTTATTTCTAATCATCACAGATTGATATCTTATGTAAAATATAATGAAAATAAATACTAGAAAAATAAAATACAGAAAACAACAGTGGCATGCAAAAGATAAGCCCGTCGATCATGTTTGCTATAAA
This sequence comes from Homo sapiens, assembly GCF_000001405.40. Lineage (NCBI taxonomy): Eukaryota > Metazoa > Chordata > Mammalia > Primates > Hominidae > Homo > Homo sapiens. The sequence goes on along the minus strand of NC_000011.10, from coordinate 85,742,605 downwards.
TAGTTCTTCAGCACATAGCCTCCGTTTCTGTACTTATCTCATTGTGAACCAGTGGCAAACAGTGCATGGATGGGCACTGGTCCATGAACCATATGCTGATAGCACATTGTGTGCCCCCCACAACAGAAAATAACTCTTGAATATGTACACAGTAATCCACAGGACATGGCTGAGCCAAGGTGGGGAGTACAGAATGAAGACTCATCCCATGAAGGTCAGGACCCTGTCCGTAAATGAGGTATAATGTTTCCTGACTATCAAATTAGGTCTGTTCTGGTTTTACTAAGAAGCTGTCACTTCAGAAGTGTCCCCATAAGCCCTGGCAATTATAGAAAAATAGAGGAGAATTTGAGGGCCCTCTCAGATTTGCATAGCTATGAGAGAAGAGCATTCAAGATGGAGAACTAGACTGCAGGAGGTAGCCAATAAACCTCTGCGTGGCCATGCCCTGTCCTTGGCTTGTAAGGAGGCTTGGCTGCTGCAGAGGTTTGTAATGGCTAGTAATCAAACATCTCTAGAGAATGTCTCCCAAATGAGTTCAGGGAGAACAAGATCAACCCTTCACTGTTGTATTTCAGTCCATGGCATTGGCAGGTTTTCTTCTGGGCACTTACCTGTAAAATCGCAAGAAAATGATAAATTTCCTTGCAAGAAAAACTGTGCATTTACACCTAACTTTGTTTTTGGTAGAATTAAAACACTATTTGGTAAGTCTTTGTGCTTCATTGCCTGTGCCTTAGGGATGCTTCTGACACCAGTCTCCTTCTTACCGTCTGTTGAATAGGAACCAATCAATTAAAGCCACATCTTTAGCTCTTAGTTTTCCCCCACAATGCTCTTTTTCCTGAAAGTCTTTCGTAGATATTAATTTCCCTCTCCCAGAAGGATTAGCTATTGCGTTTACCCCTAGTATTAAGATGAGTGTAAGGTACCTAGCTTGCTCCCAAAGGCAGGGTAGAGATGAGCCAATCTGAGATAATGCATCTGATATTTTTTCCCAGGATTGATAGCAAATCTAGTAATGTGAAGATTTCATTTCTTGGAGGCCTGGCCTACAAAGTCATTTATATTGAACTCTTAAAATAATAATTCTTAATTCTATAAGAGCTCAGATTTACTCATATCAGTTGTAGTAAGAATAGTTTCACTGTGACATAAAAATGCCTCATACTTTTATATGCATGTTCAACAACTCTGTAGCCTGAACAGTGGGAACACTGGAGAACTATGTATACTCACAAGTAATATTTTACTTAAAGAAATACTGACTTGAGGTGCTTCAGATAAGATATTTTCTAATTTGCTTCCCTCACTCCATCCCTGAGCCGTTTCTTCATTTGTTTGCTCATTTGTTCATGCTTCATTAAGTGCCAACACATGCCAGCACAGTTCTGGGTGCTGGGGATGAGACACAGCTTGAGCCCCCAAGGAAGTCACAGTACAAAGGGAGAGATCAAAACAACAAAAAACAAGTCAACAACACTTGTAGAATTTGGTTCTATAAACAACATTTAAGCTAAGAAAAAAAAAAAAACCTCAGAAAAAGGCATATCTGCTACTATTTTTAACTGTTGTAGAGAGAAAGGCTGGTGAACGTTAAAAACCTTTTTTAAATGACTGCATGTGCATAGAAGCACCTTGTGGCTGGGTATAGCAGGCAGCTGCCTGTGTGGTATAATTTTAAAACGGCTGTAAAACCTCTTCCCCCAGTGGCCCTTCCTGATGTTATTTATTCTTTTTATTTAAGATTTCAAAGACTTGTATTAAAATGAAGATGCTTTTAGGAGGGGCACCCTGATGCCAATACCATAGTCTAATATTTTAATAATCTTCTTAACAAAGTAAACTAATTCTGTCTGAGTGCTGCTTCTAATGTTGCAGTTCCTTTTTTGAAGAGTGCCTGAGGGAAGGTTACAGAACACAGGGTATGGAATTTGGCTTGCTTCATAGTTTAAAAATCTTATCATGTGGAATGTATGGAGTATCTTTTATATTCAGGACACAGTCTGCTACCCTCTGAGAGGAATTCTAAGAAACAGAAGACACAGTATCTGGCTCTATTCTGTATTCTCTTAGGAAAAATAATGCACCGATTTATGAAGATATGACCACATGATAGCAAATAGTGCCAGGAAGAAAGGAAATTCCTAATCCAAAGTACCAATAAAATGTGCTGCAATAATTGAGGCAAGAGAGACATACTCCTAGCCAGGTTGATATAAGAGGTGAGATTTGGACTGGGCATGAAGAGGATAGGGACGATTTGGGTAGACAAAGAAAGCAAAAAGAACACTTACAAGGAGGGACTGGGAATAGGTTAAGTGGAAATAGCAGAGTCAGGTGAGTTTCTGGGGCAGTAAGTAGATTGACCATTTTGTTTGGCATGAAAGGTCAATAGAAAGGAAGAATGGGAAGTATATTGGGGCAGATGGTGGATGGTCTCCAGTACCTTGCCAAGGAGTTCAGACTTCATTCCACAGGCCTTGAGGATCCTGCAAAGGTAATGAACAGAAGAAAGACACCACCAAAGTTGCATTTTGGACCACTCCAGCGTAGTGGTAGAACGTAGAATGGTTTAGGAGAGTGGAACTTGGGAGTCAGGAAGCCAAATGTGAGGCCAATAGAGTTGACACAAATAAAGGAGGTGTCAGTAGAGGTAGAAGAGACAGATGTGGGAGTCTCTGGGAGGGAAGAATCACCCAGACTTGCCTCCAGTCCTCTTGCCACAAGCCACTGCTTTAATGCAAGAAACCAGAGGCAGTATAGCCTAGCCATTACCATGATTGTCTTTGGAGTCAGACACACCTGGGTTCAAATCCCCAGCTCTTTTGCCAATTTTGTAACATCAAGCAGGTGACTTAACCTCTGTGAACCTCAGTTTTTTCATAAGTGAGATGGAGAGAATGATAGATAAAATGATAGATAACATAGAGATGATGCAAGGATCAATTGAGAATAAGGTGGTTGCAGTACTGATTGCCCAATAAAAGACAGACAAGCAAAACATTATAGTATCCCTTGAGAGAAACAAAGCTACTAGGAAGTAGCTGCATTTTCAGACAAAATTTGAGGAAATAAGACTCTTGTTTTAATTTTTTCCTATTAAGCAGACTGTAAACTTTAACTGAGTATCCCCCCTCATCCCAGTTTGCCCCTATCCCAACCACAAGGTAACTGAATGAATCCTGTGTGTTTCTAATATTTTAGTGTCTGACTATGTGTTCTGACTGTTTTGTTTCTTCCTCTCTTTTTCTTTCCGAATAGCGGAAACAGACATTTTGTTTAATACCTGAATAGTCTGCCTCACTGCAGTTTTGCAAATAACATGGATTAAAAAAAAAAAAAAAAAAAAGCCAGCCTCCTGCTTACTATCTGTTGCTGCTTCTCCTGGCACTGGCTCAATTGGCCTTCGTTTATTTAGCCATTCACCAGTTATGTACCAGGCACTGTGCAAGGCACTGCAGGGGATATAAAGATGTTTGAGATACTCTTGAGGGATCTCCCACTTTACTATGCGAGGTAAGATATGTATACACAGAGGAGGTTGCATAGTAGACATGAAATACATAGCTAGGTACAGCTCAGTAAGGGAGAGACCTCATCTCTAGGAGGTAGGGACTACATGATTTGCAATATGGGCTGTTGAGGCTGGCGGCCTGGAGGCACAGGAACTGGAATTTCAGGGAGCAGAGGGAGAAGGATATAGACACTCTGCTTATCCTTTGGGCTTGGTGAGTGGGAAGGGGAAAGGAGAAAGATGGTGGAAAAAGACAGGTGTTCCACAGAGACCCCCAACCATCAGCACTTGGCTCAGGTCTTCTGATTATGTAACTGCTTTATTTACTAAGGAAGATTATGCAGAACACTCTGAGAAACTGAGCATAGCATCGACTATAGGGATGTTGTTCCTCATATCACCCACTGGCTTCTAAAAATGACATTCAAGAGAAATTGCTTTCTGGTTCTGAGCTATTGGTTGTTTTTATTATATAGAGACTGAATTATATCAGTGACTAGGTTTCTTTTTTCACTGTTTCTAGATAGCTTGATTCAAGTTTGTGCACACCTATTACAGGAATGGAGGACTCCTGTAATGTGTCTATTAGTCTTAATTCGGGCTCCATTATACATTCCTATTCTGTTCCCTCCCCTTTCCCTCCCATCCTCTATTTTCCCCCTTTCTCGCCTCTATGTAATCAGGCTGTATTTTATATCCTTCTGCTCATCTGCTATAATGCCTTTCTGGAACAATGAAAGGAAGTAATGAAAGGAAGAATGGCTTCTTCAAGAGCTCAGCCTTTTCTTGGGAGTAATTGTGTAAAAATAGCAATTGAAGTACAGAGATAAAGAAAAGAAATGAGGCTGCAGGAACATCTAGCCCATGGTTTTAGTGACAACAATCTTGGTTGAGGTTCTGTGGCCTTGGGGGCAAATTATTCCCCTCCTCTCCAGGCCTTTGGTTCCTTACTTCATGGGGAAAAGCAGGAATCTTACCCCTACCTCCACAAACTAAGGTGTTTTCCAAGCTCCTGACTCTGTGATGCCACTGAGAGAACTGGTGGTGGTAACAGGACACGAAGGCTTCAGCCAATAGCAACTTCACCTCCTGTGCCTGAGGCAAGACCACTGGAACAGGAAGTCTGAGCAGGTTGTTCCTCTCCCCACCCAGGGCCTCCGTGACCCTCTTTTGCCCTTCTCAATCAACAGTCAAGGGTGTGGTGGTTCTGGAGGGAGCCTGCTCACTTCACTTGTCTCCACTCACTCTTGCCTTACTCTCACTCTGGTGCTGTCCTGTCCCTGGGATAGGGAATAATTCTCTAGAGAATCCTTCTTATTCTTCTGCACCAGCTTCCTCTCCTAGCCTGCTGATAGCTTTCCACTTCAGAGGCATAATTTATGATTCCTCAAAAGGTGAGGTTTTATTCTCTGAATTATTGTTTCTTTTGCAGTTCCAGTGTGGTAAATCCAGCTTCCAGTGTGATTGATATGTCCCAGGAAAACACAAGGAAACCAAATGTGTCTCCAGAGAAGGTAGACTGAGCCCAGATTTTGAAAATCTTGTATTTGTTAGGAATGCCATTTTTCCTCATTGTGTCAAAGCACCACAAAATAAAGAGAATTTTGTAGTACAGTTTTTTGGTACCAAATACAGGTAATTTTCACTATTTTAAGAAGTCACTAGTTTAAGAAGTCACTCTCATGGTGGAAAAAGTGGATGGATACCATGTCATTGCATTGCTGAAGACCCAGATTTCTTGCCCTAGAGGGTAAAAAGTCTGAAGCTATTTGGTGCTGCTGCTTTTTAGCATATGGAATAAGGCTTGTTAGTTCCATGTCAGTCCTTATTCCTATATTCCTATGCATAGCTTCCTAAATCTCTGTTAGAGATCTGCTTCTGGGAGAGAATTGCTAATTTATTAAACTATAGACAGTAAACATTGTTATTGATTCCTATATTAATTTTTAAAACCTCTATTGATACCATTTTTATCATTAGAATTGATGATAATAATAATGACTATGAAGCACTTCAAGATACCTAAAATGTCTCCAAAATCTTTAGGAAAGGTCAATTACAGTTGTATTTTGTACACTTGTGATCTAGCACACTGAGAGTCTGGTATGGTAGAAGAATCACTGGTGGGACTCTGACCTGATTAGAGACCCAAGTTTCCTTTGACCTTGATCTGGTCTTTGCTATATCCGGGGCCAAGTTTTTTCACCTGTAAAATGTGGGATTTTGATTTAAGTGTCTGATTCTGAGCTAACTTTGTAGGACTCTGGCTTTGCATATATTTTATATAATTTTTAAATGGCATATATGGTAACTCTGTGCTAAGCAGATTAATCAGGACAACTGTTTTTCAAACATGCCAAATAATGGAGTTTATGGGATAAAACTATCAAAATTGAAGATAATAGGCATTTGCCAACACTGAGTTGCTGTCATGACATTTAAAATAAGTTTAATAAACAATATTTGTCCCCAGCAGAGGAAGAATCCGTTTAATAGCTCCAAGTTGCCAGAAGGTCACTCATCACAACAAACTAAAAATGAACAGTCAAAAAATGGAAGAACTGGTTTATTTCAGACTTCAAAAGAGGGTAAATATTATTTTTATGAACTTGATTTTTTTATCTTTGTTATCTGTGGACTAAGGGAAATTCTCAGAGTTCCTTTTGCTCAAATAACTTCCAAGAGAAAGTGAAAAGTCCTGATGGTTTTCTTATTTTACGGTGCTTGTTGGTTTCCTTCCTGAGGGAGAGGAAGCAGAAATTTGAGAAACTGATAGCTCACGCATTCCAGTCTCAGAGCTGTGACTTGTTACGTGACTTCCATTGTGTCTTGGATTCCCTCATCAGTAAATTGGGAGATTTTTTGACCCAAGACATTCAGTCTTCCACTTAACAGTATTTATTAGATGCCTACTGTGTGTTCACAAAGTTCTGTTTAAAAGGGCTTGCCTCAAGAAGAAAAAGCCTGTTGACAATGTTATGATCCTCTAATCTGTAATTCTCAGCCCAGCCGCCCAAAAGCGTTTGATCAGGTTTGTGGCTCAATTGATGTAAGTCAGCCTGCTATGGAATTTTATCATTTTTATATACTGTTAAGAGGAAATGCTAAACATTTCAATCTCTTCAAAAGCAACTTGAAGAAGATTCCACAAGCATTAAAGAGTGGTTAGGGGTAGAAAATTAAAAAACAGTGGAGCTGGGGTTTTCAATTAGCCTGTCTGAATATTAAAATACTTTCCACTGGGCACGTTTTAGATTACATAAAATATTTTGTAGAAGAAAATCACTGGAACATGTTAGATGTTTGTTTTTAACTTTTCTTTTTTTTTTTTGGCCATGGAGTCCCACTCTATTGCCCAGGCTGGAGTGCAGTGGTGCAATCTCGGCTCACTGCACCCTTCGCCTCCCGGGTTCCGGGGCTTCTAGTGCCTCAGCCTTCTGAGTAGCTGGGACTACAGGCGTGCTCTACCACACCCGCCTAATTTTTGTATTTTTAGTAGAAATGAGGTTTCACCCTTTTGGCCAGGCTGGTCTCAAACTCCTGGACTCAAGTGATCCACCCACCTCGGCTTCCCAAAGTGCTGGGATTACAGGTGTGAGCCACTGCGCTTGGCCTGTTTTTAACTTTCTGACAAAAATAAATTTTGTGTTAGGTAATGGGGTTTTATTTTTTTAAACTGAATTTCCTTTTCTGATTTCTGCAGGTGAATTTAAGTGACTTCTATGTTTTTCTTTAAGCCTCTTTTGAGAAATTTTCTTTTCATTCTTAAAAAAACTTTCTGTATTGGGTGTAAAATAATCACAAACTATATAAAGCACAGTAATCTTAAATGTACAGTGCAATGAAGTTTATACATGATTTTTCGAATAGACGTTATTTTTTAGAGCAGTTTTAGGTTCACAATATTGAGCAAAAGATACAGACGTTTTCCATATACACCCTCTCCCCACACAGGCATAGCCTCCCTCATTATCAACATTCCTCATGAGAATGGTACATTTGTTACACGTGATGAACCACATTGAGACATCACTATCACCCAAAGTACATCGTTTACATCAGGGTTCACTCTTCATGGTGTACATTCTATGGGTTTAGACAAAAGTATAATAGTGTGCGGCCACCATTGTAGTGTCATAGAGTAGTTCCAGTGCCCTAAAAGTCCTCTGTGCTCCAATGCATGAATTTTTAAAAGCTTTTCACATTAGGCCTGTAGTTGTGCCACATACTTTACTGTCTTTAATATTTTAATAGTTTCACTAAGTGTAGGTTAAGTTTATGACAGGTATTTTAAATTATATATTACTCTCTATATGATATATCACCTACTGTGTTTTAATTTTCAGATGAATTGTCAGAGTCAAAAGAAAAGTCAACTGTCGCAGATACTTCAATCCAAAAGTTAGAGAAATCAAAGCAGACTTTGCCAGGCCTTTCAAATGGGTCCCAAATCAAGGCTCCAATCCCCAAAGCCAGGAAGATGATCTACAAATCAACTGATTTAAACAAAGATGATAACCAGTCTTTTCCTAGACAAAGGACAGACTCCCTGAAAGCGAGAGGGGCTCCGAGAGGGATCCTCAAGCGCAACTCCAGTTCCAGTAGCACAGACTCAGAAACCCTTCGTTATAATCACAACTTTGAACCCAAAAGCAAAATTGTGTCACCTGGCCTAACCATCCATGAGAGAATTTCTGAGAAGGAGCATTCTTTAGAAGACAACTCTTCCCCAAACTCCCTGGAGCCATTAAAGCATGTGAGATTCTCTGCAGTGAAGGATGAGCTTCCACAGAGTCCTGGGCTAATCCATGGTCGGGAAGTAGGAGAATTTAGTGTTTTAGAATCTGACAGATTGAAAAATGGAATGGAAGATGCAGGGGACACAGAAGAGTTTCAGAGTGACCCTAAGCCTTCTCAATACAGAAAGCCTTCGCTTTTTCATCAATCAACCTCAAGCCCATATGTATCAAAAAGTGAAACACATCAGCCAATGACTTCTGGTTCTTTTCCAATTAATGGGCTGCATTCTCATTCAGAAGTTTTAACTGCAAGACCACAGTCTATGGAGAATTCACCAACCATCAATGAACCCAAAGATAAATCATCAGAATTAACAAGGCTTGAATCTGTATTACCCAGAAGCCCTGCTGGTAAGAGAGTTGTCACTACTAGATTATAAAAACTTGGTGGGGCCGGGCGCGGTGGCTCACGCCTGTAATCCCAGCACTTTGGGAGGCCGAGGCGGGTGGATCATGAGGTCAGGAGATCGAGACCATCCTGGCTAACAAGGTGAAACCCCGTCTCTACTAAAAATACAAAAAATTAGCCGGGCGCGGTGGCGGGCGCCTGTAGTCCCAGCTACTCGGGAGGCTGAGGCAGGAGAATGGCGTGAACCCGGGAAGCGGAGCTTGCAGTGAGCCGAGATTGCGCCACTGCAGTCCGCAGTCCGGCCTGGGCGACAGAGCGAGACTCCGTCTCAAAAAAAAAAAAAAAACAAAAAAAAAAAACTTGGTGGGCTTGAAATGCCCAGGCCAGCTAGTCCTGTAGAAGCCCAATTTAACCTTCTAGGCATTCCATCTACAATTCAGACAGATGCCACTGGAAATGTTTATACCTCTTAATGGGCTTGGAGATTTTCCTCAATCACCAATAACTAAAAGTACCAGGATAGCACAGTTTCTGGCCCATTATGCTTTACCCTAAAATATATATAACCATATCAACTATTTAAACAAATGACAATGTTTTTAGTTAAATCAAGGTGGAATAGAGTAAGAAAGACTTCCTTTCATTAGCTAATACCTTTGTACAGGGTAAATGTATTATTACTCACCTAATGCAAATTTATTAATTACAATTTTACCAGACTTTGGTTTCTCTTGTAATCTCAAGAGAACCTTCACTTTCTTAGTGTCAAAGGATGGGAAACTAGACTTTGAGGCCTTACTATGCAAAAGCCTCAGACTTTGGCCTGCTCAGGCCTCCAGCCATTTGTTCTTAGGCTTTAAAAGCCCTGAAGGCACTTTCTCCTTCAGCTTGTGTGAGTTGAGAGGCAATGAGGGTACTGCTTTTCCCTGCTAACTAGCCTTGTCTTGAAGGTCTTACCACTCTCAGGGGATGCCTGAAACTACTTTTATACCTATATGATCATGAAGTAATCATAATGTTTTATAATCATAATTTCTTATGTTTTTTAAAAAAACAGAAACAATAGAAAAAAACATGCTGTGTACCCTCTGCCATCTTCAGTAAGCCTGCATCGAACCCTATGATAGTTTCTTTATAGTCAGGATAATTCACAATAGCAACAATCAAGTTTGCTTTTTTAAAAAAAATTTTTTTTAAATATATACTTTAAGTTCTGGGATACATGTGAAGAACGTGCAGGTTTGTTACATAGGTATACACATGCCATGGTGGTTTGCTGCACCCATCAACCTGTCACCTACATTAGGTATTTCTCCTAATGCAGTCCCTCCCCACCCCCTGCCCACCCCAACAGGCCCTGGTGTGTGATGTTTCCCTCCTTGTTTTCCGTGTGTTCTCATTGTTGAACTCCCACTTATGGGTGAGAACATGCGGTGGTTGGTTTTCTGATCTTGTGATAGTTTGCTGAGAATGATGGTTTCCAGCTTCATCCATGTCCCTGCAGAGGACATGAACTCATCCTTTTTTGTGGTGGCATAGTATTCCATGCTGTATATGTGCCACATTTTCTTTTTCCAGTCTATCATTGATGGGCATTTGGGTTGGTTCCAAGTTTCTGCTGTTGTGAACAGTGCTGCAGTAAACACACGTGTGCATGTGTCTTTGTAGTAGAATGATTTATAATACTTTAGATATATACCCAGTAATGGGATTGCTGGGTCAAATGGTATTTCTGGTTCTAGATCCTTGAGGAATCACCACACTGTCTTCACAACAGTTGAACTCATTTACACTCCCACCAACAGTGTAAAAGCGTTCCTATTTCTCCACATCCTCTCCAGCATCGGTTGTTTCCTGACTTTTTAATGATCACCATTCTAACTGGAGTGAGATGGTATCTCATTGTGGTTTTGATTTGCATTTCTCTAATGACCAGTGATAATGAGCTTTTTATCATGTTTGTTGGCTGCATAAATATCTTCTTTTGAGAAGTGTCTGTTCATATCCTTCACCCACTTTTTAATGGGGTTGTTTTTTCTTGTAAATTTGTAAATTTTCTTGTAAATTTAAGTTCCTTGTAGATTCTGTATATTAGCCCTTTGTCAGATGGATAGATTGCAAAAATTTTCTCCCATTCTGTAGGTTGCCTCTTCACTCTGATGATAGATTCTTTTGCTATGAAGAAGCTCTTTAGTTTAATTAGATCCCGTTTGTCAATTTTGACTTTTGTTGCCATTGCTTTTGGTGTTTTAGTCATGAAGTCTTTGCCCATGCCTATGTCCTGAGTGGTATTGCCTAGGTTTTCTTCTAGGGTTTTTATGGTTTTAGGGCTTACATTTAAGTCTTTAATCTAGTTGAGTTAATTTTTGTATAAGGTGTAAGGAAGGGGTCCAGTTTCAGTTTTCTGCGTATGGCTAGCCAGTTTTCCCAACACCATTTATTAAATAGGGAATCCTTTCCCCATTGCTTGTTTTTGTCAGTTTTGGCAAAGATCAGATGGTTGTAGATATGTGGCATTATTTCTGAGGCCTCTGTTCTGTCCCATTGGTCTATATATCTGTTTTGGTACCAGTACCATGCAGTTTTGGTTATGGTAGCCTTGTAGTATAGTTTGAAGTCAGGTAGCGTGATGCCTCCAGCTTTGTTCTTTTTGCTTAGGAACGTGTTGGCTATGCAACCTCTTTTTTGGTTCCACATGAAATTTAAACTTTTTTCTAATTCTGTGATGAGAGTCAATGGTAGCTCTGTGGGGATAGCATTGAATCTATAAATTACTTTGGTCAGTATGGCCATTTTCATGATACTGATTCTTCCTATCCATGAGCATGGAATGTTTTTCCATTTGTTTGTGTCCTCTCTTATTTCCTTGAGCAGTGGTTTGTAGTTCTCCTTGAAGAGATCCTTCACATCCCTTGTAAACTGGATTCCTAGGTATTTTGTTCTCTTTGTAGCAATTGTGAATGGGAGTTCACTCATGATTTGGCTCTTTATTATTGGTGTATAGGAATGCTTGTGATTTTTGCACATTGATTTTGTATCCTGAGACTTTGCTGAAGTTGCTTATCAGCTTAAGGAGATTTTGGGCTGAGACGATGAGGTTTTCTAAATATACAATCATGTCATCTGCAAAAAGAGACAATTTGACCTCCTCTCTTCCTATTTGAATACCATTTTTTTTTTTCTCTTGCCTGATTGTCCTAGCCAGAACTTCCAATACTATGTTGAATAGGAGTGGTGAGAGAGGGCATCCTTGTCTTGTGCCAGTTTTCAAAGAGAATGCTTCCAGCTTTTGCCCATTCAGTATGATATTGGCTGTGGGTTTGTTATAAATAGCTTTTATTATTTTGAGATACGTTCCATCAATACCTAGTTTATTGAGGGTTTTTAGCAAGAAGGGCTGTTGAATTTTTTCGAAGGCCTTTTCTGCATCTATTGAGATAATCATGTGGTTTTTGTCATTGGTTCTGTTTACGTGATGGATTACGTTTATTGATTTGCATATGTTGCACCAGCCTTTCATCCCAGGGATGAAGCTGACTTGATCATAGTCGATAAGCTTTTTGATGTGCTGCTGGATTCTGTTTGCCAGTATTTTATTGAGAATGTTGGTATCAATGTTCATCAGGGATATTGGTCTGAAATTTTCTTTTCTTGTGTTGTCTCTGCCAGGGTTTGGTATCAGGTTGATGTTGGCCCCACAAAATGAGTTAGGGAGGAGTCCCTCTTTTTCTGTTGTTTGGGATAGTTTCAGAACGAATGGTACCAGCTCCTCTTTGTACCTCCGGTAGAATTCGGCTGTGAATCCATCTGGTCCTGGACTTTTTTTGGTTGCTAGGCTATTAATTGCTGCCTCCATTTCTGAACTTGTTATTGGTCTATTCAGGGATTCAACGTCTTCCTGGTTTAGTCTTGGGAGGGTGTGTGTGTCCAGGAATTTATCCATTTCTTCTAGATTTTCTAGTTTGTTTGCATAGAAGTGTTTATAGTATTCTCTGATGGTGGTTTGTATTTCTGTGGGATCAGTGGTGATATCCCCTTTATCATTTTTTATTGTGTCTATTTGATTCTTCTGTCTTTTCTTATTAGTCTGGCTAATGGTCTATCTATTTTATTGATCTTTTCAAAAAACCTGAACCTGCTCCTGGATTCATTGATTTTTTGAAGGGTTTTTTGTGTCACTATCTCCTTCAGTTCTGCTCTGATTTTAGTTATTTCTTGTCTTCTGCTAGCTTTTGAATTTGTTTGCTCTTGCTTTTCCAGTTTTTCTAATTGTGATGTTAGGGTGTTGATTTTAGATCTTTCCCACTTTCTCCTGTGGGCATTTAGTGCTATAAATTTCCCTCTAAACACTGGTTTAGCTGTGTCCCAGAGATTCTGGAATGCTGTGTCTTTATTCTCATTGGTTTCAAAGAACTTATTTATTTCTGCCTTTATTTCGTTATTTACCCAGTAGTCACTCAGGAGCAAGTTGTTCAGTTTCCATATAGTTGTGCAGTTTTGAGTGAGTTTCTTAATCCTGAGTTCTAATTTGATTGCACTGTGGTCTGAGAGACCGTTTGTTATTATTTCTATTCTTTTGCATTTGCTGAGGAGTGTTTTACTTCCAATTATGTGGTCAATTTTAGAATAAGTGCGATGTGGTGCTGAGAAGAACGTGTATTCTGTTGATTTGGGGTGGAGAGTTCTGTAGATGTCTTTTAGGTCCACTTGGTCCAGAGCTTAGTTCAAATCCTGAATATCCTTGTTAATTTTCTGTATCGTTGATCTGTGTAATATTGACAGTGGGGTGTTAAAGTCTCCCACTATTACTGTGTGGGAGTCTAAGTCTCTTTGTAGGTTTCTAAGAACTTGCTTTATGAATCTGGGTGCTCCTGTATTGGGTGCATATATATTTAGGATAGCTAGCTCTTCTTGTTGCATTGATCCCTTTACCATTATGTAATGCCCTTCTTTGTCTTTTTGATCTTTGTTGGATTGAAAACACGGTTCTTAAACCCCAGTATGCAGAACAATCACTAGAATAGCTGTTAGTAAAGATTACTGTGCCCAATCTTCAGAAATTCTTCTCATTCAATACATCAATAGTAAGGCCCAGGAATGGAAATATCCTCATTTTCCCATTTAAATATTGTGGATAAAATTCCTTGTTTAGTCTTATTTGAAAGTTATTTTTCTAACTCCTGAAATCACTTAAGTCTGTGCTTCTCAAACCTGGGTTTAAGCCCCCTCTAGGGTTTATGATATGTGCCAGGGGATGGGTGAAGTCATAAAATCGGCATGGCATATCTTCCTGGAGTGTCAGTTTTATACAAAGATTTAAAAGTAAGAGAAAATTAACATTTAAAATGTAACATGGAGCTGGGTGTGGTGGCTCATGACTGTAATCCCAGCACTTTCGGAGGCTGAGGTGAGTGGATCATGAGGTCAGGAGTTCGAGACCAGCCTGGCCAATATGGTGAAACCCCGTCTCTACTAAAAATACAAAAATTAGCTGAGCGTGGTGGTGCATGGCTGTAATCCCAGCTATTTGGGAGGCTGAAGCAGAAGAATCGCTTGAACCTGGGAGGCGGAGGTTGCAGTGAGCCGAGATCCCGCCACTGCACTCTGGCCTAGGCAACAGAGCGAGACTCCATCTCAAAAAAAATAATAAAATAAAATGTAACATGAAACAGAATGCAAAATTCACATGTATTTTTAAAATAAAGAAGGAACTACAAAGAAATTTTTCGGTTAGGTCTATACCATGTACTTCCAGGTCTCTACATTTCCTTTCCTTTACTGTCATAGGGCACCTTTGGTAGAATACCTTAATTAGGACAACTTACATTTTAACCCCTGAAAAATGCTGGTATAAACAGCTATTGGTATAGAAAGTGCAAATACAAAGTGCTTTTATAAAGATGATGATGTGAATGATTAACAGTTCTTTAAGCATGCTCTTTTCTTATTTAGAAAAGTATTTCTATGTTGCAGATGAACTGTCTCATTGTGTTGAGCCTGAGCCATCTCAGGTGCCAGGTGGCAGTTCTAGAGACCGTCAGCAAGGTAAGCCCCCTCCTCTCCCGGCTCTAAAAGCTAAGACATCTTCACGTTCTGGTCCATATGCCACTGAGATAAAGAAGTCAACTGATGATTCCATATTTAAAGTTCTAGACTGGTTTAACCGAAGTTCTTATTCAGATGACAATAAGTCATTCCTCCAACATCCCCGAGGAATAGAGTCCAAAGAAAAAACAGACTCAAAATCACAGGTTGCTGTTGACTTGGTGACAGATGACACTACTTTAAGAGAAAATGGCTCAAAGACCCTATCACCCAGCAAAATTGAATTGAAGCCTGTGAGATCTGACTCACCATTCCAAGCAGAGGGAGATATGCTGGTTTCTGAAAGTTGCCAAGATAATAATGTGAATATCAAATCCAAATTCATGAATTTGTCCCAAAAAGGCACCCCAAAGGAAGGCCCAGGTATATTGCAACCATTTGAAAGCTATGGCACCCCAAGTCAAGGGAGTAAAAATATGGACTATAGCCAAGATTCAAAAAGCCCAGGAAAAGGGAATGGGGCATCTCCTTCAAATAGTAACTATTCCTACAGTGTTCTCAAGGAATCTGATGCAGAAAACCAAGTTCCATGCAACACTAATAATATTGGCAACTTGGGTGAAGAAGAACCCAAGTTTCATGCTCATGAAGAAAATAGAGGACACTCAGAAGTGAATTTTGACTCTTCAACAGTTGTCAAAGAACCAGGTTTGAAAGATAACATGAATGCAGAGAGAAAGAGCAAAGTAGGAAATACCTATATCCTGAAAGCCTCCTTAGAGCCAGAGAATATTAAGTCAACACCTGGGGTTGCCAACAATGGCTCTCCTTGGAAGAAGCCTGAGGTCCAATTCCAGCAAGAAGCTGGTGAGGTTCCCAAGAACCAAGTGCAGAGAGAGAAATACAAAAGAGTGAGTGACAGAATATCCTTTTGGGAAGGAGAGAAAGCTGGTGCTAAGATAACTCATGAAAAACCCACATCTTCATGTAGCCAGGAACAACCTTCTGCTAAAGCATATCAGCCTGTGAAGAAGTCACAGGGTGTATCATCCATGGACAGTTTATCTACAGACCAGAGTGAATATAATCAGGCCATTCCCAAACGAGTGGTCTTAGATGAGGATGATCAAGCATCCCAGCTCTCCAATTCTTATTCCTCAAATAAATCTAAAGAGACCAAGCCACAAATAGCAGGTCCATCCAGATACTATCTTTCAGCTGAGCAATCAGATAAAGTGTCTCTGTTTCAGAATAAGAAAAATGAGCCTATAAAAAGATCACAAGTGGCAGACAGTTTGCCTTCTAGAAGAAACATTACTTTACCAGCACTGCAACCTCCCTCAAATGTCGGGAGTGAACGACATGCTCCATTGGAGAAAGACAGACCTCTAGTTCGTGAATCAAATGCCAACTTTAAAGTTATGTCCCTAAAAGAAAGAATGGATGAACCCAATGCAGAACAGGTCTATAATCCCTCTCAGTTTGAGAATTTGAGAAAGTTTTGGGACTTAGAAGCTAATTCAAACAGTAAGGATAATGACAAGAATATTACCACCACAAGCCAAAAAAATTCTGCACCTTTTAATAGGCAGAAACACAAGGAATTCAGCGACATTAAATTATCAGGTAAAAATACCCATGAAGCAGAGGTGCTTCTAAGCCCAAAAAAAGTTATGGCAAGAGAGGAAATGGAGAAATTAAATTCAAAGGGCATACTCCAGGTGCTACCAGATGAAATCACATTTCCTTTGAGTCCACTTAGAAAGTATACTTATCAGTTGCCAGGAAATGAGTCATCAAAGGAAAATGTGGAAAAGAATACGGAAGGGATTGTTACTCCAGTGTTTAAGGAAGAAAAGGATTACTCAGAACAAGAGATTCAAGAATCCATAATAAAAACCAATGTTTTGTCTAAAGACTGCAAAGACACTTTTAATGACAGCTTGCAGAAACTGCTTTCAGAAACCTCAACACCAGCAATTCAACCCTCTGGTGGAAAAGTTCATGGAAAACAAGTGCTTGAACCAAGTGTTTCTGAAAATAGGACATGGCCTCAAAAAACAGATTTTGCTGATACTGAGGAAGAAGTCAAAGGACCTGAGAAGATCATTAATGAGCATGTTGACAAAACAGTAGTTCATCCAAAGGTTAAACGGAACTCTTTGACTGCTAGTCTAGACAAACTCCTGAAGGAAGCAACTGGAACTTCACCCTCTCCCTTGCAAGCCAAGTTGGCGCCTGTTATCACTGGAACCAACTCTAAGCTGGAAGAGGGGAGATTTTTTGGAAAAGGGATAGAACAGAGTCACAATACTTCAGCTGATAAGAGAGAAATACTAGCTCCTTTTCCAGTGAGAGATGAAACTTTTGGAAATACAGCTCTCCTCAAGAAAGCTGAAAGTGGTGAGTGCCAGCTAAGCACACAGAATTTGATTCAGATGGCTGCAGAAGATTCTCATCCATTGGATCCAACTTCCCAGCTTTCCAGAAAGGGTTCTTTTGGGGATGTGGCCAGCCCTCCCCAAGATATGCTTTTTCCCCAGGATGCTCATCTTGTTCCCCAGGCTAGGGTACACCCTTCTCAAACGGAAATTTCGGAGACTGTAGAGAAAGTCATTCTTCCACCCAGACCTGTATTGAATGATGTAAGTGCTGCATTACAGAAGCTGTGTGGAGAAGTATGGTTAAGTTATCCAGCTGGAAGGGAAGTAGGTCCTGGAGAAGTGAACCCAGAATTTCCTGAAGCAGTACAGCCAGTATGTAGCCCCCTAAATCCTCCAGGAGTGATATCACCATGGGCTACGATGGACACCATAGTTCCAGACAGGAAGGATTTTTATTCCTCCAATGTAGTTCCTGATAAAACTCATGAAGTTGGATCTTATTTAGCTGCCCAAATGTCTCCATCAGACCAGACGCTTAGCTCATTTGCTTCCATTGTTGCTCAATATGGCAAAGGCCTCCCTCAGGAAGTGGAAGAAATTGTGAGGGAAACAATTGTTCAACCCAAATCAGAGTTCCTCGAATTCAGTGCTGGCTTAGAAAAACTACTGAAGGAAGAAACTGAAACCTTCCCCTCAAAATATGAAAGTGATACAGGGAATCTTTCTCCATCAAAGTTAATAGGTAGTACAGAGGAGCCCAGGCGAGCCACTTCTGAATGCCATCCTGAGGAATTAAAAGAAACAGTAGAAAAGGCCGAGGCTCCGTTAATAACTGAGAGTGCTTTTGATGCTGGTTTTGAGAAACTTCTTAAAGAAATAACTGAAGCTCCTCCTTATCAGCCCCAGGTGTCAGTGAGAGAAGAAACTCACGAGAAGGAGTCCTCACAGTCAGAGCAGACCAGGTTCTTGGGGACAGTGCCCCATTTTTACAGGGCAGCCTCACAGACCTCTGAAATGAAGGATAAAAGTAATGGTTTGGAATCTCAAGTCAACCAATGTGATAAAATGTTGGGAGGAGACGCACTTGTGACTGATTTATTGGTAGATTTTTGTGGTTCCAGAAGTGGAGTTGAGATCCCTAGAACCCCACAACTTTATGTGGCTCATGAAATAGGGACCATTAAAACTGTAACCCCCCCAGAGGACAGGGACAGTGAAAGTGGGGTTGCAGGGGGACAAGGGACTCTTCAGGAACCTGGCTTTGGAGAGGCTTCTGAAGCAATTAGTGTGTCCAGAAATAGGCAACCCATTCCTCTCCTGATGAACAAAGAAAACTCTACAAAAACAAGTAAAGTTGAATTGACTCTAGCATCGCCATATATGAAACAAGAGAAAGAGGAAGAAAAAGAAGGTTTCTCTGAGTCTGATTTTTCAGATGGAAACACCAGTTCTAATGCAGAGAGCTGGAGAAATCCTTCCAGTGAGCATTTAAAATTTTTTAACTCACAGTGAGTCTGCTTTATGGAATGCTGATGTAAAGGATGATTTTTTTTAATTGGGATTAATTTGATATTCTTAAATGATGTTAAATTCTTCTTACCACTTCTGTGTTCCTGAGACTTTCTTAATTAAAAAAATTATTTATATTTTTTAATCAAATGCATTACATAATTCTTAAATGATGTTAAATTCTTCTTACCACTTCTGTGTTCCTGAGACTTTCTTAATTAAAAAAATTATTTATATTTTTTAATCAAATGCATTACGTAAAACAGCTTTCCTATAAGGCTGTTTCAGAGTCTGAGTTGACTTCTCTTTAATCTACCTATAGAACTTTTAGGTTTCAAAAAATACTTTTTAAATGACTTTTTGGGTTTGGAAAGTACCTTTAATACATTTAAGCTAGTTTTCCTCCTGGAAATATTTAGAATTTCTTCCTTAATTGGCAACCTTTATAGAAGTCTGGTAAGATTTGTCGCAAAGATGTGCCACAGATGGACACAAATTTCCCATTCGGGAGCAATATCTTACCACAGTGGTGGCTAAATGCTAGGGACAAAATACAAGGCCGGAACTTTCCTTCCCTCAGATACCTTGTGCTGTGGTGTTTTGTTGCCACTTTCTCCCTCTCATTTTCAATTATATGCACAATCTTCCCTTTCTAGAGTATGACTTTGGCCAGATGACTCACCTGATGCCACCTAAGGGCATTGCCTGGCCAGGTACATTTCTCTGGCTCCAGCCTTGGCTAAGTTGATGACCTGAGTCGATCTCCACATTCATCTACATGAACGTGGGGGCGTTGGTTTTGGCGGCCAGGCTGTAAAATGTAGGGCTTGTCTCAGTTTGCTATTTAATCAACATGTGGACATTTTAGCAGAGAAACCCCAGAGCAAATAGGAATGAGAAGCTACCTGATTAAAATGATGAAATGATAGAGAATGTTTTTTGGCTGGGACATTTTAACCAAAGTTGCACAACTGATGCTGATTGCCTTCCTTGTAGTTTAGTAGAATTTGTCATTTGTTTAGCTCCTTTTCGTTCCAGTGAAAATAGATAAGCTTTACTGAGTGGCTTACTTTGAGGTGTGGACTCCTTTGTAAGTAGCTATAGGGTCTCTTCTTGAACACTGACCAAAGAATCCACCTTTAATCCTATTCAGTTAAGTTGAAGCCCCTCTAAAAAATTTTGTTGTTAATAAAAAAAAGAAAGAAATTGAAATATCAATCTCTAAAACCATACATATTTATTTATAAATCTCTAATTAAATCTCTAAATTTATTTAATCTCTAAAGTAAATAAATTTAATTAATTAATAATTAATTAATGTAATGGCAAGAATAAAGCCAGCATGTTAAACTTGTTGAGGTAGGCTCTTACTAAACTGCCCATGAGTTGCTAGTGTAAACTGACCCACAGGAGAAGGAGCGCTTGCAAATTTGCAATTATGTTAGAGACTATCATCTAATGTGTATCCCAGCATAACTGACTGAATAGTAAAAAGCCTATCTAAAAAGGCAGCGTTAAATAATCACCTAGGCTGGGCACGGTGGCTCACGCCTGTAATCCCAGCACTTTGGGAGGCCAAGGCGGGCAGATCATGAGGTGAGGATATCGAGACCATCCTGGCTAACATGGTGAAACCCCATCTCTACTAAAAAATACAATAAAGTAGCCGGGCGTGGTGGTGGCTGTAGTCCCAGCTACTCGGGAGGCTGAGGCAGCAGAATGGTGTGAACCCTGAGGCGGAGCTTGCAGTGAGTCGAGATCACGCCACTGCACTCCAGCCTGGGCTACAGAGCAAGACTTCATCTCAAAAAAAAAAAAAAAAAAAAAAAAAATCACCTAAACAGAGCCCAGAGAAGACATTTTAGAATAACAAGCCAATTAAGAAGTATCAAATGGTATAGTCATGATTTTAATTTAGGTTTATATACTCTAACCTAAATTATTATTTTAAAGCAAACTGCAGTGGGGGTGGGGTGAAAAATGAAGAGAAACCTACTATAAGGGTACTGTAATTTTGGGGAGCAAGCTAACACATTTGACTTGCGGCTGAGCTCTTAACTAAGCAATACCTCAGTATGCTCCTTTGGGAAAAATTAAAGGTTCAGTAGTCAAATACTTTTGGAAATGCTGGGCCATTATGCACAGAGAAGGTCCGCAGTAAGGAACATTTTAAATTTGAACAGAGAACATCCAAATCTAATTCATCTTAGAATCCATTTGCTATGGAATGTACTAGGCAGAACTGGAATGTATTTCAGGAAATTATTGTCTAGAGAAGTGGTTCTTAAATTAATTGATTCCTTAATCGAATCACTCATTGATTCAGCAAATATTTTGAAGTGTTTATTTCCAGCCACTGTTCTAGGCACTGAGAATACAGCAGTAATAAATGTCAGTACTTAAGCTTATTCATGATGCAGCCATTCCTTTTATAAAATAACGGCATTAGTAAATGATAGAGGCCTCCCTCCCGCAACTTTAAAATGCCTTACTAAAATAAAAATTTGACTATCCCATGTTATTTCCCAACATTTCATTGGAAATTATACTAGATCATGAAACCCAGAAAGTCTACAACCTTTGATCTGGAGAATGCACTCATATGTGTACCCAATTATACACAGATGTTAAACATCTGAATCCTGCCTTCCACGGTTTTGAATTAATTTTATTAATGCTCCTAGAAGTATTTCATGGCTGTCTTCAAAAGCTAGAATGTTAAATGGGAAGAGTCAATGTCTGGCATAGGACAAATCATATGTCTAAAATAGGAGTAAACAACTAAGAGATCACATTTCTATTAATGTGGTAATCTTGTTTTTGTAGGGTTTACGTTTGCAAATATTTCTTGACCAGGAAAATTATGTTTAAGAGCATATTAATAGTGGAGAAATTTTATTTTCTTCTGTGAAATAAGTGCTTCTTAAAGTAGAAACTCATAGCATAATGTCTCTTTTCAGCCTACCATTTCTATGTCCATATGTTAGAGGATTTTTTTTTTTTTTGGTATTGTGCAGTGTTCATCGATTTTGTTTTATAACAGGTTCAGAAGAAGAACCCAGTCCTGTTTTGAAAACTTTGGAAAGGAGTGCCGCTAGGAAAATGCCTTCCAAAAGTCTAGAAGACATTTCATCAGATTCATCAAGTGAGAATAAAGTTCGCCTCACTGTTCATGCCCCATCTAAGCTTAAAAATGCCTATGTGCTCTCCTGTAGCCTCACTGCGTGCTGTTGTGCACTGCACCCTCTAATGGGGGCAGTTAACAGATGAAAATAACCTCTCCAAAGTGCGCTGAAGAGGCTCAACCTAAAGTGGCTGGAACTTTGCTTATAAAATAATATATTACATTTGGTTACTAAAACACTAGGTTTCCTTTAATTGAAGAATCCCAGTTTGAGTGTTTCTCAAGTACAGTGAGTTTCAAAGGATAGTGGTAGCTAGTAGTATTAGTGAAAATAGTCATAACTAGCATTTATTGAATATTATTTGCCAAAACGTGCCTAACAATTTTACATGTATTATCTCATTTAACCAGCACAAGCAACCCTATGAGAGGTGAATTATTGTTATCCAAATTTAAAGATGAGGAAAATGAAGCTCAGAAATGTGAAATGACCTTTTTAGTATTACACGGAAGATCTGGGACTCAAAATTAACAGGCTATTATCAAGAACATTTATGAAGGGACCACATTATATATGACAGCGTTGGATGTCCAGTGAATTTTGCATGATACGGAGTTGAATTAGTCCCTGGCTTCAAGGACTTTCCTTTCTCTTTTATCCCTTCTATTCTGTTCACACTTTTCTTCTAGATACTGGAACTATAAGCCCAAAACTACTTAACATGAAAGACTTTAGGTACACGATTCCCCACTGGCAGCTGCTTTAATGGTGAAGGATTTCTTGAGTACTAGCAGAAAACATAATATATAAAGAGAGTTGTGTGCTAGACAAATGGACTAAGAAACCATGATTTCTTGGGGTTTTGTTCTTGCTATTTTCAAGCTAAAATGCACCCCTGGGATTGCAGATGGTCATAAGAAAAATTATCAAGTGAAAAGTTAACCACTGCCAAACTCATATGATTGAAAATTGGCCATTGTTATGTTTAGAATATTTTTTGTGCATTTGCAATTAAGAATAAAAAGTCAGAATTTAAAAATGAAAAAAAGAAAAGAAAAAGCCACTTCACCAAACATTTCCTAAAATTCACAGATTCCCAGGGGTTTGAAGACAGTATTCCCAATTTGGAATGTAGTCCTGACTATCCCAAGGATCTTGGAATCTCAGGGTTAGAAGGGATCTTAAAAATCACCCATTTTAACCTCCCCTCAATGCAGGAATTCTCTCTAAAGCCTCCTCAACAGGCGGCCAACCCCCATATCCGCCTGAATGCTTCCAGAGAAGGCGAGTCGAATCCTTTGTTGGACAGCCCTGATTGTTTTTCCTGATGTTGGTGATGGGCCTTGAGAAAAAGAAAAAAAGAAAAAAAAAATCTCAGAACAATTGGCCCATTTAGCAAACCTCTTGCCTGTGAAACATGGGGCTATTTCCATGGTGCAGCTTTAAAGTACTCAGGAATGTATAGGGTTAAAAAAAAATCACCATCAGCTGACGGGTATTCCTGCACGCTCCCTTCCAAATACTGATACCCACTCTCACACTAGCCTGCCAAGATTCCACTTAGCAGCTGGTCCCCAGTTACATCTCTTCAGTTGACTTCCCAAGCAAGCCTCCCAGAGGCATATGTGAATGATGATGCACACACACAAATATTTGTTAATGACCATGGGTTTGGGAAGGTGTTAGTCATGGCTAGCATCATACCCTTTACAGAAGAATAGAGAGGCTGTTGCAGCCCCGTGCTTTCTCCTGCTGCTGGCCGATTGCTTGCTCTGAACTAACCCTCTAACCCTTGGGAGTCTGTGTGCAGCAGTGATGTGAGCTGCATCCGGGCTGAAATGGGAGCTCCCGCTATGGCACTGGCTCAAGGAGCTAATCTAAAGAGAAAGTATTTTGGGGAAGACATCTTGGTTGCACCCCTCATTGCATCTTGACTAATTGCTTCCAACTCCGGGGGCTTCCAGGGACAATCTCATTGTTCTTTTCTCTCCAAGGGTCAGCCATGTTAACCATTTGTTAATTTCTTCTGAACAGATCAAGCAAAAGTAGATAATCAGCCAGAAGAATTAGTGCGTAGTGCTGAAGATGGTAAATATCTTTATGTATTTGCGTGTCTGTCTTTGTATTAACTTCTGGGGTGATTTGGGCAGTCTCCGGGACGCAGCTGTTGGGTAAACAGAAGAACGTCATTTGCCACTATGTGGTGAATAGTGCCTAAGTTACTATAAAACAGTTCTGATTTGGTACATTTAATATAGTTTGTATTCTTAAGGCTTCTTCTGGTGATACTGTCATGAGGATCTCATCAGAGACCCTTGTGAAGCAAGGGTTTCTATAAATAGAAAATTGTATTTCTTTGGATGTGAGCTGATTTTTGCTACTCTGACTTGCAGAACTCTTTGTAAAGGCAGGAAGAGTGGAGTGAATTCCTGGGTTAAGTTATTCTTCTGTTTGATTCTCAAGTCTCAGCATTTAGATCTCTCTGGGCACAACTGGTAAAATCTTAAATTCAAAGGAAAGAGTCCCAGAACAAGGGTGGGAAATCGTGCCTCTGCTTATATAAATAACTAAATATAGACAGAGGGTGAAGTTGATTCTGAATATAATGGAGCCAGAAGATCTTGAAGCTTGTCAGTGGATCAGGTATTACTTGGCTCTGTTATAAGATGAATAGTATAGTGGTGCCTTGGTTGAGGGAGAGACAGAAATGAGTCTGATTTTTATATTGCAGAATTTATGCAAATGTATAATTTGTATTTGCATGCTGGATTTTATTTACTTGTTGTTAAATTTGCCTTCACTATAATCATAAAAATGTGTACTCACTGAGCTTTCCCATATAAATGCAGCAACAGAGCTCCTTAAAGGTCATTCTTTACTTTTATGTAATCGTTCTGTCTTTCTTATTTTATGTTTACAACAACCTCACTGAAGTTGATGGGGCAGGGATTTTTATCTTCATTTTGCTGATAAGAAAAACTCAGAGAAATTAGGTGACTTTTCTAAGATCCTATAGTTAGTCAGTCACTGGGAGGGCAGGAAATAGAATCTCAGCTTCATTACTCCTAGTCCAGTGCTCCTTCCCATTTTCCATACTGTGGTCTAGTGAATTACAGGAAGGATGCTCCGTATCTCTTTTGTTTGATCCCAGATTTTTAGTTGAACAGGAGACCTTAAAGAGGCTAATGAAGAAGAGTCACAGTGAGGAATGGATGAAAGCAAGATGAAAACCTGTCAGATGTATTCTGCTGTCTCAGTTGTGAAACTGACATTTGAGCTTTACTTTCATGTCTCTTTAATCCTTCTGTTAAAATGGTATTTATTCTCAATGTTGCCCTCCTGAGTAGATGAGAAACCAGATCAGAAGCCAGTTACAAATGAATGCGTACCAAGAAGTGAGTAGCAGGATCTTTCTCACAAATGACTAAACATTCCACTTTACATATTAAATATACTGAAATAACTAACCCCATTAATAACACAGTATTTATTATTGGCACTAAACTCCTGCAGCTTGCAAAGCTATTTCATTACGATAAGGGTTTTATTGAAAACATTTTACTATTGTCTGTGTTGAAAGAATGATTTGTGGTTCCACTGAGGGAGAGTTGTATATTAAATATATATATATATGTTATTGCTGATATTATTGTGCTTTTGTCAGTCTCTATGCTGTTTGAATCTCTGCTTAAAAGCAAGTTGGCACCTTCTGATTTCATTTGGTTTTTATGTTGCAGTATGATTTTGAGTATTGGATCTCTTGTGGCCTCTGTACGAAACTGTAGATGTGAATTCATTTATAACTTATTTGGACCTATGAAAGAACTGTTAGAGTATGTGCTTCTCTCCATATCCATAAAAGCAAATCTTATTATGCCCAGGGTTTAAACTCTGAGTTTCAAAACTGCCTTGAATGGTAAATGTTCTAAGTATAAACCAAGTGAACAAGTGAATCTAAGAAGTAAATGTATACCTGTGGTGACTAATGCCCATCTACTAATTAATGTCTATCATCAAGCAAAGATAATGTTTGTTCGATCTTTTCTGTTCAATCTTAAGATTACTCTACTTAGCTGTGACTACTATCTTAAGGACAAATAACACATTTAAAAAGTACTCAGATGGCCTAGTAAAGCATGCAGCTCTGTGTGTGTGTGTGTGTGTGTGTGTGTGTGTGTGTGTATGATTTTTTAGCTTCTTGGTTTCACTCTGTTTCATAAACCCTAGGCACTGGGGGTATGAAGATAATGATACACATGTCTACCCTCAGGGCCACAATATTTTAAATAATAATTTCCCAACAGTCTTTGGATATGCTAATAGGGCTTAATGAGGAAAGCAGCTAAACGGAGGAGCCATTAGATAGAAAACCAATGTGCTGATGGCTAAAAGTCAGTGACATGTAGTGGGAAACCTGAAACTTTGCTTATGAGGTCCTCCTGCCAGCAGTGAAGGTGCTGAACTTTGGCACATGACTTGACAAATTCTTAAGAACTGCCTAGGAAAGAAGAGAGTCCAGGCTTCAGCTCTTGTGAGTATGTGCTCTCTGTCTGACTACTGCAGATGAAACAAGCCTTCTGCCCCTAAGGGGTGTTAGGTAAAGGGGCTTTTCCAGTTACTTTTGAACTAGGACATATTTAATTTTGAGCATCTTATAATATCTTGCTATGTTTTGTTCAAAATTTAGTCTGTGGAGTAAAAGCAAAACACACATAGACATATATGCCTAAATATCTGTATCTTTATTCATGATCTCCTAATTGGCTTAGTTTATTGGTCAAGGCACATAGACTACTCCTGTGCTGAACTCTGGGTAAATTAATTTGTCCCTTTTTTGTGATATTTTCCAAAATGACTGTTAGTGCCTTTTCACTGGTAAAGAGTATATTCTTACCACAAAAATCAAATACATGATCCAAACACAAATGATGAAAGCCCATAAATCTAAAATTGATTACATTTGAGTAGTGGGTATAATTGAATTTGACCTTCATAGCATCATCCAACAATATACTTTGAAAATAGTAGGGTGCAATGTTATAACAAAAAAGTTTTTGCATTCTCATTGGACCATATTGTGGGACCTAATCTTACACTGCTACCAGTATAACTCTCCCTAATACACACACATTGTTGTTTCATGGGAAGTGATTAAAGTAGGTGTCATTTTAGTGAGACACCATAAATGCATTCTGATGTGCATTTACCTATGGGAGCCTAAGGATAGGTGAAAATTGTTATGTGAGCAAGGATATCTTTAGTACGTGTAGCTAAATTTTTAGTTTTTCCTTCATTAGATTTCTTTAAAGATGAATTTAATGTTTAAGCATGAATTTGAGTCTTTTGTGTTATGTATATAAATATAATTTGATTTTTACCTATTTTCTTAATATCTCTTATAATGATAAAGTCAATGTATCTGTTTCATTCACAATATAATTTAAGATTCTTTATCATATGATATTTATTAGATTAGAAAATACTTATATAGAGCTTACTCTGTGCTAGGCACTAAGTGCCTTGGAAAATATTAACTTATTCATTATAAGAGCTGTGATTCACCATAAGAAAAGCTTAGATGTTGTGATTCTTAGAAAAAGAAGAAAATAGTTTTCTAACTAGGTGTATGCAAATTAGGATTATAATTTATCCTCTTCTTGTACCTTCTACACATATACTTTCTATATCAGAAAGAAGACATATGCTACATTTTCTTATTAAATTCTTAGAGTACCCTAACTTTAACCATTCTAACTTTGCCTTGGGATATTGAAAATTCTGAATCAGTGAGGTATCTAAATAATTTATATTTTCAAAAAATAATGTTTATTTTATAATTCTGAGTGTAAAACACTATCAGAAAAGTAATCCTCATGCTCACTAAACAAACCTACTCTAAGACACTCAACAACCAGAACAGTTTTATTATTGAGTTGTGTACAAAAATCTTGACTGTCCAGATGAAATAGTTTTTCAGCCTGCAGTGTGTTAGTGATATATCTCAAGGAGATGAACCAATAAAGTACAGACTTTGTGGTCTGAAGCTCTGTTGTGAAAAAATAAGCTAAACCAATTCACACTGACAGTATAATTTGATTCAAGTGCAGCTCCAGTTCAATAAAAACTAATGTTTTTAAAATTAACTTTGTTTTGTATTTGGTTCAACTCCTTGCTAGTTCTCTCTCTATATAATTTATAAAAACTGCATGTTGCTAATCTCATGATCCTGTGCATGTGGACTACTCTGCCTTTAACTTTTTTACAAAAACATGTTTGTTCATAGATTAAATAAAAGTATGTTTTCAACTTAATGTCTAATGTTTTCTGACAATTGTAAGAATAATTTTGAAATGGAAATGCTGCTGTTTAGTTTCCACAGTGCCTACACAACCTGATAATCCATTTTCTCACCCTGACAAACTCAAAAGGATGAGCAAGTCTGTTCCAGCATTTCTCCAAGATGAGGCAAGTTTGTCTTTTGTACCTTCAGAAAAATGGAGACAGAGGGTTGGAATTGCTATGCCAAGGTTGGTGTGTTTGTATTCCACTGTGGCAGAGATCAAAGAGGTCAGAAGGACTGGCCCTTGCCTTTCAAGTCAATAGAAGTAGTGTTGTTCATCCTGGAACAGGGAAAGGCACATCTCATTTGACTCAAACAGTAACTCCTTTTGGTTAGTGAAGTCAAATTGCATAGATTTGGGAATGTGACTTTTGTTTCAAAGTTAGTACAAAATAAGAAATCCAGGAAGGTATATGAACTGATTATTCCTCTGTAGTTTGGAGTAGACTTGATTTGTGAAAACTTAATTTAGGCAGCATGACTAGTTTGAAAGTGTTTGTTAATAAAGTAACAATGACACATCAAGCTTTAAGGAGTATTTACTGGGTGCCAGGCACTTTACATATATCATTTAATCCTTCAACAACCCTAGGAGGCAGGCACCATCATTATCCCCACACATTACAGGTGAGGAAACTGAGACTAAGGGAGATTAACCTCACTCAGCTAGAAGGGGGTTCAACCAGGACTGGAGCACAGATCCAAGTTGCCTGCTGTTAATGACTATACTATATACTGTACGGTCTTAAGAAAGCACATGACTATAATTTACTATTCATTGAGTACCTAATATGTGCCAGGTACCTAATACTCATTCTGTCATCTCACTCTTACTAACTATATGTGGTAAGGACTATTTTCTTCATTTTACAAATGAAGAAAGAGCCGCAGAGAGGTTAAATAACTTTCCCCAAATCCAATAGCTACTGAAGAGTAGATCTAGGACTTTAACTCAGGTCCTTTGACTTAATTAAGATTCCATGTTCTTGCAGTCAGGTAGTTAGGAGCCTAAGCTTTGGAGCCAGATATCCCTAGTCCTGGTTATGATACTAATTTTCTGTGTGATCATGGACACATTCAGTACCTTCTCTGAGTCTGGTTTCCTTGCACCTACCACGTGAGGTTGTGGGGTATCGGTAGGATAATGCAGGGAAAACACATAGCACAGTGCTTGGCATATAATGAGTACCTGGTAAATGTTAGCTGCTACTGTTTGTAGTTTTGGTCTGATTTCTAACGGTGAAATAAAAGGCTTCATTATCAAGAATTCTCTTAGTAGATGGAATGTTGAGGAAAGCTCTGGGCAACACATAAATTATATTCTGTCACTGGCCTGGGCATCCTTTTGTCCATTCTTGGGCCTTTGATGAACTGTATCTGCAAATATTCAGCCCTTGCCTATGGTTAAGAGCACATGTTACAGTTTCCTTTGGAAAGAATCACTCATTCTTTGGAAGTAATTCATTAGCTAGAAGCCAACAGTAGGCATGCCATGCAGTTCAACCATATAATAATATGAGGCCGGGCATGGTAGCTTATGCCTGTAATCCTGGCACTTTGGGAAACTGAGACGGGCAGATCCCTTGAGGCCCAGGAGTTTGAGACCAGCCTGGCCAACATAGCAAAACCCTGTCTCTACTAAAAATTCAAAAAATTAGCCGGGCATGGTGGCTCATGTCTATAATCCCAGCTACTTGAGAGGGTAAGGCAGGGGAATTGCTTGAACCCGGGAGGCAGAGGCTGTAGTGAGCCGAGATTGTGCCACTGCACTCCAGCCTAGGCGATAGAGTGAGACTCTAATTGAAAAAAAAAGTGTGTGTGTGTGTGTGTGTGTGTGTGTGTATATGTATTTTCGAGGCAAATTATATAAGTTCCTGGTTTTTAATTTTTCTCCTTCCTTCAGTTTTAACCTGCTGTCTCATAGCTCCACACAGAAGAGAGTTCAAATCATCTGGGTTTGTGTATCAGAGATGCCAGAATTAAGCTCTATCATTTTGCATGGGGTATAGGGTTGAACTAGGTATTAAAGAAAGTGGAAATGCAATCAGGCCTTGCTCATCTGTTCCCTTTGAGACTTATCATCAGTCACATTTGTTGAGTGCCAGTTACATGTAAAACACCATTCCAGATCAACAAGGCAGAGTCCTATCCTTCCAATAATTCACTAATGATCTGATATACTAGGTAGAATGCAGTAGGCGCTAAAATAGAGGGAAATGACTATCAGCATGTGGGGAGAGAGTGTGACAACAGAGACATTTAAAAGATATGAATTTTTTTAATCCTTGAGAAAGGATTCTTATCCACGTAAAGCATTAATTTTGCTTTCCTTTAACTCCTTTATTAATCTGCATTACAATTGGCATCCATTATATTGATGCATAATTGCATGGTCCTGGAATATGCTGGCATGAACTAACTACTCCATAAAGGTGTCCCTTAACCCCTGGTGCCACTGAACTGTTCCATAAGCTCTCTAACCCTAAAAGGAGCTCACTCTGAATCATAAATTTTTAAAGCTACTATTTAATAAACTTTAGATTCAAATATAACAAAATTTGTTACTGTCACTTTTCTTTCTTGTCCCAGGTAAATACTTCCTCGGACATATTTAAAATAAATACCTGTATTTTACTTCTTTTTAAAAAATGTGTTAAAATCTAATGTGGGTAGAATGTATAATTTAATATACTTAACTCTAGGAACAAAAAGATAAGCATAATAACACAGGAATATGTAAGGGGAAGTTTAAAAATTTTAAACATTAAAAAATATATATATATGGCCTTGAGTTGAAACAGATGAGACTAGCATTTCTTTTTTCCTAGTTTAATAGTGTGTCAAGTAAAAGATTTGATTTTTAGAGAAGTTAGGGGCTGTGCTAATAAGAGGAATTAAACATGATGTTTTGGTTTTAACAGTAAATCTTTTTATTATCTGGGTAAAGTTAATTTCTCATATATACCAATAGAGTTCCCCAGGCAAATAAATATATAATATTAAAAGACTGGCAAGAAAGCTCACAATAGTGCTGTCTTCTGCAGCACTTTGGGAAAGACTACTTTGTAGGTGAAAAGAAATCACTTCGTTATTTTGGTAGCTAAGCACTGCCTTCCTCCTTAGGTGAGGTCAAGGCAGACCACCCACTCCATCCTGAATCCCATACCCTGGCAATTAGCACTAGCATCCTTTGACCTTGCGTAAATGTCAGTGGAATACCAAAATCTCATCTTTGCCTAAACAGAGATTCTGATCTTGACTCATTCTGAATTTAAATATTGTGCATATTATATGCTGTTTTGTAGAGTGATGACAGAGAAACAGATACAGCATCAGAAAGCAGTTACCAGCTCAGCAGACACAAGAAGAGCCCGAGCTCTTTAACCAATCTTAGCAGCTCCTCTGGCATGACGTCCTTGTCTTCTGTATGTAAACAAAGGCTCCATATTAATATCTCTCCGCGTCTCTGAACCTTGCTCTGACATGCTCATGCTCATTGTAAAACAGCCTCCTCCTGTATTTCTCAGGGCACAAACAGTTTCTCTAATCCATAATTAGCTTCTGGCTAGCTACATCTATCTTTTTTTTTTTAGACTAACGGGGTTCATATCCATCATAAACAAATCTTTGTGGGGTTTTTTGTTGTTGTTGATGTAAGTACTTCACAAATAAACTTAAATTGCCAAGAAGATGAACCACTAAATTTTTCTGTGCAACAAATGGGGTAACTATGATAAAATCTGCTTGTATCAGATATGCTTTTATATATGATTTGCAGGCATAGAATTGAACCTCTCTTTTAGTAATCCTGAGCAATCAATATACTGGTTGACATGAAAGAATATGAGAGGTAATTCCTTGCCTTTTAGAAGGCATCTGAGCAGCATTTTAAAAGGAAATATCCTTAAGTGTAGTTACTCAGATTTGATTTAAGGGAATCTAACTAATTTGACTTTACATAGAACTTCTTGCATAAGGTGAAGTTGTATGTGCATGTAGTATGTATGTAAAAATATATGTAAATATATCCACATACACTTATCTGAGTATCAGATGTGCATACACATACATATATTCACCCAAGTATGCTGAAGAAATGATAAAACTGTGCTTAAATTCTTGCTAGCCTTGTGTTTCTGAAACCTTTTTTAAAAACCTATTTAAATTGAGTTTCTGCTGATAAAAATCTAACATCTGCCTTTGGGAAGGTTTTAAACTCCCTTCATCAATCATCCATTTTCTACCCTTCCTGACCTCTAAAAGCGCATGGCTCAGTAAGCATTTTTCTAGATTCAGTGGATGGGTAACATGGTAAAATTCCTTTTTAGTGCCTTGGAAATTCGATACAGCAGTGTGTCACTATGATTAGAGTGTCTGGGTTTTCTCACATCTTCTTTCTTTTGGATTTTAAATATTAAGCATGCCAGAAAATGGATGCCTTTGAATGCCACCTAGCATAAAATCACCCTGCTTTGAAATGAGCCAGCATCTAAATAACATTGCATTTCACTTTTCATCTATGTCTTATAGGGAAAATTATTTAAAAACATTAGTCGGCTGGGCGCGGTGGCTCATGCCTGTAATTCCAGCACTTTGGGAGGCCGAGGTGGGCAGATTACTTGAGGTCAGGAGTTTGAGACCAGCCTGGCTAACCTGGTGAAACCCCATCTCTACTAAAAATATAAAAATTAGCTGGGCATGGTGGCGTGCGCCTGTAATCCCAGCTGCTTGGGAAGCTGAGTCAGGAGAATCGCCTGAACCTGGGAGGTGGAGGTTGCAGTGAGCCGAGATCAAGCCACTGCACTCCATCCTGGGCAACAGAGTGAGACTCTGTCTCAAAAACAAAATGAAACAAAAAACTCTAGTCATGTATATCATGTCAGGTTGTCTTTATAGATATGTCTTTATGCTATATTGAATTAACTGCTTTTATAAGCAAGCTAAAGAAATAATGCCAGCAGGGATTATATCCATGATCCTTGTGCTAGGTTTAAGAATGAGATAGAGACAAACACTATGTATTTCTGATGCTTTCAGGTGAGTGGCAGTGTGATGAGTGTTTATAGTGGAGACTTTGGCAATCTGGAAGTTAAAGGAAATATTCAGTTTGCAATTGAATATGTGGAGTCACTGAAGGAGTTGCATGTTTTTGTGGCCCAGTGTAAGGACTTAGCAGCAGCGGATGTAAAAAAACAGCGTTCAGACCCGTAAGTACATTTTAGAGTCACCTACCTTCTCTTAGTTCTCCAACTGTCAATCTTACAGGAATTGGAAGGAAATAAAGTAATCAAGAGGAGGGAGGGTATGTGTTAAGAGGAATGTTTGAAAAGTTGGGGGGAAATGCTGTTTTATTCTATAAATTCATATGTCAAACATTAAATTATAAAAATCACAGAGAAAGGCCGGGCACGGTGGCTCACGCCTGTAATCCCAGCACTTTGGGAGGCCGAGGCGGGCGGATCACAAGGTCAGGAGATCGAGACCATCCTGGCTAACATGGTGAAACCCCATCTCTACTAAAAATACAAAAAATTAGCTGGGCGTGGTGGCGGGCGCCTGTAGTCCCAGCTACTCGGGAGGCTGAGGCAGGAGAATGGCGAGGAGGCGGAGCTTGCAGTGAGCTGAGATCGGGCCACTGCACTCCAGCCTGGGCGACAGAGTGAGACTCCATCTCAAAAAAAAAAAAAAAAAAAAAAAAAATCACAGAGAAGCACAAAATGTTTCAACTTGGAAAGAACCTTTGGGGTCATCTTGTTCAGTTCCTTCATTTTACAGATAAGAACGCAAGGACCAGAGAAGACAAGTAACCCATATATGTGAATTCAGATAGAAGCAAAATGAGGAATGAGGACCTGAACCCATCTCTTTCCACCACACTCTCAAACTTTTTACAAAATTAGGGATACATGGGACACACTTCATAAAGCTCAGTGGTATAAAAATAGTTAAGACTCTAGAATGAGAGAATTTTCATATTTAAATTATATCTTACAGAACTTTAGGGGAAATTACTAAAATTATTGTTTTAAATCACAGGTTTAATTGCACTTCAGTTTTTTTTCTTTTTTTGCAAACGCTGAATGGTATTCCCTACTTATCCCTATACAGAAGTCTGATTCTTAATTATTTTGCTGAGACAAGTGCAATCCTTTTTTCTTTTATTCTTATTATAAAAACAACTGAGCTCAACATCCTTTATTTTTTTAACATTGAAGATAACTTGACTAGGTATTTACTAAGATTAATTTATTTCAAAAGACGGTAACAAAAACTTAAAAATACTGCAAGCACCAAAGCGTTTTCTCAGAGGGGAACAAACTAGGGGAACAAACAGATTTAAGCTCTATGCTGAAAGTGTGTTTTCTTTTTTTCTTTTTTTTTTTTGAGGTGGAGTTTCACTGTTGTTGCCCAGGCTGGCACGATCTCAGCTCACAGCAACCTTCGCCTCCCGGGTTCAAGCGATTCTCCTGCCTCAGCCTCCTGACTAGCTGGAATTACAGGCATGCATCACCACACCCAGCTAACTTTGTAGCTCTGTGTGTGTGTGTGTGTGTGTGTGTGGTTTTTTTTTTTTTTTTTTTGAGACCAGCCTGGCTCATGGGGTTTTTCCATGTTGGTCAGGCTGGTCTTGAACTCCCGACCTCAGGTGATCTGCTCACCTTGGCCTCCCAGAGTGCTGGGATTACAGGTGTGAGCCACCGTGCCTGGCCTGGAAGTGTGTTTTCTGCCCCTTTCCACCCCTGCATATTAGTTAAGGCCAAAGGAAAAAAGGAATGCAGGAAATGCCCGTTAAAAATCTTCAAAACAATATAAAATGATCAATTCCACTAAAACCCTTTACACATTTAAGTATAAAGGTATTGGTAGGAAAATTTGTTATTCACTGCTTTTCTCAGTGTCATGAAATAATTATTTCTGCTGTCAGTTTTCAATGTATTTAAAAAACTAGAGGTGGAAACATAACTTTTATTTTCTTTGACTTTGTCTGTTCAATTCTCCTTTTCAGATATGTAAAGGCCTATTTGCTACCAGACAAAGGCAAAATGGGCAAGAAGAAAACACTCGTAGTGAAGAAAACCTTGAATCCTGTGTATAACGAAATACTGCGGGTATCTATGAACTCTCTCTATAGGAAAATCCTAGATGGTGACCTGTTTACCATGTCTTCTTTGGGTAGTAGCTCTACAGGATAAAGTCAGTCACCAAGAGAGGAGAAGGAAGGGAATACAAATGTTCTGAGACTGTTTTGTTTGAGACAAAACAACCTGAATGTTGTATACGTTATTTCATTCACTCCCCATATATAAACTGCCAGGCTGGTATTGGTATCTGCATCTCACAGATGAGGCAAATGAAACTTGGAGAAATGAAGTAACTTATTTAAAAACACACAGCTTGGCTGGGTGAGGTGGTTCACGCCTGTAATCCCAGCAACTTTGGGAGGCCGAGGTGGGTGGATCCCTTGAGGTCAGGAGTTCAAGACCAGTCTGGCCAACATGGTGAAACCCTGTCTGTACTAAAAATACAAAAATGAGCCAGCATGGTGGCAGGCACCTGTAATCCCAGCTACTTGGGAAGCTGAGGCAGGAGAATGACTTGAACCAGGGAGGCGGAGGTTGCAGTGAGCCAAGATCACACCACTGCACTCCAGCATGGGTGACGAGTGAAACTCTGTCTCAAAAAACAAAACAACAAAACAAAACAAAAAACAAAAAAAACCCACAGCTGATAAAGTTGAGCATTGCAACCAGAATGATCTTATAAAAGCACAATTCTGATTATGCTATTTTTCTGCTTTCTATAACCCTTAGGGTCAAAGCCATCTTTCTTAACATGCACACCAGTCCCTTCACAACCTGAACTCCAGCCTCAACTTTCCTCTCTCATAGTCTTTGTTCCAGTCACCCTGAATTCTTTTCATTATTTTAAGGAAGTACATTTTCTCACAATTCTGTGAATTTCTGTTCCTTCAGGCTGGAATATTCTTCCACACATTATTTCCCTAACTGCCTCCTGTACTGTCTTAAATACCTCCTCTTATGAGGGGCTGTGCTTAACCCCTAAGTTCTCCTGCTGTCTGCTGCCTCAGTAATCTTGCTTTATAGCAGGATATGTTAACAGCAGTTTAACTAGTGGTTTTATTGTCTTCCTTGCCACTAAATTGTAAGTTCCATGAGGGTAGGGACCAACTTGGTGTTGTTTGTAAACTGTGTGTCTTTGGGCACCTCAGATCTGCCAAGTCGGGTTAATGCTAGTTTTCAGATTTGCAAAAGGAAGATAATAATAGTACTTACCTACCTACCTTAGCAGTGGAGAACAGTAAATTAGTTAATTTGTGTGAAAGATCAACACACATTAAGCATTTAATAAATCTTGATCCTTAATCTGGGATAGGTATTCAAAATATGTTTACTGGAAAGATAAATGGACAGATGAATAGAAAGTATACTTGGCTCATATTCTTTTTCTTCCCAAAACTACATCATGCTGCCTTAGTCATGACTAACAGATCATTTAAAACTAAAAATAAGTGTTGTTCATTCCCTCTTTCTGAAAACTCTGTCCAAGTATTTGATCATCCTCTGGAAAAATAAGCAGTTAAATCAACACTCAGTCATCCATGGTCTGAATTAACCACCTGTAGAATTTTTGTACCAAGTTTTTAATTACAGTTTGACTATGATATACCCTAGTACCCTGGCTATTTCTGGGTCAGCTACTTCAACCCTATACTCAGGAAAAGCCAGATAATTTAAATGTTAAGCTCAGAGAAAGGCAGACTTACTACAACCACAGTGGACATTCAAGTAGTACATCATGAAGCCAAATGGAAATTATTTTTAGATTAGAAGTACTATTGTCCTTTCCATGATTATATGTAATTAAAGATTGACTACATTTGAGATGAAAAACTGTTAGGATGCCAGACCTTTTCTACTTGGCCATATGCAGCAGGAAAAGACAAGTTTATTTATTTATTTATTTTAAATACCTCATCTGTGTGGGATGTTGATAGTGGGGGAGGTGTGTGTATGTGGCAGCATACATGGCATATGGGAACTCTGTTCTTTCTGCTCAGTTTTGCTGTAAACCGAAAACTGCTCTAAAAAGACTATTTTAAAAAAGACCTTGTTCTTAAGTAGAAAACAGAGAATTCGGTTACATTTGATTTGTATTTTAGACTCAATTTTGTATTACATCTAGTCTAAAAATATTCAGCGAAAATTGAAAAACTGGCTTTTATTGTTAGAGAGCTATTACCAACTATGATATCTGAGCCTTGGTTTGCTTTTCCAGAGTGGGGAAGCAAATCAGCTTTTATGAAAGATGGATTTTAGCTCTTTGAAACAAGATGCTTAGAATAAGATGACTTTGCAATATTTTTGGGACTCGAAACCTAACAGATAAGAAAATTTGCTATATACAGATGAATTTCTCTTCATCTCTGTGTTATAACTTTGGCATCAAGTAATGTTTTTCATCATTTAATTTTCTTCTTTGAACTTCAGTATAAAATTGAAAAACAAATCTTAAAGACACAGAAATTGAACCTGTCCATTTGGCATCGGGATACATTTAAGCGCAATAGTTTCCTAGGGGAGGTGGAACTTGATTTGGAAACATGGGACTGGGATAACAAACAGAATAAACAATTGAGATGGTACCCTCTGAAGCGGAAGGTGAGTCCGGAATTTTTTGTTTGTTTATTTGGTTGGTTGATGTGGTACCTAGTGTATAGGAAAAAGCTTAATTGCATTTAATTCAGAGTACAGATCTGTAGTTTGGGAGAATTTTAAACTAGAGGAAAAAAAAGAAAGGTAAAAAAGGTTATTGGGAACATGTTTAAATCATTTAACACAAATGTTTCAGAGACTTCAGGAAGGTCTTTTAAATAATTCAGTCCTTTGAAATTTGATACTGACTTTTAGCCTAATATTTGGCTGAATTTTGATAAATGTTCCATGTGTTACTTGAGACCAAAGTGTATTCAATGATTAAAGGATGTAATGTTCTATATTTATCAATTAAGTCAAAACTAGTTCCTGAAATCTTTTATATCCTCATGGGTTTTATGTCTGTGTGTACTGTGAATTACTAGGAGAGTTACAATTGTGAATTTGTCTTTTTCTCCTTTTAGTTTTATTATTTTTGATTCACTATATTTGAGATTGTCTTATTACATATACATACAACTGTAATTGTTATATTTTCTTGATGAATTAACCATTTTATCATTTTGAAATTCCCTTTTTATCTCTAGTAATGCTTATTGCCTTAAAATCTACTTTGCCTGTATTTATATAGCTCTATTAGCTTCCTTTTGATTAGAAGTTTGTTTCTATCTTTTGATTTTCAGCCTTTTAAAATTCTTATAGTTCAGATATATTTTTATAAGCAATAGTTTTGATGTTTTTCCAGTCTTAAAATATTTGTCTCTTAATTGGATTATCTAGTCCATTTGCACTTAATATAAATATTGATGTATTTGGGTCCAAATCTAGTATCTTACTATTTGTCCTGTTTTCTTATTTTCGTAATTGCCTCCTTTGGGATTATTATTCCATTTTTTCTCTCTCTTAATATGTCAGTCATAGTTTATTTTCATTTTTCTTTATTAGTTCCTGTAGAGATTATAATATGCACCCTTGAAT
Organism: Homo sapiens; assembly: GCF_000001405.40. NCBI lineage: Eukaryota > Metazoa > Chordata > Mammalia > Primates > Hominidae > Homo > Homo sapiens. Next base: position 85,703,885 of record NC_000011.10, on the reverse strand, counting down.
TCAAACTGTAATATAAATTAGAACTTTTGCCACTTTCAGAACAGTGGAAGGAACCAAGAACATTTTAACTCCATTTACCCATTCTCTCATCCTTTGTGCTATTTTTGGTCATGTTTTAATTGTATATATTTTTAAGTCCCATAAGACATTACCGTTATTGTTTTATACGGTCTATTAATTTAGATTTAACCACATATTTGCCTTTCCCTTGCTCTTTATCCTTTCCTGGATTTATCCGTGGAGTTGTTTCTTCTGTTCAAGACTCTCCTTTAGTTTTACTCTTAGTGAATATCTCCTGGCAACAGATTATTTCAGATTTTCTTGGTATCATAACATCTTTTTCAATCTTGGAGGGATATTTTTGCTCTGTTGCTAGGTTGACAATTATTTCTTTCAGTGTTTTGAAGATGTCATTTCATAGTATTTGGTCATTTCTGTTGTGAAGTCAGCTGTTAGTCTTATTTTTGCTCCTTTGAAGGTTATGTGTTCTTTTCCAGATTTTAGGATACTTTTCTTTGTCTTTGATTTTTAGCAATTGTACTATAATGAGCCTAGGTGTAGTTTTCTTTAATTTATCCTGAGGTTTGGGGTTCAGTGAGCTGCTTGAATCTATCTATGTTTTGGTATCTTTCATCACTTTGAAAATTTCTCAGCAACTATTTCTTCAAATATTACTTTTGCCCCACTATTTTCTCCTCTCCTTCTGGAAACTCCAATTACAAGTATGTTATACCTTTTTATTCTGTCCAACATGTCTCTTATGGTCTTTTCTGTATACTTTTTTTCTTATATTTCAGTCCATGTTTTGCTAACCTTTTCACAATTCAACAATTTTATCTGCTATGTCTATTCTGTTGTTAAAACCATCTACAATTTAAGCCAATCTATAATATAAAGCTTATATTTTCGAAAGCATATTTTCTTTTGACTATTTTGATTCCATTTCTCTCCTAAAATTCTCTATCTTAACATTGTCTTTAAAAATATAGCATGCAAAGTTATTTAATGTATGTACTTAAAAATTCCAGTATCTTAAACATTTGTGAGTCCTGCTTATCTATTTTTTAAAATCTTAGTTTGGACACTTAGTTCTTTGTCTTGGTATGCCCGTTCATTTTTTGATCATATGTGGGGTATTGCATATGAGAACGTTCTAGGAATAATTGGGGAGGATTTACTTTTGCTTCTGATACAGCAGGCACAGACCACCTTCATTTAATCTGGGAATAAACTGACTTTGAAGCACAAGCCCAGTTTTCATGTGATCTGGTCTAGTTTTTGTTTGCTTATATTCCTAGGCTAAGGCCCTTCAGAGGTTCCAACTGAAAGCCATGGGAAATAGTTCTCAAAATCAGCATGCATCTGATTCACCTGAAGGACTTATTAAATCACAGATTCTGGGGCTGGGTGCGGTGGCTCTCAGCTTTAATCCCAGCACTTTGGGAGGCTGAGGTGTGGATTGCTTGAGTCCAGGAGTTGGATGGAGACAAGCCTGAGGAACGTGGCAAAACCCTGCCTTTGCAAAGAAATTAACCAGGCTTGGTGGCATGCACCTATAGCCCCAGCTACTCAAGAGGCTGAAATGGGAGGATCACTTGAACCCAGGAGGTGGTGGTTGCAATGAACTGAGATCACGCCATTGCACTCCAGTGTGGGCAACAAAGCGAGACCCTGTCTCAAAAAAAAAAAAAAAATAGACCCACTAGATTCTGAGCCCTATTCCCAAGGTTTACGGGCCCAAGAATATACATTTTTAACAGGTTCCCTGTCAATGCAGCTGACCTAGAAACGGTACTTTGAAAACCACTGGTCTAGAGTGTTTTTCCAGTGCCATTCCTTCTTGACAGGCCGTGGGCTCCAAGTTTTGTCTCCCCAGCCTCATGAAACTGCTAAAAGTCCTGCTTACCTTTTCAGTCTCATTCTGTTAGGCTTTTTATGTGCTCAGTTTGGCACTACTTAAATGTCTCAAAGTGAAAAGCAGAGAAGAATGTCAGACTCTAAGATCTTGTTCATTTGAGTCCTGTCTGTGTTAATAATTCTTTAGCACTTTCAAACTGATATTTAAAATCCCACCTTTTAAATTGTTATTAGTTTAGGGGTTGATGTGATCCAAGCTAGTCCATCATAGTAGGAAGTGATAAATATAAATAACTAATACAAACCATAACTTAGTGTCTACACAACAGTGGAACTGTTTTAGTTCCACTAAAGAAATGGTTCTCAAATGTTATATCAAAATCACTTGAAGCACTTATTTCTAGCCCTACCCAAGACCTGAACTCCTCAGAAGATATCAAAAGCATCTCATTTTTAACTGGCTACCATTACGTTTCTGATACATACCCATATTTTGAAAATAAAGCTCTAAAGAGCCAGAATTTGAAAGTAAAAAACTATCTTATGCAGGTTTCTTATACAGGTTTAGCATCCCTAATTCAAAAATTTCAAATCCATAATGCTCCAAAATCTGAAACTTTTTGAGTGCCGATATGATGCCGTAAGTGGAAAATTCCACACCTGCTTCATGTGATGGGTTGCATAAAGTTATTAAAAATGTTATATAAAATTACCTTCAGGCTATGTGTAGAAGATGTATATGAAACATAAATGAATTTTGTGTTTAGACTTGGGTCCCATCCCTAAGATATCTCATTACGTATATGCAAATATTACGAATTTCAAAAAACAAATCCGAAATCTGAAACTTTTCTGATCCCAAGCATTTCAGATAAGGAATATTCAACGTGTACTTGAAAATAACAGATAGAAGTTTAAAAAATTATTGTTCAGTCTTTGTTATACTTACAGACTTCTATGCATTTGGCCTAAAATAATCAGATTAGTGCAGCTTTGAAAATGTAAGATATGGCCTTTCCCCCCTTACTTTCACACACTATCTCATACTCCTTCAAATAAAGGGAATACAAATAAATTGTTTTATATGCTGGCTGAATAGCTAACAAAATATTTGTGTTTTGATCAAAATTAAAGCATTCAAAGAAACCTCTCCCATCTCCAAGAAAGCCATTCTGGTTTCTTCACCATCTTTGAGACTAAAGGCCTTGAAATATTTTCTGGGTATCCTGCAAGATTTTTCAAGATATACAACCTAGTTTTCCCAGGTATTAAGGCAACAGTCTAGTTCTGATGCAGAGAGAAATTTTAATCCAGAGCACTCATGAGTGACACATGGTCCCAGAAATGGGACAGATATGGTTCTGTAATGAGACCTATACCAACAAACAGGATGAAAAGTTTGTCTCCCACCTGCTGACATTTCTTCACTTTTCAGACAGCACCAGTTGCCCTTGAAGCAGAAAACAGAGGTGAAATGAAACTAGCTCTCCAGTATGTCCCAGAGCCAGTCCCTGGTATGTAATGACTTTCTATTCAGATTTATGTCCTTTCCTTATCCCTCCCTTCTCACAGTATTTACTATGCGTTTTCAAAGGTGAGGCCCTAAAGAAACTTATCAAGTTAGTAACGTATAGACCAAATGAGTCTATTCACAGTTGTAAATAAGAAAATTCTTTTTTTGTTATTGTGGCAAAAAAAAAAAAAAAAGAAAACATAAAATCTACCATCTTCACCATTTTTAACTGTACAGCTTAGTAGTGCTAAGTATATTCACACTGTTGGGAAACAGATCTCCAGAACCTTTTCATCTTGCAAATCTGAACCTGTTTATCTATTAACCAACAATTTCCTTTTCCTCTACTACCAGCTTCTGGTAATCATCATTTTACTTTCTGTTTCTATAAGAAAGTTCTCATTTTTTTTTTTAGTTTAGTTTATAGTCATTAGGTTTCACCTCACTCTCCAAAAATTTGTATCTGCACAATGTGAATGGCCTGTATTCAGAATTTGTGTATTCCTGTGTTTGGAATTTGGACTTATTGATAGTGCTATAAGAATAGAACCTGAGTGTTCTTTTTCACAGGTGGGAATTAAGAGGACTCCAGAGAACTTAAAGCTCATTCACCCTCCACTCTCAGGGTCTCATTAAGAGATAAAGCTTTTCCCTCAAGATTATTAATTGCCTCCTTGTCAGGTCTTCAGCCCAGTTAAGGAGCAAGAGACTAGCAGGAAATGAATGCCAGCCAGCTCCTTGCTCCATTTCCCAAGCAAGTTCCCCAAGTTAGTCTCTTTAAGAATCTGTATGAATGTTATGGCTGAAATCAGAGGTTGTAAACTCAAATGCTTTCAGTAACCAGGCAGTGAAGCTAGTGAGATGGAAGAAATAATTGATGGTGAGGATAGTGACTGAACTAAAGAAAAGCATTCTGATGTAGTTTATACCGCCCCCCGCCCCCCAAAAAAGAAAGAATTAGAGGGCAAGTAAAGCATATTTTCAGGCTGGATTGCTGTCAGACTGCCACCTTTGAACTTCTGGATTTTCCTAAAAGGTAGATTCTTTTGCATATAATTTGTATCCTATCATTTAAAGTCAACATTCATAGAAATCCCATTTCCCTTTTTCCTTCTATCACTTGGTAGTAGAGGGCAGGGGTATTGTGTGTTGTGATGGGTGCCACCATGTCTGAATTTTTGTCCACGTAGTTTTTCTTCTTTGAAATGGCTTCCTCTTCTCCTCAACCTACCAAAGTCTTAGATGAAGCCCCATCTCCTCCATAAAGCTTTCCCTAACTATATTAGATCTCACTGATCATATCATCTTCTAGAACATTACAGTAATAACTTGGAGTTTCACTGTATATTACATTTTTATCATTTTATTTGAATTATTCTCTCCAACATAACTATAAACATTTCCCAAGGGCATAGATTATTTCATGTATTCTCTGTATATCTAATGATGTTCCTAGCATAGCATAGAGATGAGCTTATGATAGATCCTCACTAAGTACTGTTTGGTTGACTGATTGAGCTAACCCATTCAGAAAAATCTGGTGGCATTCCTCTGTTCGTATGAACCCAGCCTAGACAACAATTTCAGACTAAGCCAACTTCTTAGTAACTATCTGCCCATAATATTAACTATTACGTATGTACATACAGTATCCCTATAAAATGTTTAACCACTCTTGACTGGGGGTGGTGGCTCACGCCTGTAATCCCAACACTTTAGGAGGCTGAGGCTGGTGGATCCCTTGAGCTTAAGAGTTCAAGACAAGCCTGGGCAACATGACGAAACTCTGTCTCTACAAAAATTTAAAAATTAGCCAAGTGTGGTGGCACATGCCTGTAGTTGCAGCTCCTCTGGGAGGGCTGAGGTAGGAGGATCACTTGAGCCCAGGAGGTTGAGGCTGCAGTGAGCCATGATTGTGCCACTGAACTCCAACCTGGGTGACAGAGTGAGACCCTGTCTCAAAAAAAAAAGTATAACTACTCTTAAAAATGACTATACCTTAGCCAATACCTGTTTTGGTTACTTTATACCCAAATATGTTTTAAATGTCTTCCACTAGCACCAACTGATACTGGTATTAATGTTTGCAAGGTATATGCATTTCATTGAAATGTTTTGAATATAACTGTAAATGGATGATTCACATTCCTGGTGTTTGATTTTGTTGAATCAAGCAAAACCCCAAATGAATGATGTGCTAATGATGTAATACTTGGTACTTAAAGCCAATATGAATTATTTTTATAGAGCTATCGAGTTCAGTAAAACCAGATTATGAAGACTTAGTTAAGACTGTATAGATTTAATCAGTTCAGATGATATCATCAAATACTAGCTAGTATCTCCATGCCAGAACATTTTTAGGCTGACATCTTTGGACGCAGTATTGCCAAGGGAGAACTGGCAGTGAAAATTTTCTCTTCTTTTTCTATTGTAGGTAAAAAGCTTCCTACAACTGGAGAAGTGCACATCTGGGTGAAGGAATGCCTTGATCTACCACTGCTAAGGGGAAGTCATCTAAATTCTTTTGTTAAATGGTAATAGTATTGATGACTCTGTCTGCAACAGTTCTGTAGCCTGGTCTTTGCTGGTTAGTTTCGGTTCTCTATATCTGTAATACTGACTCATCATTCATAATTTAAATGAATTTACTTGGGATAATGGAGACATGAATTGGAGGAATCTATATCATGAACTCTCAAGGCTTCATTTGGCTTTAAAATCATAAAGTAAGAGGTCAAATGAAACTAGAGACCTCATACTCAATGTGTAATGTGTTCTAGGGAAAACATCTGTTGGTGAGGGCAATAATCAGTTCAAAAGAGTTTATTAAATTTCTAATGGTAAGATGTCACACCCCTTGACTCCTTTATGGAGCAGGGAGAATTCCTTCTCTCCTTTGTCCCACCTGTTTTGTGGCCTATTTGCAAACGGTCATTGTATGAGACTGCAGATATTTGGAAAATGATTTGCTAATCAACCCTTACTAAGAGCTTGAGACAGTTTGGGTTTTTAAGTGGCAAACTCTTCTCTCTGTTATACATATAAAGTGACTGGCATCTAGTAAATAATAACTAAACAGATATTAGTATGCTCTCCTAGTTTCTCTAATTTTATTTATATATAGTCTACCAGAAGACCAACTGTAGCTTTTTAAATATATGTGACATATATCTGGTACAGCGAGGTGTCTCACGCCTATAATTCCAGCACTTTGGGAGGCCAAGGCGGACGGATCACTGGAGCCCAGGAGTTCAAGACCAGCCTGGTCAACATAGCCAAACCCCTTCTCTATTAAATAAATAAATATATATGTGACATATATCTAAGTAGCATAGATGATATTATTTATGATTTTCCCTACACATTATCTTTATAGATGTCAGCTGGTAAGATTTTTTTGGCTCAAGTCAGCCTCATTCTAAGACCAAGTCAGTCAGTCACATTCTGAGACCATTCACAGACCTTCTTGCCTTGTGTTGCCACTTGTATTGTCTTATATTGCCACTTACAAGAGGCATGGTAGGTTAAAGTTCATTTAATTGTTATCATAAATGAAATGTAAGTGATTGTAAAAAAAAAATTACATAATTTATTTCCAAAGTCAAATCTAGCAATTTGGAGAGGTTTCTCTTCTTTTTCTATTCTGTATAACACAAATGTCTTAGGCTATCACAGCTAATCAGGATAGCCTGTGCTTGCAAATTTTAAAGGAATCCTCAAATGATTACTAGCATATTAAGCACTTACTAAATGCAGGCATGGAGCTAAGTGTTTTGCATATGTTATTTAATTCTAATTTTAGCCTTATGAAATCAGCATCACCATTCCCATTTTATAGATGAAGAAGCAAGTGTCCGTAAGGTTGAGTAACTTTCCCTAAAATGCATACCCAGGAGGTAGCAGAGTCAGGATTCAAACCAAGTATAGCTGACTCTAGGTCCAGAGTCTTTTCAGCATGATGTGTTCCTACCCCCTACCCCACTGTCTGCCAAACCACCACCACCACTATCTCTCCACATCTTTTCCTCCATTGTCAATCTTTAATAGCTGTGTTGTTATGTATTGAAAGCATGAATGTTCACTATCTTACTAAAATGCTCCCACAATCATGCCTCTTTTTGTAGTACCATCCTTCCAGATACAAGTAGGAAAAGTCGCCAGAAGACAAGAGCTGTAGGGAAAACCACCAACCCTATCTTCAACCACACTATGGTGTATGATGGGTTCAGGCCTGAAGATCTGATGGAAGCCTGTGTAGAGCTTACTGTCTGGGACCATTACAAATTAACCAACCAATTTTTGGGAGGTCTTCGTATTGGCTTTGGAACAGGTACTGTTTGCTACATTTTTAATTCTCCATGAGCCAAATTTTTCTAGAGATACTAGAGGTTTGTTTGTTGCTTTGCTTCTTCCCAGTGAAAACCGAGATATCCTGAAAACAGATATCTCTTAAGTATAGTGAAATAAATGAGTAAAGAAATGTCAGGTTGTATGCCAAGGGCTCCAGATATGAGGATTAACAGGGTGAAGTGTCTCTGCATATAGAGTTTAAGTTATTGTGGCAGTGGCAGGGACAGAAAAGCCTTCATCACTAGTCTGCCCTGCAAAAACATTTATGGTCCTTCAAGGCTAAATATATGCTTTGAGTAATAACAATAACATTTTTGGAGCACCAGTCACTGTATTAAATGCTTCATTTACATTATTTCATTGAATCCTCACAAGTCTATGAGGTAGTTACTAATGTTACCCCAAAGGAACTGATAGTCCAAGAAAGTAAGTAACATAGCTACAAAGTGGCAGAGCCAAGATTCAAAATTGAGTCTGTTAGACACTAAAGCCTTAGTCACACTAACCTAGAGATTATCTAGTGTCATCTCCAACCCAGTGCAGGAGTCCTCCCAACTCCCTTATTCCCTGATGAATTTTCATCTGGCCTTTACATTAACTTGAAGAAAAATCATTGCTCTAGGAATTATGGTAATGATTACAAACATGAAGTCACTCAGACAATTGAACAGTTCTTCCTTATGTTGAGTCTCACATCTGCCCTCCCAGTGAAGAAAGCTCCTCCTAGCTTCCACTGGTGGTTATAATTAGGGAATAACTTTCCCTCTTTCCCCTACCCCCAATGAGCTGTTTCTTTCTAAATGCAAAGCTTCCTTTTTTCAGGTAAAAGTTATGGGACTGAAGTGGACTGGATGGACTCTACTTCAGAGGAAGTTGCTCTCTGGGAGAAGATGGTAAACTCCCCCAATACTTGGATTGAAGCAACACTGCCTCTCAGAATGCTTTTGATTGCCAAGATTTCCAAATGAGCCCAAATTCCACTGGCTCCTCCACTGAAAACTACTAAACCGGTGGAATCTGATCTTGAAAATCTGAGTAGGTGGACAAATATCCTCACTTTCTATCTATTGCACCTAAGGAATACTACACAGCATGTAAAAGTCAATCTGCATGTGCTTCTTTGATTACAAGGCCCAAGGGATTTAAATATAACAAAATGTGTAATTTGTGACTCTAATATTAAATAAGATATTTGAACAAGCTAGGAAAATTGAATTTCTGCTGCTGCTTCAAAGAAAAAGCTGCCCCAGAGCATTAAACATGGGGTATTGTTAAGAAGCAAAATGTTCTTGTTTGCCATCATGTGTTTCACACCACAATTCTGTGCCACAGTTAAGAGGGTCTGGTACCCTTGCAGGACCTTTGTAGGTTGTGGGAAAAAGTCGCAGAAAGATACTCAAAGTGGAGCAGGGAATGGAGACAGACATCAGTGATGATAAAAAAAAAAATGGACCTTAAGAAACTATTTACTCTGTAATCTCTAATAAAATATGGAATTCCATATTAGGGCAATGAGACTGAAACTACTGGTGTTTTTCTGCCTTGAGAAAACAAACAGTTAAAACAAGCCTCAAATGTATTTTAGTGCCACCCACTGGCCATAGGTACAATTCAGTTGTTGGCTTGTTTTGACTTAATTCTAAAATAGGTCTCAAGCCTGTATTTTTATGAGTTTATTTTTTTAAAACCCTGCATATATATGATTGTTTTTCTTATAACTTTACTATATGAAAGCAGCATAAGAGTAGTCACAAACATGTTTTGCAACAAAGTTTTAATTAGAATGTAAGTTGCTCAGTTATACTGTTCTTCTTATGTATGTAAAATTTTCGTATTTTGTAAAAACCCTTAGAATAAATTATCATTTGATTTAAATTGTATTAGAAAATTAGCGTGACTTCTCATTTTAAATAAAATATTTTAGGAATTCTAAACATCTAAATTTCCTAACAAGGCTAATGAACTTCTTCTGGGCTAATGTTTCTGCAGTCTTCACTGCAATTCTGGGCATCATCTCCCCTAAGTGGGCAACTTTGGCTATGTTATTAAGAGTAGGATTTTTATTTTTATTTATTTTGTTTTAAAGGACATAGCAGATCTCAAGGATTTTTATTTTTTTTTAAGTAGTTAAAATGCTTTGGGGATGATTTTAGTATATGAAGCACATTACTCTCCCTTAGGACCCAACCAGCTTAATTTTCTGAAAACAAGCACTGATTTAATGTAGGTTCAAGAAAGCCTGAGTGACAGGCGAACATGGGATCTTACAACAAGCATCTCATAAATGTCATTGAAAACAACTAGAATGCTTGCCTGTTCTTCCTGAACAGATACTAGAACGTTCTACCCACTTGTCAATAAGAGTGACTAATCTAGGTCAATGCCCTTTCCATTGTCTCCTCAGGTCTTTTTTTTTTTTTTTTTGAGATGGAGTGTCGCTTGGTCACCTAGGCCGGAGTGCGCTGGCGTGATCTCGGCTCACTGCAACCTCTGCTTCCCGGGTTCAAGCAGTTCTCCTGCCTCAGCCTCCTGAGTAGCTGGGATTACAGGTGCCCACCACCATGCCCGGCCAATTTTTGTATTTTTAGTAGAGATGGGGTTTTACCACGTTGGCCAGGCTGGTCTCGAGAATTCCTGACCTTGCGATCTGCCTGCCTCGGCCTCCCAACCCAGGTTTTTTATTAGAGTGCTTAGTCTAGCTCTATTTATCATTCCCGCTCTGACCTTAAGGAAGGGCAAAATGAGCTAATTAGAGTCACGCTTCTAGAGCACAGCGGTAGAAGCACAAACCCTGTTCTGGCTTGTGCCAGATCATAGTACAAGCTACTTCCTCAGGCTTTCTTTCAGTTACCTGTAAAACCAGCATCCAGCCAGCTCTGGAGCAATAATGAGATTGGCTCCATTATCTCCCCATCTAGGACCAGGACTGCCTGTCTCATCCTATCCCCCGATCCCTCATCTTCAAAACACCAAAGTGGGAAATAGAACCCCCCACCTTCTTTGCATCTATCCACAGCACTTCTGACTGCCTCAAGAAGTCCAAGGAGAGGTTTCACATGAAAAAAAAATATAAATCATAAATTTAATCTTCCCTGGTTCAAAAGGAAGGCTAAGTGTGAGCTTCATGCTTTATAAAATGTAAGCACGGCTGGGTGTGGTGGCTCATGCTTGTAATTCCAACACTTTGGGAGGCTGAGGCAAGAGCATTGATTGAGGCCAGAAGTTCAAGACCAGCCTGGGAAGCATAGCAAGATCCCATCTCTAGAAAAACTAAAAAAATTAGCTGGGCATGGTGGTGTGTGCCTGTAATCCTAGCTACTTGGGAGGCTGAGGTGGGAGAATTGCTTGAGCCTAGGAGTTTGAGGCTGCAGTGAGTTTTGATTGTGCCACTGCACTCCAGCCTGGGAGACAGAAGGAGATCCTGTCTCTTTAAAAAAATGTAGGCAACTTGAATTCTTTAGTGAACTCAGGTTGACATGCTTTTGAGTCAGTGTAACTTTTAGGCAAAGACCCTCCTAAAACTTCAAAGTACATTTTTCTAAGCTAGAGGCATTCCTTGAACTGCATATTTTAGGGCTTTTTTTTTTCAGAAGCCCAACTGGTAATAAGCCAAAAAGGAGGATTTATTGGAAATATACTGGGTTAGCTCACAGAGTAAAGAAGTACTGCGGGAACCTAGGTTATTTTGGGGACTTGCAGGCTGGAACTAGAGACTCAGATGTGGTCTCTTTTCTTCAGGGAGTGAGAAATAGCACCTCAGCCAGGTTCAACATCACAACCTCTCAGCTAAAGCACTTCTCTTTCCTAGGTTCAGCTTGAGAGACCTATGGTGGAAACTGGCCAGGTCTGTGTCATATGCCCACCTATTGGACCATTCACTGTGGATGGTGTAATATGATTCACCTAGCCTGGGTAATGTGCCCACCCTGTGGCCAAAGGAAAATGGTTCATTATTAGAAGAATGGGATGTTATATAGACACTGGTGAAATCAAGAGCTAGGTATACATGCAATTTGTTTCTACCTCAAGTGAAAATATTTCAAAATACCATTATTTTTAAAAAGAAGTAAAATTTCTAAGGGTCACTGCTGACTCTTTTCAGAGAGGCCTAAATTCTTCCATTTACCCTGACTACTCTAGCTTCTAAGTGGGTGGTGAGGATCCTGGGAACTCCATGGACTTCTCACATGGTCCAGCAGTCCACCCAAAGCATGGTTACTGTTAGGCTAGGCTAGCTTCTTTCAGAGAGATGCCTACCACCCTTCTCCTCAGCTGTATTTTCCAGGGAACTTGCTTAGACATCTTTGCAGATCCCTGGCATCCATACTCACTATACAAGTAAAAAGCCCCAAATATCTCTTACCACTGTACTTTCATTCCCATTCTGCTTTGGGATTGGTCTCTCATCTACTCTCATCTTCACTCTCTCCCAGGCTTATTCACTAGTTTGTTTTATAAAAAAAAAAGTCCCCACATACTTGATTCAATCACAGACAATATATTCCCTCTATTTCTTTGGCTGGCTTTTTCCAAAAGAACTGGTTCTCCTTCAGCCTTACAAAAAGAAAGCTCACTCTCACACCCAGTACCTCAATCAGGATATGGGATCAGATTTCAGATCATTGCTCCTCTCTTTTCCTGTAAATGTTTCTAAGGATGTGTGTTGTCCAGTTGTATCAGGAAGGGAGTACAGTGTAATGGTTAAGTGACCTCCAGAAACAGGTAGCTTGGATTTGAATCTCAGTTAAACCACTTAGTAGCTGTGTGACCTTGGACAAGTTATCTAACTTCTTTGTGTCTCATCTGTAAAAGAAAAAAAGAAAGAAAGAAAGAAAGAAAGGGGCGACATTGTGCCTACTCTATAGGTGAAAATAAATGAATCAATATAGTGCTCACTTTTGACAGATAGCATTCTGTAAATGTTTGCTATTATGATTATTCCTTCCACTCATTCTTGTCCTCTACCATCCTTCTCAACTCATTCATTGATGACCCTGGCCCCTGGCTCCACAGCATATGAATGTTCATCAGACACCCTGGCTTCTTAGTTCCTTGACCTCCTCAATTTGAATATCCTTAACCTCTGTTCCTTTTCAGCCACACAAATCCATGAACTTCCTTGTAACTGAGAAGTTCCACCTTTGAAGCATTAAATGTAAACATCCCACTCTGACCAAAATCTCCTATGCTCTCAGCTTTCAGTTCATTATTCTGTAATATTATTTTTAAAAGTCATTGTGGACACCATCCCTCAAACCCCTATCAGTCACCTCCCACTATCACTCCTCTATCCAGTCAACCACTCTCTTGCCACTAGCCTCAAAATTTTTGCTTTCTTTTTTTTCCATTGAATACCCACTCACCAGCACTATTACAGTTCCCATCCCCACATAAATTCAGTGGAACTACCCTGTCCTTGGTGCAAACTGTGGCTGGAGAAAATCACACATCCACCCTGTCTACAATAGAAATGAGAAATAGATGGAGAAATAAAGAGTCCTTGTGTGTGGCTTTGCATCTGCAGTTTTGGTTCTTGAGGTTCTACCTAGTTCCTGCCTCTCCTGCTTTGACTCTATGAGCTCCCGCTGTGCACTTTCTGTGAGCCAATATATTTCCACTTGCTTAGCTAAATTGAATTGGGTTTCTATTAAAACAATCTTGACTAATATGCCCCTTCCATCCAAGACTGGTTTTGTATCCCTTCTTTGTGCCTTCAGTAACACCCAGTGTTTACCACTGTATCTTTGAAAAGAGTGATGTCTAATTTATCTATGATTACTTTAGCAGTGTTCACACTGAATTATTGTTATCCATTTATCTGTGTCTATCACTAAACTGTAATCATCCTGAGAGTTGGGACTTCATTCTTGGATATAATAGTTTCTCAGTCTATGTGAGATGAATGAATGAATGATCAAATGGACAAATGAAATGTGATCTAAGATCATGGGCTTTGGTATCAAAAAGATCTAGATTTGAATTCTCGCTCTATCACTTATTCTCTGGGTGGCATAATTTGCTTAACCTCTCTCAACCTTGGTGTCTTTGTTACCTGTAATTGATAAAATGTGGATAATAATGCCTACCCTTCAAGAATATCATTAGAATTAAGTGAGAGATGTACAAATAAATGCCCACTACCTAGAAGAGCTCTGTAAATGGTAGCTTTAAAAGGGAGGGAGGCATGGAAAGACTTAAAGATAAGTGGAGACGACTCATTGATCACCACAAGGGAGAGAATTGGTCACCTTGGATCTCTGGGAAGGGAATATATGGGATACTTTTAGGAGGGGAGCTAGAAAAAAAATGATTGAGCAAAGAAGACAACCACGGCAGAAAGGAACCAAAGTGATTACTAAACTAAGTTATTTGAGGACAGTGATCGTATTTATTTTATTAATATATTCTTAGCACCTAGCATTGCAAATAACCTTGCAAATGTTTACTGAATAAATGAATGAATATTGATTAGGATCTTATCAGATTCTTGGTCTTGATAAGTAATCTATAGATGTGTGTTATTTTAAATAATGTAAATATAAATTTAATAGAAATGTGTATTAAAATATATTTGCAAAAAAGAAATATAAGCTTTTTCAAATGTGGAAAATTTAGCTGAACATGGTGGTACATGCCTGTAGTCCTAGCTGCTTGGGAGGCTGAGGCAGGAAGATTGCTTGAGCCCAGGAATTCAAGACTGCAGTGAGCTATGATGACACTACTGCACTCCAGCTTGGGCAACAGAGACCCTGACTGGTAAAAAAACAAATGTGTATGTATCTTTTTTCCGTATTTTTCTGAATTCTTTTCCTCCTTTCAGGAAATATATTTTGTGAATTCACTTTATGATATCAGACAACCATATAATCAACAAATAAAATTTTCAATGTTTGTAAGACCCTTTTATTTAAGAGGACCATTCTAATTTTCTAGTCATTTGCCTTGAAAATAACTAGACGAACTCCATTTACGCATATGAAGCTTGAAATTTAAGGAAAAGGACAAGAGAAATGTGGGAAAATTACAAATAAGTTTAATTCACATTTTTAAAGTCTTTGGAATTCACTTTCACAAAACTTCAATATCCTACTGTTTATGTAGTTGTTAAAATTTCAGCTTAGGAAATTTCCCCAGTCTTCAATCTTGGTTTCCATATATAGACAAGAAATTCAGGATTTGAAACATGAGACCTTGATCTTTGACAGTGAGGGAAGAACCTGAAACTCTTCTTTCAGATTTGTTTCGCTCCCAGTGAAATCTGAAGCATTTAAAAATTCATCTCATATCTATAATGACACCCAGGGTTTTTCCTTATCATCATGACTTGGGAGATAGTAAATCTGATCACCAGAAACTGTGACCACAAGAATAGTCAACTCTTTTCCCTACCCTTAATTTTCACAGGATTGAAATCATCTGAATTTTAAGTTTTGTATTTTGCCTTTTTCAGTTGTATTTCTAACATAAGACTTTTCCATGCTATTAAAAATTACCTATAAATGTAATAAGTTCTAGTGGCTGTACAATATTTTTTGTATGAATATATCATAATTTTTGTAACCATTCCCTTTTTTTTTTGAAAACTTGGGTTTCCAACTTTTAGTTGTTACAAACCACACTACAATGAAAAGTTTTGAGCAAAATGTTTTCTTTCAGATTATTTCCTAAGCAAAGATCTCCGCAGAAGAATTACTAGTTCGGAAGCCATAAAAATATCTTAATTTCTCAGTACCTACTGTCAACTGACTTTCACCAACAGTTTAAGAGAGTGCCTATTTCAATACTCCTTTCTAGTCCTGGCTTGTCTTAAGAGAAAATTTTTTGACTAATTTGATACGTGAAATTATATCTTTTTTTTTTTTTTTTTTTTTTTGAGACGGAGTCTCGCTTTGTTGCCCAGGCTGGAGTGCAGTGGCGCGATCTCGGCTCACTGCAAGCTCCGCCTCCCGGGTTCACGCCATTGTCCTGCCTCAGCCTCCTGAGTAGCTGGGACTACAGGCGCCTGCCACCACGCCTGGCTAATTTTTTGTATTTTTTTGGTAGAGACGGAGTTTCACCGTGTTAGCCAGGATGGTCTCAATGTCCTGACCTCGTGATCCGCCTGCCTCGGCCTCCCAAAGTGCTGGGATTACAGGCGTGAGCCACCACACCCGGCCGAAATTATGTCTAATTTTAACTTGTATTTATTGGATCACTGTAGACGTTCAGTTCTTGGCCATTTTTGTGAATTTAATTGTTTATTTTTTAGATGTTAATGTTTCGTTGATATGTATAAAATATTTATTTAAAAAAGGTAGTGTCTGGGCTGGGTGCGATGGCTCATGCCTGTAATCTCAGCACTTTGGGAGGCTGAGGCGGGTGGATCATTTAAGGTCAGGAGTTCAAGACCAGCTTGACCAACATGGTTAAACTCCGTCTCTACTAAAAATACAAAAATTAGCCAGGTGTGGTTGTATGTAATTGTAATCCCAGCTACTCAGGAGACTGAGGCAGGAGAATTGCTTGAGCCCGGGAGGCGGAGGTTGCAGTGAATCGAGATCGTACCACTGCACTCCAGCCTGGGCGATGGAGGGAGACTCTGTCTCAAAAAAAAAAAAAAAAAAAAAAAAAAAGTAGTGTCTGTCATATTAGGGATATTTTTCTCAATTTGATTTTTACCTTCAACATCCACTTAATACACATTTATCTGAATCTCCCCCATGTGCCAGGCACTAGTCTAATCATCAAGGATGAAATAGACACAGTCCCTGCCCTTAAGGATCTTACAGTCTAACAGAGGGAAGCTGGCAGATAAACAGTGACTGCAATAAAATTTTCACATCCTCCACCAGAAGTACAAATAGCTATAGCGGATGCACTAAAAGATGTGAGTGACCAATTGGACATGTAGGGGCCAGGAATAGGCTTCAGAGACGATTCTTAACTAAGAATAAAAAGCTTTACTAGAGTGACAAGGGACAAAGTAGGAAAGGCATTCCAAGTAGAGGAACACCTAAAGATAGGGCGAGAGAGCTGGTTAGTGGATTTGGGTTTGGCTTCAATATTTGGGTTTGAGGAGTAAAATGTCAAGAAAATCCAGTGGAAGAAGGGGCTGGAGAGACCTCAGAAGTCACATAATTTAAAAAATTATACATAACTTTTTGAGTAAGCTTTCCCTTTCTGATCTTACATAATGTTTAAGATAAAAAAAAAATCCTTCCTAGCCCCAGAGATTTGATGTTTACCTTCATTTTCTTCTAGTTTCTGTTTACATTTAACTAATCTATCAGGAGTTGACTTTGGCATATAATGGCAAGCTTCATTTGAATCTTATTTTTTCTGTTTTAATGTTTATCTGTGTGGTTCACTAAGCTTCTTTCTGTAACCTTATTTTGCTAATGGGTAAAAACAGGGGGTGTTAAATATCTAATAAAGAGTATTTATGCCCAGGTGGGGACAATGCTAAGAACAACAAAAGAAATTTCACTGGTGTTTTCTATTTTAATACTTAAATACCAAAAGGGAGCTGTGCCAAACATCACGGGTGCAGATATGCAGGCTTTTAGGGTCCTGGCTCTCAGAATACCACTACTACTTTGTATTCATAGACTGAAATTTTTTGAGGAGCCAACCATGTTTCCACAAACAGTAATTTATTCAAACGATAACTGAAGAGGGGAGAGGGAGGATAAATATATCATTGCCTGCTTCATTTGTTTACTACTACCAGAAATTAGGTGGAGTCAGGCTTCCTCCCCTGATGCTGGCTGGAGATTGAGTGGGGTTGGCATCTCTGTGCTGTACAGGCCAGACACTGAGACAGTTGACAACTGAGAGCTGTGATTGGTTAGAAAGGCAAAAGTAACCCGACCAGATTGGCTCTGGACTCCCCCAGATTCCCCTGTTGTTACTTCATAGCATTCTGAAGACCTGTCCACCAATTACAGGGCTCCTTACTGGAAAAACCAACTGCTGGGGAGTGCCAAGAGTCCCTAGCAACACCCTGCAGCGTTTGAAATCTGAGGGGAAAAGACTGTAGTCAGCCCTTAGTGGATGAGAGCGCCTATGCTCCAGAAACAGCAGGCTCCCAGGATGGACACCCCGCCCCCTGAAGAACGCTTAGAGAAGCAAAATGAAAAACTGAACAACCAGGAAGAGGAGACGGAGTTTAAGGAACTGGACGGTCTGAGGGAAGCCTTGGCAAACCTCCGGGGACTGTCAGAGGAGGAGAGGAGCGAGAAGGCTATGCTTCGCTCCCGCATTGAAGAGCAGTCCCAGCTCATCTGCATCCTGAAGCGGAGGTCAGATGAGGCCCTGGAGCGCTGCCAGATCCTAGAGCTGCTCAATGCAGAGCTGGAGGAGAAGATGATGCAGGAGGCTGAGAAGCTCAAGGCCCAGGGTGAGTACAGTCGGAAACTAGAGGAACGCTTTATGACCCTAGCAGCCAACCACGAGTTGATGCTCCGCTTCAAGGATGAATACAAGAGTGAGAACATCAAGCTGAGGGAGGAGAATGAGAAGCTGAGGCTGGAGAATAGCAGCCTCTTCAGCCAGGCTCTGAAGGATGAGGAGGCGAAAGTATTACAGCTCACAGTCCGGTGTGAGGCCCTCACTGGGGAGCTAGAAACGCTGAAGGAGAGGTGTGCTCAGGATGCCTGCCAGGCACAGGCGCGCGAGAAGGAGCTGCTGGAGCTACAGAGCCAGCAGGCCTGCACCCACACCAAGGAGACAGAACAGCTGCGCAGCCAGCTGCAGACCCTCAAGCAGCAGCACCAGCAGGCTGTGGAGCAGATAGCTAAGGCAGAGGAGACACACAGCAGCCTGAGCCAGGAGCTGCAGGCCAGGCTGCAGACCGTCACTAGAGAGAAAGAGGAGTTGCTGCAGCTGTCCATTGAAAGGGGCAAAGTGCTTCAGAACAAACAGGCAGAGATCTGCCAGCTTGAGGAAAAGTTGGAGATAGCAAATGAAGACAGGAAGCATGCGCTGGAGCGGTTTGAGCAAGAGGCAGTGGCTGTGGACAGCAACTTGAGAGTCAGGGAGCTTCAGCGCAAAGTAGATGGGATCCAGAAGGCCTACGATGAACTCAGGCTGCAGTCTGAAGCCTTCAAAAAGCACAGCTTGGATCTTTTAAGCAAGGAGAGAGAACTCAATGGCAAACTCCGCCATCTCTCTCCATAGGGAAGTTTCTGCTTCCTCTGGCCTGCAATTCAGAATTCAAATATTTGCGTCTTAGCATTATGGCAAGAGTAAAGATGATATCCCATTTATTATACTTTCAAGCACAAAAGGCAACTCAAAGAAAAGCTACTTTACTATGATATTGTTGTTATTATTGTAAAGCCATTATTAATTTTCATTTCTACACCTAGAATACACAAGATTTGCCAGATTTCCTTCTGTGCCTTAGAAATCTTAAATTTACTAGTAGTATCTTCTCCTACCCATAAGTTATTAATTCTCAACCTCAGATATCTTCATTTATGTTAGGATTTTAAATTAGCAGCTTCTATGATTTAAGTCAATCTAAGTGCAGTGAGATGTGCCATTGTGAAAAATAATTAGCACAATTACCCACTGTAGATAGTTAGGCTTATAGTCTCCCATAGTTGAGATTGTAAGCAAACATGTATCAGCATAATAGCATGAATGCTTTGCAGAAAAAAAAAAGTGTCTGACTTTATTTTATTTTGCGCTAGCTTGGAAAATGATTGAGATCAAGTTCTTTAACAAAGAAGGTCAATTTTATTCTGTATGAGCAATATGATTCAAATAAGTTATACAAAACAACTTTTATTTTTTCTGCAAGCTTAGATAATATTCCATTTTTTGGTTTTCTCTTTAAAAAGAGGATTTAGATGTGCAATAATGCAAATATCAGTAGCTTAATTTAATATTGCACGATATGCTAATAGACAATTAGACAATTTGGGGTAACAAATCATAGCAGACGTGATCTATAGAGTAACTCAGAAATTGTTTTGTTTCTATTAGCATATTTTTTGTAATTAAGATTTTCCTTTTTTAAAAAAATCTAAGCTGAACGTGTGTATGTATGCTTGCAGCATTTTTGTAGTAATACCTACATTTTGTAAGAATAGTTATAAAAACATGATATATATATATGTAAAGTTCTTAAAAAAGTTCTCAAAGGTAGTTATATTTTCTTATCTTCCTGTAATTAGGTATTGATATATAAACATTATTATGAATACCTCTCAAAATAGATTGTAATGTAATATTTTTCTCACCCATTTTGCTGAAGGCTACCAAGTTACATAATGAATTTACTTAAAAAATATGACTTGGTGCCTTTTTAGTAAAACCATTTCCAAGCAAGTGTTACCTTGCCTCAGGTAATTTTTTACACCCATTTTTTCACACTTCTATTAAGATTATGCTATTAAATACAAACTTTTCTCATCAAAATAGAAACCACACTGCTAGCTTCAAAGGACTATTTACTTCCTTCTACAGGTTACCAAGAATCAGAATATAGGAGCTAAGTTAATCATGGATATCCTTTATTGAGCCCATACTATTTATCATTGCGCTGAAGCAATTTGGATGAATTACTTTATTTAATTCTTAGGACTATTCAAGAAGGAAAGCGTGTTCATTTCTATTTTAAGGAAGAGGAGACTGGTTTTGGTAATTTTGCTTAAGGCCAGTTGGTCACTGGGGGAGCTGGATTTTGATGACTACAGCACACTGAAAGATAATTTTTGGCGACCAAGTGCCAGGTGCTGGGGTAGGCACTAAGAAGAAGCATAAAGAAGCATTTTTACTGCCCTGGAAGAGCCCCCATACAGTCTAAGGGCAAAAATAATAATAATAATTATTATTATTATTATTATTGTTATTATATACTGTGATCACAGAGGGAAAACATAGGCAGCATCTAGCCCTGCCTGGTGGTAAGGGTTGGGTTGGCGGGGAGGACTCCTAGGGATGATTAATTTCCTCAGGTGGAGAAAAGGGTGATGGGGTTGAGACAGCATCAAGTAGAAAGCATAGAGATATATTTAAATGCCCAGAATACTTGGGGGAATCATAGCAGTTGGGAAGAGGTGAAGAGAAGCATGTGTACAGATAAAACTGTAAACGGTTATGGTAGGTTGGGGTCATAATATAGGTGACCTTGAAAGGCAGGCTGGCCCGTTATGTGAGAGAGAGGGAGGGGCGCGAGAGGAGAGGCAAACGTACAAATTTAAGCCACGGACCCAGCCCGCCTTTTCCCACCCGGGCCCGTGCTGCTCTGCGAGGGGCCTGGTGCGCATGCGTGCCGACCCTCCAGCCTCTCTACCGCTCCTCCTCCCTCCCACAACCTGTACGTCCAAGCTCGGCTCATCCATCCCAAATTGCGGCCCCGTGGTAATCCTTGGGGCCTAAGTTTTGCGCCCAGCCTGCGGGGAGAAGTCCCATGGGCAGAGGCCGGACGGTTCTGGAAGCGGGCTGAGGGCCGTTTGGGTATGAATCCCGGAATTCCGGGTACTGGAGTGTGGTCTACAAGGGGAGTGGGCTCCAGGGACTCCACGTTATATGGGGGAAGAGCGCGTCTGGAAGATCGCGTTGGGGGGAGTAGGGCAGGGGGTAGGGGCGCGTGTCCCCTAAAACTCGGGCGCAGGGGAACGAGCCCAGTTGCCCTGGTCTGAGGACGGTACTGTTCCAAGCTGTGCTGAGGAGTTTGTGTACGTTTGATCCTTATTTGCCGTTTTGGAGATCCTAAGTCGTCAGATATGGGCCATTTTATAAGGTTCACCCTAATGCCCTTTCGAAAAATTTTGAAAGTGGGAAATGAGAGTAGAAAGCCAAAGATAGATGCCTCTGAAGAACAACCGAAGAAGAGCCCACAACATAGACTAAGAGAAATGTGCACCTATCATGTGTCAAGGTGCTTTTCATTCCACCCTCATAACAACTTTTCAAGGGAGGTTCAATTATCGCAATTTTACGGATGAAAAAAAAGGGAGACTAAGAGAGGATGACTTGTCCAAAGCCAGGAAGGTTTGGAGAGGCAAAAGTGAGTTTTGAACCTAAGGCCCTGGGTATGCCGCCTACACAGGCCCCCACACCTGGTTTAATGCTCACTGTTGCTGTCGCGAAATTCTTATTTATTTTTTAACAAGCGGCCCCATATTTTATTTTTTGTTCTGGGTACTATCAAGGAAGTAGCTGGGCCTGTTTTCTGGCTCTAAAACCCGTGCTTTCTCCCAGTATACAAACTATTCTTCTTAAGAGCCTTAAAAAGGCATTGTTTTCTTCCTCTGTGCTCCGTGGTACTTTGTATTCCACTCTGTCAGTCCTCATATTTAATCTGTGACCCAGAGCCTATTAAGGGGATAAGCAACCAGTTTATCTATTATGGTATGTTGCTCTATTAAGTGATGCTTATCACTGGAACAAACTGACAAAATGTAAATCGGCCTCCTCCAAACTACTGCCTTTGAGGGGAAATTTAAACAACAACACTGTTTTCTAAAGCAGACCTATATCCCTGCTGAATTTTTCTGCAACATCAACAAACAGTAGCTCTCAAACAAAAGCAGAACAGAGATCCTAAAAGCAAATAATGTATGAGTAGTGCCGTGTAGCTGATAGGTGTGACTTTTTGTTCCTTAAACTGTGAGCTCTTCAGGGTGCCCTAAGGAACTTGTCTGGTTCCAAAAAATTATGAAAGAGAGCTTGAAAAGAGGAGAGCTACAGGAGAAATGAACTGACTGGTATTTTCAGAATACTGACTCTGCTTCAGTTAGAGAAAATGAATTCAAGTTAGTTTGTTTCTAGTAAACAAAATATTAATAGAAAATCTTTGTCAACCTGACTCCATATATTAAATAATTATTTAAAGAAAGTTGTTTGAAGGAGTACCTGCCCAGGTGCCTGCTGTTCTACTCAGCCCTCCTTTCCCCAGATACCCATGAGGTAGCTGTGGGCTGAGTCAGGTCAGGGATATTCTGCTTTCCACTGTGACAAGACCAGCAGAGTTGGGCAGACTTGAGATATCACCTCTTGGTCCACAAAGAAAAGAGGATGATGACTCTTAACTGCTCCCCTAAAAGCCTACCCTCCCCCTCCAGACAGCTTGTCTGCCAGTGTCATTGGCCAAAATTGGGTCATATGCAAATACCTCAGCCAAGCTTCTTCATAGGGCATGTTGCCAGCATGATTGATTTAGACCAATCAGGATCCACCCTGAGATGGGAATGAGGCCAGTCTGTGCTACATAGTGGACGGGACTACCTGGCAAAGGCAGGGCTCTGCCAGCAGGAATGATGGAGGATGGATATTGGATGGACCATCAATAGTGCCTTCTGTGCTACATCTATTTAGACTGCCAGAGCCTTATCAGGCAGGGAGCCTTTTTAAATCCTTAATCACAAGTCTTGGCCTCTTAAAAAAGTTATTGGAATTTGGGGAAGTGGCTGAGAATAAGCTTTTCTAATCATTGTGTATTCCTAAGGACAAATTGGATGTTATTTTCTAAACACTAAAAACATTAAACTTAGGGACACCTAGAGCTGTACAGATGAGTCTCCCTACTTGATGCTGTTCTCTCTAAAACCTTCTGTTTATTCCACTTGGGAAAAATGAATCCAAGAAAAAACTTGTTCTTGCACAGATCTGTCTGGTCATTCATTACACATTCAACTGACTACGGTGCCCTCACAACACCCTTACTCCCCAGTCCCACAGAGGGACTCCTGCCTTAGCTACTTGCCAGACAGTTCCCACTTGATGATCTAATCCACTCTTATTTGTACTAGTCTAAAATAATCTTCACTTTCATGTTTAAGGTTATTCATTACATCATTGTTACAGCAAAAGATTGGAAATAGCTTACATACCATCAATAGGGAACAGGTTATATACCATCAATAGGGAACAGGTTCACACTTTGGAACACAGTGCAACTGTAAAACAAAAGGAAAAGGAAGCTGTTAATGTATTGATATAGAACTATCTCCAGGATATATGCAGAAAAAAACACAACAAGCTATAGAGCAATATCCATATTATACTATATTCTGTGTAAGGGGGAGAGGAGGAGAGGGGTATTAGCATGCAAACATTTCCAGCTGCATAAATGAATATTGGGAAAAAAGTTGTTCTTAGTGGTGTGGAAGCATATAGGGAATGAGGTGGTCAGGGTTAGGAATGGGAAAGAAACTTCTTAATGTATACCATTTTATATCATTTGACTTTTGAACTATGTGAATATATTACCTATTCAAAATATAGTAAAATTGAAAACAAAAATAAAAGAATCTTCCACATATCTGTTTAACTTCCCAATAAGCTATATTTCTGTTTAGGCAATTCAAAAGCCTGCACATTTTCCCCTCTCCAAGAACTGGGTAGGCACGGCATATTTTAGATAAAGCCAAATATGGCCTGACAGATCTGGGTCAGGACATTCAGCTGGAAGCTGCTGCTTCCACAAATGTTCAACCACATATGGCTAATGACAATATCTTTTTCGTCCCTAAAGAATGCCTCCCAATGATTAGTATTTCTCTCCTAGAGGTTTGGATGTGTTAGCTTCTCTCATGGATTTTCACGTGTCTGTATAAATCTTAGATTTTAGAGAGCCGGTTTTCTTATATACTCAAGCTTTTAGGATTTTGGTATTCATTTTTGTTTTTATGCTGACATACCAACAAAAGGTAGTGGAGGTAGATCAGCCATTCTGATCTTTCATTTCTGATCTTTCTGATCCTAATTGCTAACTCATTCACTGAATATATTGCATTAATTTAACAAATATTTATTGAGAATCTATTAGCCAAGACACTATGCTAAGTGGTAGGATACAATGTGAGCAAGATAGAGACCTTATCTTCACTGACTTTGCATCCTTCTGGATGAGAAACATGCTGAACAATAGGAGGACATGGAAGTGCATAGCAGGTTCCTCCAGCCTAATGTAGGAGTGATTAGAGGACGCTTTTCCTGGAAGTGGATGTAAGGTATCTGTAGAATGTGTAAAGACTGTCCAAGAGAAGAGGAAAACATGAGAGTACAGTAGCTTCGAAAGCTTCACAGTACCTCCTGTTCCTGATCAAGAAAACTGCCTTTCCAACAGCTGTACCATTCAGGGCTGCAGAATAAGCAGCTCCAAATAGACTCAAGAGATTCTCTGGCCAGATTAATCCCATTATGCTCACATCCACATTTACCTTAGTCCTTTCCAGAAGTCTGAGCCTTCATAATCTTACTCAATCCTTCCCCTCCCCCACCACCATTCCCATGCAAACTCTTTGAGAGAGCCCTTTGGAAACTCAGATCTATGATCAGCAAACCAGCTGAAGTATTAGTGCAGTAAGCAAAAGGGTGCATTGGCATAAGACTGCCTAGATTTAAATCCTGGCTGTTACTGGGTGACCTTAAATTAGGTCTTAGTGGGTGAAGAGGTACCCAGAAAGCTAAAATCTTCAGTAAGGAAGAGATATAAGGATGACATGGCATGAATTTCAAATTGGTATAACCATACAAACAAAAGAATTATCCAAAAGGCTTTAGAAAACAGTATTTTCAATGAATATCCTTAATGGAGTATATTCCAAGGACAAATAGAACTGCAAAGAAATCTTAGTAAATTTCATTCGTTAGTTTGTTAGTTGTAATATTGGCATTATATGAACATTTTTCTATATATTGATGCTAAAGCAAAAAATAATTATGTTAATGTTGCTAGGGAGAAAATTTTCAAGACTTAAATGCAGGTATTTAAAAAGTTAAGTAAAAAAATTATTTAATGTTTAATCAAATTTAAAATACCAGTCTAAACCCCTGACAGTTTTTCTGTTAAAAAAAAAAATACATATTCCCTAGCTCTGTCAACTGAAAGGCCTAGAAGCAATAAAAATCCAATGCAGTGAGCATCCCTAGGGCCTGTTTCTTGCCTCCCAAAACTGTTTTCCACTAAATTGAAGAAAGGCTCCCTGGAGGAGAGGCTGACTTCAGAACTGGTGTAGGAAAAGTACAAGATAAACCTGAAAAATCTAGGTGTGTCAGAAAACAAATTAACTATCAGAGACTAATGGAATTCTGTCAAATAGACAAGAGAGCTAAATTGGAGGGGCTCTCAATGGCCAAAGATGAAAAATATATAACCACAATTGAGTGAAACACTGAATATCATGATATACCCCCCAAAAAGATTAATTATAATTAAAGAGAATTAATTGAACATTTATTCTACTTTGCCTGTTCTCTGTATTTCAGGAAAACATATTGGCTCCTAAGTAATGAAAGTTGCTTTTCACAGAATAATTCCAGATAAAAGTAAAAAGGCATTTTGGAAATAATTGTGTTGTAACCTTGACTGAAATAATTTAGGAACTGATCATCATTAGATGAAACCATTAGGAGAGAGGTTAATGGGGAATTTTGCAGTGGGAGAATTAGACTGTCACCACTTGAAAACATTGATCAATCTTAGCATCACTAAAAACAGGACAGCTAAGTATTGTGTGCCTGCTGGTGCAATACAGTATGCAGAGCAGCACCTCCTAGGAAGTATTCTTGCCAAAAATGTTGAACCTTAAGATAATTAAGCCCTAAGAATTAACTTCCCATTTACATAAAATATGTGGGCTAGTGGGATAAGTAAAATAACACCACAAGAAAGCAAACAGGCAAATCTAGAATATGGGACATTCAATAGGACAATTGACCTGGTTTCACACAAAAGGCATTTGGGAAAGGGGGTGGGGGATTGCTGTCCTAGATTAAAAGAAATTTAAGAGACATAACAACCAACTGGAATGTGTAGAATTGTTTGGATCCCGATTAAGTCAAGTCATCTGTAGACAGACATTTTTGAGACAACTGAATGTGGATTAAATGATATCAAGAAATCCATAATAATTTTATTAGTTGTAATCATGGCATTGTGGCTACACAAAAAAATGACTTAAGCCGGGTGTGGTGGCTCACACCTGTAATCCCAGTGCTTTGAGAGGCCAAGGTGCGTGGATCACCTGAGGTCAGGAGTTTGAGACCAGCCTGGCCAACATGATGAAACTCCTCCTCTACTAAAAATACAAAAAATTAGCCAGTTGTGGTGGCTGGCGCCTATAATCCCAGCTAATCAGGAGGCTGAGGCAGGAGAATTGCTTGAACCTGGGAGGCGGAGGTTGCAGTGAGCCGAGATTGCATCACTGCATTTCAGCCTGGGTGACAGAGTGACATTCTGTCTCAAAAAAAAAAAGACAGAAAAAGAAAAAAATTACTTTACAGGCAGGCATAGTGGCTCACACCTGTAATTCCAGCACTTTGGGAGGCCGAGGCAAGCGGATTGCTTGAACCCAGGAGCTTGAGACCAGCCTGAGCAACATGATGAAATCCTGACTCTACAAAAAAAAAAAAAAGAAAAATTAGCCCAGTGTGGTGGCTTTCAACTGTAGTCCCAGCTACTCAGGAGGCTAAGGTAGGAGGACCACCTGAGCCCAGGGTGGTCGAGGCTGCAGTGAGCCATGTTTGAGCTACTGCAGTCCAGCCTGGGTGACAAAGTGACACCCTGTCTCGAAAAAAAAGAAAAAAAAAGTGACATTATAGTTAAGGATGTACACTGCCATGTATAGGGATGAAACGACATGATGTCTAGGATTTATTTAAAATATTTCAGCAATAAAAAAGAGATAAATCAAGTGTGGAAAAATCTTGATAATGTTAAATCTGGACGATGGGTCTATAAGGATTCTGTGTACTATTCTCCTCATTTTGTGTCAGAGTACAAATTTTCAGTATTTAAGAAATTAAAATTTTTAAAGTTTTGGGGTTCCTAAAGGAGGGAGCAGAAGGAATGATTTGGAATTGGCAATGAGAAGTAAGAGCACAACAGCCAAGTTCTGGCTCCGAGGTGCCCATTGCGGTGAGAGAGGAAACAACTTCCACTTGAGAAGTGGAGTCCTTGCTATCAGAATATGAAAAGCTTTCTTCCTACCCTTCCAAATCTTTCATGCTCAAACTTCTATGCCTGCTCCCTTTCCTCCACTGAAGCAGCAATTCTCAACTTGAGTGGCAGCAACTGTGAGGTTTGATTAGTTAGGACATACACTAGTAATTTCTCACTATTTCAGTTGGTTACAAATGATGGTAATTTTAAAATAAAATATATTCCAGATTAGTCCACAATAGTATAATTCTCATTCAGTTGCGTTCAGAAACGCTTTCTTGAGAAGGAGTTAGAGGAGTGGAAATATAATACAGCTAGCACACTGGGAATTGCACATTTCATGCAAATATGTATGTAGTGCTTGTAAACATAATCCAACAGTGCCCTAGACACGGTCAATCACCTGATTTCTTCAATTTTCATCCAGTCCTAATGTCCCCTCATGGTCTCACTACCCCTTACAAATTATACTTCATGGGTAGACAGGCAAACTAAAGTAAAATGAGCACCCTCGTCTCTGTACCACAGGCATACCTTGTTTTATTGCATTTCACTTTCTTCTGCTTCACGTATATGGCATTTTTTACAAATCGAAGGTTTGTGGCAACCATAAGTTGAGCATGTCTATCAGCACCATTTTTCCAACAGCATGTGTTCACTTTGTGTCTCTGTGGTTTGTAACTCACACTATTTCAGGCTTTTTCATTATTAATATCTCTGTCATGGTGATCTGTGATCATTGATCTTTCATACTACTATTGTAATTGTTTGGGGGTGCTATGAACAGCACCCATATAAGATGGCAAACTTCACTGATGAATGTTGTGTGTGTTCTGAGTGCCACTGACTGGCCATTCCCCAGTCTCTCTCCCTCTCCTTGGGTCTGCTTATTCCTGAGACACAACAATATTGTAATTAGGCCAATTAATAATCCTACAATGGCCTCTAAGTGTTCAAGTGAAAGAGTTATACATCTCTCACTTTAAGTCAAAAGCTAGAAATGATTAAACTTAGTGAGGATGGTGTGTTGAAAGCAGAGACAGGCTGAAAGCTTGGTCTTTTGCACCAGTTAGCCAAGTCGTGAATGCAGAGGAAATATTTTTGAGAAAAAAAATTTGAAGGAAATTATAAAGGGCCACTTCTGTAAACACATGAATGATAGGAAAATAAAACATCCTTATTGCTGATATGGAGAAAGTTTTAGTGATCTGGATAGAAGATCAAACCAGCCACAACATTCCTTTAAGCCGAAGCCAAACCCAGAGCAAGGCCCTAGCTGTTTTCAATTCTATGAAGGCTGAAAGAGGTGAGGAAACTGCAGAAGAAAAGCTGGAAGCTAGCAGAAGCTAGCAGAGGTTGGTTCATGAGGTTTGGGTATTCTGAAGGAGAGAGGAGAAGAAATGATTTGGAATTAGCAATGAGAAGTAAAAGCACCACAGCCAAGTTAGAGAGAAAAACCCATCTCTGTAACAAAGAAGGGCAAGGTGAAGCAGCAAGTGCTGATGGAGAAGCAGCAACAAGTTTTCCAGAAGATCCAGCTGAGATAATTGATGAAGGTAGCTACACTAAACAACAGATTTTCACTGTGGACAAAAAGGCCTTTTATTGGAAGAAGATGCCCTCTAAGGCTTTAGTAGTTAGAGAAGTCAATGCCTGGCATCAAAGCTTTAAAGGACAGGCTGACTCTCTTATTAGGGGCTAATGGGCTAATGCAGCTGGTGACTTTTAAGTTGAAGCCAGTGCTCATATTTACCCTTCCAAAAATCCTAGGGCTTTCAAGAATTATGCTAAATCTACTCTAACTGTGATCTATAAGTGGAATGACAAAGCCTGAATGACAGCATATCTATCTACAGTGTGGTTTACTGAATATTTTAAGCCCACTGTTGAGAACTGCTGCTCAGAAAAAAAGATTCCTTTCCAAATGTTACTGCTCATTGACAATGCAGTTAGTTACTCAAGAGCTGTAATTAAGATTTACAAGGAGATTAAAGTTTTTATGCCTGCTTACACAACATCCATTCTGCAAGCCATGAATCAAGGAGTTACTTCAACTTTGAAATCTTATTGTTTCAGAAATACATTAAGGCAAAGCTGCCATACACAGTGATTCCTCTGATCTATCTAAGCAAAATAAATTGAAAACCTGGAAAGGATTCACCATTCTAGATGCCATTGAGAACGTTTGTTTGGAAGTTTGGAAGAGGATTCCATCCTTTATGGATGACTTAGAAGGATTCAAGACTTTAGTGGAGGAAATAACTGCAGATGTGATAGAAGTAAGAAGAGAACTAGGATTAAAGTTGGAGCTGGAAGATGTGACTGAATTACTGCAGTCTCATGATATCACTTGAATGGATGAGGAATTTCTTCTTATGGATAAGCCAAGAAAAATGGATGGTTTCTTGGGATGGAATCTATTTCTGGTGAAGATGCTGTGAACATTGTTTGAATGACAACAAAGGATTTAGAATATTACATAAACTCAGTTGATAAAGCAGCCGCAGGGTTGGAGAGAATTGACTCCAATTCTGAAAGAAGTTCTCCCATAGGCAAAATGGTATCAAACAACATCACGTGCTATAGAGAAATCTTTCATGAAAGGAAGTGTCAGTTGATGCTGCAAACTTTACTGTCATATTTTAAGAAATGCCACAGTCACCCCAACCTTCAGCAACCACTACCTTAATGAGTCAGTAGTCATCAACATTGAGGCAAGACCCTCCACCAGCAAAAAGATTGTGACTCACTGAAGGCTCAGATGATGGTTAGCATTTTTAGCAATAAAATATTTTTAACTTAAGTTACGCACATTTCAAAGACATAATGCTGTTGCACACTCAGTAGACTACAGTATAGTGTAAACATTTATATGCACTAGGATACCAGAACATTCACATGACTCACTTTATTATGATATTCACTTTATTGTGGTGGTCTGGAATCAAATCTGCAGTATCTCCGAGGTATGCCTGTACATTTATCATTCTACTATATCTACTCAGAAAAACACTAACCCATTCCCTGCTATCACTGCTCCAATTCTCTGCTATAGAAAATCCAGTAAATGTATATGGGTGCTTGAGTACCATGAAGTCATGGTCTTTGGGGAGGATCTGATAGACTTGGATTCATCTATTCCAATCCCCCTTTCAATGTGCTTTTCTGTGTTGCAAAAACGTAAAAGCTGAAACAAAAGAAACACAAAAGCAAACTATATTTGCCAGACTCCTCTGCAGCCATATTTGGAAGGTGCAAATGAGGCAAGGACCCTTGGTTTCCTCCTTTGGCCATTGTAGCTGCTAAGTATATTCTTGTGGAGACATTGGATTTTTCAGTAACAGCATCTCGATGTCCATTCACTAGCTTTATAGGATGTGGTAGCCAGCCCCTTAAGATAGGCTCTCTAATGATTTTTGTCTCGTCCTCTCCCACCATGAATAAGGTCTGACTCATGTGACCAAAAGAATCTTACAAAAATGATGGTACATCATCTCTGAGGCTAGGTCATAAAAGGCATTGGTGCTTCTTCCTTGGTCTCATGGATCATTTGCTCTAGGTGAAGACAGCCATCGTGAAGTGTAGACACTCACACATGGGCCCACATGGAGGAGGAACTGAAACCTCCCTCCATGACCAACCAGTTAGCCATGTGAATGAGCCACCTGGAAGTGGATTCTTTAGCACAATTCAAGTCTTAGAGATCTGTGGAACTTTGAACTTGAGAGAAATGATTTAGGATATCTGGCAGAAGAAATTTCTAAGCAGCAAAGAATTCAAGAGGAAACAACACAAAAGTTTGGAAAATTTGCAGCCTGATGATGCAGTAGGAATGAAAAAACCCATTTTCTTGGGAGAAATTCAAGCCTGCTGCAGAAATTTGCATAAGTAACGAAGAGCAACATGTTAATCACCAAGACAATGGAGAGAATGTCTCCAGGGCATTTTAGAGACCTTCGAGGCAGCCCCACCCATGACAGGCCCAGAGGCCTAGGAACAGAAAATGGTTTCATGGGCAGGGCCCAGGGCCCCGTGCTGTGTGCAGCCTAGGGACTTGGTGCCCTGCATCCCGCATGCTCCAGCTGTAGCTAAAAGAGGCCAAGGCACAGCTCAGGCTATGGCTTCAGAGGGTGCAAGCCCCAAGCCTTGGCGGCTTCCACGTGATATTGAGCCTGTGGGTGCACAGAAGTCAAGAATTGAGGTTTGGCAACCTCCATCGAGATTTTAGAGGATGTATGGAAACACTTGGCTGTCCAGGCATAAGTTTGCTGCAGGAGCGGGGCTCCCATGGAGAACCTCTGCTAGGGCAGTGTGGAAGGGAAGTGTGGGTTCAGAATGCCCACACAGAGTCCACACTGGGGCACTGCCTAGTGGAGCTGTGAGAAGAGGGTCACCATCCTCCAGACCCCAGAATGGTAGATCTATCAACAGTTTGCACTGTGCACCTGGAGAAGCCGCAGTCAATGCCAGCCCATGAAAGCTGCCAGGAGGGGGCCTGGACCCTGCAAAGCCACAGGGATGGAGCTGCCCAAGACCGTGGGAACCCACCTCTTATGTCAATGTGACTTGGGTGTGAGACATGGAGTCAAAGGAGATCATTATGGAGATTTAAGATTTGACTGCCTTGCTGGATTATGGACTTGCATGGGGCCTGTAGCCCCTTTGTTTTGGCCAAGTTCTGCCATTTGGAATAGGTGTATTTACCCAATGCCTGTACCCTCATTGTATCTAGGAAGTAACTAACTTGCTTTTGATTTTTCAGGCTTATAGGCAGAAGGGACTTGCCTTGCCTCCAATGAGACTTTGGACTGTGGACTTTTGAGTTAATGCTGAATGTGGGACTGTTGGGATGGCATGATTGGTTTTGAAATGTGAGGACATGAGATTTGGGAGGGGCCAGGAGCAGAATTATGTTGTTTGGCTGTGTCCCCACCCAAATGTCATCTTGAACTGTAGCTCCCATAATCCCCACATGTTGTGGAAGGGACCCAGTGGGAGGTAATTGAATCATGGGGGCAAATTTTTCTATGCTGTTTTCACTGTAGTGAATAAGTCTCATGAGGTCTGATGGTTTTGTAAAGGGCAGGTCCCCTACATATGCTCTCTTGCCTACTGCCATGTAAGACATGCCTTTGCTTTTCCTTTGCCTTCCACCATGATTGTGAAGCCTCCCCAGCCATGTGGAACTGTGAGTCCATTAAACCTCTTTTCTTTATAAATTACCCAGTGTTGAGCAGTTCTTTGTAGCAGTGTGAGAATGGACTAATACACATGCTTATCCTCTACCTGTGTGTCTTTCCATTGTCTTCCCTTTGTGATTGTCTCTGTATACAAATGTTTTCTTTTTATAAGGACAAAAGTTGTGCTGAATTAGAACCCACCCTAATAAGCTAATTTTAACTTTATTATCTCTGTAAAAATCCTACTGCCAAGTAAGGTCACATTCTAAGGTACTAGGGATTAGGATTTCAACATGTCATTTTTGAGGGACGCAATCTAATCTATATGAATTCCTATCCTCCTCTTCAGTCTCAGCTGACAACCTCTTCTTCTAATCTATCGAGATATTGACACTACATTGTATTCTGGTGCTCCAGCTGAAAAATTTATGTATGCATGTCTCAGGGGATGAGTTGACATTCTTTTCCTATGGTTGGAAAATCTATGGTTAAAGAACTTGAGAGGCTGGGTGCAGTGGCTCACGCCTGTAATCCAGCACTTTGGAAGGCCGAGGCGGGTGGATCACGAGGTCAGGAGATCGAGACCATCCTGGCTAACATGGTGAAACCCCGGCTCTACTAATTTACAAAAAATTAGTTGGGCGTGGTGGTAGGCGCCTGTAGTCCCAGCCACTCGGTAGGCTGAGGCAGGAGAATGGTGTGAACCCGGGAGGTGGAGTTTGCAGTGAGCAGAGATTGCGCCACTGCACTCCACCTGGGTGACAGAGCGAGACTCCGTCTCAAAAAAAAAAAAAAAAAAAAAAGAACTTGAGATCTTATTGTGGGGGGGGGGGATTAAAGTGTTAGGGGGAAATAAAGAATACGAAACAAAGTATCAATGGCCCTCTACATGTCTGAAATTAATTTTCATTTTGTATTACATGCTTGCTAGAAACTTTCAGGATTTTTCTTCCTTCAAGTTCCAATGAAATGCTTGTGTATTTACAACATGTAATTAGTCCAGGCACGGTGGCTCACACCTGTAATCCCAGCACTTTGGGAGGCCGAGACAGGCAGATCACAAGGTCAGGAGTTCAAGACCAGCTTAGCCAACATGGTGAAACCCCGTCTCTACTAAAAAATACAAAAATTAGCCAGGTGTGGTGGCAGGCACCTGTAATCCCAGCTACTTGGAAGGCTGAGGCAGGAGAATCGCTTGAACCCAGGAGGTGGAGGTTGCAGTGAGCTGAGATTGTGTCACTGCACTCTAGCCTGGGCAACAGAGTGAGACTCTG
Source organism: Homo sapiens (assembly GCF_000001405.40). Taxonomy (NCBI): domain Eukaryota; kingdom Metazoa; phylum Chordata; class Mammalia; order Primates; family Hominidae; genus Homo; species Homo sapiens. Next base: position 85,669,829 of record NC_000011.10, on the reverse strand, counting down.
TCTCAAACAAACAAACAAACAAACAAACAAAAAACATTTAGTTAATTCAGTTGTAAATAGTGTGTATACGAACACATGTCCTATGATTTCTCTTCTTACCCACTCTGCTCCAACTTTTTGTCTTTATTTCTTAACACACTATTGAGGTTTTCAGCTGAAATCTTATTTCCTCAGAGAATTGTCCATTGACTATCCAATCTAAAATAATTATAGATTTATTTTCAATTGGGTGACCCTTTAACAAATCTCTGTATAGCATTTTTATAAAACTTTCCTATTTGCTATCTTCTCTCATTACAAAGTCGGCTCCACAAGAACTTTATCAACCTTGCCCATCATTATATCCACAATGCTTATAACAAGATCTAGCTCAAAGTAGATTGTGTGTGAGTGTGTGTGTGTGTGTGTGTGTGTGTGTGTGTGTGTGTAGAATGACTGAATAAATTATTTTCTTGCTTTGGTCTTGCAATTCTAGACAGATGCAGAATAATGTAGATACGTGAGATAAGTTTTGTATAACCTTTATTTAGCTATGAGAAGCTGAACAGATGTTTTTCAAACTGCCTCCCCAATATAAAAAACCCAATGTACAGGGTTATAAAGTTTAGGCTTCTCTCACAATTGTCTTAAGCTAGTGAACCTCACACAGTTTTTACATAGCTTTATGGCTCCTTCCCCCCAAAGACTTGGAGTATAGTTGAATCCTGACACATGCTGCAAGTCATTTAATAAAATAGCCATTCATGTTGTTAAAATCTCCATGTAAAATACAAATAGGAGCATGTTTCTTTTTTTTTTTTTTTTTTTTTTTTTTTTTTTTTTTTTTTTGAGACGGAGTCTCGCTCTGTCGCCCAGGCTGGAGTGCAGTGGCGCGATCTCGGCTCACTGCAAGCTCCGCCTCCCAGGTTCACGCCATTCTCCTGCCTCAGCCTCCCGAGTAGCTGGGACTACAGGCGCCCGCTACCACGCCCGGCCAATTTTTTGTATTTTTAGTAGAGACGGGGTTTCACCGTGTTAGCCAGGATGGTCTCGATCTCCTGACCTCGTGATCCGCCCGCCTCGGCCTCCCAAAGTGCTGGGATTACAGGCGTGAGCCACCGCGCCCGGCCGCATGTTTCTTAATCTAATAAAAATACTAATCTCAAATCAATAGCTAGATAGTTAAGGCATTCCTGTTAAAGTCAGGAATAAGATAAGGAAGTTGGCTACAAACATTATTATTAGACATGAATCTGGAAGTGCTATTTTATTATCAGTCAAGATAATAATAATAATTGCAAAGCAGGAAGCAAAAGAGTTATTATGTATAAGGTTATGTAATTATTAAAAATTGATAAATAAGCTGAAAATTAAAACAAGAAAGTTTGGTGCACTAGTCAGTTAAAAATTTAACAGAAAAGACAAATAGCTGTCCTACATAGTAACAATAACCATTTAGAAATAGAACGGAAGAAATAATCAATTTTATGCAAAGTTTGCATAAAAACTAGGTAAAGTTTGCATAAAAACTAGGTGAAAGAAATGAATAAATTTAATGCAATTTCCATAAAAATTCTAGCTTTTTTGAACTTGGAAAGTCTTCTAAAGTTATGTGGAGAAATAAATACTTAAGTATAGCTAGAAAATTCTAAGAAAGTACAAGTAACAAAGAGGGACTTGCCATATGAGATATGAGAATGTAATATAAACTCCAATAAAAAGTGGAGTGATTTTGCTTCTGGAATTGCAGAACTGATCAATAAAATAGATAAAGACCAGAAACAGATCCAAGTGTATGTAAGAATTTAATATATGGCATGTTGGGAAGTCAGTGGGACAAGTACGGATTATTCAATGAATTGATAAGTGGATTTTTTTTTTTTTACATAGTCTTACTCTGTCTCCCAGGCTAGAGTGCAATGGCGTGATCTTGGCTTACTGCAACCTCCGCCTCCAAGGTTCAAGTGATTCTTGGGCCTCAGCCTCCCAAGTAGCTGGGATTACAGGCATGTGCCACCATACCTGGCTAATTTTTTTCTAATTTTTTGTATTTTTAATAGAGATGGGGTTTCACCATGTTGGCCAGGCTGGTCTTGAACTCCTGACCTTAAGTGCTCCACCTGCCTTGGCCTCCCAAAGTGCTGGGATTACAGGTGTGAGCTGCTGAGCCTGGTCTTTGATAAATTGACTATTTAAAAATTACAGCCTGAGAAGCAGCTTTACAACTCCACCCCTAGTAAATGGTAAAATGATTTTTAAAAAAAGTTGGAAAATGTAAGAGACAAAGGGATGTTTTCCTTATAATGTAAAGAATTCACATAAATCAAGAAGAAAAAAGACAAACATCTTCCCTGAAGAACATTTTTTCCCTACTTCAAAGAAAAATGAGTTAGGGAAGTGAAAATCCTATTCGCATTAGATGTCAATTGGTCATGTGACAAACATTCAACCTTCCAATAATCAAAGAAAAGCGAATCTGGGCAGTTGCAGTGGCTTGCGCCTGCAATCCCAGCACTTTGGGAGGCTGAGTCGGGCAGATCACCTGAGGCCAGGAGTTCGAGACCAGCCTGACCAACATGGTGAAACCCCATTTCTACTAAAAGTACAAAAAATTAGCCAGGCATGGTAGTGGGTGGGGGTTGGCGGCGGGGGGTGGGGGGTTGGTGTCTCTCTATGTTGCCCAGGCTGGTCTTGAACTCCTGGGCTCAGGCAATCCTCTTGCCTCGGCCTCCCAAAGTGGTAGGATTACAGGTGTGAGCCACCACGCCCAGCCAAATCATGTGTATTTAAAACAAAATTTCGTAATTTAAAAAATATAATCAGTTAATAATATTGAATTTTGCCTAAGGGGAAAATGTAGTTGGATGGGATTACCAGCCATACAAAACACCTGTACTCAAGGGAGGCCAGAGTATACATATATCACCTTGAACTGTGTGCTCTTGTACTTTGGCAAAATCTTTCCTAATGGAATGTTAAGCAGGACAAGGAGTCCTTTTATTTATTCTTCTAGATACCACAGGTCATACTTTTTTCACACCTTGAAATAATTGTTTTCATTCAGGTGAGCTTTAGTGTTATGGCTTCAGTCAAAACTGTAGACTTTATTCACTCACTCACTCAATATTTGTTGAAGCCTATGCAGTACCAGGCACGTTTCTCAATATTTGGGACCTGTCAGTGTTCAACTTCCCTGGACCTTGCTTTCTGTGTCTCTAAGAAATACTGTATAGAAGCAGCTATCCTCGAGGATATCTACTACATTATTCAGTATCCTATAGAGAAGTTTCTTTAAGATTTAAGAACTAGAAGAGCAGTTAAAGAATTCATGTATATTTTACTCATGAACAAAGGAAAATTCATTTCTCTTTTTTTGTTTGGGCTGTCAGGAAACAATTTTTAGCCCAATTCAAACAACTGAGTAAGATATTGCATCCATCCAATTCCAAGATTAACCTTTTCCCCTTTCAGAAATCCTTCTCTTCCTAGTTCATCTTTTATTGGCCTTGCTTTTTAAAAATTCAAAATGTTTTGTTTTACTATATTCTAATGTACTTGTAAACTGCTTCAAATCTCAAATCCCTTGTGGGATGTGAACCTAAATATCTGTATTTGTAAACTGCTTCAAATCTGAAATCCCTTGTGGGATGTGAACCTAAATAACAAACAGAAAAGGTCTCTAAAATAAAAGACATGTTTTGAGAATGGAGCATTTCAGTGGGAAAACGCATGCCATAGTAAACTATGTGTGTATTCAGGAAGACGAAGGAAGACAAAGAGTTTTAAAGGAAAAAAAAATGAGGATGGTTACACATTGTTTTGAACTAATTATCTTAGCTACAAAGGTCAATAACAAGGGTGACGTCAGTTAAAGGTTGGACAGGCAGTTTCTGGGCAGACATCCTTGCAGAGGTTTTGTATAAGGTCGTGATGGTCTTTGTGCAACGTTGTGGTTTTTACAGTCTTTGTTTTCAGGCATACAAGCATGAGTACCCTCTCTTCATAGCCTTTCCTGGCTCTATTTGTCAGAGTTTTTGTTTGTTTGTTACCCAAATGCAGTAAGTCAGTACTGATTGGATTTTGGCTCAAGTGAAAACATCTACTTACAAAAATGGCAAGAACAACTGAAGACAATTTTTGTAAGCAATGTTGTATTCTACATTCATTTTGCTTTGGTTTTAATTTTTTTTAATTGACAAATAATAACTGTCATATTCATTGGGTACATAGTGATATTTCTATACATATGGAATGTAGTGATCAGGTTAGGGTAACTAGCATATCCATTATCCAACTGAGGACATCTAGTATGGCCCAGGTATTAAATAGTATTAGTAAACGATTGTTAATTTTCTGAAGACTTGGTAATAGTATTATGATTATGAAAAAAAAGTCCTTATTTTTAGAGATGCACACTGAAGTACGCAGGGGTGTGGTGTCTCATCTGCAACTTTAGGATGATTCAGCAAAAAAAAAATTTACAAGCATTTATGTAAAGATAAAGCAAATATAGCAAAATGTTGTGTTGAACTGTTGAGTCTGGGTATTGGGTGGTATTGAATTAGGGTGGATAAATCTAGAGACTTGTTATTTTTGCCGCTGTTATTATGACATCACTAGAAAGCTGGAATTATTCCCACTCTAAAGCACCCTGAAATCTCGCGACACTACGGCCTGGTGGCGCGCGAAACGCGGTGGGCGGGACTGGGGCGAAAACCACTGACTTCCGGCTACGCCGTTGTCTGGGTGGCGCGGTCGAGTCATCGCAGGGCCTCACCGCTTCGTTCTCCCGTCCCTCCCCGCGCCTTGGCGCGGGGGGTCGACTAGCCAAGTGAGGCGGGAGGCGACTCGGACCTTTCCCTGCATTTCGTTTCGGCCAGTGCCGGGGGCTACCCGCCCTGGGGCCTGGGATCCTTGGGGCCCGTGAGGCCCACTCTTAGCGGCCGGGGCCTACCGCGGCCCGCCGCTGGCCCTCATGAGGCATAGCCTGACCAAGCTGCTGGCAGCCTCGGGCAGCAACTCCCCAACCCGCAGTGAGAGCCCGGAGCCGGCTGCAACTTGTTCGCTGCCCTCTGACCTGACCCGGGCTGCAGCGGGGGAGGAGGAGACGGCGGCGGCCGGATCTCCCGGCCGCAAGCAGCAGTTTGGCGACGAAGGAGAGTTGGAAGCCGGGAGGGGGAGCCGCGGCGGCGTGGCCGTGCGCGCGCCCTCCCCCGAGGAGATGGAGGAGGAGGCGATCGCCAGCCTCCCGGGGGAAGAGACGGAGGATATGGACTTTCTGTCTGGGCTGGAACTGGCGGATCTCCTGGACCCCAGGCAACCGGACTGGCACCTGGACCCCGGGCTTAGCTCGCCGGGGCCTCTCTCCTCGTCTGGCGGAGGCTCGGATAGCGGCGGCCTGTGGAGAGGGGACGATGACGATGAGGCCGCGGCTGCTGAAATGCAGCGCTTCTCTGACCTGCTGCAAAGGCTGTTAAACGGTATCGGAGGCTGCAGCAGCAGCAGTGACAGTGGCAGCGCCGAAAAGAGGCGGAGAAAGTCCCCAGGAGGAGGCGGCGGTGGCGGCAGCGGTAACGACAACAACCAGGCGGCGACAAAGAGTCCCCGGAAGGCGGCGGCGGCCGCTGCCCGCCTTAATCGACTGAAGAAGAAGGAGTACGTGATGGGGCTGGAGAGTCGAGTCCGGGGTCTGGCAGCCGAGAACCAGGAGCTGCGGGCCGAGAATCGGGAGCTGGGCAAACGCGTACAGGCACTGCAGGAGGAGAGTCGCTACCTACGGGCAGTCTTAGCCAACGAGACTGGACTGGCTCGCTTGCTGAGCCGGCTGAGCGGCGTGGGACTGCGGCTGACCACCTCGCTCTTCAGAGACTCGCCCGCCGGTGACCACGACTACGCTCTGCCGGTGGGAAAGCAGAAGCAGGACCTGCTGGAAGAGGACGACTCGGCGGGAGGAGTCTGTCTCCATGTGGACAAGGATAAGGTGTCGGTGGAGTTCTGCTCGGCGTGCGCCCGGAAGGCGTCGTCTTCTCTTAAAATGTAGGGTCAAGTAATCTGCTCTTTATCCGCGTTTACCCCTTTCAACTCCCTTACACCATGTCAAACTTACCTTAGTGGGACATCTTCACCGGACACATTTCAGAGGAGAGAAAAAAAGTAATATTGAATCTTAAAGTGTTTAGCTAAAAGCATGAATGTGACACAGTAACCAACTCCTAATGATAACATGTGACTATTAAATCTCTCTGACAGTTTCTTTTTTAGGTGATTTCCTTCCTGCCAGGCTCCGTTGTAGGGGTTACAGAACAGTCGTTCCCGCCTCACAACCTGGTAAGGATCCATCTCTTCCCGTAACGCTCATGCTCTGCTGCTTTGTCTACTTTAATGGGCAACATCTCAGTTTGTGTGTGTGTGATTTTTTTTTTTTTTTCTGTTTTGGAAGGTGGGAGGGAAATCTAATTTGGGCCCTGTCCACCCTGGAAACAGACTTGTGCTGGTCAAGAATGTATTTAAGATGCCTCTTCTGGTTGAAATAGCTATTAATGTGTCCCCTTATTCAGACTTGCGTGTACCTAGCTCTTCTGTCCCCAGTGTGGACATGGCCTTGGATGACATCGGTTCCAACTGTACACTGAAACCTGCTTATAGAGAGACAGTTTGGAGACAGTGAAACAGGTGAAGTTGAATGGAAGTTCCGAGTTGTACAAGGTGCAAATTGGAATTCCGATTTTAGGGCAACTTTTCAGAGGTTGACAGTTAAGTATTTGGGGCATGCACAAATGTGATAGTTATTTTGCTGGAGGTGACAGGTATCTCTTAAATATCAACAATGCCTTTTAGTTTTCAGTATGAGATATAGAAACAGTCTATAATGGAGTAACATTTTAATGTCTCACCATTAGAGAAGTTGGAAATTAACATACATATGAGACTCCTGCGTTTTAGTTAATTGGAGAATAAGAATGGCTAATGTTTCTTTGAGGACCAGCAGTGATTACCCTATCACTGAGATTGAATAAATTGTTGAACATCTTTATTTTTGTTGTATTAAAATTTTAGGTTAAATTTATATATGTATGATTAGATATTGAAGGTTGTGAAATGTGAATGAAAACGTGTAAAGTGAGGCTTCACAAAGAATCTTATTCTCTGTGTTTCAAAAGTATTTGTCCTATTTTAAAATAATTTTTTAAATTGAGTGGTTCTGGCCACTTAAATGACACGATTGGTACTATTTTCCTAAGGTGGGATTTATTCCCTTGAATCTATTAACCAGTTGTATAAATTGAATTATGGTGTCCTTCAGTGTAAGAGGCATTAAGAAATTCTTTGTGAAACATCACTGCTTGATAAAGTATATACGTATTTAGCATCCTTGTTTTTCTTTGTGCTAAAGTGGATACAGCTGTTGGGGCAGAAGAGACGGGACCAGCTGCTGGCCACATTTCCTGCTTTATTTTAAAAGGTAGTATAAGAAATGAGGAAAAAGAGGTAATATCAGGGCTTCTGCTGTTTTTTATTTTTAACATGTTCATAATTAAAAAGTATTTTCCAGCAGTCCAAAGATGTAAGTTATCTTACACATAAAATGTTTTATTTTGTTATTTGGTTATGAAAATGGAATCCTTGTTCTTGCACAACTGTAAATGTTTTGTTGCTAGATAATACGATTTGAGACCTGAATTGGTCTTTGGTTTCCAGTGCATCACAGCATATTTTGTAAAATCATCTACTACTGCACTTGAGCATGAATGGGTAGTAGCCAAACTCACAAATTGGAGTGATGAACCTGCTTATACCTAAGGGCAGGAGCAAGCCCCTCACAATGCAGCTGCATGGGTTTTTAGTGCCTACTGAATTATATATATATATACATATATATATATATATATAAACCAAAAGTAGTTGGAAAGATTATTTGAAATGACTAATTTGTGCTATCTTTATGAAATATGTTAAATGTAGCTTTTTTGAAACAGAAGCCTTGAATTGAAATTTAACTAATACTTGAACATTTTGTATATATTTCTTTGTATATAATTTTGTGCAGTACCAATGACAAAAATATGGTGTCATAATAAAACCAGGTTTGTTGATCTTTTAGTTATGGGCTCAAAGAATTTATTCATCTCTAACATGATATTGGAAAATAATGGATGAAAATAGGAAAAATGATTGTTAATGCTGACTGTGGGTCTTAAAAGGTTCTGGAAAGCAGTAAGTTCATTTTTCTAAAAACTATAACATTCTGTTGGAGTATTTTCTTCCTTACGTCAATACTTTTCCTGCATTATTTGAAATTGTGGGCTGGGGAGAAACAGTAGTCAAAGCTTTCTGAATTGAGATACTTTGAAATTCCAAGTGTAGATTTTTAGAATGTCATTTTATAAATGGCAGTTTTTGGAATTACTTGATAAGAACTTTTGAAAATGGAAGGATTAGTATGGCCTATTTTTAAAGCTGCTTTGTTAGGTTCCTTATGTTTTATTAACTGTCTTTTCTCAGTTTCCATTTCATTTTTTTTTTTCTAGTTTTGGTGACTTAGTGATTTTGTCATTTTTTACATCAACTTCATGGTCTTGTTTTTACATGGTAATTGCATGTACTTAGGATCTATCTAATAGGGGCTTTAAATAAATTTGGTCATATTTATGTGTAAGCACATTTTACTGTAAATGTTTGGGTTTCTGAATTTAAACAGATCTGTTTATTTCAGTATGTAGTAAACAATATCTTAAAGTGTCCGATTCACTACTTGTTAATTAAAAAAGTTATGATTAATGTGAAACTGTTGTCTTACTATTTTTAGAAAATTGTGTTCTGGATGATTAGCACATGGATAAAGGAGATTTCTGGAATATAAAATGGATTGTTTTTGAAATTTCTAGGTTTGGCTCTATTTACTGTAATGGTTGAAAACAATTTAGTATTTGGGTGACCCTTTTGTTTTTCTTCTAAATGTGCCTCTGGTAAAATACAGAACTAGACTAAAGATGTAGCTTTTTAATATTTGTCTTTTGATGGTGGCAGGAGTTCATACATTAATTGAACTAACACATCATATTTTGACCTACTATTTCTATCATATTGACTTACTGTTTCTGCACTTCTTTGACCAGACTTATCTTAAAAAGTCCACTTTTGTTAAAATGTAGTCACACCTCTGATATAATCCAACAAGAAGTGTTCAAAATATTTTAAATATTTGTGCATTTTATAATCACTAAATTAATCTCTCTCTCTTCTCTTTGAACAGCTTAGCAGTGTCTGCAAAAACGAATCTTTTCCTACAACCTGTTAACTGACTGGACTGTTGGTAACAAAGTAATTGTGAGAACCATGTCGGTCAAAAATTTGGCATCTGCTGAAAAAAATGAATGCCATTTTCAAGTTCCCAAATTACTTCTATACTGATTTCACTTTCCAGAAATGGAGATATGAAAAGATTCTCTGGAATCCTTGAAAGACTTAATAGAGATACATGAGACTAAGTTAATCTTGGAACAAAATTATACTTTTTTTGTCTTTCATGGGAGTGATACTCAGTTATTGCATATCTTTACAAAATTGTAACCTTTGGAGAATTACAGTATTTCATCAAGAAATTAGAGTTTTTACATAATCAAGAGCATATTCTATGGAATTAACATTTAGTGGACTAGAATTACATAAGCAGGCCATCAGTGATCACAAGGCATATGAGTTTGTATTTATTTCCTGGAACATGAGAGCTAATTTGGAGTACAGACAGACACCCTGCTGAGTAGAATATAAAAGTTAATGTAAAGTTCTGAACTATAAAGAGTAGTCCTTTTAAATAGATGCATTGATTTGTATATCTTTGAAAAAGTTGATTATGATTAAATGTGTGGGTAGTTAATTACAATTTAGGGTAACAACCAGGATGTATGGATTCTTGAGGTTTTGGCTTCTTGAGCTTTCTCTTGAGTACTTGATACTGTTTTCTGAATATTTTGAGGTTTCTAATTAATGGTATGCTAGTTTCTACTGTTTTATATAAAAATTTATCTAGTGTTGTATAAGGACTTTAGTATTGTGGATGATGGGAGTGGCTTTTTGTGGCATATGGTTGTTTTAATTGAAATATTTTTTCAGTTTATTACAAGTGTGAAAAAACACTCAAAACTCTGGATTGTTTTATTTCATTTTTGTTGGATTATGTTAATACATTCCTTCACGTGGTTTAGATTGAGTCATTTTATCTCACTTACTTGGAAATGTGCAGCTGATAGAAGAGGGATTGGGTAGGAGATTGGCTTTTACTTCATAATAAATATACAGTTGGTTATTGTATTATTCAAAACTTATTAAATCCATTCAGTTTCTTACCATTTTAAGTGTATTCAGTGCCTGTGAAGCCAGGCAGCAGAGTATTCCCACTGGCTTAAAACTTAGGCGCTGATGCTCCTACAGTACAGCTAGTTATAATTCCAGAACCAAAGGCACCAACATTATTTGGTGACCTTAACTACTACTTTGATAGAACAGACTGGGTAATTCACTGATAATGAGTCATTACCTTTTTAATATGTGATTATCTAGTTCAGCATTTTGAATGTGTAGTTTAAGGTCTGATTTAGTAAAATTTTAAAGCTAAATAATCTGATGACTCTTGAAAGTTTAATTGGTAGTATGACATTTATGTTTTTTTCCCCCAGACTCACAGCCAATACAAAGTTTTGAGACTCCTAAATGTTAATATTTTTGCTGTTTTTCTGAGCTGTTTTTTTATTTACTTACCACCTAAGCTGCGGATCAAAAAGGGAATTCTTCCATTAGAAATTTGTAGTGTTGTGTGGCCAGCACAGTATTTTTCAGATTTGAATTTCAGTACCTCTGTGTAGCCTCAGTACTCTCAACACCAGTCACTCTTTATTGTCTTAAAATATTCCATACTTTTTGTTGACCCAAAATTGTTGAAAATATTTTGCTCAGTTTTCACAATGAACTAATTGAAAAGTGTAGTTACTGTGTTGTAAACATTTGTGTAGTTCTGTTAATACACTGATTTGAATTTTATTTATCTCAACTTCCTTTAGCGTCTGCCTCCAAATTTTGTCTTTGCTGTATACCCACTGAGATCAATTCCCTAGACCCCTCTGGCTCTTAGTGTACTATAATTTGGGCTTTATAAAATATATTGTCTTAATTTAAATAGAATGTGAGCCCTCTTTTTTTTTTTTTAAGCCAAATAACTACACAAAGTAAATTATAAAAGATTTAAATAGTTTGTCTACAGTGACTAGACTGAAATATAAAAATTGATTGAGGGTAGTTTACTTCAGGTGTTAGCTACAAATGACTAAATGTCCTTAAATAATGCAGATATCTGCCCTCTGAACAAAAATTTTGGCAAAGTAAATTTGTAGCAACAGACTTAACATGATTTATTGCTTATGTTGCCCATTTCTGCTAATGGAAAAGATAATTTAAAAATATGTGGCAGAGGACAGATATTAGAAATACTTTTTGGTTACAGAAACCATTGTAAACTCATCCTCATTTATAAATGGTATTATGCTAGGGAGTAATTGGACTAGGAATGTTTAAAGATAAGTAAGGAAACAATGTGTGCTCAATCGTCAAAGAACTTAGTTATATCATTGGGCTTTGAATTATCTAAGTTGATTACATAATTCTATATTCTTAAGGAGTCTTAACTCGGTACTTGGGTTAACGCCAGAAATTACTTTTAATTCATTGTTTTTTTCACTGGGATGAGTAGAACTCTGCTTTTAGTAAAAGTGACAGAATATAGGTAAAATGGATGATTTGGGATCAGAGCTTTTCATCTTGATATTTTAGCCTGTAAAATAAACAGCTATATTGTTTTGCCCTTTAAATGTTATATATATTTTTCTGTCTTTCTTTCCCTAGTTGTAAAAGTAAAGCATATTCTTTATAGAAAACTTGGAATATCCTGAAAGGAATCAAGAAGAAAAGAAAAATCACCCTTATAACTCTATAAGCCATAGAATATCCACAGTAAACATTTTGGCATGCTTCCTTTCAGTCTCTTGTGCACATAGATTCTTTTGCCTCATAACTGGGATCATTTTTTATATAAGTTTGGTAGATAATATATTTTATGTGCCTGTTGAAAGAACAAATCATCTTTGCTTTCTGAAAAATTGAGATTGTATTTTATTAATTTCACATGAGTTTTTCATCTTTGGCAGCACAGCTTTATGTTTTTCTTTAAACAGAAGCTAAAGGCCAGTTTCACTCACAAAGATGCCTTTTCTAAATTATAATTTTAAGTAGCATAAGATGACTTAACAGATATGTCACTATTTGGAAGTAATAATTAAGAGATTCATGAATAATCTTGGATGCCACTTAAAATTTTGTTTGGTACTTTTCTGTGATGATTGGCTTGCTTCATAAGTGTTGGTTTAGATCTACGCTGTCCAATACTGTAAGCATTAGTCACGTGGCTAAACATTTTAAATGGTTTAAAAGTAAAAATTCAGTTACTCAATTGCACTTGCCACATTTCAGGTGCCCAGCCGCTACATAGGCTAGTGGCTAACATATTGACTGTGCAGATAGAAAATATTTCCATCATCACAGAACGCTCTGTTGGAGAATGCTGATTTAGTTGCTGTCACAAAATAAAATGGTTTAGAGAACTAGGATGAGAAATGTTAGGAGAACAGAAGAAAGCACATCAAAAATTTAAATGATCTTAGGAAATGAACCAACTAGGATATTTCACTGAGGGTCAGAGAGATTAGTTAATTTTGTGATTCTAAATATGCCACAATAAATGGAAGCTTGAAAGACTACCTAAACTAAAAATACAGCTTTCTAAATAAGGTGACTCGAAGTAGGTAGGTCTATATCATAATAGCTGAAGCTGAGCCTGAATGACTCAAGAAGATGATTGATTTGAGGAAGGTTGTTAAATCAGTTCTAAGAATCTATGGATTAATAATTTGAATTGAGAAAGTGAATTGTGAGTAACATTTGGTATAGTATATTGATAGATATTTTTTCATTTTTTATTCCTGTTTGTCATTATGAAGTCTTCAGTGTAAAATACTATATAGTTACTTTTTCCTCTTGTGTTACAGACCAAACTCAACGCCTAAGGTAGAACAAGCAAGGTAGAAGAGACAATACTGGGCAAACTCGTGAAGTTAAACTTGTTTAAGTGGGTAGCTTTTACTTAGATTCAGCCTTTTGTTGCCCTGTGTAGCCTTTTGTTGTAGGTCCCAGAATTATACCTCGTGATAAATTACAAGTCTATGTTTATGCATAACATTAGACATAACATTAGACATAAACTGTTTTTACCATTTTATTTTTGTTTACATATTTGTTTAAAATCAGTGAATTTCTTTGCCAGGTTCAGATAACTGAAGGGCCTTTATAAGTAGTTTATATTGTTCAGACCCAAGGTATGCTGAAAACATAGTCTGGAGCAAAATAGGAAATAACATCTTTCTAAAGACAGGCTTAGAAGTTCTAATCCAGTAACTTAAGATGTTCCCTTTGTGTGGTAACAGAGCTGATTGATACCTGTAAGAAAACATTGAGATAGTTCAATAGAAAAGATTGTTGCATCAAATGGCAAACCCATCTGTGATACATATTAGTCCTAGAAGTCTTAAGATAAAACTGAATATTAAAGTAAAGGTCTTCAGTGTCTATTAATCCTAAAAACTTTTGTTTCTTTATCCAGTTTGCTTCAAGGCTATAGCATAGATTGCTGATGCAAGAGTTCAACAGAGAATAGCCAGAATTATTTTAGAATAGAAGGCTAATATAACAGCTAGACATTTTCTGATGGAATTTTCCTTTAGTGCAAGTGTTCAAACTCATCCAAGATAATTGTTTATATGATAGAAGTTTCATGCATAATACTGTTTGCAGCTTTGTAGTTAGTTTAGTATTCAGTACACAAATTAAGGTTAATAGCCTAACTACACACCAAGTATAACTGTTTGAAATTCTTGATAAGTAGAATTTCATTATAAGAAAAAACAGGTCTTGCTAACTTCTAATCAAGAGGGTAACATTGCCTTTGGTCTAAATGCCTTAAAAACAAAATATATTTGCTGCTTTAAGTTGTGAGTTTTATAGGTAATCACATATTATAAAAAGTTTTTTATTTCCTACCTGGCTGCTAGACCACCATTTACAGGTATAGCCAAGAAAACAGGGTATAGACCACCAATAACAAGACCAGTCAGTCCACTCCGTGTTATGGTACAGGTTTCACAATCCAAATCACCTAGGAAATAAATTAGTCATAGAAATGAAGGTCATGATAGTCAAGCAAACATGATTTAAAGAATGTAAGATCCTCTTTTGTGTATCACAGGTATTTTTCAGGTAATATATCAAATGTAATTGTACAAAGCCTGTTAAAAGGTATAATTACATCTATGAGTAACTTAAAATAGCTAGGAATAATTGGTAAAACTATTTTAGGAAAAAAAGTTCTCTAATTTGTTCTCAACTTAGATATAATAATCTCATGGTTTGGGCTACTGCTAGCTTTCTGCCTTGTTTTTTATCAACAGACCTAGGCTAATATTTTCACTCAGTCTGTTCAATTAAATGGGCGATAGGTCTTCCTTGATCATAGAAATTGTTTCCACTGGTCATGGGAATTAAAACAAAATACTCGTCAAATTTAAACAAATTTGGAGCAGCACTTAACAAAATTTAGATGGACTGCCTTCCCTAGCACCCATGGTAATATTTTTATTTGAAATAATTAATCAAAAGTTTTTTTTATGATTAACTGTACTCAAAGTATTCAGCACACATGGTAGATTTTCAAAAGGAAATCAAATCTCCATGTATTTGATAAATGTATATGCATTTAGTGCTTTAAGAGATTTACTGTATAAAGAGTTATTCCCATAAAAATATTTTCCCCCTTTAAGGAACTTCTCTATAAAATATAAATAAAAAATCTAAGGTAGCCAACATATTATTTATATACATTTGTATATATATAATATTTCCATATATATAATTTTCATATATATGTATATATGGATTTCCAAATATTTCTTACTCTAAATGAGCACTGTGAGAAAGATATGTTAGAAAAAGGGAAGTATTGCCGGGTGCAGTGGCTCACGCCTGTAATCCCAGCACTTTGAGAAGACAAGGCGGGTGGATCACCTGAGGTCAGGAGTTTGAGACCAGCCTGGCCAACATGGTGAAACCCTGTCTCTACTAAAAATACAAAAAATTAGCCGGGCATGGTGGTGGGCACCTGTAATCCCAGCTACTCAGGAGGCTGAGGCAGGAGAATTGCTTGAACCCAGAAGGTGGAGGTTGCAGTGAGCCAAGATTGCGCCAGGGCACTCCAACCTGGGCAACAAGAGCAAAACTCCATCTCAATTAAAGAAAAAGTATTTAGAACTGCTGTGTATGTGCATCTTGGTTGGTAGACCATACTAATATGAATTATTTGCCACATTATATAGGCTAGCAAGATTTAATCTTAACTGCATTACAGCATACAGCTACTTGATATTAATAAGTATGGACTAAAGCTGCAAATAACATATACTAAGGCAAACTCTTTGGTGATAGTGAAGTAGAATTTACCTGTATTCAAAGGAAAACTTACAAAACATCTGTAAGTTAAGTCTGTTGTAAGAAAAGGTATCCCTGCCATTGGTAAGCCAGCAGCTATGCGAGCCTTTGTCACATTCAAGATGCGTCGAAAAAGACTGTTTGCTATGAGGCCACAAAGAGCAGCATTTAATCCAACATAAACCGATCCATTTTCAAGTAGATTCCTGAAAGGGTGAGAAGAAAGAACTTTTCTTTGGCATTATTGTGTGTGTGAGCTTTCCCGATCTTGACATGTGTTATAGGACTTTGGGAATACACTAACTGGATACGACATCTATCCCTTATAGAACCAAAATCTTAAAAATTGCTTTATATATAGGTTTTTGCTCTTCTCCCAGCAGCCAGTGGGTGCCTCTCCTGAGCTCCCATAATAATTAATACTTAACCTCTCTAGCACAACACATTACAAGACAGTACTATCTTATATAATCACCGATTTACATGTCAGGCTTCTACACTAGTCTTTAAACAACCAGAAGACAATGGATACAAAGATGTATTCAGCCTGACACAGAAGATGTTCAATAATGTGGAGTTAATGTGATTTCTTTCACTCTTCCCTGAAACATTAGTGTCAGGATTGGGAGTATTAACATTTAAGCAATACCCTATGCTAGGTACTTTATAACAACCCATTGATGAGAAATAAACTGATGTTTTCAGGTAGTGGTAGAACTGGATTTGAAGCCAGGTTATGTATGAACTTTTAACTTATGTCCTATGCATTCTTTAGTTTTGGGAAAAAGTAATACCTAACATGATTGCTGAATATTGAAAATACTGACTCCAAACTTTTCAGACTACGACTTAGCTTTTTTACCACTTACATTGCCATCTACAATACAGTCTTAAGATTTTCATTACTCTTAACTAGCCAAAGTAGCCACAGAGTACCTCCTCTAACTTCTATGGCTTACACTCATCTTAAAATAGCTTTTCTAGGAACTCAGCTTCCTACGTTGTATAAGGTATTGCTTTTCTTATCTGACACTTTGCAATCATGATGCCTGTCACTCATTGAGAACCCCACTGTATGCAGCAGACTTAGTGCTAAAGGCACAAAAAATTACCTTCTATCTTCAAGGTTAACATAGTTAAATATTACTGGAGAAGAAAGAGATGTAAACGAGATATAACAGAAGTCTATGAAAATGGTAATGGTGGTACAAGACAGTGGCAGTTCAGGAACTTGGAGTACATAGATTATAATTAGTGATGACAGTCTGGAGAACCTACCAACCACAAAAACCATGTAAATGTGAAAAGCCTATTTTTTTTTTGTGGGGGTTGGAATAAAAAACTTGAACACTTCCTCTAAAATATTTCATCATAAAAATCATGTGAAATGTATATTATCCCCATTTTAAATCCCAATGCTCAGGTAAACAATTTGCCTGTATGTATATATAATATATATAAAATACATATATACATGTTATATATAAGTCCATTTGTTTACAAGTATGTTACATATACAAATAAATAAAAAGTAGTACAAGTGAAATCTGCATAGCAAACTTTGCTCTCTCCCAACCAGATTTTTCCCATAGCTAAGGTCAAAATGTTTAGTTAATTAAAAGTTAGCACAAAATTGTTACCTAGCAGCCCCTTGCCAGTTTTCCAAAAAAGTACCTATACCAACTAAAAACTCATGACTTTTTGATAAGACATACACAAGAAATAGACATGAAATAGCCCAAATTTAACAAATGACAAACATGTACGTGAAAGTATTGCTGTAGATCAGAAAATGAAGTTTTTGATATTAAGAAAGCTCCATACACTGAAGGACATGCCAAGTAACCATTAAATACCTGATTAATAATCCAAGAAGAAATGAAGATTTAAACTTAGAAAATAAAATGGGAATGAAGAGAAAAAATAGGAACAAGGCAAAGATAACAGGACACTGTAATCTGCCTAGTTTAGATGCCAATGATTGAAACATTTATTGCCTCTAAACTAAATTTTACTTTGCAGTTCCAGGTATTCTTTCTAATTTGGTAAAGAACCCAGTGACAGACTGCTTTCTTCTCTTCAAAGCTGCCACCATCTACTCTTTTTTGAGACAGTCTTGCTCTGTCGCCCAGGCTGGAGTGCAGTGGCATGATCTCAGCTCCATGCAACATCCGCCTCCCAGGTTCAAACAATTCTCGTGCCTCAGCTTCTCCAGTGGGTAGGACTACAGGCACGTGCCCCCACATCTGGCTAATTTTTGTATTTTTAGTAGAGATAGGGTTTCGCCATGTTGGCCAGGCTAGTCTTAAACTCCTGACCTCAGGTGACCAGCCCGCCTCCGCCTCCCAAAGTGCTGGGATTACAGGTGTGAGCCACCATGCCCAGCCTACTACTCTTTTATTAGTCTTTCTCACTTTCCCTATCTTGCTGGCCTGGAAACATGGACATAGTTCCTTTTTTGCTTTAAAAGGTTTTCCGTTACCTCAGGAAAACAACTAGAAGGGAGTGGAGTTGGAGTGTGGGGAGGGGGGGTGAAAGAGCTTTTAAGATCTCACCAAGTTCTTACTACTGGCCTTTTTTTTCTTCCCCTTGGAGATCCTTGTTCTGAACACTACTGGTCTTGATTTATGGGTTCTCCCTGATTAAGATGGTAAGTGGCAGCAAGATGGGGATTTGTTCAGTTTCTATTCCTGAAGATAGCAAGATTATGCTTCCAGAATGTATTTTAAATGCATCCTCTTTTCATCTCAGCTGTCACCACCCCTACCATCTCCACTCACCAGGATTACTGTGCCATTTTTTCTACTGGTATTTGTGTTTCCTTTCTTTCCTACCTCAAATCTGCTTTCCAAAAAGCAGCTGGAATGTTCTTTAGAAATGCTAACATCATCCCCCTGCTCAAAACTATTCCTGGTCCTTACTCCCACTTCCTTAGTACTTCGGTAACAATGGTTACTCAAGTACCACAAGCCTTGGCTATCTTGTGGCTAGGCATATGCCATTCCCTCTACTTAAGACACTGTCCCTCTCTCCTTCCCAGGTGGCTGCTTTTCATCCTTTTATAGTCAGAGAGACCTTCTTGACTGTCAACAAAGTGTAAGACATTTTGTGGAAGTACACATTAGCTGCCTGGCAAAGATTAGTATGTTCCCTATATTGGTTTTTCTCTTTAATATCTTTTTTTTTTTTTTTTTTTTTTGAGACGGATCCTCACTCTTGTCGCCCAGGCTGGGGTGTAGTGGTGTGATCTCGGCTCACTGCAACCTCCGCCTCCCTGGTTCAAGCAATTCTCCTGCCTCAGCCTCCCAAGTAGCTGGGATTACAGGCACCTGCCACCACGCCCAGCTAATTTTTGTACTTTTAGTAGAGATGAGGTTTCACCATGTTGGCCAGGCTGGTCTGAACTCCTGACCTCAGGTGATCTGCCCACCCTGGCCTCCCAAAGTGCTGGGATTACTGGCGTGAGCCACCATGCCTGGCCCTCTTTAATAATATCTTAAAGATCTTTAGCCATGATCCTATTTCTCTGACATTCTCTATCTTGCTATGTGTGTTCTATGGTACTCTTAGACTGGTAAGCATACTGACAGAATGAACTGGGAAAAAAAAGACATTTTAAAAGTTAAAGTTTTGTTATTTAAATGGGTCTGTAAATGTTTACATTTTACTATACTCCAAGCCTAATGGAAAAACTCAAAACATTATACAATTAGGTATGTCCAAAGACATGAGTTCCAGCCTCACCTTCCACAATTAGCTATGTGATGTTGAGCAAAATGGTTAAACGCTCTCATCCAGGCAAGAAAAGGGCAATTTCCTTCTCACATTCCATGTTGTTTATACTCAAACCAGATAAACTTGAGATAATGAATCAATGGTGAAAATCCACCTGATAAAAGGTGTTTTTAAATTAAGAAGGGATCTTACCTTTCTGCTTCTGGAAGCTGGTTAATTTTTCTGGATATATCAACAATTGTTATGTTTTCCTTATTATTGGATTTATGATTTTCCATTTTGAGCCTTAAAAAACATGAAGATATCATTTCTCAAGAATTTATACAAAGAATTTTAAAAACCTTCTGAAGACTAAAAATAATACTGTAGAGCTAATCTGAAAAAAATCATTGCATACATATTATTAAAAAAAAATCTAAGTGAAACAGAAACCAGAACATGAAAAGCAACACATAAAGCTTTTAGGAAATACAGAATATCTTCATAATCCTTGAAAGTATTTCCTAAACAATTCACAAATAGCACTAAACATAAAAGACTTATAAAACTAACAGTATTGAAGTTAAGAACCTATGGTTATCAACATATACCATAAAGATAAGCTAGTGGGGGAGAAAATGCAATAGAACTGACAAAAGAGTAGTTAGTACCCAGAACATACATGGAACTACATATCAACATGAAAAAGGTAAGCAGCCCTACGGAAAAACTGACAAAATATTTGAACAGGCACTTCACAAAAAGGAAAGTTAAATGGCCAATAAACATGAAAATATGCTCACCTTCATTATAACTGGGGGAACAACCCACAGTGAGATACCAATAGGTACCCATAGGTTAGCTAAAATCAAAATCTGACAATTCCAATTATTGGCAAGAATGCGGGGTAGCTAAAACTACATTCTGTGTACATTCTGTGGGGTAGCTTTACCCAAACTGTACAGTCACTTTGGGAAAGAATTTGGTATTATTTAGCAGATAGAAGACACACATAGCTAGCAATTTCATTTCTAGGTATACCTGAGATCAGGGCTCAGCAAACTTTAAAGGGCCAGATGTAAATGTGGTAGGCTTTGCAGGTAACATACAGCCTTTGTTGAATATTTGTTTTTAAAAAAACTATAAAAACATAAAAATCATTCTTAGCTGGGTGGCTGTACCAAGGCAAGCTATAGGCTGCATATGGCCTACATGCCAGTAGTTTGTTGATGTCTGCACTAGTTAGGGTGAAAATGTGAAGGGAATGGTGAATGATGAAGATTTGGCTCAGGTTTCAGGGTAACAGTTAAGAAAAACAAAGGCTGGATGCAGTGGCTCACGCCTGTAATCCCAGCACCTTGGGAGGCCAAGGCAGACGGATCACCTGAGGTCAGGAGTTCGAGACCAGCCTGGCCAACATGGTGAAACTCCCTGTCTTTTAAAAATACAAAAATTAGCCAGGCACGGCGGCAGCTGCCTGTAATCCCAGCTACTCGGGAGGCTGAGGCAGGAGAATCGCTTGAACCTGGGAGGTGGAGGTTGCAGTGTGCCGAGATCTCGCCACTGCACTCCAGCCTGGGTGAGAGCGAGACTCGGTCTACAAAAAAAAAAAAAAAAACAGTTCAGGGATAACAACAAAGGAAAACATGCTTTTATGAAACCAGATTTTCTCATTTCCTACAACATTACAGGCACTCGTTTAAATATTTATTGCTACCTGTTTTATATCGATAAGAGGTCATTTGGAAATGTTGATTACCTTGACATTCCATATCTCTAGACTTAAAGCTAACCTAATAAGTACAAAGCAGCCTTAGAAATTTATGTCTAGGTTTCTGGTAGTCAAATTTTTGAGGGCCTTGGCTACGATAAGATGATAAGACACAATCTCTGCTGTACAGGAGCTCTGAATGATTTTGTGTATGGGGTGGTGAAATATATAATCAAATTTAGTATGTATATATTGTACTGAGGGCAATTAAGTCACTCAATTCAGTATAAGTGCTGACTGGGCAGCCCCTGTGGGCATTTTGTCTCCGATATTAATAACAAATATCTATCAAAGACAACGCCGCCTGTAAAAACTACAAATATTTCGAAAGATTTTTGTGTTACCTATCTCATGTCATTCTTGGAAGAGCTCTGAGAGATAGGCAGTGTGGGGCCTATCTGAAAGAGAAGTAAAGTGGGACCTCTGAAAATCAAATTTGGCCGTGGTCACCTTGTAAATTGACAGTAAACCTGGGATTAAATTCAATCTCAGGCATTTCTCCTTTCTACTGAGTTAATTTAAATATAAGGTCTTTCCTTCTAGAGTGCAAAGTGAAAAGACAGCAGGAAGAGCTAACTACACTTCTACTTGCTCTCATTTACGCGCAGCGCTGCTGGTAGCTAGCGTGTCACCGCGTCGTGCTTCTCCTGACACCGGGACATTTACTTCACCCCCTCCCCCGGAATACCAGTACCTTATGCTCTCCTCCCAGCAGCCTGTGGGTGCCTCCTCCTTCCTCAGCCACGCCGGAGTTCACTGTGGCCTTTGCTCAAATTACCTGGGCGCAGCCATCTTTGGCTGACTCGTGACGCGGCGTGGGCGGGCGCCGGGTCGCGGCTGCTAATTGGACTGCGGGACGGAGGTTGCAGCCAGCAGCGGCTTTGGGCTGAGAAGCTTCCGGCCCTAGGAGGTGCCGGGAGGCTAAGCGTTGAGGTTTGTTTGCCTGGCGTAGAGTGTGCTCGTTTCACCTACTCTTGCCTCCCAGGACAGAACTTGTAGAAATTGTGAAATTTCGAGATATAAGTTGGGTGACCCTCAGTCAGCCTCTTCCATTGAAAACGTACCTCGGGCATATTACTTAACTTCCTGGTCAGTAGAGCCTACTTACGTTCTTGGCATGGGGTAAATGAAAACTGCACAGCTCTTGGCATATGATAGCTACTCAGGTTAAAAATAAGTCAAAGGTGAGCTATTTCTTGGCTCTATCGATTTTCTACTCTCCCTAGGAACTTAAGCTCCCTGTGCCATGTTTTGATCTGTATTGATTGCCCTACCATAATCAGCACCTCAGAGCTGCAGCTTATTTTTCTGAGGATTTCTCGTGTTCTCCAGAGTACTGCTTATTTGGAAGCAGTGTTGGGTGAAAGTCATCTTATTTCTTCTTGCTTTTTAAGTATAAATACTAGAAAATTTAGAATTATATATGTGGCTTGCATTATATTTCTATTGGACAGTGCTGTTCAGAAGGTACCTCTAATGCTCTCCTCCCAGCAGCCAGTGGATGCCTCACCAGGTCTTCCTCAGCCATGCTGGGGCTCCCTGCAACCTTTGCTCAGTTCGCTTGGACTAATTAACCCAATAGAAGGGAAAAATGCCTACAATTGAATTTTATCTTAACTCCATTAAGATTAGCAGGTAAACATTGTGCCAAAAAATATATAACTAACTGTAGCAATAAATACATGATCATAACACATTATCAGAAATCTTAATTATTCTCATCCTCTCAAATTTCTGAACAAGTGATAAAGTGTTGCATTGTCCAGATAATTTTTATACTGTCTCTCCATTGCAGGGTTGCTTGACCATTAGGCTCCATAGTGCCAAGAAGTCTGTAATTGCAGTTTCTAAACTTGCACAAATAGAAAGACTTATTTTCACGAAGGTGTACAAGAAGGAAAATTCCTAGTCTTTTTTTTATTTTTATTTTTTATTTTTTAGACAGAGTTTTGCTCTCGTCGGCCAGGCTGGAGTGCAATGGCCTGATCTCAGCTCATTGCAACTTCTGCCTTCCAGGTTCAAGCGATTCTCCTGCTTCAGCCTCCAGAGTAGCTGGGATTACAGGCGTGTGCCACCACGCCCAGCTGATCAGCTGATTTTTTTTTTTGTTTTTGAGACTGAGTCTCGTTCTGTCACCCAGGCTGGAGTGTAGTGGTGTGATTTCGGCTCACTGCAAGCCCCGCCTCCTGGGTTCACAGCATTCTCCTGCCTCAGCCTCCCAAGTAGCTGGGACTACAGGCTCCTGCCACCACGCCTGGCTAATTTTTTTGTATTTCTAGTAGAGACGGGGTTTCACTGTGTTAGCCGGGATGGTCTCTATCTCCTGACCTCGTGATCCACCCGCCTCGGCCTCCCAAAGTGCTGGGATAACAGGCGTGAGCCACCGTGCCCAGCCTCGGCTTATTTTTTAGTAAAGACAGGATTTCACCACGTTAGCCAGGCTGGTCTCGAACTCCTGACCTCAGGTGATCCACCCGCCTCGGTCTCCCAAAGTGCAGGGATTACAGGCGTGAACCAGCGTGCCTGGTCATCTAGTCTTTTACTCACTTTGCTTTTCATCTCAAGGTTTTAAGCAAACAAATCACAATATTCTGCTTACTACCTTTGCCTTAATGGAATTTCACTAGGCCTTCTCTGTAACTGTCTGTGTTTCCTAATTATGTAGAAACTATAAACCACCATCTTGTAGAGAATAATGGCCAATAAGGTTGAAAAGTTAAAAAAAAAAAAAAAAAAGAGCCAGAGTGTGGAATACTTCAAATGCCAGACTAAGAATTTGCTCCCTTTTGTTTGCTTTATTTTCTGGGAAACGTTAGTTATTAAAAATGGGAGTTAAAAAATTCATAGTTACACTATGATAAGATGCATATGATGTAGAAAAAAATGGAGGCAATACTGCAGATGGAGATTAGATAGGTGCCTCTAAATAAAAATCTCAAGGACATCTCATACTCCAAAGCTGAAAATCGTATATGTTTTCCTCTCTTATATCTACTGTTTCCTGTCTCAGGGCTTGACAACACCATCCATTTCATTGCACAAGCCAGAAACTTAAGTTCATCCACATTACTCCCTGCAGACTAATCAATCGTGAACAATTTATTGATTTTCTTCCTAGATATTCTTTACAGAAATCATTTCTTATTTAGGCACTGGAGGTGACTCTGTTCTCACAGATTCCACTCATCTTCCTTTCAGCAATTCTCTACATAGCATCTATGAAAATTTTTGTCAGACAATTTAGCTGAACTTGGGCTGTGCATGGAAGAGAGGGGATAGAAATGTAGCCAGAAATCTGCAATGTCTATGATGCTTGCACCAGACAACCGTAAGCTCTTTTTGGAAACAGGAAATAAAGAACAATTTGTCAAAGCATATTTTTCTGTCACTAAAAATACATGCCATTCTTTTGATTTTAAAAGTTTTGAGAAATGCCGAAAGAGAAAAGATAATTTAGTTTCTTATAGCTTGTCTGAACTCTCTAACAACAGAATATTGGCACATAAAATAGTTAATAAAAGAAAATGGAATTTGACCACTTGTCACTACCTTTATTGCTACTACTTATTATCTCTTACCTAGACTGTCTATAAAATCCTGTGTCACACAGAAAAATTGCTGGGATATGGCTTTGACTTAAATGCTGCATGAATCTGCTGAAAATAGTTGATCCAGGAAGATTCCATACTTTTCAAAGATAATAATCAAAAAATAAAAGAGGGACTTCTAGCTTCTGGAAGTGACACAGTAGCTTATGTTGGACAGACCCTGTTGCAAATAACAACTATAAACTCTGGACAAGGAAGAGATTCTTTTCAAAGACCCTGGAAAGCAACCAAAATAGCATGAAAACACAGGAAGGTATACAATTCTTGAAAGATGGGAAAAATAGTGGGTAAGATCCACATTTATCCAGCTTTTTTTCATGAGGGCATTAGTCTGTGCAGTACATGGGGAATATCGAGTGTCAGTATAAAGCAGCATTCTTCCCATTCTAAAACACTCAGAAGTTGAAATTTGGAAATGCCAGATCAACTGAAAATTGGGGCAGGAACCTTGAAAAGGGAACCCCAAAATCTGTCTAAAAAATCCCCTCAAATTTTTGGCTGACATTATAACAGTACATGCATGTGGTAAGACCCAAAGAACCCAATGGACAGCAACAGTTGGAAGACTGGAAGAGATAAAGTGAAATTTCAGCAGTCATCTGATGCTGGGAAGACAGTGTATTTTTGAATATTTAAATTCAAATATCGGAAATTTAAATATTTCCAAGTTATACAGACCGGGTGAAAACTTTGGACATTCCACTGAGCAGCATCTTAGAATTAATGACTACATCCAATGACTAAGGGTTATGCCCTAGAATCAAGGGCAAAATCAACCAAATCAATATTTTTTTAAAAAAATCAAATTAAGCAAAAAGGAAATCAAAGAGGAAGGAATAATAAAGGTAAGAGTGGAAATAAATGAAAGGGAAAAGACAAAAACAATAGAGAAAAGACCAACTGTGATTCTTTGAAAATATTAATAAAATCAATAAGCCCTAATAAGACTAATCAAAAGAAAAAGAGACCAAACAACTAAATCTTTTTGGACTGAAAGAAGGGACATTAATACAGATTCTACACACATTAACAGGATAAGGAGAGGATATTATGAACAACTTTAACCCACTGTGTTCGACAATTTAGACAAAATGGACAAATTGCTTGGTCTTATTGTTAATTGCTTATCTGGAGAGTTACAATTTATTTTTTCTTTTACATTTTATAACCTACAACCTTGCTAAATCAAATAGGATTTTAAAAATTACATAGATAATTTTATTTCTTCTTTTCCAATCTGGCTAGACTCTCCCATACAATGTTGGCTAGAAGCAATAAAGCAGACATTCTTGCATTTTCCCTGATCTTAGGGGGAAGTCATTCAGTTTCCCACCATCATCATGTTAATTATAGGTTTTTTGGTAAATGCTCTTCAAAATCTTAAGGAAGTTCCCTTCTTTTCCTCATGCTGGGAGTTTTTATCAGGAACAGATGTTGGATTTTGTCAAATGCTTTTTCTGTATCTATTCAGATGATTGTTTTTTTTCCTTGTTTAGTCTGTTGATACAGTGAATTATATTGTGTAGGGGCTCCACGTTCCCCAGCCATCTTTCCGTGTCCTGACCAAAAATCACAGAGCGCCTTGACTGCTTTGTGACCTGGCCAGCTGCAGATTTTTCTTAGCAGGCTTGAATCCAAACCGAGACCTGAAACATTTCCAGGCACTGATAAAGGTATCTAGGTTGTTGCCCAAAACACTAAAATAAACTGGCCCTGGCCCTGAGCCAAATTCCTAAGCCCTCATATAAACTCCATATCCTAATCCCCTTGTTGTGAACTGCTAGCCTTTTCTCTTGCTGTTTGTGGTGAGGATTGCTGCAGTTCAGTCATATAAAATTTCCCCTAATAAATGCTTTGGACTGATGACCCTGGTGTTTAGTGCTTCTTTCTTTGAATCCCAACCAGCCCAGTCTCAGGATAACTCTGGACACTCCCTTGTGGAAACTCCCCTGCTGTCACTTTTGGGGTGACTCCTGCTGTGGGTTTGGTGGAACAAAACATTGAGTGATTTTTTTAAATGTTAAGTCAATTTTGCAATCCTGGAATAAGCCCCGCTTGGCCATGAGGTACTATTCTTTATATATATTTTTGTATTTGGTTTGCTAAAAGTTTGTCAAAAGTTTTTATATCAATGTTCATGAGGAGTATTAGGCTGTAGTTTCTTTCCTCAAAATGTTTTTATCTGGCTTTGATATCAGGATATTGCTGGACTTATTGAATGAGTTGGCAAGTGTTCCCATCTCTTCAATTTTTTTGGAGAGTTTGCATCATATTATTATTTCTTCCTTACATGTTTGGTAGACTTTACCAGTGAAGATTTCTGGATCTGAGTTTTCCTTGTAGGGAGGATTTAACTATAAATTCAATACTCATGGTAGATATATGGCTACCCTGATTATCTATTTCTTTTTGAGTGAACTTCACAAATCTTCACAAAACAAGATCAAATATTCATTTATTCATTTCACCTAAGTTCTCAAGTTTATTGGCTGAAATTGTTCAAAAATATTTTCTTGTTATATTTTAACATCTGTAGAATCTGTGGTGAAACATCTCTCTTGATATTGGTCACTTATGTCTTCCCTTCTTTATGCTAATTGTTTATTATTTTTGAAAATCTCAAATAACCACCTTTTGGTTTTATTGGTTCTTTTCTATTGGTTTCTGTTTTCTATTTCTTCCCCCCTCTGTTCTATATTGTTTCTTTCTTATTCTTATCTAGGATTTAAGTTGCTCCTCTTTTTCTCGTTTCTTAAAAACATACCTGAGGTAATTGATTTGAGATCTTTTTCCCCTCTAACATATGTGCTTATCATTACAAATTTCCAAGTGCTGCTTTAACTGTATCCATAGATTTTTAAATGTTCTGTATTATTTTAATTCAGTTCAAAAGAATTTCTAATTTCACTTTGCTTTCCTCTTTGGCCTGTGGATTATTTAGAAGTGTGTTAATTTAGTAATAGTTCCAATTTTCTAGATACCATTTTGCTATTGATTTCCAATTCAGTTCCATTCTGGTCAGAAAATATACTTTGTATGATTTGAATCCTTTTAAGTTTATTGAGATTTATAAAGTAGATACTGGTCCATCTTGGTAAGTGGTCCATGTGTGCTTGTAAAGAACGTATACTCTGCTGTTGTGCCAAGAATTGTAAAAACATCAATTAGCACAAGTTGGCTAATGGTCATTATCCTTTCTGAATTTCTACCAACTTGTTTTATTAATACGGAGAGAAGGTTATTGAAATCTCCAACCATTATGAGGATTTTCTGTTTCTCCTTTCAGTTCTGTCAACTCTCGCTTCACGTTATTTTCAAGCTCCCATTATTGTATGAAGAAACACTTAGGATGAATTGATCCCTGTATAATTGTGAAATAACCTCCTTATTCCTTGGTAATATTCTTTGCTTTGAAATCCACCCCCTCCCTCACTCCCTCCCTTCCCTCCTTCCTTCCTTTGAATCAGGGTCTCACTCTGTCACCCAGGTTGGTGTGCAGTGGCACAATCATGGCTCACTGTAGCCTCAACCATCTGGCAAGTGATCCTCCTGCCTTAGACACCTGAGTAGCTGGGACTACAGCCACTATGCCCAGCTAACTTTTTATTTTTTGTAGAGACGGGATATCACTATGTTGCCTAGGTTAGTTTTGAACTCCTGGGATCAAGCAATCCTCCTACCTTGGCCTCCTAAAGTGCTGGGATTACAGGCATGAGCCACTGTGCCTGGCCTATTTGATATCACTATAGCCACTCCAATAACTTTTTAGATTAGTGTTAACACAACACAGCTTTTCCTATCCTTTTAACCTATTTGAGTTTTTAGATTTAATGCAGGTTTTCTTTTAGGCTATATAGCTGGATTTTGCTTTTTATCTAAATTAGGCAATTGCTGACTTTTCATGGGGTGAGTGTTTAGACCATTTATGTTTAATATGATTTTTATATTTTAGAGTTTAAATCTATCAGCTTTCTATTTGTTTTCTATTTGTCCTATCTGTTCTACATTTCCTTCTGCCTTTTTTTTGACTAATTGAATTTTTTTCCATTTCATGTCCTTTCGTATCCTACTAGTGATAATTCTTTTAAAAAATTGTCATGATTGCTTTAGCATATATAGTACACACGTAGTTTCCTAAGGCTATCTTTAGAAAGTACCACAAACTGGGTGGCTTAAAACAACAAATTTATTCTCTCACTGTTCTGGAGGCTTTAAGTCTGTAATTAATGTATTGGCAAGGTTGGTTTCTATTGGAGGCCCCGAAGGAGAATCTGTTCGATCCTTCTCTTTTAGCATCTGGTAGTTGCCTGCAATCCCTGGTGTCTGTTGGTTTATAGATGTGTCATTCCAATCTTTGCTTCTGTATTCACATGGTGTTCCCCCTTATGTCTTTGTGGCTTTATGTGGCCGTTTTCCCTCTCTGTTGTGTTTGTGTGCTCAAATTTACCTGGTATTGTAAAGACATCAGTCATTGGATAAAATTCATCCTAATCCAACTTGATTACATTTGCAAACACCCTATTTCCAAATAAGGACATATTCACAGGTACTGAGCTTAGGATTTGAACATATGTTTTGAGAGGCCAATTCAACCCACAAGAGTATCTTTATCATGATCTACTTTCCAATAGTATTATGTCACTTTATGTATAGTATTAGAATTTTATACCTTCATGTCTTCCCTCCTAGTCTTTGAGTTACTGTCATACATTTACTTCTACTTGTTATAAACCACATAATAGTCATTTGTCTTCGAAAGAATTTTTAAAAATAAGGACATTTATATTTACCCACAGATTTGCCATTTCTAGTGTTCCTCATTTTTCTAGATTTCCATCTGATATCATTTTCCTTCTATTTGAAGTACTTCTTCCTTTAAGATTTCTTAGAATGCAAGCCTTCTGGTGATTAATTATTTCACATTGTGTAAATCTAAAACAGTATTTGGTTGCAGGATTTTGTTGTTGTTGTTGTAGTAAAAGCACATAACATTACATTTACCATCTTAACCATTTTTAACTGTGTAGTTCAGTAGTGTTAAGTGTATTCACATTGTTATGCAACAGATCTCTAGAACTTGCAACACTGAAACTCTATACAATACTAATTCCTCCTCCCCATTTCCCCCAGCCTTTGGTAACCATCTTTCTACTTTATTTCTCTAACTTTGACTACTTTAGATACCTCGTATGAGTGGCATTACACAGTATTTGTCCTTTTGTGACTGCTTATTTTGCTTATTTCATTTTGTGTAATGTCCTCAAGTTTCACTTATGTTGTAGCATGTGGAAAGATTTCCTTAATGCTGCATAGTATTTCGTTGTGGGTATTATACCACATTTTCTTTATTAATCTGTTGAAGGACATTTGAGTTGCTTCCACCTGTTGGCTATATAATGTGCAAATGTGAATAATGTGCAAAGGTCTCTTCAAGATCTTGTTCTGTTTTGGATATATATCCAGAAGTGAGAATGCTGTATCACATGGTATTTTAATTTTTTGAGGAACCACCATACTGTTTTCCATAATGGCAACATTCACAACACAGTGCACAAGGATTCTAACTTGTTATTTTCTGTTTTTTGGATAGTGGCCATTCTGTTTTTTGGATAGCGGATATCTCTTTTTTGAGAAATGTTTATTCAAGTCCTTTGCTTGTTTTTGAAGTTATTTGGTTTTTGTTGTTGAGTTGTAGAAGTTCCTTATATATTCTGAATACTAACCACTTATCAGATGTATGATTTGCAATTATTTTCTTCCATTTTTTAGGTTTCCTTTTCATGCTGTTTTTTATTTTGAGACACAAGTTTTTCAGTGTGTTGTCCCAATTTGCTTGTTTTTGATTTTGCTACTTGTGCTTTTGATGTTGTATCCAAGAAATAGTTGCCAAATTCAATGTCCTGAAGAATTTCCCCCAAGCTTTCTTGTGGTAGTTTTGTAGTTTGCTTCATCTTTGGGTTCACTAATCTTTTCTTCTGCAATGTCTAATCTTGGGGAGACTTTGGGGTGGATTTCTTTGTTCCTGTAGTGAAGCTGGTGGGGTTTACGGCTACCAAGATTCAATTATTCATGTTTATTAATGTTAGTTTGCCTGTTTTTTAGAATGATGAAGCTAGGGGAGTATGGGTTATGCATCTTTGGAAGACTCTTTTTTTGTTTTTTAATGAAGCTGAGGAAGGTGGTTGAACAAATTCTATGAAATTCAACCTCATGTGTAAAACACTTTCTTCATTATTAGATTACTGTTTAAACTTGAAAATTCAAAAACTGAATAGTTAATGCAAGATAAAACAATTGTACAAAAGCAGAGAGAAAATCAGTACACAATACAACCAAAGCAATGCAGTGCAATGCAATAACAACACAAAAGCAGGGGGAAAATCACATGGTGAAGGGAGTCAGGGGAAATGAAGAGGTAAGAGTGAAGGTAAGTTCTTATAAGAGGGACCATATCTTAGTTATTATTATACACCTATCAGGAAAAACAGACAATGTAAACACATTTACTGAGCAACTTCTACATGCCAGGTGTGGTATGGTATGGTTCTATGTACTTTACTCTTTATAACCACACTATAAAGCAGTTATTAATATGTTTTAAGAGAAAACACAGAAAGTTTACGTAACTTGCTCAACCTGTAGTATTGAGTGTTGAATCAACATTGGCTGAATACATATTTATTCAAATGAAAGATGTCTTGTGGATGCTCTTTGGTGGACTTTTCTAATCTTCTCTACAGAAGTGCTAGACTGATAACTACAGACTAGGAAAAGGACCATAATACTTGATATGCAGCAATAGCAACAATAATTGCCACGGCTGTGGTCTAAATGTTTGTGCCCCCTGAATTCGTATTTTGAAATACTAACCCCAAGGTGATGGTATTAGGTGGTGAGGCCTTTGGGAAGTGATTAGGTCATGAGGGCAGAGGCCCCGTGAATGAGGTTATTACCCTTATAAAAGAGGCTCCAGAGAGCTCTTTTGCCCCTTCCATCCTGTGAGGACACAAGAAGGCATTACCTATGAATCAGAAAGCAGGCCCTCATCGGACACCAAATCCTAGCTTCCAGAACTATAAGAAATAAATTTCTCTTGTTTATAAGTCACCCAGTCTATGCTATTTTGTTACAGTAGCCCAAGTGGACTAAGATAGCAGCTAATACATATAGACTTCCTATGAGTTGGGTACTGTTTTGATTTACATATATTAACTCATTTAATATAACACTTTGAGACTGAGTACAGTTTTTAATTCCTCATTTTATAGATAAGGAGACTTAAGTGCAGAGAGATGAGGTAGCTTATTCAAGATTATCCTGTTAGTAAGTAATGAGGCCAGGATTTGAAACTTGAATGGAGCTCCAAGCTGTACTTCACACCTATGCACATGTTGCTTTTCTTCACTGGTTCACCTGGCTTTACCCTTGAGCTCAGGCCCAGAAGGTCAAGGTTTCCCTAATTTCTCCTTTCAGGCCTCTTATAGTCACTTTGGAAAGCAGTGCTTTCCAAAGCTAAAGGAAATATTGATTGCCTTGCCAGCTTTACAAAGACAATCTGAAGTCACGGAGTAAGGTACAAATCTATTCAGCTTTCTGGTGGTAAGAGAGGTGAACTTAAGTCAACTTTGCTATACTTCCAAGATTACCACGTTTTTAATCTCAAAATGAATATGGTTAGGATACGGAGAATGAGATGTGCAGTTCCATTCTGTAATTCTCATCCATGTTCATTTTCTGAACTAAGATAAATGTGTAGCTCTGGGATGCCTTGGCAGACTCTAAAGAAACATGCTGTAAACTCTTTAGATTTTAAGCTTCTTTAGCGACAAGCAACGAATCTTTGTACCCCTGGTACCTATCTCAATGCATGGCAGATAGATAGGCACTCAATAAATATTCTTTCTTGGAAACCAGAACTGAAGGTTAAAAACAAGTTCTTTGAACTACATAGTGAAGACAATTTGTAAATGAGAAGATAGTATCAATGCAGAGAAATGGGCTATATGTTATTCCCATATCTTCCTTTCTTAAGAACTTCCAATTCCTCCTTCAAAATTTAGCTCAATTGTTACTTTTTTCCACCACAGCTTCTCCTTCTGCCTAGTTAACATACATACTCTCAGTGCCCTTACAGAATTATGTGTATACCTCTCAAATCCTCTCATAGTATGTGTTCACACTTACTCCTCCTCAATTGAGTTCCTTCTAGGTAAGGAATGTTTGTTTTCTTTCTTTTTTTTTTTTTTGATATGGAGTTCTGCTCTGTTGCCCAGGCTGGAGCACAGTGGTGAGATCTCAGCTTACTGCAACCTCCGCCTCCTGGGTTCAAGCGATTCTCCTGCCTCAGCCTCCCAAGTAACTGGGATTACAGGCATACACCATCATGCCCAGCCAATTCTTTTGTACTTTTAGTAGAGACGAGGTTTTGCCATGTTGGCCAGGCTGGTCTCAAACTCCTAACCTCAGGTGATCCGCCTTCCCTGGCCTCCCAAAGTGCTGGGATTACAGGCGAGAGCCACCATGCCCAGCCAGAATGTTTCTTATTATATTTAACACAGTGCCTGAGAAATAGCTCAATAAATGTTTGATGAATGAATGAATATATAACTGCACAGATGAGACCTTAAAGCCCAAACCCATTTCCACATACAAAGAGGAAAGATGAAACTTTTATTGTTACATTTATTGACACTGGATATTTATTATCTGTTATATACCAGGCAAAATGGACACACCATCAGGAGATAAGACCTGTATCTTACGTGTAAGATGAAACTTATATTTATTGATTGAATTATTGAATACTTTTTGAGTATTTGCTATATACCAGGCAAAAGGCACAGAACAAATTATTTGTTCACAGTTACTTTTAACTCTTTCAGCAATGCCTGAGTCCTCTTTATAGAAACTTCATTTTGCTAAGTTAGCAACCATTCATTTTTTTGGTTACTCTTCATGTATAGTTTTCTCAAGTGTCTCTTCAAATACTGCATAATGGTATAGACCATTTAATATTCCAAACATAATCTGAAAGACTAGAGGAATCGCCATTAATTTCATTTGTGTTTGACAAAGCGTCATCCAATGGATTAAAACCCTTCCTTTTGGTGGCAGTGGAACGGTATGATACCTAAAAAGAAAAAAGAGTTAATCACCTCTCCTGGATATGAATGCTATTAGAAGTTTGTTGACTTCTCCTAAATTGATAATTGCCTTTCTAGATCTATAATGTAGAGAGCAAAAAAGTTAAAAGTTAGCTATCTGAAATACCAAACTACCACATTTTGATTCAAATATATCATAGACAGCTAAAGAAGAAAGAGAGTTTATTAACCTAAAAAAAAAAAAAAAAAAGAAAAGAAAAGAAAAGAAAAAAGAAGGAAAAGGAAGAACTTACTTGGTTGCCAGGCGTCCATTTTTAGTAAAAGCCAAAGAACTGGGATAGAAAACACCACAAACTATGCCAATCAGTGAGCTTCTGAAAACACAGTTTTCCTTGCTTATATTATCTGGAAAACAAAAGTAAATTTGGTTTTCCTTTAAAACTCAAGAGCTATTAAGACAGTGTTGTACCTCACAGAGTAGTTATCTGCACTATCCTCAACCACAACTAAACCATAGAAAGAATATTAGAAATTCAAACTCTGTGGCATATAACAGGCCAAATGCAGCACATTTTAAAAAGTTTTTATTATACTTTATCACATAGAGAATTACCTCTAACGTATGTGGTTGTTGTAGAAGCAATTTTATTTTATTTTTTGGAGACGGAGTCTCACTCTGTTGCCCAGGCTAGAGTACAGTGGCACGATCTCGGCTCACTGCAACCTCTGCCTCCAGGGTTCAAGCAATTCTCATGCCTCAGCCTCCCAAGTAGCTGGGATTATAAGCTTGCACCACCATGCTCAACTGTTTTTCTATTTTTAGTAGAGACTGTGTTGGCCAGGCTGGTCTCGAACTCCTGACCTCAAGTGATCTGCCTGTCTTGGCCTCCCAAAGTGTTGGGATTATAGGCATGAGCCACCGTGCCCAGCCAGAAACAATTTTATAATGACAATACTAAACTAGCAAACCAGACCTGGATTCTAGGTTAATACATTTTTATTATCTACTATATATCAGGAACGTGCTAGGAGCTAGGAATACGGTGGTACATAAAAGAGACCTGATCTCTGACCTTCTGGCCAGTTTACAGAGATGAAAGACACGAGATAAATATTTAAATAGATAATTATCAGTGTACACAATACTTTGAAGATAAACTATATAGAGAATGTATCCAGACACCTAGTGTACAATGAGGCAATCAGAGGTCTCCCTGGGGAAAAGATACTTAAGCAGGAACCTGAAGAATGAACAAGGGATAGATGCTCTATCAATTACTAGTTGTGAAACTCAAGGTAAGGTGAGGGGCAGGAAATAACATTAAAAGCCCATAATATGACAGATATTGTGGTAGTCATTTAACCTACAGTATCTTTTAATTCTCACAACAATCCTGTGAGGTAAGTACTATTAGTCCTAACTTATAGATAAGACAACGGAGGCTCAGAGATGAAATGCCTTACTGAATGTCACAAAACTTAAGTGGCAGGAGGTAGCATACTGAAATGATGTGCGTTGTATGCCACAGCCAATTCTTTTCCCAGTATGTTGCTTATTAGCGTACTTGAACATGCCTCAGTTTGGGTTGCTTATCTACAGAAATAAAAAAATACAGTTTACCTGATTAGGAGGATTGTTGCAGGGATTAAATATGACAAGGTATATGGACTTTGTAAACTGTATAGCAATATATAAATGTAAAGAATTATTATTAGCAGTAGCAACAGTATATGTTAATAAGTAACTTTACTTAGACATAACTACGTTATACATTAGTGAATTTAAATTCACCTGAATACAAAGCATCAATTACAAAAAGCTTGTCAGTAACAACAGTAGACAAAAATGGAAGTGTAGCCAATGATGCATATGTCTTCAAAGCATCATGTTTAACCTTGAAGCAGCGTCTGAACAGGAAGTTTGAGAATATTCCAGAGAAACCAGCTGTTGTTCCAAATGTCGCCATTTGATATATATTTTGTGTCCTAATAGAAAAAAAGAAAAATTCAGTTCACTATACCATTGAACTTAATGGATACAGCCTCTCCTGAAAAGTTGTTATTGCATATCAATATCAAATATTTCTTGAGCACTTACTATATGTGAAAAGTATTTTCTAAGTGCTTAAGATAGGACAGTAAACAAAGCAAAAGAAAAAAAGAAATTTCCCACCCCTCATAGAACTTGTATTCTAATGAGAGGACATGATTCTCTTTCTAAGAATATTTACAGTAATTCTAAAATAGAGCTCTTTTAAATAATTTTGGCCACAAATAAATATAAATATGTTCCAATGCAGCCAAATTTTATGAGCTACCCAAATCCAAGAATACCTTTCCTGCAACTAAAAGATTTACTTTGCTTAAGTTCATCTAAAAAAAAGCTGTTTACATTTGGTTAGGCCTTCTATTTCTTCATTAGTCCCAGATACATTTAAAATAATTTGTCCTGAACAGACACTTCTCAAAAGAAGACATTTATGCAGCCAAAAAACACATGAAAAAATGCTCACCATCACTGGCCATCAGAGAAATGCAAATCAAAACCACAATGAGATACCATCTCACATGAATTAGAATGGCAATCATTAAAAAGTCAGGAAACAACAGGTGCTGGAGAGGATGTGGAGAAATAGGAACACTTTTACACTGTTGGTGGGACTGTAAACTAGTTCAACCATTGTGGAAGTCAGTGTCACGATTCCTCAGGGATCTAGAACTAGAAATACCATTTGACCCAGCCATCCCATTACTGGGTATATACCCAAAGGACTATAAATCATGCTGCTATAAAGACACATGCACACGTATGTTTATTGTGGCACTATTCACAATAGCAAAGACTTGGAACCAACCCAAATGTCCAGCAATGATAGACTGGATTAAGAAAATGTGGCACATATACACCATGGAATACTATGCAGCCATAAAAAATGATGAGTTCATGTCCTTTGTAGGGACATGGATGAAGTTGGAAATCATCATTCTCAGTAAACTATTGCAAGAACAAAAAACCAAACACCGCATATTCTCACTCATAGGTGGGAAATGAACAATGAGAACACATGGACACAGGAAGGGGAACATCACACTCTGGGGACTGTTGTGGGGTGGGAGGAGAGGGGAGGGATAGCTTTAGGAGATCTACCTAATGCTAAATGATGAGTTAATGGGTGCAGCACACCAGCATGGCACATGTATACATATGTAACTAACCTGCACATTGTGCACATGTACCCTAAAACTTAAAGTATAATAATAATAAAATAAAAAAAAATAAAAGGGAATGAGGGAACTTTTTGGGGATGTTGGAAGTATTCCAAATTTTAATTGTGGTGATGGTTACATAACTGTATAAATTTGCTAAAACTCATATAACTGTACACTTTAAATGGATGAATGTCAAGATATATAAATTATACTTCAATAAAGCCATAAAACAGAAAATGAAATAAAATAAAATAAAATAAAATAATTTGTCCAAGATTTATAAAACTTCATCCAAAAAAATCTGATTTAGTTTTCTTATTAAGACCCATATGTAAATCCAGGAAATAACATCAACTGTCCTTTGATTTTTTTCTTGAACTTTGTTCATTTAAAAGTCAAAATGGCCAGTCTGGCCAACATGGTTAAACCATCTCTACTAAAAATACAAAAATTAGCTGGTTGTGGTGGTACACGCCTGTAATCCCAGCTACTTGGGAGGCTGAGGCAGGAGAATCACTTGAACCTGGGAGCTGGAGATTGCAGTGAGCCGAGATTGTGCCACTGCACTCCAGCCTGGGTGACAGAGTGAGACTCTTATCTCAAAAAAAAAAGTCAATATGTTAATGTGAGACTATATTTATACCATGAAATCTGTATTCCCTTTTGCTGTACTAAGTACTGTGGCTGAGATAATCAATCCTAAACTGATTATAATTACTCACCAATTAAATATAAGTACCCCCCTCAATGGTTTTCTCCTAATTACTTTTAATTAAAATACATTTACTGCACAAAAGTTTTAGCAATACTTTTGGATACTTTTTAAGAAACAAAAGAAATTATCCACAATCCGAAATATTCCAACAAACCACCATTTTCATCTGTTCTTGTTTCCCCCATTCTTTTTTTTAAAGATGTGTTCTTCATAGCCAACTCAAAGAATAGGATCTTAGATAACAGAAAAGGTAAGAAAGAATAGGATCTTAGAAACAATGGCAATACAAAAGACTTGCAAATAAAATGACTGATTTTCAGCCTGGGCATTTCTCTTACATTTCTTTTCTAAGATAGTCAAAATTTTTTTCTATGATTTCTATGACCATTGGTCTTCTGAGTTTTGCATCTTCTAGAGAAGGACTGGGCTGACCATGCATAGATGCTGCCATCTTGAAAACCTGGAAAAAAAAATTCCAGAGCCATAATAGCTAATGATATTCATATTACATAAAACCTTACAGAATTCTACAGATTCAGATTTGAAAACATTTACAGTTTAGTAGTGTGCCAGGTACTGTGTCGTCTGCTTTCACATACTTTGTTAGTAATTCAATCAACATTTACTGAGCTCTTATTATCTGTTAGACATTGGCTTTTTGTTATTATTTTTTATTTTCTTGCTAAACATCCTACAATACAGACATTGGCTTTCTGATTTACACACTAACTTGAGAAATTGGTAGTATAATGATTATTTCTATACATATGAGCAAACTGAAGGTCTGAAAGGTTGGCTTGCTTGAGATTTAGTGTAGAAGGCTAACATACTGATACTGTTGCTGTTTTCCTCTCTCCTCATTCCGAGAAGGCAGTCAGGCTCTTTGTAGTTGTCCTCCTAGCTCTTCAGGTGGGGAGGTGGAAACAGTGGCTGCTTATTGACATCTCTATCCTCAGTTTCTCATGAAAGATTAAGTTCATTTTGGAAATCGTGTTTCATTTCCTAGAGAGGTAGGAGAGAGCAGGGATTGCCTTGGAGAATAGTGAGAGAGAAAAATCAGAAAGAGGGACACTGCTCCAGGAAGGGAACAGGCAGTGGATTGTGGCTACTACTTTGGAGTACATAAATTATATATCCAGTTCCCTATTACCACCTGTGGTGGAAGCAGAGCCTTTGCTAGAAATGGTCATGTGGTATAGCAGAGACCCATACCTGCCACCACACCCGGCTAATTTTTGTATTTTTAGTAGAGGCAGGATTGCACTATGATAGCCAGGCTGGTCTCGAACTCCTGACCTCAGGTGATCCACCTGCCTCAGCCTCCCAAAGTGCTGGGATTAAAGGCGTGAGCCACCGTGCCCGGCCCCAGAGACCCATGGCACTGGGCTCCTTGGTCGGAAGGTTCTTGTGTCCCAAGTGTGATGAACAGACAGCTGCCAATGTCAAGGGACCATGAAGACCTGGCCAGTAGCATCTTAACAGAAACTAGACAGGTTAAAAAACAAAACAAAACAACAACAACAAAAAAACAAACCCTGCACTCTCAGAGAGGATCGTTTCTGAATGTTTTGCTCTGGGCAAGACTCTAGAGTCTCTGTGAAAAGTCTTAATAACATTTGTTAAATCCAAACACGTGGTTGCAAATGTTTACCTACTACAGCAGCCAAGTGGAAGGTCTATTGCTGCTAAATTCAGTGCTTTTTACTCTTTTTCCTCCAGATTAGCTAAATAGTCTCTTTACAAATTTACACTAATCTCAATTTTAATGTTTATATTAAAGGGAAATACTAAATCTCAAATTTAAGGAGTCCTAGACAAGAGGATTAGAGGGGATAAAGCATAATGAACACACAAGATACTTAATAAATCAGTGGTTCTCAACCTTCAGCATGCACAAGAATCACATGGGGTATTTATTTGAAATGCAGTCTCATGAATTCCCTCCTGAGATACCTGGATTCAGCAGGAGTAGGATGAGGCCTAGAATCTGCATTTTAATAGCACTTAGTGCTTCTGATGCTGTAGTCAATGGACACATGTTGAATATCACTGTAATACTCATTTGCTGAATGAGCGGTATGTACCAATCCTAACTATAGAAGGCCAGTTCATTATACACAGTTCCTGGCATCAACATACAGAAGGTATGAGCTCCTTTGAACCTTCTTATGGTGTTACACAATGAGTAATAATGGACCAGTTTCTTTCTCTGCATCATGGCAGAAATGTACTCAATCTTTTTCTGTAACATTTCTGGAGAGGGCAGGGGGAAAAAAAGGTAAAATATTTTACAAATTACAATTTTTCAGTGACTAGACTTACATCTTTTCCCTCTCCCTGACACCCAAATGGAAAGTATAAGGGATAGTAACATCTAAGGGAGATTCTATACCTAACCCATCTATTGTACTAAGACATCTGCTGTCTTGGCAGACGTC
Organism: Homo sapiens; assembly: GCF_000001405.40. Classification (NCBI taxonomy): domain Eukaryota; kingdom Metazoa; phylum Chordata; class Mammalia; order Primates; family Hominidae; genus Homo; species Homo sapiens. Next base: position 85,629,708 of record NC_000011.10, on the reverse strand, counting down.
AATAACATGAGTAACCATAAACCATAGATAAATTTTTGTTTTGCTCTCATCCAATTCATTGAAATCCTCCACCTTCCACCAAAAACAAAAAACAAAACAAACTTCCAGGCAATATCTTCTACTAATCTCCTACCTAGTCTACACCCTAAAGTCTCTATAGGGAAAACAGACACCCAGGATTATGATTACAGGACAGCAAATACTGAAATACTGGAAAGAACACAGGAAATATTTGAGTGCTTAAGCTTTGCAAGGCACTGTCAAAGACTCCAGTGCTTTCATTACACCCCTTCCCCCTTAAGGCCACTCAACTAGTCACCACGCTTATACCAGTAAGAGTGCATTTATGTAGGTTTATAGTTTGCAAATCATCTAACGGTTTTGTAGTGCTTTCATGTGTATTATTTTACCTAATAATAAATTTTTCACCTAATAATAAATTTCACCTTTAGAATTTTATTCAACATTCGCTCATAATTTAGGGAGCACGTGGTATATGCCAGACCTCCGGGTAATCAAGATACAGTCATCCCATCCTCAGGAATCCACAACGCAGTGGGAGTTCAGAACAAAAAAGCTGGCAATTTAAACACAGAATGAGAGAGTGACATAAACGAAAAACCCAACAACCTAAGAAAAAGCAAACAATCTAGCCAGAGGAAGCGTGGGAAGGCTTCCCGGAAGAAGTGACATTTAAATCAATAACCGAAAGAGAACAGTTTGGCAGGGGAGTTGGGACGGATAGAAGCAGGGAAATACTCCAAGTTGAAGAAAAAGCCTGTGCAAAGGCCTGGAGACAAGAGAAAACAAACTGCAGATAATGAGGACTAGAATTTAGGTCATCTACGTTCTCTCCGCCTCTTTCCACAGCAACTGGAGACTTAATCGACTGCTCCTTGCATGGACTTGGGAGCTGTTTTAACTTTTCAAATCTCCTTTAAAGGTATCATCTTAGAAGAGTCTGCCAACACTTTGAAGGTGCAGAAATCACCCCCCATACCACTTCGGATTTCCGCCTACCTTGGGCGCTTCCTCAGTTCCCACCGGCACCACACCTGAATCCCTTGGCTTAGTCCCAGCCTCATACCCGAACACCACCATTTTGGTGGCTCATGTGACTTGCCGGTGGGCGGGGACCCAGAACGCCCTGGGCGGGAAGTGGTGCTGATTTACGGCTCAACGCCTCTCGATTGCAGCCCGGGCCCGCCCCCACTCAGTCAAAAGCCGCGCCCTCCATCCTGACTGTGATTGGGCGCGGCGTCTAGAAATTACGGCCACTTATTCGCTTAGAGGAGGTCCAGGCGCCTGTGGGCCTGCCCCCCTCGCCAGCCGAGTATTTCCTTCCCTGACTATTTATCAGCTTAGCTCCCTGATCTCTTCGCGTCCTGCGGGAAAGATGGGGCGGCCCGAATGTTGTAATGTTACTGCGCTCCTGCCTCTCCTCAGGGCAGCTGGGAACTAGCTGCCTGCCCCTTTCAGTCCTTGAGGGAACTCGCCCCTTTGCCCTGGCCTGTGTGGTGTTAAAGCTCTGTTTCTCGGGCACCTCCTCCTCCAAACCCCGGACCAGCCGCCCAGCGCCGTCAGAGCAGCCCCGACTAGCCTCCTCTCCTCTCAGCCGTCTGACTCCTCTCCCCAGTCTGTAGTCCCCTCAATTTGCATCCTTTAGCCCCGCTTGGAAAGAGACCGGAGAGAAATTTGCCCACTACCCCCGCGAGAAGACCCACTTGTCAGCCGTGTCTCGGGGTGGGGGGCACTGCAAGGCCTGGCGCTGTTTTGTGCACGTTAAATGCCCAGCAGTATCTCCCAGACCGGCAACCCCCGACCCTCCAGTCTCCATGTCTTACAGAAGCCAAATTCGAGAGTTATATAATTTCTAGTGCTGCTGTTGCTCCTGCCTGAGGAAACACTTCATCGCGTGGAGGGTGCAGGACATTTCAGTGCTCTTCCCTAAAAGAACGGGGCTTGGGCAGGGGTGGCCAGCGGTGGCAAAGAAATGTCTTGTCTTTTCTGCAAAAGGAAGGTGGGTAGTTTGAAGAGAGATTGAGAGAAAAGGTGGATGTGAAAGCCAAGCAGCTGCACTTTCTCATTTAGGAAATCGCGGACCGTTTACATAGCTTATGCTTACATGTCTAATACTACTACGGCGTCTCTGAAAACACCTTTGGGGGAAGGTTTGGCTTCTCTCGAAGTCTCAGTGTTTTTCCTCGCCGGATAGGGAGCTGCTTGAATGCGAAGAGATGGCATGATGTGAATGACTCCAGTGTGAAGAAATCTGCTTCGCCAACTCATCCTGCATCAAGTGCCCATTGAGTAGCACTGTCACTTTAATGTCTCCATGCCAAGGGATTGCTTTCCTTTTTTTTCAATCCTCTCGGTTAATACATGGGAGGATCAGAATCAGAGGGGCATTAAGGATCAAGCCTGGGGGCTTGGAGAGCACAGAAGAAAAAAATGAAAGGGACAGCAAGCTGGATTCTGAGTTACTGAGGGGGTGAGATCCGGAACTTCTGATCAGTAAATATAAGGGGGCCTTTCAATGTGTGTTCTGCCACAGAAAACTGTTCAAACTCACCTATCTTTTTAGAGACTGGAGTCAAAGAGATTTTTAAAAGTATTTTTGGGGAGGTGGGGTTACATTTTTCTCTACAGATTTGAGTATCTTTATCATCATCTTTGAATTTGACCATGTATAAAGTAATGAGACCTGTCTAAATTTGGTTTGTGCCTTAATTGAGTTAGTCATTGAACTTCCAAAAATGTTGCTGCCTGAAGAGGAATTTCAGTAACGTTCTTCATGTTTACAATAATTTTCCCAGTTTGTAAAAACAGTCTAAATATTTTCTGAAAATTGAAAAACTTGAAAAACTAAAAAATTACGTTGCTGTAAACTCTGTGGGCGGTGTAAAAAGTTTAGTTGTGGAAAAAATACATCATTATTTTCTTTGTCTGACATAGAAGACTCAGCCTGGATTTCAAAACTGAACACTGAAGTGGTTTGCAACAGTTACCTGGCTCTTGGCCTCAATCCAGCTGGATCAAACTGAGACCTGAAAAGAGATATTGACTCCTGTGGCAGTGGAAAGACCCAAGAATGCCAGTCAAGAAGACAGGTGGGCCATAAGGTTGCTATATAATATTTCTCCCTTTTGTTGGTTCTGGTACTTGTAATTTAAATTATATTCCATTTGAGAGTAAAGTTTTGCTTCAGTTTGGGGGAAATATTTATTGTAATATAGTTTCAGTGGTACATAATTCAGTAATATTATTTTACTAAAGTAAAAGGAAGCAAGACTATAGTATTTATTGATAGATATTTATGATTTCATAAATCAGGTTGTTTATATCACCGTTGGTAATAAGAATAGATTCAGTACCGCAGATTTGGAGTCTCCTTTAGCTTGTTTTCTTAGCTTGTTGAAGGTTACTTTTAAGCAGTCTTTAAAAAAGAAACTTGTGCAGTGGAGCTCTTCCTCATGGGTTTAATATTTATCAAACTAATTACAGAATTGTGAAAGGTAGCAAAGTAATTTCATTTGCACTGAACAAAATTACAGCTTTATAATTTATCTTTTGGTTAAAAAATAGACTTATTATTTGGATTTATTCTAGTGTAAATCTTCACTTTTGTGATAAAGCACAACTTTCGTGACTATTGTGCTTTTCCAGATATATGCATTATCCAATAACATGATTGTCAAGTTCCCCAAATGGGGCAAACACCTGTTTTTTTCCTCCCTCCTCAACAACTTTTATTATTGGAATTGATCAAGATCTAGTGAATTCCTGAAGCATAGTTGATTATATTCTGAACTTGGGGATTCAGTTTAGCTTAGATGCACCCCAGGTTAACTTTGTTCCAAAGGATCCTAGTTTGGGACTGTTTTTGTTTTGTTTTGTTTTGACATTATATGGAAGGTGAGATCAACTGTAAAGAGTTTCTCAAGAGTTTTGAATCAAAACTTATATGAACAGCCTTGAACTCTGCTATACTGGACTAATATAGATCCAAATGTTGTCCAGTTATGTGAGTTGCTACAATCTGAAACTAAAGCTCTGGGTGAATTGCAGGTTAAAGTGGAACTTATCTCTGCATGGTGTTTAATTCTTCTACCTGTGGATTTGTTAGGGATGTTGAGGAAACTTATAATCACTGAGATGCCTTATCCAAGCTGATATTTGTAGAGATGGACAATGATATATAAAACTTTTGGAACACCTAGAACTGTGATATTTGCACACTGGGATTTAAGATTGGGATTGTTTCCTCCCCCTGCTGTTTCTAATAATACCACTGACAGAAGTAAACTGCCTGAGATTTTGGAGCCACACTTGTCCAGACCAGACACAATTGGTTTATCTAGAACAAGAATGGTTTTGGGAATGTAGCCAATAAATGATATGGCTCTTTGACATATTTAAGTTGATGTGTGTTTTTATTCTTTCTACCATTTCTCTAGAGAGTTTCTTTTGGATTACCTTATTTTGAACTAATAATGGAATTAAACACATTACGTGTGTGTGTGAGAGAGAGAGAGACAGAGAGGAAAAGAGTGAAAGGAAGAGAGAATGGGAAGGAGGAGAGACAGAGAAAGAGATAAAAAGGTATGTGGGAAGGAAGAGGAGGAAGGTCAATTGATATTCTAGGTATAACTTAACTAAGCAGGTTTAGTTAGAAAGTTTAGAACTTAATGTTTCTAAACCCCATAAACCGAGTTTCTTAAAAGTTCTTCCCTTTAAAGAACTGTTACAGAAATTGCTGATACATTGGTGAAATTATAATACTTTAGAAGAATTTCCTTTCTTTCCTTCTTCCTCTCTTCCTTTGCCTCCCTCCTTCCCTTTCTTCTTTCCTTCTTCAATAATGAATTGACTAATGGATTGAATTTTTAAAGGAATCAACAAGTTCTTATTAGAAAAACCAGTTTATATTTCTATGATACCAGAGTATATGTTGTATATTTTCCTTATAAACTGATCTAGAGAAACAATGTATCTTGCTTTTAATCTCTTAAAACTGCTAGTATTATGATACATATTCTTGAATATTATAGACAACTAGCCAAACAAGTTATGTGTATATTGTATTTTTCATTGGCTATGCTTACTATCTCTACTGTTTATATAATATAAGAACAGTATTTTTAAGTTTAACCTAGATTTATTCTGCAGGGATCACTGTCCTCTGTCACCTTGAGTCTTTTTCTCTCTTCATTGTTTCATGTGGTAGACATGACGAAAAAGCTAGACTTAATGTGATTCTAAACAATAACTATCCTCACTGAGCCAAGTGTTTATTCATTGTTGAACATATTCTCATTAAAGTATGAAATTTTCATAAGATGGATTTTCATTTGGTATTTAGTTAGTATATTTTTGTCAAAGAGAGAGGAGATTCTTTTACTGATACCATGCAACCATGGTGGGAATTGGGAATGGGTGTGACATCTCACTAAGCCCATTTCTAGGTGCCATTCTGGACTGCCCTTGGATAAGCTGAAACTACTGTGCCTCAAACCCCATATTAACTGCTCGTTTGCTTTATGACATTACTTTCTACTTCTCTCACTCTAGTCTCTTCGCATTTTTACAGATCTCAGTTTTATCAACAGAAGACTCTTCTGTTTCCTCATAGAAGGTTTTTTTTCCTCAGCAGTTGCTTTTCATTCAAGATTTTCTTATCTATAGTAGTAACTTTATTTGCTCCCAGGTGAGCCCTTGGGACAATCTTGGACATATTTTAATTTGTGAAAATTTAGGACCAATTCAGGATAAGTTGTATTAGTATTCTCTGATATGATGCAAGACCATAGTGTGTTATAAGGGTCTGTTTTAACAAGTCTTCTTGAATTGATCTGATATGATTTCCTACTGTGTTAACATAAGAAATAAAAGTTAATGATAGGTACGTCATTTGCCATGTTTTACAGCAGAAAGTTGCTGTTTTAAAGATAAAAATATGCTTTAACAGAATTTTCTAGTACAATGCAGCTTCTTTTTTGAATGGCTTTTTGTTCTCATTGTCATTAAATATGTGGAAGAAATCAATGCCTTTATTACTTTGAGATAAATGTTCATTTCATTTCAGTGTTTTAAAAAATTGTCCTATTGCCAGGCGCGGTGGCTCACGCCTGTAATCCCAGCACTTTGGGAGGCCGAGGCGGGCGGATCATGAGGTCAGGAGTTCAAGACCAGCCTGGCCAACGTGGTGAAACCCCATCTCTACTAAAAATACAAAAATTAGCTGGGCATAGTGGTGCGTGCCTGTAATCCCAGCTACTTGGGAGGCTGACGCAGGAGAATTGCTTGAACCCAGGAGGTGGAGGTTGCAGTGAGGTAAGACTGTGCCGCTGCACTCCAACTTGGCGACAGAGAGAGACTTCGTCTCAAAAAAAAAAAAATTGTCCTATTGTCTTCGGAGCTTCTTTTAAACTGGTGTAGAAGTTTGTCTGAAATTATTTATTTATATGACCCTTTATTTCCTTTGAATTATTTTTTTGCAGTGGTTCTCAGTGATATAATATATATATAAACATTTTTATCATGTACTGAAAGCTAAGTCCTATCTTTTTTATATGTATATGTTTTGACATTATAGCTTTCAAAGGAAGCTGAAGAATGTTATATAATTGGAATCTTTTTTTTTTTTTTTGGGAGACAGAGTCTTGCTCTGTAGCCCAGGTGGGAGTGCAGTAGTGTGATCTCGGCTCACTGGAACCTCCGCCTCCGGGGTTCGTGCAATTCTCTTGACTCAGCTTTCTGAGTAGCTGGGATTACAGGTGCGTGCCACCACACCTGGCTAATTTTTGTATTTTTAGTAGAAACAGGGTTTCACCATGTTGGCCAGGCTGATCTCGAACTCCTGACCTCGTTATCCACCCACCTTGGCCTCCCAAAGTGCTGGGATTACAGGCATGAGCCAGTGCGCCTGGCCTTAGAATCTTAAGACATGATATTGCCATATATCTCATAGGCACCCTTGAAACTGAGATTACAGTTTCCTGGACTCACAGTTCTTAAATTATCTCTTTGCTTTTGGTTGACTGTATACTTCATAAAAGTGTCATTTCTTTTTTTTTTTTTTCCTCTGGGGAAGAGGACCTTATGACTCTCCTGCTTATTTTTTCCCTATTCAAAGTTTTCTTCTTTTGTTGTTTCCTGCACATTATGGCTCCACTTCTTGTTTTATAGTATCTTACTAATTTACATTTGCTTTTTGTTATCGGGTATACTCTGTTTTCATCTCTAGTTTTTCTTAAGTTCTTAAAATCATTTTTTTTTCAGAATCAATAAGAGGGGGAATATGTACAGGTATATCTCAGAGATATTGCGGGTTAGGTTCCAGACCACTGAAATAAGGCCTATTATCACAATGAAGCAAGCTACACAAATATTCTGGTTTTCTGATGCATATATACAATATATTGTATACTACGGTATATATGCACTGGGAAACCAAAATATTTGTTGTATACAGTACAGTATATACTATACTATAGTCCATTAGGTTTGCGATCGTATTATGTCTAAAAACAATGTACGTACTTTAAGTAAAAATGCTTTACAACTAAAAAATGCTAATGATCATATGAGCCTTTAGCGAGTAGTAATCTTTTTGCTGGTGGAAGATCTTGCTTCGTTGTTGATGGCTGCTAACTGATCAGGGTGATGATTGCTGAAGGTTGGGATGTCTAAGGCAATTTGTTAAAATAGGACAACAATGAAGTTTGCCACATCAATTGACTCTTTATTTTATGAGAGATTTCTCTGTAGCATGAGATGCTGTTTGACAGCATTTTACCCACAGTACAACTTCTTTCAAAATTGGAATTGGTTTTCTCAAACCCTGCTGCTGCTTTATCAACTAAGTGTATGTAATATTCTAAACCCTTTGTTGCCATTTCAAACAATGTTCACAACATCTTCACTGGAAGTAGATTTCATCTGAAGAAACCACTTTCTTTGCTCATCCATAAGAAGCAACTCCTCATTCATTCCAGTTTTATCATGAGATTGCAGCAATTCAGTCACATCTTCAGGCTTCACTTCTAGTTCTAGATCTCTTGCTATTTCCATTCCATCTGAAGTTACTTCTTCCACTGAAGACTTGAATCCCTCAAAGTCATCCATGAAAGTTGGAATGAATGTCTTCCAAACTCCCGTTAATGTTGATATTTTGACCTCCTCCTGTGAATCAAGAATGTTCTTAATGGCATATAGAATGATGAGTTCTTTCCAGGAGGTTTTCAATTTACTTTGGCCAGATCTATCAGGGAATCACTGTGGCAGATATAGTCTTACAAAATTTATTTCTTAAATAATAAGGCTTGAAAGTTGAAGTTACTCCTTCATCTGTGGCCTGCAGAATGGATGTACTATTAGCAGGCATGAAAACAACTTTAATCTCCTTGTATATGTTCATTGGAGCTCTTGGGTGACTAGGTGCATTGTCAATGAGTAGTAATATTTGGAAAGGAATCTTTTTTTTTTTTTTCTGAGTAGTAGTTCTCAACAGTGAGCTTAAAATATTCAGTAAACCATGCTGTAAACGGATGTGCTGTCACCCAGGCTTTTGTTGACCTACTTTTAGAGCATGGACAGAATAGATTTAGCATAATTCTTAAAGACCCTAGGATTTTTGGAAGGGTAAATGAGCATTGGCTTCAACGTAAAGTCACCAGCTACATTCACCCATTAGCCTCTAAGAAGCGTCAGCCTGTCCTTTGAAACTTTGAAATGAGGCATTGATTTCTCTCTAGCATTTTCTTCTGATGTAAGGCTATTTTGTCTGAATTGAAAATCTGTTGTTTAGCCATTTTCATCAATTATCTCAGCTAGATCTTCTTGATAACTTGCTGTAGCTTCTTCATCAGCACTTGCTGCTTCACCTTGCACTTTTATGTTGTAAAGATGACTTCTTTCCTTTCACCTCATGAACCAACCTTTGCTGGCTTCCAGCTTTCTTCTGTGGCTTCCTCACCTCTCTCAGCCTATATAGAATTGAAGAGAGTTAGGGCCTTGCTCTGGATTAGACTTTGGTTTGAGGGGAATTACAGCTGGTTTGATCTTCTGTTCAGATCACTAAAACTTTCCCTATATCAACAGTAAGCGTGTCTCTCTTATTATTCGTGTGTTCACTGAAGTGGCCCTTTTAATTTCCTTCAAGAGTTTTTCCTTTGCATTCACAACTTGGCTATTTGGTGCAAGAGGGCTGCCTAGCTTTTGGCTTATCTCAGCTTTCAACATAACTTCCTCACTAAGCTTAATCATTTTCTAGCTTTGAGTGTGAGAAATGTGTAACGTTTCCTTTCACTTGAACACTGAGAGGCCATGGTAGAGTTATTAATTGGCCTAACTTTAATATTGTTGTGTCTCCAGGAATAGGGGGACCTGAGGAGAGGGAGAGAGATGGGGCAATGACCAGTTGGTAGAGGAGTCAGATAACACACAACATTTACAGATTAAGTTTGCTGTCTTATGTGGGTATGATTTGTGGCGCCCCAAAACAATTACAATGAACATCAAAGATCACTGATTACAGATCACTGTAACAAATAAAAGACTAATGAAAAAGTTTGAAATATTGTGAGAATTACCAAAATGTGACGCAGAGACATGAAGTGAATATATCCTGTGGAAAATTGCCAGTGATAGACTTGTTTGACACAGGGTTGTCACAAACTTAATTTGTGAAAAACGTGTTGTCTGCAAAGTGCAGTAAAGCAAAGTGCAATAAAATGAGCTATGCCTGTACCTGACTTCATTGAGTGGCCTTGTGTGGTTATTTTATTCCTTTTGCAAGCATTTTACCAAATTTGTATTTGAATTTTCATGTTTGCCATACCAGTAATATATGGAGAGCTTGTCTTTTTTTTTTTGAGACGGAGTTTTGCTCTGTTGCCCAGGCTGGAGTGCAGTTGCGCAATCTCGGTTCACTGCAACCTCCACCTCCTGGGTTCAGGCGATTCTCCTGGCTCAGCCTGCCGAGTAGCTGGGATTACAGGCGCCTGCCACTGTGCCTGGCTAATTTTTTCATTTTTGGAAGAGAGGGGATTTCACCATGTTGGGCAGGCTGACCTCAAACTCCTGACCTCAGGTGATTCATCTGCCTCCACCTCTGAAAGTGCTGGGATTACAGGCATGAGCCACTGCATATGGCTGCACATGTTTTTTCTGTTTTCCAAAACTTCAAGTTTTTTTTTTAATCTCTTCACAGCCATAAAACTCAAAAGAATTAAGCACTGAATCATCCTAGAGAAAGATGGGAAAACACAGTTTTCAAACTTTTGCATTTTCTGTAAGTCAAAGTAAAATAGACAATTTACTAAAGTTTTTTTTTTTAATTTAAAATTCCCCAATTAAAAAAATTAGCTGGGCTTGTTGGCATGTGCCTATAGTCCCAGTTACTTGGGAGGCTGAGACTGGAGGATTGCCTGAGCCCAGGAGTTTGAGACTGCAGTGAGCTGTGATTGTGCCACTGAACTCCAGCCTGGGTATCCCATATCTTTTTTATTTTAAAAGAAATTCCCCGTAGGGACAATTTTGACCTTGGATAAGCTATAGACTCTTGATATTGTAAAATATTAATTAATCCAGGAGGCATAAATAGAATGAATTCCAGAATGAGAAATAGAAGAATACTTTTTGTGTTTAACTACTGATTAGGAGTTTGCTATGAAGCAACTTAGTGAGGAAGACGTAGAGATAAAATGATCTGTTAATTGATTTTATTTTACATATCTATTGGGAGAGTACAAAGCATATGCTAATGACTTGATACTAGAAAATGTGTGAACTTCTGGGTTTTTGGAAATCTGCTCAAGTGTTTTTATTTATGATAGAATATTTGATTTCTCCCTTAGGCCTATTATTGTTTACTTTTGTGGGTAGAAGAATCTAGTCAGTGAGGTATGCACAAAACATTGGATTTTACTTATTTATTTTTAAAAAACTTCAACTTTTTCTTAGATTCAGTGAGTACATGTGCTGATTTGTTACATGAGTATATTGTGTGATGCTGAGGTTTTGGATATGAATGATTCTGTCACCTAGGTATTGAGCATAGTACTCAATAGGTGGTTTTTTAGCCCTTGCCCCACTAGTCCCTTGCGTAGTGTCTATTGTTCCTGTCTTTATGTCCATGTATACCCAATTCTTAGTTCCCACTTGTAAGAACATGCGGTATTTTGTTTTCTGTTTCTGTGTTAATTTGCCTGGGATAAACATTGGGTTTTTAAAATGTTGGATTAAGGCATTCTGTTCATTCATGCCTTTGTCAATAAGTAAATTTCTCACTGTTCTGTAAAATACATTTACTGAACTATACGAATACTATACTTTCTTAAATATATATTCTCCTTATATGCTTATTTCTTAATACTATGTTACCATGTCAGTGATTACAAAATATTTTTTAGTATAAGGGAGAGATTTTTTTTTTGATTGGGATAAGGGAATGTGTTCTCCAGCTACAATTCTTGCCCAGGAATTTATGGCAGTCAAGACACAAGTATTTCTATATCCTCAATGTAGGTTGCTTTGTCAGCAAAGGATCATGAGTTTTATCCAGTCTCTTCTGTCCAGTTAGTCATTCTGAATTCCAACTAATAAGCTTTCCGCATGGGTTCAATTTTTAGTAAGTTTTCAAAGCTATTTCAAGAATTATGGCCAAATCACCTTCATTATGAAACGATTCTCCTGACCTCCTTTATTTTAGGATTTAAGATCAAGAGGAATGGTATAGTATAATAAAGTAGAAAATCCTGTGAAAATGAATTATTAAATTTAAACTTTCAAAGATTATGGGTAAGATTTTTGTAACCCATTTCTTCTGGTAACACCATTTTGCTAGCCACTGAGGCCCTAATTTAGGATACAATTTTGAAGCTTCTATCAGGGGCTTATCATTTTGAAGGACTGTGACATCTTTATCATTAAAAGCATGGTAATACTTGGAATAAACCTATTAAGTTCTGTTCTATTTAAACATCTCTCATAGGTAATAAACAAGCTAAAATTCTTTTAAAAGGTAAACTGGTGTATATATGGTGTAAACTGGTGTATATATTTAAGGCAATGACTCTACTTTCATTTATTTATTCAATCATTTATCCATTCAACAAAGGTGTATTATGAGTGCCTGCTATGTGCCAGGCATAGTGCCAGATGCATGTTTGAAGTAGCAAATGATATTCAATCTCTGCCTGTATGAATCTTAAAATATATTAGGAAGACAGATGCAAAAACAGGCAATTTCAATGCTGTGTGGTGAGGTTAACGCTCTTTGTCAAGAAAACAGACAAGGAACACTCAATCCCACTAGGGAAGATGTAATATTTAAGATGAGATACAGAAGATGAATAGAAGTTTACCAGACAATGTGGGAAATGGCAAGAGGCTGTTTCAGATCATTATTTATTTTTCTTGTTTTTTGGCCTTGAACTATATAATCACATCCTGTGTTATCATCATCATCGATAGCAGTGACATGGTGGAAAAAACCTAGAACAGTAGTCAGAAGATTTGGCTACTAAAAGAAGGGACAGGATCAGGTAATCCGTGAGCTGGACTTGGTCTGTAAATTTAGGTATGTTAGAAGTATCCATTTATTTTCTGTAATTCACCTTTACTCTTAGTAACTGAGTAACAGACAAAATAACTTATCCTTTTTGAAGTTTTCCCCACTTCCCTGGGGTTAAGGTGGGGTTCTGCCTGGAATGGGAGTGTCTTCTGGTTGTTGATCATCTATATAAAACAGCTTACTTCTGACATATGAGTTGTTGTGTCTAGATAGCTCTTTCTCGTCTGGTTTGACAGATATTTGATATGTCCGAGTCATGGACTTTTACCTTTTTCTAGAATGTCTGTGTTTCTGTTTGCCTAGATGCGTTACAATGCCATTCCTCTTGGGTCTTGCTGCCTTCCAAGCAATGTTGCCAATAACAAGAGCCTAGATCCCTGATCCCTTGAGATCCAAAGACTTTTTTATGTTTTCTTCAGCTGGGAAAATTTTTTTCTACGCTGTGAAGGGGCTAGGAGAAGTCCCTTTCTCTGCCTGTACCCGAGAATCTCTTTTTCATCTCTGACAAACTCTTATTTTATTCTGAGGGCTTAGGTTTTTAGAAAGCAAAACTGGAATTACTGAAAAATTCCTTCTGGGTTTTGTCCTGGCATATAGCGCCCCTGAGGCAATAAAGTAGGGAACCAGTTGTCGCTGGAATGAGAAAAAAGGAAATGGGAAAATTTAGGTAGAAAAAAGTTTTAATATCTCAAAGTACCAATCTCCCATGTGTAAAATACAGGTTACTTGCCTTCTTATGATGATGCCACCAAGATCCTGTGAAAATCATGTAATCCTTCTGAACTTGTTTCCTTTTAAAAAAGGGATTTAATGCTTTTTTCCCCCTTACTATATACTGTTTCTTTTTCCCATCAAATATGATAATGTTCATGAACTTCACTTTTACAAAGCTAGTTAGTGATGGAATTAGGACCAGAAGCTTGTCTGATGCTTTCCTTTTTACTGTATGAGTGTGGTAGTCTTTGAACAAGTGAATGGCATCATAGTGCAGTAGAGGAGAGCCCAGGATTGGAATCTAGCTTTTACCATCAGTTGACTACATTAAGCAAATCAACAGATAGAGCTTCAAATTTTTCCTGTTAAAACTTAAGTATAGTACTAATACCTCTTAGGATTATTGTGAGGATCAAATCAAGAGACCTAGACCATATAAAAATTATTTTGTAGATAAGAAACTGCTGTACAAAAGCTTATCATCTGAATGCATTTTTTTTTAGGGGGGTGGGTGGGTTCAAGGAGGAGAAATGTCAGAGTCCCCTTCCATCAGTGGTTTGGGTTCAGCTTCGTGGTCAGCTTCTGGAACAAGCCTGTCCAGATATGGCAATGATGCATTTGATCACAGATAGGAGATGCCATGCGTGTTTTTAAAAAAAACAGGTTATAACATTTCTTATTAAGATTATTTCTCCTCCAAAGATGCTAAAGTAATTTGTAAATCATCTAATATATACAAAATGATTGCAGTCTTCAGGTCTGCTTTAAGTCTTGCCATACATATTCTTCACTATTTAAATTCCAAATTTTATTTATTTATTTATTTTTCTAGATAAATAAATCTGGAATGATGCAAAAATCAGTATTTAGCTGAAGATGCAATTTTTAATCTTTTTTTTTTGAGATGGAATCTTGCTCTGTTGCCCAGGCTGGAGTGCAGTGGCATGATCTCAGCTCACTGCAACCTCTGCTTTCTGGGTTCAAGCGATTCTCCTGCCTCAGCCTCCTGAGTAGCTGGGATTACAGGCACCCACCACATGCCCAGCTAATTTTTGTATTTTTAGTAGAGATGGGGTTTCGCCATGTTGCCCAGGCTGGTCTTGAACTCCTGAGCTCAAAGTGATCCGTCTGCCTCGGCCTCCCAAAATGCTGGGATTACAAGCATGAGCCACATGCCTGGCCAATTCGTTGTTTTCTTACTTTCTGTTTACTGCTGCGTAGCCTTGCACATTTTCTATCATTCCCCTTTAACAAGTTTATAGAAAATTTGAAAGCATGGCTTGTCTGAAAGGAGAGATATAAATTTACCGTTTTATACTATTAATAATATCTTCTTGTTTCAACAGGGAAAATAACCAGATCAACAGGTGTTAGTTGAAGTATATTCAAACAATTCTTTTTTAGGGAGGGTAAAGTATAATTGCAAAGAATAATTATAGAAGAAAGAAGCATTGTGATCCTTTCCTAGTAAATCAAGTTTCAATATGGCATAATGCTTTGTATGGGCTTTGGTGGCAGATAGATCAGCATTTGCATTGTGGTTCCAGCACTTACTGTTATGTAGCCTTGGGCAAATGTACTCTATTTCCCTCAGTCTAAAATTTCCCCATTTGTGAAAATGTATATAGTAGTAGTTCTTAGGATTCTTTTGAAGATTAAATAAGGTGATCAGTGCAGAATGCCTAGCATTGTTCCACAAATGCTAGCTAATATTATTAGTAATAAAATGACACCTTTGTGGTATCACCTTGAACTGTACGTTTGTTTTATTTATTTGGAGATGGAGTTGCACTCTCGTTGCCCAGGCTGGAGTGCAATGGCGCCATTTTGGCTTACTGCAACCTCTGCCTCCCAAGTTCAAGCTGTTCTTCTGCCTCAGCCTCCTGAGTAGCTGGGATTACAGGCATGGGCCTCCATGCTCAGCTAATTTTGTATTTTTAGTAAAAACGGGGTTTCTCCATGTTGGTCAGGCTGGTCTTGAACTCCTGACCTCAGGTATCCACCTGCCTCAGCCTCCTCAAGTGCTGGGATTACAGGTGTCAGCCACCATGCCCGGCCGAACTATACATTTTAATGTTAATTTTTAAAAAAAAAAAAAAACCTGGTTCAAGACTAACTTTTCTGTTGCTATTCATTACTTTATTACTTTCTCATGAGTGTCCTTGATTTGTAAAAAAGCAATAACATCAACAATAAGAATTAAGCATATGTGAATACTTCTTAGTAAAATACTTTTGTGTCTGGAATGAGTGGATTCTGTCTTGTTGACTTCAGGAATGAAGCCACTGATACTCGTGGTGAGTGTTACAGTTCTTAAAGATGGTGTGTCCAGAGTTTGTTCCTTCTGATGTTTGGATGTGTCCAGAGTTTCTTCCTTCTGGTGGGTTCATGGTCTCGCTGACTTCAGGAGTGAAGCTGCAGACCTTCGCGGTGCATGTTACAGCTCTTAAAGGTGGCATGTCCAGAGTTGTTCATTCCTCCTGGTGGGTTTGTGGTCTTGCTGACTTCAGGAGTGAAGCTGCAGACCTTCACAGTGTGTGTTACAGCTCATAAAGGTGGCACATACCCAAAGAGTGAGCAGCAGCAAGATTTATTGCAAAGAGCGAAAGAACAAAGCTTCTACAGCGTGGAAGGGGACCCAAGCGGGTTGCTGCTGCTGGCTCGGGCAGCATGCTTTTATTCCCTTATTTGGCCCCACCCACATCCTACTGATTGGTCCATTTTACAGAGCGCTGCTTGTTCTGTTCTACAGAGTGCTGATTGGTCCGTTTTTACCAAGTGCTGATTGGTGCATTTACAAACCTTTAGCTAGACACAGAGCACAGATTGGTGCATTTACAATCCTTTAGCTAGACACAGAGAGCTGATTGGTGCATTTACAATCCTTTAGCTATACAGAAAAGTTCTCCAAGTCCCCACCTGACACAGAAGCCCAGCTGGCTTCACCTCTCAATCCCATCTCTAAACAGGACACCCCAATTGCTGTCGGGAATTTGGCCGATGACTGCTCTAGCTACTTTCTGCTGGATGGGGTGAAGAAGGGGCCCTGCAGTTGTGGTGTCCTCCAGAGGTTAACTCTTTAGGCCAGTGAAAGGACTGGTGGGTCAGTCCAGGGGTCCTCAGTAGAAGTTGTTAGTTGAGCTCATTTAGGGTTCCATTTGTAAGACCATCGGTAGCTTGATGGCCTCGATTCTAGAGGAAACAAATTTGACAAGCAGGTTAAAAATACAGGGCCCAAAGGCGAGTAACAGCAAGATGGCTGCCATGGGACCTAGAAAGGGGAGGAGCCATATTGCCCAACTCTAGAGGTTGGTAAGAGTTTGAAAGGCGTTTTCTGATTTCAGAAGCCTTTTCCTATAAACGCCGGACAGCATCTCATACTATCCCTGACTGGTTAGTATAAAAACAACACTCTACCCCTAAGAAGGTGCAGAGTCCTCCTTTCTCAGCAGTGAGGAGGTCTAGGCCTCGGTAGTTTTGGAGAGTCACTGCTGCCAAAGAGTCTGTTTGGGGTTGTGGTTACTATCCTTACTGGATAGATTTTGTTATTTCTTGCAAACTGTCTGAGAATTCCTGTGAGAGTGTGTGGTAGTAGGATAATGAAGTACATAAACCTGCTATTCCAGTTTCTGTAGCAGTAGCCATTCCTAACCCTATAAGTAGGGGTATTAGTTGTATGGCTCTGCGCTGATGGACTTGAGCTTTGAGGGGTACTGATAAGGTCTGATTTTCATAAGATTAGAAGTTAGGATAATATATGTTACACTGTAAACTTTTAGCAAACTTTACTTTTGTTGAAAACCTTGTAAGTTTGGGATTTCAATTATTCTTTGCTATTAGTAAGACCTCGTTCAGTCCATATTAACTTAAAATTGGTATAGATGGCTCCTTCCTGATTCTGTAAGTACTTTAAAGTTTGGCTGAGTGCAAACAGCTCGCACATTTGAGCAGACCAATTATTAGGCAATTTTCCTAACTCTGCTTCTACAAGAGTTTCCTCACTGAATATCCATTGTGTCTTTGTTTCCTTACTTGCCTGGGAGGAACCATCTATCATCCTGTCCTGAAGGGAGTTCCTCCTAGGTCTGGTCAGACCTTCGTATGATAATTAGTTAAGATTTAGATCCCTTGTTGGGAAACCTGCTGGGTTAAGGATTTTTGATAGGAAGGCTATGGGTTGTCAGTGGCCTCAGTGCTTTCGGGCTATGCCCTTGTTGACACTGACAACAAGGTGGTATTGGAGTGATATAGGGTTACAGAGAAGACCTTCAATTATCAATTATAGGTTTTAAATTTACCCTGACTTTTAAAGGAATAGGGTACACTGTTTTTTCTTTACTACTTCTATTTCTTTCTGTCTCTTTGACTCCTTTGTATCTTCCTCTCTTTCCTTCTCTCTTTGACTTTCAGTCTCTTCCTCTCTGTCTCTCTCTTTGACTTCCTATCTCTCTTTTTCTCTCTCTCTATATCTCTGTCTCTTCCTCTCTCTCTCTCTCTGCTGGTCTTTCCCTGCCTCTGCCAGCTGCTTATGCTGCTGTTCTCCCCTCTCCTTCCCCTTTTTGATGGCTTCGACAGTGTAAGACTGCCACCCCCTTGGGTTTTTGCACTGAGTGCAATAACTCCATGATTTCCTTGTGGTATTTAATGGGGGTTCCCCCAGAGGTTAGGAACTCCCTTTCTTTCCATATTGTAGCATAGGCATGTAGGATTAGATAAGCATATCTGCTATCTGTATACACATTTATTCTTTTTCCCTTTCCCAGTTATAAGGCTCGGGTAAGTGCCACTAGTTCTGCTAACTGGGCACTGGTCCCTGGGGGAAGAGGTTTACTTTCAAGTACGGTTACATCATTAACTATGGCATAACCTGCCCGTAGTATCCCATTCTCCACAAATGAACTTCCATCAGTCTAAGTGGACTTCTAAGAGATCATCTCGGGCGGCATAAGTTTGGACTATAAGTTTGGCAGTCATGCTGATTGGTTCCCCATCCTCTGGGAGAAAAGTGGCAGGGTTGAGGGCTGCACACATAGGTATTTGAAGCACCGGTCCTTCAAGGAGTAGTGCCTGGTATCTAAGTAGGCAGTTGTCTGATAGCCATAAACTTCCTTTGGCACCTAGTATGCCATTTACATCATGAGTAGTCCAGACAGTGAGATCTTTTCCTTGTATTATCTTGATAGCCTCTGACACTAAGATGGCCACTGCCACAACTACCCTTAAACAGTGAGGCCAGCCTTTTGCTACTACATCAATTTTCTTACTTAGGTATGCCACTGGTTGGGGGTTCATCCCATGAGCCTGCGTAAGGACTCCAAGAGCTATCCCTGCTGTCTCTGTGACATATAGAGATAAGTTTTGTCCTGTGGGAAGGCTTAAAGCTGGAGTTGTACTAGGGCCCGCTTTAAGGTTTTGAAGGCTGTTTCTGACCCTGGTTCTCATTCTACTAGATGAGTATTTGCCCTCTGGGGCTCCTTGATTAGAGTATAGAGTGGTCTGGCCATCTCGCTGTATCCGGGGATCCATAGTCGGCAAAAGCCCGTGATTCCAAGGAACCCCTGCAACTGTTTTAATGTCTTAGGGTGATGATAAGCCAGTATAGGCTGTATTCATTCCTTGCTGAGGGCCCTGGCCCCTCTGGCTAAGATTAAGCCTAGATATTCGACCTGCTGTAGGCAAAGCTGGGCCTTTGACCTAGATGCCTTGTACCCTTGATTAGCTAGAAAGTTCAAGAGATCTAGAGTAGCCTGTTGGCATGAGGCTTCCAAACTGGTAGCCAAAGGTAAATCATCCACATACTGAAGGGCCAGAGTGCCTGAACTTGAGAAGTGGCCTAGATCTTGGGCCAGTGCCTGACCAAACAGGTAAGGGCTATCCCTAAACCCGTGGGGCAAGATCGTCTGTGTAAGTTGGGATGTGTGGTCTGTGGGGTCCTCACAGGCAAAGAGAAACTGGGAGTCAGAGTGCAGGGGAATACAGAAGAAGGCATCCTTGAGGTCCAGAACAGTGAACCATTCTGCTTCCTCTGATATTTGAGAGAGCAGGGTATAGGGGTTGGGTACAACTGGATATAGAGGAATTATTGCCTTATTGATGAGTCCAAGATCTTGCACTAGTCTCCACTGACCATTCAGTTTTTGTACTCCTAGAATTGGGGTGTTGCAGTCACTGCTGCATTTCCTTACTAAGCCTTGAGCTTTTAAATGTTTAACAATATCTTGTAATCCTTTATGAGCTTCAGGCCTTAAGGGATGTTACCTTTGATAAGGAAAAGTGGTGGGATCTTTTAGCCTGATTTGGACTGGGCGGGCATTTTTTTCCTTCCAAATTATCCTTCCAATGCCCAGACTTCAGGGTTGATTCCCTTCTCAAGTAGGGGACAACAAATGGATAACTTGTTCCCCATATTCATGTAAATAATAGCTCCAGCTTTGGCTAATATATCCCTCCCTAATAAGGGTGTGGGACTTTCAGGCATAACAAGAAAGGCATGTGAAGAGAGCAAAGTCTCCCAATTACAACTGAGGAGGTGGGAGAAATACCTGGTTACAGACTGTCCCAGGATTCCCCGGATGGTAACGGACCTTGAGGACAGTCGTCTGGGACAGGAGATTAACACTGAGAAGGCCGCACCAGTGTCCAGGAGGAAGTCAATTTCCTGGCCCTCAATGGTTAAACGTATCCGGGGCTCAGTGAGGGTGATAACATGAGCTGGTGCTTGCCCCAGGCACCCTCAGTCCTGTTGTTGGGTCTTCTTATTGGGGGTTACTGGCCCAGAGAACCTCTGCACTCTGTGGCAGTGCACCTTCCAGTGATTGCCTCAGCATAGCAGACATGGACGAGGGGGCAGCTTGTTTCTCATTGGACAATCTTTTTTAAAGTGTCCTTGTAAACCACACTGATAACAAGCCCTACCGAGTGATTGGCCTGCTCCATTTTCTGACCTCTTTGAACCACCAAAGTTTGTTTGTCTGAGGGCCATGACTAAGGCTGTGGTCTTTCTCTGATTTCACTTTTCCTTTTGGGCCTGTTCCTCTTGGTCCCTATTATAGAACACTGAGGTTGCCTGGTTTAATAATGCCTCCAGATTTTGTTCAGGGCCCAGGGCTTGCTTTTGGAGCTTTCTCCTGATATCTGCAGCTGATTGGGTAATAAATGTATCTTTTAGAATCAATTGACCCCGTAGTGAGTTGGGTGACAGGGGAGTATATTTTCTTAAGGCCTCCCGTAGCCACTTGAGGAAGGCAGAAGGATTTTCTTCCTTTCCCTGAGTTATGGTGGACATCATTGAGTAATTCATGGGCTTTTTCCTAATTCTCCTTAGTCCTTCTAGAACACAGGTCAACAGATGTTTATGACTCCAGTCCCCATGATCTGAGTCAGGGTCCCAGTGGGGATCCATACTGGGGATGGCTTGCTGGTCAGTAGGGAATTTGTCCCTTTCCTCAGCTGTCATTCTATCATTTACTTGACTGAGATACCAGGTATCTCCAAACTCTCATGCTGCAGCTAAAGCCACATTCTTTTCATTAAAGGCCAGGGTTTGAGCTAACAATAGCATGACATCTCTCCAAAAGAGATTGAAGGTTTGCCCTAGACCCTGTAGGACATCTATGTACCTATCAGGACCATCTGAAAACTTCACCAGGTCTGCCTTGATCTGCTTTAAATCAGAGAGGGAGAAAGGGTCATGTACCTGGGTGGGGCCAAATTCCCCACCCCCTACAGCTTGAAGGGGACAAAACTGACAGCCTGGGGGGTTTTGTGGTCCTTTGGAGATTTCTTTGCTTATTTCCTTCTGGGCCGGGGAGATTAGAGGAGGCTTATCCTTAATGGGAAGGGGAGCTGTAGGGAGGCTAGGATATGAGGGTAAGCTGAAAGATCCTCCTGTGGGATGTAAATTGCAAGCTTTGCATAGTTATGTATTCTCCTTCAATGAAAAGAAAGCATGGACGTAAGGTATTTCACTCCATTTGCATTCCATCTTACAGAAAAGGTCAAACTGCAGGATAGTATTGTAAGTTATACTTCCCTCAGGTGGCCATTTTTCCCCATCAGAGAGAGAGAGAGAATAATGGGGCCAGACCATAGTGCAGAAAAAAATGAGCCACCTCTTTTTCAGGGTTTTTGGGTCAAATTGGTCCCAATGGCTTAGGATGCATTTCAAGGGTGAGCCTTTTGATGCCTGAGTGTTTCCCATCTGAAAGACAAAACCACCCATGGTTTTGGTTTGTTTCTCCCCATGCCCAAGAACCCACAACGGTCCCTGGACCCTGCTAATCAGAATAGTTGTGCTCACCGCCACAGCAGCAGAAACACTAGTTTTCCTCCTAGACCACAAGGAGGACCAAGGAAGGTCGGATTTAGTGGCCCTTACTGATGCATTCTCGAAAACCTGCACCCTTGCCTGTCCTCCTAGACCACAAAGAGGACCGAGAAAAATCCAATGTAGTCACCTTTACTGAAGCATTGTCGAAAACTTGTTAGAGTCCTAAGCATTCTTCTGTTAGTATTGGGATTTTACCCATGTCCTATAAAGATGTTATGCCCCAAAAATTAAGTGGAGGGCCATACCCTGAGGGAGGGGAGGGATCTCCAGAATTGGAAGACTGATGCCTTTTATCTTCACTTATATGAATAGGAAGGATACAATTTCTGAGGCTCCCCATATCCTAGCTGTAGGAATAGCCTTTATTAGGCCTGCTTGTCTGAGGAGGGATCCTAAAATTCCAGATAGTCTCCCCTATGACGGGGCTTTGGGCAAAAATTATGTCTTTTTGATTGGTGAGCCCAGGTGCCAAAAGAAGGTAACAGAGTCCTGGAGTTTATACTAGAAATCATTCTTATAGGAGAAACTAGAAAAGCACCAGAGAGAGCGAGTGGTTTTTATAAGCGGGACTAGCCTTGGAGAAGACAGGTGAGAGGAAGTTTATCTGGCAGGCGTTAGGACCCGGGGGCAAGGATCAAGATAGATGGATGAGTCTTGCTTGGGCGACATGACTTTGAGTTTCACTCATGGCTGCAGGGTCAACCAACTTGTTGTCGGGACCCTGGAGTTGAATGACTTTCCCCTCTGTCGACCCTTGGCTCAGCCCAGAAGTACGGGAAATGCAGAAGCTGGTTCCAGGCAAACCAATGCTCCCAACTCTGAAGAGTCGGGGTTTGTTAGAGAGCCCTTTCCCAGAAAGCCTGACACCCGTGTCTTTAGTCCGGCGGCTGTGCTAGTCACTTTTAACTGGCCAATAGGTGTCTGGTATTTAGCCCCTGAATTCTAAGGAAAAATAGGACAGAATAGCAAGTGAAAGTGGTCCAATGGTACTCACCACTTGGCGATAGGCGATAATCTCACTGCTTGGCGAAAGGTGATGGTCCCTTCATGGTCGCCAAAATGTGTCCAGAATTGGTGGGTTCTTTGTCTCTCTGACTTCAAGAATGAAGCTGTGGACCCTCGTGGTGAGTGTTACAGTTCTTAAAGATGGTGTGTCCAGAGTTTGTTCCTTCTGATGTTTGGATGTGTCCAGAGTTTCTTCCTTCTGGTGGGTTCATGGTCTTGCTGACTTTAGGAGTGAAGCTGCAGACCTTTGCGGTGAGTGTTACAGCTCTTAAAGGTGGCGCGTCTGGAGTTATTTATTCCTCCTGGTGGGTTTATGGTCTCGCTGACTTCAGGAGTGAAGCTGCAGACCTTCGCAGTGAGTGTTATAGCTCATAAAGGCGGCGCAGACCCAAAGAGTGAGCAGCAGCAAGATTTATTGTGAAGAGCGAAAGAACAAAGCTTCCACAGTGTGGAAGGGGACCTGAGCAGGTTGCTGCTGCTGGCTCAGGTGGCCTGCTTTTATTCCCTTATTTGGCCCCACCCACATCCTGCTGATTGGTCCATTTTACAGAGAGCTGCTTGGTCCATTTTATAGAGTGCTGATTGGTCCGTTTTACAGAGTGCTGATTGATCCGTTTTTACCAAGTGCTGATTGGTGCATTAACAAACCTTTAGCTAGACACAGAGCACTGATTGGTGCATTTACAATCCTTTAGCTAGACACAGAGCACTGATTGGTGCATTTACAATCCTTTAGTTAGACAGAAAAGTTCTCCAAGTCCCCACCTGACCCAGAAGCCAGCCGGCTTCACCTCTCACTTTCATTTTCTAGTCCTAATGTCTAATAAGTAATGATAAAATTGTGATCATTCAATTTTGTATATATTTAAAATATGAAAAATGTCTAATTGTTATTGCTTGTTTTAATGGATACATATCATACTATAGTTAATCGTTCTAAATCTAAAAAATGGTCATATTCCTCTTCAGTTAAAAATCTTCCATGACTTGACATTCTACCCTTGGTATAAGGCCAAACTTGTTAACATTGTACGTATGCCATCAACTTAATTCTCTACTCCCATGGTACCTGGTACCTTATGATACCATTCTTTTTTTTTTTCTTTGAGACAGAATCTCTGTCTGTCACCCATGCTGGAGTGCAGTGGCACGATCTCAGCTCACTTCAACCTCCGCCTCCCGGGTTCAAGTGATTTCCTGCCTCAGCCTCCCAAGTAGCTGGGATTACAGGCACCCGCAACCATGTCCAGCTAATTTTTGCATTTTTAGTAGAGACGGGGTTTCACCATGTTGGTCAGGCTGGTCTCGATCTCCTGACCTCAGGTGATCTGCCTGCCTTGGCATCCCAAAGTGCTGGTATTACAGGCGTGAGCCACCGCTCCCAGCCGTGATAGCATTCTTATACTCTGTTTTAATCTTTCACTTTGTTGGAATTTCCTAGTTAATTATCTTTATTTTGAGACTAAAATCTCTGTGAGGGTAGACTATTGCCTATTTTGTTCAGTACTGTGTTCCCAGTGTCTGGATATAGTAAGATAGTCAATAAATACTTGATTAATGGCTGAAATAACCTTTTTCTCTATCTACCAGACTTATAAAGGTAGGACCATTTTTATTTATATGTTACAAATACAAATTAAAAGACTAAATTTGAACATTTGTGATTCAACATTTAACCCTAGATTCTAAAATTCAGTGATACGATTTATGTCTGATTGGTCAAGTTTTATTTTATTTTTTCCATAAAAATATGCTCATCTCCATTTCTGGAGGATTAAGGGTGGTATTGTGGAGAGAACACTATACTTGGAATCAAAAGCTTTTGGATTAAGCTCCAAATCTGTTATTTAGTAGCTGTGTGATCTTGGACAAGCCACTCTGAGTTTCAGTTTCATGTAAAATAGGTATGACTTCTCAGTGGTGAGAATCAGATAAGATAATGCATTTAAAAGTTCTTTTTAAACTGTAAAAATGTTGAATAGATTTATGTAAAATAATTTCACTATTCTAAATGCTTTATTTTCCAAAATTTGCCTGTTAAATTCACCTTTTCTCTATTATACTTTGATCTGAGTTTTCCTAATGATACCACTGTATGTTCTGTAATTCTTCATTTTTTAAGCCATGGCAAATGATTTTATGTATCATCATTTTCTTTTCTCTAAAAGTTCATTTGTTAGCACTATTGCCAATCACTGTTTCAAATTTAAATTACCTGTCCCAAATTATTTATAACTTTCTGGTGATGCTATTCTTAAACCATGTACAATATAGAGTTGAACCTTAATTAACAGACACATGATTACCTACAGTTCTAATTATGTAACATTCACTATCCCTTGGTTGCATATTTCATGCAAAAATTTCTTATTTTAAAAAGTGATTCTCCCTTCCCCCCCATTTCCTCCTGTGCCTGCCCTCAAGTAATCCAAATTTAGCTTTTTTTTTTTCCTGTAGACTCAGGAGTCTTATGAAGGTAGAGTTTAATGAAGAAAACAGGAGAATTGAGGCAATTTAGATGAAAAATTCTCCACTTGGTTATTTGAACATCAATTAAAATATGAATCTTGACTTGCTTGGATAATTATCTCAGCTTTCCACTTTATTCAATTTATGGAGATTAGGTTAGGGATTTTTAATTTGTATGAAAAGATCCTTGCCATTTGTCTCATTTGTTTAATTTGTCATTTTTAGATTACCTTCAAACTTTCATTAACCAGAAATAAGGATTTGAGTAGAGAGAGTTGAAGAGCATAATAGAATTGACTCCAGGTGATGATCATTCTCAATAATCAAAAGCAGCATAAAAGGGCAGCCACAATTCCAGCCCTAGATGCTGGTGTGTGAAAGCCTAACTTGGAGACTTGATTATATACGACCTTTTAAAAATATTTTAGCATTTTTTATGTGTCAAATTTTTATCCTACAGCGATGAGAGGCATAGTAAGCTCTGCTGGTTTAGAAAACATCTAGCTGTTTTGAATCAATACAGTATTTTCCCTTTATAGTTATTGGATAAATATATGCTAAATGAGTGAGTGAAATTCCCCTTACTTATCTAATTATATTTGTAGATGTGATTGTGGGAATATTGTTAATACATTTTTGAGAATTGCTCTTAATTTTACTTATTTACTTAGAGACAGGGTATTTTACTTATTTATTTAGAGACAGGGTCTCACTCTGTAGCCCAGGCTGGAGTGCAGTAGCAGGATGGTGGCCCACTGAAGCCTCGAACTCCTGGGCTTAAATGATCCTCCCATCTCAGCCTTCTGAGTAGCTGGGAGTGCAGACGTGCACCACCACACCTGGCTAATTTTAAAATTTTGTTGTAGAGAAAGGGTTTTGCTCTGTTGCCCAGGCTGGTCTCGAACTCCCGGTCTCAAGCCATCCTTCCACCTTGGCCACCCAAAGTGCTGGAATTATAGGTGTGAGCCACCGTGCCTGGCCAAGAATTGCCCTTTAAAAGAATAAACGACTAGGGTAATACCTACAACAATGCCACAGAAGCTTAAAAAAAAAGGCTTTAGTTATAATTGTATTAAAAAAAAAAAGAGAGAGAAAAGAAAAAGGTGCTCAGCACTTGTAGGTTTCCCGAAAAATGTCGGCAGACTTTAATGAGGAAATGAAAAAGACTAAAGCTTTGGGCACTAGAGGTAATCACGTGATTAGAGCCCACAGATACATATAAGTAGAGAGAGAGGTATAGTATAATTATTGTATTGTTGATCACCTACAGTGGTAAGTAAAGTAACTATTTATATTTGTAAATAGTGTGTAGGGATGGGTTAGAAAGTGAGCCACCATCATTTTGGGGAAACTGCTGATTGTTTAATTATTGACAAAATGGGGATTAAAATATTTGTCCTTGATTCAGAGTTGTTAAAACATTACGCAAGTAAAGTGTGAAATCATTTTTAAAAATTAAAGTTTATGCAAATATATTAGCACACATTTATATCACCATTCTTTGTTAATATAAATTGGAGTGAGCTCTCTGTTCATCCACATTTATTTCTATATTTCTAATCTTACTAGATAGAAGAGGAGTAGTTACGCAATGTCCTCCTCCATCTCTTATTGCCCAATTGAAATTCTCATTTCCTTCAAGGGGATAAGCTTGAAGTTTGCTATGTTATATAGGAGTATTAGGGAAGGCCTTACTACTAAGATGATATATAAGCAGAGATATGAAAGAAGTGAAGGAGCAAGCTTTATGGATACCTGAGAGAAGAGTGTTATAGGCAGAATCACAAGTATAGAGGCCATGATATAGGAGAGTTCTTGATATATTTGAGAAACAGCATACTGTGGTTGGAGTAGATTGAGCAAGAGGAGAGGTCTAAGAGCTGAAGTCAGAGAGGTGGGCCTTTGCTCTGAGTGGGATGGGGAGACACTGGAGGGTTTGAGTTGAGGAATGACATAATCTAGTTGATGACTTGAAAGGATATTTTTGGCTATTGGGTTTAGAAAAGACTGTAGGCCAGCCTGGGCAACATAGTGAGACCTCATCTCTACAAAAAAATCAGAATTCAAAAAATGATTTGGGAGGATCACTTGAGCCTGGGAGGCTGATGCTGAAATGTGCAGTGATTGCCCCACTACATTCCCATCTGGGTGACAGAGAGAGATCCTGCTTAAAAGAAAACAAAAAACAAAACAAACAAACAAAGACAGAAAGAAAAAAGAAAAAAAAGAGAAAAGACTGTAGGAGGGCAAAGGTGACAGCATGTAAACTAGTAGAACATTGCAGTAATGTAGGGGATAGATGATGATGGGTTGTGCCAGGGTGGTGGCACTGGAGGTAGGGAGAAGTGATGGGATTCTGCATATAATTTGATGTTGGAGCCCACAGGATTTACTGATGGATAGATGTAGAGAATTAGAGAAAAGAATGAATGCTGACTTCAGGAATTTGGGTCTGAATAATTGGAAGGGTGAAAGATGGAGATACATTGGAGGAGAAGCAGACTGAGGGTGGGTGGATAAGATCTGGAGTTCAGTTTTGACAAGTGAAGTTTGAGATGCTTATTAGACATCCAAATGGAAATGTTGAGCATTCAGCTGGATATGAGTCTGGAATTCAGAGTAAAGTTCTGAGCTACAGATATACATTCGGAAGTCTTGAGGGTGCTGGTAATATTTAAAACTACGGAATTAGATAAGATTATCAAGGAAACTGGGTAAGATTATCCAGGGAGTAAGATTAAAGAAGTCTTACCATGTTCAGAGGTATTCTAAACATCTTAAGCCCTCATTGAGAAATTAGAGGGAACTAATAAATGTGATTGAGAAAGGGCATCCATGAAGTGGGAAAACAATCTGGGAGAGAGTGCTGCCCTGGAAATAATGGTGTGCTGGAGACGGCTCATGTCAGCTTGCAAGAGCTTATCATTAAATTTTCAGCAAATTTGCAAGACAATACAGCCATTTCAAAAATGTTAAAGCCTGGCACGGTGGCTGACACATGTAATCCCAGTGCTTTGGGAGGCCGAGGTGGGTGGATCACAAGGTCAAGAGATCAAGACCATCCTGGCCAACGTGGTGAAACCCTGTCTGTACTAAAAATACACAAATTAGCTGGGTGTGGTTGCACACACCTGTAGTCCCAGCTACTCAGGAGGCTGAGGCAGGAGAACTGCTTGAACCCAGAAGGCGGAGGTTGCAGTGAGCCGAGATCACGCCACTGCACTCCAGCCTGGGCAACAAAGTGAGACTCCATCTCAAAAAAAAAAAAAGTTAAACTCAACCACTTAAAAATTATGCATAAACTATGGACCAGGCATGGTGGCTCATGCCTGTAATCCCAGCACTTTGGGAGGTCAAGGCAGGAGGATTGCTTGAGGTCAGGAGTTCAAGACTAACTTGGGCAATGTAGGGAGACCCCATCACTAACAAAAATAATTACACATAAACTTAACTAAATTATATTAAAAAGTAATAAATACTCAACAGTCATCAATTCTTAATTATTTTTCATTTTCATACCATCTCTGCTCTTGAGTTATTTACATTGATTGTATTTGTGCGGTGGATAAGCTACATAATGGTATGCTGCTGTGCATCTTTTCTCAGATCCATGTTCAGAGACATCATGTTGGTACCTTGAAATTGGCCATGGTGGGAATATTTAGACTTTGGAAATTGCAAATGCTACAAATTTGGGCTTGATTTATTGTTTTGCTGATAAGAAAGTGATAAAGTAAATACTAATAATTTAAGCGCAAGTTAAAAGCATTTTGTGTCTGTTGCTGTTACATTGATATTAGTACAGAAATTGAGGAAATATTTGTCCACTATTCAAAAATTATTATCTGATTCAGTAAACAAATAACATAATTGAGTGAGGTTTTCACAAAAACTATCTTTGTTGTTTTATTTTCATTTTATTAATATGACAACATAATCAAACCACATATATGTTGGAACTACTCATTCATCAGTTATAACCCTAAGTTGGCTATGAATACAAGAATTTGGTAAAAACCAATAAAAATATTATTGAGAATCAACTGACTAATGGAATTTACAATTAAAGGTTGTATATCTTATTATTATTTGTAGACTGGTTGCTATACATCCTTGTGTCAGTAAAATTATAACAAACTCATGTGCGTGTAGGTGCCCATGTTTTCCTTTTTATCTGAACTAGTTTTTAAGTATTTACCAGCACACCTGTGTGGAAGCCTAGTGAAAAAAGTGTTTTCAAGAGTGTGACAATATCAAATGATGCTTATGGGCCAAATGAAATGATTGATAATTGACTGCTGGATTTAGTAATGATGGGATGATTGAGTGGAAAAGAAAGCAATTGATAATGGAACAATTTCCTTGAGTAAGCAAGAGAGGATATATTCCAGTGCTCAAGAGAGGAGTTGACCTTAGAAACAAATTCTTTATTCATAGTAATATAAGGGAAGGCAGACTATGTGGGTGCAGTTACAGGTAAGTCAGTAGATGTTATGTTAGGAGCTTGTGGAATCTGCCTTCTGATTTTCCATGTAATAGGAAGTAATACCATCAGCTGAGAATGGCCATGAGGAAGAAGAGTTGGAAGGTTCAAGAGAAAGGAGGAAATAGAAAATAAATATAAGCTATTGTTATTATAATTGGTATTTAGGCTTTTTTGAAAGTGATAGATTGGAAGGGAAGGAGGGCTTTTAAATTCAAAGACAATTATCACCTAAACACAAAGGTTGTATAACTCTAGTGACTTTTTCAAGGATGTTTTGTCTTGTGAAGGATGAAGACATTATTCAAGAAGTCATAAAATAATAAGATATGGGTTTAAGACTGCCGACAAATTCGTATAGGCAAAGTGGTTTAGAAGAAGACGGAATGATGATTAATTTTAACCATCAGAGATGGCTTTATGGAAGAGAGAGCATTTGAGTTAGATCTGAATGAAGAGAAAGTAGGTGTTCAGTTGACTTACTTGATTATTTTCTGTGTGCTGGATATTGTGCTAGGGATTGTGCATATATTGTCTAATCATAACACCTGTGAGGAAACTGAAGCTCAGAGAGGTTAAGGAACGTGTTAAA
This sequence comes from Homo sapiens, assembly GCF_000001405.40. Classification (NCBI taxonomy): domain Eukaryota; kingdom Metazoa; phylum Chordata; class Mammalia; order Primates; family Hominidae; genus Homo; species Homo sapiens. Next base: position 85,599,539 of record NC_000011.10, on the reverse strand, counting down.
GGTCACACACAGCTAGTAAGTAAGATCTGGGTCATACCTAGATTTGCCTGACAAGAACCCCTTTTCAAGATAGCACGCTGATTCTAGGGAGTATATACAGTGGTATAGGGGAAGAAATACCAGCACAGAGAACAGTAGGAGCAAAGAAAAGTACAGAGGTGAGAAAAAGTAGAGAGAGAGAGAGAGAGAGAAAGAGAGAGGTGGGGGAGAGAGCAAGTGTGCACGTGCATGCGTGTGTGTATGTATGTGGGTGTCTGCGCATGCATGCGTGTAGAGGAAAATGGAAGGGAAAAGTGAGTAATCCAGTATGACTTAGGCACTGTATGTGTGTTTGGAGAGTGTGGACTATATAGTGGGAAATAAGGCTGAAAATATTTGATCATGGGAGGGAGGCCTCAAGGGTCATGTTAAGGAAGTTGGATATTATTTTGCAGGAAGTCATCAATTTTAAGGTCAGTGTCTCTGACAAGAGAGAGTTATATCTAACTTGAACATCGTGGCCAGGATTGAATTCTTTGTTTTGTTTTACAGTTAGGGATTCTTTTGGAAGACAAGACTATAGAAATAAAACTGGATTGTTGAAATTGGCCATTGAGTATAATTATTTTCATATGGTAGTTTATAGAAATTATGATTATTTTATTAAGTTATTTCATGTCATTAAGTTAGGAACACAATTATAGAATAGTTTAATGTTAGTTTTCTATTTTGCTAAGACCATAAAATATAATAATAATATCATGTTTTTCAGATACTGACCGAGCTTTATCATTACTGGAAGAATACTGCAAAAAATTAAGGAAACCAGAGGAGCAGCTGTTGAAAAATGCGGTTAAAAAGGTGATGGGTATCTTTAAGAGCAGCTTATTCCAAGCTTTGCTAGGTATGTATTATGAAAGTTATTCATCATTTTAATGGTCAGAATTGGGCTTGATAGTTTGAATAATGTGGTCAAAGAACCTGATGTTAACCAAGTTTCAAACTGGGATAATTTTCTTTAATACTGGAAGGGAAGATTTGTTTTGTTTTATTTTGTTTTTTGTTTTCCTTTTCCTTATATAAGGTTAACCTAGAAAGGAATTGTTTGAAAATATAAATAAAAAGAGGTTATTGAAAGATATAAATATTGAAAGAATGTTTCATAAAGGAAGAAAAGTTTACACAGAAGAAAACCCTGAGTAGTGTGTTATAAAACATTGAGGACAAATATGCTAAAGAAGGAAGTTGTCTTCCTTCAGGGAAGGAATTGTGTAACATAAAAATGATGGTTCACATTCTACTCAGAATCAAAGTTACACTTTTACTCTCTTCTTAAAACAAAAATAAAAACATCTTTTCATCTTTCTTGCTTGTCTTAGGAAAGTTTATGATCCAGAATTGAAAAGTTTATTGATGAAAATCTCAGTGCTTTGGAATTCTTAGCAATTTGTCATGAAGCTAACCATATAATGTTTAAACTTATGTTTATTCTCCTATTTATTAAAGATTGTAAAGAAAATTAAGGATATGGTTTATTTATATATTTTTTTTTATATACATCTCTTATATTTGTGCAAATAGCTTTTAATTCTTTTTTATATTTTAGGAAGTAAAATAAATTAACAAAATATATAAATAAACAAATACTTTTCCCAAAAAAACAACCAACTAACTAAACAATGAAAAACCCACTCAATTATACAATATATTTTGCCAGATTTAAATAAATAACTGATTTTAAATAATTTTAAAGAAATAACTGAGTCTCCTAGATATTTTCATTGCTTTTTCATGCTGGTTATTATTGATATAAAATCAAAAAATAGGAACTTATAAGGCTTAATTATGAAAATACTTTGTTTTCATTATAAATATCTGTACTTTTTGATAAAAACTCCAACTTTATAGTTTGAATGTAATTTTAAAAATTATTCAATTTTGAAAATTTGAAAATCGGTCTATTGAATAAAAATAGAAGTGTAAAGCTTTACAGGATTATTTTGCCTGTGGATTAACTTTTAAAAAATATTTTATTGTGGCTAGCAAGAATTAATGACATAACTGTAATCATCTTAGCTGGTATTAAATAAAAACTCTAAATGGAGTCCTACAGAATTTGAATAAACCTTATATTCAGCAAAGATAATATTTTTGAGAACATTTTTAAACATCAAATTTTTGATAAAATTAATATTTATTAATAGTTGATAATTAGTAAAGGTCATTAACTAAATGGCAATGTATCTTAACAGACTTGTATGATGTGTTTACTTAAGACTGGCTAAGTCTTTTGAGAATTTGCATTTTTGAGAACTTGATTTAGAAAGGGTATTGTTGGATAATTTAGATAACTCTACTATATTTTTAATAATATAATCATTTGATAATGTAACACCATTACCCAGGGAATACAAAGACAAATGAGTGACAATTGTATTTTGCCATTATTTTAAGTGAATGATAAATATCTTGGCTTAACGCCAATAATGTAGTTTGAATTTCTCTAGTAAAATTAGAGGCAACAATAATCTGTAAAAAGCTGTTATGTAAGTAATCCCAGTGCCCAGCTTTGAATGGATAGATTTACTTCAGCTGGTCGTTAAAAGTCATTTTAGGATAAACCAGAGTGCAAACAAGAGAGCAACATTATACAACAAAACATAATTTTCTTTTGAATTCAATGTGGGCACCTATGTACTGATTAGTAATCTATTATTATTGAATGTTTGGGCGGTCTTACTGTGCATTTTCTTTAAGGACACAAAAGAAGAAAAGCCATGTAGACTTGTGCATCCTAGAGAAGATTTATATCTTTGTAAAGGATAGGTAGGGAGCCATTGAAATATAGCGCATTGTTATGGTCTATAATTTGCATTCTGTTTGAACCAACTCCCCCACCCCATCCTACCCTTTTTTTTCCTGTTACAAGTAGTGCAAGATAGTGGTTTCACCCATTATTCTGGCCAATACATAGCCAACACATTGAAATAGTACCTCGCACGACTCTCATTAGCTGTAGAAATAGAAGAGAATCATAATGTAGAAAACACAAATGGATAATAAAATACCATTACTGCAGAACATGCTGTAATATTTACATGTGACAAGGAAGCCAGTCCCTCTCTCTACAGATGAAAATCATCACTCTATTTTATTTTGTTTTATTTATTTTTGAGATGGAGTCTCGCTCTGTCGCTCAGGCTGGAGTGCAGTGGCACAATCTGGGCTCACTGCAGCCTCTGCCTCCCGGTTCAAGCAGTTCTCCTTCCTCAGCCTCCTGAGTAGCTGGGATTACAGGTGCGTGCTGCCACACCTGGCTAATTTTTTGTATTTTTTGTAGAGATGGGATTTCACCATGTTGACCAAGATGGTCTTGATTTCCTGACCTCATGATCCACCCACCTCAGCCTCCCAAAGTGCTGGGATTACATGCGTCAATCACTGCACCTGACCCTTATTTTTCAATTCTTAGTAGCGATGGGGTCTCGCTATGTTTCCCAGGCTGGTCTTGAACTCCTGGGCTCAAGTGATCCTCCCACCTCAACCTCCCAAAGTATTTGGATTATAGGCTTGAGCCACTGCCCCCAGCTGAAAAGCATCACCATAAAATGAATAATGTCTTCCTTTTGTGGTCCTTCATCATATGCTTAAAAAAATACTAGCATGTTTTAAATGGTATCTTCTTTGAGGAATTCTGTGTACATAACTGTGACTGGTATTTTGTAACATAACTTTGATTATAAAAGTAACATTTATTAATTTTTAATATTTTTGAAAATAAAGTAAAATCATATAAAATTCAATGGTTAAATACATTGCTTTTATGGTAAGTAACAAGATACCTGATAAGCATGGAGAATGAACTGTTTGATTAACTTTCTTCCTCCTTTCTTCTAGAGTCCCTGTATTATTTATTTTGATTTTTTATTTGCCAATAACTGAGAGTAGAAAAAGTCACTTTAATTTTTTGAAAGACAGCAATTGGTGTTCATTAGTGTGCCCAAACCAAATGCAAAAAATAAAAAAAACCCTGAAACAGCAATATGCTAGATGCTGCACATTTAGATGCTAGGCTTAGGGTGACATCTTGTGGTAATACTAAGGAAACATTTATCCAAATGAATAAAGTTTTAAGATGATTACAGCATCAACACTTTCCAGAATTTGAATATAAGAGAATTGGAATTCCATAATATTTTATGATTAATTTATGTCTCTTTGTTTAGAATAGCTAAATAAAATAATAATAATCAGTGTTCATTAATATTCCAAAACAAAACAAACCTAAAATGGCAATATACTAGAAGCTGCACATTTAGATGGAATTGGAATTCTGTGATATTTTACAAATTAATTTAGAATATGTAAATCTCTTTTATTTAGAATATATAAAACATTAAGATTTTCAAGGCACTTTTATTAGGTTATTTATTCTTCAGTTCTTCAGTTAGGTGATAAAGAAGCAAGATTTATCTTTTTTTTTTTTTTTTTTTTTTGAGACAGAGTCTCACTCTGTTGCCCAGGCTGGAGTGCAGTGGTGCGATATCGGCTCACTGCAACTTCTGCCTCCTGGTTCAAGCGATTCTCCTGCCTCAGCCTCCCGAGTAGCTGGGATTACAGGCATGCACCACCACTCCTGGCTAATTTTTTTATTTTTGGTAGAGACGGGCTTTAACCATGTTGGTCAGACTGGTCTCGAACTCCTGACCTTGTGATCTGCTGGCCTTGGCTTCCGAAAGTGCTGGGATTACAGGCATGCACCACCGTGCCCGGCCTTGAATCATTTTTAAAAATTATTTTTGTACTTCTAAATTGACTTTTAATTTTTAAACAACTATATTACCACCATAATTGTTTTTGAAGACTTTAAATAAATAATATTATGGGTTAGTTAAATTTTAGATATGTAACACAAATGTTTTTTGTAACTTATTGAAAATTATGTGTTATTCTTTAGTCATTACTTATAAAGTATGGAAATAACTATAGATATATTTCACAGATTTCAACCCCTTCTAAAATCATATTAGTCTTGTTTATCTAACTTATTGCCTTATATTTCTTCCCAGTGTGTGAGGGGGAATTTTTTGGAGAGGAATTAGAGGGAAATTAGAGGAGAACAAGCGGTAAATGATACTTTAAAAAAACTCTACCAGTGGCAAAATCTTAGAAAAGGGCTTATCTTGTTTAATGGAGGCAGTTAAACCTTACATGTTAGACTTTGTGTTAGAATAGAGTACATTTCATTTCCATAAATCTTAACAGAGAACCTTGTGGATTTTGGAGATTACTAGCAATAGGGGTGATACAGCAGATGTATTACATATTGGGATTTATCATCTCTTTGTTGAAGCCTTCTAACACATTCCTACTTGCTGGCAGCTTTAACTAGCCCTTTCATTGTATCTCATAGCATTTTTTTCATATTACTAAAAAGCATTTATCACATTGCCTTATGGTAAATCGAATATACTTCTGCCCCTTTTTATATCCCCATAATGTGGACCTTTAATAATTATAATAGACTTTTAATAAATTTTTATTCATTTATCAACACTTCTTTTAAAAATACCAGTTATGTGTTGGACATTGTGCTATGCAATAGGGATACAACAGTAAGCTATAGAGGACAGTCAATACCCTTATGGACAAGTAGGGGAAAAGAGACATTAAACACACAATTAATTATTATTCAATTATAATGATGGTAAGGTCTATAAAATAAATATGTATAAGAGTTTTAGTTTGAGTAAAAAAAACCCTACATATTTTCCTAATAGTAATTCGAATGTAGTAATTTTATTTCAAAATAACATCTCTTTGAATATATCACGGCTATTTTGGTCTTAATTATTAATCATAATGTGTATTTTTTGCCATCTGATCATAAGGAAGTGAAGGATTATTTAAATAGTGGGTGTGAAGGCCCCTACAGTTGTGTGAATTTGGAGCAACTTGGCTGTATTTATTATTCTTTTAGTTTATTTATATCTTTTTTTGTTAACCCATTTAAAGATTAATGGTGAAACAACCTGGCTGTAATCTTCAAAAAGAGAGATTCTCAAGATGTGGTTCTTGGACCTCAGCACTAGTCACCTGTGAACTTGGTTAGAATTGCAAATTCTTGGTTCTCACCCTAGACCTACTGACTGAATAAGAAACTCTGGAAGTAGGGCTCAGCAAATGGTACTTTACTAATCCTTTCAGGTGATTCTGAGGCATGTTAAAATTTGAAAACCTATGTTCTAAATGGTTAGGTATTTGGCCATTCAGGGAAAGTAATATATTAACAGTGTGTGAATATTATTACTAAACTTGGGAGAATATGACAGTGGCATTTTTTCCTTCTTGTGTTTTATAGGATCTGATTTAATCTGTAACGACTATAATGAGCCATTATCATTCTGGGACATATCTTGAGTACTTTGTAATCCATAAACTCACAATTATCATTATGGTGTCCAATTTTCTTTTTAAAATATAGTAGCATATCTTTTTATTTTTAATTTTCTTTTTATTTTCCTTCCTTCCCTCCCTCCCTCCTTTCTTTCCTTCCGTCCTTCCTTCCTTCTTTTTTCTTTTCTTTTCTTTTTTTTTCTTTTCTTTCTTTTTTCTCAGTCTTGTCTGTTGCCCAAGCTAGAGTGCAGTGGTGCAGTCTCAGCTCACTGCAACCTCTGCTTTCTGGGGTCAAGCAATCCTCCCACCTCAGCCTCCCTGGTACCTGGGACTACTGGTATGCGCAGTCATGCCTGGCTAATTTTTGAATTTTTTTTGCGGAAAGGAGACTTCACCATTTTGCCCAGGCTGGTGTTGAACTCCTGGGCTCAAGTGATTCTCCCACCTTGGCATTCCAAAGTGCTGGGGTTACAGGCATGAGGCACCACACCCAGCCTTACAATAGAATATCTAAAACATTTAAGGGATTTTTTTCTCTTTGGATAATTAATGATAGTTTCTATTTATGTTACAAGATAGTTTCTACTTATGTTACAATAATTATTCTATGGATAGAATTCTGTTACAATAAGTATCTCTATGGATAAAGCTACATTGATATGTTGTTGCTGGCCCATGTGAGAGAGGCATTTCCTAGGTAATGCTTGCTGCCACTCACAATCTCAAAGCATGTGCTTCAGTTGAAACAAACAAATTACATATCATGGATCTTTAAATAAGTCTTGACTGTTCAAAACAGTGAAGGTGAAATTCTTAGTTGCTAAGGTCTATTATGTTTCTACTTATTTGTTTACAATACTTATTTAAATAAAAAGAGTACAAGTGTTTTAGTTATTGCAATTGAATAATAATAGTTATCAAAGTATTTATGAAGTGTTTACTTATTTACATAGACTTATGCAGATGGATGCTATTAAGACCAAATGCCTACACTTAAGGAGCTTAAGGTCAATTAAGAAAGTAATATTTATGTACATGAAAAACAATACAAAACATCATATAGTGGAGGACTAAATTTTTGGGGCTAGACTAAAATGGCATAGGAGAAGCATGGGCTTATTGTACATTGTTGTTGCTAGAGAAGGTTTTATATAAAATGTAAACTTGAGCTGAGCCTTGTTATTAATAGGATTTGCATTAGAAGAGAGAGTAGAGAAGGATGTTTTCACCATCCATTTACACATTAATTCGTTCACAGGATATTTATTGAACACTTTGCCAAACGCTATGATACACACTGGGGAGACAAGCATTAAACAAAATTTCGTCAAGAGTTTATATACAAAGAAGAAGTAGAGTTGGCTATGAATGAGAGGCTTAACCTTAACAGTAGAAACAGGGACAGCTTTCTCCTTCTTTTTTTGAGATGAAGTCTAGCTCTGTCACCCAGGCTGGAGTGCAGTGGCTTGATCTTTGGCTCACTGCAACCTCCACCTCCCATTCAAGGGATTCTTCTGCCTCAGCCTCCTGAGTAACTGGGACTACAGGCATGTGCCACCACGCCCAGCTAATTTTTGTATTTTTTTTTAGTAGAGACGGGGTTTCACCATGTTGACCAGGCTGGTCTTGAACTCCTGAGCTTGTGATTTGCCTGCCTTGGCCTCCCAAAGCGCTGGGATTACAGGCGTGAGCCACCACACCTGGTCGACAGCTTTCTTAAGGAAGTGACATTTTGAAGTGTTGAAAATTATACACATTGATGTACGTTCAAAGGAGAGTGAGGAAATGGATCTGCCTGGAACAGGGATTCAAAATGTCCTTGATATTTATGCTTTTAAAATGTCTTCTAGGAGTTGTATAGGGCATCCTGTTAGATACAAGTCTCTTCCAAAGAGTTGAGAAACAAGAGTGGTGAGCATAAAATGTGGCTCAAACAATTGTTATAATTCCCTTTGTTAAACGGCCATATACTGAGTGTGATTAGTTGTGTGTTTCATGTCAGGCAGGATCAAGTATTTCTTAAGTTAAATTAGACACTTTGGATTGGATGCCATCAAGAGGGTTGGGTATCATTCTGGACTCTGACTCAGGACTTTTATATTTACTGCAAGATTTATGTCACCAGATGGCACCATTTAACTAAATTTATGTGCTTTAGATGAGTATGAGGCTGGTTGTTTCTAAATGAAGGATGCTATTATTTGTGCTGTAGCTAATATAGGAAAAAAATCTTTTATTTTGAGTGCATATGAGATTTCCCTATATAGTGAGATAGTGAAACCCCAAAGCTATTGTTGGGAGTGTGAAAGGATCTGGTGATTTCTGTTAAGTACATAATAAGTGAAAATTTGGTGATGATCACTGTAACTAATATGTGGTAGCTGGCAAAAAAGCAATAGGCTTTCTCATCTAGGTTTTCCTATAGCAAGCAAACTAGTATTATTAATATTATAGCCTTGAATTTTACTTTTTGTTGTTGAACTACTTTCAGGGAATTTATATATATATATATAGAGAGAGAGAGAGAGAGAATATAAAAAAAATTCTAAAAGATTATTTTAGGAATAAGCCCTTTCAAGATGTCCTGAAATAGCGTAGTAATATCTAAAAAAATTTTTCAATATAGAATATGTTTTACTGAACTGTGGAACTAATCAAGTTAATAGAATGTGATATAGACATTATTTCTTAGTATAAACATCCATCCCAAGGAAATGAGTATTTATTACTTGGTCAAAAACTTCTTAATATTTTCTACCTTTAAGCAGAATTAATCACTTCTTCCCTTATGTTTCTATGGTATTTGTTTATATTTCTGGCACAGCACTTATTATATTGTACTATTGTTTATTGATTACATGTTGCTCTCCCTCAGCAGACTGTGAGCTTCTTGAATGCAGGGACCAGTTCTAATTCAGCCAAATCTGGCATGGAATGAACAGTTCTTCATTAAATTTCTTTCATTTGAAAAAATACATTTGATCTCCCACTATCAAAGAGACACCACATTAGGCTCTGGGGTTTTAGTGATGAGAGAGATGTACACCTTGTTTTCATGGAGCTCATTGTCTACTACATTAAACAAGTAAGATATTAAATAAGTATAATTGTGATGAGTCCTTTGAAGTAAATGGTTATTTGGATTAAACAGTTAAAATCATTAGAAGTTTCTTGAGCTGATCAAATTCATATTATTATACTATATTAAAAAATGTTTAGATACTACGCAAAAGTAATTGTGATTTTTACAATAATTTTGACTGGGCACAAACTCTCTTGAGCAGAATGTGGGGGCAAGCAGGAACTGCGGCAGAAAGGAGAGGAGGAGTCATGGGGGACAATGTGGGCAGATGGGGAGGGGTGTAACCTGAAAGCCCTGCTTGCTTTCTCAGCTGGGAAACTTATAACTTGGGGCTAGGTCTGAGTCCCATGTGCAGGCTGCCTGGAGACAAACTCAGTGGTTTTAGATGGCACAGTGGGAGTGAGACAGGCCTCACCAACTGGGTAAAAGCTGGGTGGGGCCTATCGCTACTGGCTTTCCCTCACTTTCCTGGCAACAGAGGCAGCCATAATCCCCTTTGGAATTTAACCCGAGAACCACCCCTCCCACACCCCCACAGTGGCTGCAGCAAGCCCCACCCAAGGGGAGTCTGAGCTCAGATCTGCCTAACCCTGCCCTGACTTGACAGTATTTCTCTATACCCAGTAGTGGATCATGAAAGACATAAACTTTTGGGAGCTTTATGACCCCGCCCATTACTTGAGAAACCTGAACACTTATCTTGGTCAACTTAGGGCAAGCTTATATCCCCCCTCTTCTATCACAGCTGGTGCTCTCTTGAAAGCACCACCTTCTGCCTGTAGTCTGACCAACTCAGGACGTTGCAGCAACTCAATGACAGAATAACGCTGCTCCAAGGAAGAGGAAAACAACAGCTAATTCCGTGTGCCCTGCAACATCCTGGCTAACCAGTGGTCCTAAATCTGTCCACGTGACAGTGTCACTGCTAGCATAACCAGCATTTGAGAAAGCCAGCACACTAAACATATCTACAACCAAGGACTCTCACAGAGTCTATTTCACGCCCCTGCCACCTCCAACAGGGCAGGCGCTGGTATCCATGGCTGGGAGACCTGAAGGTGGATCGCATCACAGGACTGTTTGTAGACATTCCCCAGCACCAGCTCGGAGCCTGGTAGCCGTACTCGGTGGCTAGACTCAGAAGAGCAATACCAGTCACTGCAGTCTGGCTTGCAGCAAGCCTCATCCCTAGGGGAAGGGGCAGTGTACCACATCAAGGGACCACCCCATGGGACAAAAGAATCTAAATAGCAGCCCTTGAGTTCCAGATTTTTCCACTGAAATAGTCTACCCAAATGAGAAGGAATCAGAAAATATGACAAGATGAGGTTTTACAACACCCCTAAGAGACCACACTAGCTTCATAGCAATTGATTCAAACCAATAAAAAAAAATCTCTGAATTGCCAGATAAAGAATTTAGAAGGTTGATAATTAAGTTACTCAAGGAGATACCAGAGAAAGGGGAAAACCAATTTAAACAAATTTAAAAAACAATACAGGATATGGATGAAAAATGCTACAGAGAAATAGATATTGTAAAGAAAAAACAATCACAACTTCTGGAAGTGAAAGACACGCTTAGAGAAATACAAAATGCACCAGAAAGTTTCAACAATGATGTTGAATGAGTAGGAAAAAGAATGTCAGAGCTTGAAGACAAGGCTTTCGAAGTAACCTAATCCAAAAAAGACAAAGAAAAAAAAATGAACAAAGCCTCCAAGAAATTTGTGATTATGTTAACCAAACCCAAGAATAATTGGTGTTCCTGAGGAAGAAGATAAATCTAAAAGTTTGGGAAACATAATTGAGGAAACCTTGCCTGGCCTCACCAGAGAACTAAACATCCAAATACAAGAAGCTCAAAAAACACCTGGTAAATTCATCACAAAAAGATCATTACCCAGTCACATAGTTGTCATCAGGTTATATAAAGTCAAGAACAAAGGAAAGAATCTCAAGAGCTGTGAGGCGAAAGCATCAGGTAACCTATAAAGGAAAACCTATCAGATTAACAGCAGATTTCTCAGCAGAAACCCTATAAGCCAGAAGTGAATTGGGGTCTATCCTTAGCCTCCTCAAACACAGTATATTTCAGCCAAGAATTTTGTATCCAGCAAAACTGAGCTTCATAAATGAAGGAGAGATAAGGTCATCTTTCAGACAAACAAATGTTGAGTGAATTCATCACTACCAAGTCAGCACCACAAGAAATGCTAAAACGAGATCTAAATCCTGAAACAAAACCTCGAAATACACCAAAATAGAACCTCGTTAAAGTGTAAATCTCACAGGGCCTATTAAACACTAACAAAAAGAAAAAACCCAAGATGTTCAGGCAACAGCTAGCACGATGAATAAAACAGTACCTCACATCTCAGTACTTATGTTGAATGTAAATGACCTAAATGCTCACTTAAAAAATACAGAATGGCAGCATGGATAAAAATCCACCCACCAAGTATCTGCTCTCTTCAAGAGATTCACTTAACGCATAAGAACTCACTTAAGGTAATGGGGTGGAAAAAGATACCCCATGAAAATGGAAACCAAAAGTGAGCAGGAGTAGCTATTCTTATATCAGACAAAACAGACTTTAAAACAACAACAGTTGAAAAAGACAAAGGGAGACATTATGTAATGATAAAAAGATCCATCCAACAAGAAAATATCATAATCCTAAATATATATGCACCCAACACTGGAGCTCCCAAATTTATAAAATAATTATTACTAGACCTAAGAAATGAGATAGATGGCAACACAATAATAGTGGGGGACTTCAATGCTTCACTGACAGCACTAGAGAGGTCATCAAGACAGAAAGTCAACAAGGAAACAATGGATTTAAACTATACCCAGAACAAATGGACTTAACAAATATTTACAGAACATTCTACCCCAAAACCGCAGAATATACATTCTACTCATCAGCACATGGAACATTCTCCAAGATAGACCATAGGATAGGCCACAAAACAAGTCTCAATATTAATTTAAGAAAATCAAAATAATATCAAGTACCCTCTCAGACCACAGTGAAATAAAATTGGAAATTAACTCCAAAAGGAACCCTCAAAACTATACAAATACTTGGAAATTCAATAATCTGCCCCTGAATGATCTTTAGGTCAACAATGAAATCAAGATGGAAATTAAAAAATTCTTTGAACTGAACAATAGTAGTGACACAGCTTGTCAAAACCTCTGGGACACAGCAAAAGCAGTGCTATGAGGAAAGTTCATAGCATTAAATGCTTACATCAAAAAGTCTGAAAGAGCATAAATAGGCAATCTAAAGTCACACCTGAAGGAACTAGAGAAACAAAGAAAAACCAACCCAAACCTAACAGAAAAAATAAGTAACAAAGATCAGAGCAGAACCAAATGAAATCAAAACAAAAAAATACAAAAGAGAAATGAAACAAAACCTGGTTATTTGAAAGATAAACAAAATTGATAGACTGTGAGACTAACCAAGAAAGGAAGAGAGAAGATCCAAATGAGCTCAATTAGAAACGAAATGGGAGCTATTACAACTGATACCACGGAAATACAAAAGATCATTCAAGACTGTTCTGAACACCATTATGTGGACAAACTAGAAAATGTAGAGGAGATGGATAAATTCCAAGAAATATACAACCCTTCTAGATTAAATCAGGAATAAATAGAAACTCTGAACAGACCAATAACAAGCAGCGAAATTGAAAGAGTAATTAAAAAGTTACCAACAAAAAAAAGTCCAGGACCAGATGGCCTCACAGCTGAATTCTATCAGACATTCAAAGAATTGGTACCAGTCCTATTGACAGTATTCCAAAAGATAGAGAAAGACGGAATCCTCCCTAAATCATTCTGGGATTTACCAAAACCCAGAAAGGACATAACAAAAAAAGAAAACTACAGACCAATATCCCTGATGAACATAGATGCAAAAATCCTCCACAAAATACTAGCTAACAATATCTAAGAGCATATCAAATGGATCATACACCATAATCAAGTGGTTTTCATACCAGGATGCAGGGATGGTTTAACATCTGCAAGTCAATAAATGTGATACAGGTTGGGTGTGGAGGCTCACGCCTGTAATCCCAGCACTTTGAGAGGCTGAGAGGGTGGATCATGAGGTCAGGAGTTCAAGATCAGCCTGGCCAACATGGCAAAACCCTGTCACTACAAAAAACATATACAAAAAAATTAGCCGGGCATTGTGGTGCACATCTGTAGTCCCAGCTACTCCAGAGGCTGAGGCAGGAGAATAGCTTGAACCTGGGAGGCAGAGGTTGCAGTGAGCCAAGATCATGCCACTGCACTCCAGCCTGGGTGACAGAGTGAGACTCCATCTTAGAAAAAAAAAAAAAACTGTGATATATCACATAAACAGAATTAAAAACAAAAATCACATGATCATCTCAATAGATGGAGAAAAAGCATCTGACAAAATCCAGCACTCATTTATGATTAAAACTCTCAGCAAAATTAGCACAGAAGGGACATACCTTAAGGTAATAAAAACTGTGTATGACAAATCAACAGCAAACATTATACTGAATGGGGAAAAGTTGAAAGCACTCCCCTTGAGAATTGAAACAAGACAAGGATGCCCATTTCCACCACTTCTAGTCAACATAGTTTTGGAAGTCCTACTTAGAGCAATCAGACAAGTGAAAAAAGAAAGGGCATCCAAATTGGAATTAAAAAGTTAGGTAGGGCTCATATAGACCAAAGGAGCAGAACAGAGAACCCAGAAATAAAGCCAAATACTTAAAGTCAACTGATCTTTGACAAAGCGAACAACAACATAAGGTGGGGAAAGGACACCCTATTCAACAAATGGTTCTGGGATAATCGGCAAGCCACATGTAGAAGAATGAAACTGGATCCTCATCTCTCATCGTATATAAAAATCCACTCAAGATGGATCAAAGACTTCAATCTAAGACCTGAAACCATAAAAATTCTAGGAGATAACATTGGAAAAACACTTCTAGACATTGGCTTAGGCAAAGACCTCATGACCAAGAACCCAAAAGCAAATGCAACAAAAACAAAGATAAATAGATGGAACTTAATTAAACTAAAAAGCTTCTGCATAGCAAAAGAAATAATCAGCAGAGTAAACAGACAACCCACAGAGTGGGAGAAAATCTTTGCAGTCTATACATTCGACAAAGGACTAATATCCAAAATCTACAGGGAATGAAAACAAATCAGCAAGAAGAAAACAAGTAATCCCATCAAAAGGTGGGCTAAGGATATGAATAGATAATTCTCAAAAGAAGATATGGAAAAGACCAACAAACATATGAGAAAATGCTCTACATCAGTAATGATCAGGGAAATGCAAATCAAAACCACAATGAGATACCACCTTACTACTGCAAGAATGGCCATATTTAAAAAGTACCAGATGTTGACATGGATGTGGTGAAAAGGGAACAGTTTTACACTGCTGGTGGGGATGTAGACTAGTACAATCATTATGGAAAACAGTATGAAGATTTCTTAAAGAACTAAAAGTAGAACTATCATTTGATCCAGCAATCCCACTACTGGTTATCTTCCTAGAGGAAAAGATGTCATTATATGAAAAAGACACTTGCACATGCATGTCTATAGCAGCACAATTTATAACTGCAAAACTGTGAACCAGCCTAAATGCCCATCAACCAACGAGTGGATAAAGAAAATGTGATACACACACACACACACACACACACACACACACACACACACACCATGGAATACTACTCAGCCATAAAAGGAATGAGATAATGGCATTCACAGTAACCTGGATGGGGTTGGAGACCATTATTCTAAGTGAAGTAACTCAGGAATGGAAAACCAAACATTGTATGTTATCATTTATAAGTGGGAACCAAGCTACAAGGATGGAGAGGCATCAAGAGGGCAGAGGGTGAAGGAAAAAAGACTACACATTGGGTACAGTGTACCCAAGTACACTGCTTAGGTAATGGGTACACCAAAATCTTGGAAATCACCACTAAATTACTTTTCCATGCAGTAAACCCCACCTGTTTCTCTAAAACTATTGAAAGAAAAACAAAAATTAAAATTAGAAAAAAATAAACTGGATTAGATGGTTACTTTTCCCAATTAACCAGGGGTTGAGAGCTTGTGAAGCATCTAAAAAAATCATAAACACATTAAAAAACCACATTTTCTTTGCAGATATGTGGTGTGACGCAACTTAGATTTGCAACCCCAATACACTGAGGCATGTAGATCTCAATGCTGGTTTTCACCTTTATACTCCTTTCCAATTTGGTATTGGGTATTGACTAAAAGGACCAACCAAAAGAAAGAGCAGTGGAAGAGAAAGTATCTCATGAGTATCTCATAGGCTTCTCCTTTATCCTGTCAGTTCTGGCTCCTAGCGAAAGATAGAAGAGTTAGAGAATGAGGAGTATTCATCTATAAGGGCCAGTCCTAAGAGTTTCTTAAGGAAACATTTCACTTTTACATCAGAAAGTGCTCTCTGCTCAGAAGCCACAGAACTTCTTAGACTGTGTTAGGAATTCCAAACATTTCAATAATAACCTACAGATATACCATATAGAATATATTTCAGTCCAGGCATGGTGGTTAAGACCCCTAATCTCAGCACTTTGAGAGGCTGAGGTGGGAGGATCACTTGAGGCCAGGAGTTTAAGACCAACCTGGGTAACATTGTGAGACCCTGTCTCAACAACAACAACAACAACAGGAGCAACAACAACAACAAAAAGCTGGTCATGGTGATGCATGTGTGTTGTTCTAACTTCTTGGGAGGCTGAGGTGGGAGGATTCCTTGAGCTTGGGAGGTTGAGGCTGCAGTGAGCTCTGATCACACCACTGCACTCCAGCCTGGGCAACAGAGTGAGACCCTGTTTAAAAACAAACAAAACATATATATATATATATATATATATATATATATATATATACACACACACACACACACACACACACACACACACACACACACATCACATATATTATATATATATATATATATATTTTTTTTTTCCCCTGGTTTCTAGTTCTTGATTCCCCAGGTTCTAGCTGATATTGTTTCTAGTTTGCTGTCAAAACAATAAGCCTTCACAAAATCATAAGGTTAGAACTCTCTTTGCAGGAATATATATTTGCAAATTGAATCATCTAATGTACCTAGAGCCAGCAAACTCCAGAGGGTATGCCAGTCCTTACAAAATGCCTTAATCATGAGTCCCTAAAAGTTTAAAACACACAGAAACAAATTATACTGCATATTAAATGCTTTCAGCAAAGCCTTGAGTTTTGAAAAAAAAGTTATTCAAAAATAATTTCCAAAATAAGCCTTGTGCTTCAGAAATAGTTGCTGCACGAGTTTTTTTTTTTTTTTTTTTTTTTTTTTTTTTTTTTTTTTTTTTTTGTAGAGATGGGGTTTCACCATGTTGCCCAGGCTGGTCTCGAACTCCTGACCTCAAGTGATCCACCTGCCTCGGCCTCCCAAAATACTGGGATTATAGGAATAAGCCACCGTGCCCAGCCTGGACACTAATATTCTACATGATTTTATACTCTCAAATTTGGATTATCATCATTATTTTGTCTTTGTGGATTATGTAGTTTTTGGATCTGTTCCTTGATTGCCTATCCAGTAATAATTTCTTCCTCCACAGCATCTTAGCCACCCACTCTTATGTTTTATGCTATATCTTACTATTGTTCATAGGCTCTAACATCTCACTTTAAAACGTCCCACTCTCTGACCACCACTTACCACTTCCTCTTATTGACCCAGTTCATTTCTATAGTTCCCATATCAATCATTGATCCCACAACTACTACTAAATCATTGGCTCTACACATTTTCATGCCTGTTAGCTACCGTAAGTCTTCATGTCCTACCTCACCAAACTTAGAATACATGGTTCATTACTGTGATTACTCAATTTGCATGCATCTTCAATTTCTTTGTTTTTCTCTTCATTGGGGGGCAAAAATCAGCCTCTTCATCAACCTGTGTATGTCTCCTCTATGCCTACATCAAGGCAGACAAATATAGCTGGAGAAATACTGTTAACTGTTTTCACTTTAAATTTATGACCAAATGCCTATTACACTTCCTCAGACAGTCCACTTGTTCTCCCAGGGAACATTTTCGTACATTCTTTCTCCTCAAATGCAATATACCTCACCTTCTTCAACATTAGCTGCTGACCTTTCTTCTTATTTTATTGAGACAATAAAAACAAACAAAAGAGAACTTTCTCATTGTCTCACGACTCAATCTACCAACTTACCTACATCTGCATCCATATACTCTGCCTTCCCTTTTATTAAAGTGAACAAATGGTCTCTCCTCTTATCTGTCAAATGTTCCACCTGGTTAGAATATCAGTCATAGTCCTAGCAGGTAAGAGAAGGCCTTCTCTTTTTTTGTTGTTTGTTTGTTTGTTTTTTTGTTTGTTTTAAGACGGAGTCTCACTCTGTCACCAGGCTGGAGTGCAGTGGCACCATGTCAGCTCACTGCAACCTCCACCTCCCAGGTTCAAGCAATTCCCCTGCCTCAGCCTCCCGAGTAGCTAGGACTACAGGTGCACGCCACCACGCCCAGCTAATTTTTTTTTTTTTTGTATTTTAGTAGAGATGGGGTTTCACCATGTTGCCCAGGCTGGTCTTCAACTGAGTGCAGGCAATCTGTCTGCCTCGGCCTCTGAAAGTGCGAGGATTACAGGCATGAGCCACTGTGCCTGGCCAGAGAAGGCGTTCTCAAAGAGATTTAAGTGAAAGATCTATTACAAAGGTATGAGCGGAGTTAAGGGAGCCAACCAGGGATGGAAGCACTGGTGGGCTAGGAACGGTGAGACTGCTTAAGGAGCATGGAGAGCGAGCTGTTACTGTAACACAGTACAGTATTATTGAAGGGGCTGCCTGACAGAAGCTATGGCTTTAGGAAGAGGAGCACAGCCACTGCTAAATCAGGGCCCGGTAGGAAGAGAGCTGGGGGAATGAACATCCCAACCCCTATTTCTTCCCTTCCCTGATTTCCTGCTGGTGCCCCCCCATTAGTGGACCCCAGTTGGAAGCCAGAGGATAAGGGAGCTAGATGATACAGTCTGTTGAGGTCAGCCTCCTGGGGCACAGAACAGGGTAGATAATGGAAGAAACATAATCTGTAAGGACAAATGGAGAAGAACCATGGCAGGTTATGTCCTGACTTCTCCTTATTTACTCAAAGAATATCATTCTTCCTCTATTTGAAATTAATTTTTATTTTCCTATTTAATTATTTCATTAGCACACAAACATCTTCTGTTAAACAGTTTGGTGTAAGGGTTAAGAGTATGGATTCTGGAGCCAGATTGCCTGGGTTTGTGTTCTGGCTCCTCTGCCACTTGCAAGTTGTATGACTTTAGGAAAGTTTTATAGCCATTCCATGCCCCAGTTTTGCTTTCTGTAAATTGGGGATGATAATAAAAGTATTCACCTAATAAGATTGCTGTCAGGAAAAATAAATTAATATGTGTATTGCATTTCTCACTGTGCCTAGCACATAATAAATGCTCAATAAGTGTTTGCTACTATTGTCATCTTTAAAATCCATTCCCTTCATCTATCATCTCCCTTTACCTTGTCTTCTGTTGTTCTCTGACTTCTGTTTGAGTTTGGCCAATGCAAGGTACTAGTGGGTCATTAGTGAGTGGGAAGAAAGAGAAGTTGGGATCTTTCTTCTCCTGGCTGCCTTACTTCTGGGCCATGATTTGGCAGTGAATGCATTCTTCTACATAAAGCCACAGTTCTTGTCATGTGGCCCTGTATTAGTCCGTTTTTATGCTGCTGATAAAGAAATACCTGAGACTGGGAAGAAAAAAGGGTTTAATGGACTTACAGTTCCATGTGGCTGGGGAGGCCTCACAATTATGGCAGAAGGCAAGGAGGAGCAATTCACATCCTACATGGATGGTGGCAGGCAAAGAGAGAGAGAGTGTGCAGTGGGACTCCTCTTTATAAAACCATCAGATCTTGTGAGACTTATTTACTATCATGAGAACATCATGAGAAAGACCCAACCCCATGATTCAATTACCTCCCACTGGGTCCCTCCCACAACATGTGTGAATTGTGGGAGTTACAATTCAAGATGAGATTTGGGTGGGGACACAGCCAAACCATATCAGGCTTCTCTCCTATTTCTGTGAACCCCTTCACAGCAAAATGCATACAAAGTTCTTTATGGCTGAGCACAGTGGCTCACGCCTGTAATCCCAGCACTTTGGGAGGCTGAGGTGGGTGGATTGCTTGAACTCAGGAGGCAGAGGTTACAGTGAGCTGAGACTGCACAATTGCTCTTCAGCCTGGGCAACAGAGTGAGACTCTGTCTCAAAAAAAAAAGTTGTTTGTCCTCACAGTTCATGCCTTTTCATCTCCTATTTTCTCCTGAAGCTACCCCATATCATGCTTTTGTGTCCTTCACTCTCCACCCAAGGTACAAGTAAAGTTGCACATACTTATCAAGGTTATAGAGACCTCCATGTTTCAAATTTCATTGGCGAATTTTTATTTTCAGGAGCATTTGACATACCTGATCGTGTCCACCTTCTTGTACATACCACTTCGTTCACTTTTTTCTTCTAACCTAAATGTAGAAGCACCTTAGGCTAAGTCCTCAGGTCTCTCTCTTTTTTTTTAAATTTAACTTTTATTTTGATTTCGAGGATACATGTGCAGGTTTGTTAGATAGGCAAACTTGTATCATGGGGGTTTGTTGTACAGATTATTTCATCACCTGGGTATTAAGCCTAGTACCCATTAGTTATTTTTCCTTATTCTCTCCCTCCTCCTACCCTTCACCCTTCGAAAGGCTCCATTGCATGTTATTCCCTCTATGTATCCATGTGTTCTCATCATTTAGCTCTCACTTATAAGTGAGAACATGCAATATTTGGTTTTCTGTTCCTGCATTAGTTTGCTAAAGGTAATGGCCTCCAGTGCTCCATCCATGTTCCTGCAAAGGACATAATCATGTTCTTTTTTATGGCTGTGTAGTATTCCATGGTGTATATACGCCATATTTTCTTTATCCAGTCTATCATCTGTGGGCATTTAGGTTGATTCCATATCTTTCCTATTGTGAATAGTGTTACAATGAGCATACACATGCATGTGTCTTTATAATAGAACTATTTATATTCTTTTGGGTATATACCCAGTAATGAGATTGCTACGTCAAATGGTATTTCTGTCTTTATGTCCTTGAGGAATTGCCACACTGTCTTCCATGATGGTTTAACTAATTTACACTCCCACTAATAGTGTATAAGCTTTTGTTTTTCTCTGCAACCTTTCTAGTATCTGTTATTTTAACACTTTGTAGTAATTGCCATTCTAACTGGTGTGAGGTGGTATCTCATTGTAGTTTTGATTTGCATTTCTCTAATGATCAGTGACATTGAGCCTTTTTTTATATAATTGTTGGCATATGTATGTTTTCTTTTGAAAGGTGCCTGTTCATGTCCTTTGCCCACCTTTTAATGTATTTTTTTCTTGAATTTGTTTAAGTTCCTTATAGATGCTGAGTATTAGACCTTTGTTAGATGCATAGTTTGCAAAATTTTTCTCCCATTGTATAGGTTGTCTGTTCACTCTGTTGAGAGTTTCCTTTGCTGTGTAGAAGCTCTCTAGTTTAATTAGATCCCACTTGTCAATTTTTGCTTTTGTTGCAATTGCTTTTGGCATCTTTATCATGAATTATTTGCCCATTCCCATGTCCAGAATGGCATTGCCTAGGTTGTCTTCTAGGGTTTTTATAATTTTGGGTTTTACATTTAAGTTTGTAGTCCATCTTGAGTTAATTTTTGTATATAGTATAAGTAGGGGGTTTGGTTTTAGTCTTCTGCATATGGCTAGCCAGTTATCACAGCACTGTTTGTTGATTAGGGAATCCCTTCCCCATTGCTTGTTTTTGTCAGGTTTGTCGAAGATCAGATTGTGGTAGGTGTGTGCTCTTATTGCTGGGTTCTCTATTCTGTTCCACTTGTCTGTGTGTATGTTTTTATACCAGTACCATGCTGTTTTGGTTACTCTAGGCCTGTAGTATAGTTTGAAGTCAGGTAGCATGATGCCTCCAGTTTTGTTCTTTTTGCTTAGGGTTGCCTTGGCTATTTGGGCTTTTTATTGGTTCCATATGAATTTTAAAGTAGTTTTGTCTAGTTCTGTGAAGAGTGTTAGTGGTAGTCTAATAGGAATACCATTGAATGTATAAGTTGCTTTGGGTAGTATGGCCATTTTTATAATATTGATTCTTCCTATCCATGAGCATGAGTATGGAATGTTTTTCTATTTGTTTATGTAATCTCTGATTTCCTTACCTCATTTTTAAAAAAATTATACTCTGTACTTAGGTAGGTTCATTCAATCCCATGGTTTTAAATATCTATTGGCTTATGACTCCCAAATTTATATCTGTATCCCTGACTTGTATCCTGTATATATACTATTGCCTATTTAGCATCTTCCACTTGGTTGTCTGTCGAGCATTCTGAAACTTATCATGGCCAAAACTGGACTCTTAATTCCTCCCTTTGCTCACACTCAACTTGCTTTTCTCCTAGTCTTCACTATCTCAATAAATATCATCATTTATCCAGTTTACTCACACTCAGAACACAGGCAACATCACTGATTTTTCTCTTTTTTTTGCACCCCAATACAATCTATTTGCAAATCTTGTTGGCAGAATTTCCAGTTAAGTCCGGAATCCTACCATTTCTTACTATCTCCATCATGCCATACTGTCCTGAGCAACTATAGTCTCTTATCTGGTCTACTGCAGTAGCCTCTTAACTGTATCCATTTGTTTTCACTTTTATGCCAATCTGTTCTCTGCATAGCATACAGAGTGATATTTTAAAGCAAAAGTTAGTTTATCTCAGTATTTTAAAAATCTTTCACTGGCTTCCTGTCACTTTCTAAACAAAATCAAAGTCCTTATTACTCTAAGGCCTTACATAATCTGAATCCTAGCTACTTCTCCCACCTCTTCTACTAACATGCCCCCCATTGCCTACTCCTCTCCAATTATGTTGGACTTGAACTTTTCCTTGAATAAACTTTCTGCTTCAGAGCATTTGTACATGCTGTCTCCTCTGTGTGGAATTCTTTGCCCACTTTCTTACTAGTTTATGTGTCTGCTCAATTGCCATCTTAAGCCTTTCCTTACTTCCATCTAAAATAGCCACCCTTCTCCCGTTACTCTTTTTTCTGTTACTCTAGATAATTTTTATTTATTGTACTTATCAACATATATATTTATATTTATTTGTGATGTGTTCCCTCCCAACTGTAATGTCATCTTCTTGAAGGAAAGAACTTGGTTGTCTTGTTCACTCTTTTAATCCTAACACTTAGCAGAGTTCATGGACTATAACATAAGCTGATACAATTTTGTGACTGAGGGAAAAGCTAATTTCCTACTGACTGTTGACTTTTAAATTTTGACAAGCTAAGTACGTTAACAGTTGCTTTGTTTTTGCTTTTTCTTTTAAATCAAAATTATTAGATTCTTTGTGAAAAGTACTATGTTCAAAAAATCCATTTAAAATGGATCTTTGGGTTTACAAAAATTTATAGTTAATTCAGTAGAAATTTTATATTCTTTCCAGGGTCTTTGTGCCAAGAGCTCAGAGGATCAGAAAGTGTGATTTATGAGGTCAGGAAAGTACATCAGGTTAATTATGCTATTGCATTGCTAGGCAATCTCTTGGAGTTTGCTGGTATGCAACAATCAAAACAGCATCATTTAAAATTGATAGACCTATTAAAGTATGCAAATTTTACTTGTTTACATGTTCTGTTCCTTTTTGAGGTTACTGCTGATAATATAAAAATATGATATTTGCAATACTATGACAATTTGACAGAATAAAAATATGGATCTCTTTTAATAGTATGACTTAGCTTCTAGTGTTTAATCTAGAGGACTTCTGAGATACATTTTTTCTTACATATTTGAACATTTTCTTTTAGAATTCTTGACTGAATCTCAGCTGTCTCAACAAATGTAAAACTATCATTAAAAAGTATTCTTATTGATGCAATTATTCATTATATTTTTCTAAGCTTTTCATTAATTTGCTTGTTAATAGAACAAATATTTATGGAGCACCTATAGTGTGCCAAATGCTGTTCTAGATGTTAAAGTCAGACAGATATTCCTGCTCTTATGAAATTTGTAGTTACATGGTAGATATCAGCAATATACAAATGTATAGTATGGAGAAAAATAGGGCCAGGAAGGGTAATCTGGAGCACCATAAAGTAGAAGAAGAGTTGCTGTTTTAAATAGAGTAATTATTAAAGTCCTATTTAAGAAGACATTTGAGTAAAGACTTGAGGGAGCTGAGACAGTGAGTTGTATAGTTATCTGCAAAGGAGAAAGCAAATGCAAATGCAATGCAAATGCAAAGGTAGTAGTATGCCCAGATCATTCCAGGAATACCAGGAGCACACTGTGATGTACTCAGTCACTATTTTTTTTTTTTTTTTTTTGAGATAGGATCTCACTCTGTCATGTAGGTTGGAGTGCAGTGGTGCAATCATGGCTTATTGCAGTCTCTACCTCCTGGGCTCAAGCAATCCTCCCATCCATCTCAGCCTCCCAAGTGGCTGGGACCACAGGCGCACACCACCAAGCCTGGATAATTTTTAATTTTTTCATAGAGATGGGGTCTCCCTATGTTGCCCAGGCTAGTGTCCAACTCTCAGGCTCAAGTGATCCTCCTGCCTCAGCCTCCCAAAGTGTTGGGATTACATGTGTGAGCCACTGCACTTGACCTCAATCAGTCCTGATTGAGAAACAGTAGTAGGAAATGCTTAGTTTTGGTGGGAAGACAGATTATGGAATTTCTTGGCCATTATAAAGATTTTTTTTTTTTTTTGTGAATGAGGTAGGAATCCAGATTTTGAGAATAATAATAATAGGGTCTGACTTATGTTTAAAATGATCATCTCTGCATTATATATTTAGAATTGACTGAGAGGATGCAAGGAAGAAAATGTAGGAGAGGAGTTGGAGGTTTTCTGTAATATTCCAGGTGAGAAATAGTTATGGTTTAGATTAGGGTGTGGGAGAAGTGGGAATAGTGAGAGTGGTTAGATTCTAGATTTTGAAGATAGGGACTGTATTAGTCTGTTTTGTGTTGCTGTAAAGGAATACCTGAAACTGGGTAATTTATAAAGAAAAGAGGTTTATTTGGCTCACAGTTCTGCAGACTGTGCAAGCCTGGCACCCGCATCTGCTCAGCTTCTGGTGAGGCCACAGGAAGCTTTTAGTCATGGCAGAGGGAAAGAGGAGCTGGTATGTCACATGTTGAGAGAGGGAGCAAAAGAGACGAGGGGTGGGTCCCAGACTCTTTTTAACAATCAGATCTTGCAGTAACTCATTACCACAGGAAGGGCACCAAACCATTCATGAGGGATTCATCCCATGACACAAACATCTTCCACTAGGCCCTACCTCCCATATTGGGGATCACATAGCAATATGAGATTTGGTGGGGACAAATATCCAAACTATATCTGAGCTAAGGAGTTTGCTAATGGATTGGGTGGCAGGTATAAGAATAACAGAAGAGTCAAGGAGGAGTCATTTTTTTTTTTTTTTTGCCTGAGCAGCTAGAGGTATGGCATTCTTATTTTCAGAGATGGAGAAGTGTAGGAAAGCAGCATATTTGGGGGGTAGGGTAGAAAATCAGGCTATATTAAGTAAGTAGTTTGATATAGAAATTTGGGGTACCAGGGAGATATCAAGGTTAGAAATTTAAATTTGGGAGAAAAGGCAGAGTATCAGTGTTTTTAAAACCATGATATTTGAAGGAGAAGAGGTCATGAAATGCGCAATAATATGAAAAATTTTTATTAAATTCTCTGAAGCTTGATAATATTCACAACTGAGGTAGTTAACATTATTTTCTTGCCAAATGTTATGCAAAATAGTTTCATTAATATTTCATTTGAAACCAGCTAGTTGAATATAGCACTGCTTTTTTTTATCAGCTTTTACCTTTTTTAAATTAAAAAATTAATCTCCCAATTTCTTGAAAATGTCAATTTCTAGATAAGAAATTTAGTCTAACTGACTTGAGCTCTAATTTCTGTAAATAGTAGCAATATGTGATTCAATTTCAAATTTAAAAGAGGTCATGTTATTCAAGCATTTTAAGGTTCTACATGATTTATTAACACACATGAATTTAGCTTTTGAGTCTTCTGGAATTGATTTATCAAGATCATTGCTAATGTGACAGAGATTAGGGCTAGAAATAGATGACTTTTGAAATTGTCAGAGTTCTTGACTGCAAATAGCAGAACGAAACTATGTAATTTAAATAAAAACGGGACTTATTGGATTTATTGGGGGGATATAAGTTAGTTGACAGAAACTACAGGAGGGCTGGAGATCAGACTCAGAAAATAGGAACCAAGAAACACAAAGCACAGTCAAGATTTCTCCACAGAAAGAGTGTGATACTGGCACACTGGCACTTGGCTGTCACCAGTGGCTACTAGCCACTACACTACTGGACTCTGACTCATTAACACTTATCACAGTGCCTTACACTCTTGATTCTACTATAGTCACCATGAATTATTTTTGACCATCCCAGTACTCCTAATTCACTCTGTGGAGGGTAAAAGTCCTTGCCTGTTTAATAAATATGTAAATAAAGCACTTTACCTTGAAAAAGAACTGAAGTTTGCTTGTAAAAATAGGTGCCATAAACGTTGTAGCTTGTGAGTTATTGTGAAGTGGTGGAAGGAGGGTTGTATTAGGCCATTCTTGCATTGCTATAAACAAATACCTGAGACTGGGTAATTTATAATGAGAGAGATTTAATTGGTTTATGGTTCTTCAGTCTGTACAAGTATGACACCTACATAGTTCAGCTTTCAGAGAGGCTTCAGGAAGCTTTAACTCATGGCTGAAGGTGAAATGGGACCAGGCATGTCACATGGCGAAAGCAGGATCAAGAGAGAGTGTACGGGAAGGGGAGATGCCACACACTTTTAAATGATCAGGTCTTGTGTGAACTCAGAGTGAGAACTCACTTATCACCAAGGGAATGGCCCAGGCCATTCATGAGGGATCTGCCCCCATGATCCAAATACCTTCCATCAGTCCCTACCTCCAACATTGAGGATTACAGTTTAACGTGAGCTTTGGGCAGGACATCCAAACTATATCAAAGGTTATTTGAAATCAGACAGAAACTTAATAGCAGATGTGGATGAATGTGTCCCTAACACATGCAGTGAACTTAGGAAGTTAGTAGGTTTGAGTTGCGTGCATGTGTGAATTTTGTGTATTTCTCAGTTACTTGGTTCAAATGGGTGCAGTTTCCTGCATTCATCTCATGTTTCTTACAAAGAAAATTGTGGGTGGGCTTCCCAGAAGGAAATCTTGAATAGGGACTTGAATGGGATACAACTTCTTGGTATGCAAAGAAAGATAAATGCATAGGGGACAAGGAGGAAAATATAGATATTTGGGGAAAATAAGGAATGGAAATAAAACAAACTGTGACAAGGAAAACATGGGAATTTTTTGGAAGAAATAAAAATGAAATACATTTTGAGTTCCCAGAAAGCAAATTTTGTGATTCTTTTTCTCACTGTGTGTCTGGCATACATCCAATAATAATTTTCATTGAGTGCCATCTGCAAGGTCTTGTTGTGGGCTCCTTATGTAAACTATTGATAAGCCTTGCAACAACAGTGTTCAATAGTTATTATAATTTTCCATGTGATGAAAACTATAAATCTCTAGATCGCAGAAGCTCAGTGAACCCTAAATATAGAAACATTATGAAAACCTACAGCTGGAAAAATGGCAGAGTAAGGACTTTTAAAAGTTCACCCCTCCATAAAAGCAAATAAAAAACTGGCCAAAACTTTCAGAATCAACTTTCTCAGCACTTTGGAAATTAACCAAAAGCTTGTAGCGATTAGAAGAGCACTTTGTCAAGAGAAAGAAGCTGAATCTCTGTAAGGACAGTGAGTTTTATGGATTAAAAAAAACTTAATCTGGTTCTATCTTATGTTTCCCAGATCAGCATTACCCCTGGAAATAAAACCTGCATTTCTGCTACGGGTATATCTATTAAAACAGATAAATATATCTGGTAGCTTCTTGAAAGACCAGCTCAAAAGATTTATCTTTATCTCACCTAACTCAGAACTTACACAGTACTAAAATAGTAAACCCAGTACTGGTACATTAGTCAAAAGCATTTATAAGCAAATATTTTAGTTGCTTTCATTGGATGCAATAGATAACACTTCAGGTGAGCAAAAGACTAACTAAAATTCTTGGGAAGAAGCTGCGTAATAAGATACTTTGGGGATAAAGGCTTTGAAAAGTTCTGACTTTTTCTTATGAAATTGGGAGACCAAATGCATGTGTATGGATGGCTGTGCACATGCCCAAGAAACCTAAGCAAGTTTAATCTGAGCAAGTTCAAAGTTCCTGTTGGCTGACTTTGAGCCTCTGCAGAATCAGAATATGAAGGCTAAGGCAGAGTTGTAACTGCTTGCATGAGGGTTGAAGGTGTATCCTAGCATACACAAGAGTTTTTCTGCAAAGACAGGAGGATTTGTGGTTTCTAATGGTTAAGGAAATCTCTGTCTAATCATCAGCTGATCACTAAGCAAAGGGAAAAGAAACTTCAGAGGCCACACATGACAAAGAATACAAAAAACTTTACAAAATTAGTTCATAAAAGGTTACTAAACAAATACACAAAAACAACTGAACATCCTGAAACAACAAATCCTAGGGAAGGGTGAGAAAATCTCATTTCACAAGTTGCCACATTATATTTTAAGTGACCAATTTTAAACAAAAATTTATAAGACATGCAAAGAAACAAGAAAGCATGGCCCATGCACAGGAGAAAAAACAATGAATATAAACTGTCCTTAGGTAGCCTAGAGATTGGATTAACTAGGCAAAGATTTTAAATCGGTTGTTTTAAATATGTTCAAAGACTAAATTGAACCATGTTAAAAAAACTAAAGAAAACCATGAGAGCAATATTTCACAAAATAAAGAGTATTAATAAGAATATTAAAAATTATAAGAAATCAAACAGGAATTCTGGTTTGAAAAGTACAATAATCGAAAGATTTACTGAAGAGGCTCAACAGCATTTGAACAGGTAGGAGAAAAAAATTCAGCGACTGGAAGATAAATCAGTTGAGATTATGCAATTTGAGGAACAGAGAGGAAACAAATGAAAAAAGTGAACAGTGCCATAGAGATCTGTGAGACACAATTAAGTGTACCAACATACACATAATGAAATTATCAAGAGAGGAGAGAAAGAGACAGAGAAATGGAAATTTGAAGTATTTGAAAGACATTTGAAGTATTTGAAGAAATAATAATTGAAAACTTCTGAAATTTGATGCAAACCATTAACCTACACTTCCAGGAAGCTCAATATACCCCAAGTAGAGTAAACTCAAAGAGATCCACACAACATAATCAAACTGATAAAAGCCAAAGCCAAAGAGAATTTTAAAAGAAGAAAGAGAGAAGCAACTCATTAGTACAAGGGAGTCTAATAGGATTAACCATTGATTTCTCATTAGAAATAGTGACACCAAACAACACTGTAAACCAAGTGGACCTAACAGACATCTATAGAACAATCCACCAATAACAGCAGAATCCATATTTTTCTCAAGTCCATATGGAATATTCTTGAGGATAGACCATAGATTATACCACAAAATAAGTCTCAATGAATTTTTTTCAGATCTTCCAAATGTTGACATATTTCATTATATAATATCAGATAACCACATTTATTAATATCATCATCCATCTCATATATAGGAAAACTATCAAGCTTACAGTGGGTGATGCAAGTTTTTCAAAATTTGTTTTTTTAAAAAACATTTTAACTTTTATTTTAGATACAGGAGGCACATATGTAGGTTTGTTACATGAATATGTTGTACCCAGGTAGTGAGCGTAGTAACTACTAGGTAGTTTTTCAACCCATGCCCCACTTCGTACGTCCCCCTCTTCCCTCTAGTAGTTTGCAGTGCCTATTGTCCCTTTGTTTATGTCCATCTGTGCTCTGAGTGATGAATGTGAGTGCATGTATCTTTTTGGTATAGTGATCTATTTTCCTTTGGGTATATACCCAGTAATGGGATTGGTGGGCCAAATGTGCTTCTGAGTTCTTTGAGAAATCTCCAAAGTGCTTTCCACAATGGCTGAACTAATTTACCAACGGTGTATAAGCATTCCCACCAACAGCATATAAGCTTCCCCTTTTCTCTGCAGGTTCACCAGCATCTGTTGTTTTTTGACTTTTTAGTAGTAGTCATTCTGACTCATGTACGATGGTAGGTCATTGTGGTTTTAATTTCCATTTCTCTGAGGATTAATGATAATGAGCATTTTTTCACGTTTGAAAGGCCGAAATCATACAAAGTGTGCTCTTCAACCACAATGAAATGAAATTGAAAATCAGTAACAGAAGGAAATGTGGAAAAATCACAAATATGTTGAAATTAAATAATACACTCTTAAATTACCAGTAGTTTAAAGAAGAATTTACAAGTGAAATTAGAAAATACTTTAAGATGAATAAAGAAAAAACAGAACAACATACCAAACTTACGCAGTTAAACCAGTGCTCAGAGGGAAACATTTAGCTATAAATACTTACATTAAGAAAGAAGAGGCTGGGTGTGGTGGCTCATGCCTGTAATCCCAGCACTTTGAGAAGCCGAGTAGGGCAGATCACCTGAGGTCAGGAGTTTGAGGCCAGCCTGGCCAACATGGCAAAACCTCGTCTCTACTAAAAATACAAAAATTAACTGGGTGTGGTGATGGGTGCCTGTAATCCCAGCTACTCAGGAGGCTGAGGAAGGAGAATTGCTCAAACCTGGGAGGTGGAGGTTGCAGTGAGCTGAGATCACACCATTGCACTTGAGCCTGGGCGACAGAGCGAGACTCCATCTCAAAATACAAACAAACAAACAAAAAAGAAAGAAGAATGATCTCAAATAAATGACCCAATCTTCCACCTTAAGAACTAGAAAAAGAAGAATGAACTAAACCCAAAGCAAACAGGGAAGGAAATAATAAAGATTAGAGTGGTGATAAACAGAACGGGAAATAGAAATACAACAGAGAGAATCAATGAAACCGAAACCAGTTTTTCAAAGTGATCAACAAAATTGACAAACTTTTAGCTAGACTATTAAAAAAAAGAGAGATGACTCAAATAACTAAAATCAGGATTGAAAGTGTGAGCTTTACAATGATCTTACAGAAATAAGGATTATAAGAAAATAGTATAAGCAATTGTATGCCGAACAAATTAGACAACATAGTTGAAATGTGCAAATTTTTAGAAACACATAATTTGCCAAAACTGAATAAAAAGGAAATATTTGGATAGAGTGATAACAAGTAAAGATATTGAATTAATAATGAAAAAACCTCCAACCACAAAAAACCCAGCACCAGATGGCTTCAATGGTGAATTCTACCAAATGTTTAAAGAATTAAGAGCAATCTTTCTCAAATTATTCCAAAAAATTGAGGAGGGGAGAATACTGTCTAATTAATTCTATGAGGTCCATATTACTCTGATACCAAAGCCAAATACAGTACAAGAAAATTGTAGACCAACATCCCTTATGAATACAGATGCAAAAATCCTCAACAAAATGTTAGCAAACAAAATCTAGTGGCCAGGTGTGGTTACGCACGCCTGTAATCCCAGCACTTTGGAAGGCTGAGGTGGTTGGATCACCTGAGGTCAGGAGTTCATGACCAGCCTGACTAACATGGTGAATCCCCATCTCTATTAAATACAAAAAAATTAGCCAGGCATGGTGGTGCATGCCTGTAATCCGAGCTACTTGGGAGGCTGAGAGAGGAGAATCACTTGTACCTGGGAGGCAGAGGTTTCACTGAGCCAAGATCGCGCCATTGCACTCCAGCCTGGGCAACAAGAGCAAAACTCCATCTCAAAAAAAAAAAAAAAAATCTAGTAGCACATTAAAAAAATTTACACTATGAGGGATTGAGATTTATTCCAAGAATGCAAAGATGGTTTACAATGTGAAAACCAATGAGTGTAATACACCATATTTATAAAATGGAGGAAAAAATTTAAATGATTGTCTCAATGGATACAGAAAAAGCATTTGACAAAATCTAACACATTTTCATAATACAAATACTCAAAAAACTAGGACTAAAAAGATACTTCCTCAGCCTGCAAAAGGGAATCTGCAAAAAACCCACAGTTAACATCATACTTAATAGTGAGAGACGGAAAGCTTTCCTCCTAAGACTGATAATAAGATGAGGATGTTTGCTCTTGCCACTCCTATTAAACATTGTACTGGAAATTCCAGCTAGGAAAATTAGGAAAATTCTTTCCAAAAAAATTGGAAAGGAAGGAGTAAAAATAAATTCCCAGATTACATGATCTTGTATTTAGAAAACTCTAAAGAATCTACAAAAAAATGAGTAGAGCTAATAAACAAGCTCAGAAAGATTGTAGAATACAAAAGCAATCAATGCACAAAAGCTAGTTTTACATCAGTCATGAGCAATCCAAAATTGTTCATTTACAATAGCATCAAAAAGAATACAGTATTTAGGAATAAATTTAAACAGGGAAGTGAAAGACTAAAACTCTAAAACATTGCTCAAATAAATGAAAAAGACCTAAATAAACAGACATTTTATGTTCATGGGTTGGAAGACTTAATATGGTTAAGATGGTAATACTTCCTGTATTGATATAGATTCAATATATCCCTATCAAAATACCAATAGCTGTTTTTGAAGAAGTGAAAAAGCTGATTCTAAAATTCGTACAAAATTATGAGGGCGTCTCAAATAGCTAATACAATCTTGAAAAGAAAGAACGAATTTGGAGCACTCACACTTCCCAATTTCAAAAGTTATTACAAGGCTATAGTAATCAAGACAGTGTGGCACTAGCATAAAGATAGACACATAAATCAATGGAATAGAATTGAGAGTCCAGAAATAAAACCATACATGTGTGGTCACCTGATTTTCAACAACAATGCCAAGGCCCATTCAAGGGGGAAAGAAAAGTGTTTTCAACAAATGCTACCAGGACATATAGCTAGCTCCATGAAAAATAATGAATTTGGGTCCCTACTCCACATTATATAACAAAATTGACTCAAAGGGGATTAGAGACCTAAATATAAGAGCTAAAACTGTAAAACTCTTAGAAGGAAACATAGATGTAGATCTTTGCAATGGGCCGAATGTTAGCGTTCCCCACAAAATTCACATTTTAAAATCCTAACCCCCAAAGTGATGGTATTAGGACGTGGGGCCTGTGAGAGTTAATTAGGGCATGAGGACAGACCCCTTGTGAATGGGACCATGGGAACTCTCTTGCCCTCTTTCTGCCATATGAATATATAATGATAAGTCAGCATCTGCAACCCTGAAGAGAGCCCTCATCAGAACCTGGCCATGCTGGCACTCTGATTTCAGACTTCCAACCTCTAGAACTTTGAGAAATAAATGTTTGTTGTTTAAGCCACCCAGTCTATGGTATTCTGCTATAGCAGCCCAGATTGACTAAGACAATCTTCATGACTTTGGATAAGGCCATGATTTCTTAACTATGACACCAAAAGCACAAGCAGGAAAAGAAAGAAGAGATAAATTGGACTTCACCATTTGTGCTTCAAAGGAAAGTTAAAAGGCAGCCCACACAATGGGAGAAAATACTTGCAAATCATGCATCTGATAAGGGTCTAGTATTCAGAATATGTAAAGAATTCTATGGATTAACATAAAAAAGACAACCCAATTAAAAATTGGCAAATTTTTGAAAAGACATTTTTCCTAAAAAGATATACAAATGACCAATAGGCACATGGAAAGATGTCCAACATCATTAGTCATTAGGGAAATTTGAATCAGAAGCACAAAGTGATATCACTTCACACCCACTTGGGTGGCTATGATAAAAACAAATGGAAAATAATAATTGTTGGCAGGCATGGTAAAAATTGGAACCCTGATACATAGCTGGAGGGAATGTAAAATGTAGCTGCTGTGAAAAACTGTGTGGCAGTTTCTCAAAAAATTAAATATAGAGTTACCACATGATCCAGTAATTCTACTTCATGGTATATACCCAAGAGAATTGAAAATATATATATTTACACAAAGATGTGTAAACTAATGTTCATAGCAGCGGTAGTCATAGTAGCTAAAAAGTGGAAAAAATCCAAATGTCCATCAACTGATGAATAAAGAAAATGTGGTATTTTCACAGTGGAGTACCCATTTGGCTATAAAAAGGAATGAAGTGCTGATACATGCTACAATATGGCTAAAACTTGAAAACATTATGCTAAGTGAAAGAACCAGTCACTAAAGGTCACTTACATTTTGTATGATTCCAGTTGAAATGTCTGCTGTAGGCAAATCTATAGAGACAGAAAGTAGATTAGTGTTTGCTAGAGGCTAAGGGTCAGGGGAATGGGGAGTGACAGCTTAATGAGTATGGGGTTGGTGAAAATGTTCTGAAATTTGGAATTATATAGTGGTAATGGTTGCTCAATATTGTGAATATACTAAAAATCACTAAATTATATACTTTAAAATGATTACAGTGATGAATTTCATTTTATGTGAATTTTGTCTCAACCCCTCTACCCACAGCTTACATTTATACTTAATCATCAAATATTGAATGCTTTTCCCCTAACACAAGGATAACCACTTTCATCACTTCTCATCACTGGCTAGAGAACCTAGCCAGTGTAGTAAGGGAAGAAAAAGAGATAAAAAACATACATATTGTAAAGAAAGAGGTAAAACTGTTTAATGCATAGCTCACATAATTAGTTTTGTAGAAAATCCTGTGGAATCTACAAAAATGCTCATGAAACTTGTGAGTTTAGAAACATCACAGGATACAAGATCAATATACAGAAATCAATTGTTTTATATACTGGTGATAACAAAAATTAAAATAATACAGTACAATTTACCACACATCAAAATATGAAATATTTAGGGATAGATTTAACAAAATCAAGACCTGTTCACTGAAAACTATAAAACTTTGCTATCAGAAATTAAATAAGACCTGAATAAATAGAAAGATATTTTTTGTTCATTGCTTGGGAAATTCAATATTGTTAAGATGCTAGTTCTCCCCAAATTGCTCTATAAATTCTATGCAATGTCAACCAAAATCTCTGCTTTTAAAAAAATTGACAAACTGATTCTAAAATTCCTATAAATGCCAAAAGCCTAGAATAATGAAAGCAGTTTTGAAAAAGAAGGAGAAGTTGGACAAGTACAAATTTTGAGACTTATTATAAAGCTAAAATAATCCAGAAAATGTGGTATTGACATAGGATACATATATAGATCAATGGAACAGAGTAGAGAGACCAAAAATAGATTCAATGTATAGGGTGAATTGATTTTTGACAAAAGTGGCAAAATACTTTAATGGGGAGGATGGTAGTCTTTTCAACAAGTGATGCTAGAACATTGAGTTCTAGCACCAGTAGAACTAGAATGTGGAAAAAGTGAACTTTGGGCATATCATGTTGAAAAATAACTCAAAATGGATCACAGACCTAAGCACAAGAACTGAAAATATAAAACCTCCAGAAGAAAACATAGGAGAAAATCCTTGCAACCATGGAATGAGCAAAGATTTTTCAGGGCCCCCAGTGCATGAAAAAAAGTAAAAAGGAAAAAATGAACCTTATCAAAGTTAAAAACTTCTGCCTTTTAAAAGACACCATCAAGAAAATGAAAAGGGAAGCCAGAGAATGAGAGGAAATATTTGTGATGTATACATCTGACAAATGACTTGTATTATAAAGAAGTCTTACAACTGTAGAAGGCAAACCATGTAATAATGGAAAAAACTTTTTGAAAACAAGATATTCTAATGGCAAGTAAGCACTAACAATGTGTTTACCATCTTTAGACATTAAGAAAATGCAAATTAAAACCACAGTGAGATACTACTAGACAAATCTAGATAGCTTAAAATTTAAAAAGCTTATACGAAATGTTGGCAGGAACCCATACATTTCTGGTGGGAATGTACAATGGTACAACCACTTTGAAAGACAGTTTGGTACTTTTTAAAAAAGTTAAACTTATTATTTTAACCTACCTTTCCACTTGTATATATTTACCTAAGGGAAATGAAAATATTTGATCACACAAAGCATTGTATAAGAATGTTTATAGCAGCATTATTCGTAGTAGCCCCAGACTGAATTCCAAATGTCCATGGCTTGGTGAACAGATAAACCAGTTTTGGTATATCCATATAAAGGAATATTATCCAGCAATAAAAAGGAATGAAATTCATTAAACTATACAACATGCAACAACATAAATCAATCTCAAAAACACTATGCTGAACAAAGTAAGCCAGATATGAAAGAGTACATACTATATGATTCCATTTATATGAAATTCTACTTAAAAGTCTAGTATGTCTTGACAGAAAGCAGGTAGTGGTGCCTAAGGTTTGGAGTCCAGGAGTGGAAGGACAGATTGGCTGGGAAGTGGCACAAAGGAACTTTTTTTTTTTTAATCCACTCATTTACTAATGGACATTTGGGGTCCAGATGGAGGCTACTATGAAAAAGCTATAAATATTTCTGTGCAACTCTTGGAGTTATGGAAATGCTCTATATCTTGATTGTTGTGTTGGTTACATGACTATAGACATTTGTCAAAATGCATCAAACTGTAAACTTAAAATGGAAGCATCTTATTTTATGTAAATTATACCTCAATAAACTTGATTTAAAAAATCCCACTGAGGCTAAAGGAGGTAAAGCTGCTTGCTCAAGTTTACATAGCTAGTAAGCGAGAGAGAATGGGATAAACTCATGCCTATCTGACTCTATGTCTGTCCTCTTTCCATTATGGCATACAGCCTTTTAATACCCACAACAGGTGCTCAGTCAATATTGAATTGAGTATAAATGTGACCAGAGGAATTAAAGGCTTTAAAGGTGAGCCAAAGAATATATATTTAATCCTGAAGATATTATACACTGGAAGAACTGGAGAAA
The DNA here is from genome assembly GCF_000001405.40 of Homo sapiens. Lineage (NCBI taxonomy): Eukaryota > Metazoa > Chordata > Mammalia > Primates > Hominidae > Homo > Homo sapiens. Next base: position 85,562,930 of record NC_000011.10, on the reverse strand, counting down.
TAACTTAGGCACTCCCTTCTCTATGTTTGCATTGTGTCTTGAGCTTAATGCTGTCATTTTAAAATCACATTTTAATTTTTAAAATTATGTACTACCAGACTGCCATTTTCTAAAGGAAGGAGCTTCCTCTAATTCACTGTTTAGCTCTGACTGGCACATAAAAGGGCTCAGCAGATGGGAATGAATGAATGAATGAATAGATGGGAAGTCCATGATCGGGCTTTAGGGAATACTTACTGTTTGATGAAAGGCATGAGACAAGGCCATTTTTGAACTGGAGAAAAGCAATTCTGAAATAAACAATAGAATACTAGACTGTGAGCATGGTATAGTGAAAACATGAGCTTCTGGATTAGATCCTGGCTTTGCCACTTATTAACTGTGTGCTTTGGGGCAATTCACCTTACCTCTCAGAAGTCTGTAGTTTTTAATATGCAAATTGAAGATACTAATACTTTAAGGAGTTCGTTTTGAGGATAAATGAAATAAAATATATACATGAAGAGTGTAGCAAATTTTCTGGCTAAAATCGAATGGTCAATACAAATGGTAAACATTTCCCTTCTCTCATTTTCTCTTCTCACTGATACCCAAGGAATTCTTAGCTCTAAATTAAATAATAATTTAAAACTTGTTCTTTTCAGATTTACAAGGACTCTAGGGTGAAAGTAGTTCTAAGTAATATAAAAGTTGCCTGGATCAACTTTATTTTCACCCACTGCTCATGACTCTTACACTTTACTCCAAAAGTGACAGTAGAATTAACTCCAGCACAGGTGGGCATTCTTGCTTTGTAACCAGAAACCTACAGTGACATTTTCTGGTGGTACAGTTCCTTTTTCAAGCAAAGGTACAGTATTGCTTTTTTGAAAGTTAGAAAACATAGTTCTGTGGTTAAGTATATTGGCCACTAACTCAACCTGCAGATAAGTAATTTACTGGCTGTGTAACCTTGCGCCTTTACTCTATCTCTCTGAGCCTCACTTTCTGTATCTGTAAAATGGAGTGATCAATGAATATATAAAAAGATCTTTGCAAGGATTAAATGCGATTTTAAATGTGAATGGTTAGCATAGTAACTGGCATATTATAAGTGTTCAATCAAATTGTTGCCATAAACATCATTATTAAATTATTTAAGAGAGAAATTTCAGTGAGAAGACTTAGAGATCTGAGAGAACTGTACCAGTTTGTGATTAGAACGGTTGTAAGATTTATAGCATAATGAAGTTAGTATACAATGTCTTATATCTCTATAGAACCATGCTTGCTAAAACTTCTTATGAGGTTGATTTGACAAGTCTACTTTTATGCTTTGTCTATTCAAATAATTGGTTATTGCCAAACATGCTTCTTGCCTTCATTGTACTATTACTTCAGATTTTTAAGTGCTAATGCGAGGGAAATTTTGAAAATTGATGAACAGTTGCTTAAGCTTTAATTTGAAAAATTATGAATATAGTTTCCCTTTTGTAATACTGGTAGGAAGTGCAGGGTTTTTGAAAATATTTTTGTCATTTACTCTCAGTTAAAGTAAAGAAAAATGAAAGTTTACACAGCTATTTTTTTTTTTTTTTTTTTTTTTTTTTTTTTTTTTTTGAGATAGGGTCTTGCTCTGTCACCTAGACTGGAGTACATTGGCATGATCATAGCTCATTGCAACCTTGAACTCCTGGGCTCAAGAGATCCTCCTGTCTCAACCACCATGCCTGGCTAATCGTGTTTATTTATTTATTTTGTATAAATGGAGTCTCACTATGTTTTTCAGGCTGATCTGAAACTCTTGCCCTTAAATGATCCTCTTGCCTTGGCCTCCCAAACTGCTGGGATTACAGGCTTGAGCCACCATGCCTGGCCTTACACAGCTCACAGTGTTTATTTTTATTATTTTTTTTTGACATAGGATGTTGTTACTCTGCCATCCAGGCTGGAGTGCAATGGAATGATCACAGCTCACTGCAGCCTTGACCTCTCAGGCTCAAGCAATCCTCCCACCTCAACTCCCTGAATAGCTGGGATTACAAGCACACACCATCACACCTGGCTAATTTTTAAATTTTTTGTAGAGACGATATCTCACTATGTTGCCTAGGCTAGTCTCAAACTCCTGGGCTCAAAGAATCCTCCTGCCTCAGCCTCCCAAAGTGCTGGGATTACAGGCATAAGCCACTGTGCCTAGCCAGCTCACAGCACTTTTAAAAAGACATATTTATAGAGGACTAATTTACATATTATATAATTTATCCATTATAAGTGTATCATTCAACAATTTTTAGTAAATTTACAAAGTTGTGAAACTATCACCACAATCTGGTTTTAGAGCATTCCCATCATCATAAAAAGATCCTCACTTCCAGCCCCAGCCCACAACTGATTTACTTTCTGTTTGTATAAATTTGCCCTTTCTGGACATTTCATATAAGTTGAATCTTAGAATATGTTATCTTTCATGTCTAGTTTCTTTCACTTACCATAATGTTTTTGAGGTTCATCCATGTTGTAGCCTATATCAGTAGTTCATTCCTTTTTATTGCTGAATAATATTCCATAATATACACATATCACATTTAAAAAAGTTCCTTTCCCTGGTTGGTGGACATCTGGGTTGTTTCCAGTTTTTAAATATATAAACTGTTGCTGTAAACATTTGTATAAATGTCCTGGTTTAGACAGGTGTATTCTTTTGTCTTTGGTAGATTCCTAGATGGGAAATTTCTAGGTTGTATGGTAAGTTTATGTTTAACTTTTTCAAGAACTGCCAAATTATTTTTCATAATGACAGTGTCATTTTATATTCCCATTAGCAATGTATGATGTAGTTTCTCCATATCCTTGCAAACATTTGGTATTGTCTATCTTTCTAATTCTAGCTATTCTAGGGAATTAGTGGTATCTTATTGTGGTTTTAATTTATTTATAATAAATGGTTTTCTCATAGCTTGTGTTACTACTAGTTCATAACATCCTATCAATAATTTTATCCTTTATTTTCTTGAGTGTTCTGCTTCATTCCACTTTTGATATTAGGATTTGGGGCTGATTAACACACTTTACACCAGGGATATTTATCTCTATCTATCTATCTATCTATCTATCTATCTATCTATCTATCAATCATCTAACTAATCACCATCTATCTGTGTGTGTGTATTTTAGATTTTGAGATTTAAGATACCTCGCTTTTTTGTTGTTAGTTTTCTACATGAACAGCAACTTCAGTGCTTAAATTTTTTTTTACATGGTATTTACCTGTCTTAAATAATTTGCCCAAATTTTGAATTTCCATTATATCAAACTTACTTTTTTTGAGAATTTTTTTAGGTTAACAAAAGTCTTCTGTTAGATATTAATATTTACAAATTTTTAATATATTTAATTATTTAAGAATAGCACATATATAAATTAATGGTTTTGAAGTGAGATACTGTTTTCGGTTTGCTTTCTGATCTGGTGAAGAGACCTAGCAATAATGGAAGCCATGTGGCCGGGCGCAGTGGCTCATGCCTATAATTCCAGCACTTTGGGAGGCCGAGGCGGGCAGATCACGAGGTCAAGAGATCGAGACCATCCTGGCCAACATGGTGAAATCCTGTATCTATTAAAAATATAAAAATTAGCTGGGTGTGGTGGTGGACCCTGTAGTCCCAGGTACTCGGGAGGCTGAGGCAGGAGAATCACTTGAACCCGGGAGGCAGAGGTTGCAGTGAACCGAGATCATGCCATTGCACTCCAGCCTGGGTGACAGAGCAAGACACCGTCTCAAAAAAAAAAAAAATAATAATAATAATGGAAGCCATATAATATGTGAACTAAATGGATTCTTTTTGGAACCCTATATTCCATTTTGACAATTCATTTCATAACATCACCACTATCTATTTCTAAATTGAATTTCAGGGCTTCTCACAGCTTACATACTATAGGGGTTTCTTCCCTTTAGTTCTGCACGTTAGTTTTAGCTTCTCATTTAAAAAAATGTTTTCAATTTATATTTTAGATTCAGATGGTACATATGCAGGTTTGTTACCTGAGTATATTGTGTGATGCTGAGGTTTGAGGTATGATTGATCCCGTCACCCAGGAACTGGGCATAGTACCCAGTAGTTAGTTTTCAACCTTTGCCCGACTCCTTACCTCCTCACAGTAGTCTCTAATGTCTATTGTTGCCATCTTTATGCCCATGAGTATCCAATATTCAGCTCCTATGTATAAGTGAGAACATGGGGTATTTGATTTTCTGCTCCTGTATTAATTTACTTAGGATAATGGCCTTCAGCTCTGTCCATGTTATTGCAAAGGGCATGATTTCATTCTTTTTCATGGCTGCATAGTATTCCACGGTGTATATATACCACATTGTCTTTATCCAGTCCACTATTGATGGGCACCTATGTTGATTCTGTGTCTTTGCTATTTTAAATATCTCTGCAATGAGCATGTGAGTGCAGGTATCTTTTTGGTATAATAATTTATTTTCTTTTGCATATATACTCAGTAGTGGGATTGCTGGGTCAAATGGTGGTTCTGTTTTAAGTTCTTTGAGAAATCTCCAAACTGCTAAACTAATTTGCATTACCATAAACAGTGTATAAGCATTCCCTTTTCTCCACAGCCTTGCCAACATCTATTGCTTTTTGACATTTTAAAAATAGCCATTCTGACTAGTGTGAGATGGCATCTCATTGTGGTTTTGATCTGCATTTCTCTGATCATTAGTGATATTGAGCATTTTTCATATGTTTGTTGGCCACTTGTGTGTCTTCTTTTGAGAAGTGCCTGTTCATGTCTTTTGCCTGTTTCTTAATGGGATTATTGGTTTTTTGTTCATTGAATTAAGTTCCTTATAGATTCAGGATATTAGACCTTTGTTGGATGCATAGTTTGCTAATATTTTCTCCCATTCTGTAGGTTGTCTGTTTACTCTGTTGTAGTGTCTTTTGCTGTGCAGAAACTCTTTGGTTTAATTAGGTCCCTCTTGTCTATTTTTGTTTTTGCTGCAATTACTTTTGAGGACTTAGTCATAAATTCTTACCCAAGGCCAATGTCTAAAATGGTGTTTCCTTGGTTTTCTTCTAGGATTTTTATCTAATTTGAGGTCTTACACTTAAATCTTTAATTCATCTTTAGTTAATTTTTGTGTATGATGAAAGGTAGGGGTCTAGGTTCATTCTTCTGCATATAGCTAGCCAGCTATGCCAGCACTATTTATTGAATAGGAAGTCCTTTCTCCATTGCTTGTTTTTGCTGGACTTTGTCAAAGATCAGAAGGCTGCAGGTATGTGGCTTTATTTCTGAGTTCTTTATTCTGTTCCAGTGGCCTATGTGTCTGTTCTTGTACCATTAACATGCTGTTTTGGTACTGTAGCTTTAGGGTGTAGTTTGAGGTCGGGTAATGTGATGACTCTGGCATTGTTCTTTTTGTTTAGGATTCCATTGGCTGTTCAGACTCTTTTTTGGTTCTGTATGAATTTTAGGATAGTTTTTTCTAATTATATGACAAATGATGTTGGTAGTTTGATGGGAATAGTATTGAATCTGTATATTTCTTTGGGCAGTATGGCCATTTTGACAATATTGATTTTTCCAGTCCATCAGCAGGAATGTTTTTCCATTTATTTGTGTCATCCGTAATTTTCTTCAGCAGTGTTTTGTAGTTTTCCTTGCAGAGATCTTTCACCACCTTGGTTAGATGTAGTCTTAGGTATTTTATGTATGTGTAGTGTGGTTATTGTAAAGGGGAATGAGTTCTTGATTTGTTTCTCAGTTTGGTTATTATTATTACTGTTCTCATCATGGAAATGCTACTGATTTTTGTACATTGATTTTGTATCCTGAAACTTTCATGAAGTTGTTTATCAGTTCCAGGAGCTTCTTGGTAGAATCTTTAGAGTTTTCTAGGTATGGAATCATATAATCAGTGAAGAGAGATAATGACTTATTTTCTTATTTGGAGCTTTTTATTTCTTCCTCTTGCCTGATTGCAGTGGCTAGGACTTCCTCAAACTTACTTTTCAAGAGACAAATATCACAGAAATTTAATCATCTAATGACATATATTTTTTTCATCTCTATATTTGGATAACTAGAAGAGAGAATAAACTTTGTATGAGGCTTTGATTGAAGTTGGTCATTTAAAGAAAAATTCTGTAGGCTCTACTGTGAGATTGTGAGGCATTTTGCTGTTACTGTCATTCTGATTACCTGGTGAACATAGGTGGGCTTAAAAGATTTGTCCAATTCATTACATCTGCTGCCACATCTGTGCTTAGATTCCCTTAAGCTTTTGGATTTTAGGAAAATGATCTTAATAAGTAAATTAGTTATATAAAAAGTAAGACAAACCTCTATTTATCTGAAGAAACACTTTACAGTCAAAAGGCTTTGTGATATATTTATAACATTAAATTAATTTGTAAACACTAGAAGAATACATGCAAAATAATAATCGACTTTGTAAAGAAAAAGTCTGTTTGATATAATGCCTTTATGATAGGCTTGGGTATGTCCAAGGAAAGTTATAAATTATGAAGAAACTACAATATAATCCTGTTTAAAAGTAATTCTAATTAATTCTAGTGGCTTTCAAAGTTAGTTGCAGGGTCCTAGAGTCAGTGCGTGAGCATTAACAGAGGAGGGAGGGTACTAAACCAGTGAGGTGCTTAGGCTCTCCATCCAAATTTCAAATGAAGTAGATTACATAATAAGATTTTATATAACTGTAATAGTAAACACGCAATGAGTAGACTTCTTGTATTTGATTCCTAGAACATTGTATTAGATAACCATATAATGCCAATTTCAACAATATCTCAATGTAAACCTCATCTTTATGTTGTAGAGGTGGAGGGAAAGCTTCCCTTCCATGCTCAGTGAAGGTTTATTGAAATGACTGACAATAGATCAATAAAAAAAGGCTTACAAATTGATTTATGTATACATGGACATGAGAGTCCCCACAGATGTAAAATTCAAAGAGGGGCCAGATGGTTGAGGCTCAAATACCTTCTTCCCAGGGCAGAGAGAAATGGGAGGTATAGACAATTTTGATGAAATAGTTGATAACTTTCAGGGGAAATAAATAAACCCAAAGGGCACTCGCCTGGAGCAAAGTTCCTCTCATCTCTGAGGGAGGTGGCAGAAAAATGAGGGGCCTGTGAACAAAGGTTGTCTTATTATGCAGACAGAGTTCCCTAGATAATCTCTTGGAGTTACTCCATGGAACAGATGAAAAGTCTCTCTGGGTATGGTGATGACTTTTAGTCTCTTCTCCAGTGGTTAATTTTTTTCCTGGTTATTCAAGAAGACAATTGGTTATCTTTTGGAAAGAAGTTTCCTTAGTCATAAAATTCCAGAGAGAGTCCCTCCTCGTACTTGGAGGTGGGTGGGAAAAAACAAGAGATGCTTAGAAAATTAGGCAGCTTCTAAGGCCTTCTGATTTCTTTTAATTAGGAGTGGTCAGTGTGCCAAAGCACTATATGTTGGGGTATCATTCTCTGCACCTCAACAATGTGAAGGTCAAAGTTTTATAAATTAGTGCATTGAGGTTACATGAGCTTTATAAAGAATTCTACTCCCTGAAACATTTTGTATAAGATAGGAGATCTCAGTTGTCTGAAGGTGCAGTAAAAGTTTTTGTGAAACCATGTGTGCATGATGTTTTTTCTGGAGGTCAATTTTATGACTTCTGATTCAATATCTTAAATGGGTATAGATCTATTTAAGTAGTATATTTCCTTTTAGTCAGTTTAAGTAAATTATGTAATTGCCTGATGGGTTATTCTTGCCCACTGCACAGACAAACCCAATGCACTTGAGACAGTGTTATTGCAGTAGAGTTTAATTATCATGAGGCAGCCAAGTGGGAGGACAGGAGTTACTACTCAACTCCATCTCCCCAGAGGCTTAGAGGTTAGGTTTTTCAAGGATACTTTGGTGGGCAGGGGGGCTAGGGAATGGGTGCAGCAGACTGGTTGAAAGTTAAATCATATGTGTGTGGAAAATGATCCTTGTGCACTGTCAGCCTCTGGGTGGGGGCCATGGGACTGGTTGAGCCATGATTCACAGGTCCAGGTAGAGTCAGTCAGTTGTCAGGATGCAAAAGTCCGAAAAAAAATCTCAAAGACCAACCTTAGGTTCTAAAATAGGGTGTTACCTATAGGAGCAATTGGGGAAGTTGCAAATCTTGTGACCTCTGGTGCAATAAACGATCATAGAAGGGCAAACTGCGTCTACATCTTAGCAGAATTCAGCTCCCCCCAGTCCTAATCTCTTGGGCTTTCATTAGTTTTACAAAGGCAGTTTTGGTCCTTAAGCAAGGAGAGGGTTAGTTTTAGGGAGGGACTGTTGTCTTCCTTCCTTCAAAGCCAAGCTATGAACTAAATTCTTCCCATAGTTAGCTTGGCCTGTATTTAGGAATGAGTGAGGACAGCCAGCTTGTGATGTTAGAATCAAATGGAGTCAGCCATGTTAGACTTCTTTCACTGTCATAATCTTTGCTAAGGCAATTTCAATTATATTTTTTCCAGCAACTTGCCCAGCCTGTCTGTTTTCAAATTTCTTGGCTTAAGTTAGTTCATAATATTATCTTCTGATTTTTAAATCTCTACTTGTAATTGTTTATTTTTCATTTCTAATATTATTTTCTCTAATATTTTTTATGTTCAATACTATCAGAAGTTTGACGACGACTATTGTTTTCAAATACTCAATTTTTTTTGTTAATTTGCTTTATACTATTCTTTGATTTCTATTTTATTAAATTTGATTCCCATTATTTCTTTTTTCTTCTACTTTCTTTTATTTTACTCTATTGTCCTTTTAAAAACTTCTTGAGTTGAGATCTTGGATAGAAGTTTTCAGTATTTTTTCTTCTCAAATATATACTTTTTGGCTATGACTTTTAAGTTTTTGGCTATAACTGTTAAGTACTACTTTATCTGCGACCCACATATTTTTATATGTCATGCTGTTACTTTCTAAATATTCTGTATATCCATATAAAATGGAAACTTAAACTATGAATATTTAGCAGTATAATTTTTATGTAATATAATTTACTTTTTAGCAAGCAGAAGATGCTGAATGTAACATAATTTTTATGTGGAAATTTAATGTAATTCTTAAATTGATTTTCTTTTTACTTTTGTTCTCCAATTTTGTTGATTTATATTCTGTAAACTTATTCTTGGTATTTAGTATTTGTTGAGAGATGAGTGTGATCTGTTATATGGATAATTTTTATAAATGTATAATGTGTACATGAAAGGAATGTTGATTATTAACATTTCATTTTATATTCCACTCCTTTGTATGTAGTTTCCTCCACACATCATTTAATCTCTTTCAGTAAGAATCAATTAATATCAGTTTTTCATCTGCAAATGTACTTATTTTATTCTTCAATGTAGTTTAGCTGGAAACCCCATTTCTACCAAAAATACAAACAGATTAGCCGGGCATGGTGTTGTGTACCTCCAAAAAAAAAAAGCACTTGTTATAGTCCAACATATGATAATTTAAAAACTATTTTTATGTCTATTATTTATATATTTACATATGATGTAAGCTTAATGAAGTTAGGAATTTTTGTCCCCTTTTTCATTAATGCATCACAACACCTTAAAACAGTGTTTGGCATATAAAAAGTACCTAATAAGTATTTATTGAATGAAAGAAAAAAGTGAATTTAGAATTCACATTTGTTTTATGTTTGTTTTTTGCAGATATTATTCTATTCCTATCACCAGTATGTAATCTCCATGAAGGCAAGAATTTTTGTCTGTTTTGTTCACTGCTATATCCTCAGGAACTAAAACAGTGCCTGGCATTCAATAAATATTTGTGAATAAATGAAATTATAATTAGGGCATTCTCCATGTAATTGTTTTTCTGTTGCATTCAATGTATCATTTCTCTGAGGTTGCTTTTAGTATTTTATTTTTGTCTTTAATTATCTGAAGTTTCTCAATGATGTATCCAGTGTGGATTTCTTTTTAATTTTTTGCGTGAGATTTGTTTCCTGAATTTGATCATGTTTTTTATCATTTTGGGCAAATTCTTAGCGATTTTCTCTTCAATATTTTCTCTTTCCTATTCTCTCTTGGAACTCCTATTTAAATAGATAGATGAATGTTTCTTATTCTATCCTCCATAACATTCATTCTGTCATTATATTTTCTATTTTTTTATTGTATTGGATTTTGGGTAATTTTCTTAAGCTCATCTTCCCATGTAATAGTTTTTTCTTCAGCAATATCTAATTTGCTAATTAATCTATACATTGAGATTTAAAAATGTTAATGCCTTTTTAGAAGTTCTATTTATTTTATTTAAGTCACTATTTTTCATTGGAAGGTCTTTCAGTATAACTGTATTTCTTTTATTTTTTAAATAATATCAAGAATAATTATTTAAAAATATCAGATTGTTTTATTTTTCTAAACTTTTTTTTTGGGAGGGTGCTGTTTTAACCATTTGTTGTGTCTACTGATACTCCCTTTTGGTAAGTGAAAAGTCCTCAGGTGATTTGTAAACTTTGTGAGTTAATTTTCAGCAGAAGTCTGTTTTTCTGTAACAGCCATATGTGTTGTAGAAATATACCTAGAAATGAGTTTTGCATTTATTTCTTTTGGGTATTCCAGGAGTTCCACTGTTATGAGGCCATTTTTTTGTTAATATTTTGGTTTGAGATTCTTGTAGCACCACTCGTTGTGAGATTGGAGTTTTGATTTCTCACAGAAGGCTTTTCTTTTCTACTCACAGCACTCAGCAGAAAAGATGAACATTCTTGCTACTGCCTTGGGCTGCATGCTGAAGCCTTTTTTTTTTTTTTTTTTCTTTTAAGTCCCATTTCATGAATAGGAACCTTTCAGGTTCCAGTGAAAGGAGTTTTATTTTCAGATCCTGCCTCAGTTCCTGCTTACCATTAAAATTGTGATCTCAAGGCCTTAGGGGTATATATATTTGGACCTGATACTCTCTTTTCCCACTGAATTCTTAGTTTCTCTGCTTATTGTTATGACTTGAGTTACCTCCATTTTTCTTATGCCTGAGGATTTCTACTTTTTTCTTTTTAGTTTTGATATGTACTTAGTATTTGTGGACTATATTTTATCCAGCATTCTGTATATATTAGTAGTGGGATAACATCAGCTACTCATTGTGGCACATTGTTACTCTGGAAGGCTTGAACAGGAATACTCTTATTATTGAAACAAAAATTCAGAAAATAATTAAATTTATATGTGAACTTGATATTATTTGCATGCAACATCAATACCATTTCAGCTAAACATCATCTTTCTTATGAAATTAATGTTATTAATTTGAATGTCAATGTTTTTGTAATTTTTAAATATATTTAATTTGTGAATTTATATTAATTTAATAGTTATAAAGGAGTTATATGCATAATAGTTTAGATCTAATTTTGTTAGTATGTATTTATATGGCATTAAAATATGAGTATTTAAAGCAACATTGGTACAATTATAATTATTTTTACATTAAAAACTGAAGTCTGAGAAAAACTGGGCTAATCATGACTAGAAAAAAATTATATTTAGAAAGTGATGGCACCTACTTTGAACTCAGTTTTTTTTCTCGATGTTTATTGCTGATTATATATTCATATTTGGTCATCTTTTGGGGGAACATAATGGCTTAACCATTCTGCTTCTCATATTTCTACACCTAATACAAATTGACCTTTGAAGTATGTATACTATCTACTCAGTATATAGAGATGATGTTGTCTATCTCAAAAATGCTTCATAGAAATGGGCACTAATATATCGGAATCATCTGGGAAAGTGTTTTCAAAACACATATATCTGGTTTACCTCACTTCCTCCTTTACCTCATATTTTGATAATGGTGTCAGGATTTTATCCTAAAATTAACAAGAAGCTACTGAAGATTTTGAGCAATATTGTGCCACTTCTATTTCTGTATTTTCTTTCTTGACTGTTAGACACAATTGTTTCTGAAAAGTCTTTCTTAGGATCTAGGTGGCTAACTTGTTCCTTCTTTCCTTTGGAAATACGGCATTCAGCAACTAATGTTCATCATGCCAGAGGCCATGGCCTTAAATATGACAGGCTCTAGAAAAAGTATTCTTAGTAATTACAGTAAAGAGGAACTGTTCTTGAACTGGAGAGTTAGCCAGAGAAAGTCTCATATAGTGCAGAATAGCAGGGGTAGAATATGCCGTACCCAAACTAGCCAGTTGCCACTTTTGTTAGGAAAAGTTCCATGCAGATGTTTCTGCCTTTGAAGCAAGATATTTCCCTGACCCCTTCATGGGACTTGCAACAGTGGGTGCCTCCTTTACTCAGCCTGCCGCTCTCAACTCCTCCTGGGAACTGGCGTGCATGAGTGCTTGAATCCACCAGGCACTTCAGCACCAGCGGCACCAGTGGCACCAGGGGGATCAAACCCCACTCACTTGGACCTGCTGCATTCCACCCCTTGCAGGAGGGAGCACGCAGGTGAGTGGGTGCAGGAACCAGAGTAAGCACCTTTGCGCGCTGGCAGCACAAACTCCATGCAGGCCCCGTGGCAGCGTCCAGTTGGGGTGCCTGCAGCTCCCAAAGCCCCAGGTGATGTGATACAGTGCTCTTTTAGCTCTGCCATCCACTATGGCTTAGGTGTTAACAGCTCAGTGGGCCCTCCACCTTTTCATGCTAGGTGGCTGTCCTCTGCCAGTGAGGGCAAAGGGCCAGTATGACGTCCTTTTGTATCATACTTGTGGCTCCTGAGCTCTTGTCTGGCATCCAGGAGAAGTGAGGTTACATGAACGAATTGATTAGATCTTGTGCAAGAGAATTGGAGGCAAATCCATAGAGTAATATGAAAGCAAGTTTATTAAGAAAGTAAGGGAATAAAAGAATGGCTACTCCATAGGCAGAGTGGTGGCATGGGCTGCTCAGCTGCTTATATTTATTGTTAATTTTTGATTTTATGGTAGACAAGGGATGGATTATTCATGAGTTTTCTAGGAAAGGGGTGGGCAATTCCCAGAACTGAGGGTTCCTCCCTTTTTTAGACTGTATAGGGTAACTTTCTGATGTTGCCATGGCATTTGTAAACTGGTCATCGCTCTGGCAGGAGTGTCTTCTAGCATGCTAATGCATTATAATTAGTGTATAATGAGCAGTGAGGATGACCAAAGGTCACTTTCATCACCATCTTGATTTTGGTGGGTTTTGATCAGCTTCTTTCTTGCAACTTGTTTTATCAGCAAGGTCTTTGTAACCTGTATCTTGTGCTGACCTATCTCATCCTGGTAGAATGCCTAACCTCCTGGGAATGCAGCCCAGTAGGTCTCAGTCTTATTTTACCTAGCCCCTATACAAGATGGAGTTGCTCTGGCTCAAATGCCTCTGACGTTTTTATATTTTTGAATGGAAATGCTTTTTTTCATACTTGTACAATTTACAATTGTATTGGGAAATATTTAGACATTATCGAAAAGTATAAAGAAGAGAATTGGCTGGCAAGATGGCCGAATAGGAACAGCTCCGGTCTGCAGCTCCTGGTGAGATTGATGCAGAAGGCGGGTGATTTCTGCATTTCCAGCTGAGGTAACCGGTTCATCTCATTGTGACTGGTTGGACAGTGGTTGCAGCCCAAGGAGGGCGAGTGGAAGCAGGGTGGGGCGTCACCTCATCCGGGAAGTGCAAGGGGTCAGGGAACACCTTGTCTATCCAAGGGAAGCCATTAGGGACTGTACCATGTACTCCAGCCCAGATACTATGCTTTTCCCATGGTCTTCACAACCTGCGGACCCAGGAGATTCACTCCAGCGCCCAAGCCACCAGGGCTCTGGGTTTCCAGCACAAAACTGGGCGGCTGTTTTGGCGGACTCTGAACTAGCCGCAGGAGTTTTTTTTTCATACCCCAGTGGTGCTCAGAACGCCACTGAGACAGAACAGTTCACTCCTCTGGAAAGGGGGCTGAAGCCAGGGAGCCAAGTGGTTTGGCTTGGCAGTCCCACCCCCACGGAGCCCAGCAAGCTAAGATCCACTGGCTTGAAATTCTCACTGCTAGCACAGCAGTCTGAGCTTGACCCGCGATGCTCGAGCTTGGTGGGGGGAAGGGCATCCACCATTGCTGAGGGTAGAGTAGGTGGTTTTACCCTCACAGTATAAACAAAGACACTGGGAAGTTCAAATTGTGGGGAGCCCACCGCAGCTCAGCAAGGCCACTGTGGCCAGACTGCCTCTCCAGATTCCCTCCTCTCTGGACAGGGCGTCTCTGAAAAACAGGCACAGCCCCAGTCAGGGACTTATAGATAAAACCCCCACCTCCCTGGGACAGAGCACCTGGGGGAAGGGGCGGTTGGGGACACAGCTTCAGCAGACTTAAACATCCCTGCCTGGCAGCTCTGAAGAGAGCAGTGGATCTCACAGCACAGCATTCAAGCTCTGATAAGGGACAGACTGCCTCCTCAAGTGGGTCCCTGACCCCCGTGTATCCTGACTGGGAGACACCTCCCAGTAGGGGATGACAGATACCTCATAGAGCAGAGCTCAGGCTGGCATCTGGCGGGTGCCCCTCTGGGACGAAACTTCCAGAGCAAGGAACAGGCAGCAATCTTTGCTGTTCTGCAACCTCCACCAGTGATACCCAGGCAAACAGGGTCTGGAGTGGACCTTCAGGAAACTCCAGCAGACTTGCAGCAGAGGGGCCTGACTGTCAGAAGGAAAACTAACAAACAGAAAGGAATAGTATCAACATCAACAAAAAGGACATCCACTCAGAGACCCCAGCCAAAGATCACCGACTTCAAAGACCAAAGGTAAATAAATCCATGAAGATGGGGAGAAAACAGCACAAAAAGGCTGAAAATTCTAAAAACCAGAATGCCTATTCTCCTCCAAAGGATCACAACTCCTTGCCAGCAAGGGAACAAAACTGGACAGAGAATGAGTTTGACAAATTGACAGAAGTAGGCTTCAGAAGGTGGGTAATAAAAACTCCTCTGAGTTAAAGGAGCATGTTCTAACCCAATGCAAGGAAGCTAAGAACCTTGAAAAAGGGTTAGACGAATTGCTAACTAGAATAACCAGTTTAGAGAAGAATATAAATGACCTGATGGAGCTGAAAAACACAGCAGGAGAGCTTCATGAGGCATACGCAAATATCAATAGCCAAATTGATCAAGCGGAAGAAAGGATATCAGTGACTGAAGATCAACTCAATGAAATAAAGTGAGAAGACAAGATTAGAGAAAAAAGAGTGAAAAGAAACGAACAAAACCTCCAAGAAATCTGGGACTATGTGAAAAGACCAAATCTACATTTGTTTGGTGTACCGGAAAGTGACAAGGAGAATGGAACCAAGTTGGAAAACACTCTTCAGGATATTATCCAGGAGAATTTCCCCAACCTAGCAAGGCAGACCAACATTCAAATTCAGGAACTACAGAGAACACCGCAAAGATACTCCTTGAGAAGAACAACGCCAAGACACATAATTGTCAGATTCACATTGAAATGAAGGAAAAAATGTTAAGAGCAGCCAGAGAGAAAGGTCAGGTTACCCACAAAGGGAAGCCCATAGACTAACAGTAGATCTCTCTGCAGAAACCCTACAAGCCAAAAGAGAGTGGGGGCTGATATTCAACACTCATAAAGAATTTTCAACCCAGAATTTCATATCCAGCCAAACTAAGCTTCATAAGTGAAGGAGAAATAAAACCCTTTATAGACAAGCAAGTGCTGAGAGATTTTGTCACCACCAGGCCTGCCTTACAAGAGCTCCTGAAGGAAGCATTAAACATGGAAAGGATCAACCACTGCAAAAACATGCCAAACTGTAAAGACCATCGACGCTATGAATAAACTGCAACAGCTAATGGGCAAAATAACCAGCTGGCATCATAATGGAGGGATTAAATTCACACATAACAATATTAACCTTAAATGTAAATGGACTAAATGCCCCAATTAAAAGACACAGACTGGCAAATTGGATAAGAGTCAAGACCCATTGATGTGCTGTATTCAGCAAACCCATCTCACATGCAAAGACACACATAGGCTGAAAATAAAGGGATGGAGAAATATTTACCAAGCAAATGGAAAGCAAAAAAAAAAAAAAAAAAAAAAGCAGGGGTTATATCCTAGTCTCTGATAAAACAGACTTTAAACCAACAAAGATCAAAAGAGACAAAGAAGGCCATTACATAATGGAAAAAGGATCAATGCAACCAGAAGAGCTAACTATCCTAAATATATATGCACCCAATACAGGAGCACCCAGATTCATAAAACAAGTTCTTAGAGACACACAAAGAGATTTAGACTCCCACACAATAATAATGGGAGACTTTAACACCCCACTGTCAATATTAGACAGATCAATGACACAGAAAATTACAAGGATATCCAGGACGTGAACTCAGCTCAGGACCAAGCAGACCTAATAGACATCTGTAGAACTCTCCACCCCACATCAACAGAATATACATTCTTCTCAGCACCACATCACACTTATTCTAAAATTGGCCACATAATTGGAAGTAAAACACTCCTCAGCAAATGCAAAAGAACGGAAATCATAACAAACAGTCTCTCAGACCACAGTGCAATCAAATTAGAACTCAGGATTAAGAAACTCACTCAAAAATCACACAACTGCATAGAAACTGAACAACCTACTTCTGAATGACTGCTGGGTAAATAACAAAATGAAGGCAGAAATAAAGATGGTCTTTGAAACCAATGAGAACAAAGACACAAGGTAGCAGAATCTCTGGGACACATTTAAAGCAGTGTGTAGAGGGAAATTTATAGCACTAAATGCCCACAAGAGAAAGCAGGGGAGATCTAAAATCAACACCCTACCATCACATTTAAAAGAACTAGAGAAGCAGGAGCAAACAAATTCAAATGCTAGCAGAAGCCAAGAAATAATTAATATCAGAGCAGAACTGAAGGAGACAGAGACACAAAAAACCCTACATAAAATCAATGAATCCAGGAGCTGGTTTTTTGAAAAGTTCAACAAAATAGATAGACTGCTAGCCAGACTAATAAAGAAGAAAAGAGAGAAGAATCAAATAGATGCAATAAAAAAATGGTAAAGGGGATATCACCACTAATCCCACAGAAATACAAACTACCATCAGAGAATACTATAAACACCTCTATGCAAATGAAACTAGAAACTCTAGAAGAAATGGATAAGTTCCTGGACACATACACCCTCCCAAGACTAAACCAGGAAGAAGTTGAATCCCTGAATAGACCAATAACAAGTTCTGAAGTTGAGGCAGCAATTAATAGCCTACCAACCAAAAAAAGCCCAGGACCACATGGATTCACAGCCAAATTCTACCAGAGGTACAAGGAGGAGCTGGTACCATTCCTTCTGAAACTATTCCAAACAATAGAAAAAGAGGGAATCCACCCTAACTCACTTCATGAGGCCAGCATCATCCTAATACCAAAACCTCACAGAGACACAACAAAAAAAGAAAATTTCCGGCTAATATCCCTGATGAATGTTGATGCGAAAATCCTCAATAAAATACTGGCAAACCGAATCCAGCAACACATCAAAAAGCTTATCCACCACGATCAAGTTGGCTGCATCCCGGGGATGCAAGTCTTGTTCAACATATGCAAATCAATACACGTAATCCATCACATAAACAGAACCAATGACAAAATCACATGATTGTCTCAATAGATGCAGAAAAGGCCTTTGACAAAATTCAACAGCCCTTCATGCTAAAACTCTCAATAAACTAGATATTGATGGAACGTAGCTCAAAATACTAAGAGCTATTTATGACAAACCCACAGCCAATATCATACTGAATGGGCAAAAACTGGAAGCATTCCCTTTGAAAACCAGCACAACACAAGGATGCCCTCTTTCACCACTCCTATTCAACATAGTACTGGAAGTTCTGGCCAGGGCAATCAGGCAAGAGAAAGAAATAAACGGTATTCAATTAGGAAAAGAGGAAGTCAAATTGTTTCTGTGCGCAGATGACATGATTGTGTATTTAGAAAACCCCATCATCTCACCCCAAAGTCTCCTTAAGCTGATAACCAACTTCAGCAAAGTTTGATTGATACAAAATCAATGTGCAAAAATCTCAAGCGTTCTTATACGCCAGTAACACACAGGGAGCCAAATCATGAGTGAACTCCCATTCACATTTGCCTCAAAGAGAATAAAATACCTAGGAATCCAACTTACAAGGGATGTGAAGGATCTCTTCAAGGAGAACTACAAACCACTGCTCAAGGAAATAAAAGAGGACACAATCAAGTGGAAAAACATTCCATGCTCATGGATTGGAAGAATCAATATTGTGAAAATGGCCATACTGCCCAAAGTAATTTATAGATTCAGTGCTCTCCCTATCAAGCTACCATTGACTTTTTTCCCAGAATTGGAAAGAACTACTTTAAATTTCATATGGAATCAAAAAAGAGTCCACAAAACCAAGACAATCCTAAGCAAAAAGGACAAAGCTGGTAGCATCACACTACCTGACTTCAAGCTTTATTACAAGCCTAGAGTAACCAAAACAGCATGGTACTGGTAGCAAAACAGATATATAAACCAATGGAACAGAACAGAAGCCTCAGAAATAACACCACACATCTACCACCATTTGATTTTTTGACAAAGCTGACAAAAGCAAGCATTGGGGAAAGGATTCCCTATTTAATAAGTGGTCTTGGGAAAACTGGCTAGCCATATGTAGAAAGCTGAAACTGGATCCCTTCCTTATACCTTATACAAAAATTAACTCAAGACAGATTCAAGACTTAAATTTTAGACCTAAAACCACAAAAACCCTAGAATAAAACCTTGGCAATACCATTCAGGACATAGGCATGGGCAAAGACTTCCAAGACTAAAACACCAAAAGCAGCGGCAACTAAAGCCAAAATTGACAAATGGGATCTAATTATACTAAAGAGCTTCTGCACAGCAAAAGAAACTGTCATCAGAGTGAACAGGCACCCTACAGAATGGGAGAAAATTTTTGCAATCTATCCATCTGGCAAAGGGCTAATATCCAAAATCTACAAAGAACTTAAACAAATTTACAAGAAAAAAAAACAAACAACCCCATCAAAAAGTGAATGAAGGATATGAACAGACACTTCTCCAAAAAAGACATTTATGCAGACGACAAACATATGAGAAAAAGCTCATCATCACTGGTCATTAGAGAAATGTAAATCAAAACCACAATGAGATACCATCTCACGACAGTTAGAATGGTGATCATTAAAAAGTCAGGAAACTATAGATGCTAGAGAGGATGTGGAGAAATAGGAATGCTTTTACATTGTTGGTGGGAGTGTAAATTAGTTCAACCATTGTGGAAGACAGTGTGGCAATTCCTTAAGGATCTAGAACTAGAAATACCATTTGACCCGACAATCCCATTATTGGGTATATACCCAAAGGATTATAAATCATTCTACTATAAAGATCCATGCACACATATGTTTATTGTGGCATTGTTCACACTAGCAAAGACTTGGAACCCACCCAAATGTCCATCAATGATAGACTGGATAAAGAAAATGTGGCACATGTACACCATGGAATACTAAGCAGCCATAAAAAATGATGAATTAATATCCTTTGCAGGGACATGGATGAAGCTGGAAACCATCATTCTTAGCAAACTAACACAGGAACAGAAAACCAAACATTGCATGTTCTCACTCATAAGTCGGAGTTGAACGATGAGAACAAATGGGCACAGGGAGGGGAACATCACACACCAGAGCCTGTTGAGGATGGGGGCCTAGGGGAGGGATAGCATTAGTAGAAATGCCTAATGTAGATGACGGGTTGATAGGTGCAGCAAACCCCCATGGCACATGTATACCTATGTAACAAACCTGCAAGTTCTGCACATGTATCCCGGAACTTAAATTATAATTAAAAAAAAGAGAATCAATTTTGTATAGCTACACCTAGCAACAGTATTACCTAGAAATAGTAACATTTTGATGTATATCCTTCCAAAATCATTTAAATCCACACACACATAAACACATATGACTACATACAACTTATATTTATCTTATTGATATAATTGACTGTTTTCATTTGTTTTTAAATAAATGCCCTTGGGCTAGGACTGACTTTTACTTTTTGAAACATTAATTCAGTGTTGCAAGTATTTACTTTGACATTTTTGCCTATGAAATGTCATGTCAAATGATTATGCTATGACATAGGAACAGAGAATGAAGAATCATAGAATAATAGAATTTAAGATCTAAAAGAGACCTTTGAGAATATTAAAATCTCCTTTAAAACCCAGAGCCAACAAGTCAGGATTCTTTGTATTGTTCATGTTGTCATATATTATGCAAACTTTAAAAGGAAAAAAATGCTGATATTGAAGATATGGTATCTATTAATACTTTAAAAGATGAAGCCTTACTCCTAAATTTACTTCATAAACAAAATGTATTTTGTCCTATTTTATCTTCAAAGGATTCCCAGATCCTTTGAATATCTTCCATAATTCCCAGATTAATCAAATGCATAGGTATAATATCATTTGTTTGCCACTCAGTTTGTACACACATTTTTTGTTGGTCCGTGGGGGAGTTCTCCAACATAATATATTTCCAAGAGATTGCTTAACAATGAAGGTGGTGCCCCATTTCTTTTGGTGTAATTTCTACTTAGGTTGAATTCACAAGAATTGTAACTAAAATCTCATTGAAGTTACCTGAAATGAGGAGGAAAGAAAAGAAAAATAAATGAGAAAAAAGGACCAGCAGGACAAAAAGTGCTACTGCTTTGTAAAGAATTCATTTCTCTTTCTCTGTGGGCACACGAATGTGGGTGGGTTTTCTCAATTCTGGAGTTGTTGTAAATAAATTAGCTGTAAACCAGTTACAGATTTTTTTCCCCCTTACTCTTCTAAATTACTTCAGGTGTCAAGCTGAGAAGTCTGTGAGGCTTTCAGCAATAGCACACTGTTTCATATTATTATTTTTTAAAAGCAGAGACAGGAATAACACAAATAATTCCATTTGCATTTGAATTAAATTCCTTGGGCATTTCCTGGATTTTGTTAGCAATTCAACAGGAAGCCTAGTATTAGGAGATAGGGAATAATTACAAGAGAAAGGGAGGCAGAGGAGTAAAAAGGCACTGAATTCATGATGCAGAATTTGGCTGAAGTGTTTTTTTCTTTTAATTAGAAGGTGGTGGATCAAAATTTTAATCCTTAGAAGTAATTTTCTATGACTTCAAATCTGTGTTTTTTTGCACTCACTCTATGAATTGTTCCATAAACAATCAGCAAAAGTCAAATCAGTAGTAGTTTTGTAAGCCATCTCAAAGGGTTTGGAGATGTTTTCTAAGTCATTTATTGACCCAACTTTCATATAGGGCCCATTAGTATATATTATAATAATATATATTTATTAAAGATAAAACATTCATAAATAATAATACTCATTATCTGTATGACATTGGGCAAGTTAACTTTTTTAGGCCTAGTTTCCTCACCTGTAAAGTTAGTAAATTGGACTTGCTTATTTCTAATTTTTTTTCCAGCTGTATGTTATATGAAGTCATTAAAAATGAAAGAAATGACCTAGTATATAAATAGAAGTGATCCATTGTAATTTAAAACTATAAATACATAAGTATTAAATAATTTATACTCAGATTAGCAGTGGTCTCAATAATTATTTTTTGAATCTGATGTGATTATATCATTACTTTGTTTTCCATCATTCACAGGGTAAAGTTAAAAGTCCTTAGGATGGCACATTAGAGCAATTATGCTTTTTGTAAGACCGCCTTATGGACCTGGAAAGAAACTGAGGCAGAGCTTAAATACTAAAGAATTTATTTGAGTCAGATTTGCATGACTGCAGCCCAGGAAACACTTCCAAGTTATCCTGGGAAGTGTTCCAGGGAACAAAAGAGAATTGTGAACTTTTAAAGAAAAGAGGGTGGTAACAAAAGTTGTTTTCCAACTATTATAATTTGTATTGAAATGGGAGGAGTTTTCTTATCCTCCTCGCAGGGCGTGCAACAGGGATGTGGCTTGCTTCTTTGGTGCCTGGCTGCTCAAACCCCTAGGGGGAGCATACAGATGGGCAGGTCATGGGCAGTTTTTGGGCTCTGACCCCACAGCAGCGTCTAAGGTTGAGTGTTTATAGCTCCCGAAGTCCCAGTGGGTGTGTGTCACAGTGTGCTCTTTTAGCTTTGCTGTTTTGCTGTCTGTAGGCAGCTTGTGTTAATCCGCCCAATTAGAGCCTCTGCTTTATCACAAGGACAGAGGGCTTTCTGTATCCTGAATTATTGCCCTGGTGTACCAGAAAAATTGAATCACATGTGGGCTTGGAGGATGGCTGCAAAGTTTTATTGATTGGAAGTAGCTCTCAGTGAGGTGAATGGGGAGGCCAGAGGGGGATGGAATGGGATGGTGGTGTTTCCCTGGAGTTTGGGCTGCCCAGCGGCAGGCATCTCCTCTGATCACTACTGACCAAATTCCACATGGTCCCACCATTGATGGCCTGTCAGCATCTGCTGGTGTCTGTCAGTGTGCTCTTCTGATCCTCTGTTCCTCTCGATGTCCAGCTGCTCGTGTGTCTGTGCCTGCTAGGGTCTTGGGGTTTTTATGGGCACAGGATGGGGGGATGTGGTGGGCCAGAGTGGTCTTGGAAAATGCAACATTTGGGTACGGAAACAAGAGTGGCTGTCCTCACTTATGTCCGTGGGCAAAGGCCCAAGGGTGGATCCCTCACCAGGGACCCTGGCCTTCTCTACCCAGCATTTCCCTTCCTGCACCACCCCCCTGCCGCTTTGCCCCTTTATCAGTATGATTGTATCTAAAGCAGTATTGGAGTCAGGGAATTGGTTGTAGCACTTTGAAAGGTGGGCCCATGGTCAGGGACTTCTCAGCTCAGCAGGAAATAGCAGAAGATAAGACAGCAGATGTTTTTGCACTCGCAAACTAGGAAGTTGTGACCTCTAGGGTTGAGTATTCATTGCTTAAGGTGTGCCTGAAGCCCCAGCTGAAATGGCCTCCTGGCTCTATTTTAGGTGCCTTGACTAAACCATTTCCATTTTCCTTCATCAGCTTCAATCTATATTTCTTGCCTTAGCTCTTGTAACCCCTGTACTACAGACACGTCAAACTCTTTAAAAACTTTTTTTAATTTAACATTTTTGTGGGTACACAGTAAGTGTATATATTTATCGGTTAAACTCATTTCTAATGATGATTTTTTGAAAAATCATGAAAAAGAGTAACATAAGATAGTTACTCTTTTAAAGTGTACAATTTGGTGGTTTTTAAATATGTTCACAGAGTTATGCAGCTATCATCAGTAACTAGCTCCAGAATATTTCCATAATCCCAAAAAGAAAGCTCATACCCATTAGCAGTAACTCTAATTCTTCCTCTCCTTAGTACCTGGAAACTATTATTATACTTTCTGTCATAGGGGAGGAAATATTTCCTCAATTCTTCTAGCATTCCTGGCTAGGTTTGAAATAAAACAGACAAAGGAAGATTAATGGGAGAAAAGCATAACAATTCATTTAATCAAAGTTTTATGCAGCCCAAGAAACTTCAGAAATAGATCCAGAGACTCAAGGGACAGCTGTCCATTTTTATGCTTAGATTAAATGGAGTGACAGCTGTATCATGTGTCAGGATGACCGAGCAGTCTAAGGCACTGCATTCAGAAATGTGATAGGATAAAAAAAGGGAATGATCTAATGGTAATAGACTTGAGTGGAGAAACCCAGCAAGGCCTACCTATTTAGATGCCTCTTGATCCATGTGTGGCATTCCTTCCTTTCAGGTATAGGGCAGCAGGTCTTCTGCAATGAAGGTCTTAATGCTCTACTTTCAGACAAGGTGGATCTGAGAAGGTGTTTTTTTAAAAAAATGTAATTTAATTTTGAGTTCTGGGATACATGTGCAGGGCATGCAGGTTTGTCACATATTTAAATATGTGCCATGGTGTTTTGCTGCACCTATCAACCCATCACCTAGGTATTAAGCCTCACATGCATTAGCTATTTATCCTGATGTTCCTCCTTCCCCTGTTCCACTCAACAGGCCCCAGTGTGCATTGTTTCCCTCCCTGTGTCCATGTGTTCTCACTGTTCAGCTCCCATTTATGAGTGAGAACATGCAGTATTTGGTTTTCTGTCCCTGTGTTAGTTTGCTGAGAATGATGGTTTCCAGCTTCATCCATGTCCCTACAAAGGACATGAACTCATCATTTTTTATGGCTGCATAGCATTCCACGGTGTATATGTACCACATTTTCTTTATCCAGTTTATCATTGATGGGCATTTGGGTGGATTCCATGTCTTTGCTATTGTGAAAAGTGCTGCAATGGACATATGGATGCATGTATCTTTATAATATAATTATTTATATTCCTTTGAGCATATACCCAGTAATGCAATTGCTGGGTCAAATGGTATTTCTGGTTCTAGGTCTTTGAGGAATCACCACACTGTCTTCCACAATGGTTGAACTAATTTACATTCCCACCAACAGTGTAAAAGTGTTCCTATTTCTCCACAGCCTTGCCAGCATCTGTTGTTTCTTGACTTTTTAATAATTGCCAGATCAGAGAATGTCTTTATGGCCAGCTCTTACATAGAAAGGTTACAGTAACGTTTCTAGGTTTTATGACTGGCTTTGGGGGATAGTGTGTCTAGAATTGGTGGGTTCTTGGTCTTGCTGACTTCAAGAATGAAGCCATGGACCCTCACAGTGAGTGTTACAGTTCTTTTTTTATTTTTTAATTTTTTATTATTTTTTGAGACGGAGTCTCGCTCTGTCACCCAGGCTGGAGTGCAGTGGCGCGATCTCGGCTCACTGGAAGCTCCACCTCCTGGGTTCACGCCATTCTCCTGCCTCAGCCTCTCAAGTAGCTGGGATTACAGGTGCCTGCCACCACGCCCTGCTAATATTTTGTATTTTTAGTAGAGACGGGGTTTCACTGTGTTAGCCTGGATGGTCTCAATCTCCTGACCTCATGATCCACCCACCTGGGCCTCCCAGAGTGCTGGGATTACAGGCTTGAGCCACCACGCCTGGCCGCGTGTTACAGTTCTTAAAGATGATGTGTCCGCAGTTTGTTCCTTCAGATGTTCAGATGTGTCCAGAGTTTCTTCCTCCTGGTGGGTTCGTGGTCTCACTGACTTCAGGAGTGAAGCTGCAGACCTTCACAGTGAGTGTTACAGCTCTTAAAGGCGGCATATCTGGAGTTGTTCATTCCTTCTGGTGGGTTCGTGGTCTTGCTGGCCTCATGAGTGAAGCTGCAGACCTTCGTGGTGAGTGTTACAGTTCACAAAGGTGGCACGTCTGGAGTTGTTCATTCCTCCCATCTGGAGTTGTTCATCCCTCCCGTCTGGAGTTGTTCATCCCTCCTGTCTGGAGTTGTTCATCCCTCCTGGTGGGTTGGTGGTCTCACTGGCTTCAGGAGTGAACCTGCAGACCTTCATGGTGAGTGTTACAGCTCATAAAGGCTTTGCGGACCCAAAGAGTGAGCAGCAGCGAGATTTATTGCGAAGAGTGAAAGAACAAAGGTTCCACAGCCTGGAAAGTGACCTGAGCCAGTTGCCCCTGCTGGCTCTGGTCGCCTGCTTTTATTCCCTTATCTTGCCCCACCCACATCCTCCTGAGAGAGCTGACTGGTCCATTTTACAGAGAGCTGATTGGTCCGTTTTACAGAGAGCCGATTGGTCCATATTGACAGAGTGCTAATTGGTGCATTTCCAAACCTTTAGCTAGACACAGAGTTCTGATTGGTGCATTTACAATCCCTTAGCTAGACGCAAACGTTCTCCAAGTCCCCACCCAATTAGCTAGACACAGAGCACTGATTTGTGCATTTACAAACCTTTAGCTAGACACAGAATGCTGATTGATGCATTTACAATCCTTTGGCTAGACAGAAAAGTTCTCCAAGTCCCCACCTGTCCCAGAAGCCCAATCAGCTTCACCTCTCACTGGCATTCACTGTGGGACTTTGCGGCACCTAGTCTGGGCACTCTGGCAGCCCAGAGGGAGCTCGTCCCAGACAATCAAGAGGAAAAGAGGGGAAGCGAGAAAGAGATGGAGACCTGGTATTGTGGCCAATCATCCCGTGAAAAGGGAATGGCGGTCCATGCATGGGATTCAGCCTCTGATCAAGCCCAGCAGGCATCAGCCCGCTGCCCTGAGTGCGGGGCTTGCCAAGCCTGCGCTCACCTGGAACCCGCACTGGCCTGTGAGCACCGCACGCAGCCCCAGCTCCTGCCTGCGCCTCTCTCTTCACACTTCCCTGTGAGCAGAGGGAGCCGGCTCCAGCCTCAACCAGCCCCAGAGAGGGGCCCTCATAGCGCAGCAACAGGGTGAAGGGCTCCTCAAACACTGGCAGAGCAGACGCCAAGGCCAAGGAGGCCCCAAGAGCGAGTGAGGGCTGCTAGCACGTTGTCACCTCTCAATAGGGTTCTAGTTCTAGTTTCTATGACCTACCTTAGAGGAGGAAAGGAGGAGAAAGGAGGGCAGGAGAATAAGTTTAGAAAGAGTCTGCTTCTGGGGTCCTCCCAAAGTGCTTCAATTTAAAGGATGCAGCATGCCAAGGTACTGTACTTTGGGGGTATTGTTTTCTAAGTCCTGACATTGTCTGTATGGATTTGCCTATTTAAAACTTTTTTTTTTTTTTTTTTTTTTTTGAGACAGGGTCACACTCTGTTGCCAGGCTGGAGTTCAATGGTGTGATCTCGGCTCACTGCACCCTCTGCCTCCCAGGCTCAAGTAACCCTCCCACCAAAGCCTCCCAAGTAGCTGGACTACAGGTGTGTGCCACCTTGCCAGTCTAATTTTTATATTTTTTGGTAGAGATGGGGTTTCACCATGTTGCCCAGTTTGGTCTCTAACTCCTGAGCTCAAGCCATCTGCCTGCCTTGGCCTCCCAAAGTGCTGGGATTACAGGCATGAGCCACCACACTTGGACTATTTTAAACATTTTATATAAATGGAATCCTACATTATTATGTGGCCTTTTGTGACTAGCTTCTTTCACCAACATAATGTTTTCAAGCTTCATCCATGTAGCATGTATCAGTACTTAATTCTTTTTTATGACTGGATATTATTCTTTTGTATGAATATATCATATTTTATTTATCTGTTCATGAGTTGATTGTTGGATATTTGGGTTATTCCCGTATTTTGGCTATTTTGAATAATGCTGCTATGAACATTTGTGTACAGATTTTTGTGTGGACATCTGTTTCCATTTCTCTTGGGCATATATCTAGGAGTAGAATTGCTGGTTTATATGGTAACTCTGTTTAACTTCTTGAGAACTGCCAAACTGTTTTTCAATGTGGTTTCACTAATTTGCAATCCCATCAGCAATACATGAGAGTTCTACCTTCTCCACATTTAAACTTTTTAATGATGGAATTTAAAAAATATATCTCTTCATTCATTCAGTTTATTCAACAAAAATTATTAAGAGCAAACTGCTACGCACTGACATTATTTTTATATATATATTTATTTATTTATTTTGACCCCATCCAATGACCTATCAAATTGGTATAATCTTTATGGAAGTAAACATTATATGGTACTAGCAATACTGTAATATTTATAATACCTACAATGTTTGAAATTATTTTTTTCTTTTTTCTCCTCAAAGTCAGCTAAATACTCCGCATCACCACACTGCAAAACAAACAAAATTCCTTACCATGGTCTACAAATCTCCCTATATTTTCCTTTCCTCTTCCTATCATACTTTGCTATGAGTCATAAACTTTTTCTAACCTCTACTCAAAAGCAAGTAAAACCTAATCATCACAGAAATACAAGTCAAAACCACAGTGAGATACCATGTCACACCAGTCAGAATGACTATATTAAAAAGTCAAATAATAACAAGTGTTGGTGAGGTTGTGGAGAAAAGGGAACGCTAATACACTATTGGTGAAAATGTAAATTAGTTTAGCCCTTGTGGAAAACAGTGTGAAGATTTCTGAAAGAACTGAAAATAGAATCGCCATCCAACGCAGCAATCCCATTATTGCATACATACCCAAGGGAAAATAAGTTATTTTACCAAAAAGACACCTGCACTCATATGTTTATTGCAGCACCATTCACAATAGCAAACACATGGAGCCAAGCTAGATGCTCATCAACGATGGAATACGTAAAGGAAATGTGGTACATATACACACATGGAATACTGATATTCAGCTATAATCATGTTCTTTGTGGCAACATGGATGCAGCTGGAGGCCCTTATCCTAAGCAAATTAATGCAGAAACAGAAAACCAAATATCACATGTTCTTATTTATAAGTTAGAGCTAAATATTGGGTACACAATTGACATAAAGATGGGAACAATAGACACTGGGGACTCCAAAAGTGGGGAGGTAGGGAGTGGGGCAAGGGCTGAAAAACTACCTGTTGGGTACTTTGTTCACTGTATGGGTAATGGGATTATTAGAAGCCCAAACTTCAGCATCACACAATATACCCGGGTGACAAACCTGCATAAGTACCCCCAAATCTAAAATTAAAAAAAATTATATTTCATGGAGGAAATGAAATAAAAAAGACCTTTTTTTAGTTAATATAAATTTAATTTAATTTAATTTGAATTGCTTTCTAAAATACTGAGAGTAGACCAGGCGCACCTTTCACACTTTTAATGTCAGCACTTTGGGAGGCTGAGGTGGGTGGATCATGTGAGTCCAGGAGTTAGAGACAGACAAAAATTAGCCAGGCATGGTTGCGCCTGCCTGTAGTCCCAGCTACTCGGGAGACTGAGGCAGGAGAATTGCTTGAACCTGGGAGGTGGGGACTGCAGTGAGCTGGGATAGCGCCATTGCACTTCAGCCTGGGCAACAGAATGAGACTCTGTCTCAAAAACAAACAAACAAAAAACAAAAAACCAGAGAGCAACATTTTAGTGGGCATATATTGTTCTATTAAAATAAACCTAGAGTTTTCCTTAAATGGAATTTAAACATTTGTAAACAGCCTTCTTAGCTAATCTTATTCTTTAGCTTTTCCTCTAAAGCTGTATAAACTTGTGGAGGCTTCTGATTAGCTCAGCTACATTAGTATTCCCTTCTCTCAGGCGTAGCGCTGAACCTAAAGAATGTTTTCCGATTCACAATCCAGATAGATTCTTACAAGAGGTAGATCAAACAAACCAATAAGGGGAAAGAAGTGCCTGCCACTGGATGCTGTGGGATATATATGTGTATATCTATCTATATCTATAATAAATTATTCTAACAAAAGGACACCTGGACTTGCATGTTTATTGCAGCACCATTCACAATAGCAAAGACATGGAACCAACCTATATGTCCATCAGTGATGGATTTAGATAAAGAAAATGTAGTACGTATACACCCTGGAATGCTATTCAGCTATTAAAAAGAATTATATATATATATATATATGTATTTTATGTATATATATGTATTTCATATATATATTTCAATATGTATATAGTGTGTGTATGTATTTTAAAAAGCAAGTAAAACCAAAGGCACACCTTAGCCAGTTAAAAAAAATCACAATAAAACACCTTAGGAGGCTGGGTGTGGTGGCTCATGCCTGTAATCCCAGCACTTTGGGAGGCTGAGGTGGGTGGATCGATTGAGGCCAGGAGTTCGAGACTAGCCTGGCCAACATGGTGAAACCCCATCTCTACTAAAAATACAAAAATTAGCTAGGTGTGGTGATGTAATCCTGTAATCCCAGCTACTTGGGAGGCTGAAGCAGGGGAATTGCTTGAACCCGGGAGGGGGAGGTTGCAGTGAGCTGAGATCATGCCATTGCACTTCAGCCTGAGTGATAGACTGAGACTCCGTCTCAAAACAACAACAACAACAACAACAACAACAACAAAAACACCTTAGGCATCTCTAATTTTGAGTCACAAAATTTCTTTTCATATATTCTAAGATAACCTGTTTCTAAAATGTATACTTTAACAAAATGCATTGTTTTTTGTTTCGTGGAATTTTTAACATAAGATAAGGAACAGGTGTGGGACATTAAAAAAAATAGCTTTGATTTCAGGACAATTTACTTGCAATCCTTACTGATAGAAATTAAAAACCAGGGTTAGTTATCTACTCAGAGCCTTTTCTATGGGCAGATCATTAGTATATAAGAGAATTCTTACCTTTTACTGTCTAAGTTGGAAGAGTATTCTCTTCCAGTGGAGCTATTAACAGATTAAGTTAAAAAGAAAGGATGTGACATATGACAGCACTGCCCATCCAAATATTACTGCACTGGAAATTATGATCTGTTCTATCTGTAGACCATACATATAGGTAACAATAGTTGGTGTGCTCTGTGATACTCATGTAACTTAGCCAATAATTGATTTCTGTTCAAAGGCATAGAAAAGGAATAACAACAAATGAATACATCATATTTCTGAATCAGTATTTCTACAAGGAAGTATAGAGGATAGCAGCAGGTGATCTGTGGCAGAATCACTAAACCTAAAGCCTTCCTGCTCCTCATATGGAACAAAGATGAGGGAAACTAGTCTTGGAAAATATCTTCCAGGAAGCTCTGCTAGAGCCAGTTCCCTCTAGTTTTCTGCTGTCCTTGTTCATTACTAGGTGTTTCCATCTAGTTATTATGAATAAATAATAATTAAAAGACATATAAACATTAGTTTGCTTTTTAACATGTGCTTGTATTTCATACGTAAGACCACTTTTTCTTTTGTATATACTGCGTAGTGTAGAGGACTATGTAAGTGAGAACCTAGAAAAGCGAGGGATTATGATATTGAAATATTTTTTCTTATTGCATATAAACTATACCTAAATGTATTAAACAACTTTTTTCTTTATATTGGATCTCTCCTTGGATAATAATGGGTATAAAATTATATGGTTAAATGCCTAGGTTTTGGATTTTGTTATCCTGGGTCTCTCAAAATTCCAGTTATGTGACTTTGAGAAAGTTGCTTAACATTTTTGTTCCTTAGTTTATTTGTCAATAAAATAGGGAACATATTAGCATCTTTCTCACAGGGTTATTGGGAGATTTATAATCTATTCAGATTATTTAATATGTTATTGCTATGAACTCCAGGGTAAGAAAGAAGCCTTCTTTTCTAATTTTATCTTGCAGCGTGTGTCTTTCTCCACCCCTCCACCGCTGTGTAACCTGATTCAGTCACAGGCTCACTTTATTGTATCATGCCTTCACAGGTGTCTACGCCCACTTCTCTTCCTGTCAAAGATAGGCTCAGAGCTGGTCTCTTCCTCCCACTAGCTCTTTTCCTTCTAGCCTTCTCAAGTTTTTTCATTCCTCTTTCAAAACTCCTTTCCTGTAGCAACAATCAGTCTACATTTTAAAATTCCATTGGTTTGTGACGTCTTGGATGAGAGGCTCTAATTTTTCAGTTGTGATTTATTTTTGAATACCCCAAAGTGCTGGCACAAAGCAGATATAAAAACATGTGTATTGAATTGAGTTAAATACTGGCTTGAGCATCTGAGGTTGTAGAAATTCGGGGTAGCAGTTATTCTTAAATCACCCTGTTTGGCATGGTCTTGCTTCATGCTCCTGTACTAACATCTGGTGATGATGTATATGCTGCAACACTTGAAAGAGCCTCTCCAACAGCAAGCTTATTTAGGAATGTAGGATAAGGGAATAACAACACTCATCATTTTACAATTATTGTTTTAAAGTTTGATATCACTATAATGATTTCATACTCTTGGCATTTAAAAATAATTGAATTAGTTGTTATAAATACTTTTAATGACCAGTAAGGAAAGGGAATAATGTAAGAATACATTGTATTAAGAGTTTCTTCTATTTTCATTTACTTATTTTAAGAAATCCCAGTCTAATTTTAAAATTTTATTTTATTTACGAGGGAAATAGGGGGAGGGCAGAAAGCCTCTAAGAAGTTCTGAGTGGTCCCCTAACTCTTCCTGCTCAAGTTCAGGAAATTATTATACAACTAAGTCAAAGTAAGTGGCTTTGAAAGTAGTGTGTGATAGCTATGTAATATACAGAGGGACAAAGCATTTTAACTCTACTTCTAACCACAAGGCATTAGGCCAATAGACTCAGGAAGCTGATCTTGGCAATAAACTGTTGAGGCCCCAAAAGGAAGTGTAAGAATGGTAGCCAAAACAAAGCAGAACCAAAGCAAACCTTATTGTCTTAGTACCTGGGGTGCAGAATACTTTGAGCAATAGGCAAACTCAGAAACTCTATTAGTCTATAAAAAAGCATTAGAAAAACACCCTAGCCAGGTGTGGTGGCTCGTACCTGTAATCCCAGGACTTTGGGAGGCCGAGGTGGGCAGATGACAAGGTGAGGAGTTCAAGACCAGCCTAGCCAATATGGTGAAACCCCATTTCTACTAAAAATACAAAAAAATTAGCTGGGCGTGGTGGCATGTGCCTGTAATTGCAACTAATCAGAAGGCTGAGGCAGGAGAATCGCTTGAACCTGGGAGGCGGAGGTTGCAGTGAGCCAAGATCATGCCACTGCACTCCAGCCTGGGCAACAGAGCGAGACTCTGTCTCAAAAAAAAAAATAAATAAAATAAATAAAATAAAAATAAAAAAAGGCCAGGCGCAGTGGCTTACACTTGTAATCCCAGCACTTTGGGAGGCTGAGGTGGGCAGATAACCTGAGGTCGGGAGTTCAAGACCAGCTTGACCAATGTGGAGAAACTCCATCTCTACTAAAAATCCAAAATTAGCTGGGTGTGGTGGTGTATGCCTGTAATTCCAGCTACTTGGGAGGCTGAGGCAGGAGAATCGCTTGAACCCATGAGGTGGAGGTTGTGGTGAGGTGAGATTGTGCCATTGCACTCCAGCCTGGGCAACAAGAGTGAAACTCCAAACTCCACCTCAAAAAAAAAAAAAAAAAAACAAACCCTCTCTAGGCAGATCTACCCCTAAGTTTACTTGGCTAGAAGAGAAAGTGGTAAATTGGTTTAAAGAAAATGGTTTACAATCCTCCTGCCATAGTTTCATGTGAGGATGTGTAACATGACTAGTAGATAAAGACAAACTCATCTCCTTGTCTGGGAGCCTTTGTTGTTTTATGTAAAACATATAACTGTATTTGGTGGTCCTGGAGACACTGGACCTAAAGTGTTTGAGGAAAGGAAAGTTGGTACAATAATCAAAGGCATGGAGATTTTATGTGCAAAGTTATATCTGAGATTAAGAAACTTTAATATAGAAATGGAAAGGTAAATGGTGGGTATGATCAGAGTCATTAAAATTGTAAAGTGTATGAAGAGTCTGAGTAGACTTGTTCACCAAAGTCAAGAATACTAGAACTAAGGGGAACTTTTTAAAGCATGATGAAAATTATTTTAGGAAAATAAAAGGGAACATTTTTCTATCAGATGACTACTAGATGCCATAGGACTTTATTCTTGTAGCAAGTGAACAAGATAAAAAATAGATATTTCTAGGATGGATTTAAAAAGATTGATAATCTTATTTGGTCATTAGATGAATTTGTACACTAGTCAGATTTGGCTGGATAATGGTGCAGCAATAAATAATTTCTGAAATCTCAGTAGTTTAGAAGACCAAAGGTTTATTTTTTGTTCATGTTACATGTTCATAATTTGTCGGGGAACAGGTGGTGATGGTAGGGCTCTTTACGTGGACCTCACTCAGGAATGTAGGTGAAGGAGAGTTCCATCTGTATGCTCCTACATTTCTCAAAGCAGGAATGAGGGATATGACAACTTGCAAACGACCTCTCAACAATTGTGTGTGCATATATATTTGTGTGAAACTGGCAAGATGATTCTAAAATACACGTAGATTCGTCTTTTTCTTGACATTATGCTTGTGAGATTAATAATGTAGTTGCATACAGCTATACTTCATTAATTTTCATTGCTGTATAGTATTTCATGTTATGAATATTCCACAATTTGTTCAGTCTATTGGTGAATAACATGAGTTGTTTCTAGTTTTGTTGTATAGGCACACCTCTGTATTTCCCTTGGTGTACACATTTCTGTTAGTTATATGCTTAGAAACAGGGCCAGCTGAATATTTGTGCGTCTTTCTGCAAAATGAAAATGTTAAGTCTGTTGTTCAACATTTATTAAGAATTTCAAGACAACTATAGCAGATAATTAAACTAAGCACAGGGTCCTTCTAAGTCCAAGGCCCTGTGCAATTGCATGGGTCACATACTCATGTAACTACTCTGATTTGGGGATTTATTTATTCATGAAGCATAACCCATTTGAGTGCCAGGAATAGAATTGCTAATTTGTAGGTTATGCATAAATTCAACTCAGGATTAAATGCCAAACTGTTTTCCAAAGTGTTGTACCAGTTTACTCTACTGCCAACAGTGTATGAGATTTCCTACTGCTTCATATTATTAACATTAACTTAACATCTCATTGTGTTTTATTTTGGATTTTCCTAATGATGAATGAAATTTAGCACCTTTTCTGCTGTGCAAACTGGCTAGCCATATGCAGTAAACAGAAACTGGACCCCTTCCTTACACCTTATACAAAAATTAACTCAAGATGGGTTAAAGACTTATATTTAAAATCCTAAAACCATGAAAATCCTAGAAGAAAACCTAGGCAATACCATTCAGGACATAGGCATGGGCAAAGACTTCAAGACTAACACACCAAAAGCAATTGTGACAAAAGCCAAAATTGACAAATGGGATCTAATTAAACTAAAGAGCGTCTGCTCAGCAAAAGAAACTGTCATGAAAGTGAACAGGCAACCTAGAGATTTGGAGAAAATTTTTGAAATCTATCCATCCGACAAAGGTCTAATATCCAGAATCTACAAAGAACTTAAATAAATCTACAAGAAAAAAACAAACAATCCCATCAAAAAGTGGGCAAAGGATATGAACAGACACTTCTCAAAGAAGACAACAAGCATATGCAAAAAAGCTCATCATCACTGGTCATTAGAGAAATGCAAATCAAAACCACAATGAGATGCTATCTCATGCCAGTTAGAATGGTGACCATTAAAAAGTCAGGAAACAACCGTTGCTGGTGAGGATGTGGAGAAATAGAAACACTTTTATATTGTTGGCGGGAGTGTAAATTAGTTCAATGATTGTGGAAGACAGTGTGGTGATGCCTCAAGGATCTAAAACCAGAAATGTCATTTGACCCAGCAATCCCATTAATGGGTATATACCCAAAGGATTATAAATTATTTTACTATAAAGACAGATGCACAAGTATGTTTATTGCAGCACTATTTACAATAGGAAATACTTGGAACAAACCCAAATGCCCATCAATGATAGACTGGATAAAGAAAATGTGGCACATACATACTATGGAATACTATGGAGCCATAAAAAATAATGAGTGCATGTCCTTTGCAGGGACATGAATGAAGCTGGAAACCATTATCCTCAGCAAACTAACACAGGAACAGAAAACCAAACACCACATGTTCCCACTAATAAGTGGGAGTTGAACAATGACAACATGTGGACACAGGGAAGGGGACATCACACACCAGAGCCTGTTGAGGGGTGGGGCGCAAGGGGAGAGAGAGCATTAGGACAAAGACCTAATGCATGTGGGGCTTAAAACCTAGATGATGGGTCGATAGGTGCAGCAAACCACTATAGCATATGTATATCTATGTAACAAACCCACACATTTGGCACATGCATCCCAGAACTTAAAGTAAAATAAAAAAAAAAAAAAATAAAAACATCCTTTAGGCAAAAACAAACAAACAAAAAACCCCAAGAAATTTAGCACCTTTTCATGTGTTTGTTGTTAATTTGAACATCTTCTTTGTGAAAGTTTGTATTCAAGACTCTTGCCCATTTTAAAAGTTGGTTTGACCATGTCAGTTAGGAAAACTACAGAATAAACAATGGATAAAATATACACATTTTGGTTGTCTCCTGTGAGCCTTAAATTTTTTCATTGAAAAAGTGATTTACATCCTATCAATGCAGAGGCCTAAAATTAGAGTCAATGAATATTATTATATTCACATGTTGTGTTTTGACCTTTAGTATTTATGTTGGGCCCCTTTTTTGCTCCCAATTACAGAAAAAAACAAGTACAAAGGTCTCTAGGTAACAAAAAGGCTATTGTCATTAGAGAAGGAAGGTGATCTTCTTTCTTGGTCTACTGATTCAAATGCTAATCTCTTCCAGAAACATCCTCACAGACACATCCAGAAAAACTATTTACTAGCAATCAGAGTTTCCCTTAGCACAGTAAAATTGACACATAAAATTAACTATTATTCTCATGTAGTTACCAGTTCTAATGCTCTTCATTCTTGGTATAACTCCAGATTTACATATGGTGTCATTTTTCTTCTTTCTGAATGACTTTATTTAACATTTCTTATTGTGTGGTTCTGCAGTTAATGAATTCTTTCAGCATTTCAATGTCCTATTTTGTGTTCATTTTTGAAAGATATTTGGATATAGAACTCTAGGTTCACATTTTTTTCTGTCAGGTCTTTAAAGATGTTGCACTACTGTCTTCTGGCTTGCATTTTTCTGATGAGAAGTCTGATGTAATTCTTATCTTTGTTCCTCTATATAAGGTGTCTTTTTTCCTCTGACTCTTTTAAGATTTTTCTCTGTATCACTGATTTTAAGCAATTTAATTATGAAGTGCTCTGTATAGTTTTCTTCATGATACTTCAGTTACATGAAATCTGTTTTATCCTTTTAATTTTTGCTCTTGTGCTTTGTTAAACAAGACTAGAGTAGCAGTTAGTCTAGGGCTAATTCTTCCCCACTAGTGAAACAATACACTTCTCAGGCATTCTACCCAATGCCTAGTGAATTAAGAAGGTTTACATTTTGGCTAGTGGGAAGAGGAAATATTCCTAGATCTGTGTCAGCCTTAAGTACTGTTTTCTCTAATCCTTTTGGGTGGTTCTTTTCACAGCTTCAGATAGTTTCCTCTCGTTCATGTACTGATAACTGCTCTGCTAAAGACTAAAGGCGGATCCTCTGTAGATCTCCGGTACTCTCTGAGATCTCTCCTGTCTAGTCTCTGTCCTTTAAATTCTCACTGCCTTGATCTCTGCAGATTCCCAGCTTCATCTTCTCAGAGAGACTACATGCATAAACTGAGTTCTCTATTTCTGTGCTGTGGCCTGAAAATATTCTCCTGGCAGTAATCTGTGAGAATAGGGCTTACCTCATTTCTTTACCACATCTCAGGCATTACTGTCCTTTGTGCTTTTTCCAATGCCTTGAAAATTATTATTTCATATATTTTGCTCATATTTTTACTTGTTTCAGTTTAGATAGTAAATTTTGTATCTGTTACTCCATCCTGTTTCATAGTAGAAATCTCTCAGGAGTCTGTACATATTTGGAAGAAAAGTTGTCAGGATTTTCTGTTCTAATAAGTATTTCGTATATTCCTTTAAAAATCTTTACATTCTTTATTTTTCTTTTTCATGCTTTACTACACTAGCTAGGATATATGGTAAATATTGAACAGACAAGGATAGATAATGATAATGAAAACCTTAGTTTCATTCCTGACCTCACTGGGAAAGGTTTTAACATTTTACATCAAATACAATTTTTAAAAGTTCTTTGTAGATGTCACTGATTACATTCAGGAAGTTCTCTTCTACTCCTAAGTTGCAAATATTTTCTTACTAAAAAAATTGTGTTGTACTTTTTCAAATGCTTCCTCTGCATCTACTGAGATAATCAAAGGATTTTAAATTTTATTCTGTTAATTTGGTAAATTACATTAACTATTTTTTAGGTAAAATTTATATAGTGTAAATGGATGTTAAGGGTACTAATAAATGAGTTTTGACAAATGTTATAATTTTACATGTTTTTTTCTTAATAGGAAAGAACAAGAGAAAGGAAGGAAGGAAGGAAGTTATACCAGGTATATACATTTGTCAAATGTATGCCAGTATTCCCATTGAGATTCACAAACATGGAACATTTCCATCATACCAGACGTTTCTCTCATACTCTTTCTGTCAATCTTGTGTCCACCCTGAAACAATAATTTCTTTTTTTTAATAACCAGAGATTGAGTTTGCCTGTTCGTGAACTTTGTATAAATAAAATTAGAGTAGCAGTGGGGTACAGTGGCTTACACCTCTAATCCCAGCACTTTGGAAGGCTGAGGTTGGAGGACAGCTTGAGTCCAGGAGCTTGAGACCCACCTGGGCAACGTAGTGAAACCTCATCTCTACAAAAAATAAACAAAATTAGTCGAATGTGGCAGTGCGAGACTGTAGTCTCAGCTACTCGGGAAGCTGAGATAAGATAATTGCTTGATCCCAGGAAGTGGAGGCTGCTGTGAGCTGGGATCATGCCACTGCATTCCACCCTGGTCAACAAAGCAAGATCCTGTCTCAAAAAAATGAAATAAAATTAGAGAAGTTCTCTTTTTGAGCCTAGCTCCTTAACTCAATATACTGTTTAAAATTGTTTAATTTTAAAAATTTTCATTTTTATTTATTTTTATTTTTAATTTTTGTGGGTACATATTAGATGTATATGTTTATGGCATATGTGAGATATTTTGATACAGGCATACAATGTGAAATTATTTCCTTAGGGCAAATTGACTATTCATCACCTCAAGCAATTATCCCTTCTTTGTGTGACAAATAATCCAGTTATACTCTTTTAGTTATTTTTAAATGTACAATAAATTGTTGTTGACTGTAGTCACCCTGCTTTGCTACCAAATACTAGATCTTATTCACGCTTTCTAACTATATTTTTATACCCATTAATCATCCCTACTTTAATCCCTCCCAACACTTCACTACCCTTCCCAGCTTCTGGTAACCATTGTTCTACTCTCCATCTCCATGAGTCCAGTTGTTTTAATTTTTAGCTGCCAAAAATAAATGAGAACATGCAAAGTGGTCTTTCAGTGCCTGGCTTATTTAACTTTACGTAATGACCTCCAGCTCCATCCATATTGGTGCAAATGACATGATCTCATTCTTTTTTTTAGGGCTGAATAGTACTCCATTGTGTATATGTACCGCATTTTCTTTATTCATTCATCTGTTGAGGGACACTTAGGTTGCTTCCAAATTTTGGCTATTGTAAATAGTGCTGCAATAAACGTGGGAGTGCAGATGTCTCTTCAAAATACTGATTTTCTTTCTTTTGGGTATGTACCCAGCAGTGGGATGTCTGGATTGTATGGTAGTTCTATTTCTAGTTTCTTGAGGAATCTCCAAACTGCTCTCCATGGTGATTCTACTAATTTACATTCTCGCTGGCAGTGTGTAATGGTTCCCTTTTCTCTACATCCTCATCAGCATTTGTTATTGCCTGTCTTTTGGATAAAAGCCATTTTAATGGGGGAGATGATAACTTATTGTAGTTTGATTTTCATTTCTCTGATGTTCAATGATGTTGAGTACCTTTTCATGTACTTGTTTGCCTATTTGTATGTCTTCTTTTGAGAAATGTCTGTTTAGATCTTTTTCCCATTTTTAAGTTGGATTATTGAGTCTTTTCCTATAGAGATGTTGGAGCTCCTTATATATTCTGGTTATTAATCCCTTGTCAGATGGATAGAGTATTAGTCTGTTTCCACACTGCTATTAAAGGAAACTTATAATCATGGTGGGAGGGGAAACAAACACATCCTTCTTCACATGGCAGTGGGAGAGAGAATGAGAGAAGTACAGAGTGAAGTGGGAAAAAGCCCCTCACAAAACCATCAGATCTTGTGAGAACTCATTCATTGTCATGAGAATAGCACAGGAGAACTTCCCCCATGATTCAATCACCTCCCACAAGGTCCCTCCCCCAATACATGGGGATTATAATTGGGATTGTAATTCAAGATGACATTTGGGTGGGGACACAAAGCCAGACCATATCATTCTGCCCCTGTCTCCTCCCAAATCTCATGACCTCACACTTCAAAACACAATCTTGCCTTTCCAACAGTCACCCAATGTCTTAACTCATTCCAGCATTAACCCAAAAGTTCAAGTTCAAAGTTTCATCTGAGATAAGGCAAGTCCCTTATGCCTGTGAGCCTGTAAAATAGAAAGCAAGTTAGATACTTCCTAGATTCAATGGGGGTACAGGCATTGGGTAAATCCACCCATTCCGAATGGGAAAATTGGCCAAAACAAAGGGCTACAGACCCCATAGAAGTCTGAAATCCAACAGAACAGTCATTGAACCTTAAAGTTCCACAGTGATCTCCTTTGACTCCATGTCTTACATCCAGTTCATGCTGATGCAAACGGTGGGCTCCCATGGCCTTGGGAAGCTGTGGCTTTGCAGGGTACAGCCTCCTGCCCTAGCTGCTTTCATGGCTGACATTGAGTGTCTGTGGCTTTTCCACATGCAGGGTGCAAGCTGTTGGTGGATCTACTATTCTGGGGCCTGGAGGATGGTGGCCCTCTTCTCACAGCTCCACTAGGCAGTGCCCTAGGGGGGATTCTGTATGGGGGCTCCAACCCCACATTTCCCTTCCGCACTGCCCTAGCAGAGATTCTCCATGAGGGCCCCACCCTGGCAGCAGACTTCTACCTGGACATCCAAGCATTTCCTTATGTCCTCTGAAACCTAGGGAGAGGTTCCCCAAACCTCAGTTCTTGTCTTCTGTGCACCCACAGAACCAATACTGTGTGGAAGCTGCCAAGGCTTGGGGCTTCCACCCTCTGAAGCAACATCCTGAGTGATACCGTGGCCCCTTTTAGCCATGGCTGGAGTGGCTGGGACACAGTCCTGAGACTGTATACAGCAAGAGGGCCCTGGACCCAACCCAGGAAACAATTTTTCCTTCCTAGGCCTTGGGGTCTGTGATGGGAAGGACTGCTGTGAAGCTCTCTGACATGCCCTAGAAACATTTTCCCCATTGTCTTAGTAACTGACATTTAGCTCCTTGTTACTTATGCAAATTTCTGCACCTGGCTTGAATTTCTCCCCAGAATTTTTTTTTTCTGTCACGTTGGGCTGCAAATTCTCCAAACTTTTATGTTCTGCTTCCTTTTTAATGATTTGCCACTTAGAAATGTGTTCTGCCAGATATCCTAAATTATTCCTGTCAAGTTTAAAGTTCCACAGATCTCTAGGGCAGGGCAAAATGCCATCAGTCATTTTGCTAAAGGATAGCAAGAATCAACTTTTCTCTAGTTCCCAAAAAGTTCCTCATCTTCATCTGAGTCCACCTCAGCCTGAACTTAATTGTCCATATAGCAGGTCCATGAGCATTTTGTTCAAAGCCATTCAGTAAGTCCCTAGGAAGTTCCAAACTTTCCCACATTTTTTTTTGTCTTGTTCTCAGCCTTCCAAACTGTTCCAACCTCTGTCTGTTAGCCAGTTTCAAAGTTGCTTCCACATTTTCAGATATCTTTATAGCAGTACCCCACTCTCTGTGGCACCAGTTAGTCCATTCTCACACTGCTATAAAGAACCGCCTGGGACTGGGTAATTTATAAAGGAAAGAAGTTTAATTGACTCACAGTTCCACATGGCTGGGGAGGCCTCAGGAAACTTACAATCATGGCAGAAGGGGAAGCAAACACATCCTTCTTCAGATGGTGGCAGGAGAGAGAAGAATGAGAGAAGTGCAGAGCAAAGTGGGGGAAAAGCCCCTCACAAAGCTGTCAGATCTTGTGAGAACTCACTCACTATCATAAGAACAGCATGGGGGAATCATTCCAATGGTTTAATCACCTCCTACAAGGTCCCTCACCCAACACATGGGGATTATAATTAGGATTACAACTCAAGATAAGATTTGAGACACAGAGCCAGACCACATCAGATAGTTTGCAGATATTTTCCTCCATTATGTTGGTTGTCTCTTCACTTTGTTTATTAGTTTCTTTGCTATGCGGAAACTTTTTAACTTGATGTGATCCCATCTGTCCATTTTTGCTTTGGTTGTCTGTCCTTATAGGGTACTACTCAAGAAATCTTTGCCCAGAGAAATGTCCTGGAGAGTTTCTCTGATGTTTTTTTTTAGTAATTTTATAGTTTGAAGCCTTGGTATTTAAGTCTTTAATCCGTTTTGATTTGATTTTTGTATATGGCAAGAGATAGGGGTCTAATTTCATTCTTCTGCATATGAATATCCAGCTTTCCCAGCACCCTTTATTGAGGAGACTATCCTTTCTTCAGTGTATGTTCTTGGCATCTTTTTCAAAAATGAGTTCACTGTAGGTGTGTTGATTTCTTTCTAGATTCTCTGTTCTGTTCCATTGGTCCATGTGTTTTTTTTTTATGCCAATACCATGCTGTTTTGGTTACTATAGCTCTGTGGTATACCTTGAAGTCAAGTAATGTGATTCCTTCAGTTTTGTTCTTTTTACTAAGGGTAGCATTGGTTATTCTTTGTGTGTGTGTGTGTGTGTGTGTGTGGTTCCATATACATTTTAGGACTATTTTTTTCTGTTTCTGTGAAGAATACCATTGGTATTTTGATAAGAATTGCATTGAACCTGGCAGACTTCTTTGGGTAGAAAGGTTATTTTAACAATACTGATTCTTCCAATCCATGAGCATGGAGTATTTTTCCATTTTGTGGTGTTCTCTTTTATTTCCTTCATCAATGTTTTATCGTTCTCATTATAGAGATCTTTTATCTACTTGAAGGTATTCCTAGATATTTCATTATTTTTCATAACTATTGTAAATGGGATTGAGTTCTTGATTTTATTCTCAGTTTGATCATTATCGGTGTATAGAAATGCTACTGGCTGGGTGGAGTGGCTCATGCCTGTAATCCCAGCACTTTGGGAAGCTGAGATGGGGTGATTGCTGGGGCCAGAAGTTCAAGACCAGGCTGGGCAGTATAAAGAGGCCCCATCTCCACCAAATATAAAAAAAAAAAAATTAGCCAGGTGCATTAGTCCACTTTCATGCTGCTGATAAGACATACCTGAGACTGGGCAATTTACAAAAGAATGGGGTTTATTGGACTTACAGTTCTACGTGGCTGGGGAGGCCTCACAATCATGGTGGAAGGTGAAAGGCACATTTCACATGGTGGCAGACAAGAGAAGAGAGCTTGTGCTGGAAAACTCCCCCTTATAATAACCATCAGGTCTCATGAGACTTACTACAGCACAGAAAGACCTGACCCCATGATTAAATTACCTCCCACCAGGCCCCTTCCACAACACGTGGGAATTCAAGATGAGATTTGGATGAGCCAAACCATATTATTCCACCCCTGACCCCTCCCAAATCTTATGTCCTCACATTTCAAAACCAGTCATGCCTTCCCAACAGTTCCCCAAAGACTTAACTCATTTCAGCATTAA
The DNA here is from genome assembly GCF_000001405.40 of Homo sapiens. NCBI lineage: Eukaryota > Metazoa > Chordata > Mammalia > Primates > Hominidae > Homo > Homo sapiens. The sequence continues at coordinate 85,519,610 of NC_000011.10, read as the reverse complement.
CGGAAGTCCACAGTCCAAAGTCTCATCTGAGAAAAGGCAAGTCCCTTCTGCCTATGAGTATGTAAAATCAAAAGCAAGCTAGTTACTTTGTAGACACAACAGGGGTACAGGTATTGGGTAAGTACAGACATTCCAAATAGGAGACATTGGCCAAAACAAAGAGGCTACAGGCCCCATGCAAGTCCGAAATCCAGGGTGGCAGTCAAATCTTAAAGCTCCAAAATGATCCCCTTTGACTCCATGTCTCACATCCAGGTCACTCTGAAGCAAGAAGGGGGTTCCTATGGTCCTGGGCATCTCTGCCCCTGTGGTTTTTCAGGGTACAGCCTCCATCCTGGCTAATTTCACAGGCTGGCACTGTCTGCAGCTTTTCCAGGTGCATGGTGCAGGCTGTCAGTGGATCTACCATTCTGGGATCTGGAGGATGGTGGTCCTCTTCTAACAGTTCCATTAGGCAGTGCCCCAGTAGGGACTCTGTGTGGGGCCTCCAACCTCACATTTCCCTTCTGCACTGCCCTAGTGGAGGTTCTCCATGAGGGCCCTGCCCCCACAGCAAACTTCTGTCTCGGTATCCGGGTGTTTCCATATGTCTTTCCATATGTCTTCTGAAATCTAGGAGGAGGTTCCAAAACCTAAATTCTTGACTTCTGTGCACCCACAGGCTCAACACCACGTGGAAGCTGCCAAGGCTTGGGGCTTCTACCCTCTGAAGCAACAACCTGAGCTGTACCTTGACCACTTTTAGTCATGGCTGGAGCACCTGGGACACAGGGACAAAGTCCCTAGACTGTAAACAACAGAGGGTCCCTGGGCCTGGCCCACCAAGCCATGTTTTCCTCCTAGGCCTCCGGACCTGTGTTGGGAGAGGCTGCTGTGAAGATCTCTAACATGTCTTGGAGACATTTTTCCCCATTGTCTTGGGGATTAACATTCGGCTCCTTGTTGCTTATGCAAATTTCTGCAGTCAGCTTGAATTTATCCTCAGAAAATGGGTTTTTCTTTTCTATCACATTGTCAGGCTGCAAATTTTCCAAACTTTTGTGCTCTGCTTCCCTTATAAAATTGAATGCCTTTAATAGCACCCAAGTCACCTCTTGAATGCTTTGCTGCTTAGATGTTTCTTCTGCCAGATATCCTAAATCATTCATCTCTCTTAAGTTGAAAGTTCTACAAATCTCTAGTGCAGGGGCCAAATGCTTCCAATCTCTTTGCTAAAACACAACAGTAGTCACCTTTGCTCCAGTTCCCAACAAGTTCCTCATCTCCATCTGAGACCACCTCAGCCTGGACCTTATTGTCTATATCACTATCAGGGTTTTGGTTAAAGTCATTCAAGAAGTCTCCAGGAAGTTCCGAACTTTCCCACATTTTCCTGTCTTCTTTGAGCCCTCCAAACTTTTCCAACTTTGCGTGTTACCAAGTTCCAAAGTCACTTCCACATTTTCAGGTACCTTTTCAGCATTGCCCCACTCTGCTGGTATCAATTTACTCTATTAGTCTGTTTTCATGCTGCTGATAAAGACATACCTGAGATTGGGTAATTTACAAAAGAAAGAGATTTATTTGGACTTACAGTTCCACATGGCTGGGGAAGCCTTGCAATCGTGGTGTAAGGCAAGGAGGAGCAAGTCACATCTTACGTGAATGGTGACAGGCAAAGGGAAAAGAACTTGTGCAGGGAAACTCTCCTTATAATAACCATCAGATCTTGTGAGACTTACTTCACTATCATGAGAACAGCACAGGAAAGACCTGCCTCCATGATTCAGTTATCTCCCACTGGGTCCATCCCACAACACGTGGGAATTCATGATGAGATTTGGGTGGGGACACAGCCAAGCCATGTCACCAGGTATGGTGGCATGTGCCTGTAGTACCAGCTACTTGGGAGGATCACTTGAGTCCCAGATTCAAGACTGCAGTGAGCGAGCTATGATTGTGCCATTGCACTTCAGCCTGGGTGACAGAGTGAGACCCTGTCTCTTAAAAAAAAAAAAAGAAGAAAGAAATGCTACTGATTTTTAATACATTGATTTTGTATCCTGAACATTTACTGAATTTGTTTCCCAAAGCTTTGGGGTTTTCTATGTGTATGATCATATCATCACCAAGAAGAGATCATTTGACTTCCTCTTTTTCAATTTGGATGCTGTTTATTTCTTTCTACTTCCTGATTGCCCTGGCTAGGACTTCTAGTATTGTGTTGAACAGGAGTGGTGAAAGTAGGAGTCATTGTCTTGTTTCAGTTTTAGGGGGAATGCCTTCAAATTTTCCACATTCAGTATGACATTGGCTATAGGTTCATCATATATGGCTTTTATTATTTTGAGGTATGTTTCTTCTATGCCTATCTTGGGGAGGGTTTTTTTTTAAATCATGATAGGATGTTGAATTTTACTGAATGTCTTTTCTGCATCTATTGAGATGATCATATCATTTTTTGATTTTAATTATCTTTATATGATGAGTTACATTTATTGATTTGCATATATTGAAATACTCTTGCATCTCTGGAATAAACCCTACTTGATCATGGTGTACTATCTTTTTGATGTGCTGTTGGATTTGGTTTTCTCATATTTTTTGAGGGTTTTTATATCTATTTTCATCAGGGATACTGGTCTGTAGTTTTTCCTTTTTTTTGTTATGTTTTTGCCTGCCTTTCATATCAGGGTGGTACTGGTTTCATAGGATGAGTTAGGGAGGATTTCCTTCCCTCAATTTTTTGGAACAGTTTCAGTAGGACTGATACTGTTTCTTTTTTTGTACTTTTGGTGGAATTCAGCTGTGAATCCCTCCGGTCCTGGGTTTTCCTTTATTGGGAAAGTTTTTATTACTGATTCAATCTCACTACTCATTTTGGTCTTTTTAGGGTTTCTGTATTTTTAGGGTTCAATCTTGGAAGGTTCTATGTGTTCAGGAATTTATTCATTTCCTCTAGGATTTCTAGTTTGTCAGTGTAGAGATGTTCATAGTAGTTTCTGATTATCAATTGTATTTCTGTGGTTTCAGTTGTAATGTCTCCTTTTTTAAATTTCTGATTGAATTGTCTCTCTTCTTGGTCAATCTAGCTAGTGTTCTATCACTTTTGTTTACATTTACAGAAAACAAACTTTTCATTTGGTTGATTCTTTTTTTTGGTCTCAATTTCATTTAATTCTGCTCTGATCATTGAATTTTTTCCTTCTGCTAGTTGCAGTTTTGGTTCCCTCTTATTCTTCTGGGTCCTTGAGGTGCAATGTTAGGTTGTTAATTTGTGATCTTTCTGTCCTTTGGATGTATAAATTTATTGCTCAAAACTTCCCTCTTAGTCTTTTCCTATATCCCAGAGGTTTTGGTGTATTGTGTCTCTTTTTATTCATTTCCAAAAGTTTTTAAATTTACATCTTAATTTTGTCCTTGACCCAAAGATTATTCAGGAGAAGATTGTTGAGTTTTCATGTGTTTGTATATTTTTGAGAGTTCTTCTTAGAATTGATTTCTAGTTGTATTCCACTGTGGTCTGAGAAGTGACTTGATATGATAATTAAGATTTAGCAGAGAGAGTCAATGTATTTGATTAGGAAAAGTAAATGGAAAATAGAATGTAATCAGGGCAATTATTGGGATTTCACTCTGTGAATTACAGAATTTTTTAGTGCTATTTGGAGACAAATTACATAACCTTACTTTGTAATCAAGGAGAACTGATTCTATTTCTTTCTTGTCATATTCTGTTAGACTTGAACTATATCTAGACTATGATAAGGATTTAGTATCATGCTTTTACTCATCACAAACCAGATCTTCAAATCCTGTATTCTCATAACCATTTATGGATAGAAGATTCATAAAACCTCACAAATTTCTACTATATGAATGAGAACCTAGCAAACAGGATAGCTATGTTATCATAACACAAAAACAAAACCAGTGTTGCCACTTCTAGTCAGTTCTTATATTACCCTGTTGTTTCTCTTTATGTCATTGAGAGTGAACACAAGAAAGACTGATCTGAAAATCAATAATAATGGTAGTAACCCATATTATTTTGATCACTTGCTAGATTCAAGGTATTATGAATTAAGCATTAAGATAGACACTATTAATATCCTCAATTTTCAGCTGAAGAAATCAAGTCTTAAGACTAAGAGGTTTACAAAATGAAAAGTGATGATTTAGGAATTGCTGAAATTTACACAGCTAGTAAGTTGTGGAACAGAGATTCAATCAGGTCTGCTTGACACAAAAGTCCAAGTTTAACCACGTATTAATCATACCTACACAAGTTCTTGCCATCATAAAATGTTTAGGTCCACTACTCACAGTATCTGCCCCCGTTAGAGAACTCATATTCCATTAATTTACTGTGTCGTATAAACAAGATATAGTTTTGAAATTAGAATAATCTAGGCGTACACTGAACAATTCTCTTACTGGATGGACTAGGTCAAAATTAGTTAGTTAAACGTGACTCTGACTTCTCCTTTTGTCTTTTATATTCCAACAATCAAATTATATTTCCTACCAACTCCAGTTATCTGACTACAGCCATACCATCCACCAAATTATTTTTAATATTGTCTTGACAGTCCACCTTATCACTCACAAATATAGATGATTCTATAGTTCCCAACTCTCAATTTTTACCTTAGCTCCCAGAAATCCTCCAAGTAATTCAAGAAGATGATAGATGTACAACGAAAGTATATTTTCTTGATTTATTTTCCTCCAGTGAAATAATTCAAGAAGATTATTGGTGTACAGCAAAAGTATATATTTCCAGAGAGCCCAATATGAAACCTCTGCCCAGTATGTAGGGGGAGTGACTCCTTCCTGAAACTCAGATACACTGAAACCAAGAGCGTATGAAAAGAAAGGTAAGCAACAGAAAGAGACATTTTTAAAGAGACATTTTTAAAGATTTAAACATCTATTTAACAACTCTGTTTAAAACAAAACAGCTAATGCATAGAGAAAACAAGTTGTAAAAATACATGAGGAATGGTGACTGTTTAGTATTCACTATTCCAAAAAGTGCTATAAGAATCTGTTAGAGGAATGATAACTGTTTGGTATTCAGTGTTCCAAAAAGTGCTGTAAGAATCTGTAAAGTACCTATACCCAGAGATGAAAGCACTTTCCACCAGGAAAGTTAGAGAAGATGTCAAAATATGAAAGTTGAATTGTATTGAAAAGTAAGGTAAAATAATAAAAGCATATTCAAAAATTTCTCCTATGTGATTTCATTCACAGATATTGCCAGTTGGCATATTCTCTGACTCTTTAAACCTAGGTGTATCTGGGCTCTGTTTCACATCCACCAATGAGCTGTAAAAACTTTGGAAGATTATTTAACTACCAGGAGCCTTACATTTCTGCATTTGTTAACAGGGATACTAGTATCTATCTTACAAAGTTGATGTGAGGATTAAAGACAGTGTTTATAATGCATCTGGCACAGTGCCTAACAAACACACACAGGAAATGATACCTATAATTATTATAGATTATATAAGAACAAGAAGGACATGAATAAATCTGAGTTTTACAAAATTACTCTGCAAGGGTCTGAAATATGTATTACAAGGGAGAAGGAACTAGTAGTTGGAAAAACACCCAGAAGGTGTTCAAGAGAAAACTAAATTGTTCAAAAGAAAGCTAGTGAATACTTCAACTAAAGAAGAAACAATGAGGATGGGGAACAGAAGATGACCTTGAAAGATATTTAGAAAGGTAATTAATAGGACTTGGTAACTAATCAGATTTGGGGGATTTGGGAGATTGTTGGATAATGAAGAACAGCTGTTAGAAGTATCAATAGGTTAAATATAAGACATATCAAATAGGTGTTGTTATTTTTTTGAATAACAAAAAGATACTTCTAATGGCATGACAGCAAGACCAGTCTGGTGGGAGAAGTAAATGGTATGAGCCTAAAGAAAGGTGGGGTAGATCAAAATGGAGATTAAGACATGGAAGGAGCTATTAGAAAGTAGAAGTTTGTACCTTGCTGGTGATTAAATGGGGAGGCAAGAAGATATACTAGTGAAAGATAAGTGCTCATTGAAGATACTACCGTTACATAAAAAGAACCCCAAAACTCATAGAGCTAATTAACTCTAAGGTTTCAACTGATAAGTTCATGTGACATAGTATTGGTTTGCTCACTATTGACATCTCAATTTGTCTCTTGAAGTACAAAATCTGGCTTGATTTTTAAAATCCATAATGTTTACCTTTTTTCTTTTGGTTCATATTAAAAACTCTATTTTTAATTTTTAAAATTTCTTTAGATTCAGAGGGTACATATGCAGGTCTGTTATTTGGGTATATTGTATGACGTTGAGGTTTGGGCTTCTAATGATCCCATTGCTAATTGAACGTATTACCCAATAAGTAGTTTTTCAACACTTTCTCCCTTCCCTCCCTTTCCCCTTCTAGAATCCTCAGTGTTTATTTTTTCCCATCTTTTTGGCCATGTACACTCAATGTTTAGCTCCCACTTATAAGTGAGAATATGCTGTGTTTTGTTTTCTCTTTCTGTGTTAATTCACTTAGAATAATGGCCTCCAGCTGCATCCACGTTGGTGCAAAGGTCATGATTTTGTTCTTTTTTATGGCTGTGTAGTATTCCATGGTGTATATGTACCACATTTACTTTGTCCAGTTTACTGTTGATGGGCAACTGGGTTGATTCCATGTTTTTGCTGTTGTGAATAGTGCTGCAATAAATAAAATGAGTGCAGGAGTTTTTTTGTTAGAACAGTTTATTTTCCTTTTGGTATATTACCAGTAATGGGATTGCTGGGTCGAATGATAATTTCATTTTCAGTTCTTTGAGAAATCTCCACACTGCTTTCCAAGGGACTAAACTAATTTACATTCCCACCAATAGTGTATAAGCATTCCCTTTTTTCTGCAACCTCACCAACATCTGTTATTTTTTGACTTTTTATTAAAAAGTTGTTACTAAAGAAGTTGTATTAGTATGACATGTATCACACTGAGCAAGAATAAACCTGGCTAGGAGACTGATTTATTAAATGATGGTTTTATCCATTTTTGACAGTGACAGTAAAGTAGGCACTGTTTAACTCAAGATACGTTATCTATAAATAGGGTTATATTATTTATAGAGAAAGGTCACAATATAATATTTATAGACACAGTATCCAAAGGCACTTAATTATTTGATGAAGATAGTCAAATATTAGTTTTTAAATATCTCAACCCTTGTTTTAGAATAAAAACTGTATGCATTCCACTCTACAGTTAACTTCAGCATAGTCACTTCAACTAAAGTACTTATCCATTGTGTTCTATCTACATCTTTGCTAAAGGAATGATGAGAACCCCTTAGTAGTGTGGCCAAGAAAATAATCTTTGCTTTGCACCAGGTTGGAGTTCTTTGTTATTGCTATTTTTTGAATCCCTTCATGCTAGTTCCACAGAAATCTTTCATTTGATGCCCTTTCTCCTGTGCTTATTGCTGTACCTGTTCTTTGGCAATGGACAGGGGAAAAGAGCCACTCCCTCAATGTAATCCACACTGAAAATGGATCTCCTATTATATAATATTATGATCCTTCCTGAGAAACACCATGGAACTGCAGTCAAATATTTTTGTTTTTCACATTGGTATGAACAATTAATATTTCATTTTGAAGCTTCAAAGGTTTACCAGCCTGGGCAACATACTAAGACCCCGTCTCTGCAAAAAACAAGAAATTAGCCAGGCTTGGTGGCACGTGCCTATAGTCCTAATGCCTGTGGTCCTAGCTATTTGGGAGGCTGAGGCTGGAGGATCACTTAAGCCCAGGAGTTTGAGGCTGCAGTGAGCTATAATCCCACCACTGCACTTTAGCCTGGGCAACAGAGTGTCTCTAACCAGAAAAAAAAAAAAAGAAACTTCAAACATTTACAGTGTGTTGGAAAATCCTTATTTGGTGTTTGAATAATTGAAACATTTAATCTTAATGAAGGATGAAGCCTCAGTGATAAATTTCCAAGACATGCATAGTCCCTTGTATTGCATTCTTGAAAGATATCATTTAGGTTCTGCTTGATTACTTGCAGTAATGGGATGTTCAGTCTCTGAGGCAACCCATTTTATTGTTAGATGGGTTCAGTTGTTAAAATGTTATAATCTCTGTTCTAAGAGAGATGCCATTGAATTCTTGAAATTAATAACTCAAATCTATTGTCTTCTTACTGTTCTTAGGATTAAGACATATTTCTTTTTTTAATTTTATTATTATTATACTTTAAGTTTTAGGGTACATGTGCACAACATGCAGGTTTGTTACATGTGTATACATGTGCCATGTTGGTATGCTGCACCCATTAACTCGTCATTTAGCATTAGGTACATCTCCTAATGCTATCCCTTCCCTCTTCCCCCACCCCACAACAGGCCCCGGTGTGTGATGTTCCCCTTCCTGTGTCCATGTGTTCTCATTGTTCAATTCCCATCTATGAGTGAGAACATGCGGTGTTCGGTTTTTTGTCCTTGCGATAGTTTGCTGAGAATGATGGTTTCCAGCTTCATCCATGTCCCTACAAAGGACATGAACTCATCATTTTTTATGGCTGCATAGTATTCCATGGTGTATATGTGCCACATTTTCTTAATCCAGTCTATCATTGATGGACACTTGGGTTGGTTCCAAGTCTTTGCTATTGTGAATAGTGCCACAATAAACATACGTGTGCACGTGTCTTTATAGCAGCATGATTTATAATCCTTTGGGTGTATACCCAGTAATGGGATGGCTGGGTCAAATGGTATTTCTAGTTCTAGATCCCTGAGGAATCGCCACACTGACTTCCACAATGGTTGAACTAGTTTACAGTCCCACCAACAGTGTAAAAGTGTTCCTATTTCTCCACATCCTTTCCAGCACCTATTGTTTCCTGACTTTTTAATGATCACCATTCTAACTGGCGTGAGGTGGTATCTCATTGTGGTTTTGATTTGCATTTCTCTGATGGCCAGTGATGATGAGCATTTTTCATGTGTTTTTTGGCTGCATAAATGTCTTCTTTTGAGAAGTGTCTGTTCATATCCTTTGCCGACTTTTTGATGGGGTTGTTTGTTTTTTTTTCTTGTAAATTTGTTTGAGTTCATTGTAGATTCTGGATATTAGCCCTTTGTCAGATGAGTAGGTTGCAAGAATTTTCTCCCATTCTGTAGGTTGCCTGTTCACTCTGATGGTAGTTTCTTTTGCTGTGCAGAAGCTCTTTAGTTTAATTAGATCCCATTTGTCAATTTTGGCTTTTGTTGCCATTGCTTTTGGTGTTTTGTACATGAAGTCCTTGCCCATGCCTAAGGATTAAGACATATTTCTTATCCTGGCCTATCAGTTCTTCCTGGTATGACTTCTGCCTACCTCTTTAGCCTCTCATATTGTATGATTCTTTTCTTAACCAATCACTTCTAGCCAGACTGGCCTTCTTTTAGTTTTTCTTTCTTTGTTTTACTCTTCTACAGAGCCTTTTCTTTTGCTCTCCTTCATCCTGGGTAGCTTTCTTCCTAATTTTCTTTCAGCTTTCACAAAACTAACCTGTTTTTTTTTTTTTTGATTAAAAACATGGGGCACTCCATGAATTTGTGTGTCATCCTTTTGTAGGGGCCCTGCTAATCTTCTCTGTATCATTCCAATTTTAGTATGTGTGCTGCTGAAGTGAGCGCCGAACTAACCTTTGTCTTTTAGATCTCAGCACAATCATTTCTTCAATGAAGCATTCCATGATCTGCCTCATTAGATCAAATTCTCCAGTTATATGCATTCATAGTGTTCTGTACTTCTTTGTAGCTTATATCACAGTTGTGATTTTAATTCATCAGTGATTCATAGATTAATGTCTTTTTAACCTCTATCCCAGTATTTTCGTTCACTATGTATCATCAGCATTTATCACAGCACCTGACTCATGGCAGGTATGCAGTAAATATTTGTTGAATAAAATGAATGAAAAATAATAATAGGTCTGCATTTTAGATACATCGGAGGATATCGGTTCTTCAATGTGACAATTCTTTAAAAAATGTTGAGACAGCTAGAACGTGTGTTTGTCTTTCACAAGAAAAGGCTATACATATCCTGTCCTTAGATTGTCTTTCCTCTGACAAACCAGAGCCCTCCACCGTCCTGGTTGCTTGCTCTCCTCTGCAAGCATTCGGGTTAGTCAATGTGCCTTGTACTGTGTAGTAAGGCACTTACTTCTTAAAGTAATGCCCAACTTTTGAGAATTCCTTTAGGTTCCAAAAATCTATGTTAGAATAAGAAATAGCTTTTATGAGATTAGCCTCTAGAGTATGATTTTAAGCTTTTGGTTTATTTTACATGCAGTAGTTTAATTTCCATATAGGTAATCTTTTGAAGAAAAACTCTTGGTTTCTGTTAGATTTATTTCTTTTCAGGACTCAGGTGTAGATAGGCATGGGATTCCTTGAACCGTGATTAAAAGAAATTTACTTCTGTAAGTCCTAAAACTCACTGCGAAATTTTCTGTGTAAGTGAAATCATGAGCTTCAAAATCAGTAATATGTAGTAAATATTTCTTGGGCAGCATTTCACAATAAAAACCCATATTCACTCTTGTGATTTAGGAGGAAACAATGAAAGTTGCAGCATGTATAAATTAAAGACTGAAATAAACTATACTATTACTTTTTTATATGCTTCAACATCAACATAGTCAATATATGTATATGTTGGTCATTGTTAGCCTTTCTCATCTAGATTAGATAACAAGTTAATAAATGTTTATTGCTTGTCTACTATCTGTCAGATGCTAAGCTAGGTGCTATTTTACTGTCTCGGAATAATAGCTTATTTTTCTGTTTATAAACTTAATACAATTTCAAAGTAGAACATTTGGAAAATACAAAGAACACAAATACTTTTACCCTCTACTGTTAACACTTTGGTATGTTTGTTTTTGTTTAATATTCATTTAATAACTATTGGGTGCGTATAATTTGCCATCAATTGTTCTAGAAACTAGAGATATATCAGTTAACAAAATAGATGAAATTCTTGTTCTTATGGAGCTTACAACCTAGTGAGCAGAGATGTAAAATAAATAAAGTATTTAATAGGTCAGCTGGTAAGCACCACAAAAAATAAAACAGAGTAGGGGGATAAAGAACATACCTAAGGTAGAAAGGAAAGGCATTTCTAATAAAGTGACATTGATTAGAGAGCCGAATGACTTGAGAGAGGTATAGGGTTAATCAGGCAGAGGGAATAGCAAGTGCAAGGGCCTTGTGGCAGGAGTGTACATGGTGTAGATGGCATGTTGGAGAAACATCAAGCATGTCACTGTGGCTGCAGCAGAGTGAGCAAAGGAGGGATCTGACTTGTGTTTAAAAAGATCCTCTGTCAAGCTGGATGGAGAGTGACTTTGACGAGTTGACATAAGTAAGCTTCACATGATTGGTAATAACAAACTTCTCCGAGCTAAAGGAGGATATTTGAACCCATTGCAAATAAGCTAAAAACCTTGAAAGAAGATTAGATGAATGGCTAACTAGAATAAACAGCATAGAGAAGACCTTAAATGACCTGATGGAGCTGAAAACCATGGCACGAGAACTACATGATGCATGCACAAGCTTCAGTAGCAATTTGATCAACTGAAAGAAACAGTATAAGTGATTGAAGATCAAATGAATCAAATGAAGTGAGAAGAGAAGTTTAGAGAAAAAAGAGTGAAAAGAAATGAACAAAGCCTCCAATAACTATGGGACTACATGAAAAGACCAAATCTACGTCTGATTGGTGTACTGGAAAGTGATGGGAGAACGGAACCAAGTTGGAAAACACTCTGCAGGATAGTATCCAGGAGAACTTCCCAGACCTAGCAAGGAAGTCCAACATTCAAATTCAGGAAATACAGAGAACACCACAAAGATACTCCTTGAGAAGAGCAACTCCAAGACACATAATTGTCAGATTCACCAAAGTTGAAATGAAGGAAAAAATGTTAAGGGCAGCCAGAGAAGTCGGGTTACCCAAAAAGGGAAGCCCATCAGACTAACAGCTGATCTCTCGGCAGAAACTCTGCAAGCCATAAGAAAGTGTGGTCCAATATTCAACTTTCTTAAAGAAAATAATTTTCAATCCAGAATTTCATATCCAACCAAACTAAGCTTCATAAGTGAAGGAGAAATAAAATCCTTTACAGACAAGCAAATGCTGAGAGATTTTGTCACCACCAGGTCTGCCTTATAAGAGCTCCTGAAAGAGGCACTAAAAATGGAAAGCAACAACTGGTACCAGCCACTGCAAAAACATGCCAAATTGTAAGGACCACTGATGCTAGGAAGAAACTGCATCAACTAACAAGCAAAATAACCAGCTAACATCATAATGACAGGATCAAATTCACACATAACGTTATTAACCTTAAATGTAAGTGGGCTAAATGCCCCAATTAAAAGACAAAGACTGGCAAATTGGACAAAGAGTCAAGACCCATCAATGTGCTGTACTCAGGAGACCCATCTAACGTGCAGACACACACATAGGCTTAAAATAAAGGGATGCAGGAAGATCTACCAACAAAATGGAAAACAAAAAATGCAGGGGTTACAATCCCAGTCTGATAAAACAGACTTTAAACCAACAAAGATCAAAAGAGACAAGGCCATTACATAATGGTAAAGGGATCAATTCGACAAGAAGAACTAACTATCCTAAATATATATGCACCCAATACAGGAGCACCCAGATTCATAAAGCAAGTCCTTAGAGATCTACAAAGAGACTTAGACTCCCACACAGTAATAGTTGGAGGCTTTAACACCCCACTGTCAACATTAGACAGATCAACGAGACAGAAAGTTAACAAGGATATCCAGGACTTGAACTCAGCTCTGCACCAAGCGGACCTAATAGACATCTACAGAACTCTCCACCCCAAATCAACAGAATATACATTCTTCTCAGCACCACATTGCACTTATTCCAAAATTAACCACATAGTTGGAAGTAAAGCACTCCTCAGCAAATGTAAAAGAACAGAAATGATAACAAACTGTCTCTCAGACCACAGTGCAATCACATTAGAACTCAGGATTAAGAAACTTACTCAAAAATCACACAACTAGGCAGAAACTGAACAACTTGCTCCTGAATGATTACTGGGTACATAATGAAATAAAAGCAGAAATAAAGATGTCCTTTGAAACCAATGAGAACAAAGACACAACATACCAGAATATCTGGGACACATTTAAAGCAGTGTGTAGAGGGAAATTTATAGCACTAAATGCCCACTAGAGAAAGTAGGAAAGATCTAAAATTGAAACCCTAACACCACAATTAAAAGAACTGGTGAAACAAGAGCAAACACATTCAAAAGCTAGCAGAAGCCAAGAAATAACTAAGATCAGAGCAGAACTGAAGGAGACAGAGATACAAAAAACCCTTCAAAAAATCAATGAATCCAGGAGCTGGTTTTTTGAAAAGATCAACAAAATAGACCACTAGCCAGACTAATAAAGAAGAAAAGAGAGAAAAATCAAATAGACACAATAAAAAATGATAAAGGGGATATCACCACTGATCCCACAGAAATACAAACTACCATCAGAGAATACTATAAACACCTCTATGCAAATAAATTAGAAAATCTAGAAGAAATGGATAAATTCCTGGACACATACACCCTCCCAAGACTAAACCAGGAAGAAGTTAAATCCCTGAATAGACCAAAAACAGGTTCTGATATTGAAGCAGTAATTAATAGCCTACCAACCACAAAAAGTCCAGGACCAGATGGATTCACAGCTGGATTCTACCAGAGGTACAAGGAGGAGCTAGTACCATTCCTTCTGAAACTATTCCAATCAATTGAAAAAGCGGGAATCCTCCCTAACTCATTTCATGAGGCCAGCATCGTTCTGATACCAAAGCCTGGCAGAGACACAGCAAAAAAAGATAATTTTAGACCAATATCCCTGATGAACATCAATGCAAAAATCCTCAATAAAATACTGGCAAACCAAATCCAGCAGCACATCAGAAATCTTATCCACCACCATCAAGTCGGCTTCAGCTCTGGGATGCAAGGCTGGTTCAACATACGCAAATCAATAAATGTAATTCATCATATAAGCAGAACAAAGACAAAAACCACATAATTTTCTCAATAAATGCAGAAAAGCCTTTGACAAAATTCAACAGCCCTTCATGCTAAGAACTCTCAATAAACTAGATATTGATGGGACATATCTCAAAATAATAAGACCTCTTTATGACAAACCCACAGCCAATATCATACTAAATGGGCAAAAACTGGAAGCATTCTCTTTGAAAACTGGTGCAAGACAGGGATGCCCTCTCTCACCACTCCTATTCAACATAGTGTTGGAAGTTCTGGCCAGGGTAATCAGGCAGTAGAAAGAAATAAAGGGTATTCAATTAGGAAAAGAGGAAGTCAAATTGTTCCTGTTTGCAGATGACATGATTGTATATTTAGAAAACCCCATTGTCTCAGCCCAAAATCTCCTTAACCTGATAAGCAAATTCAGCAAAGTCTCAGGATACAAAATCAATGTGCAAAAATCACAAGCATTCCTGTACACCAATACACCAATAACAGACAAACAGAGAGCCAAATCATGAGTGAACTTCCATTCACAATTGCTTCAAAGAGAATAAAATACCTAGGAATCCAACTTACAAGGGATGTGAAGGATCTCTTCAAGGAGAACTACAAAGCACTGCTCAATGAAATAAAAGAGGATGAAACAAATGGAAGAACATTCCATGCTCATGGATAGGAAGAATCAATATTGTGAAAATGGCCATACTGTCCAAGGTAATTTATAGATTCAATGCCATCCCCATCAAGCTACCAATGACTTTCTTCACAGAATTGGAAAAAACTACCTTAAAGTTCATATGGAATCAAAAAAGAGCCTGCATTGCCAAGACAATCCTAAGGCAAAAGAACAAAGCTGGATGCACCACGCTACCTGACTTCAAACTATACTACAAGGCTGCAGTAACCAAAACAGCATGGTACTGTTACCAAAACAGAGATATAGACCAATGGAACAGAACAGAGTCCTCAGAAATAATACCACACATCTACAACCATCTGATATTTGATAAACCTGACAAAAACAAGAAATGGGGAAAGGTTTCCCTATTTAATAAATGGTGCTGGGAAAACTGGCTAGCCATATGTAGAAAGCTGAAACTGGATCCCTCCCTTACACCTTATACAAAAATTAATTCAAGATGGATTAAAGACTTAAATGTTAGACCTAAAACCATAAAAACCCTAGAAGAAAACCTAGGCAATACCATTCAGGACATAGGCATGGGCAAGGACTTCATGACTAAAACACCAAAAGCAATGGCAACAAAAGCCAAAATTGACAAATGGGATCTAATTAAACTAAAGAGCTTCTGCACAGCAAAAGAAACTACCATCAGAGTGAACAGGCAACCTACAGAATGGGAGAAAATTTTTGCAATCTACCCATCTGACAAAGAGCTAATATCCAGAATCTACAAAGAACTTAAACAAATTTACAAGGAAAAAATCAAACATCCCCCTCAAAAAGTGGGCGAAGTATATGAACAGACACTTCTCAAAAGAAGACATTTATGCAGCCAACAGACACATGACAAAATGCTCATCATCACTGTCCCTCCTCCTCCTCCTCCTCCTTCTTGAGACAGGGTCTCACTGTGTTGCCCAGGCTGGAGTACAGTGACATGATCATAGCTCACTGCAGCCTCAATCTCCAGGGCTCAAGTGATCCTCATGCCTCAGCCTCCTGAATAGCTGGGACTACAGGTGTGTGCCACCATGCCCAACTAATTTTTTGATTTTTAGTAGAAATAATGTCTTGCTGTGTTACCTGGCTCGGTCTTGAACTCCTGAACTCAATCTGTCCTCCCACCTTAGGCTCCCAAGGTGTTGGGATTACAGGCATGGGTCACCATTCCTGGTCTTTGTTTCTTTTCTTATAAAGCCACCAGTTCCACTCCCATGATAACCCATTAATCTATGAATAGGATTAATTCATTCATGAAGGCAGAACCTTCATTATCCAATCACCTTTTAAAAACCCTACTGTTCAATTCTGTCATATTGGAGATAAGTTTCAACTTACATTTTGGAGGGAACATTCAAACCATAGCACCCATCCTGGATACTTTGTGAATAGGTTATATGGGAAAACAGGGAGACTGGTTAGAAGTCAACTGCAATGGAAAAGGAAAGAGAATATAGTGACTCAGATCAAAGAGTTGAGAAGTGGCTGGATACTAAATATATATTGTCATTAGAATTTGTCGATGGCTCAAAGTAGGGGAGTAAGAAAAGAAGTGTCAAGAAAAGTATTTTCCTTCAGTCTTTTAAAACTTAACCTTAAAAAGCTTGAATGCAAAAAAGTATAAAATATAATGGTACAGTGTAATTACTATACAGTGTAATAATTAATCACCTCTGTAGGTATCCCTAAAATATATAGTTTAGTTTGCTTGTTTATGAATGTTATATAAATTGAATAATACTTTATGTATTCTTTTGGTTCTTTCTTCTTCATACGGGAGTATGCTTATGAGTTTCTTCTATATTGTAGGGAATAGTGTTAGTTTGTTCATTTTTTATTGGTATATATCATTCTATTGCAGGATTATGCTGTAATGTATCCATTGTAGAGTGTGTAGACATTTGGGTTGTTTCCAGCCTTTGCTATTAAAATCAATGCTGCTATGAACATCTTTATATGTGTATCCAGGTACACATGAGTTTTTCTAGAGTATATTTCTTTTTTAAAAATTTTACTTTAACTTCTGGAATACATGTGCAGAATGTGCGGGTTTGTTACATAGGTATATGTGTGCCATGGTGGTTTGCCGCACCTATCAACCCATCATCTAGGTTTTAAGCCCCACGTGCATTAGGTATTTGTCCTAATGCTCTCCCTCCCCTTGCCCCCAACCCGCCGACAGGCCTCAGTGTGTGATGTTCCCCTCCCTGTGTCCATGTGTTCCCATTGTTCAGCTCCAACTTATAAGTGAGAACATGCGGTGTTTGGTTTTCTCTTCCTATGTTAGTTTGCTGAGAATGATGGCTTCCACCTTCATCCATGTCCCTGCAAAGGACATGAACTCATTCTTTTTATGGCTGCATAGTATTCCATGGTATATATGTGCCACATTTTTTTTCTTTTTATTATACTTTAAGTTCTGGGTTACATGTGCAGAACGTGCAGTTTTGTTACACAGGTATACACGTGTCGTGTCGTGGTGGTTTGCTGCACCCATCAACCCATCACCTACAGTAGGTATTTCTCCTAATGTTATCCCTCCCCTAGCCCACCACCCCACACAGGTCCTGGTGTGTGATGTTCCCCTCCCTGTCTCCATGTGTTCTCATTGTTCAACTCCCACTTATGAATGAAAACATGAGCTGTTTGGTTTTCTGATCTTGTGATAGTTTGCTGAGAATGATGGTTTCCAGCTTCATCCATGTCCCTGCAAAGGACATTAACTCATCCTTTTTTATGGCTGCATAGTATTCCATGGAGTATATGTGCCACATTTTCTTAATCCAGTCTATCATTGGTGGACATTGCGGTTGGTTCCAAGTCTTTGCTATTGTGAATAATGCCACAATAAACATACGTGTACATGTGTCTTTATCGTAGAATGATTTATAATCCTTTGGGTATATGCCTGGTAATCGGATTGATGGGTCAAATGGTATTTCTAGTTCTAGATCCTTACAGAATTGCCACACTGTCTTCCACAATGGTTGAACTAATTTATACTCCCACCAACAATGTAAAAGAGTTCCTATTTTTCACAACCTCTCCAGCATCTGTTGTTTCCTGACTTTTTAATGATCACCATTCTGACTGGTGTGAGATGGTATCTAATTGTGGTTTTGATTTGCATTTCTCTAATGACCAGAGATGATGAGCATTTTTTCATATGTCTGTTGGCTAGCTAAATGTCTTCTTTTGAGAAGTGTTTGTTCATATCCTTTGCCCATTTTTTGATGGGTTGTTTGCTTTTTTCTTATAAATTTGTTTAAGTTCTTTGTAGATTCTGGGTATTAGCCCTTTGTCAGATGGATAGATTGCAAAAATTTTCTCCCGTTCTGTAGGTTGCCTGTTCACTCTGATGATAGTTTCTTTTGCTGTGCAGAAGCTCTTTAGTTTAATTAGATCCCATTTGTCTAGTTTGGCTTTTGTTGCCATTGCTTTTGGTGTTTTAGACATGAAGCCTTTGCCCATGCCTATGTCCTGAATGGTATTTCACAGGTTTTCTTCTAGGATTTTTATGGTCCTAGGTCTTATGTTTAAGTCTTTGGTCCATGTTGAGTTGATTTTTGTATAAGGTGTAAGGAAGGGGTCCAGTTTCAGTTTTCTGCATATGGCTAGCCAGTTTTCCCAGCACCATTTATTAAATAGGGAATCTTTTCCCCATTGCTTGTTTTTGTCGGGTTTGTCAAAGATCAGGTGGTGGTAGATGTGTGTTGTTATTTCTGAGGCCTCTGTTCTATTCCATTGGTTTATATATATGTTTTGGTACCAGTACCATGCTGTTTTGTTTACTGTAGACTTGTAGTAAAGGTTGAAGTCAGGTAGTGTGATGCCTCCAGCTTTGTTCTTCCTGCCAAGGATTGTCTTGGCTATGGGAGCTCTTTTATGGTTGCATATGAAATTTAAAGTATTTTTTTCCAATTCTGTGAAGAAAGTCAGTGGTAACTTGATGGGGATAGCATGGAATCCATAAATTACTTTGGGCAGTAATGCCATTTGCACGATATTGATTCTTCCTATCCATGAGCGTGGAATGTTTTTGCATTTGTTTGTGTCCTCTCTTATTTCCTTGAGCAGTGGTTTGTAGTTCTCCTTGAAGAGGTCCTTCACATCTCTTATAAGTTGTATTCCTAAGTACTGTAGTCTCTTAGGAGCAATTGTGAATGGGAATTCACTCATGATTTGGCTGTTTGTCTGTTATTGGTGTAGAGGAATGCTTGTGATTTTACACTTTGATTTTGTAACTTTATTTATTTATTTATTTATTTTATTTTTATTTTTTTTATTATACTCTAAGTTTTAGGGTACATGTGCACATTGTGCAGGTTAGTTACATATGTATACATGTGCCATGCTGGTGCGCTGCACCCACTAATGTGTCATCTAGCATTAGGTATATCTCCCAATGCTATCCCTCCCCCCTCCCCCGACCCCACCACAGTCCCCAGAGTGTGATATTCCCCTTCCTGTGTCCATGTGATCTCATTGTTCAATTCCCACCTATGAGTGAGAATATGCGGTGTTTGGTTTTTTGTTCTTGCGATAGTTTACTGAGAATGATGATTTTGTAACTTTAGACTTTGCTGAAGTTGCTTATTAACTTAGGGAGATTTTGGGCTGAGACGATGGGGTTTTCTAGATATACAATCATGTCATCTGCAAAGGGAGACAATTTGACTTCCTCTCTTCCTATTTGAATACACTTTGTTTCTTTCACCTGCCTGATTGCCCTGGCCAGAATTCCAACACTGTGTTGAATAGGAGTGGTGAGAGAGGGCATCCTTGTCTTGTGCCAGTTTTCAAAGGGAATGCTTCTAGCTTTTGCCCATTCAGTGTGATATTTGCTATGGGTTCATCATAAATAGCTCTTATTATATTGAGATATGTTCCATTGATACCTAGTTTATTGGGAGATTTAAGCATGAAAGGCTGTTGAATTTTGTCAGAGGCCTTTTCTGCATCTATGGAGATAATCATGTGTTTTTTGTTCTTGGTTCTGTTTATGTGATGGATTACATTTATTGATTTGCATATGTTGAACTAGCCTTTCACCCCAGGGATGAAGCAGACGTGATCATGGTGGATAGGCTGTTTTTTGTGCTGCTGGATTTGGTTTGCCAGTATTTTATTGAGGATTTTCACGTCAATATTCATCAGGGTTATTGGTCTAAAATTATCTTTTTTTTGTTGTGTCTCTGCCAGGCTTTGGTATCAGGATGATGCTGGCCTCATGAAATGAGTTAGGGAGGATTCCCTCTTTTTCAATTGATTGGCATAGTTTCAGAAGGAATGGTACCAGTTCCTCTTTGTAACTCTGGTTGAATCTGGCTGTAAATCCATCTGGTCCTGGACTTTTTTTGGTTGGTAGGCTATTAATTATTGTTTCAATTTCAGAACCTATTATTGGTCTATTCAGAGATTAAACTTCTTCCTGGTTTAGTCCTGGGGGTTGTATTTATCCATGAATTTATCCATTTCTTCTAGATTTTCTAGTTTATTTGCATAGAAGTGTTTATAGTATTCTCTGATGGTAGTTTGTATTTCTGTGGGATCAGTGGTGATATCCCCTTTATCATTTTTTATTGCGTCTATTTGATTCTTCTCTCTTTCCTTCTTTATTAGTTTTGCTAGTGGTCTATTTTGTTTATCTTTTAAAAAAACCAGCTCCAGGATTCATTAATTTTTGGAAGGGGTTTTTTGTTTCTCTACTTCCTACAGTTCTGCTCTGATCTTAGTTGTTTCTTGCCTTCTGCTAGCTTTTGAATTTGTTTGCTCTTGCTTCTCTAGTTCTTTTAATTGTGATGTTTTAATTTTGATGTGTTGATTTTAGATCTCTTCAGCTTTCTCTTGTGGGCATTTAGTGCTATAAATTTCCCTCTACACACTGCTTTAAATGTGTCCCAGAGATTCTGGTACATGGTGTCCTTGTTCTCATTGGTTTCAAAGACCATCTTTATTTCTTAATTTCATTATTTACCCAGTAGTCATTCTGGAGCAGGTTGTTCAGTTTCCATGTAGTTGTGCAGATTTGAGCCAGTTTAGGATTAATTAGAACTTAATCCTGAGTTCTAATTTGATTGCACTGTGGTCTGAGAGACAGTTTGTTGTGATTCCTGTTTGTTTACATTCCTGAGGAGTGTTTTTACTTCCAATTATGTGGTCAATTTTAGAATAAGTGCGATGTGGTGCTGAGAAGAATGTATATTCTGTTGATTTGGGGTGGGGAGTTCTGTAGAAGTCTATTAGGTCTGCTTGGTGCAGAGGTGTGTTCAAGTCCTGGATATCCTTGTTAATTTTCTGTCTAGCTGATCTGTCTAATATTGACAATGGGGTGTTAAAGTCTCCCATTATTATTGTGTGGGAGTCTAAGTCTCTTTTTAGGTCTCTCAGGACTTGCTTTATGAATCTGGGTGCTCCTGTATTGGGTGCATATATATTTAGGATAGTTAGCTCTTCTTGTTGAATTGATACCTTTACCATTATGTAATGGCATTCTTTGTCTCTTTTGATCTTTGTTCGTTTAAAGTCTGTTTTATCAGAGACTAGGATTTCAATCCCTGCTTTTTTTTGCTTTCCATTTGCTTTGTAGATCTTCCTCCATCCCTTTATTTTGAGCCTGTGTGTGTATTTGCACATCAGATGAGTCTCCTGAATATAGCACACTGATGGTTCTTGACTCTTTATTTTATTTGCCAGTCTGTGTCTTTTAATTGGGGCATTTAGCCCATTTACATTTAAGGTTAATAATGTCATGTGTGAATTTGATCCTGTCATTATGATGGTAGCTGGTTATTTTGCCTGTTAATTGATGTGGTTTCTTCATAGCATCGATGGTCTTTACAATTTGGCATGCTTTTGCAGTGGCTGGTACCAGTTGTTCCTATCCATGTTTGGTGCTTCCTTCAGGAGCTCCTGTGAGGCAGACCTGGTGGTGACAAAATCTCTCAGCATTTGCTTGTCTGTAAAAGATTTTATTTCCCCTTCACTTATGAAGCTTAGTTTGGCTGGATATGAAATTCTGGATTGAAAATTCTTTTCTTTAAGAATGTTGAATATTGACTCCCTGTCTCTTTTGGCTTGTAGGGTTTCTGCCGAGAGATCAGCTTTTAGTCTGATGGGCTTCACTTTGTGGGTAACCTGACCTTTCTCTCTGGTTACCCTTAACATTTTTTTCCTTCATTTCAACCTTGGTGAAATTGACAATTTTGTGTCTTGGTGTTGCTCTTTTCAAGGAATATCTTTGTGGTGTTCTCTGTATTTCCTGAATTTGAATGTTGGCCTGACTTGCCAGGTTGGGGAAGTTCTCCTGGATAATATCCTGAAGAGTGTTTTCTAACTTGGTTCCATTCTCCCAGTCATTTTCCAGTACACCAGTCAACTGTAGATTTGGCCTGTTCACGTAGTTCCAGATTTCTTGGAGGCTTTGTTCTTTTCTTTTCACTCCTTTTTCTATAATCTTGTCTCCTTGTTTTTTTCAATGAGTTCATCTTCAATCACTGATATCCTTTCTTCTGCTTGATCAAATTGGCTATTGAAGTTTGTGTATGCTTCACTAAATTCTCGTACTGTGGTTTTCAGCTCCATCAGGTCATTTAAGTTCTTCTCTACACTGGCTATTCTAGTTAGCCATTCGTCTAACCTTTTTTCAAGGATTTAACTTCCTTGCGACGGGTTAGAACATGCTTCTTTAGCTCAGAGAAGTTTGTTATTAGTGACTTTCTGAAGCCTACTTCTGTCAACTCATCAAACTCATTCTCCATCTCATTTTGTTCCCTTGCTGGCGAGGAGTTGTTTTCCTTTGGAGGAGAAGAGGCATTCTGGTTTTTGGAATTTTCAGCCTTTCTGCTGTGGTTTCTCCCCGTCTTTGTGGTTTTATCTAGCTTTGGTCTTTAAAGTCAATGACTTTTGGCTGTAGTCTCTGAGTGGACGTCCTTTTTGTTGACGTTGATACTATTCCTTTCTGTTTGTTAGTTTTCCTTCTAACAGACAGGCCTCTCAGCTGCAGGTCTGTTGGAGTTTGATGGAGGTCTGCTCCAGACCCTGTTTGCCTGGGTATCACTGGTGGAGGTTGCAGAACAGCAAATATTGCTGCCTGATCCTTCCTCTGAGAGCTTCATCTGAGAGGGGCACGAGCGTGTATGAGGTGTCTGTTGGCCCCTACTGGGAGGTGTCTCCCAGTCAGGCTACATGGGGATCAGGGACCCACTTGAGGAAGCAGTCTGTCTGTTATTGGAGCTCATATGCCATGCTGGGAGAACCACTGGTCTTTTCAGAGCTGTCCAGCAGGGACGTTTAAGTATGGGGAAGCTGTTTGCTACCTTTTGTTCAGATATGCCCTGTCCCCAGAGGTGGAATCTAGAGAGGCAGAAGGTCTTGATGAGCTGCAGTGGGCTTCACCCAGTTTGAGCTTCCCTGCCACTTTGTTACATTGTGAGCATAAAACTGCCTACTCAAGCCTCAGCAATGGTGGATGCTCCTCCCTTTGCCAAGCTCCCGTGTCCCAGGTCAATCTCAGACTGCTGCACTAGCAGTGAGCAATGCTCCATGGGAGTGAGACCTGCTGAGCCAGGCACAGGAAGGGATCTTCTTGTCTGCTGATTGTGAAGACTGTGGGAAAAGTGCAGTATTTGGGCAGGAGTATACTGTTCCTCCAGGTACAGTAACTCATGGCTTCCCTTGGCTAGGAAAGGGAAATCCCCCAACCAGTTGCACTTCCTGTGTGATGTGACACCGTGCCCTGCTTTGGCTCGCCCTCTGTGGGCTGCACCCACTGTCCAACCAGTCCCAATGAGATGAATCAGGTACCTCAGCTGGAAATGCAGAAATCACGTGTCTTCTGCGTCGATCTCACTGGGAGCTGTAGAGCTGAGCTCTTCCTGTTTGGCCATCTTGGAAGCCAATCATGTGCCACATTTTCTTTATGCAGCCTATCACTGATGGGCATTTGGGTTCGTTCCAAATCTTTGCTGTTGTAAATAGTGCCACAATAAACATAAGTGTGCATGTCTTTATAATAGAATGATTTATAATACTTTGGGTATATACCCAGTAATGGAATTGCTGGGTCAAATGGTATTTCTGGTTCTAGATCCTTGAGGAATTGCCACATTGTCTTCCACAATGGTTAAACTAATTGATACTCCCACCAACAGTGTAAAAGCATTCCTATTTCTTCACATCCTCACCAGCATCTGTTGTTTCCTGAGTTTTTAATGATCACCATTCTAACTGGCATGAGATGGTATCTCATTGTGGTTTTGATTTGCATTTTTCTAATGACTAGTGATGATGAGCTTTTTTTCATGTTTGTTGGCTGCATAAATCTCTTCCTTTGAGAAGTGTCTATTCATATCTTTTGCCTACTTTTTGATGGGGTTGTTTGTTTTTTCTTTTAAATTTGTTTAAGTTCCTTGTAGAGTCTAGGTATTAGACCTTCATCAGATGGATAGATTTCAGAAATTTTCTCCCATTCTGTAGGTTGCCTGTTCACTTCTAGAGTATATTTCTAAGAGATGAATTGCTAGATTTTAGAGCATGTGATTCTTCTATTTAAGTAGGTATTGCCAGCTTTCAAAGTAGGTATACCAACTTAAACATTCAAGAGCAGTGATTTTATATTGTTCTACATTTTTGCCAAAACGTTTATTGTCAGTACTTTTGCCAATGTAGTGGATGAGTATTTGCTTATTTCTGTTTTAATTTCTATTATTTTAGTTATTAGTGAGGTTAATAATCTCTTTATATGTTCATTGGCCATTTGTATATTATTTTTGTAAAATATCTGTTTAAGTCTCTTGACCACTATTGTAACAGGTTGTCTTTTCCTTATTGATGTGTGGGACTTTGTTATAAAATCCATGAATGAGGCCTTTGTTGTTTGTTTAATGGGATAAATGTCTCATTTAGTAGCATGTTTTTCACTGTTTTTTTTATGGTATCACTTTTACTTCATGATTGTTGCTTTTTGTGTTTTCTTTTAAAAAAATATTCTACAATCTAATGTTATTTAATTATATCTTCTATGTTTCTTTGAAGAGCTTCATAATTTCTTCTTTCATATTTCGTCTTAACTTTCTTTTAAAGCCAAAACTCTTTATTGGTTTCTTTTGCAAATGTGCTTTTGAAATACTAATTTATCATTTTTATGAGATTCATTAATCTTTGGACTCTTTAAAGATAAAACACAGGGAAGGCATTTTCCAAGAGTATTTTATAAGCTTATGTAATATATAAAATGTATGTCAGCAGCATAATCCAGGAGACTGTCTTACTTTTAAGATTAAAAAAAAGCCACTCCAAATTTTAACATTGCTTACTTTCCTTTTTTTTAATCTTGTTTGTGTATGCTTTTTTATCTGAAGCAATTGATGAAATAAAGATAGTGGTTTTGTTTTTCCCAGTTACCACATCAACCAAGATTTTGGGCTGTAAATATATAACTAGACACACTGAGCTATTTTGTTCAGTAATTTTTTTAAGAACAATTCCTTTTCTTTTCTAAGGCTTTAATTATTTTCTACCTTGTTTGGAGCATGGGTAATTTACCAAAAATCAATACATGTTATAAAGGAAATTAAAGCAGAGTAAAATAAAAGACAGTAAGGTTTGCTGTGGTTCAAGTGATGGTGTTCCCTCCAACAGTCATGTTGAAACTTAATCCCCAATGCAACAGTATTAAAGATGTAATCTTTGGGAGGTAATTAAGTCATGAAGGCTCTGCCGTCACAAGTGGGATTAGTATCCTTATATAAGGGGTCAAGATTGAAGGAAGCACTCTGTTACCCTTCTTTCTCTCCTGTCATATGAAGACATGATTTTTCTTTCCTCCAGAGGATGCAGCAACAAGGGACTATCTTGGAAATATAGAGCAGCCCTCACTGAATGCCAATCCTACTGGTGCCTTCATCTTGGAATTCCCAGCCTCCAGAACTATGAGAAATAAATTTCTTTTTCTTTTTCTTTCTTTCCTTTCTTCTTTTCTTTTCTCTCCCTCTCTTCCCTCCCTTCCTTCCTCCCTCCTTCCCTCCTTTCCTTCCTCCCTCCTTCCCTCCCTCCCTCTCTCTTTCTCTGTCTCTCTTTCTCTCCCCCTCCCCTCTTCTCTCCTACCCTCCCCTCCTTTTCTCTCCCCTCTCCTCCCCTCCCCTTCTCTCCTCTCTGACATGGGATCTTGCTCTGTTGCCCAGGCTGCAGTGCAGGGGCACAATCATAGCTCGCTGCACCTCGAACTCCTGGGCTTAAGCAATTCTCCTGCCAAAATAACAACTCCCAAGTAGTTGTTATTACAGACACATGCCAGTGAACCCAGCTAAATTTCTATTGTTTATAAATTACGCAGTTCATGGTACTTTGTTCTAGCAAACAAGCATACTAAGGCAGCGTTATTTTGGATGAGGTCAAAGAAGTCCTCTTTAGAAGGTGACATTTAAGCAGAGACTTAGTGAAATGAGGAGTAAGGCTTGAAAAGATCTTGGAGAAAAGCAGAGAGAGCAGCAATTGCAAAGGCCATAAGATGGAAATGAGCAAGATAGTGTGGTTGGAGTATAGTGTAGTTGTAAGTTTATTCAGCTTCTACTTATTTGAAAATGCTTTCAAAAGCATTTAAAATCTGCTTGTTTTAATCTAATACATTGCACCTCATGTACTACTACCATATAAACCTTCCTGGGTACTTTAATCAACTCATCAGTACTCAGTTCATAAACCTCCTGATTACTAGTTGTTTCTGGTTATTTCAACATATTTTTACTTATAGTTAGCCTGCCAATATGACTCAGGAAAATTATTAACCATGGTTTTTAAAATAAAGCTCTTTTTTTTTTATAGCTTGGAGTATGATACTTAGCGCTAACTCCTTCAAAAGTCACTCCAACAAAAATCAGCATCTTCAGCTTGAAATGTCTGATGTTGTGACTTTTAATTTAGGGCATGTAAAGGCAACTTATTTTTTCTTTTTATACCTTAACAATATGATGTTTCTCCCTATCAACCGTCATTTGAGCTACTCATTATACCTCAGGTTCAGCTGCTAGAAGAAGTTCATTGTTTATCCTTTTAAGGTACCTCCCTAGGGACACTCCATGAATTTTAGTGTGCCATGTAACCTATATTTTAAGTCAGACCATCCCAAATATACCCTCCCAATTTGATGCTAATATATCCGGTTGCATTCATTTGACATAATAAAGGGAAGCAGACACTTAATTTTATTTGTATAAATCTATTTTCTGTACTTCTCCAAAAAGAATTTGAGATGATAAAAAGCAAAACAAAAATGTTAAATATAAATGGAATATTAATGTTAAAAGAAAACAGAAATACAGATGAGTGGGGTTACCTTAGTCATGACTATCTGATTTGAATGTGAAAGTTTACACTGCAGTTTTTTTTAGAAAACCATGGTATATCTAGACAGCTTCCTCTATATTAGTGGTTTGTTTTTTGTAGTTATATATAAAATGCAGATAAATGGCTTCATTGTAATTAATAGCAATTACAATTTTTTGATTGAGAAATGCAAATTTTATAGCTTGGTGCAGAAGTAATTGCGGTTTTTGCCATTAATGGCAAATTTTGCTGCAATTACTTTTGCACCAACCGAATACACATTTATTGTGTACATATTGTTTTGAAATATGCATATGTGGCATGGCTAAATTGAGCGAATTAACATGTATATTACTTCATATAGTTATCTTTTTTTGTAGTGACTACACTGAAAATTTGCTCTAAACAATTTTCAAGAATATATTACATTGTTAACTATTCTTACCATTGATTTATGTGTCTGGCTTTATGAGAGTATCTTGCTGTTTTGATATTCTAGCTTTGTAGTATATTTCAAAGTCAGGTTGTGTGATGCCTCTAGCTTTGATCATCTTGCTTAATATTGGTTTGGCTATTCAGGGCCTTTTGTAGTTTCACACGAATTTTACGATTTTTTTATTTCTGTGAAAATGTCATTAAAATTTTGACAGTGATTGCATTGTCTCTATAGATAGCTTTGTGTTGTATGGATATTTTAATAATACTAATACTTCCAATTCATGAACATAGGATATCTCTCTATTTATTTGTGACTTCCATTATTTCTTTAACCAGTGTTTTAGTTTTCAGTATACAGGTCTTTCACCTCCTTGGTTAAATTTATTTCTAAGTATTTTATTTTTTGTAGCTATTGTAAGTAGGTTTTAAATAAATTTCTTTTTTGGATAGTTTCTTGTTAGCATGTAGAAACAGTACTGATTTTCCTGTGTTGATTTTGTATCCTGCAACTTTATTTAATTAGAATAGTTTTTTTTGATGTGGTTAGTGTTTTTATTTGTAAGATCATGAAAATCTGCCAACAGGGACAATTTAACTTTTTTCTTTACAATTTGGGTGACTATTTCTTTCTCTTGCTTGATTGCTCTGGCTAGAACTTCCAGTACTATGTTGAAGAACAGGAGTGAAAGTGGTCATCCTTGTCTTGTTCCAGTTCTTAGAGGAAATGCTTTCATCTTTTTCCTATTCAGTATAATGTTAACTGTAGGTTTGTCACACATGGCCTTTGCTATTTTGAAGTATGCTTCTTCTATGCCTAATTCGAGAGTTTTTATCATGAAAGGATGCTGAATTTTATCAAATGCCTTTTCTATATCTATTGAAATGAACATATGGCTTTTGTCCTTTATTCTGTTTATATAAGGTATCACGTTTGTTGCATCTCTAGTATAAAATTCATTTGCATTTCTGTTATAAAACCCATTTGATCATAATGTATTATCTTCTTATTGTGTTGTTGGATTCAGTTTGCTAGTATTTTGTTGAGAGTTTTTATGTATATATTCATCAGGGATATTGGTCTATAGTTTTCTTTTTTGTTGTATCCTTGTCTGGTTTTGGTATCAGGATGGTACCGGCCTCATAGATTGAATTCGGGATAATTCTTCCCTTTTTGAATTTTTGAAAAGTTTCAGGAGGATTGGTATTAGTTTTTCTTTGTACTTTTGGTACAATTCATCTTTGTTGGAAGTTTTTTAAATTAGTGATTCAGTCTTGCTACTTGTTACTGGTTTGTTCAGGTTTTCTATTTTTTCCTGGTTGAATCTGGGGAGGTTGTATGATTTTAGAAATTTATCCATTTCCTCTAAGTTTTGAGCATATAGTTTGTGAGCATATAGTGCTTCATAATCATCTCTGATGATCTTTTGTATTTCTGTGGTATGACTGGTAATGTCTCCTTTTTCATTTCTGATTTTGTTTATTTGAGTTTTCTTTCTTTTTTTGTTGGTTATTCTAGCTCATGGTTTTTCAAGTTTGTTTTTCTTTTGAAAGAACAAATTTTTCATTTCATTGATTATATTATTAAGATTTTTTTGTCATTTAGTTCTGCTCTGATGTTTGTTATTTCATTTCTTCTTCTAGCTTTGGGTTTGGTTTGTTCTTGCTTTTCTAGTTCCTTGAACTAGTTGTTCAATCTAACTAGTTGTTAGATTGTTAAGTTGTAATTTTTCTACTTTCTACTATTTTTTCACTATTTTCTACAAAAATAGTGCTAACTTCCCTGTTAGCATTATTTTTGCTGTGTTCCACAGGGTTTGGTATGTTTGTGTTTTCATTTTCATTTGTTTCAAATATATTTATTTTTTGTTTTTCTTTAGAGAGAGGATTTTATTCTGTCACCCAGGCTGGAGTGCAGTGGCATGATTATAGCTTACTGCAGTCTCACATTCTTGGGCTTAATTGATCCTCTCACCTCAGCCTCCAGAGTAGCTAGGACTACAGGTACATACCACTGCACCTGGCTAATTTTTAAGTTTTTGTAGAGACAAGGATCTTGCTTTGTTGTCCAAGGTAGTCTTGAACTCCTGACTTCAAAAAATCCTTATAGCTTGGTCTCCCAAAGTGCTGCACCACACCTGGACAAGAAAAAAATATTTTTATTTTTATTTACTCATTTTTTGCATGTCCTTTCAAAGAAAAGTTGAAAACATTAAAAAAATTCCTTCATAATTTATTTGTTGACACAGTGATAATTTAGGAGCATGTTGTTTAATTTCCATGTGTTCGTATAGCTTCTGAAGTTTCTCTTGGTGTTGATTTCTAGTTTTATTCCACTATGATCTGAGAAGATACTTGATATGATTTTGATTTTCAAAAATATGATTTTTAAACATTTGTTGAGACTTAGTTTGTGGCCTAACATATGGTTCATCTTAGAGAACCTTCCATGTGCTGATGTAAAGAATGTGTATTCTGAAGTTGTTGAGTAAAATGTTCTGGTTTGGTCCCTTTTGTGTAAAGTCCAATTTCGGTTTCATGTTTTTTTGTTGATTTTCGGTCTCGATGATTTGTCTAGTGTTATCAGTGGGGGTGTTGAAGTCCCCACTATTATTGTTTTACTGTCCCTCTCTCTGTAGGTCTAATAATATTTGTTTTCTGAATCTGCGTGCTGCAGTGTTGGGTGCATATATATTTAGAATGATTATATCCTCTTGCTGAGTTGATACCTTTATTATTATATAGTGACATAATGTTTTTTCACTGTCCATGACCATTTTATCTGATGTAAGTGTAGCTATTCTTGCTTGTTTTTGGTTTTTGTTTGTGTGGAATATTCTTTTCTACCTCTTTACTTTTAGTCTATGTGTTTCTTTCTAGGTAAGATTGGGTTATTATAAGCAGTATATAGTTGGATGATTTTTTTCATGCATTTTTCCAATCTGTATCTCTTAAGTGGAGCCTGTAATTGTATATGTTCAAGGTTAATACTGATATATGAGCTTTTCTTTGTCATGTTGTTAATTTTTTCTGGTTGTTTTCTAAATTATTTATTTCTTTTTCCCTGTCATTGTGGTTTGGTAGAATTCTATAGTGGTATCATCTGATTCTTTTTTCTTCCTCTTTGGTGTGTTTAATTTACCAATGAGTTTTATACTTTGTGTTTTCTTGATGGTGAATGTTGTTCCATCACTTCCAAGTTTGGGACTTCATTGAACATTTCTTTTAGGGTTTGTATAGTGGTGATGAATTCTGTCATCATTTCCTTGTCTGGGAAAGACTTTATTTCTCCTTCATTTATGAACATTAATCTTGCTAGATATAGAATTATGGGCTTCCAGTTGTTTTCTTTCAGCACTTTGAATATGTCATTCCATTCTCTTCTGGCCCATAAGGCTTTGCTGGGAATACTCTTGTTTATTTAAAGGGGTTTCCTTTATAGGTAACTTGATACCTTTCTCTTGCTGATTTTAGAATTCAGTCTCTCAGTTTGAATTTAGACAGTGTATTGGTCCGTTTTCACACTGCTGATGAAGACATGCCTGAGACTGGGAAGAAAAAGAGGTTTAATTGGACTTAATTGGACTTACAGTTTCATATGGCTGGGGAGGCCTCAGAATCATGGCAGGAGGTAAAAGACACTTTTTGTTGTGGTTGTTGTTGTTGTTTTTTTTTTTTTAGACGCAGTCTCCCTGTGTCACCTAGGCTGGAGTGCAGTGGTGCGATCTCGGCTCACTGCAACCTCTGCCTCTTGGGTTCAAGCGATTCTCCTTCCTTAGCCTCCTGAATAGCTGGGACTATAGGTGCCTCACACTACACCCAGCTAATTTTTGTATTTTTAGTAGAGATGGGGTTTCACCACATTCACCAGACTGGTCTTAAACTCCTGACCTCGTGATCCGCCCACTTCAGCCTCCCAAAGTGTTGGGATCACAGGCGTGAGCCACTGCACCCAGCCAAAAGGCACTTCTTACATGTCAGTGTCAAGAGAAAAATGAGGAAGATGCAAAAGCAAAAATCCCTAATAAAACCATCAGATCTCATGAGACTTATTCACTACCACAAGAGCAGTATGGGGAAACCACCCTCATGATTCTAATTATCTCCCACTGGGTCCCTCCCACAGCACATGGGAATTATGGGAGTACAGTCCAAGATGAGATTTGGGTGGGGACACAGAGCCAAACCATATTAGACAGTCTGATTATAATGTGCCATGGCAAAATCTTCTTTGCATTGTTTTCCTGGGGATCACTGAGCCTCCTGTATCTGTATGTCTAAATGTCTTGCTAGACTTGGGAAATTTTCATCTATTATTTTTTCTAAGTCTTTTGATCTCTCTTCACCCTTGGAACTACCAATAATTTGTAAATTTTGTCATTTTATGTACTGCCAAACATCTTAAAGGCTTTTTTCTTTCTTATTTTTTTAAAAATTTTTGTCTGACTGGATTATTTCAAAATACCTGTCTTCAAGTTATGAAATTGTTTCTTCTGCTTGCTCTAGTCTATTTTTAAAACTTTTGAGTTTATTTTGTATTTTCTCCAATTAATTTTTCAGTTCCATAAGTTCTATTTGGTTCTTTTTAGAAATACCTATCTTTTTGGTAAAATTTTCATCATATCCTGAGGTTTTTTTTTTTTTTTAATTTTTTGGTATTATTTTGTAGAGTTTTCTTGTATCTCACTGAGCATCTTTAAAATCAGTATTTTGAATTCTTGATCTGGGATTTTGTGAATTTATTTTTGATTGTGATTTATTTCAGGGAATTGTTGTGTTCCTTTGATGGTATCATATTTCCTTGCTTTTTGCTGTTTTCTGTGCTCTTACATTCATGTCTACATATCTGGTGTAATAGTCACTTCTTCCAATTTTTCTGAAGTTGCTTTCATGGGGGAGGATTTTTCCTGAAGACATACAAGATATATATATATCTTGTATATACATTGTTGGCTGAATAGGAAGTTTTTGGCTTTGATTTTGGGGCCTGCAGCAAGTAGTGTGATCTCTGTTTTTTTTTTTTTAATCAGCACACAGGGTCAGTGGTATCTTGAACTTCTCGGTGGTTTAGGGTATGATTATTAGTGGAGATGTTGGTG
This sequence comes from Homo sapiens, assembly GCF_000001405.40. Taxonomy (NCBI): domain Eukaryota; kingdom Metazoa; phylum Chordata; class Mammalia; order Primates; family Hominidae; genus Homo; species Homo sapiens. Next base: position 85,486,967 of record NC_000011.10, on the reverse strand, counting down.
AAGTTATGCATGGGACTAGGACACTAGTTGGACCATTGTTTAGGTCTTGGTGGTGGCAGTGGTGGTGTCTCTTTTAAGGCCCCAGAGCAGATTACTCTCGCACCTGTTAGTGGTCCTGGAGCGCCAATTCTTGGATCCCCAGGTGGCTTGCTTGGATGCTGGTAGTAGCAGGGGGGGCCAGGCTTGTGGGCAGGCACTCAGGCCCTGGGCAGCAGGTGTGATAAGGGTGATGGCAGTAGCAGTGGTAAAGCAACCTACTGGAATCCAAGTGATCCATACTGGTGTTGGTGGTGACTGCTATGGGTGGGCATTCCAGTCCCCTGGCCTGCTGGTACCATGTGTGTGTGGGTGTCAGCTGTGGTGGTATCAGTAGGTTGGGTCAGCCTGACCTCAAATCTTGGCAGGACTAATCAGGTGCCAATGGTGGTAGACTGGGCTAAAAAATTTCCAGGCTTCTGGATGGCATGCTCAAGTACTTGGGGGATAGGATTAGGCAAGTAGACTTGTTCACAGGCTCCCTGGTAGTGTGTTTAGGCACTGGCTGAAATAGGCAGAGGCAGGGTGATTTCCAGTGTACTGGTGGAATGTTCCCTGTGGGCTTTGGTGGCTGTGCTGTGGGCCTACCACCAGGAAGGATGAGGCCCCTCTCAGTTAGAGCATTGTGGGCAAGAAGCTTTGGGGAATGCATACTGCTCTTGCTCTGGTCTCACAGCAGCCCACACAGGGCAGTGGGAACTTTTCTAGGGGTCATGGGAGTGCCTGGTCTCCTCTTTCCCTTTTTGGACTGGCAGCTGCTGCAGCAGCAACAACCCTAGCCCAGCTCAAGGGTAGGGTGCAGACCTCCAGTGACTAAACTGTCAAAATGTCAGCTGTGGGCCTACCACCAGGGAAGGCTGGGCCCCTCTCAGATGGCGCACTGTGGGCAAGTAGACATGAGGAGTGAAGTCTACTCATTCTTTGGTTTCACAGTAGCCTCTAGCATGATGATGTGGACTATCCTAGTTGTCTGTGGGAGTGCCCAGTCTCCCCTTTCCCGTCCCAGCCTAGTGGTGGCAGCTGCACTGGCTGTGTCAGTCCTGCCTCAGGACAGGATGCAGATTCTAAGCAGCAAAGTTCTCAGGATGGCACCAAGAAGCAGCTGCTCAGGGCTCAGATACCTGTGGGACTCCATGTGGGTTCCCCGTCTGGAGCGACATCTTGGTACAGTCTCTAGTCTGTTCCTCATGTCAGGCCAAAGGTCTGTGGGCCAAGAGGTTCTCTCATAGCCAAGAATGCAAAAGCCTGCGGTGAGAGTGTAGAACCCTGGGGGTTTCTCTTTTACCCTTTCCCTGCATCCAGGAGCTTTTTCTGGCTCCCAGCTGATCCCCAGCCAAGAGAGCTGCCCCCTTCCCTCTCCTTACTCACATTCAGTACTTCTCATCACTTCTTTGTTGAATCTAAGTCTCTCTTAGATGATCTATTCAAAGTGTTTATTTACTATTCTGGTTCCTTTTCATGGAGGAGGTGTGTACTAGCTGCTTCTAATGAGTGATCCTGACCCATCCTTCCACATTTTAAATTTTTGATGTCACAATTTGCATCTTTTTTTTTTCTATTTGTTTATTTATTTATTGTTATTATACTTTAAGTTTTAGGGTACATGTGCACAATGTGCAGGTTAGTTACATATGTATACATGTGCCATGCTGGTGCGCTGCACCCACTAACTCGTCATCTAGCATTAGGTATATCTCCCAATGCTATCCCTCCCCCCTCTCCCCACCCCACAACAGTCCCCAGAGTGTGACATTCCCCTTCCTGTGTCCATGTGTTCTCATTGTTCAATTCCCACCTATGAGTGAGAACATGCAGTGTTTGGTTTTTTGTCCTTGCGATAGTTTGCTGAGAATGATGGTTTCCAGCTTCATCCATGTCCCTACAAAGGACATGAACTCATCATTTTTTATGGCTGCATAGTATTCCATGGTGTATGTGTGCCACATTTTCTTAATCCAGTCTATGATTGTCGGACATTTGGGTTGGTTCCAAGTCTTTGCTATTGTGAATAGTGCCACAATAAACATATGTGTGCATGTGTCTTTATAGCAGCATGATTTATAATCCTTTGGGTATATACCCAGTAATGGGATGGCTGGGTCAAATGGTATTTCTAGTTCTAGATCCCTGAGGAATCGCCACACTGACTTCCACAATGGTTGAACTAGTTTACAGTCCCACCAACAGTGTAAAAGTGTTCCTATTTCTCCACATCCTCTCCAGCACCTATTGTTTCCTGACTTTTTAATGATAGCCATTCTAACTGGCGTGAGGTGGTATCTCATTGTGGTTTTGATTTGCATTTCTCTGATGGCCAGTGATGGTGAGCATTTTTTCATGTGTTTTTTGGCTGCATAAATGTCTTCTTTTGAGAAGTGTCTGTTGATGTCCTTCGCCCACTTTTTGATGGGGTTGTTTGTTTTTTTCTTGTAAATTTGTTTGAGTTCATTGTAGATTCTGGATATTAGCCCTTTGTCAGATGAGTAGGTTGCGAATATTTTCTCCCATTTTGTAGGTTGCCTGTTCACTCTGATGGTAGTTTCTTTTGCTGTGCAGAAGCTCTTTAGTTTAATTAGATCCCATTTGTCAATTTTGGCTTTTGTTGCCATTGCTTTTGGTGTTTTAGACATGAAGTCTTTGCCCATGCCTATGTCCTGAATGGTAATGCCTAGGGAGGAGGAGGAGGGGCGGTGGGAGAGGGAGGGCGGGTGGAGGGGTCGGGAGGAACGGGGGGCGGGAAAGATCCGCCACCGGGTTGAATCCTCCGGGCGGACTGCGCGGACCTGACCCATTTACCTCTTAACGGTTTCACGCCCTCTTGTACTCTCTCTTCAAAGTTCTTTTCAACTTTCCCTTACGGTACTTGTTGACTATCGGTCTCGTGCCGGTATTTAGCCTTAAATGGAGTTTACCACCCGCTTTGGGCTGCATTCCCAAGCAACCCGACTCCTGGAAGACCCGGGCCAATTTGCATCTTTTTATATTGTATATACCTTAATAAAGTATTGTAGCTATTATTATTCTTTTTTTTTTTTTTTTGGCTCACTGCAACCTCTGCATCCTGGGTTCAAGTGATTCTCCTGCCTCAGCCTCCTGAGTAGCTGGGATTACAGGTGCCCTCCACCATGCCTGGCTAATTTTTGTATTTTTAGTAGAGACAGGGTTTCACCATGTTGGCCAGGCTGGTCTTGAACTCCTGACCTCAAGTGATCTACCTGCCTTGGCATCCCAAAGTTCTGGGATTATAGGTGTGAGCCACCACGCCTGGCCTATTATTCTTAATAGATTGTCTTTTAACCTTCATACTAAAGTTATAAGTGATTTACATATCACCATTGCAGTTAGAGTATTCTGGATTTGATTGTCTGCTTTCTTTTACCATTGAGTTTTATGCTTTTAGTTGTTTTTGCGTTACTTATTAATTAGCATCCTTTTCTTTTAGGTTGAATACTCCCTCTAGCATCTCTTGTAAGATAGGGCTGTTGGTGATAAACTCCCTTAGCTTTTGTTTGTCTGTGAAAGTCTTTATTTCTCTTTCATTTCTGAAAAACAGCTTTGCTAGATACAGTATTCTTAGTTGGCACATTTTTTAAAAAAAATTTTTTACACTTCAGCACTTTGAATACATCATCTCACTCTCTCTTGGCCTGTAACGTCCCTGCTGAGAAATTTGTTGCTAGCCTTATTGGAACTTATTCATATATGGTTTGCTTATTTTCTCTCACTAATAAGGATCCTCGTGCTAATTTTCTCTTGCTAATAGGATCCTCTCTTTGTCCTTGATTTTTGACATATTGTCATTTTGTAGTCTTGTTTGGGTTGAATCTGACTGGAGGCCTGTATCTGTTCCTCTACTTGGATATTTATATCTTTCTCCAAATTTGAAAAGTTTTCTGCTACGCTTTGTCTTTCTCTTTCTTTTCTCCTTTATGAAATCTTATATATCAGAGAGATATATGTATATTTTCCTATATATCAGATATCTTATATAGCAGATATATATCAAATATTTCCTGGGTCCACAAAGGCTATCATGGAACCTGGGTCAGAAGGGGTGGTCTTGGAGCCTTAGTCTGTAAGGTCTAGACTGGGACTGGGGGTGGACCATGGGTCTGCTGGAACAGGTCTGGACTCTGGGTTTTCTAGAGTCTGGGCCACTGGGACCAGCCTGGAGCCTGGGGTTAGCCTGATGCTGGGGTCCATGTGGAGCCTGGGTCTGTGGGCACTGGTTTGGAGCTTAGGATCACAAGTACTTGCCTGATACCTGGGACCATTAGGCTGGCCTGGAGCCTGGGATCTTTGGGTCTGGAGCCTGTGCCTGCTGGTATTGCCTTAGAGGCACAGGTCTAGGACCTGGCCTAGGGATTGGATCCATAAAGCCTAGCCTGGGTCTTGGGACAAGGAACCAGATTGAGTAGTAGGTACACAGAGGTGGTCCTAGAGCCTGGGTTCGTGGGGACTGGTTCTTCTGGGGTCTCCTGGACTCTGGGTTACTGTAGCATCATTGGACCATAGGATCTGGCCTTGAGCATGGGACCATGGGGACTGGCCTTGCACTGGGAAGGCCTGGAGCTTAGGTCTTGGTGCCTGCCTGCTGTTTAAGGCCAGGGGAGCCAAGCTGGCATTGGGGTGGGATAGAAGCCTGGGGCCATAGGAGCTAGCTTGGACTGGGTGGAGCCTGGATCCTATATTCACAGAGGTCTTCCTGGAGGCAAGGTCCATGGGTTCTGGCCTGGTCATTAAGGCTGCAGGAGTTGGCCTGATGGTCAAGTGGGCCTGAAGCTTGGGACTTTGGCATCCAGCTTGGTGCTAGGGGTGGTCTGCAGCCTGGGGCCACAGGGGCTGGCCTGGCCTTGGGGTTGGTCTGGAGCCTGATTCTGCAGGTCATGTCTTCTGCTGGGTCTGATCTGGAGCTTGGGGCCTCTGGGCTTAGCCTTGTGCTGTGGCAGGCTTGGAGCTCAAATTTGCTCTGTAGACCTGGACCCTGGGGCTGCAGGATCCTATATAGTGTTGGGGCAGGTTTGGAAGCTCAGTCTGCGGGTAGCAGCCAGGAGTCTGGGGCTGCAGGGGGCTGGTCTGGCACTGGACAAGCCTGGAGTCTCCATCCACAGTGGCTGGCCTGGGGGCTGGGTCCATAGGTTCTGGCCCAATGACTAGGACTATGTGGGTTTGGCCTGGTACTGGGGCAGGCCTGAAGCCTGTGGCTGTGAGGGCTAGCCTGATGCTGGGGGCAGTCTACAGACTGGGGCCACTGGGGTCAGCCTGGTCATGGGGCAGCCTGGATACTTAATTTGCTATACAGACCTGGAGTTTGGGGCTGTTGGGGGTCTTCCTGGTGCTAGGCTTTATTGGGGGTGGGCCTAGCTTTGGAATCTGAGGCAAAGTCTTGTACTCACTGCCCTCTCCTTCTCTCAAGTGGAAGGTATCTCTCCCTGTGCTGCCTGGAGTTGGGTGAAATGGGTAATGTAAAGCTGTTCTTTCTACCCTCTTCCATGCATGTTTTCTTATTTTGGTGCTGTACCCAGGTGCTGTAATCTCTTGGTTTCCTTACCTATTGTGAAAGTATTTTTGTGCATGGACAATTGTTCAAATTGATGTTTCTGTGGGAGAGACAAGCATTAGAGAGCCCTATTCTGCCATCTTGCTGATACTCAATAACACTTTTATCTTAATTTCTACTGTACTGATCAAATACCATTCTACCCGTACAGGTGCCATTTGAGCACGTTATGTGTAGATACCGAACATAAACACAAACCTTTCCAGAAGGAAACTGAATGGGGAATTTACAAATGAGAAAACTGAAGTTTATATGATTTTACATATGAAGAAAGTGAGGGAATTTACAAATGAGAAAACTGAAGTTTATATGATTTTACATATGAAGAAAGTGAGGCTGAGATAAGTTGAATAAGTGACTTGCTAAACCCACCCAGCCAGCGAGGCAAAACCAGGATTTCATTACAGATTGGAGTAAATGTAGTCTCTTTGTGCTACACCATCCTGTTTTGCCTATTTTGAAAGAGTTTTACTTAAATGTGCATGTGGTATTTTTTTTGCATGTGTGCAGGATAGTTTAAACACTATTGAAACATGACATTTAGTTTTTTTTCCTGTGTGCAGCTGAAAAAGACAGAACCTTAAAGGCTCCAGAATAGATTCTTTTTATTTAATTGTCACTGAATTTACAGTTCACTTGTTTTTTAATTGACTTGTGTGTGCTTTTGGTAAGAGTACTTATTTCTTGGAGCCTAATTAAGAATTTATATTATTGAATGTTCTGGTGGAAAAATAGTTAACATTTGGGAATTTATTTATTGGTTTAAAAATAGTTAAGTGTGCATATGCTCTCATTACACATGTATATCCATAAACAATATATGTTTTATTTTGCATATTTTAAGTTGCATATAAATGTTATGATGTTGCATTTTTTTGCAGCTCGCCTTTTTTTGTTCAATATCACATCTATGAGATTCATCCTTATGGATACTTGTAGCTCCTGTTCACTTTTTTTTTCTTGCTTCATGGTATATCATTATAAAGACATTCCAGAATGTACTTGTGTTTTCTCCTGTTGATGGACAATTAGGATATTTCCATATTTTGTTTATCATAATGTAGCTAGAATATTTTGTAACTGTTTTTGAGTCACATTTGCCAGTGTTTCTCTAGACTAAATACATAGTTGTGGAATTACTGGATTACAATGTCTATCTTCAGGTTTACTGCATGTTCTCTAAAGTGATTGTGCCGATTTATACTTCCATCAGCAAAGTATGAGATTTCTTTTTCTCCCCATTCCTTGCCAATACTTGGTGTTACCAGACTGAAAAATTATTTGCCAATTTTTTAAGTCTTATGGGCTGTATTGTGTCCCCTCCCCCACAAAATTCATGTGTTGAAGTCCTACCCCTAGTACCTCAGAACGTAATGGTATTTTGGAGATAGGGTCTTTAAAAGAGGTAATTAAATTAAAATGAGGTCTTTAGGGTGGGCCACAATCCAGTATGATTGGTATTCTTATAAGAAGGAGAAATTTGAACAAAGATTTGAACAGAAGACAATGTGAAGACATTGGGAGAAGACAGCCATCTACAAGCCAAGGAGAGAGGCTTGGCACAGATCCTTTCCTCACAACTCTCAGGAGAAACCAACACTACTGATACCTTGATCTCAGATTTCTAAGCTCCAGAACTGTGAGAATAGACATTACTGTTGTTTAAGCTACCCAGGTACTTAATTACTGTAGTTCTCGCAAACCAATTCAATGAATATGAAAAGCGATCTCATTTTGGTTTTAATTTGCATTTTCCTGATAAGTAGAGAGGTTGAGCATCATTTCAAAAGTTCATAATGAATCCGTTTTCTATTTTTTATACTGATTCATAAGTGTTTATATTATTTTAAAGTAATGTTTTTATGGATACTGTTATAGACTTAATGTTTATGTCTTCCCAAAATTCACATGTTGAAACTTAATCTCCAATATGACGGTATTTGGAGGCCTTTTGGAGGTGATAGGGTGGAACCCTCATGAATGAGATTTGTGCCTTTAGGAAAGAGGTCCTAGAGAGCTCCATTGCCCTTTTTGCCATTTGAGGACATAGGGAAAAGACAGCTGTCTTCTAAGAAGTAAGCGGGCCCTCATGAGACAGTGAATCTGCCTTTGCCATGATATTGGACTTCTCAGTCTCCAGAACTGTGAGAAGTAAATGTTTATTGTTCATAAGTCAGAGTCTTTGATATTTTGGTATAGTAGCCCAAATGGACTAAGACAAATGTACTAGTTAAATATTATTGATGCTGACTCCTTTGTTGAATGTATAAATTCCAGTCTTTTATGATTGTTTTCTTTTAAATGATGGTTTTTGATGCAGAAAATTAAAAATCTCATGTAGTCAGCTTAAGAAATCTTTTTCTTCATTGTTTATGCTTTCTATATCTTGTTTACAAAGTTTTTCTGCTCAAAGACCATAAGGGTAACATTTTTATGTTTTCTTCTAAGAATCTTAAAATTTTGCTTTCAAAATTTAGGTCTTAAACCTATTTGGCATTTGTTTTTATGCATTAAGGATTCACAATTTTTGTTGACTTATTTAATTGCTTAAACAACCAAGCACCAATTATTTGTTACATATACTGTGTTCAGAGCAATATATAGAATGCTACAGGAGATAATTCCTTCCCTAAAAGAGAGAGGTAGAACCACCATCATAACAGGACTGTGCCCTACTTACATATTATTATGAAATCCTAACAACAATGGGAGGCAGTTGTTAATTATCTGTATTTTACAAATAAGCAAACTCAGCCTCAGAGTAGTGAAATAAATTGTTCAAGGTCACATAATTAGCAAGTAGTAGAATTGAGATTTGAGCTTTGGTCTTTCTGACAAATTTCACATTGTAGATAAAGCAAAGATAATTGAGAAATTTAGTAATCAAGAATGATAACATAGTAGGTTCAGAAATTTTTTTTATGAATAAATATACTGTGTGTTGGCACAAGACAGTCCTATAAAGATTGTCATCTGAGGGCTTGGAGCAGAGAAAGGGAAGAGGCCACTTAATTCTATTAGAATAATTACACTCTATTGAAAATATTTGGGTCCAGGTGCAGTGGCTCATGCTTGTCATCTCACCATTTTAAAAGGTTGAGGTGGGAGGACAGCTTGAGGCCAGGAATTCAAGACCAGCCTGGGCAACATAGTGAGACCCTCTCTCTACAAAATAAATAAATAAATAAATAAAATAAGTTAGTAGGGCATGGTGACAAAGCCTTTAGTCTTAGTTCCTTGGGAAGCTGAGGCATTAGGATTGCTTGAGCCCAGGAGTTTGAGGCTGCAGTGAGCTATGATCCCATCACTGCACTCCAGCCTAGGTGACAGAACGAAAGCTGTCTCTTAAAAAAAAAAAAGTGCTATTGTTCCACTCAGCCCTCCCAATACCCAACTTCTCCAAGCCAGAGAAACTGTTAGTTTAAATATTTCTACCTGTCTTAATGTGTGCTAAGAACCTTGTGGACAGCAAATGAATAAGAAATATTTTTGAAAGAACAAAAGAAACGCTATGAATACATTATTAAATTAGTGCTAGAGGTAGATTCAAAAATACTTTCTATTGTCCTTATGATGTAATCCTGTCAAGGCTCATGAGATAGTTTGAAATATCTTCCATGTTACTCTTTTTTGGCACTCTGATAGTGTTAAATGACAGAAATAGAATAATTTGGAGCTTTTCTCATAGCATAGAGGTTATTTGTGAAAATGGTATGTTTTAGGTAGAGGCTATCAGCCCTGATTATACATACCCCTACCTAAAGAACATACAGCAATTTAACACAAGTAACTCAGAAACACTAGCCAGAAAAAAGAAATGGTGGCAAAGATTAGATTAGTAAATGTAGAATAACTGTTACCACTATTTATTCTCTAATGTCTGTAATCTTCCGTAGTAGTAGAATACATGGTTATTACCTATGGTCAAGTTCATTGACCATTTCTTTTCTGGTTTTTGTTTTTTGTGTCTCATTTAAGAAATCCTTCTCTACCTTCAAGTCACAAACATGTTCTACTATAGTAAGTTTTGCTTTTCATACCAAGGTCTTAAGTTCATATTGAATTAATTTTGTATACATACGAGGTGTTGGTGTGATTTTATATTTTATCATAAAAATAGCCAGCTATCTAGAAACATGCATGCATTTTTTCTTGTTTGTGTCTTTAAATAGGATGTTCAACATTTTATTATGAAGTACAGTTGTGTGCTCCATAATGACGTTTTGGTGAACAGCCGACTACATGTATGATTATGGTCCCATATGATTATAATGGAGCTGAAAACTTCCTATCAACTAGTGCATTTGTAGCCTTCCTAAAGTTGTAGAGCAGTGCATTACTCTTGTCATTGTATTGATGCTGGTGTAAACAACCTATTGCACTGCCAGTCATTTAAAAGTATAGCACATAAAATTATGTACAGTACATAATACTTGATAAATAATACATGTCACTGGTTTAGGTATTTACCATACTTTTTATTATTATTTTAGAGTGTACTCTTTCCACTTATTAAAAAAAAAGTTAACTGAACAACAGCCTCAGACAGGTCCTTCAGGAGGTATTCTAGAAGAAGGCATTGTTAATCATAGTAGATAACAGATCCATGTATGTTATTGTCCCTGAAGAGCTTTAATTGGGACAAGATGTGCAGGTGGCAGACTATGATACTGATATTCCTGACCTCATGTAGGCCTATGTTAGTGTGTGTTCCTGTGTTTCAGTTTTTAACAAAAAAGTTTAAAATGTAAAAAATTAAAAATAGAAAAAATCTCATAAAATAAGGATATAAAGAAAGAAAAGATTTTTGTATTGCTCTATAATGTGTGTTTGTGTTTTAAGCTAAAATGTAACAACAAAAGAGGCAAAAAGTAAAAAAATTAAAAGATGTGTAAAGTAGAAAAGTTACAGTAAGCTAAGTTTAATTTATTATTGTAAAATAAAATAAATTTAATGTAGCGTAAGTGTACAGTGTTTATAAAGTCTACAGTAGTGTAGAGTAATGTCTTAGGCCTTCACATTTACTCACCACTCCTTTACTGACTCACCCAGAGCAACTTCCAGACTTGACTTGTAAGCCCCATTCATGGTAAGTGCCTATACAGAAGTATCGTTTAAAAATCTTTCATATATTTACTGTACCTTTTCCTTTTCTATGTTTAGATACACAAATACCATTGTGTTACAGTTGCTTACAGTATTCAGTACAGCAACATGCTGTACAGGTTTGTAGCCTAGGAGCGATAGGCTATACCATGTAGCCTAAGTGTGTAGTAGGGTGTACCATCTAGGTTTGTGTAAGTACACTCTATTGTGTTAACAAAATGGCAAAATTGCCCAACGATATGTTTCTCAGAACATATCCCTGTCATTAAACAATGCATAACTATAGATTGTTTGTTAGTAGATACTTTCTTAGATCTTTGGATATTACGTCTATTCGTAGTTTGCTAAGATTTCCCCCTAAAAATAGCAACTGGGACTTGAGAAAGAACATATGTTGTAGTTAAGAGCATGGATGTTGAAATCAGTCTGATTTCAAATCCTGGACTTGCCACTAGTAAGCTGGATGACATTGAGCTTCTCTCTGCCACAGCTTTGTTATTTGTTATTGCCTATTTTGTTAGTCAATGACAATGCCTAATAAGAAAATAAAATGAAAATAAAAATACATCAGACGTTGTTGTAAAGAATAAATAAATTTATAGATGCAGAACTTTGAACTATGGAACACAGCCAGCAGTCTTTATTATTATCTAATAGTATTCTCTTTTGAGATAATTTTGTTAGTTTCTCTTTACTCTGTTGATTGGAAAAATTACAGCAATAGAGTTTATATTAGCAAAGCATCCTTGCTTTCATAGTTTTATGTGGTATAATTAAAAATTACATTGCTAGAAAATATTATTTTATAGAGTTTTGACACATAAATAAAATTGGCATATAATGTTTATTTTTTGTACTCTGGTTGATTTTGGTTTCAAGGTTATATTAGGATAATACATGGGTTAGAATTTAATTTTTTTTCTATTTTTTAGAATGTTTATAGAAGGTAGAGATTAATTTTTTAGTTTTGGTAGAATTGGTCAAACTATCTGGGAAGATTTTTGTTTTGCTCTGTTTTATCTTGGTACAGTTTTGCTACTACTTTGATGTCTTTTTAAGTTTAAATCTATTTATTTCTTCTGTTTCTTTTTAAACTTAAAAAAATTGTATTTATTGTACTTGGTTAAGTTTAAAAAGTTTGCTGTACATTTTTCACTCCCAAAATTTTACATTTATGTATTTCATTTTTCTTAATTATTTTTGCCAGAGGCTTATCTTATTAGTCTTTAAAATTTTTGTAACTTTTTAGAAATTTTATTATTTTCTACTCTTTGTTACCTTTTCCTTTCTATGTTCTTTGATTTTATATTTTTCTGCCTTTTAAATTAGGAACTTTGCTTGTTCATTTTGACAATTTTTCTTTTCTAATGTAAGCATTGAAAGATATAAACTTTTTACTAATACTACTCTAAAACTTCACTGTCAATATGGTAACCATGTGGCCATTTAAATTTAAATTAAATAGAATAAATTAATAAATTACATTAAGTAAATTTTAATTAAATTAAATGAATTAAAACTAAAATTAAAATTAATTCCTTAGTTGTTTTAATCACACTTGATTTTAAAGGCTACCTTATTTGACTGCATAGATAGAGAACAATTTTATTATTGCTGAAAGGTCTATTGGATACAGTTGCTCCTGATCAGCATATCTATAATTGAGAAATGACCTCAAAAGAGTACAGTCTTTTTCTTGATATATTTCATAGGCTGGGTTTTTAAAAGAATTTATTCTCAAATAGTTAGTATTTTAAAATCTAATCCTTTAGAACAGCACAGTTCAATTTTTTCTCTGCTTGATCCATTAATTACTAATGGAAATATATTTTAAAAGCTCACCATGGTTGGAAACTTGTTAATTTTTTCTTGTAATCTTGTTAAGTTCTTGTTTGTGGATTTTGAGTCTATATGATAAGATATATACAGATTCAATTCAAATTTTCATGTCTGTAATTTTTTGCTTATCTATTGAGAGGCTATGTTGTGAAGTAAATACAGTTTCAGGCTTGTTCTATTTTTTTGGTAAATTAGTCTTCTGACTATTACATAAATAGCTTCTTTATCAATAATGATCTTTGCATTAAAGTCTATTTTGGTTGTTAACAATTTAACTATTTTGGTTAATTTTTTTATTTCATCATTTTCACACTTTTACTGCCAGTATTTCTTCATTGTTATACTTTAGGTACATCTGTTGTAAGAAACATAGAGTTGGAGTTTTGTAGTTCAACATGACTATCTATATTTTAAGTAGTTGTTTATTCTGTTTATATTTATTGAGGCTACCGATATATTTGGAATTATTTCTATCGTCTTTTGTGGTTTTTATTTACTATATGTATTTTCCTATACTTCCTTTTATTTCCTTTCTTGCTTTGTATCAGATTGATCAAATTTTCTTTATTCTTTCTTCCTTTTACTGGTTTGAAAGTTGTGACTTCTACTTCTGTTCTTTGCTACCTTTTCATTTTTAACATGCATATTTGACTCAATAAATTCTAAATTTAACCAATATTTATGTATTTTTTTCTACAAGTCTACCTCTAGGGAATATACCTTGTTTCTGAACTGTAGAATACTTTTTCTTTTTTATTTATTCTATTTTTTGATACATTGTATAATATTTTATTTTCACCTTAATTTTTAAACCTTTTAAAAGTGGTCATTATGTTAAAAATTTACATTTATAGTCAATACTTTTTCAGATATACTCATATTTGCTAATTTATTTCTTCACTCTGGTCTCTTCATGTTCAATGTTTTTCTTCATTAAATTTTTTAAAAAATATAGTTCTTTTAAACATATATGCTAATGATAAACATTGCTCTTGCTTGTTTAAAACTGTTTGAAGCTGTTTTTATTTCCTTCTGCTTTTGAATAATTATTTAACTGGGCAAAAGTCCAGAACTGATTATTATTTTCCAACATTTTGACACAGGATTTTTGGGGGGCTGTTTTGCCAGCTGGGGACCTTGTGGCCAATGGTGCCTCTGCTCAAGTTTCACTCAGGATGACTGAGCTAGCTCCGCCCACTCAGCCCAGCAGGCTGTGCTTGGCTTTTGCTACTGGCCTAGATCTCAGGCCCACCAAGGGCAAGCCAGGTGTGCCGGCTACTGCTGCAGGGCAGGCGGCTTCAGGTGCCAGCTCTGTGTGAGGCTGCAGCTAGACCAGACGTACTGCAAGAGGCTTCCATCTTAGACGCCCGTGTCTAGACAAGGGGAAAGCAGTGGTGCCCCCAAAACTTGGAGATGCCAGCAACCACAGAACCCCAAAGGCAGTGTTACAGCATGTCACAGCTCTGGCCTGAGGAGCCCTGAGGTCTGGGCTCCCAGAAGGGTTGCAACTCTTCTCTTCTTGCTTCCAGCAGCACAGTGAATTGGCAGAAGGAGTGGGTTTCAGTTAGTTTGTGTTACAGCTCATTCAGTCCCTTCGCCCGATTCTGGGCTGTGGCTTCTGGGCTGGCCTGGCACCTTGTTTCCTGTTGCATGGGGTGGCTGTCTGGTGCTGGTGGAGTACACGGGGGCTATACTGTTACAGCGGCTCCTTTGGCACCTGCCTTTTGGCGGGTCCCAGATTCTTTTCCCACATTTAAGAATGAGGTTACAAGGATAACCAAAGAGTGAGCAAGGTGGAGAAAATTTTGTTGAGCAACAGAATAGCTCTCGGCTGGGTGTGGTGGCTCACGCCTGGAATCCCAGCACTTTAGGAGGCCAAGGCGGGTGGATCACGAGGTCAAGAGATCAAGACCATCCTGGCCAACATGGAGGAACCCTGTCTCTACTAAAAATACAAAAATTAGCTGGGCTTGGTGGTGTGCCTGTAGTCCCAGCTACTCGGGAGGCTGAGGCAGGAGAATCACTTGAACCCGGGAGGTGGAGATTGCAGTGAGCTGAGATCACGCCTCTGCACTCCAGCCTGGTGACAGAGTGAGACTCTGTCTCAAAAACAAAAACAAAAACAAAAAACAGTTCTCAGTTGAGAGGACCTGAGGTGGGTAGCCCCTACCTGAAGGCAGGTAGTCCCAGCATGTGGCTGAGTCTGAGGTTTTTATGGGCTCAGAATGGGGAGTGTGTGCCAATTGGTCCATGGGCAGCACTGGAAAAAGCATCACTTGATTGGCTAAAAGGCATCAAGGAAATTCTCACCCTGGTCAGGGACTTCACCCAGACTGGCAGCTTGGTTTTCAGGCTTTAATTTGTCTTTGGTTTGAAGGTCGGGTTTCACCAGGGACCCACCCTTGTCTGCCTAGGAATTTGTCTGCCTCCTGCTGTGATCAATTTTGTAGATATTATTCTGTTATTATCTAAAAGTCACATTATGGTTCCTTGTGGGTCTTTTTTTTAAATCTAAGATTGCTTATATAATTCTTTGTCATTGGTGTCTAGGATTTGTCTATTTATTTTTAATTTGGTGTGCTAGTCAACATGAAAAAAATCATGTCTTTTTATCAATTATTAAAAATTTTCTTCCTTTAGCTCATTGATTATTGCTTCTCTCATATTGTTGCTATTTGCTTTCTGGGACTGCTCTTACAAGTATGTTGTGCTTGATCATTCTCACTTCTGTATCTCTTAACCTTCCTTTGGGCTTTTTTATCTCTATCTCTTTGTATTGTATTCTGCATGGGAATCTTATACTAGTTGTTTCTCTTTAGTGTTTCCTAACAGCTTTCAAACTTAAGCCATTGAGTCTATTAATTTCAAATCAAGAATTTATGTTTGATTCTCTTTAAATTTGTCTATTTTTCCTTCATGCTGTCTTGTTCCTTACGTGTTTTGTGCCTCCTTTTATCTTTTAAAAACATTTAAATACCATCATTTTATAGTCCTTTTCAGATTGTTCCCTTTTTTCAAGTTCCTGGGCTGCTCATCCTTCCATTTGATAGGTCGGCTATTTTTCATGGGGGATTATTTTCTTGTGTGTTTTGTGAGTTTAGATTTTAAAATAAGTCTAAAAAATCTATGTTTATATATCTTAACTTGAATATAAACATGAAGTTTCTGAAGCAGAGATCAAAGGTATTATTTCTTACATCAATAACTGCATTCGTTCTTCTTGCCCAATTTTTTCATCCTCTGGAACAATATGGTGAGAGTCTAAGTCATTCTACATGTACCAGGAACTATACTGCAGAAAAGGAACTCTGATATTATGATTCGGGCAGTTTATATAGGATAGTTTAAACATCTGCCATCCTGCCCACCTCAGAGTGAGAGAAACCTAGTCTTTCAAATGTAAATAAGGGAAGAGAAAAGAAGGAGTCCTGGGTACTTACACTTTGCAATGTAAATAAGTGTTGCAAGGCAGAAGATAAGACAGTTGCGTCTGGATTTACAATGCCTGAATGTCTCTGTGTCTTATCCTCCTTTGAAATGTAAACATCCAGGAAGGTATATCTCTAAAAAGTCCTCTCACTGTCTATTCTGTCATCATTTAACTTCCAAGTCTTGGCCTCTAATTTAGCTTCTGGTAAAATTTGCTCAGAAAGCCAGAACCATCTAGTAACATGAAAATATTCTTTTTTATTTTTGGTTGAGACAGAGTCTCACTCTGTCACCCAGGCTGGAGTGCTGTGGCATGATTTTGGCTCACTGCAACTTCCGTTTCCCAGGTTCAAGTGATTCTCATGCCTCAGCCTCAGCCTCAGCCCCCTGAGTAGCTGGGGAATGCAACACCATGCCCAGCTAACTTTTATATTTTTAGTGGAGATGGGGTTTCACCATGTGGGCCAGGCTGGTCTCGAACTCCTGATCTCAAGTGATCCACCTGCCTTGGCCGCCCAAAGTGCTGGGATTACAGGCATGAGCCACAATACCTGGCCAAAAATATTAATTTACTCACTATAATATCTTCAGTGGAACTCTTCTCCTTCTCACCCCTACCCCAACTGTGCAAATCCTTTGTGGCCTAGCTCATAAAAATTGTCATCCAAAATGATTTTGCTATGGCTTCTTCTGAGTGTCCTAGTGATATCAATGGGCCAGGGTTTTTTGTTTTTGTTTTTTTTTCTATTTTAAATGATTGGGGGGATTTTTATTAAAAAAAAAAACCAAGTAGATTAATTTGGTTTTCATGTCTTTCTGATTTTTCACCAAAGTTACTTTTTTTTTTTTTTACATTGTTGGTATCTAGGGAGAAAATATTCTAGGCAGAAGGAACAGCAAATGCAAAAGCTTGGTGAGATTGTCAGAGGAACAGTGTGGATGGATAGGAGTGAGTGATGGGGATAATAGTAAGAATGAAGAGGAAGTAGAAAGGTAGGCAGATCTTGTAGAGCCTTGTAGGCTAAAGTAAGGGCTTTGGATTTTACTCTGAGTGAAATGGGAAACTACTGGAGGCCTTGGAATAGAGGAAGGGCATTATATGAGTTTTGATTTAGGTGGGTCATATTTACTGCTTGTGTTAAGTTATTTAGATGGATAGCTGGTAGGATCATCATATTCAATACTGATTCCCTTCAACTGGCCTCCTAGACTAGAAATTGGCTTCTTTTAGAGCTCCCTGGAAAACCAAATACTTAAGGCAATCAATTCTGACAGGATGCTGAAATGGCGAAGTAGATCACTGGTCTGTCACATCATAAATAAGAACTACAAACCTTGTATGCGAATCCACTGACCACACCAGGTGAAAGGCTGTTGTTCCTTTAACTGAAGGATGCCAACGTGGTGGAAGAGGACTGAAGATCAATTTTGGCCATGACATAATTACTACAGTTGGATGCCTCTGTGATCATACCAGAGTAGTTTGGTGTTTCCCTCATTAGGTAGCTTAAAAGCCCTACAATCCAATGGCTGGAGTTTGATGTTCAGTCCCATTAGATCCTTTTTTGTTATTTCAGAATTCAGTGGGCAAAGGTGAACTTACACATATGCTACTATTTGTTTTGCTATGCAGTTCTCTCAATAAATACTGTAGCAGAAAGTCTGATATCTGATTGATTTTATTTGCACAACAAGGAGCCAGAGTTGGAATGAGTAGGAGCAAGGAGACCAATAAAGTGGCTCTTGAAATCACTCAAGTGAGAAATGATAGCTCTTTTGACCAAAGTGGTAAAGGTGGTAAGAAGCAGTCATATTTGAGCTATATTTAGAATGAGGAGCTGATAGGACTTGCTGATGGATTGGATATGAGAGAAATAGAACAGTGATAATACTTTCATGGTTCTTGACTTGCCCGATTGGAAGAATCTAGGTTCCATTTATTGAGGTAAAAGAGTACGTGCACTCAATAAACATATATTGAATGGAGTAATAAAGGAAAGAGTGAAACCACCTTTGCAAGATTATGTCAGAAATCTGACAGGCAGGGAACAGTGGCTCATGCTTGTAATCCCAGCACTTGGGGAGGCCAAGGCGGAAGAATTGCTTGAGCCCACAAGTTGAAGACCA
This sequence comes from Homo sapiens, assembly GCF_000001405.40. Lineage (NCBI taxonomy): Eukaryota > Metazoa > Chordata > Mammalia > Primates > Hominidae > Homo > Homo sapiens. The sequence goes on along the minus strand of NC_000011.10, from coordinate 85,468,870 downwards.
ACTTAGGCAATGTGGTGAGACTCCATCTCTATAAATATTTAAAAAAAATTAGACATCTACAGAACTCTGCACCCCAAATCAACAGAATATACATTCTTTTCAGCACCACACCACACCTATTCCAAAATTGACCACTTATTTGGAAGTAAAGCACTCCTCAGCAAATGTAAAAGAACAGAAATTATAACAAACTGTCTCTCAGACCACAGTGCAATCAAACTAGAACTCAAGATTAAGAAACTCACTCAAAACCGCTCAACTACATGGAAACTGAACAACCTGCTCCTGTGTGACTACTGGGTACATAACGAAAGGAAGGCAGAAATAAAGATGATCTTTGAAACCAATGAGAACAAAGACTCAATATACCGGAATCTCTGGGACACATTCAAAGCAGTGTGTAGAGGGAAATCTATAGCACTAAATGCCCACAAGAGAAAGCAGAAAAGATCTAAAATTGACACCCGAACATCACAATTAAAAGAACTAGAGAAGCAAGAGCAAACACATTCAAAAGCTAGCAGAAGGCAAGAAATAACTAAGATCAGAGCAGAACTGAAGGAGATAGAGACACAAAAATCCCCTCAAAAAATCAATGAATCCAGGAGCTGGTTTTTTGAAAAGATCAACAAAATTGATAGCCTGCTAGCAAGACTAATAAAGAAGAAAGGAGAGAAGAATCAAATAGATGCAAAAAAAAAATGATAAAGGGGATATCACCATCGATCCCACAGAAATACAAACTACAATCAGAGAATACTATAAACACCTCTACACAAATAAACTAGAAAATCTAGAAGAAATGGCTAAATTCCTCAACACATACACCCTCCCAAGACTAAACCAGGAAGAAGTTGAATCTCTGAATAGACCAATAACAGGCTGTGAAATTGAGGCAATAATTAATAGCCTACCAACCAAAAAAAGTCCAGGACCAGATGGATTCACAGCTGGATTCTACCAGAGGTACAAGGAGTTGCTGGTAGCATTACTTCTGAAATTATTCCAATGAGTAGAAAAAGAGGGAATCCTCCCTAACTCATTTTATGAAGCCAGCATCATCCTGATACCAAAGCCTGGCAGAGACATAACAAAAAAAGATAATTTTAGGCCTATATCCCTGATGAACATCGATGCAAAAATCCTCAATAAAATACTGGCAAACTGAATTCAGGGGCACATCAAAAAGCTTATCCACCATGATCAAGTGGGCTTCATCCCTGGGATGCAAGGCTGGTTCAACATACGCAAATCAATAAATGTAATCCAGCATATAAACAGAACCAATGACAAAAACTACATGACTATCTCAATAAATGCAGAAAAGGCCTTTGACAAAATTCAACAACCCTTCATGCTAAAAACTCCCAATAAATTAGGTATTGATGGGACATATCTCAAAATAATAAGAGATATCTATGACAAACCCACAGCCAGTATCATACTGAATGGGCAAAAACTGGAAGCATTCCCTTTGAAAACTGGCACAAGACAGGGATGCCCTCTCTCACCACTCCTATTCAACATAGTGTTGGAAGTTCTGGCCAGGGCAATCAGGCAGGAGAAGGAAATAACGGGTATTCAATTAGGAAAAGAGGAAGTCAAATTGTCCCTGTTTGGAGATTACATGATTGTATATCTAGAAAACCCCATCGTCTCAGCCCAAAATCTCCTTAAGCTGATAGGCAACTTCAGCAAAGTCTCAGGATACAAAATCAATTGCAAAAATCACAAGCATTCTTATACACCCATAACAGACAAACAGAGAGCCAAATCATGAGTGAACTCCCATTCACAGTTGCTTCAAAGAGAATAAAATACCTAGGAATCCAACTTACAAGGGATTTGAAGGACCTCTTCAAGGAGAACTACAAACCACTGCTCAAGGAAATAAAAGAGGATACAAACAAATGGAAGAACATTCCATGCTCATGGGTAGGAAGAATCAATATCATGAAAATGACCATACTGCCCAAGGTAATTAATAGATTCAATGCCATCCCCATCAAGCTACCAATGACTTTCTTCACAGAATTGGAAAACACTACTTTAAAGTTCATATGGAACCAAAAAAGAACCCACATTGCCAAGTCAATCCTAAGCCAAAATAACAAAGCTGGAGGCACCACGCTACCTGACTTCAAACTATACTACAAGGCTATAGTAACCAAAACAGCATGCTACTGGTACCAAAACAGAGATATAGACCAATGGAACAGGACAGAGCCCTCAGAAATAATGCCACATATCTACAACGATCTGATCTTTGACAAACCTGACAAAAACAAGAAGTAGGGAAAGGATTCCTTATTTAATAAATGGTGCTGGGAAAACTGGCTAGCCATATGTAGAAAGCTGAAACTGGATCCCTCCCTTACACCTTATACAAAAATTCATTCAAGATGGATTAAAGACTTACATATTAGACCTAAAACCATAAAACCTTAGAAGAATACCTAGGCAATACCATTCAGGACATAGGCATGGGCAAGGACTTCATGTCTAAAACACCAAAAGCAATGGCAACAAAAGCCAAAATTGACAAACAGGATCTAATTAAACTAAAGAGCTTCTGCACAGCAAAAGAAACTACCATCAGAGTGAACAGGCAACCTACAGAATGGGAGAAAATTTTTGCAATTTACTCGTCTGACAAAGGGCTAATATCCAGAATCTACATACAGTGAACTCCAACAAATTTACAAGAAAAAAACAAGCAACCCCATCAAAAAGTGGGCAAAGGATATTAACAGACACTTCTCAAAAGAAGACATTTATGTAGTCAAAAGACACATGAAAACATGCTCATCATCACTGGCCATCAGAGAAATGCAAATCAAAACCACAATGAGATACCATCTCACGCCAGTTAGAATGGCAATCATTAAAAAGTCAGGAAACAACAGGTGCTGGAGAGGATGTGGAGAAATGGGAACACTTTTACACTGTTGGTGGGACTGTAAACTAGTTCAACCATTGTGGAAGTCAGTGTGGCGATTCCTCAGGGATCTAGAACTAGAAATACCATTTGACCCAGCCATCCCATTACTCGGTATATACCCAAAGGATTATAAATCATGCTGCTATAAAGACACATGCACACATATGTTTATTGTGGCACTATTCACAATAGCAAAGACTTGGAACCAACCCAAATGTCCATCAATGATAGACTGGATTAAGACAATGTGGCACACATACACCATGGAATACTATGCAGCCATAAAAAATGATGAGTTCATGTCCTTTGTAAGGACATGGATGAAGCTGGAAACCATCACTCTCAGCAAACTATCGCAAGGACAAAAAACCAAATACCACATGTTCTCACTCATAGGTGGGAATTGAACAATGAGAACACATGGACACAGGAAGGGGAACATCACACACCAGGGCCTGTTGTGGGGTGGGGGGAGCGGGGAGGGATAGCATTAGGAGATATACCTAATGTTAAATGACGAGTTACTGGGTGCAGCACACCAGCATGGCACATGTATACATATGTAACAAACGTGCACATTGTGCTCATGTACCCTAGAACTTAAAGTATAATTAAAAAAAAATTAGCCAGTTGCAGTGGCTATGAAGTAGTCACAGCTACTTGGGAGGCTGAGGTGGGAAGTTTGCTTGAGCCCAGGAGTTTGAGTTTCCAGTGAGCTATGATTGTGCCACGACAATTAACCCTGGGTAACAGAGAAAGACCCTGTTTCAAAAAAAAAAAAATCTTATATTGTTGACTCCATCTTGCTTCTTTTTTTTTTTTTTTTTTTTTTTTTTTTTTTTTTTTTTTTTTTTTTGAGGCAGAGTTCTGCACTGTTGCCCGTGCTGGAGTACAGTGGCACAATCTTGGCTCACTACAACCTCCACCTCCTAGGTTCAAGTGATTCTCCTGCCTCAGCCTCCCAAGTAGCTGGGATTACAAGTTCCTGTGACCATGCCCAGATAATTTTTTGTATTTTTAGTAGAGACGGGGTGTCACCATGTTGGCCAGGCTGGTCTCAAACTCCTGGCCTTGTGATTCACCTGCCTCGGCCTCCCAAAGTGCTGGAATTACAGGTGTGAGCCACCGCGCCTGGCCTCAATCATGCTTCTGACCCCCAAGCTGTCTTCCCAAACTAAACTGCCTTTGTAAAAATCTAATGAAAGGCCACAACATTAGGATTATGATAAGGGCCTGAATTCTGCTAAAATGGGAATAGTTTCTATAATCCTTTACTGCCCAGGGGTCATGTGACCAGAGGTCACAAGATTTGTGACTATTCCAATTGTTCCTATAGATAACTTTGCTGTTATAGTACCTAAGATTGTTTTTTTGAAATATCTTTCAGACTGATGCCACCCGAACTTGTGACCTGTAACTCAGCTGATCCTGTGGCTCCACCCAGAGGTGGACTAAGCTCACAGGGAACATTTTCCATACCATTATGATTTCATCCCCAACAATCAGGAGCACCCCTTCCCTTGCCCCATGCCCACCAAGTTGTCCGTAAAAACCATAACCTCCAAGCCTTCAGGGAAACTGATCTGAGTGGTAACTCCAGTTCTTCTGTGAGGGCTGGTCTCACAGCAGTTAAACTCTCTCTCATGCAATGCTGTGGTCTCAGTGGATTGATTTTGTCTGTGCAGCAGGCAGGAAGAATCCATCTGGTGATTACAAAATGCATAGAATATTTTAGAAGAACATGTATAAGTACAAGATTCTGCACCATGATGTAGTGTTGGAAACTAAACTTAAGTTTCAGATAGAAAGGGATTGTTTTATCACTGTATATCTGGCAAATGATATAGCACCTTGTATATGATACAACCTACCCTTCTCCCCTTTCAATCTCTCTCTCTCGGGGGGCGTGTGTGTGTGTGTGTGTATGTGTGTGTGTGTGTACATGTATGTCTATATGGTGCATAATATATATTAAATAGTACAGTATATTAAATTCATAGTATAGTGCTTGCTGTGTAGTAGCTATCTACAAAGGTAGTAGTGTCTGCCATTGATATAATTCTAAATGCTCTCCTTTGTCACATTCAGTCCTTGACACAGTTCTCTCTCATGTACTCAATACCAATATCTGACGAGGTTTTTTAAAATTTTTAAATTTTTAAACAAGGTCTTTCTGTGTTGTTCAGACTAGAATGCAGTGGCATGATTATAGCTCCCTGCAGCCTTGAACTCCTGGGCTCAAGTCATCCTCCCGCCTTAGCCTCTGAAGTAGCTGGGATTATAGATGCACACAACCATGCCTGCCTAATTTAAAAAAAATTTTTTTATAGACTATGTAGCCCAGATTGGTCTCATACTCCTGGCCTCCAGCAGTTCTCCATTCTTGGCCTCCCAAAGAGCTGGGATTACTGGCACAAGCCACTGCACCCATCCCAAGTTTTTTTGGTAATTCATTCTACACATTTCTTATTTCTATTATCTTCCTTTTATCTCTCCTTCTTCTTGTGTGGTGTACTAACCTATTGTGAATCTTTTGATGCTTTCTGTTTTCATAGACATTTTCTGCTAAGGATATTTCAAAATTCTGAGGATTATTCAAGAAAAATACAGTATTGCCTAGTTTTCTTCTGATTGAACTTTCATTTTTAACCACTTTGCAGTTATTATTGAGTAATTAATTTAGCATGGGACCCATAAAAGAGATAATGTATCCAACCTTGATACTCCTGAGGATACAATGAAAAATAAAATGATTCCCCATCTTAGGGAATATATTAGTCTGTTAGGGCTGTCGTAACAAAATACTATACACTGGGTAGTTTACACAACAGTTTATTTTCTCTCAGTTCTGGACACTGGAATTCCATGATCAAGGTTCTGGTATGGTTGGTGTCTTGTGAAGGATCTCCCCTTGGGCAGATGGCTGCCTTCTCGCTGTCTACTCATATGACTTCTTTATGCATGTGTGAAGAGAGATACAGCTTGCTTGTGAACCTTCTTATAAGGACATTGATTTTAACAGATCGATGACCCACCTTTCTGACCTCATTTAACCTTAATGACTTCCTTAGAGGTTTTATCTCCAAATGTAGCCACAGTGTAAGTTAGGTTTTCATTTTTTTTTTTAAATTATACTTTAAGTTTTAGGGTACATGAGCAAAACGTGCACGTTTGTTACATATGTATACATGTGGCATGTTGGTGTGCTGCACCCATCAACTCGTCATTTAACATTAGGTATATCTCCTAATGCTATCCCTCCCCGCTCCCCCCACCCCACAACAGGCCCCGGTGTGTGATGTTCCCCTTCCTGTGTCCATGTGTTCTCATTGTTCAATTCCCACCTATGAGTGAGAACATGCGGTGTTTGGTTTTTTGTCCTTGTGATAGTTTGCTGAGAGTGATGGTTTCCAGCTCCATCCATGTCCCTAGAAAGGACATGAACTCATCATTTTTTATGGCTGCATAGTATTCCCTGGTGTATGTGTGCCACATTGTCTTAATCCAGTCTATCATTGTCGGACATATGGGTTGGTTCCAAGTCTTTGCTATTGTGAATAGTGCCACAATAAACATATGTGTGCATGTGTCTTCATAGCAGCATGATTTATAATCCTTTGGGTATATACCCAGTAATGGGATGGCTGGGTCAAATGGTATTTCTAGTTCTAGATCCCTGAGGAATCGCCACACTGACTTCCACAAAGGATGAACTAGTTTACCGTCCCACCAACAGTGTAGAAGTGTTCCTATTTCTGCACATCCTCTCCAGCACCTATTGTTTCCTGACTTTTTAATGATTGCCATTCTAACTGGCGTGAGATGATATCTCATTGTGGTTTTGATTTGCATTTCTCTGATGGCCAGTGATGATGAGCATGTTTTCATGTGTCTTTTGACTGCATAAATGTCTTCTTTTGAGAAGTATCTGTTAATATCCTTTGCCCACTTTTTGGTGGGGTTGTGTTTTTTTCTTGTAAATTTGTTTGAGTTCATTGTAGATTCTGGATATTAGCCCTTTGTCAGATGAGCAGGTTGCAAAATTTTTCTCCCATTCTGTAGGTTGCCTGTTCACTCTGATGGTATTTTCTTTTGCCGTGCACAAGTTCTTTAGTTTAATTAGATCCCATTTGTCAAATTTGGCTTTTGTTGCCATTACTTTATTCAGTCCATAATAGGGAGTTCACTACATGCTAGATTGACATCTCCCTTTGTCAGTTTCCGTCTCCTTTTTTGCTGCTGCATGTGGCTTGGGGAAGTGAAGATAGTAGAGATAATAAAGATAAAGATCAAGGAGTATTCCCCATGCCTAAGTAAACACATTAAAACTGTTAAAAAAATGAATGAGTACTTCCCATCACTGGCCTCTTCAGTCACAGGTACTCAAGGACTTCTCTCACTCTCAGTATTGCTACAGTATATACTCCACTCATGGCAGCATAGTCAGACTCAAATATGGTAGAGATCAGCCAGGAAACTGCATAACTGTTTTTTGCCCAAATGTCAGTTTTCTTGTGTTCTCTTTCCTTGTAAAAATAAGTTTTGTCACAATTGTCAATACACCTGAAAGAAGAGAAATATCTATTTTCTCCCTCAACTGTATTCTTTTCTCTCTTCTATTAACTTTGGCAAGCATCCTGACACATTCAAATGGAGTATATAATAAACTTAAGGCTGAAAAAGGAAACCAAGAGAGGAAAAGTGATGAGAAGAGTGTTTTACAATAAGTAGGAAGAAATGATGTTAATATATATGTACTCTACAGCCTGTTTATCTTGATATGCTGGATTCCCTGGTGTGTATAACTTCCGTAGGAATCCAAGTCCAGTTAAAATGATTGCTGTTTCTGTATGAATGGTAAAGTTTAAGAATAGAAGCTTTTAAATGAAAACATATATTTGCAGTGGTTCTTTGAGAAATTACTCTTCATTTTCTAATGAAGGCCAATAAATGAGCACCACCACAAATCAAACCAACAAATAAGCCAAAAGGCAAAACAAATGAAAATACAAAACCTCAACCCTCATCCCAAATAAAACCTAACCAACAGCATCATCGACAAACATAAACCTCACAAATATACATAAATTACAAGATGTCTAACCTTGGTCTTAGTTTTTCAAAGCAGGAACTTGCTCTACAAAGATCAAGATACTAGAGCTTCTCTTCAGGATCCTTCAATGGAGAACAACTGTGAAGAAATTGGACTAAAGACAAGGCAAATTGATTAAAATATTGAAAAGTGAGGGGTGATCATGGGAGAGGCCAAGATGGCTATTAGTAGCTAGTGTGCACCTCTCTCACAGAGAGAAGAAAGTGGTGATTAACTACTGTATCTTCAACTGGAACATCTAGATGGAAACATTAGGGTTCATCAAGGAAACAACTTGACCCATGGAGAATGGAGCAAAGTGAGACAGGACAACTGCCCACCCAGGAGTGGCATGGAGCCAGAGTAGGCTCCCACACTGCCAGGAAATTGTGAGTGAGTGAGAGTCCCCAGGGACCCACAGTTCTGCCATGGACCTTTGCAACCCTGGGCTCAGGTGATCCATGCATAAGCCTACCCCACCAGAGCTTCCAGACTGACAATGAGAGCTGTGTGGAGTCTGGGCAGAGCTGCTGCCCAGGCACACATGGAATCCTGGGAGCCATGAATTCCTAGGTATCCCAGCATTAGTGACTGGAGCTCCAGCAGTAGGAGAGGTCGGGCTCCCTTCATTCCCCCAGGAAAGTGGCTGAATCCAGAGGGCTGAGCAGCAGTGGACTCCAGGCTTCACCTCCACTGCATTTCACAGGATGAGGCCCAGTGGTCTGGGTCTCCAGCCACCCCCTGTCTGTGCTCTTGGGCTGGTAGCAGCTCTGCACTTCCCTGGGATGGAGCTCCCAGAAAGAGAGGCTGGTTACCTTTGTCGTCTGTCAGCCCCTGCCAATATAGCCTTCAGGCTCTGCAGAGTACTTAATGTTTAGGGAGTGGTACAGATCTCCTGTACAGCACAGCCATCCCATGGAAAAGTGGCCAGAGTGTTCTACACATGAGTCCTGGACCTTACTTGTTTCTTACTAGGCAGGGCCTCTCAGCCTGGAATTCCAGCACAGCTAACTTGCTTCAACCTGAACATTTCAGTTGCAGGTGGTTCAGCATTACTCTGAGGAGGAAATCCCAGAGACAGCCCACAACCCCTCTGGAATTGCAGCTGCAGTGGTATCACCCTAACCACTCTTGGTGTGAAAGCAACAAAGGGCCAGTCACTACATGGGCATCTCCAGCACACTACAGCCACTATATGGAAAGGAGTGATCTGTCTTCCCTGGGAGCTCCCACCCCTTACTCTTTACCAGGCAGGGCCCCGGCTTTGCACCACATAATAGCCACCCATCCACAGCTAAGCATACCCACGGAATGTCTCTGAGTTTCCCTGGGGTGGGGCTCCCTGAGACAACTGGCAGACCCTCTGCCACTGCCACAGCAATGGTTCTGCCCCTGCTACCCTTGGTCTGGGGAAGAAACCAAGAGCCTGAGGGCTTCACCTGAGCTTCCAATACACCACAGTCACCATATGGAGAGAAGCCTGGTCGCTCATCCCTGTGAGCACTCGAACCCCCACTCCTCAACAAGCAGAGCCAGTAGAACAACTGTCTCACCTCCTGGCTGAATTTTCCCAGTAGCAGTGGCTCTACATTTTTCTGAGGTAGAGCTCCTGAAGTCAACCAAAAGGCCCTCTGCTACTGCCACTGCAGTGGTAGTGACCTTGCTGTCCTTGAATTGGAGAAGCAGCGAAGACCCTGAGTGCTTTAACCACACCTCCAGCAAGCTGCTCTTGCACTAGGGAGAAGAGGCCAGTCTGTCTCCCTGTTACCTGTCCCTGACACCCTCTCATCACCAGGCGGGCCTTCCTAGCTTGAGCCCAAAGCACAGGTGCCCCATCCAGGGCCAATTGCACTGATTAATAATGGGTCCACATCTCTCTGGGTTGGAACCCCAAGAGGCAAGTGAAAGGCTCTCTGCCATAACCACTGCTAAGATCCCTTCCCCTTCTGCCCAAGAGTCCCAAGCCAAGATTTGCAGTCAGCACTCAAGTGGGAGAGGAACCCATACTTTCAAAGCACTGAGAAGAAGCATGGCTGCAATCATGAGGAAATAAAGAGGAGCCACACTGTTGATTAAGTGGCTGCCTACAGGCCACTATGTGTAAGTGCCACCTACTGGATCACAGCCCAAAATTCAATACCAAAAATACTTTACTAATATTTGAAACCAAGAAAAAGAATTCAACTACAAATAAGACCTTGCACAAAGCCTCAGCCCTCTGAAAACACCCAGAAAAGAAGTGTACTAACTGTACTGAAACTACACGTCAGTTATCAGAACACAAGCCAACACAGATGAAAAAGAACCAGTGCGAGAACTCTGGCAACTCAAAAAGCCAGTGTCTCCAAATGACCTCACTAGTTCCCCAGCAGGTATTCTTAACCAGACTGAAATGGCTGAAATGACAGAAATAGAATTCAGAATATGGATAGGAATGAAGATCATTGAGGTTGAAAACAATGTCAAAGTCCAGTGCAAGAAAGCTAAGGATCATTAAAAAAATACAGAGGCTGATAGATAAAAATGGCCATTATAAGGAATAACCAAACAGATTTGATAGAGCTGAAAAACATACTGCAAGAATTTTATAATGCAATCACAAGTGTTAACAGGAGAATAGGCCAATCTGAGGAAAAAATGTCAAAGCTTAGAGACTGTCTTGTTGAAATAATTGTCAGACAAAAATGAAGAAGAAAGAATATAAAAGAATGAACAAAACCTCCAAGAAATATGGGATTATGTAAAGAAACCAAATCTATGACTCACTGTTGTCCCTGAAAGAGATGGAGAGAAAGCAAGCAACTTGGAAAACATATTTTAGAATATCACCTGTGAAAGCTTCCCCAACCTCACTAAAGATGTCAACATTCAAATTCAGGAAATGCAGAGAACTTCAGCAAGATACTAAATAAGGGGACCATCCCCGAGACACATAATCATCAGATTCTTCAACATTGAAATGAAAGAAAAAATGTTAAAGGCAGCTAGAGAGAAGGGACGTTCATCTAGAAAGGAAATCCCATCAGGTCAACAGTGGACCTTTCAGCAGAAACCCTACAAGCCAGAGGAGAATAAGGGCCTATATTAAGCATTCTTAAGGAAAATAATTTTCAACTCAGAATTTTATATCCAGACAAACTAAACTTCATAAATGAGAAATAAAATCCCTTTCAGACAAGCAAATGAGGGAATTCATTACCACCAGACTTGCTGCTTTACAATAGGTCCTGAAAGGAGTGCTAAATATGGAAAAGAAAGACCATTACCAGCCACTACAAAAACATGCTTAAGCATATAGACAAGTGACACTATAAAGCAACAACACAAGCAAGTCTGCATAATAACCAGCTAACGATATGATGACAGGATCAAATTGGCATATATCAATATTAGCCTTGAATATGAATGGGCTAAATTCCCCCAGTTAAAAGGCACAGAGTGGCAAGCTGGATAAAGAAGCAAGACCTAATGGTATGCTGTCTTCAGGAGACCCATCTCACATGCAGCAACATTCATAGGCCCAAAACAAAGGGATGGAGAAAAACCTACCAAGCAAATGGAAAACTACCAAGCAAATGGAAAAGCAGGGGTTGACGTCCTAATTTCAGACAAAAGAGACTTTAAGCCCAACAAAGATAAAAAAAAAAAAAAAAGACAAAGAAGGGCATTACATAATGCAAAAGTTTTAATTCAACTGGAAGACTTAAGTATCCTAAATATATATGCACCTAACACAGGAGTGCCTGGATTCATAAAGCAATTTCTCAGAGACCTAGATTCCCACACAATTAGAGTACAGGACTTCAACACCCCACTGACAGTATTAGACAGATCATTGAGGCAAACAATTAACAGATATTCAGGACCTGAACTCAACACTTAACCAAATGGGCCTAATAAAACCCTGCAGTACTCTCTGTTCAAAAACATTCTTCTCATCACCACATGGCACAACTCTAAAGTTGTAATCCTTGGCAAATTCAAAACAATTGATATCATACCAACCACACTTTCAGATCACAGTACAATAAAATAGAAACCAATACCAAGAAAATTGCTCAAAACCGTAAAATTACATGGAAATGAAACAACCTACTCTTGAATGATTTTTGGATAAATAGGGAAACTATGGCAGAAATCAAGAAATTCTTTGACCAAATGAAAACAAAGACAGAACATACAAGAATCTCTGGGACACAGCTAAGGCAGTGTTAAGAGGGAAGTTTATAGCACTAAATGCCCACGTCGAAAGGCTTGAAAGATCTAAAATTAACAACCTAACATCACACCTTGAGAAACTAGAGACACAAGAGCAAACCAATCTCAAAGCTAGCAGAAGACAAGAAATAACCAAAATTAGAGCTGAACTGAAGGAATTTGAGATGTGAAAACACCATACAAAAGATCAATAAATCCAGGAGTTTGTTTTTTGAAAGAATAAGTAAGATAGATAGACTGCTATGTAGACTAATAAAGAAGAAAATATAGAAAATCCAAATAAACACAATCAGAAATGACAAAGGGGACATTACCACCAACCCCACAGAAATACAAATAACCATCAGAACTACTATGAGCACCTCTATGCACACAAACCAGAAAACCTAAAAGAAATGGATAAATTCCTGGACACATACAACCTCCCAAGAGTGAACCAGGAATCCCTGAACAGACTAATAGTGAATTCCAAAATTGAATCAGTAATAAAAAGCCTACCTACCAAAAAAAGCCCAGGACCAGACAGATTCACAGTTGAATTCAACTAGTTGTATAAAGAAGAGCTAGTACCACTCCTAGTGAAACTAATTCTAAAAGTTGAGGAGCAGGTATCATCCTGATACCAAAACCTGGCAGAGACACAATAAAAAGCTGAACATCTTGATGAAAATAGATGCAAAAATCCTCAACAAAATAGTAGCAAACTGAACTCAGCAGCACATCAAAAATCTAATCCACCATAACCAAGTAGGCTTCATCCCTGGGATGCAAGCTTGGCTCAACATATGCAAATCAATAAGACTCAACACATAAACAGAACTTAAAAACAAAAACCACATGATTATCTCAATAGATGCAAAAAAGCTTTCAATAAAATTTAACATCCCTTTATGTAAAAACCCTCAAGAAACTAGGCACTGAAGGAGCATACTTCAAAATAATAAGAGCCATCTGTGACAAACCCACAGCCTACATCATACTGAATAGGCAAAAGCTGGAAGTGGTCCCCTTGATAACCAGAATGAGACCAGTACACCCTCTCTCACCACTCTTATTCAGCATAGTACTGGTAGTCCTGGCCCAAGGAGTCAGGCAAGAGAAAGAAATAAAAGGCATCCAAATAGGAGAAGAGGAAGTCAAACTATCCCTGCTTGCAGATGACATGATTCAATATCTAGCAAACTCTATAGTCTCTGCCTAAAAGCTTCTTGATCTGATAAACAACTTCAGCAAAGTTTTGGGATACAAAATCAATGTACAGAAATTTGTAGCATTCCTATATACAAACAACATCTAAGTGGAGAGCCAAATCAGGAACACAATCCCGTTTACAATTGCCAGAAAAAGAATAAAATACCTAGGAATGTAGCTAACTAGGGAGGTGTAAAATCTCTGCAAGGACAATTACAAAACGCTACTCCAAGAAATCAGAGATGACATACACAAATGGAAAAACATTCCATGCTCATGGATAGGGAGAATCAATATTATAAAAATGACCATATTGCCCAAAGTAATTTACAGATTCAATGCTATTCCTATCAAACTATCAATGACATTCTTTACAGAATTAGAAAGAAACTATTCTAAAATTTATGTAGAGCCAAAAAAGAATCCAAATACCCCAAACAATTATAAGCAAAAAGAACAAAGCTGGAGGTATCATGTTACCTGACTTCAAAGTATACTACAAGGCTGTAGTAATGAAAACACTGATACGAAAACAGACACATAGACCAATGAAACGGAATCGAGGCCCAGAAGTAAAACTGCACACCTAAAACTATCTGATCTTCCACAAAACTAACAAAAACAAACAATGGGGAAAGGACTTGCTATTCAATAAATAGTGGTGGGATAACTGGCTAGCAATATTCAGAAGATTGAAACTGGACCCCTTTCTTACACCGTATATAAAATCAACTGAAGATGTATTAAAGACTTAAACGTAAAACCTAAAACTATAAAAACTCTAGAAGAAAACCTAGGAAATACCATTCTGGACATAGGACCTGGCAAAGATTTCATGACAATGATGCCAAAAGCAATTGCAACAAAAATAATAATTGATAAATTGGATCTAATTAAACTAAACAGCTTTTGCACAGCACGAGAAACTATAATATCAATAAAGATACAACCTAAAGAATGGGAGAAAATATTTGCAAACTATGTATCTGACAAAGGTGCAATATGCAAAATCGATACAGAACATGATCAAATTTACAAGCAAAAACCAAACAATACTATTAAAAAGTGGGCAAAGGACATACATGTCAAAAGACATACATGTGGTCAACAAGAATAAGAAATGCTCAACATCAGTAATTTTTAGGGAAATGCAAATCAAAACCACAATGAGATACCATCTCATACCAGTCAGACTGGCCATTATTAAAACTCAAAAAGTAACAGATGATGGTGAGGTTGAGGAGAAAGGGGAATGCTTATACACGTGGTATACTAGATAAAGAAAATGTGGTACATATATGCCATGGATTACTATGCAACCATAAAAAAGAATGAGATCATTCCCTTTGCAGCAACATGGTTGGAGCTAGAGACCATTATCCTGGGAACAGAAAACCAAATACCACATGTTCTTACTTACAAGTCAGAGCTAAGCAATGAAAACACATGGACACAAAGGGGAACAACAGACACCAGGGCCTGCTTAAGGGTGGAGGGTGGGAGGAAGGAGAGCATAAAAAAATACCTATTGGGTACTATGCTTACTTGGGTGACCAAATAATCTGGACACCAAACCCCTGTGACACAGTTTACCTATACAACAATTCTGTGCATGTACCCCTAAACCCAAATAAAATTTAAAAAAAGACAAAAGTGAGGGGTGATTATGTTGAGTATGAAACTCCTGTGTCTGGGAGAAATTGGCTAATTTCTGGCCAAGGCAATCCAAGGACCTCCACCTTTGGATCCTGTGATTTAGGCAGAGCACACTCTTGGAGAGCTTGATGCATTATATGGCAATGATAAGTTTAATTCTCTAGGATGGGTCCTGACTAAACTCTCCATTGAGCCTCATCTTGGCAAAACGATGATAATGGGGTGTATTTTCTATGAGAGAGATCCTGTCTATACCATCTCTGCTGCTACCTGTTTTCATTGATGAAGGAAAGTGGGATATATCCACCGAAATTTTGCTGGAAACCCATTTTCTGATTATGTGTCCCTTTTATCAGTATTCCAATCCTGGAATGATTCTAGAACGGGTAGAGAAGAAACTCAGATTCAATTTTGTGAGCACAAAAGACTCAATAGGGCTACACTAAGAATGACTTATGAAGCCAAAGTTTAGCTCAAAGAGATTCATATTAATTCTGGATTTCCAGAAGATTATTGACACAAGTGTTTACTAACACTGGACCAGATAATAATTTGGATGCTGTTATCTCCCTCTTGGCCTTTGGTGTGTACCCAAATGATGCTATCAGAAGGAAAAGAGAAATATTCTCACCATGAAGGGCATAATGCACTTATCCACAAATTGTCTGTTAATTGTTTTTTTAGTAGCAAGACAAAAAGTGCTCCTCTCTTTTCTTTGTGTTTGGTGAAAAGCCGGGGGTGACTAAGGCCGTGCCTTTAGCAGAGATGGCTCGGGTTCAAATACTGTCTTTGATCAGGTGTACTTGAATCTGAGCCATCTCTGCTAAAGGCATGACCTTAGTCACCTCCCTGAAGTTGCTTCTCTTTGCCTTCAAGAAAGTATAATGTGATAGGCAGATTGTTCTTGTAGATGACTGAATTAAACTGCAAATATCCCATGAAGCTGCTGCCTGCATTACTGCTTTCCAGGAAATCTTGGAGTTGAAGATTCAACAACCTCTGGTTGTTGAAGTAACAAACAACCTGATATCTTCAGCCAGTTGGACCCTTTTAATTAATATATGCTGAACATTATCCACCAAATCTCTAGGCCCTTAGCTCCTGTTATCAATCTTGTGGTTGGCAATACACAGTATGGAGATGGTCCACATCCTCCCAAGATGGCCTGATATGACAATGGAAGTAGATATAGGAGGGTACATTCTAGTTATGGTGTTGGAGGCTATGGCAGTGGCTACAGTGATGGAGGCTATAGTAGTGGAGGCTATGGTGGCACTACTCCACCCTGTCAGGAAGGATATGGTGGAGATGGTGGTGGAGACTATAGAGGACATAACTGAGGTGGCTATAGTGGTAGCTCTGGTGGAGACTACAGAAGGTCTAGTGGAGGTTTCAGAGGATCTGGGAGATGCCAGTGAGGATATGGAAGGGAGAGCTATGGAAATGGCTGCTTTGGACAAGGAAAAGGAAGTGGTGGCCATTAAGGCTTGGTTATGTCAGTGCCTGTGCATAGACAGTTAAAAAAAAAAACAACTACCTGTTTTTCCCAAGATGTTTGTTTTTCACCAAAAACTAAACCCATTTTCCACACATTCTATGGTTCATTGTAGTTTAAGGAAACCAAGCATATAGATGCATTAGTGATTTTATTTATATTATGTAAAATATAATCTATTATAAAAATACCACAGTTTGTATTTTTTCTTTAAAGAGTAAAGATTTGCTTTTAAAGTTAATTTGATATTTTCTTGGCTTTCATTTAATACATTGGAAAATACAGTATTATACTGAAATAAAAAAAAGAAATTTCAGCTACTCAACATGCAAAAGCCTCGAATGAGTTTATAGAATATAAAAGGAATTAAAACCAGCTAGTCTCAATTTCCATGACAGAGCAATATAAAAATAAACAAAATTAAAAATTGGGCAGGGCATGCTGGCTCACCTGTAATCATAGCACTTTGGGAGGCTGAGGCAAGAGGATTGCTTGGGGCCAAGAGTTCAAGACCAGCCTTGGCAACACAGCGAGACCCTGTTGCATTAAAAGAATGTACTGGGGGCTTACTGTGGGCTAGGTACTGTGCTAGGTACTATATACAAATTATCTAAATTATCTAATTTAATTGTCACAATAATTCTGAGTTAGGTATTTTTACTATCCTTATTTAATAAATGTCAAAATTTGAGTCTGAGAAGAGTTAAGAAGCTTATGAGAAGTTACATATATAAACAAAGCTTGGAGGTATTGTGATTTCAGTTCCAGACCACTGCAAGAAAGTGAATATTACAATAAAGCAAGTCACAATTTTTTTGGTTTAGAGAGCAGCATGAGCCAGTTTAATATTTTCAAATCACTACAGATATTGTGTATTGGGGGTGGAGGGTGCTGGTTACTGAGTAAACAGTTAAATCAGTTACATCTGTTGCAATATTGTGGGTAAGAAATGTTGGTGACTTGGTCTGCTGTTGGAGAGAAGTGGGTTGATTTAAGATATGTATTTTTAGGTAATATTTATGGAATTTGGTAATGGTTTGGTTGTGAGTTAGTGGCAGAGAAGTTGAAGAAGTTATCAAGGCTAGCCATTAGACTTTTGACAATAATAAGTAGGTTGATGGATGTATCATTTGCAGATATGGGTTAGATTAGAAGATGAAGTTTGAGATCCCTATGCGATGTACAGGCAGACATGTAGGTAGTTAGAGATGTGGATTTGGAATTTAGAGGATAATTTTGGGTTGGTGATACACATTTAAGAGTTGTTGGCATGTGAATAATATAAAGTCATGGAAGTGGTCAAGATTTCTTAGGATGAGAATGTAGATTGAGGAGATGATTAGAAACAAGCTCTGAGTGGTTTCAATGTTTAGAAATATGGAGGAAGAGCAAGCAAAGGAGGCAGAAAAAAGCTACATGGGTAGGAGGAAACAAAAAGAATATAGAGTTATGGAAGCTGAGAAAAGAGAAGAAGGAAAGATAGTTCAATTCCACCGAAAACTTCTGAGAGGCCAAATAAATTGAGATTCATAGAAAATTATAGCTAAGTTTTATCTTTGTGCGAATAGTTTCAATGTAATGATGAGAGTAAAAGCCCCAGATTGGGGTTGGTTGAAGAGTGAACTGAGTTTCATTACCAGCAAAATTGCAGATAAAATGTCCTGAAAAAATCTCTAATATAAGATATTTACAATTACTTGATGGAGTAGCAACAATATTTTAAAATTCCTAAGTGAGCTCACAAATAAGTAAAGGAAGTCTGTGGGGGCCAAAAAAGAAGATGAGTTGGAAATAGAATTGTAGGTGGTTGCTGATATCATAGCTATCTAGAGGGCATTTGCTAATTATGGTAATCCTGTTTTAATGACCAGGCAGTGGAGGAGAAAAAGCCTAGTATATACACAGATGTGAAGATATCTCTGAGAACCCACATAAAGCCAGAAATTAACTCTATGATTAATATGAGGGTAGAGGTGAAAAAAAATGTCTCCCTGTCAAATAACGAAGATAAGCAAGACAACTTGGCAAGAAGGTATGTGTTAGCCTGGGCTCTCATAGAAAACAATAGAAATATCTGCTCTGAAAATTGATAACCACAAAGGCTGCCCTGATATCGCTTTCAAGTTAAAATTTATGTCATTTTTTTTTAAAACGGAGTTTCACTCTTGTTGCCCAGGCTGGAGTGCAGTGGTGCGATCTTGGCTCACCATGCAACCTCTGCCTCCTGGGTTCAAGCGATTCTCCTTTCTCAGCCTCCCAAGTAGCTGGGATTACAGGCATGCACCATCATGCCCGGCTAATTTTGTATTTTTAATAGAGACAGGATTTCTCCATGTTGGTCAGGCTGGTCTCGAACTCCCGACCTCAGGTGATCCACCCACCTTGGCCTTGCAAAGTGCTGGGATTACAGGCGTGACCCACTGTGCCTAGTCAAAATTTACGTCATTTTTGTAGTCTGAGCAGTCTAGAGCTAAAAAAAAAAAAAAACTTTAGGTAGTTCCAATTCGAAAGCACTCAGGTGATTGGCAGAAGCAAATGCATATCATCTTTCACTGAATGTAGCTTCAACCCAGGCTTCATGGAGTTACCTAAAAACAGCTTTAATAAAACATAAATTGAGAATGAAAACTACAAAATACATGAGAAATAAATCACTATAAGTGAGACTTACCAGAAAATATCACTAAACACTTCATATAATGTTTAAAATGTTTAAATAAAGCATGTACTCTCTAATATAAGAAAGGAATAAGATATAATTAAAAAGAAGGGGCAGAATAGGAAATAAAAATTACAAAATAGACCTCCTAAAAATGAAAATTATAATAACTAAAAAGTAGATGGTTAAAAAGAAGATTATACAAAAGAAAATTATAAATTAATGAAATAAAGGATAGAGTTAAAGAAATTATCACAAAGAGGTGAAAAACATAAAAGAGTGGTTAAAAGACATGGACATTAGAATGACAAGAGCTGATATCACCCATTGGAGTTCCAGAAGAGACTAGAATTAATGTGGCAGAAGCAATTTTTAAGTCCTGGATGAAAAATTTCCAGAATTGATGGAAGACATAATTCTCTGTTTCAGGAAGCATAAAAATTCTAACCAAGGAAAATAAATAGAAAAAGGAAAGGAAAAAAATTAATAAGCCAAGTATCCAATTTAACATGTTAGAAAAAGGACAGAATAAATTCAATAAAATGGAAAAAAGGAAATAATAGAGAAGATACTGATTGAACAAACAAAACACAGAATAAAGAGGATCAATAATGACTGAGTTTCATTTGATAAGATTAACGTAAACAACTTCTGCCATGTTTGACTTAAAAGAGAGTGGAAGGAAGAGGAGGAGGGAGAGGGAGAGAGAAGCATAAATAAGCACAGTCAGAAATGAAGAATGGGAACTACTTTAAATATATTAGTGTTTGATAGGCTCAAAGGAAAGGAAGGAGCAAGGCTATGTGTAAATGCTTTAGATGTGGATGTGGCAATGGACTTGTTTCCTTGGAAGCAATAAAGATAAGATAGATGTTGAATATTGGGTCCCCAAACCCTTATCTGAAGGTATTTCCTGGATCCTAAATAGAGGCTACTTCTCTGTGTCAAAGTGACTTAGAATCTCCAGACAAGAGTGGGATATTTCATTTTTACTGAGAGAATTTCAGAAGCAAAGTCTCTGATTGTCTTTGATTTTATAGAACAAAGTTTTTCAGTAAGAAAGCAGTAGGCATTCAAAGAAAGGGGTTGTGATGATACTTTATAATGGCAGCATATCCTTGGGTGAAATAGTGTTTCCTTTTAACTTTCCAGCCAGCTTTATCTGGGCCTATTATTCCAGCCTGATGAATGTCAGGGCAGATTTTTGGTGTCTGAATTTATTTTTACTTTCTCACCCCAAATCTTATCTCAAGGTCTCTGCTCATTATTTGAATGCTCAAGGAGAATTGAGGCAATTCCAGAATACTGAATGTAGTGTTTTAAAAATGAATAGTTTCCAGGAAATGGTAAACTTAATGTTGTTTCTTAGCAATAGTCTAGTTTAGATTAGAAATTCATTGATATCCTTTTCTGATAGGGCTTTTTAGATTGCTAAAGCAGGAAAATTATTCCTCATGAAAACATTGTAAGGTACTTTCAAGTATAAAAATCGCTTTAATTTGGATTATTTCATTTGAGTCAAACTATGAGTTTCTTAATTTTCATATTAGCAATCGAGGCTAAGAAATGCTAAATAACTTGCCCAGAGTCAGCTAGCTACTGAGATTTAACTGTCTGTAAGGTCAACGATCTGTCCATTGCTCTAAGCTGCCTCCAAGTTCAGAGAATTCCTAGAATTATTAGACTTTTGGGAAAACATTTTCAAAGAGATTGGTTAAGATCAGTTTGGGAAACAATTGCCTTTTCTGTCTATCTCATCCCTCTCAAATTTATTGATGTACAAGTCTAATTTCAGTTAAAGTTCCAAAATAAAAATACTTATGGTTTCTTTGCTTTCTTGGGATTTGACCTTTTCATAATTTTTTTTTCAGAAATTTTAAGCTTCAAATTTTTACTTTAATGTTTAGGGTAATGACTGAGGGAACACAAATAAATCATGAAATATGTATTAGTTTTCTAGAGCTGCCATAATAAATATCACAAATTCAATTGTTTAAAGAGCAAAAATTTATTTTCTCACAATTCTTGAAGCTAATATTCCAAGATCAAGGTGGTTGGCAATGGTTGGCAAGGTTGGTTTCTTTGGGACCTCTCTCCTTGGCTTGCAGATGGCTATCTTCCCCTTGTATTGTCATATGGTCTTCCTTCTGTATCTGTGTCCTAATCTTCTCCTTTTCTTATAAAGTCACCAGTCATATTGGATTAGGTTCCACCCTAATTACCTCATTTAACTTGATTTCCTCTTTAAAGACCCCATCTCTAAATATAGTCACATTCTGAAGTACTGGGAGTTAGAATTTCAACATATTAGTTTGGGCAGGGGGCAGGGGAGACACAATTCAGTCCATAACAAATGTGTTTTTCATCATAGTATTCTTGGAGTCTGTCAATGTTTCTAGAATTTAGTATTTGTTAAATAAAGAAGTGAAAGCTAGATTATCAGTATGGGTGAAGTTTGAAGACTTAAAGTGAAAATTGTAAGATTAGTTATACAACTAGTCAATTAAATGGCAGATTAGAACTTCTGTACAGTTGGTCTTTAATTTATAATGGTTCTATTTATGATTTTTTGACTTTACAATGGAATATTTTCAACTTATGACCAATGCACACTGTGTTGCCTTTCTCTTTTTAAATAACGTAAAATTGCCGTGATTCATTAGACTAAAAGATTTTATTCAAATGGCAGAATGTATTTATTGTCTTTGATATACAAAGCTTTTTCTTAGAAGTTTTTCATTTTAAAACAAATTTACATTCTAAATTTTAAAATATTATATATCAATATATAAACACACACACACACACACACACACACACACACATATACTATATCCCTTCAAACTGGAGTTGTCACTGAGTAATATTTCTTTTAAGGTAGCTCCAGTTAGGACACAATGGAGATAGCATGGGCTTTAGAATAAGATGCATCTGTGGTTGTATGATTCACGCTACATAATTTTAGTTATTTAAGCCTTAATGAACCTATAAAATGTGAAAAATAGTATTTTATCTTAAATAGTTGTAGCAAGGATTAAATAAGATGTTTATAAAGTGCCTAGAACATTTACCTGATCGATATTTACTAAACAAATGGAAGCTATTATTTTAAGTGATTATTAACAAATTTATTTTCATAAGAATTACAAAGCAGTATGTCTTTGTTATCTTATTACAAGAATTGTTATTTGAAAAAGAATATAAACAACATTTTATGGCCTTCAAAGTAAAATCTAACTAATTTCTCTTAGAAATCTATAACAAAACCATTTCCTCCAATGGCAACAAATGGCACTGTTATTCTTGTGCTAATTGATAGGGCTTATTCTAGATTTGATCTTTCAACATGATTAGATTGTACATTTTGTAGAGGCATGTTAAATCTATCAGACTTAAAATCCCTAATGAAGTTAAAAGACCTTTAAATGTTCTCAAATACTTTGTCCTTAATGTGTCTCACTTTGAAACAACTCAAAACACCATACCAACATTTTATTTTTCAGGTAGATTAATTTAGGGTCTGATGGTTTGTAAGGTAAAATTTGCTCTTTTACTTAAAGAGGAAGGGATCTTTTAACAAACAAAGCCACAAGTTGTAAACAATGGGTTTTAGAGTCAGCAGACATATTTGTGGCTTTGGGCAAGTTGTTTAATATCTCTGTGCCTAAAATTTCTCATCTGTAGATTAGAGGCAGTGTACATAATATATAGAGCAATGTGTGAGTAATGGATGGAAAGCCTCCATGGTTTCCTCCATCAATGGTTTCATCAATCCCAAAATTTTTATAGAGTGCCCACTGTGTTAGGTTCTAAAAAAGGAAATTGTGTGTTTAAAAGAAAAAATAAAAATTAAAACTCTATACCACTTTTAGGAATGTGTCTCTTTTTAAATGAGGTGTGCCTGTTCTGATTAGTGCTTTCAATCTTTTTGTTTTTTTGAGACGGAGTTTCACTCTCGTTGCCCAGGCTGGACAGGAGTGGTGCAACCTCGGCTCACTGCAACCTCCACCTCCCAGGTTCAGGCGATTCTCCTGCCTCAGCCTCCTGAGTAGCTGGGATTACAGGCGCAGGCCATGATGCACAGCTAATTTTTTGCATTTTTCAGTAGAGACGGGGTTTCACCATGTTGACCAGGCTGGTCTCAAACTCCTGACCTCAGGTGATCCACCCACCTTGGCCACCCAAAGTGCTGGGATTACAGGCATGAGCCACCGCGCCCGGCCAGTGCTTTCAATTTTGAGACTCCTATCACAATGGGCTTTGTTGTGGCTCTTCTCCAGAGGTATGGCTTCTGGATTTGTCCAGGAGATGGGAGAGTCTAAACCCTCTCAAAAACATGTCTGGAGTCCATTTCTGCCTGTTTCCTTGTAATTGTTTCTCCCCACCATCCAAAATCCTTTACATTAAATCTTTTAACTACTCCTCTTTGCAGATAGTATTTGTCCTGATTTCAAGATATTGAATTCCTCAACAGCATATGCTATTTAATATCTACCAGGTACAGCATTTTTGGTAGAATTTGTAGATGTTGGTCTATCATTGTTTTAGTACACTTTTATTCCCCAGATTTATGTTGTTTTATCTGTTCTTTCTCTTATTTTATTTTTGGTTTTAATGTTTTAAATTCAACCTCCTAATCCTTTTTATTCTCATGGTTATATTTTATTTTTAACCTTGTAAACAAAGTTATAAATCTTCTCAGCAATGGTTCTGGCAAGTACAGTTTTTGCTAAGAAAGGCAATATACACTATTAGGTTGGTGCAAAAGTAATTGTGGCTTTTGCTATTAAAAGTAACTACAAGAACCACAATTACTTTTGTACCAACTTAACTTTCTAGTAAATGTATTAGAAGCATAGTTATGCAAAATCAAAGACAGAAGCCTATAACAGGTAGCTGCTGTGTTCCTTCCCACCAGCTGTCTCATGAACATAGACCAGAGATCTTTTATTTACTGGCCTGGCAGCCAGAAGAGATGGGCATAGCTCTTGTCGAGGGCATGCATGTTGCCTTGTGGAGAAGATTTATCCATATTCCACTGGCCACAATTTGGACATCTGGCTGCACCTAGCTCCAAAGGATCTTGGTAGTAGAATCTAACTGTGCCTAAGGAAGCAAAGGTAGTAGGATTGGTGAATGTTAGCCAGTTTCCACCAAAATGTGTCTAGCTTTTAAAAGGGTGTATTATCCTGAAAACAAACTGATATTATAACACTCTTTACATACTGCCTGTTAGCCATAGAGCAATTCCACTGGGATTAACTTTTTTTTTTACTCAGCTATAGCTGCAAATGTCGTGGTCAAGGATAACTCCTACCAGTGCTGGCATTCCTACCCCTGTTCATTCCATTTCAGTATACGTTTTTCCAGTTTATATTTTTAGATTTCTTGAATTATGTTTCATTTCTGTTGTGTTTCCAAAAGATTTTTGATTTTGGTAGCATTTTTTTAAGTTGGAGTTAAAATTTTCCACTGTAAAACACATTGAGGTAGTAGGTGAATGAAGTAAAATTATTGAACATAGAGTGAATATCATATAATAGGATATAATGTTCTTGAAAAGTTGGTTCTACATAAAATCATACTTTGCCATTGGTGAATATTTAAAAATTGGAGATTTGATACAATGGTAAAAACAAAATAGAGAAGGCTGGTGAAGAATATAAAGAGCTGGAAGAGGTTGTACATTTGTGTTGTATTTCACAAACATACTCCTGAAAAAATTAGGGCTTACTTTGTTGTTCTTGTAATGATTCACACACACCAAAGAACAGCTTGATAAAAGACAAAACAAAGAGAAATCATTAGTTATGAACATATTCCTTCCAAATGTAGTAAGGCATAATTTAGCAGGCAACAAGTCTCATTTCTGATCACAAATCATTTAAGAAAAAATGTTCTTTCATTTGCAGAATTTTGCTTACTATTTTAATCATTTGACATTTAAATATGGTTTATGTCATCAATGAGATTTTCTATGAAGTGGAGCAATATTTTAATTTTTTATTTCACACATGAAGAAACAGAGGTGTT
Source organism: Homo sapiens (assembly GCF_000001405.40). Lineage (NCBI taxonomy): Eukaryota > Metazoa > Chordata > Mammalia > Primates > Hominidae > Homo > Homo sapiens. Next base: position 85,443,585 of record NC_000011.10, on the reverse strand, counting down.
GAGAAACTGTGTAGCACATTTAAGAGTCACACAAGTCTGGATTGGAATTCTAATTGATTGCAAATGACTTTCAAACGTAAAGTTTTCACATATCACAGAGAAACATAGAATATTAAAGTTGGAGGTGATCTTAAAGAGGTTCTGTCTTTCATAATTGAAGAAATAAGCCTCAGAGAGACTAAGCGACTTGACAATTACACAGCTAGATTACCCACTTAACACAGGGCTATGTTCTATGTTCAATGTAACAAGTACTGTGTTTTAGGTTGAAGTCACAATTACTATTTTCTAGTTATTGTGATAAATTGTGAATGAACAACAATGAATTCTTCACCCAAGGGACTCACAGTCTGATGGAGGAGATTGACATCTTAAAGGGTATTCAGAGAAATCGTGCTGTAGTAGATAAAAAAATTAGTGACAGATCTTAAGAAAAATGTTCTAGTCAAATGTGTATTTTATAAAGATTACACTGACTATTACGGAGGATTTTTTCAATTCTTTTTTTTCACATCTTATTTTCTATTGGAATCATTTCCTGACACCATTAGTTTGTTATATTTCCCCCCGTTGTATATTGTCATAGCACTGTACTTTGCCTAACAACTTAACTTGTTCAAAAAGAAAACCTTTTTATCTTCCCTCCTTCTTCCTCCTTCTTCTTCTTTCTTCTTCTTCCCTTCTTCTTCTTCCTTCTTCCTTTTTTTGAGAGAAGTTCTTGTTCTTTTGCTAAGGTTGGAGTGTAGTCGCGTGATGAAATCTCACTGCCTTGAACTGCTGGCCTCAAGTAACCTTCCTGCCTCAGCTTCCTGAATAGCTGGGACTACAGGTACATGCCACCATGTCTGGCTATTTTTTTTAATTTATTTTTTATTTTTTTTTATTTAGGTAGAGACAGGTCTTGCTATGTTGCCAAGGCTGGTATCAAACTCCTGACCTCAAGCCATCCTCCTTCTTTGGCCTTCCAAAGTGCTGGGATTACAGGCACGAGCCATTGTACCTGACCCAAAAGAAAACTTTTAATTTCTCTTTTGCTATCCTTTTATTTCTAACTTTCTCATCCCTGGTAATGGCACCACCATATACCGAGGTTTCTCATGCTAAACTCTGATGAGTCATTTTTGATTCCACTTTCTTTTCATCCCCGCGTCTAATCTATCATCAAGTCTCACTGTCTCTAACTCTAAATATAACTTGACCATATTTATACTTCTTGTATATGCCACTGCTACTGCTCTAGTCCAAGCCAACATGATGTCTTGCTTAGAGTACTTTAGGAGTTGACTTACTGGCCTTCCTAATTCTACTTTTGCTCCTGGTATCCATTTTTACCACAGCAGTCAGAAGTCTTCTTTAAAAATGTAAGTTTGATCATGTCATTTCTCTGTTTTAAATGGCATTCTACTACACTTAGGATAAAAATCCAAATCTTTTGACATGTTCTGTAAAGATATACATAATATATTCTCTATGGAGCTTTCCGACTTCATCTCCTGCCACTTATTTCCTTGCTCATTGTGTCTCAGCTTGTCCCTAACAGCTTTTACATTGATTTTTTCTTCTGTATGGGATACTTTCCTCTGGATCTCTTCATGGCTGGTTTTCTTCTCATCATTCTGGTCTTAGCTTAAGTCAGAAAATCCTTCCTTTACCACCAAGACTACTTAGCTATCCTTACATCTTCCACTTGTGCTCTATCATATTACTATTTATTATGTTTTAAATAGCACTCGCCATTACTTGAAACTATCATATTTTTAAAATTATGTATTTATTCCTGGACAGGATCCTTGTCTGTCATTCATTTTTATATCCTCAGGGACTAGAACAGTGCCTTTATACATTAGTAGATTCTGCCTAACAGTAGTTTTTAGATGAGTGAATCATAGCATTTACCACACTTTGTGCTATCAATAATTTAATTCTCTTTTTGTGAAAGCTATAAAGTCCACAAGAGTGGGAACCATGGCTACCTTGCTCACCGTTGTATATTCAGAGCTTAACATATAATAATAATAAATATTTGTTGACTGAATGAATAAGTGATCATTGATTGAGACTGGAGTCAGAGATACCAATTTGGAGAGTATTACAGTGATCAGTTGAAAGATAATCAGGACCTTAACAAAATCATTGGCAGAAGGGAGGAAAAGGAAATGAGAGATTTAAGAAGCACATAGGAAATATACTGGAGAAGACTCAGGCCTATTATAAAGGATTGGTTATGAAGAGGGAGGAGTTAACTTCTGGTTGAAAGTGTGGATGATGGTACCATTTACAAATATAAGGAAAACCATATTTAGAGTAGGGTCGGTAAGGGGGAGAAATGAGAGTGGGATCAGGGGAGAAAGTGATGAGTTTAGATTTGACTCCTGAGCTGTGCTTTCTGTGGGATATACAGAAGAAATCTTAATAAAATATATACTTCGGTGCTCTTGTGAGATGTTTAAGCTCTCCTCCATCTCATCCTTGACCCCATCACAAAGGGTTAAGACTTAGGGATGATGTTCCTGTTTTAATACAAGTTACACAGTTATCATAAAAGCTGAAAGCTTAATTGTTTGCTTTTAGGAGGTGTCAAAATGCCCAAATATCAAAATGCTCCTGAATCAAAACAGCTGAGTCAAATGGACGTGACAAGGTACCACCATGCTTCTCAGAGGAAGTCTATTTGAGATCTTATTAATTTTGAGTTTACAGACCCAAATTATCTACTTCATAGGGTTGCCTAGGCCCCATGTTTCATGGAATTTATAACACCAGAGCCTATAAGTTCTGCCAGGAATCTCCACTCTACCTGCTGTGCTTTATACCCACTTATAAAGAGCCTAGTCTTTCTTCTTTAATATACTGTTAGACAAGATGATAATATGGTTGTGTTTACCTAATTTATTTCCCTCTGGAAAAAATAAGTAATCATCACTATAGCAACTTTGTCCTAGTTGAGAGACACACATTTTTAGGAATGAATTTTCAAAAACAGTCTATTACTAGAAATTGAGCATAAAGACACTTGTGAACTATTAAAGTATACTTTGGTGCAAAGCTTCTGTACTCTAAACTTCACGCAGCAAGTTAAGCAGCTGTACAAAGGCATACTCTTGGGAAAAGTGACAGGTGACAGCCTTACTCCTGGGAGAAATGAGAAAAATGTCTGGTTACAATATAGTGACATAATTGATGATTAGGAAGGGAAGGGAGCTAACATTTATATCATGTTTGCTATGTACCAAACATCTTAAATATGTTATCACATTTAATCTTTATCATAGTTCTATAATATTTTATTCTTTTGTACAGATAAGGAAACTGAGACACAGCAATTGTTACATGATTTATCCAAGGTCATACAGCGAATACATAGAAGGGAGACAAAGCAGACATTTAAAAATGATAATGGTTAATAATTATTTTGTTGTAGGCATAAGTCTAACTTCATTATGTGTATCAACACTTTTAATCTTCACAACAGATTGATGAAGTAAATATTAGTCATATTATAATTTTATAGATAAAAGTATTAAAGCACAAAGAAGATAAGTAACCTACCTAAGCCATATAGTAAGAGATAGAGGTGGAATTCAAATCCAGACAGTCTGATTTCAGAGCCTAGGATTTTTACACATTAAAATAAAATACCTCTATCTAGCGTTTATGACCTTATTAAGCAAAAATGGCACTAATCTATACTTTATATTCTCTTCCTTTCTAATATCCAGTCTTCCTGCTTAACTCCAGGCATTTTCCTCCTTACTGCAAACATTTATTCATAAAATAAGGCTCTTTAATATGCAATGTGTCTTCTTAGCCATTACTCTATACTCTGTTACTACTTTTTGACTTTTTGTTTCACACATATATCTCTTTTAATCCCAGTAACAGCCCTAAAAACATATTGTGATCCTCGGATTAAAAGCTGAGGAAACAGGCCGGGCGCGGTGGCTCACACCTGTAATTCCAGCACTTTGGGAGGCCGAGGCGGGTACATCATGAGGTCAGGAGATTGAGACCATCCTGGCTAACATGGTGAAACCCCGTCTCTACTAAAAATACAAAAAATTAGCCGGGTGTGGTGGTGGGTGCCTGTAGTCCCAGCTACTTAGGAGGCTGAGTCAGGAGAATGGCGTGAACCTGGAAGGCGGAGGTTGCAGTGAGCAGAGATCAAGCCACTGCACTGCAGCCTGGGCGACAGAGCGAGGCTGTCCAGTCTCAAAAAAAAAAAAAAAAAATGCTGAGGAAGCGAAGCCTAAAAGTAATAAAGTAGCTTGCCTAAGTTCACCTGGTTAACATGTAGCAGATCCTGAACTTGCAACTAGACTGGGTCATTCATTCATTGCTGGTGGGAAAGTAAAATAGCACAGCCGCTGTGGGAAAAGGTTGAATACTTTCTTATAAAACGAAACATGCAATTACCATATGGTCACACAAAATCTTATATGTGAATGTTCACAGCAGTTTATTTTTAATAGCCAAAATCTGGAACCAGCTCATTCAGTAGGTGAACAGTTAAACAATCTGTGGTATATTAGTACCATGGAATACTACTCAGCAACAAAAAGGAAGAAACTATTAATATATACATAAGTTGGATGACTCTTCAGGGAATTATGCTGCGTAGAAAAAGCCAAAACAAAAAGGTTACATAATATATGATTGATTCCATTTACATAACATTTTGAAATGACAAAATTTTAGAAATAGAGGACAGATTTGTGGTTATCAGAGGGTAGAGATAGAGGTGGGGATGAGATGAGGTGGGTGGGGTTATAAAAGGACAAGAGGTGTCCTTGCGATTCAGCTGTTCAGTATCTTGACTCCGATAGTAGAAACTGGAACCTACGTACATGATAAAATTGTATAGAACAAAATTCTCCTATATACACATGATATACATGTACATACACACACAAAGATGAGGACAAGTAAAATGGGAAATATGAGTGATATCATTGTGTGGTACCAATGCCAGTATCCTGTTTGTGATATTGTACTATAGTTTTATGAAATATTTCCATTGGGTGAAACTGTGTAAAGTGTATAAGATATCTCTGTATATTATAGGTTGGTGCAAAAGTAATTGCGGTTTTTGCTATTAAAAGTAATGGATATATACATATTTACAATTGCAAGTAAGTCTATAATTATCTTAACAAAAATTTTAATTTTAAAATATATCAGGGCATGAATATTCCTGTAGAAAATAAAGACAAGAAAAACAACAACTAAGTTAAAAAAATTGTGTCACAGCAAGTATTTTATATAGTTTGGATATTTTTTCCCTCCAAATCTCATGTTAAAATTTGATTCCCAATGTTGCAGGTGGAGTCCGTTGGGAGGTGTTTGGGTCATGGGGGCAGATGTCTTATGACCAGTTTGATGCCATCCTTAGGGTAATGAGTGAGTTCTTGCTCTATAGTTCCCACCAGATCTCTGTGTTAAAAAGAGCCTAGTACCTCCTTCCCATCCTTCTCTTTCTTCTCTCAGTATGTAGTGCCTCATCCCCCTTGGCCTTCCACCATGAGTAGAAGCTCTCTGAAGCCCTCATCAGAAGCAGATGCTGATGCCATGCTACTTGTACAGCCTGCAGAACCAAGAGTCAAATAAACCTTTATTCTTTATAAATTACTCAGCATCAGGTATTCCTTTATAGCAACACAAATAGGCTAAGACAGTATTGTTCTCTATGTGTTTATGTATTTTTAGAAGATAGTGTGGGTGAGTACGTCCAAAATTTTCATGAAGGTTATCTACAGATGAAGGATTCACTTTATTTTACTTTATTTTTTCTTTTTTCCTTTACTTTTAATTATACATATCTTCTATATTTCCTAAATTAACTTATATTAGTTCCATTATAAAGAAAAAAATTAAAAATTTTGGCACTAGTTAAAAAACAAATGATTTATTTCACTTACTCTAAAATTTGTGCTGTTAAGCCTTATGTAAAGAAATTAATAACTCAATAATTGAATAGAGTTTGTAAAATATAGACTCTTTTTTTGAGTAGTGTATATTTGTGTCCCCTACTAGGTCACTGAGGACAAGAGCACTATCTTGTCTCTCTCTTATTCCTAATACTTAGCAAAGACCCTGGGTACATAGTAGATGCTTAATGAATAACTGATTTTACAGAGTGATGTTGCCACATTAGCACAAATAAATTAATTTTCTATTTTCTATGACTTTTTGGCAGTCAATGTATGAAACATCCCATGTTACCCTTCTTAGAAAATATGTATCATTGTTTCTTCTCTTTTTTTTTGTTTTTTTTTTTACTTTAAGTTCCAGGATACATGAGCAGAACATGCAGGTTTGTCACATAGGTATACATGTGGCATGGTGGTTTGCTGCACCTATCAACCCGTCACCTAGGTTTTAAGCCCCACATGCATTGGCTATTTGTCCTGATGCTCTCCCTCCCCTTGCATCCCTCCCCACGCAGTTCCTGGTGTATGTTATTCCCCTTCCTGTGTCCATGTGTTTTCAGTATTCAACTCCCACTTATGAGTGAGAACACACTGTGTTTGGCTTTCTGTTCCTGTGTTAGTTTGCTGAGAATGATGTCTTCCAGCTTCATCCATGTCCCTGCAAAGGACATGATCTCATTCCTTTTTATGGCTGCATAATATTCCATGATATATATGTACCACATTTTCTTTATCCAGTCTATCATTGATGGGCATTTGGGTTGGTTCCATGTCTTTGCTATTGTGAACAGTGCTGCAACAAACATATGTGCATGTATTTCATAGTAGAATAATCTATATTTCTTTGGGTATATACCCAGTAATGGGATTGCTAGGTCGAATGGTATTTCTGGTTCTAGACCCTTGAGGAATCACCACACTGTCTTCTACAATGGTTGGACTAATTTATATTCCTACCAACAGTGTAAAAGCATTCCTGTTTTTCCATAGCCTCACCATTATCCGTTGTTTCCTTTTAAATAATTGCCATTCTGACTGGGATGAGATAGTATCTCACTGTGGTTTGGATTTGCATTTCTCTAATGATCAATGATGCTGTGTTTTTTTCATGTTTGTTGGCTGCATTGATTTCTTCTTTTGAGAAGCATCTGTTCATATCTTTTGCCCCCTTTTGAATGGAGTTGTTTGTTTTTTTCTTGTAAATTTGTTTAAGTTCCTTGTACATTCTGGATACTAGACCTTTGTCAGATGGGTAGATTGCAAAAATTTTCTCCCATTCTGTAGGATGGTTGTTTGCTCTGTAATAGTTTCTTTTGCTGTGCAGAAGCTCTTTAGTGTAATTAGGACTGATTTGTCAATTTTGGCTTTTGTTGCAGTTGTTTTTGGTGATTTCATAATAAAATCTTTGCCCATGCCTATGTCCTGAATGGTATTGCCTAGGTTTTCTTCTACGGTGTCTATGGTTTTGGGTTTCAGATTTAAGTCTTTAATCCATCTTGAGTTAATTTTTGTATAAGATGTAAGGAAGGGTCCAGTTTCAGTGCCCTGCGTATGGCTAACCAGTTTTCCCACACCATTTATTAAACAGAGAATCCTTTACTCATTTTTTGTTTTTTTTAGGTTTGTTGAAGATCAGTTGGTTGTAAATGTGTGGTGTTATTTCTGAGGACTCTATCCTGTTCCATTGGTCTATGTGTCTGTTTTGGTACTAGTACCATGCTGTTTTGGTTACTGTAGCCTTGTAGTATAGTTTGAAGTCAGGTAACATGATGCCTCCAGCTTTGTTCTTTTTGCTTAGGATTGTCTTGGCCATGAGGGCTCTTTTTTGGTTCCATGTGAATTTTAAAGTAGGTTTTGCTAATTCTGTGAAGAATGTCAATGGTAGTTTGATGGGAATAGCATTGAATATTTAAATTACTTTGGGTAGTATGGCCATTTTCACAATATTAACTCTTCCTATCCATGAGCATGGAATGTTTTTCCATTTGTTTGTGTCCTCTCTTATTTCCTTGAGCAGTGGTTTGTAGTTTTCCTTGAAGAGGTTCTTCACCCCTTTGTTAGCTGTATTGATGGGTATTTTATTCTCTTTGTGGCAACTGTGAATGGGAGTTCATTCATGATTTGGCTTTCTGCTTGTCTCTTGTTGTTGTGTAAGAATGCTTGTGATTTTTGCACATTAATTTTGTATTCTGAGACTTTGCTGAAGTTGCTTATCAGCTTAAGGAGATTTTGGGCTGAGACGATGTGGTTTTCTAAATATAGGAATATGTCATCTGCAAACAGCGACAATTTGACTTCCCTCTCTTCCCATTTGAGTACCGTTTATTTATTTCTCTTGCCTGATAGCCAGAACTTCCAACACTATGTTGAATAGGAGTGGTGAGAAAGGGCATCCTTGTCTTGTGCCAAGTTTTCAAAGGGAATGCTTCCAGCTTTTGCCCATTCAGTATGATATTGTCTGTGGGTTTGTCATAAATAGCTCTTATTATTTTGAGATATGTTCCGTTAATACCTAGTTTACTGAAAGTTTTTAATGTGAAGGGATGTTGAATTTTATTAAAGACCTTTCCTGCATCTATAATCATGTGGCTTTTGTCATTGGTTCTGTTTATGTGATGGATTACATTTATTGATTTGCATATGTTGAACCAGCCTTGCATCCCAGGGATGAAGCCGACTTGATTGTGGTGGATAAGCTTTTTGATTTGCTGCTGGATTCGTTTTGCCAGTATTTTATAGAGGATTTTCACATCAATGTTCATCAGGGATATTGGCCTGAAGCTTTCTATTTTTGCTGTGTCTCTGCCAATTTTTGGTGTCAGGATGATGCTGGCCTCATAAAATGAGCTGGGAGAAGTCCTTCATTTTCAACTGTTTGGAATAGTCTGAGGGAATGGTACCAGCTCCTGTTTGTATTTCTGGTAGAATTTGGCTGGGAATCAATCTGATCCTGGGCTTTTTTTGGTTGGTAGGCTATTTATTACTGCCTTGATTTCAGAACTTGTTATTGGTCTATTCAGGGATTTGACTTCTTCCTGGTTTACTCTTGGGAGGGTATATGTGTCCAGGAATTTATCCATTACTTGTAGACTTCCTAGTTTATTTGCATAGAGGTGTTTATAGTATTCTCTGATGGTAGTTTGTATTTCTGTGGGGTCAGTGGTGATATCCCATTTATCATTTTTTATTGTGTCTATTTTATTCTTCTCTCTTTTCTTCTTTATTAGTCTGTTAGTGGTCTATTTTTTTTTTAAAATTTTTTCAAAAAAAACAGCCCCTGGATTCATTGATTTTTTGAAGGGTTTTTCGTGTCTCTATCTCCTTCAGTTCCCTTCTCATCTTAGTTATTTCTCTTCTTCTGCTAGCTTTCGAATTTGTTTGCTCTTGCTTCTCTAGTTCTTTTAACTGTGATGTTAGGGTGTCGATTTGAGATCTTTCTAGCTTTCTGATGTGGGCATTTAGGGCTATAAATTTCCCTCTTAACACAGCTTTAGCTGTGTTCCAGAGATTCTGGTATGTTTTCTTTTTTTTCCATTGGTTTCAAACAACTTCTTGATTTCTGCCTTAATTTCATTATTTACCCAGGAGTCATTCAGGAGCAGGTTATTCAATTTCCATGTAATTGTTTGGTTTTGAGTGAGTTAGAACTCTTAATCCTGAGTTCTAATTTGATTGCACTGTGGTCTGAGGGACTGTTTGTTATGATTTCAGTTATTTTGCATTTGCTGAGGAGTGTTTTATCTCTAATTATGTGGTCAATTTTACAGTAAATGCCATGTGGCACTGAGAAGACTGTATATTCTGTAGTTTTGGGGTGGAGATTTCTGTAGCTATTTATTAGGTCCACTTGATCCAGAGCTGAGTTCAAGTCCTGAACATCCTTGTTAATTTTCTATCTTGCTGATTTGTCTAATATTGATAGCTGGGTGTTAAAGTCTCCCAATATTCTTGTGTGGGAGTCTAAGTCTCTTTGTAGGTCTGTAAGAACTTGTTTTATGAATCTGGGTGCTCCTGTATTGGGTGCATATACATTTAAGACAGTTAACACTTCTTGTCGAATTGATCCCTTTACCATTATGTAATGCCCTTCTTTGTCTTTTTTGATCTTTGTTGGTTTAAAGCCTGTTTTGTCAGAGACTAGGACAAAACTAGTCTCTGCTTTTTTCTGCTTTCCATTTGCTTGGTAAATTTTCCTCCATCCCTTTATTTTGAGCCTAAGTGTGTCTTTGAACATGAAATGGGTCTCTTGAATACAGAACACTGGTGGGTTTTGACTCTATCCAATTTGCCAGTCTGTGTCTTTTAACTGGGGCATTTAGCCCATCTACATATAAGTTTAATGTTGTTATATGTGAATTTGATTCCATTATCCTGACGCTAGCTGCTTATTTTGTATACTAGTTGATGCCATTTCTTCATAGTGTCATTGGTTTTTATATTTTTGTGTGTTTTGCAGTGGCTGGTATTGATTTTTCCTTTCCATATTTGATGCTTCCTTCAGGAGCTTTTACAAAGCAGGCCTAATGGTGATGAATTCTCTCAGCATTTGCTCTATGATAAGGATTTTATTTCTCCTTTGCTGATGAAGCTTAGTTTGGCCAGATATGAAATTCTGGGTTAAAAATTCTTTCCTTTAAGAATGTTGAATATTGGCCCACACTTTCTTCTTGCTTATAGGGTTTCTGCTGAGAAATCTTCTGTTAGTCTGATGGGCTTTCCTTGGTAGGTGATGTAGCCTTTCTCTCTGGCTGCCCTTAACATTTTTTCCTTCATTTTGAGCTTGGGGAATCTGAAGATTATGTGTCTTGGGGTTGTTCTTCTCGTGGAGTATCTTAGTCAGTTTCTCTGTATTTCCTGAATCTGAATGTTGTCTTTTCTTGCTAGGCTGGGGAAGTTCTGCTGGATAATATCCCAAGGTGTGTTTTCCAATTTGGTTCTATTCTCCTCTCTTTCAGGTACTCTAATCAGTTGTAGCTGCGGTCATTTTATGTAGTTCCGTATTTCTGGGAGGTTTGGTTTGTTCATTTTCATTGTTTTTTCTCTAGTCTTGCCTGCCTCCGTTATTCCATCTCTGATACTCTTTTTTCTGCTTGATCAATTTGGCTACTGATACTTGTGTATTTTTTCTTGAAGTTCTTGTTCTGTGTTTTTCAGTTTCATCAGGTCATTTATGTTTCTCTCTAAACTGGTTATTCTAGTTAGTAGCTCCTGTAACCATTTATCAAGGTTCTTAGCTTCTTTGCCAAGAACATGGCATTGTGTTAGAACATGCTTTACCTCAGTGAAGTTTGTTATTACCCAGATTCTGAAGCCTACTTCTGTCAATTCATCTATCTCATCCTTCGTCCAGTTCTGCACCCTTGCTGGAGAGGTGTTGTAATCATTTGGAGGAGAAGAGGCACTCTGAGCTTTTGGGTTTTCAATGTTTCTTCATTGATTCTTTCTCATCTTCATAAACTTGTCTAGATTCGATCTTTGAGGCTGCTGATCCTTGCATGAGATTTTTTGGGGGACTTTTATCATTGATGCTATTGTTGTTGCTTTCTGTTTGTTTGTTTTTCTTTCAACAGTCAGGTTCCTCTTCGGTAGGGCTGCTGTGGTTTGCTGGGAGTTCGCTCCAGGCCCTATTCATTTATTTTGCTCCTGTGCCTGGAGATGTCACTTGATGGGGCTGGAGAACAGCAAAGATGGATGCCTGCTCCTTCCTCTGGGTTCCTGACTTAAAGGGGCACCGACCTGATGCCAGTAGGAACACTCCTGTACAGGATGTCTGGCAACCCCTGTTGGGGGCTCTTACCTAGTTGGATGGCATAGGAAGCAGGACCTGTTTAATGAAGCACTTTGGCTGTCCCTTGGTGGAGAGTGTGTGCTGTGCTGGGGGGACCCCACTCATCTGGGTTGTCCAGATTCCTCAGAGCTAGCAGGAGGAAAGACTATGTCTGCTGGTTCATGGAGACTGTGGCACCACTCCCGCTAGGAGCTCAGGCTCTGGGAAATCAGAGTTTGGTCCCTGAGCCCCTGGTTGGAGTTGTTGGCCCTGAAGCTGCAGTGTTGGCTGCCACCCCTCCCCCAAGGAGCTCAACTGGCTTAGCCAGCAGGCAGCAGTGGCAGTGGTAATGGCTGCCTTCCCCTGGGAACTTGGCAGGCTTAGGCAGATTCTAGCCATGTGGCTGTTGAGAATCTGCAGGGCTCCGTGGTTGGGAGCCAAGGTCCTGGTAGTCTGTGCTCACGAGTGGGATCTTCTGATCCATGGGTTGCACAGTTCAGTGGAAAAAGCATGGTTGCCTAGGCTGGGTAGCATGCTCACTCACCACTTCCCTTGGCTGGGGGTGGGGGCTCCCCTGTCCCATGTGGCTCTCAGGTGGTCCACTGCACCACACTGGTCTTCCTTCCTCTCTGTGGGTCACCCTAGCTGTCATTAGTCAGTCCTAATGACAGAACATGGATACCTCAGCTGCTGGTGCAGGATTCACATGCCGTTTTGAAACACTCGTTTTGCAGGATCTGAAAGTGGATATTTGGACTGCTTTGTCTCCTTCGTTGGAAACAAGAATATCTTCTCATAAAAACTTGACAGAAGCATTCTATACATGTTTGATGTATAGAAATAAAAAAAACTAAAAAATTAAGCCAATTATTTGAAACCCAAAATCATTTTTTACACTGTTTTTCTGTTTCTTTGTTTTTGAGACAGAGTCTCGCTCTGTCACTCATGCTGAAATACAGTGGTGTAATCTTGGCTCATTGCAACCTCTGCCTCCCAGATTCAAGTGATTCTTGTGCCTCAGCTGTATTTTTTTTTTTTTTTTTGACTGGCTAGCTTTTCCATTAGAAAAAACTCACGACAATGATTTTCAGAATGTTTTCCTGATTGAGTGTTGTGCTTTACAGTTCAGTCCCCCTTAAAAACTAGCTTCAGTTGCATCTGTGAAAGTTGCCCAGAAAACAGCATTCAATTACAAACATAAACCCTGTCCTGTTTGCAGTCAAACCCACAGAAATGAGGTCAAATCTGAGCTACCAAGCAAATATTTTGGGAGCTCTATGGAGTACTAAGAATTGTTACATTTTTACTTCTCACATTTTAGCTCATAAGATATCATTAATATCTCCATTTTGTTAAAGTTTTAAAAATTGGATTTTTAATGGATTCAGAATATTATGTTCAATAGATATGTAATGATTTTTGTACCTAGACTGCTATTATAGGATAATTAGATTTTTTCCTAATTTTTTATTTTAATAAATGATACCACAATTAACATTTCAATCATGTAAATTTTTTTCTTTCTTTTTCTTTTTTTTTATTATACTTTAAGTTTTAGGGTACATGTGCACAACGCGCAGGTTAGTTACATATGTATATATGTGCCATGTTGGTGTGCTGCACCCATCAACTCGTCATTTAACATTAGGTATATCTCCTAATGCTATCCCTCCCCCCTCCCCACAACAGGCCCCAGAGTGTGATGTTCCACTTCCTGTGTCCATGTGCTCTCATTGTTCAATTTCCACCTATGAGTGAGAACATGTGGTGTTTGGTTTTTTTGTCCTTGCGATAGTTTGCTGAGAGTGATGGTTTCCAGCTTCATCCATGTCCTTACAAAGGACATGAACTCATCATTTTTTATGGCTGCATAGTATTCCATGGTGTATGTGTGCCACATTTTCTTAATCCAGTCTATCATTGTTGGACATTTGGGTTGGTTCCAAGTCTTTGCTATTGTGAATAGTGCCACAATAAACATATGTGTGTATGTGTCTTTATAGCAGCATGTTTTATAATCCTTTGGGTATATACCCAGTAATGGGATGGCTGGGTCAAATGGTATTTCTAGTTCTAGATCCCTGAGGAATCGCCACACTGACTTCCACAATGGTTGAACTAGTTTACAGTCCCACCAACAGTGTAAAAGTGTTCCCATTTGTCCACATCCTCTCCAGCACCTATTGTTTCCTGACTTTTTAATGATTGCCATTCTAACTGGCGTGAGATGGTATCTCATTGTGGTTTTGATTTGCATTTCTCTGATGGCCAGTGATGACGAGCATTTTTTTATGTGTCTTTTGGCTGCATAAATGTCTTCTTTTGAGAAGTGTCTGTTTGAATGCTTTGCCCACTTTTTGGTGGGGTTGTGTTTTTTTCTTGTAGATTTGTTTGAGTTCATTGTAGATTCTGCATATCAGCCCTTTGTTAGATGAGTAGATAGCAAAAATTTTCTCCCATTCTGTAGGTTCCTGTTCACTCTGATGGTATTTTCTTTTGCCGTGCAGAAGCTCTTTAGTTTAATTAGATCCCATTTGTCATCAGGGATATTGGTCTAAAATTTTCTTTTTTTGTTGTGTCTCTGCCAGGCTTTGGTAACAGGATGATGCTGGTCTCATAAAATGAGTTAGGGAGGATTCCCTCTTTTTCTGATTGGAATAGTTTCAGAAGGAATGGTACCAGCTCCTCCTTGTACCTCTGGTAGAATTCGGCTGTGAATCCATCTGGTCCTGGACTTCTTTTGATTGATAAGCTATTAATTATTGCCTCAATTTCAGAGCCTGTTATTGGTCTATTGAGAGATTCAAGTTCTTCCTAGTTTAGTCTTGGGAGGGTGTATGTGTTGAGGAATTTAGCCATTTCTTCTAGATTTTCTAGTTTAGTTGCATAGAGGTGTTTATAGTATTCTCTGATGGTAGTTTGTATCTCTGTGGGATCGGTGGTGATATCCCCTTTATCATTTTTTATTGCGTCTATTTAATTCTTCTCTCTTTTCTTCTTTATTAGTCTTGCTAGCGGTCTATCAATTTTGTTGATCTTTTCAAAAAACCAGCTCCTGGATTCATTGATTTTTTGAAGGGTTTTTTGTGTCTCTATCTCCTTCAGTTCTGCTCTGATCTTAGTTATTTCTTGCCTTCTGCTAGCTTTCAAATGTGTTTGCTCTTGCTTCTCTAGTTCTTTTAATTATGATGTTAGGGTGTCAATTTTAGATCTTTCCTTCTTTCTCTTGTGGGCATTTAGTGCTATAAATTTCCCTCTACACACTGCTTTGAATGTGTCCCACAGATTCTGGTATGTTGTGTCTTTGTTCTCATTGGTTTCAAAGAACATCTTTATTTCTGCCTTCATTTCATTATGTACCCAGTAGTCATACAGGAGCAGGTTGTTCAGTTTCCATGTAGTTATGTGGTTTTGAGTGAGTTTCTTAATCCTGAGTTCTAGTTTGATTGCACTGTGGTCTGAGAGACAGTTTGTTATAATTTTTGTTCTTTTACATTTGCTGAGGAGTGCTTTACTTCCGACTAAGTGGTCAATTTTGGAATAAGTGGGGTGTGGTGCTGAGAAGAATGTATATTCTGTTGATTTGGGGTGGAGAGTTCTGTTGATGTCTATTAGGTCCACTTGGTGCAGAGCTGAGTTGAATTCCTGGATATCCTTGTTAACTTTCTGTGTCATTGATCTGTCTAATGTTGACAGTGGGGTGTTATAGTCTCCCATTATTATTGTGTGGGAGTCTAAGTCTCTTTTTAGGTCTCTCAGGACTTGCTTTATGAATCTGGGTGCTCCTGTATTGGGTGCATGCATATTTAGGATAGTTAGCTCTTCTTGTTGAATTGATCCCTTTACCATTATGTAATGGCCTTCTTTGTCTCTTTTGATCTTTGTTGGTTTAAAGTCTGTTTTATCAGAGACTAGGATTGCAACCTCTGCCTTTTTTTGTTTTCCATTTCCTTGGTAGATCTTCCTCCATCCCTTTATTTTGAGCCTATGTGTGTCTTCGCACATGAGATGGGTTTCCTGAATACAGCACACTGATGGGTCTTGACTCTTTATCCAATTTGCCAGTCTGTGTCTTTTAATTGGAGCATTTAGTCCATTTACATTTAAAGTTAATAGTGTTATGTGTGAATTTGATCCTGTCATTATGATGTCAGCTGGTTATTTTGCTCATTAGTTGATGCAGTTTCTTCCTAGCATTGGTGATCTTTACCATTTGGCATGTTTTTGCAGTGGCTGATACCGGTTGTTCCTTTCCATGTTTAGTGCTTCCTTCAGGAGCTCTTTTAGGGCAGGGCTGGTGGTGACAAAATCTCTCAGCATTTGCTTGTCTGTAAAGGATTTTGTTTCTCCTTCACTTATGAAGCTTAGTTTGGCTGGATATGAAATTCTGGATTGAAAATTCTTTTCTTTAAGAAAGTTGAATATTGGCCCCCACTCTCTTCTGGCTTGTAGAGTTTCTGCCAAGAGATCAGCTGTTAGTCTGATGGCCTTCCCTTTGTGGGTAACCTGACCTTTCTCTCTGGCTGCCCTTAACATTTTTTCCTTCATTTCAACTTTGGTGAATCTGACAATTATGTGTCTTGGAGTTGCTCTTCTCGAGGAGTATCTTTGTGGCTTTCTCTGTATTTCCTGAATTTGAATGTTGGCCTGCCTTGCTAGATTGGGGAAGTTCTCCTGGATAATATCCTGTAGAGTGCTTTCCAACTTGGTTCCATTCTCCCTTTCACTTTCAGGTACACCAATCGATGTAGATTTGGTCTTTTCACATAGTCCCATATTTCTTGGAGGCTTTGTTCATTTCTTTTTATTCTTTTTTCTCTAAACTTCCCTTCTCACTTCATTTCATTCATTTCATCTTCCATCACTGATACGCTTTCTTACAGTTGATCGAATTGGCTACTGAGGCTTGTGCATTCATCACGTATTTCTCGTGCCTTGGTTTTCAGCTCCATCAGGTCCTTTAAGGACTTCTCTGCATTGGTTATTCTAGTTAGCCATTCGTCTAATTTTTTTTCAAGGTTTTTAACTACTTTGCCATGGGTTTGAACTTCCTCCTTTAGCTCAGAGAAGTTTGATCATCTGAAGCCTTCTTCTCTCAACTCATTGAAGTCATTCTCCATTCAGCTTTGTTCCATTGCTGGTGTGGAGCTGTATTCCTTTGGAGGAGGAGAGGTGCTCTGATTTTTAGAGTTTCCAGTTTTTCTGCTCTGTTTTTTCCCCATCTTTGTGGTTTTATCTACCTTTGGTCTTTGATGATGGTAACGTACAGATGGGGTTTTGGTGTGGATGTCCTTTCTGTTTGTTAGTTTTCCTTCTAACAATCAGGACCCTCAGCTGCAGGTCTGTTGGAGTTTGCTGGAGATCCATTCCAGACCCTGTTTGCCTGAGTATCAGCAGTGGAAGCTGCAGAACAGCGGATACTGGTGAACAGCAGATGTTGCTGCCTGATCGTTCCTCTGGAAGTTTTGTCTCAGAGGAGTACCCAGCCGTGTGAGGTGTCAGTCTGCCCCTACTGGGGGGTGCCTCCCAGTTAGGCTACTCAGGGGTCAGGGACCCACTTGGGGAGGCAGTCTGTCCGTTCTCAGATGTCCAACTGCGTGCTGGGAGAACCACTACTCTCTTCAAGGCTGTCAGACATGGACATTTAAGTCTGCAGAGGATTTTGTTTGGCTGTGCCCTGCCCCCAGAGGTAGAGTCTACAGAGGTAGGCAGGCCTCCTTGAGCTGCGGTGGGCTCTACCCAGTTCGAGCTTCCCTGCTGCTTTGTTTACCTACTCAAGCCTCGGCAATGGCGGGCGCCCCTCCCTCAGCCTTGCTGCCACCTTGCAGTTTGATCTCAGACTGCTGCGCTAGCAATGAACAAGGCTCCATGGGGGTAGGACCCTCCGAATCAGGCGCAGGATGTAATCTTCTGGTATGCTGTTTGCTAAGACCGTTGGAAAAGCACAGTATTAGGGTGGGAGTGACCCGATTTTCCAGGTGCCATCTGTCACTCCTTTCTTTGACTAGGAAAGGGAATTCCCTGACCCCTTGCGCTTCCTGGGTGAGGCGATGCCTTGCCCTGCTTCGGCTCTTGCTTGGTGTGCTGCACCCACTGTCCTGCACCCACTTTCTGACACTCCCCAGTGAGATGAACCTGGTACCTCAGTTGGAGATGCAGAAATCACCCATCTTCTGCGTCGCTCATGCTGGGAGCTGTAGAGTGGAGCTGTTCCTATTTGGCCATCTTGCCTCCACCCCCGATTTTTTTCTTGTTTAGAATTATTTTTTGGTGTACGTTTAAGAAAGTAGGATTACTAGGTCAAAGGGTACAGGTACTTTTATGATTCTTACAATGAATTGACAAGTTACATTCTAAAAGTTTTTTTTCAATTTAAAGTGTTACCAGTAATGTATGAGTGTACCACTTTTACCATAACCTCAAAAACATTGGGTATAAATATTTAAATATTTACTATTTACAATATATATGTTCATTATGGTAAATTTTCCATTTATATCCTTGTTATTTTTACCGATAGCACCTCAATATTGTTTTATTCTGCTGTATTTAAATGAACTTTTTTGAAAATTATAAGTATTAACCTTTTGTCATTTATAGAGCAAATGTTTTTCATCTCTGTTGCATTCTTTTTTGTATTAGTGTTGTTTATAAGCATTGAAGTTTCAAATTTTATGTATTTAACAACATTTTCTTTGAGATGTTCTGCTTTAAACCTTAGAAAATTAACATCTATCAGAAGACCTGGAAATAGTTTATTCTGCTTTCTGTAATTTACAATCTGTTATTCACATATAGTATTTCTTCTGGTTTATGGGGTAAGGCATGAATTTATGTGGTGGGTTTGTTTTTTTGTTTGTTTGTTTGTTTTTTGCTCTAGAAGTACTAACTTCAGTGGATTAAGGTGACCATGGAAACTTTCTTAGTCAGTTCAGGCTTTTATAACAGAATACCATAGATAGGGTGGCTTAAGCAACAGAAATTTATTTCTCACCATTCTGCAGGCTGCGAAGTCGAAGAACAGGTGCTGGGAGATCCAGTGTTTGGTGAGGGAATTGTTCTTGATTTGTGGAGGGCTGTTTTTCCCTTGTATCCTCACATTGTCATTGTAGAGAGCTTGGAATATAGATCTTAGAGTTAAAAAAAATCAGAGTTTGAATGTCAGGTCTGCTTCGTCTTACCTCACCAACTTTGGGCCATTTACTTAACCTCTCTGAAGTTAATAATACCTAGTGCTTCACTATCTGTAATATATAAGAGAATAGTAATGCCTAACCCCTGGGATCTACTTCAGTTGGATACTTTCAGCCTCACATAAGAAAAAACCTAATGCAAACTGGTTTAAATGTCAAGGAAATTTATTGACTCTGCTAACTGGATATCAGTAGGCTGGGTTTCAGGGTTGTCTTATTCAATGAATCATGAATGTCATCCCAGGAGAACTGGGGGTCATGGCGGATGGGAGGTAGGACTAGATTGCAGCTCTGACTTGGATGGACAGAGCAGCATATGAAGCCTTGCATCATGAATTTTTGCTCCAGAGTGATGGCAGGAATAAATCAGGAAACCTGAGAGAACCCACAGATCCCCCGAAAAAAGAAGATTGCTCCTGCAGTACCTGGGAGACATCCAAATACTGTGAGTGCCCAAATTGTGAAAGTGGGAAAGGGGGATCATCCACCCTTGAACACACCCCCCAGCTAGGGAAACTGAAGGCCTTGATTATGGGAGACGATATTGACCTTACCTGGAGCTGAGTCAGTGTAGACAGCCAAGCAAAATACAGTGGTAGACGAAGCAATGGGTCCCCTAGCAAGCCATTTTTGCCTGGCCTCATGGGGTCCTTTGGGAGGTTGGCCAGAGGCACTGGGAAAAGGCCATGGGGAAATGGCCATGGGGGAAATCTCTAGCTGAACTTTGTAACAATTTGAACTGATCAAGAAGCCTCCTGGCCAGAACCTGGGGGAGGGCATGAATCTGTTGTACAGACTCCGTAGGTGGGGGAAGAAGGGAAGCCATATTTGCTTTTGCAGCTGGGATGCAGGTAGTGGGGCAAGTTCTCAGCCATGCTTTCCAACTGCCTGGAAATAGACTCAGTTCTGTTGGTGGGGGCATGGTGGGTGTGAGACCAGCCCTTAGGATTACATGGGAGCTGGATGAGATCTGTGACTGCTGGCTTTTCCCCACTTCCCTGACAACCTGCATAGCACAGTAGAGACAGTCATAATCCTCCTAGGAACATAACTCCATTGACCTGGGAAGCTCACCCCCATCCCCCACAGCAGCTGCAGCAAGACCCGCCCAAGGAGAGTCTGAGCTCAGACACACCTAGCCCTCTTCCCACCCAGTGGTTCTTCCCTACCCACCCTGTTAACTGAAGACAAAGGGCATATATTCCTGGGAGTTCTATGGCCCTGCCCACCACCTGTTCCTCCCCATATTACCACAGCTGATACTCTCTGGAAAGCTCAACCTCCTGGCAGGAGGCCAACCAGCAAAATATAGTGCATTAAACCACCAAAGCTAAGAACTGTCACAGGATCCAGTACATCCACCTGCCACCTCCACTGGAAAAGGTGCTGGTATCCACAGCTGAGAGATCCACAGACAGTTCACATCCCAGGACTCTGTGCAGACAAGCCTCAGTACTTGGTAGACTTGCTGGGTGGCTAGACCCAGAAGAGTGATAATAGTCACTACAGCTCAGCTCTCAGGAAGCCACATCCATAGGAAAAAGGGGAGAGTTCTACCTCAGAGAACAACTTGTAGGACAAAAGAATCTGAACAACAGCCTTCAGCCCTAGACCTTCCCTCTGACACAGCCTAACCAAATGAGAAGGAACCAAAAAACCAACTCTAGTAACATGACAAAACAAGGTTCTTTAACACCTCCAAGAAATCACACTAGCTCAAAAAAAATGGACCCAAACCAAGAAGAAATCCCTGATTTACCTGAAAAAGAATTCAGGAGTTTAGTTATTAATCTAATCAGGGAGGCACAAGAGAAAGGCAAAGCCCAATGTAAGGAAATAAAAAAAAAGATACAAGAAGTGAAGGGAGAAATATTCAAAGAAATAGATAGCAGAAATAAAAACCAATCATGCCAGGTGTGGTGTCTCGTGCCTGTAGTCCTAGAACCTTGGGAGGCTGAGATGAGCAGATCACTTGAGGTCAGGGGTTTGAGACCAGCCTGACCAATGTGGTAAAACCCCATCTCTACTAAAAATACAAAAATCAGCCAGATGTGGTGGCACGTGTCTATAATCCCCACTATTCCAGAGGCTGAGGCAAGAGAATCATCTCAAAAAACAAAGAAACAAAGAAACCCCGACAAATCCCCCCCACCAAAAAAAATAAAAACTTCAGGAAACAATGGACACAGTTATAAAAATGCAAAATGCTCTGGAAAATCTCAACAATAGAATTGAACAAGTAGAAGAAAGAAATTTAGAGCTTGAAGACAAGGTCTTCAAATTAACCCAACCCAACAAAGACAAAGGGAAAAGAAGAAAATATGAACAAAGCCTCCAAGAAATCTGGGATTATGTTAAACAACCAAACCTAAGAGTAATCTGAGTTCCTGAGGAAGAAAAGAAATCTAAAAATTGGAAAGCATATTTAGAGGAATAATCAAGGAAAATTTTCCTGGCCTTGCTAGAGACCTAGACATCCAAATACAGGTAAGCACAAAGAATTCCTGGGAAATTCATTGCAAAAAGATTATTGCCTAGGCACATTGTTATCAGGTTATCTAAAGTTAAGATGAAGGAAAGAATCTTAAGAACTGAGACAAAAGCACCAGGTAACCTATAAAGGAAAACCTATCAGATTAAAAGCACATTTCTCAGCAGAAACTTTACAAGCTAGAAGGGATTGGGGCCCTATCTTCATCCTCCTCAAATAAAACAATAATCAGCCAAAAATTGTGTATCCAGTGAAACTAAGCTTTATATATGAAGGAAAGATGCAGCCTTTTTCGGAAAAACAAATGCTGAGAGAATTTGCCACTACCGACCCACCACTGCAAAAACTGCTAAAAGGAGCTCTAAATCTTGAAACAAATCCTGGAAACACATCAAAATGGAAACTGTTTAAAGCCTAAATCTCAGAGGACCAAGAAAACAAAAGTACAATTCAAGAAAAACAAAAACAAAAAACAAAAAACCAAGGTATACAGGCAACAAATAGCATGATGAATGGAATGGTACCTCACATTTCAAGACTAACATTGAATGTAAATGACCTAAATCCTCCACTTAAAAGATACAGAATTGCAGAAAGGTTAAGAATTCACTAACCAACTATATGCTGCCTTCAAGAGACCCACCTAACACATAAGGACTTGCACAAACCTAAGGTAAACGGGTGAAAAAAGACATTTCAGGCAAATGGACACAAAAAGCAAGCAGAAGTAGCTATTCTTATGTCAGATGAAACAAACTTCAAAGCAACAGCAGTTAAAAAAAAAAAAGGGGGAGGGATGGATGGCTGGTAAGATGGCCGAATAGGAACAGCTCCGGTCTGTAGCTCCCAGCGAGATCAACGCAGGAGGGGTGTGATTTCTGCATTTCCAACTGAGGTACCCAGCTCATCTCATTGGGACTGGTTAAACAGTGGGTGCAACCCACAAAGGACAAGCTGAAGCAGGGAAATGCAAGGGGTCAGGGAACTCTCTCCTCTTGCCAAGGGAAGCTGTGAGGAACTGTGCCATGAGGAATGGTACACTCCGGCTCCGATACTATGCTTTTCCCGTGGTCTTCACAACCCACAAAACAGGAGATTCCCTCAGGTGCCTACACCACCAGGGCCCTGGCTTTTCAAGCACAAAACTGGGCAGCTGTTTGGACACTGAGCTAGTGGCAGGAGTGTTTTTTTCATTTTTATTTTATCTTTATTTTTATTTTTTTAATACCCCAATGGCACCTGGAATGCCAACAAGACACAACTGTTCACTCTTCTGGAAATGGGGCTGAAGCCAGGAAGCCAAGTGGTCTAGCTCAGTGGATCCTGCGGCCAGGGAGCCCAGCAAGCTAAGATCCACTGGCTTGAAATTCTTGCTGCCAGCAGAGCAGTCTGAAGTCAACCTGGGATGCTCGAGCTTGGTGGGGGGAGGGGCATCCACCATTACTGAAGCTTGAGTAGGTGGTTGGTTTTTCCCTCACAGTGTAAACAAAGCTGTCAGGAAGTTCAAACTGGGCAGAGCCCACCACAGCTTGGCAAAGCCACTGTAGCCAGAGTGCATCTCTGGATTCCTCCTTTCTGGGCAGGACATCTCTGAAAGAAAGGCAGCAGCCACAGTCAGGGGGCTTATAGGTAAAACTCCCATCTCCTTGGGACAGAGCACCTGGGGGAAGGGGGGATGTGGGCTCAACTTCAGCAGACTTGAACATTCTTGCCTGCCAGCTCTGAAGATAGCAGTGGATCTCCCAGCACACTCAAGCTCTGCTAAGGGACAGACTGCCTCCTCGAGTGGGTCCCTGACCCCCAAGATTCCTAACTGGGAGACACCTCCCAGCAGGAGTCTACAGACATGTCATACAGGAGAACTCTGGCTGGCATCTGGTGGGCACCCCTCTGGGACGAAGCTTCCAGAGGAAGGAACAGGCAGCAGTCTTTGCTGTTCTGCATACTTCACTGGTGATACCTAGGCAAACATGGTCTGGAGTAGACCTCCAGCAAACTCCAGCAGACCTGCAGCAGAGGGGCCTGACTGTTAGAAGGAAAACTAAAAAACAGAAAGGAATAGCATCAACATCCACAAAAAGGACATGCACATGAAAACCCCATCCAAAGGTCACCAACCAAAGACCAAAGGTAGATAAATCCATGAAAATGGGGAAAAACCAGCACAAAAAAGCTGAAAATTCCAAAAACCAGAATGCCTCTTCACCTCCAAAGGATCACAACTCCTTGCCAGTAAAGGAACAAAACTGGATGGGGAATGAGTTTGAAATATTAACAGAAGTAGACTTCAGAATGTGGGTAATAACAAACTCCTCCTAGCTAAAGGAGCATGTTCTAACCCAATGCAAGGAAGCTAAGAACTTTGAAAAAAGGTTAGATGAATTGCTAACTAGAATAACCAGTTGAGAGGATAACATAAATTACCTAATGGAGCTGAAAAACACAGCATGAGAACTTTGTGAAGCATATGCAAGTATCAATAGCCGAGTTGATCAAGTGGAAGAGATGATATCAGAGATTGAAGATCAACTTAATGAAATAAAGCATGCAGACAAGATTAGAGAAATAAGAATGAAAAGGAATGAATAAAGCCTTCAAGAAATATGGGACTATGTGAAAAGACCAAACCTACATTTGATAGGTGTACTTGAAAATGATGAGAAGAATGGAGCCAAGTTGGAAAACATGCTTGCGCTTCAGGATATTATCCATGAGAACTTCCCCAACCTAGAAAGGTAGGCCAACATTCAAATTCAGGAAATACAGAGAACACCACAAAGATACTCCTCAAGAAGAGCAATCCCAAGACACATAATCGACAGATTTATTAAGGTTGAAATGAAGGTAAAAAAGATTAAGGGCAGCCAGAGAGAAAGGTTGGGTTACCCACAAAGGGAATCTCATCAGACTAACATCAGATCTCTCTTAAGAAACCCTACAAGCCAGAAGAGAGTGGGTGCCAATATTCAACACTCTTAAAGAAAATAATTTTCAACCCAGAATTTCATATGTAGCCAAACTAAGCTTCATAAGCGAAGGAGAAATAGAATTTCTTACACACATGCAAATGCTGAGAGATTTTGTTACCACAGGGCCTGGCCTTAAAAGAGTTCCTGAAGGAAGCACTGAATATGTCAAGGAACAACCAGTACAAGCCACTGCAAAAACATACCAAATTGTAAATACCATCGACACTATGAAAAACTGCATCAACTTACTGACAGCTAGCATCATAATGACAGGATCAAATTCACACATAATAATCTTAACCTTAAATGTAAATGGGCTAAATGCCCCAATTAAAAGACATAGACTGGAAAATAGGATAAAGAGCCAAGACCCATCAGTGTGCTGTATTCAGGAGACCCATCTCATGTGCAAAGACACACACAGGCTCAAAATAAAGGGATGGAAGGATATTTACTAGGCAAATGGAAAGCAAACAAAAAGCAGTGGTTACAATCCTAGTCTCTGATAAACCAACAAAGAGTAAAAAAGACAAAGAAGGGAATTACTTAATGGTAAAGGGATCAATGCAACAAGAAGAGCTAACTATCCTAAATATATATACACCTAATACAGGAGCACTGAGATTCGTAAATCAAGTTCTTAGAGACTTACAAAGAGACATAGACTCCCACACAGTAATAGTGGGACACTTTAGCACCCCATTGTCAATATTAGACAGATCAATGAGACAGAAAATTAACAGGGATATTCAGGACTTGAACTCAGCTCTGGACCAAGCAGACCTAATAGACATCTAAAAAACTCTCCACCCCAAATCAACAGAAT
This sequence comes from Homo sapiens, assembly GCF_000001405.40. Classification (NCBI taxonomy): domain Eukaryota; kingdom Metazoa; phylum Chordata; class Mammalia; order Primates; family Hominidae; genus Homo; species Homo sapiens. The sequence continues at coordinate 85,418,412 of NC_000011.10, read as the reverse complement.
ATACATTCTTCTCAGCACACATCACACTTATTCTAAAATTGACCACATAATTGGAAGTAAAACACTCCTAAGCAAATGCAAAAGAATGGAAATCATAATAAACAGTCTCTCAGACCACAGTGCAATCAAATTAGAACTCAGAATTAAGAAACTCTCTCAAAACCACACAACTACATGAAAACTGAACAACCTACTCCTGAGTGACTACTGGGTAAATAACAAAATTAAGGCAGAAATAAATAAGTTCTTTGAAACCAATGAGAACAAAAACAAAGTGTACTGTATCAGAATCTCTGGGACACAGGTAAAGCAGTATTTAGGGGGAAATTTATAGCACTAAATGTCCACAGGAGAAAGTGAGAAAGATCTAAAATCGACACCCTAACATCTCAATTAAAAGAAATAGAAGAACAAGAGAAAACAAATTCAAAAAATAGCAGAAAGCAAGAAATAACTAGGATCAGAGCAGAACTGAAAGAGATAGAGACATTAAAAACCCTTCAAAAAAATCAATGAATCCAGGAGCTGTTTTTTTGTTCAACAAAATAGATAGACTGCTAGCCAGACTAATAAAGAAGAAAAGAGAGAAGAATATAATAGACACAATAAAAAATAAGTGTGATATCACCACTGAAGCCACAGAAATACAAATGACCATCAGAGAATACTGTAAACACCTCTATGCAAATAAACTAGAAAATCTAGAAGAAATGGATAAATTCCTGGACACATACACCCTCACAAGACTAAAGCAAGAAGAAGTTGAATCCCTGAATAGACCAATAACAAGCTCTGAAATTGAAGCAGTAATTAATAGCCTACCAACCAAAAAAAGCTGAGGACCAGATAGATTCACAGCCGAATTCTACCAGAGGTATAAAGAGGAGCTGGTGTCATTCCTTCTGAAGCTATTCCAACCAATAGAAAAAGAGACACTCCTCCCTAACTCATTTGATGAGGCCAGCATCATCCTGATACCAAAGCCTGGCAGAGACACACCATAAAAAGAATATTTCAGGTCAGTATCCCTGATGAACATCGGTGCAAAAATCCTCAATAAAATACTGGCAAACCAAATCCAGCAACACATCAAAAAGCTTATCCACCATGATCAAGTCAGCTTCATTTCTGGGATGCAAGGCTTGTTCAATATACACAAATCAATACAAGTTATTAATCACATAAACAGAACCAAAGACAAAAACCACATGATTATCTCAATAGATGCAGAAAAGGCCTTTGATAAAATTCAACACCACTTCATGCTAAAAACTCTCAATAAACAAGGGTATTGATGGAACATATCTCAAAATAATAAGAGCTATTTATGACAAACTCACAGTCAATATCATACTGAATGGCCAAAAGCTAGAAGCATTCTCTCTGAAAACTGGCATACGACAAGGATGCCCTCTCTCACCACTCCTATTCGATATAGTATTGGAAGTTCTGGCCAGGGCAATCAGGCAAGAGAAAGAAATAAAGCATATTCAAATAGGAAGAGAGGAAGTCAAATTGTCTCTGTTTGCAGATGACATTATTGTATATTTAGAAAATCCCATCATCTCAGCCGAAAAGCTCTTTATGCTCATAAGCAACTTCAGCAAAGTTTCAGGATACAAAATTAATGTCCAAAAATCACAAGCATTTCTACACACCAACAATAGACAAACAGAGAGCCAAATCATGAGTGAACTCCCATTCACAATTGCCACAAAGAGAATAAAATCCCTAGGAATACATCTTACAAGGGACGGGAAGGACCTCTTCAAGGAGAACTACAAACCACTGCTCAAGGAAATGACAGAGGAAACAAACAAATGGAAGAACATTCCATACTGATGGATAGGAAGAATCAATATTGTGAAAATGGCCATACTGCCTAAAGTTACTTACAGATTCAATGCTATCCCCATCAAGCTACCAATGACTTTCTTCACAGAATTAAAAAAAACTTCTTTAAATTTTATATGGAACCAAAAAACAGTCTGTATAGCCAAGACAATTCTAAGCAAAAAGAACAAAGCTGGAGGCATCATGCTACCTGACTTCAAACTATACTACAAGGCTACAGTAACCAAAACAGCATGGTACTGGTACCAAAACAGATGTATAGACTAATGGAACAGAACAGAAGCCTCAGAAATAATGTCACACATCTACAACCATCTGATCTTTGACAATAGACTAATGGAACAGAACAGAAGCCTCAGAAATAATGTCACACATCTACAACCATCTGATCTTTGACAAACCTGACGAAAGCAACCAATGGGGAAAGGATTCCCTATTTAATAAGTGGTGTTGGGAAAACTGGCTAGCCATATGCGGAAAACTGAAACTGGACCCCGTCCTTACACCTTTTACAAAAATAAACTTAAGATGGATTAAAGACTTAAATGTAAGACCTAAAAACCGTAAAAACCATAGAAGAAAACCTAGGCAATACCATTCATGACATAGGCATGGGCCAAGACTTCATGACTAAAACACCAAAAGCAATGGCAACAAAACCCAAAAGTGACATATGAAATTTAATTAAACTAAAGAGCTTCCACTCTTTAGTTTAGTTAGTATCTGATGATAGATACTATCATCAGAGTGAGCAGGCAACCTACAGAATGGGAGAAAATTTTTGCAGTCTATCCATCTGACAAAGGGCTAATATCCAGAATCTACAAAGAACTTAAATAAATTTACAAGAAAAAAACCCAACAAAAAGTGGGCAAAGGATATGAACAGACACCCTCAAAAGAAGACATTTAAGCAGCCAGCAAACATATGAAAAAAAACTCATCAACACTGGTCATTAGAGAAATGCAAATCAAAATCGCAATGAGAAACCATCTCACATCAGTTAGAATGGTGATCATTAAAAAGTCAGGAAACAACAGATTCTGGAGAGGATGTGGAGAAATAGGAATGCTTTTACACTGTCGTTGGGAGTGTAAATTAGTTCAACCATTGTGGAAGACAGTGTGGCAATTCCTCAAGGATCTAGAACTAAAAATACCATTTGACCCAGCAGTCCCATTACTGGGTATAAACCCAAAGAATTAGAAATCATTCTACTATAAAGACACATGCACATGTATGTTTATTGTGGCACTATTCACAATAGCAAAGACTTGGAACCAACCCAAATGCCCATAAATGTTAGACTGGATAAAGAAAATGTGGCACATATATGCCATGGAATACTATGCAGCCATAAAAAGGATGAGTTCATGCCCCTTGCAGGGACATGGATGAAGCTGGAAACCATCATTCTCAGCTAATTAACACAGGAAGAGAAAACCAAACACTGCATGTTCTCACTCATAAGTGGGAGTTGATCAATGAGAACACATGGACACAGGGAGAGGTACATCATACACTGGGGCCTGTCAGGGGGTGTGGGGCTAGGGGAAGGATAGCATTAAGAGAAATACCTCATGTAGATGACCAGTTGGTGAGTGCAGCAAACCCCCATGGCATGTGTATACCTATGTAAAAAATCTGCACGTTCTGCACATGTCTCCCAGAACTTAAAGTATAATAATGAAAGAAAGAGAAAGAGGGACATTATATAATGATAAAATGCCTTGTCCAACAGGAAAATGTCACAATCATAAAGATATATGCACCTAACACTGGAGCTACCCAATTTATAAAACAACCGCTAATAGATGTAAGAAATGAGACAGACATCAGCACAGTAATAGTGGGGGACTTCAATACTCCACTTACAGCAATAGAGTGATCATCAAGAGAGAAAGTCAACAAAGAAACAATGTATTAAAACTATACGCTGGAACAAATGGACTTAACAGATATATATAGAATATTACATCCAAAAACCGCAGAATATACATTCTATTCAACAGCGCATGAAACTTTCTCCAAGATGGACTATATGATAGGCCACAAAATGAGCCTCAACAAATTTACGAAAATTGAAATTATATCAAGCACTCTTTCAGACCACCTCTCTTCAACTCAGTACTGCAAGCCCTAGCCAGAGCAATCAGACAAGAGGAAGAGATAAAGGGCATCCAGATCAGTAAAGAGGAAGTCAAACTGTCGCTGTTTGCTGATGATGTGATTGTTTACTTAGAAAACCCTAAAGACTCCTCCAGAAAGCTCCTAGAACTGATAAAAGAATTTAGCAAAGTTTCAGAAAACAAAATTAATGTACACAAATCAGTAGCTCTTTTATACACCAACAACGACAAAGCTGATAATCAAATTGAGAACTCAACCCCTTTTACAATAGCTGGAAGAAAAGTGAAATATTTAGGAATATACCAAACCAAGGAGGTGAAAGGCCTCTACAAGGAAAACTACAAAACACTGCTGAAAGAAATCATAGATGACACAAACAAATGGAAACACATCCCATGCACATGAATGGGTAGAATCAATATTGTGAAAATGACCGTACTGCCAAAAGCAATCTACAAATTCAATGCAATTCCTATCAAAATACCACCATCATTCTTCAGAGAACTAAAAAAAAATTCTAAATGTCATATAGAACCAAAAAAGAGGCTGCATAGCCAAAGCAAGACTAAGCAAAAATAACAAACCTGGAAGCATCACATTACCTGATTTCAAACTATTCTATAAGGCCATAGTCACCCAAACAGCATGGCACTGGTATAAAAATAGGCACACAGACCAATGGAATAGAATACAGAACCCAGAAACAAACCGAAATACAGCTAACTGATCGTCAACAAAGCAAACCAAAACATAAAGTGTGGAAAGGACACCTTTTTCAACAAATGGTGCTGGAATAATTGGCTAGCCACATGTAGGAGAATGAAACTGGATCCTCATCTTTCACCTTATACAAAAATCAACTCACCATGGATTAAGGACTTAAATCTAAGACCGGAAACTCTAAAAATTCTAGAATATAACATCAAAAAAATCCTTCTAGACATTGGCTTAGGCAAGGATTTCATGACCAAGAACCCAAAAACAAACACAATAAAAACAAAGATAAATAGCTGGGGCTTAATTAAACTAAAGAGCTTTTGTACAGCAAAAGGAACAGTCAGCAGAGTAAACAGACAACCCACAGAGTGGGAAAAAATCTTCAGAATCTATACATCAGACAAAGGATTAATATCTAGAATCTACAATGAACTCAAACTAGCAAGAAGAAAACAATTTCATCAAAAAGTGGGCTAAGGACATGAATAGACAGTTCTCAAAAGAAGATATACAAATGGCCAACAAACATACACAAAATGATCAACATCACTAATGATCAGGGAAATGCAAATCAAAAGTCCAATGCGATACCACCTTACTCGTGCAAGAATGGCCACAATAAAAAATCAAAAAATGGTAGATATTGGCAGGGATGCGGTGAAGAGGGAACACTTCTACACTGCTGGTGGGTATGTAAATTAGTACAACCACTATGGAAAACAGTTTGGAGATTTCTTAAATAACTACAAGTGGAACCACTATTTGATCCAACAATCTCAGTACTGGCTATCTACCCAGAGGAAAATAAATCATTATACGAAAAAGATATTTGCACACACATGTTTATAGCAGCACAGTTTACAATTGCAAAAACGTAGAACCCACCCAAATGCCCATCCATCAATGAGTGGATTAAGAAACTGTGATATATATATATATATATATATATATGTGTGTGTGTGTGTGTGTGTGTGTGTGTGTGTGTGAAATACTGCTCAGCCATCAAAAGGAATGAGTTAGCAGCATTCACAGAGACTGGGATGAGATTGGAGACTATTATTCTAAGTGAAATTACATAGAATGAAAAACCAAACATCATATGTTCTCACTCATAAGTGGGAGCTGAGCTATGAGGATGCAAAGGCATTAGAATAACACAGTGAACTCTGGGGACTCCGTGGAAAAGAATGGAAAGGGGCGAGGATAAAATAGTACAAATATGGTGCAGTGTATACTGCCCAGGTGATGGGTGCATTAAAATCTCACAAATCGCGACTAAAGAACTTATGTAACCAAGCACCTCCTGTTCCCCAATAACCTATGGGAAAAAAAGAATGTCATCAGGAATCCAGGTTCCTCTGTCTTACCTCCCTACCATCCATCATGTTGTTTCATCCTAGGGCTGTTCTTCCTCATGGTCTGTGGTCAGCTACCTGCCAGAGCAATGAGGACTATACAATTCCTTATTTTATCAAACAGAAGAGAATGGATGCCTCCTGCCAGCTATTGAACAAAAATCATTTCCTTCAGTCTTATTGAGCCGACTTAGGCCATATGCTTATTCCTAACTCTAAAATATCACCAGGGGAATGACATGGGTTGATTTGCTCAGGCCTGGAAAAGAAGATAGGACATGATTTAAACATGATTGGCTTAGACTAATCAGAGCTCAAATTGGACCTGAGTTCAATTACCAAAAACACATTGGTGATACAGCATAGGGGAGAATAGAATGGATTTGCAGAGGAGCATTTTGTTTTAGCCTTGAAATATTTAAATTTAGATAAGTTTGGAGAATGAGAAAAGACACTGCAGTCAGAGGTGTAGAAGTGGAGGGCTTTTTCTTATTTGTGATAGTATGAATAAGCAAATTGGTTATATTTCTTGTTCTTAGGCTAGAATTAGAGCTATTTTTTGTATTGGAATTCTCATATTTCTACTTGAATAATTCTTCCATGAGGCTAAAATCACTATTTTCCTCAACACCGCTTATCACTCCCATCAATCAAATAAATGTATCATCTATCATTTTACAGATCTATCTGTTGACAGAATAATTATCCATTTCGTATGCTCAAAATGTGGATGTATGCATATGACTGAATGACATTGATCATCACAATTAGGTACAATTTGCAACACCTATATTTTACAGATGTGAAACAATAGAAATTAGTGGTATCAAAACTGCTATGCTGCAAGCCTAATATTTCAACAACAAATTTGTTATTAATATTTGCAAATTCAACATGATAAACTTGAGGTCAAAGCAATTTGAGAATTCAATATCCCAACTAGTACCCTCTCTTATAATGTCTATGTTCTTTAACGCTGCAAGAGACTCATAGACTACTTTTGTAAGTGTCTTGGAGTCTAGCTAAATGCCATGTTTCCTCTCTTCATTTCCAAGCTTTCTTTTTCTTTCTCATTTTATGCTTCCTCTTTTTTGTCCTTATTTTTCTTTTACTTTTAATTTTTTGCAGATGTACACTGCATGCATGTAATAATAAGGTACTGCCTTGATCATGTCACTTATTTCTCTTCTTTCCCACTATTCCTCCTCCTTTGTACTTGTTCTCTTTATACTTCTGCTTTTCTGTTTTCTGCTCTGAAGAATATTCCCTCAAATCTCTTGCTTTTATTTCCCTTTCACTTACCTTCTTTCCCTTATCTCTTTCCAGTGGGATAAATTAGCTATGCCTTCCTAGCAGGTTCACTAACTATAGGAATAGTTTGCCTCTGGAAGCAAACTTGCTGTGGCTTTGTTTTCTTTGGTTTAAGGCATCTGTCAACTGAAGCAAAGAGTGACAATAATGAGCATCGACCTACTCCAGATAATTGGGGGTGGCTGTTTTAGTTTTTATAATCACTGCCATTAAAGTATGTGCAAATCTGTTAATACAGACTCCTACTCAGTTTAGGAATTTCTCCCCTGTAACACATCACTTACTATACCATAGTGTACTCATTTGTTTATTTGGTTGTGAGCTTCATGAGGGCTGAGACCATATTTTCTTAAATATGCACATTTTCAGCGTTTAGCAAAGTGAATTTTTATGACAAATACTTCATTCATTAAACACACATTAAGCGGACCCACTGGTATACAGTTGTTCATATTTTCACTACACAATCCTAGGGCATACCACTAACATCACTCACATCTTAAATTTGTACATTCATTACAATTTTGGGGCAGATTGTAGTGAAGTGTTTAATTATAAGAAAATAATTATATTATGACAATTTCCTAACAGATGAAAGTAAATTCTTTTGAGAAAGGGGCACCTTTTTCTACTTTACTCAAAAGTGGCTTATGGGCTACTATTGGTCCTGATTTGTACTTAATTTATATTTATTAATATTCATACTAATAAATATATTAATATTCAGTTTCACAGTGATTACATTTTATTTATCTTGCTCAAGACAGCTCTTGCACTTTGAAGAAGATGAAATGCAGTGTATCTGTAATATAAAAAATGAGGTGCTGATTCTCATAATGGGAGAGAAAAAGCCTCTTCTACTTCACACCCTTAAGTGTACAATTTCCTCTTTGTTTTCATTAACTTGCTAACTTCTTATTCTTGTCTTATGTGTCCATCAATTTTGCAGTAGTGATTTACATGAGCACATATGTTTAATGCTGCTGACAATAAAAGATTCTAGTATGCTATGCCATTCCGTACTAAAACCTGGACCCACCACTGTAAACATCCCTACCTAGGATCAAATTGTATCTTTTGTCTCCAGGATGAAATCCTGTTATATTCGGTCACAGTTCTTCTCTTTTAATTTAATATGCGTTGAACTGAGCAGCTCCAACATCTAGTAATGATAATGAGCAACATTTATTGATTACTTCCTATGTAGTGTAGACACTGTTCTGAGTTTTAAGTACTTCTCTTCCCATTTTGTAAATGAGAAAATCTTCATACAGAGAGTTTAAATAATTTGCTGAAGGTCAAATAGCTGTGTCAGAACCAGAGTTCAAGCCCAGTATTCGGTATTTCTCCACCCCCCCAGATATATAACTGCCTCCCATTGGCATTAGTCTTGATGACCTTAATCAGAAGTTTTGGAAGTGAGTTCAAGATTCTTTAATGTGTAACCGGACTACAATACAAATGCTAAAACTCTTTCCTTCCAAGATCCATTGAACTCCTTAATCCTAGGCAGTTTCTTTTCTGTATCCATTTTTTTCTCCTTTAATAATAGCAATTATTATATGATACTCCTGACCATAATTTTCAGGCATTTGTTATTTTAATGCTTACCATTACCCTGATGTAGACATTTTTATATTCCCCTTTTAGGGAGGAAAAACTGCTCAAGGTCACCTTGCCAAAGTGGCTCTGGATGCCTTTGAGCCCAGATAGCGTGGATACAGAGTCCATGTTCTTAACCTTGTGTGAACCAGATTACATGTAAACCAGGACTCAGAAGGCCTGAAGCTTTCATTTTTCTCTGGCTATGTGACCTGGGGTTAATTACTCTGTACCCTATTTGTCTCATCTGTAAAATAAAGTGTTTGACTTAGTATCTATATTCAAGGTGGTGAGACTATGAATGGTAAAAGGTAATGGAATCATGACATCTACACAAGCTGTCTTAACCAATAACTGCTGATGCAACTTGGAGCAATCCATTCGATTTCTCAATGACTCAATTTTCTTTGTAAAATTGAAATAATAATAATAATTCCTTCTCCTCACTAAGTTGTCATAAGAGCTCAGTAAGAAACAAGATGCTCAGGGATCTAGAACTAGAAATACCATTTGACCCAGCCATCCCATTACTGGGTATATACCCAAAGGACTATAAATCATGCTGCTATAAAGACACATGCACACGTATGTTTATTGTGGCATTATTCACAATAGCAAAGACTTGGAACCAACCCAAATGTCCAACAATGATAGACTGGATTAAGAAAATGTGGCACACATACACCATGGAATACTATGTAGCCATAAAAAATGATGAGTTCATGTCCTTTGTAGGGACATGGATGAAATTGGAAATCATCATTCTCAGTAAACTATCGCAAGAACAAAAAACCAAACACCGCATGTTCTCACTCATAGGTGGGAATTGAACAATGAGAACACATGGACACAGGAAGGGGAACATCATACTCTGGGGACTGCTGTGGGGTGGGGGGAGGGGGGAGGGATAGCATTGGGAGATATACCTAATGCTAGATGACGAGTTAGTGGGTGCAGTGCACCAGCATGTCACATGTATACATATGTAACTAACCAGCACATTGTGCACATGTACCCTAAAACTTAAAGTATAATAATAATAATAATAATAAAAATAATAGTACAAAACAATTTACAATAGAAGATAAATACCAATTCTGCCCACCCAAATGTCAGTTCTGTTATATGTCAGGGATAATTTCTTTTAACTATTTCTGGTTTTATATTTTCTGACGGTTACACAGCAATAAGTTATGATTAAACTCTGTATTTTGAATTAAAAAAAGAAAATAATTCCAAAATCAAAAAAAAGATTTCTATAAATATTAGATATTATATATTAAATCTTATTTTATAAATAATAAATATTTGTTACAGAATTTTTAAGATAAAAAGGTGCCCAGAAAATAAAATACAGAACACAAAAAATTCTTGTTATTGAGAAATAAATACTTTTAGCATTTTGTGTTATAGACTGTCAGTCTTTTTTTTTTGTCTAGATATATAGCAGTTGCTGTCGGTGCCTGACCCATATCCCTCAGATCAGCCTGTTTCAGTGTACTCCAAAAGACTTCCAACAGCCATATGTGCCTCTCCATGCTTGAGGGCTTTTTCAAGAACCGCAGAAAGCCATTCTGCTGATGAAAGACAGGGACAGACTGGAGTACATGGAAATTAACACCTCTCTGTAGCTGCCTATAACTCATGGCTGACTCAACTTGGAGTATAAGTATTATTCCATCTCCCTGCTTCTTGGGTGGGACAATTCTGTGTTGTAGTCTCTTTCCCAGAGTTTTTCTGTGTGATTAAGTTTCAGCTGTCCACTGCAGTAGTTGGTGTGGTAACATACTCTACATAGGCTGACTTTCCCTGCTTGTGCTGCTTCGTGACTCCCGTGATATGATTCCTGTTCTTCCCTAATAAGCAAATTGCACTCAAATTCTTGCCTCCTAGTCCACTTCAGAAGGAAATCTAATATTAGATATGATAGAACAGGGTCTGACACACAGCAGTTGTTTGGTTGTTTAATACTTCTTTTTTGGATTCTTATTTCATGTAGGAAGAAATTTAGGCTTGGGTATGTAGTTGAGTTAGGGTTTGAACACAGGTTTGACTCCAGAGCCTAAGTTTTAACCATTATTCTTTAAGAATTGATAGCAATTTTAAGGCATTCATGAATATACCCATTAGCCTTCCAACTGGTTCTCTTCTAGGCTTGCCTTTACTACCTTTTAACATGTAGAAGATTATGTTTCTTCTCTGCTAAAAATTTTGCAAAATTTTTCCATTTCATTTAAGTTAAACTAGAGTTCTTATAATGGCCTGAAACATCATACATGATTTGGTCCCTCTACCTCCACTACTCTTTCGACTTCATTCTTATGATTTTTCGTTCTCTCACTCTAATCTAGGCATACTGGTCATTGGGCTTTTCCTGTAAGCTGCCAAGAATACTCTTGCCTCAGGGCCTTTGCACTGGCCATTCTACATTCTTCCTCCAATATCTCCATGACTCTTTTCTCTATCTCCTTCAGGTTTCTGCTTAAACGTTATCTGCTTATTGAGTCCTTTCCTCTCATTCCTTTTAAAAAATGCATTTCCCTTGGGCTTGTCTCCCATGTTCCTCATTTTCATTTCCTTCCTTTATTTTTCCTCATAGTTCTTAGCACCATCTTTTATACTATATATATTTCACTGAAAAATGGTTTATTGGACCAGAATCTAAGCTCTGCAGGAGCAGAGATTTTTGTTTTGTTTAACTTACTCTGTTTCTGGTACCCAAAACAGTGGCCTCAATAAATATTTGTTAAAGAATGAATGAATAAAAGTCATGCTGATGAGTGTTATTATTGAATACCAGAGGAAGAGAAATTCTTTATATCAAATAGTTTTTCTGACTCTCGGCATTTTTTTTTACCAGCTCTCACCAGTCATCGTATCTTTATGGTTTAGCCACTAAAGTTGTAATTGGGTCTTCTGTCTCAGCAACATGATGACACACCACAGCAGCTGCTTAGATTTAACAGAATTCAGTTTTGATAGGTCGTTCAATGCTTTTGAATGTGCTTTCAGTATTCTAACTTTTTCTGTTTTTTTAAAAATTCCTTTCAGAATTTCCTCCACTTCCCTACAATGCTGACTCTGAGATTCTCTCATGAAGCTTGACTCTCTTTTCTCAGTGATATTTATCTTAACTTCTACAGATACCTTCCTTTTTTCCTTCTTTTTTTTTTTCTCCTGCTGTCTCTGTCAGAGAGAATTTGTTAAATTGCAGCCTGGTTTCTTATCAGAGGCACACATATTTGGATGTAATTGTCTAATGGTCTCCTGAATAAACTTTTCATTCAGAGTCCAATGTTTGATATCCATCAGTCTACCCTCTGTATAAGTTGTGTGACTCTATAATTGAAGAATAAATTGTGTGGAAATTCAGTACTCACTATGACATAAGAGGTAAAATTTACTGTAGTGATTAGATGATAACTGTTGACTTAAAATGAGTATATCTAGCTTAGTTTTTTCCTCCATGAAAGTGAAACACTTTTGGATTATTTAGATCAGTATTATGGTAATATCTCTTGATAATCTAACTTTAAAGCATATCTTCTGATCTATTTCCTTAATGAGACTTTCTCTGATTCACTTTACATAATTTTCAATCAGTTGGTACATGTCTGGATTCAATACTTTTCTTTCACCTCTCTTTATAGTTACCATGATTTATAAATAGTATTGTGGAATGGTGAAGAACATGGGCTGTGGATTTAGGTAAATTGTGTTAGAACCTACTACTGTCAGTGATTAGCTTTGTAACCTTGAACAAAATATTTAACCTCTCTAAGCCCCTTTCTAATCTGTAAAATGGGAATAATAATAATTCCTAATTCACTGAGTTGTTGTGGAGATTAGTAATATTGTGTATGGAATATTTAGCATAGTGTCTGGTGGATGGTAAGCAGTCAGTGCACATTAACTGTTTTTAAATATACACAGAAAATACATGTGTGTGCTCATTATAAATGATCTGCATGTTCTCATTCATTCTCCATGTAAACCTTGATTTTCTGTTATGTTCTTTAGTGATTTTTAGGTCTTTAACTGTTATTACCTGAAATTGTTATTAAACAAATAACTCACAGAAGACAAAATCTTATGCGTAAGGACTTCTTGGCCATGTTGTACATTTTTGTTTATTAGTTGCTTATTCCTTAGAGACTATATCTTTTCTTCATACAAGTTAGGCTCACTGAGCCACAAAATGTTGAATATTCTATTCAAATCATTCATTTTATAAAATGAAACATTAAAATCTAGCATGCAAGGGGCAGAGCTGGGACTGAGCACAAATCTATAGTACTTAGCAGTGTCAAACCACACTACATGCCTTGCTGGGTATTCAGGGCCTGCTCAGTGCCTGACCAAATAGAATGTCATTCAGCAACATTTTTTAAAACTATATTAGCCATTGTTTTTCCTCTTCCACCACTCTTGTAACTCTAGGGGGGAAAATACAGTATCTGTGGAACTTCAAGGGATTTTCTAGAACCTCCTGACTGTCCAAGGATCACTTTGCAGTCTAAATAGTGTTAATTTGAGTGTATAAGTTATAAAACACGATTACTTTCCTTTTCACAGCCTCTCAGACATGCCTCAATTGCTCTGTGATACGTTATGATAGAATGTGTAAAGTGACCACTAAAAATGTTTTGAGGGTTAAGAGTCAGCATGTTTTACTGGAAGGAGCAACTTGATAGAGACTATAAATACCAACATTCAAATTTTAATAACATCTGTGCAGAGATCACATTTGACAGTGCTGATACTGTTTTTTGATAATCTCTTTTCTCTTGGTTTCATAATTTTTCTTGATTGTCCTTTAAATGGGTGCTGTCCTGTACTCTCCTTCCACCATGTAAGTTTTTCTGTTGTAGCAGCTATGCAACAGTTTTGCAAGTGTCTCTCAAATTTTCTGTGAACCCCATTAGAGCCCAATCCTTGCCCAGAAACTCTATCATATTAATTTTTATAATCCCTACTCCCTGGTACCTACAATGATTGTTCTGTATTAGGTGATCAATAATAATAGAATAGAGTGGTTGGACAATTTGGAATAAATTAATTCTTGTTCCTTTTAATTCTCTTTTGATGGCTAATCTTCTTTTAATCCATTCAGTAGTAGTGTTTCTAGGGCCTACATCTTTGGTCCTCTTCTGAATTCACCTCTGTGCACTCTTCTTGAGTTACCTTACTTTCTCCTATTTCATGTCTATATATGCCAATGATGCCAGATATTTTTCTCTAATACTAATCTCTCTCCTGAGCTCAAACTTGTATTTCTGTCTTCTTAGTATCATAACGTGGATCCTACCCTTATCTTCTAATCCATTCAAGGTTAGGGTCTCCAGAGCTACTCTTTTCATAAAATGATTCAAGCTTGTTAAGTTTCCCTCTACTCTGCAAATCTGTAGACTTATGTTAACAGTTCAAACTTAAAATGTGCAAGTTAGAGGCTTGGTGGCTATGGTTCTTCTCCCCGCTTCACCTATTACAACCCTTATTTTAACAAATCTTGTCCCTTCTACATTAGAAACTTCTTTTGAATTTACCCCTAGCTCTCTGTCTTCACTATCAATGTCTTGTTTCAATCCTCTGTCTTCTTTTGTGTGGTATATTACAACAGCTTACCACTTTTGGTCTTTTCACTACTGCTTCTTCCCACTGCAGCCTGTCTTTCACATATCTACCAGAGGCATCTTCCCCCATAACAAAGAGGCTCATGCCATCATCCTGCTTAAAGATTTCTGTTGGTTTCCACTCTCTCCTTCCAAAACGTGATATCATACATCTCCAGTTGCATTTTCCTTACCCTGCCCACAAAACACTAGACTCTAGGCATATGCAACTGGACTCTTCTCCCAAAGCCAGGCTTTTCATGCTCTGTGCCTCTATACCTGACTTCTTATTTGCTTGTTATGTCCTTCTCATCTTTCTTTTTTTTAAATTTAATTTTTTTTATTATACTTTAAGTTCTACGGTATATGTGCACAATGTGCAGGTTTGTTACTTAGGTACACATGAGCCATGTTGGTTTGCTGCACCCATCAACTCATCATTTACATTAGGTATTTCTCCTAATGCTATCCCTCCCCCAGCCCCCACCAACTGACAGGCCCCAATGTTTGATGTACCCGACCCTGTGTGCATGCGTTCTTGTTGTTCAACTCCACCTATGAGTGTGAATATGCGGTGTTTGGTTTTCTGTCCTTGTGATAGTTTGCTTAGAATGATGATTTCTAGCTTCATCCATGTCTCTGCAAAGGACAATAACTCATCCATTTTTATGGCTGCATAGTATTCCATGGTGTATATGTGCCACATTTTCTTAATCCAGTCTATTGTTGATGGACATTTGGGTTTATTCCAAGTCTTTGCTATTGTGAATAGTGCCACAATAAACATACGTGTACATGTGTCTTTATAGCAGCATGATTTATAATCCTTTGGGTATATACCTAGTAATGGGATTGCTGGGTCAGATGGTATTGCCAGTTCTAGATCCTTGAGGAATTGCCACACTATCTTCCACAATGGTTGAACTAATTTACAGTCCCAACAACAGTGTAAAAGCATTCCTATTTTTCCACATCCTCTCCAGCATCTCTTGTTTACTGACTTTTTAATGATCGACATTCTAACTGGCGTGAGATGGCATCTCATTGTGATTTTGATTTGCATTTCTCTAATGACCAGTGGTGATGAGCATTTTTTCATATGTCTGTTGGCTGCATAAATGTCTTCTTTTGAGAAGTGTCTGTTCATGTCCTTCGCCTACTTTTTGATAGGGTTGTTTGTTTTTTTCTTGTAAATTTGTTTGAGTTCATTGTAGATTCTGGATATTAGCCCTTTGTCAGATGGGTAGATTGCAAAGATTTTCTCCCATTCTGTAGGTTGCCTGTTCACTCTGATGATAGTTTCTTTTGCTGTGCAGAAGCTCTTTAGTTTAATTAGATCCCATTTGTCTAGTTTGGCTTTTGTTGCCATTGCTTTTGGTGTTTTAGTCATGGGGTCTTTGCACATGCCTATGTCCTGAATGGTATTGCCTAGGTTTTGTTCTAGAGCTTTTATGGTGTTAGGTCTTACATTTAAGTTTTTAAACCATCTTGAGTTAATCTTTGTCTAGGTGTAAGGAAAGGATCCAGTTTCAGCTTTCTACACATGGCTACCCAGTTTTCACAGCACTATTTATTAAATAGAGAATCCTTTCCCCATTTCTTGTTTTTGTCAGGTTTGTCAAGGACCAGATGGATGTAGATGTGTGGTGTTATTTCAGAGGTCTCTGTTCTGTTCCATTGGTCTATATCTCTGTTTTGGTACCAGTGCCATGCTGTTTTGGTTACTGTAGCCTTGTAGTATAGTTTGAAGTCAGGTAGCGTGATGCCTCCAGCTTTGTTCTTTTTGTTTAGGATTGTCTTAGCTATGTGGGCTCTTTTTTGGTTCCATATGAAATTAAAAGTAGTTTTTTATTAATTCTCTGAAGAAAGTCAGTGGTAGCTTGATGGGGATGGCATTGAATCTATAAATTACCTTGGGCAGTATGGCCATTTTCACAATATTGATTCTTCCTATCCATGAGCATGGAATGTTCTTCCATTTTTTTGTGTCCTCTTTTATTTCATTGAGAAGTGGGTTTGTAGTTCTCCTTGAAGAGGTCCTTCACATCCTTTGTAAGTTGTATTCCTAGGTATTTTATTCTCTTTGTAGTAATTGTGAATGGGAGTTCACTCATGATTTGGCTCTCTGTTTGTCTATTATTAGTGTATAGGAATACTTGTGATTTTTGCACATTGATTTTGTATCCTGAGACTTTGCTGAAGTTGCTTATCAGCTTAAGAAGACTTTGGGCTGAGACAATGGGGTTTTCTAAATATACAATCATGTCATCTGCAAACAGAGACAATTTGACTTCCTCTTTTCCTAATTGAATACCCTTTATTTCTTTCTTCTGCCTGATTGCCCTAGCCAGAACTTCCAATACTATGTGGAATAGGAGTGGTGAGAGAGGGTGTCCTTGTCTTGTGCTGGTTTTCAAGTGGAATTCTTCCAGCTTTTGGCCATTCAGTACGATATTGGCTGTGGGTTTATCATAAATAACTCTTATTATTTTGAGATACGTTCCATCAACACCTAGTTTATTGAGAGTTTTTTGCATGAAAGGCTGTTAAATTTTGTCAAAGGCCTTTTCTGCATCTATTGAGATAATCAGGTGATTTTTGTCATTGGTTCTGTTTATGTGATGGATTACTTTTATTGATTTGCATATGTTGAACCAGTCTTGCATCCCAGGGATGAAGCCCACTTGATCATGTTGGATAAGCTTTTTGATGTGCTGCTGGATTTGGTTTGCCAGTATTTTATAGAGGATTTTCACATCAATGTTCATCAGGGTTATTGGCCTAAAATTCTCTTTTTT
This sequence comes from Homo sapiens, assembly GCF_000001405.40. Taxonomy (NCBI): domain Eukaryota; kingdom Metazoa; phylum Chordata; class Mammalia; order Primates; family Hominidae; genus Homo; species Homo sapiens. The sequence goes on along the minus strand of NC_000011.10, from coordinate 85,401,033 downwards.
TTTTGTTATGTCTCTGCCAGGCTTTGGTATCAGGATGATGCTAGCCTCATAAAATGAGTTTGGGAGAATTCCCTCTTTTTCTTTTTTTTTTTTTAATTATTATTATACTTTAAGTTTTAGGGTACATGTGCACAATGTGCAGGTTAGTTACGTATGTATACATGTGCCATGCTGGTGTGCTGCACTCATTAACTCGTCATTTAGCATTAGGTATATCTCCTAATGCTATCCCTCCCCTCTCCCCCCACCCCACAACAGTCTCCAGAGTGTGATGTTCCCCTTCCTGTGTCCATGTGTTCTCATTGTTCAATTCCCATCTATGAGTGAGAACATGCGGTGTTTGGTTTTTTGTCCTTGCGATAGTTTACTGAGAATGATGATTTCCAATTTCATCCATGTCCCTACAAAGGAAATGAACTCATCATTTTTTATGGCTGCATAGTATTCCATGGTGTATATGTGCCACATTTTCTTAATCCAGTCTATCATTGTCGGACATTTGGGTTGGTTCCAAGTCTTTGCTATTGTGAATAATGCCGCAATAAACATACGTGTGCATGTGTCTTTATAGCAGCATGATTTATAATCCTTTGGGTATATACCCAGTAATGGGATGGCTGGGTCAAATGGTATTTCTAGTTCTAGATCCCTGAGGAATCGCCACACTGACTTCCACAATGGTTGAACTAGTTTACACTCCCACCAACAGTGTAAAAGTGTTCCTATTTCTCCACATCCTCTCCAGCACCTGTTGTTTCCTGACTTTTTAATGATAGCCATTCTAACTGGTGTGAGATGGTATCTCATTGTGGTTTTGATTTGCATTTCTCTGATGGCCAGTGATGGTGAGCATTTTTTCATGTGTCTTTTGGCTGCATAAATATCTTCTTTTGAGAAGTGTCTGTTCCTATCGTTTGCCCACTTTTTGATGGGGTTGTTTGTTTTTTTCTTGTAAATTTGTTTGAGTTCTTTGTAGATTCTGGATATTAGCCCTTTGTCAGATGAGTAGGATGTGAAAATTTTCTCCCATTTTGTAGGTTGCCTGTTCACTCTGATGGTAGTTTCTTTTGCTGTGCAGAAGCTCTTGAGTTTAATTAGATCCCATTGGTCAATTTTGGCTTTTGTTGCCATTGCTTTTGGTGTTTTAGACATGAAGTCCTTGCCCATGCCTATGTCCTGAATGGTAATGCCTAGGTTTTCTTCTAGGGTTTTTATGGTTTTAGGTCTAACATTTAAGTCTTTAATCCATCTTGAATTAATTTTTGTATAAGGTGTAAGGAGGGGATCCAGTTTCAGCTTTCTACATATGGTTAGCCAGTTTTCCCAGCACCATTTATTAAATAGGGAATCCTTTCCCCATTGATTGTTTTTCTCAGGTTTGTCAAAGTTCAGATCGTTGTAGATATGTGGCATTATTTCTGAGGGCTCTGTTCTATTCCATTGATCTATATGTCTGTTTTAGTACCAGTACCATGCTGTTTTGGTTACTGTAGCCTTGTAGTATAGTTTGAAGTCAGGTAGCGTGATGCCTCCAGCTTTGTTCTTTTGGCTTAGGGTTGACTTGGTGATGCGGGCTCTTTTTTGGTTCCATATGAACTTTAAAATAGTTTTTTCCAATTCTGTGAAGAAAGTCATTGGTAGCTTGATGGGGATGGCATTGAATCTATAAATTACCTTGGGCAGTATGGCCATTTTCACGATATTGATTCTTCCTACCCATGAGCATGGAATGTTCTTTCGTTTGTTTGTGTCCTCTTTTATTTCATTGAGCAGTGGTTTGTAGTTCTCCTTGAAGAGGTCCTTCATATCCCCTGGAAGTTGGATTCCTAGGTATTTTATTCTCTTTGAAGCAATTGTGAATGGGAGTTCACTCATGATTTGGCTCTCTGTTTGTCTGTTATTGGTGTATAAGAATGCTTGTGATTTTTGCACATTGATTTTGTATCCTGAGACTTTGCTGAAGTTGCTTATCAGCTTAAGGAGATTTTGGGCTGAGACAATGGGGTTTTCTAAATATACAATCATGTGGTCTGCAAACAGGGACAATTTGACTTCCTCTTTTCCTAATTGAATACCCTTTATTTCCTTCTCCTGCCTAATTGCCCTGGCCAGAACATAGTGTTGGAATTCCCTCTTTTTCTATTGATTGAAATAGTTTCAGAAGCAATGGTAGCAGCTCCTCTTTGTACCTCTGGTAGAATTTGGCTGTGAATCTGTCTTGTCCTGGACTTTTTTTGGTGAGTAGGCTATTAATTATCGCCTCAATTTTGGAACCTGTTATTGGGTTATTCAGAGATTCAACTTCTTCCTGGTTTAGTCTTGGGAGAGTATGTGTCCAGGAATTTATCCATTTCTTCTAGATTTTCTAGTTTAGTTGTGTAGGGATGTTTATAGTATTCTCTGATGGTAGTTTGTATTTCTGTGGGATTGTGGTGATATCCCCTTTATCATTTTTTATTGCATCTATTTGATTCTTTTCTCTTTTCTTCTTTATTAGTCCTGCTAGTGGTCTATCAATTTTGTTGATATTTTCAAAAATCCAGCTCCTGGATTCATTGATTTTTTGAAGATTTTTTTGTGTCTCTGTCTCCTTCAGTTCTTCTCTGATCTTAGTTATTTCTTGCCTTCTGCTAGCTTTTGAATGTGTTTGCTCCAGCTTCTCTAGTTCTTTTAATTATGATGTTAAGGTGTCAATTTTAGATCTTTCCTGTTTTCTCTTGTGTGCATTTAGTGCTATAAATTTCCCTCTTCAAACTGCTTTAAATGTGTCCCAAAGATTCTGGTACGTTGTGTCTTTGTTCTCATTGGTTTCAAAGACCATCTTTATTTCTGCCTTCATTTTGTTATTTACCCACTAGTCATTCAGGAGCAAGTTGTTCAGTTTCCATAAAGTTGTGCGGTTTTGAGTGAGTTTCTTAATACTGATTTCTGATTTGATTGCACTGTGGTCTGAGAGACAGTTTGTTGTGATTTCTGTTCTTTTACATTTGCTGAGGAGTGTTTTACTACCAATTATGTGGTCAATTTTAGAATAAGTGCAATGTGGTGCTGAGAACAATGTATATTCTGTTGATTTGGGGTGGAGAGTTCTGTAGATGTCTATTAGGTCCGCTTGGTCCAGAGCTGTGTTCAAGCCCTGGATATCCTTGTTAACCTCCTCTTTCATTGATCTGTCTGTTATTGACAGTGGGGTGTTGAAGTCACCCATTATTATTGTTTGGGAGTCTAAGACTCTTTGTAGGTCTCTGATGACTTGCTTTATGAATCTGGGTGCTCCTGTATTGGGCGCATATATATTTAAGATGTTAACTCCTCTTGCTGAATTGATCCTTTTACCATTATGTAGTGGCCTTCTTTGTCTCTTTTGATCTTTGTTGGTTTAAAGTCTGTTTTATCAGAGACTAGGATTGCAACTCCTGCTTTTTTTTGCTTTCCATTTGCTTGGTATATCTTCCTCCATCCCTTTATTTTGAGCCTATTTTTGTCTTTGCACATGAGATGTGTCTCCTGAATACAGCATACCAATGGTGCTTGATTCTTTATCCAATTTGCCAATCTTTATCTTTTAAATCGGGCATTTTGCCCATTTACATTTAAGGTTAATATTATTATGTTTGAACTTGATCTTGTCATTATGATGTTAGGTGGTTATTTTGCCCGTTAATTGATGCAGTTTCTTCATATCATTGATGCTCTTTACCATTTGGCATGTTTTTGCAGTGGCTGGTACTTGTTGTTCCTTTCCATGTTTGGTGCTTCCTTCAGTAGCTCTTATAAGGCATGCCTGGTGGTGACAAAATCTCTCAGCATTCACTTGTCTGTAAAGGATTTTATTTCTCATTCTCTTAAGAAGTTTAGTTTGGCTGGATATGAAATTCTGGGTTGAAAACTCTTTTCTTTAAGAATGTTGAATATTGGCCCCTGCTCTCTTCTGGCTTGTAGGGTTCCTGCTGAGAGATCTGCTGTTAGTCCGATGGGCTTCCCTTTGTGGGTAACCCAACCTCTCTCTTTGGATGCCCTTAATATTTTTTCCTTTATTTCAACCTTGGCAAATCTGACAATTATATGTCTTGGGGTTGCTCTTCTCGAGGAGTATCTTTGTGGTGTTCTCCTTATTTCCTGAATTTGAATGTTGGCCTGCCTTGCTAGGTTAGGGAAGTTGTCCTGAATAATATCTTGAAGAGTGTTTTCTAACTTGGTTCAATTCTCCGCATCACTTTCCAGTACACCAATCAAACATATATTTGGTCTTTTCACGTAGTCCCATATTTCTTGGAGGCTTTGTTCATTTCTTTGTATTCTTTTTTCTCTAACCTTTTCTTCTCAGTTTATTTCATTAATTTGATCTTCAATTACTGATATCCTTTCTTCCACTTGATTGAATTGGCTGTTGAAGCTTGTGCATGCATCGCGAAGTGCTCGTGCTGTGGTTTTCACCTCCATCAGGTCATTTAAGATCTTCTCTACACTGTTTATTTTAGTTAGCCAATCGTCTAACCTTTTTTCAAGGTTTTTAGCTTCCTTCTGATGGGTTAGAACATGCTCCTTTAGCTTGGAGAAGTTTGTTATTACCGACCTTCTGAAGCCTAGTTCTGTCACCTCTTCAAACTCATTCTCTGTCCAGTTTTGTTCCCTTGCTGTTGAGAAGCTGTGATCCTTTGGAGGAAAAGAGGTGCTCTCTTTTTTGGAATTTCAGCTTTTCTGCTCTTGTTTCTCCCCATGTTTGTGGTTATATCTACCTTTGGTCTTTGATTCTGGTGTCCTAAAGATGGGGTTTCGGTGTGGATGTCTTCTTTGTTGTTGTTGATGCTATTCCTTTCTGTTTGTTAGTTTTCCTTCTAACAAACAGTCAGACCCCTCAGCTGCAGGTCTGTTGGAGTTTGCTGTAGGTCCACTCCAGACACTGTTTGACTGGGTATCACCAGCGGAGGCTGCAGAACAGCAAATATTGCTGCCTCATCCTTCTTCTGGAAGCATCGTCCCAGAGGAACACCCACCTGTTTGAGGTGTCTGTCGGCCCCTACTGGGAGGTGTTTCCCAGTCAGGCTACACAGGGGTCAGGGACTCACTTGAGGAGGCAGTCTGTTTGTTCTCAGAGCTCAAACCCCATGCTGAGAGAACCACTGGTCTCTTCAGAGCTGTCAGACAGGGATGTTTAAATCTGCAGAAGCTGTCTGCTGCCTTTTGTTCAGATATGCCCTGCCCTTAGAAGTGGAATCGATAGAGGCAGTAGGCCTTGCTGAGCTGTGGTGGGCTCCACCCAGTTTGTGCTTCCTGGCCTCTTTGTTTACACTGTGAGCTACTCAAGCCTCAGCAATGGCAGACGCCCCTCCCCCTGTCAAGCTGCAGCATTGCAGGTCAATCTCAGACTGCTGTGCTAGCAGTGAGCAAGTCTCTGTGGGCAGGGGACCCACTGAGTCAGGCATGGGAGGGTATCTCCTGGTCTGCTGGTTGCTAGGACTGTGGGAAAAGTGCAGTATTTGGCTCAGAGTGTACCGTTTCTCTAGGTATGGCCTGTCACGGCTTCCCTTGGCTAGGAAAGTGGAATCCCCTTACCCCTTGCACTTCCTGTTTGAGGCAACACCCCGCCCTGCTTCAGCTCACCCTCCATGGGCTGCACCCACTGTCCAACCAGTCCCAATGAGATGAACCAGGTACCTCATTTGGAAATGCAGAAACCACCCCTCTTCTGCCTCGATATTGCTGGGAGCTGCAGACCAGAGCTGTTCCTATTCAGCCACCCTGGAAGCAACTGCTTCTTATCTTTCTTGATCCAGCTTAAATGTTACTCTTCTGTGAGGCTCTTCCTAAATATCCTAACATTCTGATCTTTATTAACACTTTTTTCATTTATATGTTTATGTACCTGTTCCATGAAAGGGCTGTTTATGCAAAGTTGTCCCCAAGTGCCAAAGGAACAGATAAACAAAGAAAGAGGCAGACAAATCCAGTTTGTCAGTAAGAGTGTTTCACTGGGAGATCTTACAGACAGAAGCATGGTCTTTGGCATTTGCAAGACAGGTAGATCTCTGGTACTACTCCTTAGGCCCAGGGCTTATATATCATAGTGCAAAAGTATACATGTTCCAGCAAGACAATTAATTGGAGCCCTGCAGAACAGGCAAGAATGCTATATTCATCATAACCTATAATTTGTGTGGTAACATCAAGGTTCACATGTTCTTACACTAAGAACAGTAAATGAAGTAGGAATTAGGAGGCATTCATGGTGTTGGGGCTAACCAGAAGTCAACATGGCAGATTAGCATCTGAGATGGAGTCACTTTTGTCTTTATAATATCTGTCTCACCCTAGATTGTGAGAATAGGGAAATTGCCTTATTTTATTCTTGAATGGCTGGGCCTTATTCAGTGATTCATTGCTCAATAAATGTCTTGAGTTAATAAAATACTTACTGAATGTTAAGTTACATTTTCTCAGTCTTTTGAGAAGTCAACAATTATTCTAACCAACTTTAGTGCTAAATCAGAGATGTTTACACATTTCAGTGTGTTTTGGCAGGGTCGGGGCCTGACATCTGCTGCAGGTGGCACAGACATCAGTGTTGTCTTTTGCTGTCACTCACCTGCTGTGTGATGCTTTAGCTTCCAAAGCTTTACTCTTTTTATCTGAAAGTGGCTATTGCCATGCTCATTGGTTTGTTAAAAATTTTAAACGTACTAATGTTTTTTAAGCAGATCTTTCACTTTTAAAAAGTTGGCAAATAAAAATGAAATATATTTATGGTGTACCACATGATGTGTTGATTTACACTGATATATAGTGGAATGGCTAAATCAATCTAATTAACATATATATTACCTCATTTGTTTTAAAATATCTTCAAGTATATACATCTTATAGTTATTTAGATGTTTAAACAAAAAGATAAAAAGGAACAGAAGTTAAGGGCAGACAACCTGTCTTCTGCTGATATATAGATTCTTTTTTCTAGATTTTCCACTTGAAAATATTTCAATAGGTTTTTTTGGGGAACAGGTGGAGCTTGGTTACATGAATAAGTTCTTCAGTGATGATTCCTGAGATTTTGGTGCACCCATCCCCTGAGCAGTGTACACTGTACCCAGTGTGTAGTCTTTTATTCTTCATCCCTCTCACACCCTTTCTCCTGAGTCCCCAATGTCCATCGTATCACTTTTATGCCTTTGCATCCTCATAGCTCAGCTTCCATTTATGAGTGAGAACATAAGATGTTTAGTTTTTCTATTCCTGAGTTACTTCACTTAGAATAATGGTTTCCAGTTCCATCCACATATATACATAAAATATACATACATATTATATACATATAATAGAATACCACTTGGCCATAAAAAGGAATGAAATAATGACATTTGCTGCAACCTGAATACACACACACACACACACACACACACACACACATATGCATACCATATATATATATATACCACATTTTCTTTATCCACTTGTTGATTGTTGGGCATTTGGGCTGGTCCATTTTTTGCAATTGCAAATTGTGCTGCTATACACGTGTGTGTGCAGGTGTCTTTTTCATATAATGACTTCTTTTTCTCTGGGTAGATATCCAGGAGTGGGATTGCTGAATCAAATGGTTGATTTACTTTTAGTTCTTTAAGGAATCTCCAAAATGTTTTCCATAGTAGTTGTATTACATTCCCACCAACAGTGTAAAAGTGTTCCTTTTCACCACATCCATGCTAACAACTATTATTTTTTGGTGTTTTGAATATGACCATTCTTGAAGGAGTGAGGTGGTATCACATTGCAGTTTTGATTTGCATTTCCTTGGTAATTAGTGATGTTGAGCATTTTTTCATATGTTTGTTGGCCATTTGCATATTTTCTTTTGAGAATTATTTATTCATGTCCTTTGCCCACTTTTTGATAGGATTGTTTGTTTTGTTCTTGCTGATTTGAGTTTCTTGTAGATTGTGGATATTAGTTGTTTGTTGGATGTATAGACTGTGAAGATTTTCTCCTATTCTATGGGTTGTCTGTTAATTCTGCTGATTATTTATATTGCTGTGCAAAAGCTTTTTAGTTTAATTAAGTCCCATCTACTTATCTTTGTTTTTGTTGTATCAGCTTTTGTGTTCTTGGTTATCAAGTCTTTGCCTAAGTCAATGTCTAGAAGGGTTTTTCCGATGTTATCTTCTAGAATTTTTGTGGTTTCAGCTCTTATATTTCAGTCTTTGATCCATCTTGAGTTGATTTTTGTGTAAGGTGAGAGATGAGACAAGGATCCAGTTTCATTCTTCCACATGTGGCATGCCAGTTATCCCAGCACCATTTGTTGAATAGGGTGTCCTTTTCCCACTTTATGATTTTGTCTGCTTTGTTGAAGATCAGGTGACTGTGAGTATTTGAGTTTATTTCTGCGTTCTCTATTGTGTTCCATTGGTCTATATGCCTGTTTTTATACCAATACCATGTTGTTTTGGTGACTATGGCCTTATAGTATAGTTTGAAGTCAGGTAGTATGATGCCTCCAGATTTGTTCTTTTTCATTATATAATGTTCCTCTTTGTTTTGCTTTGCTTAGTCTTGCTTTGGCTATGCAGACTATTTTGGTTCCATATGAATTTTAAGATTTTTTTTTTTTTTTAGTTTTGTGAAGAATGATGGTGGTATTTTGATAGGAATTGCATTGAATTCATAGATTGCTTTTGGCAGTATGGTCATTTTCACAATATTGATTCTACCCATCCTTAAGCATGGGATATGTTTCCATTTGTTTGTGTCATATATGATTTCTTACAGCAATGTTTTGTAGTTTTCCTTGCAGAGGTCTTTCACCTCCTTGCTTAAGTATATTCCTAAGTATTTTATTTTCTTTGCAGGTATTGTAAAAGGGGTTGAGTTCTTGATTTGATTTTCAACTTGGTCGCTGTTGGTGTATAGCAGAGCCACTAATTTTTTACATTAATTTTGTTTTCTGAAACTTTGCTTAATTTATTTGCCAGTTCTAGGAGCTTCCTGGAGGAGTCTTTAGGGTTTTCTAGGTATGTAATCACATCATCAGTAAACACAGAGAGTTTGACTTCCTCATTACCAATTTGGATGCCCTTTATTTCTTTCTCTTGTCTCATTGCTCTGGCTAGGGCTTCTAGTACTATGTTGAATAGAAGTGGTGAAAGTTGGCATCATTGTCTTGGTCCAGTTCTCAGCAGGGATGCTTTCAACTTTTCCCCAGTCAGTATATTATTCACTGTGGGTTTGTCATAGATGGCTTTTATTACCTTAAGGTGTGTCCCTTGTATGCTGATTTTGCTGAGAATTTTAATCATAAAGAGATGCTGGATTTGGTCAAATGCTTTTTCTGTATCTGTTAAGATGATCATCTGATTTTTGTTTTTAGTTCTGTTTGTGTGGTGTATCACATTTATTGGCTTGTGGATGTTAAACCATCCCAGCATCTCTGGTATGAAATCCACTTGATCATGGTGGATGATCTTTTTCATAAGCTGTTGGATTCTGTTAGCTAGTATTTTGTTGAGGATTTTTGCATTTATGTTCATCAGAGATATTGGTCTGTAGTTTTCTCTTTTGGTTATGTCCTTTCCTGGTTTTGCTATTAGTGATACTGGCTTCATAGAATGATTTAGAGAGGATTCCCTCCTTCTTTATCTTTTGGAATAGTACCAATGGGATTGGTACCAATTCCTTGAATGTCTGATATAATTCAGCTGTGAGTCCATCTGGTCCTGGACTATTTTTTGTTGTTGGCAACTTTTAAATTACCATTTCAGTCTTGCTGCTTGTTATTGGCCTGTTCAGAGTTTCTATTTCTTTCTGGTTTAATCTGGGAGGAATTTGTATACTTCCAGGAATTTATCCATGTCCTCTAGGTTTTCTAGTTTATGCATGTAAACGTTTTCATAATAGCCTTGAATGATCTTTTGTATTTCTGTGGTATCCGTTGCAATATCTCCTGTTTTTCCTCTAATTGAGCTTATTTGGATCTTCTCTCTTCTTTTCTTTGTTAATCTTGCTAATAGTCTATCAATTTTATTTATCTTTTCAAAGAACCAGCTTTTTGTTTCATATATCATTTGCAGTTTTTTGTTTCAATTTCATTTAGTTCTGCTCTGATCTTGGTTATTTATTTTCTTCTTCTGTGTGTGGGTTTGATTTGTTCTTGTTTCTCTAGTTCCTTGAGGTGTGACCTTAGATTGTCTATTTGAGCTCTTTTACACTTTTTGATATAGGCATTTAATGCTATGAACTTTCGTCTTAGCACTGCTTTTGTTATATCCAAGAGGTTTTGATAGGTTTTGATACTCTTATTGTTTAGTTGAAAGAATTTTTAAATTTCCATCTTGATTTCATTTTTGACCCAATGATTGTTCAGGAGCATATTATTTAATTTTTATGTATTTGCATGATTTTGAGGGTTCCTTTTGGTGTTTATTTTCATTTTTTTTCCACTGTGGTCTGAGAGAATACTTGCTATAATTTAGATTTTCTTAAATTTGTTGAGACTTGTTCTGCAGTTGTTGGGTAGAAAGTTCTGTAAATATCTGTTAAGTCTGTTTGTTCCAGGGTATACTTTAAGTCCACTCTTTCTTTGTTGACTTTCTCCCTTGATAGCCTGTCTTGTGCTGCCAGTGGAATAATGAAGTCCCCACTATTATTGTGTTTCTGTCTATCTTAGGTCTTAGGTCTAGTAGTAAATGTTTTATAAATTTGGGAGTGCCAATGTCAGGTGCATATATATTTAGAATTGTACTATTTTCCTGTTGGACTAGTCCTTTTATCATAATATAATGTCTCTCCTTTTTTTTTCAACTGCTGTTGCTTTAAGTGTGTTTTGTCTGATGTAAGAATAGCTACTTCTGCTCCCTTTTGGTGTTCATTTGCATGGAATATCTTTTTCCATCCCTTTACCTTAAGTTTATGTGAGTGGTTATGTGTCAGGTGAGTTTCTTGAAGACAGCAGATACTTGGTTGGTGAGTTATTATTCTGCCATTTTGTATCTTTTAAGTGGAGCATTTAGGCCATTTACATTCAGTGTTAGTATGGAGATGTGAGGTACTATTCTATTCATCATACTGTTTGTTGCCTGAGTACTTTTTTCATTGTGTTGTTGCTTTATAGGTCCTGTGAGATTCATGCCTTAAGGAGATCCTATTTTGGTGTATTTCAAGGATTTGTTTCAAGATTTAGAGCTCCTTTTAGTAATTCTTATAGTGCTGGCTTGGTAGTGGAGAATTCTCTCAGCATTTGTTCGTCTGAAAAAGACTGTATCTTTCCTTCATTTATGAAGCTTAGTTTCTCTGGATATACAAAATTCTTGGCTGATAATTGTTTTGTTTGTGGAGGCTAAAGATATGACCCTAATTTCTTCTAGATTATGGAGTTTCTGCCAAGAAAACTGCTGTTAATCTGATAGGGTTTCCTTTATACATTACCTGATGATTTTGTCTTGTAGCTCTTAAGACTCTTTCCTTTGTCTTGACTTTAGATAACCTGATGACTGTGTGCCTGTGTGATGCTCTTTTTGCAATTAATTTCCTAGGTGTTCTTTGAGCTTCTTGTATTTGAATGTCTAGATCTCTAGCATGACCAGGGAAGTTTTCCTCAGGTATTCCCTCAAATATGTTTTCCAAACTTTTAGATTTCTCTTCTTCCTTGGGAGCATCAGTTATTCTTAGGTTTGGTCGTTTCACATAATCCCAAACTTCTTGGAGGCTTTGTTCATTTTTAAAAAATTATTTTTTCTTTGTTGTTGTTGGATTGGGTTAATTTGAAAGCCTTGTCTTTGAGCTCTGAAGTTCTTTCTTCTACTTGTTCAATTCTATTGCTGAGACTTTTTAGTGCATTTTGTATTTCTTTAAGTGTGTCCTTGATTTTCAGAAGTTGCGATTGTTTTTTATTTATTCTATGTATTTCACTGGAGATTTTTCCATTCCTATCCTGTATCTTTTTTAAAAATTTCTTTTATTTGGACTTCACCTTTCTCTGGTACCTCCTTGATTGGCTTGGTAATTACCCTTCTTAATTTTTTATATTTTGGCAATTCAGAAACTTCATCTTGGTTTGGATCCATTGCTGATGAGCTATTGTGATCTTTTGGGGGCATTAGAGAACCTTGTTTTGTCATATTACCAGAATTGTTTTTTTGTGGTTTCTTCTTATGAGTAGACTTTGTCAGAAGGAAGATCTGGGACTCAAGGGCTTCTGTTCCGATTTTTTTGTCCCATGGCGGTGCTGCCTTGATGTGGTGCTCTCCCGTTTCTCCTAGGGATGGGGCTTCCTGAGAGCTGAACTGCAGTGATTGTTATTTCTCCTCTGGATCTAGCCACCCAAAGGAGCTACCAGGCTTCTGGCTGGTACTGGGTAGTGTCTGCAAAGAGTCCTGTGATATGATCTGTCTTCAGGTCTCTCAGCTGTGGATACCAGCACCTACTCTGGTGGAGTTAGCAGGGGAGTGAAGTGTTCTCTGTATGAGCGCTTGCTTGTGTCTTTTTTAAGTGCTCTGGTTTTGTGGTGCTTGACCTCCAGCCAGAAGGTGGTGCTTTCAAGAGCATATCAGCTGTGATTATATAGGGAGGACACAAGCTTTTCCTAGGGTAGCCTTTGGATAAGTATTCAGGTTTCTCAGGTGGTGGGCAGGGCTATAGAGCTCCCAAGAGATATGTCCTTTGTCTTTGGCTGCCAGGGCAGGTAGAGAAAGATATCAGGTGGGGACAGGGTTAAGCATGTCTGAACTCAGACTCTCCTTAAGCAGGGCTTGCTTTGTTTTGGGGGCTGGGGGTGTGGTTCCCAGGTCAATGGAATTATGTTCTCAGGGGACTTATGGCTGTCTCTGCTGGGTCACACGGGTCACCAGGGAAGTGGGGAAAAGCTAGCAGCCACTGGCCTCAACCAGCTCCCATGCCACCTGCAGCCCAAAAGACCAGTCTCACTCCCACTGTGGCCCCCACACCCCCAACAGCACCAAATTTATTTCCAGGCAGCCAGTGAGCAGGGCTGAGTACTTGTCACAGGCTACAAGCCTCCCAGCTAAGAAAGCAAGCAGACTCACAGTTCCTCAGCTGTCCCATGGATTCTGCAGTGGCATTCCACCTCCTTCAAATGGTCTGTGGATTCTCTCAGTTTTCCTGGTTGTACCTGTGGTAGTTCTTGGAGAAAAGTTCATGACGTGGGTTTCCAAATGCTGCTCTGTTCCTCTGAGTAGGAGCTGCCAGTTAGTCCTGCCTCCTTCCTGTCTGCCATTTTTTCCCCTCTAGATTTTCCACTTTTAAAGATAAAGATTTTATACCTATCATTTTAGATATATTGACTCAGAGTGATATGTCCCTCTTCAAATATTACTGGCTTGACAGAAAGTAAGAGGATGCCCTTTTGCACATGGTGGTCAGAAATTAGCTGATACTCATTGATCCATTATTGAGGTCCTAAACAAAATATTTGACTTACTGACAGCTGTATTAGTTGCATTATTCAGCATCCACAGCTGCTAGACATACACTGGTCATTTGTCAGCTGACATGGCTAGGATCCATATTGTGGCCCTTCCTCAAACTTACTTTTGAAAATGTTACACATTGAGTGTAATTAAATTGAGAACTCACTAGTAAGGCTTGTATTTAAATGGTAAAACAAACACTGATTTTTTGGAAAAATTGAGAACTCCCTTTAGTCTAAAATTATTACCTGCTTTTCATACAAGTTAATAGTCTTGAGGTAGAATGGACTAAATATCATCTTATAGTTTACTGGAACAACTGCTTGAAATTAAGACAAGGAAATGTTATAAAAATGTTGTAGAGTACAATTTGCAATAATTGGTGTGCACTGGAATGTTCTTCACAAAGATAAAATATATTTCATTAAGAAAGGATATTCTGGTGGCTAACACCTGTAATCCCAGCACTTTGGGAGTCTGAGGCAGGTGGATCACCTGAGGTAAGGAGTTTGAGACCAGCCTGACCAGACAGGTGAAACCCTGTCTCTACTAAAAATACAAAAATTATCTGAGTGTGGTGGTGTGTGCCTGTAATCCAAGCTACTAGGGAGGCTGAGGCAGAAGAATCACTTGAACCCAGGAGTTGCAGTGAGCCAAGAGCACACCATTGCACTCCAGCCTAGGTGACAAGAGCAAAACTCCATCTAAAAAAAAAAGAAAAAAAAAAGAAAGGATATTCTTTAACTTTTTTTTTTTTTTGGTTGCCTTCCTATTGTCTTACCCTCTCTTTCTCTCTTTCTTTCCTGTTTTACTTCCTTTCTCCCTTCCTTTTTTTCTTTTTTCACTATCATTTATTAAACATCTTCTCTGTGGTAGGCACAGCTACAAACAGAAATAAAAAGATAAGCTCCTTTCTTTTAAAGGATATACCATAGTTATTTAATGAAGAGAAAATACAATTCTGTAAATCATACAGGGGCTAATTTGAGACCCTATAACATAATCTATGTTAATAATTATCATATAAAAATCTATTTGTCATGTACCTATGTGCAAGGAACTGTACTTTACATATATTATCTTATTTAGTATTTAAAATAGTCCTACGAATTCATCCCATTTTACAGTTGAAAAAAGAACAACACAGAAAAAAAATCAGAAAAGCACGTCAGAAGTCAATGTGATGAGATAGGAATGTTGTCTCTGGAGGTAGGGTGTCGACATTCAAATCCTAGTTCTGTCACTTATTAATTGTGAAGCTTTGATCAAACTATTTTATCTTACCAAACATCAGTTTTCTCGTCTTTAAAGTGAATCAATAATAATACCTACATAGAGACTTATTCTGAGGGCTAAGTAAGTTAACATATGAAAGTGGTTAGAATAATAGGTGGTATGTAGGCATTATTATTACAAACCTGAAATCACACAGCTAGAATGTGTTAGAACCTGATTTTTTAGATTTCAAAGTCTGTGATTCTTCCACAATTTCATATTTCCTCCAAGACATATTCAAGTTTGTGGATCACAGAATTTTAAAAATGAAATTTCAGTAACCAATTAAATTTCTGTTTTTCTCTTAAAGAAAACACATGTAAAAGGATTTTCAATTAAAAGACTAATTCTCCTCGAGGATGAACTCTGACATCTCAGGGAATCGTCAACTAATCGTGGGTAAAGTCAGTTTTCAGGGAATGTGGGGTGGAGTAAAGGGAAACTTTTATTTTAGAGGTGCATTGTTTATTGTGTCTCTTCTGAAACAGGGATTTAACAATTTATTAGTTCTTAAGATCATCTTGAAAAGTTCAGTTCTCTCCCCACAGCTGTTCAGAGCACCTGTTGTTTCTATTATTCTCTCTTTCTTTCTTGCATCATTCAAAAATCCCTTCTGGCCTCAGGGGAGGAAAAATAGCTTTTAAATTAATCAGTTTCACAGCCTTAGCATAGCTTGCCTAAGTGAGATTTTTAGGAATAAAAACATGGAGTTTACTGATGTGAACAGGCTAAAATACTTATTTATTTCTTAAATCTTGGCTGGATCTTGCATGAGACATCTGATCCTCTTTGGATTTCTGATGTTTATCATTAGATTGGAATTTCCCCACTTATAGGTTTGCTCTACAAATAATTCATTTGTGTTTTTCCTTCTGATTCTAGTTTCTATTTATTCATCCTTATAAAGAGTTTTATAAAACTTGGGAAGAAATAACTTCCCTACTCCTTGGTAAAAAAACAAAACAAACAAAAAACCTATAGCTGCTCCTTCTACCCTTCCACGAAGAGCTGACTGTGGAGCACAGTGGTATATGCTTCAACCTGGACTGCAGCCCTTATCTCCTCATTTCCTATTCAAGCACATTTCTTCCATAAAATAACCCTATCAGGCTCTGCTGCTAAAATATTATTTGAGAGCCACTGACTCAGATACATTCATTTATTTTTTACAGTCCTTCTATAAAGTAGATAATTTTGTACTAATGATTGAGCCAGAAGGCTAAAGAGTTGTAGAAGTGTAACATATTTGCTGGTCTCAAAGAATTAGTTCTCATTAAGCCACTGTAAGTAGGAGGCAGGGCACAGGGGAAAAAAGTATAAACAGGAAGAAAATCCACATCTATTGAGCTCCCACTATGAGCTAAGAATGTAATTTTATTTTTTCTCATTTAATCCTGATGAGAATGCAGTTACCTAAATATTATAATCTTCAATTTACAAACGAGGAAATTGAGACTAAGATTTAATAACTTGGTCAGGTGGGGTGGCTCACGCCTGTAATCCCAGCACTTTTGGAGGCCGAGGTGGGTGGATCACTCAAGGACAGGGGTTGGGTTGAGACCAGCCTGGCCAACATGGTGAAGCCCTGTTTCTACTAAAAATACAAAACTTAGCCCAGCATGGTGGCATGCACCTGTAGTCCCACCTACTTGGGGGTTAAGGCAGGAGAATCACTTGAACCCAGGAGGTGGAGGTTGCAGTGAGCCAAGCTCATGCAACTGCACTCCAGCGTGGGAAACAGAGTGAGACTGTTTCTCAAAACAAACAAACAAAAAAACAAACAAAAAATATTTAGTAACTTACCTCAGCTCAGTTTATAAATAGGGAAGATAAAACTTGAACCAAGGTGAGTATGACTCTAAAGCCTATGCTCAAGTTAAGTAACTAGCTTTTTGATATGAGTTCCAATTAATAGTTCAATGAACCATCTTTGAAGACCTATTAAATGCAAAGTTTTTTTTTCAAATATCCCTTGCATTTCTATATGAATTTTAGGATCAGCTTGTCAATTTCTGGGAAACAAAGTTGCCACCAAAGATGAACCAATGTCAAATCTCAGACTTTCCACTTATTATTGGACCTTGAATAAGTAATTTTGTCCTCTCAAATCCTCAATTTCTTCATCTATAAGAGAATAAGAATAATACCTTTCTTGCAGGGCTGTTGTGAGGATTAGAACTGATGTACCTGGCACATGTTGGACTTTCATATGTATTATAAGACCTGCTGTTCAGTAGGGGGAAAGGAGACAAGTGCACATAAAATTCAATAAAAAGTATCCTAGGAAAGATATAAAGGAGTATTAACTAGGAGACAGTTTACTTAGAGTCAGAACCTGATTTTGAAGGAGAATCAGAAAAAGCAATGGCATTTCAAACATTGACGAGTAGGTATAGTTCAGATATTTCTGTAGGGGAGAAGGGCACTCCAAATAGGTGGAGCACATTTAAGAAAGCCTGAGGTGTTTTCAAGGCACAGAAAGGATCTAACTTGGCAGAAGTGTGGGAAGCCTATAGGGAAGTTATTAATATAAGCTGTAAAATTGGAAAGATTGGCTAACTGGATTGTGGATGAAAAGATATAACTTTATTAGGCAGAAGGAAGCAATTTCTAGCATTGAAGTATTCTTTTTCTGAAAATCATTGTTATTACTAAAATTTTAAAGGCTGTATTTTATTTGAAATATTGAAATAGGTTATGCCGGATAGTTGACGTTAGAAAACTGAGCACTCTACTTACCGTGTGCTAATATTTGCAAAACTCCGTTTAAATATTAGTAAGGAGCCGTTTTGATGTAGAACTCCTTTTAGGCAAATGTTGCAAAGTGGTTGGGCTGGGCTTATTTTTGTTCTTACTAGTAGCTTTATTGACATATGATTCATATACCATAACATTTATCCTTTAAAGTACACAATTCAGCGTTTTGTTAGTAAGTTTACAAAGTTATGCAGTTATAGCTATATAATTCCAGAACATTTTTATCACCCCCGAGGATCCTCAGACCCCTTAGTAGTTACTCCTCACATCCCCTATCCTCAGCACCTAGGCTACTAATCTACTTTCTGTACATGTGCCTTTTCTGGATTTTGGATAAATGAAATCATACAACATGTAGCCTTTTATGACTGGCTTCTCTCACTTAAAGTTTTCAAGGTCATCCATGTTTTAGTAGACATTAGTACTTAATTCTGTTTTATTGCTGAATAATATTCTGTTGTATGGATAGACTATATATTATTTATCTGTTCATCAGCTGATGAAAGTTTGGTTTGTTTCTACTGTTTGACTATTATGAATAATACTGCCATGAACATTTGCATACAGATTCTTGTGTGGATGTGTTTTCAGTTCTCTTGGGTCTATACTGAGGAGCAGAATTGCTGGTTCATATGGTAACTTTATGTTTAACTTTTTGAGGAACTGACAACTTTTTCCAAAGCCACTGCACTATTTTACATTTCTACTAGCAATGTATTACAACTTCTCCATATCTTAAGCAAAACTTATTATTTGTCATTTTTATTGTAGCCACAATATTCTCACGTGAAGTGCTATCTCATTGTGGTTTTGATTTGCATTTCCCTAATGACTAATGATGTTGAACATCTTTTCATGTGCTTATTGGCCATTTGTATATTTGCTCTGGCAAATTGTCCGTTCAAATATTTGCCCATTTAATAAATTGAGTTGTCTTTCTGTTGTTGAGTTGTAATAGTTCTTTAGATATCTCAATAATAAACCCTTATCAAAAATGACTTGCAAATGTTATTTTTCATCGGTGGGTTGCCTTTTGATTTTATTCATAGTTTCACTTGGAGTACAAATTTTTATGAAGTCTATATTTTTTGGGTTGCTTATGCTTTTGATGTGTCTAAGAAATAGTTCACTCACCTAAGGTCATGAGGTTTACGCTTAATATTATTTTCTAAGGGTTTTATAGTTTTAGCTCTTAAATTTGGGTATTTCATCCATTTTGTGTTAATTTTTGCATATGGTATGAAATAAAGGTTCAAATTGATTCCTTTGCATATGAATTTTCAATTGTCCCCAAAACATTTGTTGAAAAGATTATTCTTTCACACTGAATTGTCTTGGCATCATTGTTGAAAATCAGCTGACCATAAATGTGAGTTTACTTCTGGACTCTCAATTCTGCTCCATTAATCTGTGTGACTTTTATTATGTCAGTACCATGCTGTCTTGATTACAGAAGTAAGTTTTGAAATAGGGAAGTGTGAGTTCTCCAACTTTGTTCATCTTTTTCAAGATTGTTTTGGTTATTCTGGGTCCCATGCATTTCCGTATGAATTTTAGGATCAGCTTGTCAATGTCTAGAAAAAAGTCATCTGAGATTTTTTGTTTTCAGGGTGTTATGACCATAGACTCAGCTGGGATTTTGATAAAGGTCATGTGGAATCTGTAAATCAGTTAGGGAGTATTGCCATCTTAACAATATTGCGTTCTAATTCATGAATATGGAATGTCTGTTTATCTATATCTTTACTTTATTTCAACAATGTTTTGTAGTTTTTAGTGTGCAAGCTTTACTCTTCCTTTGTTAAACTTATTAATAATTTAAAAAAAAATTTACAAATGGAATTGTCTTCTAAATTTTATTTTTGGACTGTTCATTGCTAGTATATAAAATACAATTAATGTTTGTGTATTAGTCTTGTATCCTACAACCTTGCTGAACTCATTTATTAGTTCCAATAGTTTCTTTTTTGTGTGTGAATTCCTTAGTATTTTCTATATACGAGATCATATCACCTGTAACTAGAGATAATTTGATTTCTTCCTTTTCAGTCTAGATGACTTTGATTTCTTTTTCTTGCCTAATTACCCTGGCTAAAACCTCCAGTATAATTTTGGAAAGAAATAAAGAGAGCAGCCATTCTTGTATCGTTCCTGATCTTAGGGGAAAACCTTTCAGTCTTTCACCATTAAGTATGATGTTAGCTGTGAGTTTTTCATAGATACCCTTTATTCATGTTGAAGAGGCTGGATCTGTTATACAGACTGATGCATTTGAACCTACCAATTTTTTTAAACATTGAACTAACATACAAATATTAGGAAACTTCACACAAAAATCTGAATTTCTGGCTTCACTTGAAAAACCAGAAAGTCTAATAATAATACTTGGCTCAAATTTGTACATGGCAATGGTTGCTGCATACTTTAAGTGCATGGCTGTGCTCTCTTCATTAGACTACAGTCGCTAGCACTCCTGATGGTATCTCTTATACTGAAGCAGAGTATAAGTTGTCTGCATTTGCATTCAACATTCCTTTTCTTATAGTAGAGAAATATTCATTTTTACCTAAGTTTTTCTGGGAAATAGAAGATAAACCAAAAAGTTCATGTGATTTTTCTGTAACTCTTAGCCGATGCTACTCATTTACATTTTTCCCTTGGTCTTGTTAGAGTTTTGAGTTTGTGGTTGCTGCTTCAGGGGATCTTCTCTGATTGGACAACTGGATGACTTAAATGTTTAGATCAGTCTAGTAAGAATTCTGGACTCCTATAAGTGTTGTCATTCCTTGGATTATCCTCAATAGCCTCTATAGAAATAAACTGGCCTTCAATGTGCAAATCCAATTTGATGCATAGTTAACTAGTTATGATGCTTCTCTGTTTCTCTGTCACTCCTCCATGTTCACTTTTTTTTATTGTTGTTGTTGAGATGGAGTTTCACTCTTGTTGCCCAGGCTGCAGAGCAATGGTGCAATCTTGACTCACCGCAACCTCCGCCTCCTAGGTTCAAGGGATTTTCCTGCCTCAGCCTCCCGAGTAGTTGGGATTACAGGCATGTGCCACCACGCCCAGTAAATTTTTGTATTTTTAGTAGAGACAGGGTTTCTCCATGTCGGTCAGGCTGGTCTCAAACTCCCAACCTCCAGGTGATCCTCCTGCCTTGGCCTCCCAAAGTGCTGGAATTACAGGCATGAGCCACTGTGCCCAACCCATGTTCACTTTTAAATATTCTTTTATTCAGTATAGTTGACCAGAATTTACCTTAATGAAATAAAATGATATGGAACGTATTTCGATGCAGAGATTTTTGAAAAGGGAATATTGAGGGAGAATTTCAATGTGGCAACATTGTTGTATACCACTGGAATAAACACTATATATATTGTAAACTTTTTCACAAAGGATCATGTCTTACATTTTTTGTATCTCTAGGGTCTAGCACAGCTAGGTTCAGTAGTTATGCATCAAATGAATGTTAGCTGTGGGTGATATTTAGGTGAGGAGTTCTTATGTGTGTAAAAATCTTGGGGGCAATATTTTGTGGAAAATCAAACGTAGTACTTTTATATTTTGTTGATACAGATAGTAATAGGAAATGATGTTCATCTTTTATGTAATTATTCTCAAATATTTGTAAGTGATAAGGCTTGTAAATAAGAAAACGTGACATTTTGTGACATATAAAAAAAGAGAAACAGCTAGTGAATTTTTGGAATTGAAATTATTTTCTGTGAGTAAAAAGTACCACCACCATTTAGCATTTGAGGGAGTTAGGTGAAGAGAACTCCTTCATATCTTACATGGTATAGTAGGGAAAAACAGCAGCCAGAAGTATCGTTGCAATCTCTATAATATCATTGCCAATCCACTGGCTCTAGGCTTTTGTGTTGTGGGAGAGCCTGGATTAGATAGTGTTTACTAATTTCCTGGAAGTAATATAGCCTGATTATAATAGTTGACTTTATAACATTAATGTTTCATTTTTATTGGTACCCAAATGGCTTTGACATTTTTGTTATATCCCAGAGTGCACATCCTCCAGCTCTAAGAAGAGACTTGTTTTGGGTAGTCTTAATATATTCAATGTAGCAACTGGTGTGAAAACAAATTATCGTTCCACTCTTAAGTCAATCTGCTTTTTCTGAGGAACATGTAGGGAGATAGAGCATTCCTGTACTAGGAGATGATTTTTTAAAATAATTTTCTTCTTGGTGACTTTCATATCACATGCTACATATCTTTGAAAGGATCTTGTTTAAACCTAAAGACAGGATTAAAAGTCAGCTGTTAGGGAGGAGCGTCTGTGGTTGTATGTTTGATGAGGTGGTATGAGCAAGGGACAGAGCTAGGGAGTCTAACAATGACTAGCAGACATTTATGTGTAAAAGTCTAAGTTCATCCCACTCTTCTCCGCATTTTCATGGAGTCCAAGGAAGTTCTTGTTCATTGTAAGTTAATTTACTTTTCTGTTGACCTACTTATGGTGAATGAAGCATGACTGGTGACTTGAAATATTTCAATGATTTGCTCACAAATATTGAATTCTGAAGTTATGTATTATTTGCTTTGTTTTGCTTGTTATTCCTACATTTATGATTATAAAACCAGCAATTTAAGTGCTGGTAAAGGGGATGCAAAATTAGAGCTCGTAACTTGAAGTGGTACTTAGAAATTTATGTGTATTTTTCCTGTCAGAATACCTAAAGTATAATTTTAATAGTAGGTACATGGAAAGATGTATTCAAACTTTTGTTATGTATGAAATCTTGTAAGTATTGAGAATAAACTTGTAATTTGGTTTGCCATTTTGGTGTGGTTTTAGTACTAAACTGCAAAATATTTTAATGGCATGTATTAAATATTGATCTGCCTACAAAGGAATTTAGGAGGTGTTGTCTATTTTATTTCCTAAGTGGTGATTTAATGTAAAATAGCTGAAGTAGTAGTTTTTCTTGTATAAAAATCAGTTAGATTTTGAAAAGATAGTTCATTTTTTTCTTCTTGCACACACACATCTATCTATATATATATTTAACAGCTAAGGATGATTATAAGTTTAATGGCTGTAATTAAATGAAGTGCTATATACCAAGTCTTATCTAATTTGGTAACTAGAAAATAGGTATAATCATTTTCATTTTACATATGAGGAAACTGAAGGTCAAAACAGTTAAAGTCTCCCAGCTTGTAAGTGATGAAATTGGGATTTATATCTATGTATATTTGTATTTATCTCTGTGCTTGACAATCTGACCTCAAAGCTGATGCTCTTACCATTATGAGACTTCATTTCATGAATAATCACAAAAAATTCACAGTAGTATTGCCAGTCCCTGTCAACTAGAGGAATGGAAATATGTTCAAGATGTGAAAATTATTTCTCCAATTTCTGTATGAATTGTTTGGAATTGTCACTGAGCTCCTTTTGGAGGAAGAGAAAAAAGACAATATTTTCCATGAAGTTTCTGTAAATCACATTGATTCTGCTTTCTTTTACTGTGGCTCAATGAAGTGTCATGTATTAATCTACATTCCAGAAAAATGTTGTCCCATGAAGAAAATATGTGGGAACAGCTGGTTATAGCAGCTGTAGGTAGTGACTGGAAATTCAGTCTCTATTTCTTTCTGTACAAATCTCCTTATAACTAATAAAAGGAGGAATTGAAATATGTGTATATATATATGTATGTGTGTGTGTGTTTGTGTGTGTGTGTATATATATGTATACACACACATATATGTATACACACATATATATGTATACACACACACACACACACACATATATATATATATATATATGTATACACACACAAATTGCACTTAGCAAGAAACAGAGCCACCATGGTATTGTTATTCAAGTTCTGTCTCAGAATCATAGAATATAAATGCCAAACAGCCTTAATTTGGGGCTTGAGTCCAATTATTAAGGAAACCAATGAGCAAACTTGAATGAATTAGCTCTCAGAAACTAAGGAACAATGTCTTTTTTAACCGCTATATCCCTAGAGTATATACAACAGAGTCATATATAAAGCTTTATAAATATTTGTTGATTCATGGGTTATTTTATTTAACAGGGCTGGTTAGTAGCTGAGGGTATAATCTGAATTTTTAGACATTCAAGCCCAGTACTTTTCTTACCATACTGTGCTGCTTGCTCCCATTCTCATCTCAAAGCACAATAATTGCTGCCTCCTTTCGAAAGGAGGAAACTCAAGCTTTCATAACTTGCCCAAGTTCACACAGGTAGGTTGACTGAGGCCTTAAAACCTGGTATGCTTGATGCCAAAGTTTATGTTCTTAGATGCCTTGCTAAGCTGTTGCTTCCTAGGACTAGAACTTCCATTATGTGTTACAGATTTAATTTGTACTTGCATTAATATTTTAAAGCCATCTTCAAAAAGAGTATGCAATCTCACTTTTTGACAGATGGTAGAGTTGAATTGTTAAGAATCAGGATTCTATAGCCAGACACAGTTTATATGCTACCTCTATCACTTACATGACCTTGGCTATGTTTCTTTGTGGCTTAGATTCATTATCCATAAAGGGTGGTAATAATAATACCTATTTCATGGAGTTGTTTGAGAATTAAGTACAAGGTGCTTAGAAGAGTGCCTGACATATAGTAAGGCGCACATGTGTTATTATTTTCTTGGGTATTCTTTCCCATTGGAAAAAATTTACCTTATATCCAGTACAGCTTAATCCTGTTGTCCTCTCCTTTTCTATCCTCCCGGGGATGCAAAGACTAGTAGTGGGGTATCACTCTCACTATCATACCACAGTCTGTTTACTTATCATGATGAAGTTGGTTTTCACCCTTTTCTAATGGTTGGTTTCTTAATCTTTAAACAAAGATCTGATTTTTCCAGTACTTATACTTGAAATACCGTAAGGAATTTTCTGTACTTACAGTAGGGAATAACATTAACATTTAGAGGATAAGAACATTTATTTTCATATGGTTTACAAAGGACAACCAAGTTTATTATAGCAGAAATGAGTAGTCTTTTTAAAAAGTTTTTTACTATACTGAAAGAACATCTGCTCTCTTGCCCAGATTAAGACAACTCTTATAGAGTGATATAGTAAATGAGCACTAAATAAAGGAATAAAAAAACTTGGTTCAGGCCTCTTGACATTTACCAGTTGTAAGACCATGAGTAGGAGAGTCCTCTTAGCCTCTTTCAGCCTCAGTTTCTTGACCTATGAGATTGACATAATAGTGAATTCTATGATTGTCTTATAATGTTTGATTTTAATCAAATGATGTTTTATTTTTTCAAGGCCCAAATTCAAATACTGCTTGCTGAATGAAGTCTTCCCTGACACCTCCAGTTAGATTTCATCTCTCCTCCCTCTATATTCCTATAACAATTTGCATCTCTACAATTTCTATTTCTTTGAGTTAAGCAGACCATATCTTCTACTGGATTGTAAGCCCTCTGTGGGGATGTATTCATTTTTTGTTTTTCGTAGACTGTCTGGTATAGTGCCTTGAGTATGTGCTCTATAACTACTTATTAGGTTGAAATAGTGCAATGGTGCTTTGTTAACTGGGAGTATATACAAATGTAAAATATTAATATCTATGTATACTTGGCATTTTTCTTTCTCATTGGACTTATTTTCTAACATGTGGCATCCTGTGTTTACTTAGACTTCTCTCTGTATCTCTAAATATCTTATCTTGGGGAGAGTCAACCAAGAGCACAATTAAAGTGTTTATTAAGTTTCTGAATGCAAATTGTATTGTCATAACTGCTGTCTAAATCAAATCATCATGGTCTCTTGCTTTACAAGAGCACAGTCAAAAATCATTATCAAATGCTTCCATGTGAGTTATGTTGTCCTTATTACTGTTCAAATTGAATTAAACAATTAGATCAGTGACTTTTAGACTAGTAGCATAAGCAGGAAATACCTGTGTGGGTATGTATACTTACAAAGGAGTACTGAAAAATACTGAAAAAATAAAACTACATTGATTGATTATATAACAACTTTTGTTGTGAATGACAACTGAAAAGGACAGTTTTTTTGTTGTTGTTTTTGGTTTTTTTCCCATAGAAACAGGTCTGGCTATGTTGCCCAGGCTGGTCTCAAACTCCTGGCCTCAAGTGATCCTCCTGCCTCAGCCTCCCAGAGTGCTGGGGTTAGGCGTGAGCCACCATGCCCAGTCGAAAAAAGAGCAGTTTTAGATTCGGGTGTTTGATCTGGTTGATTAGGCAAGAAATCATCACATCACTTCTTAACTGTGAAGATCTATGTGTATTGAACTTTCAAAAGTTTTCAACATAGTCCCCAGTAGTTATTTAATGCATTTTGCTTATTCTCCAATATTCTACAAGGTCATACAATTATTCTTCTGTGATATTTGATCAGTTTGGTCAGAAATGAGGATGTTTATATCCAGTATCATTACAACTAGAGAAATAATACCTTACTTGTGAATGTAGAAAATGTTCCAGGATAAAAAAAAAAGAAAAGAAAAAAGAAGGAACAAAGGGAAAAAAAAAGAAATGAAAAGGAATAAAGAAGTAAAAAGAAGACATAGTTGTTTATATTTGCTAACTGGTACTAAACTTTATGTCTTCGTGTGTGTGTGTGTGTGTTTGCTGAATAATTTGAAATTAAATTGCAAGTATCGTAACATTTCAGCCCTAAAGGTTTTAGTATATATCTCCTAAGAACAAAGATAGTCTCTGACAGAACCTCAATACCACTATCACATTTTCTGTTTTTTTCTTGTTATAGATATATATGATTATTGTTTTTGGTTTTCTTTTCATTTGGAAATGTTTTAAATTTTCTTGAGCCAGCAATGATAGAAGATTCTTTGTAGTTAGGGTGAGGTACTTGAGTGGTTTCTAGGTTTTGAGTGCCAGTACCCTCTTTTATTGCTGTAGTAAAGTTTATTTTAAAAATATTTGACCCGCTGCAGTGGCTCATGCCTGTAATTGCAGCACTTAGGGAGGCTGAGGCGGGTAGATCACCTGAGGTCAGGAGTTTGAGACCAGCCTGGCCAACCATGGCCAACATGGTGAAACCCCATCTCTACTAAAAATACAAAATTAGCCAGGTGTGGCTGTAGGACATAAGTATCTTTATAGCTCAGGAGTTCTCTGACTTTTACATTTTACCTCATATTGGTGATTAATCACCTTTAGTCTTGCATTGTCTTTCTTTAAAGCTTTGATCACATTCAACAACATCCATTCAAATCCATGGTTTTTATAATTATTATTTCCCCAAAACCTCTTGTGTGACTGGGATGTCATAACTACCAGTGCATTCCTTCCCTCTGTTTTTTTTCTCCCAGTTCACCACAGGTGAAAGTTTTAGTAACTTCATCATTATAACATGCTAAGAATTATCAGTTTTTACTTACACCACCAATAAAGTTCTCACTGGCCAGAGAGCCACTGGGTGTTGCAGCTCAAAAACTGTCTGCTTTTTTTTTCATATAATTCCTTGCACAAAGCATCTTAGGTCAGTGGCCCTGAAAAGCAGATTCTGAGATGAAGAATTTGCACATAGAAAGTTTATTAGGAAGTGTGCTCAGGAACAATACTTATGAGTTAGTGAGAATGTAGGATTGGGCAGAGTGACGTGTTACATGAAAAGTGGCTATCATAATATCCTCCACTGATCCACAGGAGCTCTGAAACTCAGATATCCTTTCAGAGTTGTCCTAAATTGAGGCAAAGGGGCCAGATCTACATTGACCAGTCATTATGTTGCAGGACTTTTCCTTAGTTCAGCTAAAGACGTGGTTCTTGTCTGCCCCATGGCCATGAAAATTTAGGCTCACAGATGGTTTAAAGGGTGAGTAAAGCAGGGTTTTATTGCATGAAAAGGGAAAAAAGGGGAAAACAGGGACTCTTACAAGGCCAAAGTCCCTTTGCTAGATAGAGTGCTTCCTGCCTGCCTCTTGAATTGCAGGTTCCACACAGGAAGAAGAGGGGCCAGGCTCCTCCCTGAAGCAAATGTCGTGAACTTCCTGAGGCTCCACCCCAATGGGCAGGCTGGTTGGAGTTTCTCCAGGGACTCTTTCCCATCTGACTATCTCATTCCTGCCTCCAAAGAAGTACATCTAACTGATGTTAGATTAAGGATAAGGATGAAGACTGATCTTAAATGCTTCCTGCTGACATGGGCCGCTGTTTTGGGGAAATGGCAGTCAGAGCTTCCCTAGAAGCCTAAGTGTTCCTGGTAGGAGGGGCCATCATCTGAGGCTCCAGTTGTGTGACTGGAGTTTGATGGCCTGAATGCAAGAACAGACAAACCAGATTATTAGGAAACATGTATCAAAATGAAACAAGGGGAGGGTTAAGGACAGCTCAAAAATTCCAAGGCCTTTTACCAGTTTGCACAGAGAGAGGGAAGCCAAAAGTCCGACTGGTTAAAAAAAGCTTTACCCTTTGGCCAGCATGTTGGACTTCCGGGTTCCCTTCCCTAAGCCCAAACCTAGGTCGACCAGTTTAAGGTTTGGGAAATTAACTCTTTTCAGTTTGGAGGATGCATCTGAGGGGAGTGTCCCATGGTATGGAGACACAATTACCTATCTGAAGAGAGAACCGAGGAAGAGAAAGGAAAAATAAAGCATTTTTTAAAGGAGTCCCAAGGGTTCAGGATGCATTTGAAATGGGTACAGACTGAAGGTGAGTGGCTACCCATCTAGAAAAAAGGGAGCAGGTGTCCCTGGTTCTCTTCTCTTCCTAACAGATACCAGGGGTACTTCAGGGAGAGAGGGAAGAGCGTCCACTTTCCCTCTTCCATCCTTGTATTCCTGAGTTCTGGCAACCTTGGCAGGTGCTGCCATGAGTGCCAAAGTGGCTGTACCCATGAAGCAGAGAGGGCCTAGAGAATAGGAATTATTCGCTGTCACCTATGTCTCTTTCCTACCTAGTCTTAGTAGCCTTAGAGTTCCCTAGACCTCATTTATGCCATGGATATTAATGTGGCTTTTATCCATGAAACAAAAAGCTTGGGGTTGCCTTAATTGGCAGTAATCAGCCACGCTCACCTGCACTGTGTGTTTTAACCTTCATTATCATTTGCTTCTGGATCCCTTAGATACAATTTTCTTTCCTAGGGCTTTGACCCGAAGCTTGGAATTGAGTCTGAGACAAAATGTATCTCAGGGGGGTTGCATGGACTCCTTATCATAAACCAAAGGCTAAGTAAAGCTGTGGAACTGAGTTCTCCTCCAAGGGAGAGGAAAGGATGTCTTGTTACACACCCAGATAATTGGTAGCTATAGTTATGCTTGCTAGGATTTGGCTGCCTGGTGCCCAGCCTTGGTCAGCTCCCTCAGTCTTACTTTCCCAAAAAGGAAACTTCCAAGTGATGGATATTCTACTTATTCCCATCACCTGGCAGGATTTGCAGGATAACTGCTCAGAACTAGAATATTGATCCAGATTTTTATATTACCCATCCCTTTAGTTCTTTCGGAGCTACAGCTGGAGATTGCTCCTTGGTTCAAAGGAACAAGCAGGGTTAGTCTAAAATGTAGACAAAAACTTAAAAACAGCTAGTGAGTTTAGAATTTAATGACAAATGTATAAGTTTTGAAATATAATTTCTCTCTCTCCAGTTCTCATTTTTGTTAAAAAACAAATTATGTCAGGACTGAGTGGTTTGCAAAAGGGACTTTAGTCTTATACTTGGCCTGATTATTTGCATAAAGTAGAGCAAGAATAACTATTTCTACATAGGCCTTTTGGACTGGCTTTGATGGAAGTGTGTACCACAAGGAATCACGGATAAGACCTTTTAAAACCAAGCCCAGCCATGGGTTTTCATCTTCAAATACTTGTGAGTTGGGTGATCCTCTCCAAAGGTCCCAAGATAAACTTGGAGCTCCTATCCCTGTTATAAAGTGACATTCTTTACTGACCACAGGTCAAGAACTCTGCACAGGGACAGCATAGACAAGGGTATGAGGCCAGTTTCCCCATGGGGCTTTTATTGGCTCTGCAAGTCAAGCTTCACTCCTCAAACGGAAGCATACCCTTCCAGTCAAAGCCTTGGTAAAATAACTACTTTCTCCAATTGTGTCCTGTTGCAAAAGAAAAATGGATTCTTATTGCACTGATGCACATAACTATATTGTCATAAGAATACTCACAGATAGTTTCTAAATTCTAGAGGAACCAGGCAGAGAGTAACCAACATGTTTCAAATTTCATTCATAGGAGTATACCTTACTCAATTATTAAAGGCCGTAAATAGTCCAAAATAAGTTTCCTTGACTCTGAAAAACAAAACATGGATTAGCAATATTCCAAGCGAAAGTCAAAAAGGTTGCTTCAGCTTCCTGAGTTCAGTCCATTTAGTTAACTCCTGTTTTGCTTGATATTCATGAACATTTCAGCTCTTCATGAGTCCTGGGCATGTTCCTGTATTCCAATGTCACAATATCCAAAGTTATCAGAAGTCTGTATTTGAGAGCACCTGTTAAAGTTCTATAGCTCATTATAAACCATCTTTGAAAAGGATTAAAACAAGACAATTGTCTGTGAATAACAAAATGTCCAGGGTAGCTACAAGCAGAAACACTCATGTCAGAGAAGTTTGGTTAACTCCATGGCTTACAATAACTTAACATAACAATGTTAGTTGTGATTGGTAGCATATACTTAGACATTAGAATTTTAGAAATCCCATACAATTCTGGAACATATATTAGCATTATATATATAACCATATATAGTACCAATATATAACCTAAAGAAGATTGAGCATCATTTTGGAAATCCCATCTACCTAAACATGTCAAATAATCCTGTTTACCTCTCTTTTCTGGACACGTCAGGGGCCCTCTGAAGTACTCAAAAAGCCAGGTGCCAGGGAAGACAATTTTGAAACTGAAGTTTGATTTTCGGAAGGCTGTTAAATGTTTGAGGTGTAAAATACTTGATATTATAAAATAGAATTCCAGAGTACCGTAAGGTAATTATTTTGCCAAAATGATGACTCAGAAATTTTAAAGAAGCAAAAACCTTTTATAACCACTTACAAATGTTGCCAAAGAGCAGATTGGTGCCATAGGAAAACCTTGTTATGCATTTATTTGAGTGCTCAATTTACAGAAAAACCATATAATACCCTTTTTTGAATTTAGTCAATACGTTCACATGAAGAACCTCTTCTGCAAGATTAATTTCCACAGTTGTTGCACTACTTCTTTTAACCTTCAGCTTTTTCCTAATTTAACTCAAAACAATCCTTTAACTCTAGGCAAAAGTTTACATTTCCATGCCTTCTTATAACCTTTTACTAAAAAACACATTTTACTGTTCTTATACACCTTTCATGTAAATCTATTTCTAGTAGTTTCAGTTAACTCCTAGGCATTTTTAACTTTAAGGTAAAACTTGGTAAGTTGCTTTAATTGTGTGCTAACTGCAGCCAAATTTTGCCTTCTTAATTAAGGGCATGGTTAGTTCCGTATGTCAGTTCCATAGGCCTTATCAATTGTGAAGCCAGCAAGTCAAATACTTTTCAAAACCCAAAAACCAGTTTGTAACCTCAAAACACTTGGCAAACCTTGCATCTGACCTGCATTCTTCAGTTCACCTATTTACATTTTAATGACATCTACATTTTACCAATAATCTTTAAGGCTGATTTTATTTCTCAAAGATTAAAGTCATGTGACCTGAAAGGTACCACAGCTTTTATCTTCCCTTTTTAAAAAATACTTGATCCAAGACCCTTTCTTTAGGCCACATGAATCAGAGCTCCTTGTACAGACATCACAGTACACACACAGACAGGCAGAAGAAAACCCAGTGGTTGTGGTGTCCTTTAAGAGACAGGGCTAGGAAAACCTGCAGATATTGAACCAGAGAGAGCTCATCCCCTAAGGCAGGGTTGCTAAACAAAGCCTTGCCAAGCACTTACCAGCTATGCCCCCAGGATGTAAAGCAAGATGGAGGCTTGGAGCACAAACCATGCAGACAGGCAAAGCACACCAGATGGGCCATAGCCAAAGACTAGCCCCACAAATCCTTTTTCATGACCAAAACTTTACAGAGAGTACAAACAGTGATAGTTGGGTTGCCTGGTCTAGTAAAAACGTCTTCTAAAAGGAAAAAAAAAGTTAAAGGTTAACTGCTGACGGGGTAGAGAAGGGGAAGAAAAAAAAAACAGTTTAAAAATGCCTGGGGAAGAACCTCTTATTGTTATGAAAGTGGTTCCTCCACCAGGAGAAAAGCTTAATTACTGTCAGAAAAAGCTGAACCTCTTGGCGGGGGGAAAGGGAAGGCTGCTGTGGCTTTTGTCTGGGAGCCAGCCAGCTAGCTGTGTGGGACCCTTGGGCCATACACCCCAGCCTCCACACAGAGGGGAGGGGGAGCAAGGAGACCCCGCTTGCCTGTCCATCCTGAAAAAGGAAGAAAAGGGCCTTTCCTCCGACCCCCAAGAGTGACAGGGCTTGGCGGCTTGTTTCCCCCACCCTCAGTAGTCTGAGGATGAAAATGCTTAGGAGCAATAGTGAGAGATTTTGAGTCCCCATTTCATTCACTGCTTTTGGAGCCCCATGTTTGGTGCCAAAAATGTTGCAGGACTTTTCCTTCGTTTAGCTAAAGATGGGGTTCTGGGGAATCAGGGACTCTTGCAAATCCAGAGTACCTCCACTAGAGTGCTTCCTGCCCACTGCCTGAATCCCAGGCTCCACACAGGAAGAAAAGGGGTCAGTCTCCTCTCTGCTGCAAATGTTGTGAACTTCCTGCGGTTCCACCGCAGTGGGCAGGCTGGTTAGAGTTTCTCCAGGGACCCCTCCCACCTGGTTGTCTCAGTTAGAAGCTGTCTACCTTTGGGAAACAGGTGTGACCCTAGATGAAGGAATTCCCTTTGAGCTGAGAGCAATTTATTGAGAGAGACTCAGATATGCACTGTTGGCCACCAACAATCCTGGAAGTTGGGAATTGAAAGCGTTGGTTCTGATTGGGAGATCTGGGTAGTACACCTCGTTCTATACTCTAGAAGACAAGAGAAAAAGTAGGAAGATGCATCAGAAGATTAATGAAATACTCCGGGTGAGAGATAATGATAGGTTGGAATTTAGGAGAACAGTGGAGGTGGTGAGGCAATTGAATTTTGGATATATGTCAAATGATTTGTTGGTGGATTAGATGTCAAAGAAGAGAAGTATCAAGGGTATCTTCAAAGATTTAGACCTGAACAACTGGAAGAATAAAGTTGCCTCATCAATTTATTGAGAAGTGATGGCTAGCACAGGGCTTTGTCTTCTTAAAGCAGCTGTATTAACTGAAGAATGCAACCTCACGTTTGCAATTTCTAGCTGAATTAAAGAATATGGGCTTATAATTTTCTCTTTTCACCACATAAACTACCTAAATTGATCCAATTAGAAATTGAAAACATGAATAGACTCATAACCTTGGAATAAATTAAAATTTTGTCAAAGAATTAACTTTAATGAAACAAACTCAGGTAGGGTTAAAATCAAATACATGTAAACTTTCAAAGATAGGTAAGTCTCATGATTGGTGCTTATTTCCAAACTAGTGAAATAGCAAAGAAACTTTCTAATTTTAGGAAAATAGTGTATATAAAAACTGAACACTAAAAGAAAATACAGATTAATCTCATTTATGAATATAGTTTAAAAATACTAATAAGAGAACTAATCTAATTCAAGAGTACATTAAAAAGTTCCAAGAAAGATTTGTTCTATAAATGCAATGGAAATTACTATGAGAAAATCTATTAATATGGCATATCATTAATAAATAAAAGATGCAACCGAAATAGGTAATAGTAATAGCTCACATTTGTTGAATGCTATAATGAGCTATGTTCTAGGCATTATTGTAAGTGCTTTAAGTATATATATGTTCAGTTAATTCATACAAAATTCCCATGAAGTATTTTATCTTCATATTTTAGATGAGAAAAACTGACACACACAATGTTTAGTAACTTGCTCAAATGCACATAATTAGCATATGAGAAAGCTAAGATATGAAAACAAGAACATGTAATATTGATTAAGCCACTCTGTCAGAGCACCTCCCAATATGCAACAATAATAATAGTGCCATAATATTTATATTTGGCTAACATTTTCAAGTGCTTACTGTGTGGTGGATACTACATTAAACACTTTAAATGAATTAACTCATCCTCACTAAAACCATATGACACAGATGCTAATATCATTATTCCCATTTTACTGACAGGAAAAGTTAGGTAGAGAAAGTTTAAGTAAACTCTTCAGCATCAGTCGGCTATTAAGCAGTGAATTATGATTTGGATCCAGGCAATCTGCTTTCAGAGCAGTTGCTATACTGCCTCTAGAACATTTGAACAATCATCCCTCATAATAAATGAAGGAAAACAATATGAAACAAACAAAAAACTATGTTATTAAACTAAATTAAAGGGATGATTCCTTGAAATTATTTTTTAAAACGTTGATCTAAAATCGCATTCTGTATTCTATGTCATACTTCATGGAATTGTTAACGCTAAATACATTGCCATTAAATTCAGTAACAAGGTGTTGAAGTATTCAGGCAACAGTATCTTTAGTAAAACTTTTCTGGAAGTATACTATAAAAAATGTGAAAATTATTCAATGAGAAAAACAAAATCACAGTGATACATAATTGAAATGACATCATGACATCATAAACAAGGAATTCACAAAAATATAGTTAATAATGGTTGACTTAAAAAGTGAAAAGTTCAAGAAAGTTTGCAAAGCTTATAAGATTAATAGTATTCAAGACTGATGAGAATATGTTAACAGAGAAACATTTGTTCCCTGTTGGTGGGAAGAAAATAAATCCAACGATTATGGCTATATATACATCAAAATGTATACTTTAACTCTCTTATCCAGCAAATTCCCTAGGAACTTATCCTCTACCCCCCAAAAATTCTGAGATATGGCTAACAATTTCTTTATAAGAATGTTAATTTCAGTATTATTTAGAATAGCTAAATATTAAATATAACCTGAATGTCTAACAAAAAATATTGGTTTTTAAATATGCAATGTCCATTTAATAGGATATATCCATTTGTTAGAAAACCATGGAGGAATTAGTTAACTGAAATTGGACTTCTAAGTTTCTCCTGTTTCTAATGCCCATACAAATTAATGACTTTTTGTTTTTGAGTCTGGCTTGATAATCCTCTAGAGTAATAATTTTCTTTTTAGATATTTATTTATATATATTGTGCAAAGAAGAAAAAAAGCTACATTCTATTTAGTTGTGGGAAGAGGAGTGGGATGAAATAGAAAAAATAAAAAATAGGCAGTGATGAAACTGGTGTTTGTAAAGATAAGGTGAAAAGCTATGTTATTTCACATGAAGACATATAAATCAACAGGTTTCTCATATTCTCCATACCTCCAAATGTGCCTTTCTTAGAATTATAGCAATCCAGAGCTAGCAATTACATTTTGGTAATGTCTGGGACTGCCCCCATCCTCAACTCCAACATCCTTATTTTATTTTATTATACTTTAAGTTCTGGGATACATGTGCAGAACATGCAGGTTTGTTACATAGGTATACATGTGCCATGGTGGTTTGCTGCACCCATCAACCTGACATTAGGTGTTTCTCCTAATGCTGTCCCTCCCCTAGCCCCCCACCTCCTGGCAGGACCTGTTGTGTGATATTTTCCTCCCTGTGTCCACGTGTTCTCATTGTTCAACTCCCACTTATGAGTGAGAACATGGGGTGTTTTGTTTTCTGTTCCTGTGTTAGTTTGCTGAGAATGATTGTTTCCAGCTTCATCCACATTCCTACAAAGGACATGAACTCATCCTTCTTTATGGCTGCATAGTATTCCATGGTGTCTATGTGCCACATTTTCTTTATCCAGACTATCACTGATGGACATTTGGGTTGGTTCCAAGTCTTTGCTATTGTGAATAGTGCTGCAATAAACATACATGTGCATGTGTCTTTATAGTAGAATGATTTATAATCCTTTGGGTATATACCTAGTAATGGGATTGCTGGGTCAAATGGTATTTCTGGTTCTAGATACCTGAGGAATCACCACAATGTCTTCCACAATGTGTGAAATAAGTCTACTGGTTCAATTGAAGATACAGAAGTTCAATTTTAAAGGTTAACACAGATTCCAGATAACTCTTCCTCTTGTCATTCAACTGTGCAGTTCCCAGCCCTTTCCTACCAGACTTACACGTGTGCAAGTTAATGAATCAAAGAATAGAGAATTTGACCTATTTAAATATCAGACTCATAAATTATATATAGGCATGTGATCTTCTCATTCTCTCCCATTATTGTTTTCTGGGATACCCTTTGCCATTAATCTTACCTGCACAAAGAAGGATGCTATTTAGGATAGTATTACAAAAAGAGCCGCTCCTGAGAGTCAGCAAGGTGGGATGCCGTCCTAGGTTTGCTAATGATTTTTTTTAAGTTAGATTTTTATAAACAACAATTCTTGTGACTAAATAATTGACCAGCTGTATGGTGTTAGGAAACTTATTTCATGTTTTTTGGCCTTATATTCTTACATTTTTGTCTGTAGGGTGAGGGTCCCAGATTAAAGTATGACTGGCATTCTTTCTTGCCCCCGTCTATAATTCTAATCCTCTCTAGGAGATGGAAGCACCTTTATAATTTTTTGGTGATACATGGTGGTTAAACAATGTACCAACTCTGAACCAAAAAAAAAAGCTCAGAAGGATAGGGAAAAACAAAAAAACTATGTGATAAAACTAAATTAAAAGAATGTTTCCTTAAAGCTATTTTGAAAATCTATCTGAAATCACATTCTATGTCATGCTTCATGGAATTGTTAACACTAAATGTATTACTATTAAAGTCAGTAACAATGAATATTATAAGGGCTTAACAATTCTGTCTAGTTTATGTTCCCCAAGAAGAGGCCCCCAAACAAGTATTCACATTTATGTTTAAATGGTTTTTTTCAGAGATGATCCCAGAAAGCATCAGAAGGGCAGTAAGGAAAAAAGGCAGGGAAGGTAAGGTAGCTAATAAAGGATGCATTAACAAGCTAGTACCTTAATCTCACTGGCAACTCCATGTGTCAGTGTAGAATCAGTCAGCCTCAATTAATTATATCTCTGTCACCCACAGTGACGAAGCAGCTAGGGTATTTATTATATACTAATCCCTGTCAATTATTAGTTAAGGGCTGCTTCTTAGTGGGAAGGAGTATCTCTTGATTCCCTGGTACTCCAGTCTGCTCTGCATACTGGCAGAGTGGACTTTAGCTCCAGAAAAAGCCCTAAGGCAGTTTGGAAGTCTGGCTTGCACCATAATAGTAAGGCCTAAGGAATATGGTTGGGGGCATAGACAGTGTTTGCTACACCATCTTAACAAGATCATTCTAGATACTGATACAAATACCTATATTTTTAGGCATTAGTGATTTTTTTTCTATAAGTAGAAACATAGCTGGACCTCAGCCAAGGTGCTTATTACTGCAGAAATGAAAGAACCTTGTTATAACCCAGCTCATCTGTAGAACATTGGTCTTCAGCACCAACTGCTAATACAATTATATATACTTTCTGACAAATCTTCTATTAATAATAGGAAACATGACTTTTGTTTTAAGACTGGAAAAGACTAGACCCACTTTAATCCTATGAACCAATCATCCTGCAAACCATATGAGAAATGATGCTGTCAACTTGTAATATACAAACTATAATTTCCCTGCATTGCATGGGAAGAGGGACTCTGAATTTATCCTCAGTAACCATTGTTATACTTTGACAACTATATGAAAAGATGAATGAACATTTCCATGTCTTATGAACATTAAAATGCCAAAGCACTTAAAATTTTTTCCAAATGACTAGATCCTAGCATGATGTCTGTTACATAGTAGGTACTTAAAAGGTAAAATATAGTTTTTGAAATGTATTTACCATTCACAGTGAACCTTCAGGATTAAATTGGTCCTTTCTCTTATTTATTTTCAAAGATTGAGCTCCTACAACATGTTAGGCACTGCTAATTTAGAACTTTAGCTAGATGAATGTCTGTGTATTATCTGGCAGAGATAAATAACTCAAGTTTCTTACTAATATTAGACAACATAGTTAACCATAGATGTCTTCCTACAATTAGAAGAAATCGTCATCCTTAATGTAAATTTTAGAGACTTGTTTGTTTTTCAAAAACTCTTCCTCTATCTGTTCAAGCCTCCTTTCCTTTCCATTCCCCTTCATTATTCTAGCTGTTTGACAGCTTCCTTAATAGGAGAATAGCTTACTAAAAACTCCTGGGAAATTTATAGAAGATTACGCACAGAGGCAGTCTCTGCATTTCCTGTATTTCTTCTTAGTAGGACATTGCATTTAATTGATAAGTCAGTTTGTGCCTAGTAAATACCATGATGGTTTCACTTACTCTTCAGATGTTCTAAAATATGTAAACTGTGTGGATAATTTGGTACTTGCCGAAGACTCCTAACCCCACTGCTCCAGAAATCACAACACTCTTTTGTTCACTAATTGTTTTAAGGTTCAATCTAGTTAGTTAACTGTGAAATTTTGCATCTTCTGTGACAGTGTGTGCAAGCTTTGTTACTATGCCTGTCATTAAACCAGCTCTACCTTTAGTCCTGGCAAATTAGTGATGCTTTTGCAGTTAGCTCAGTAATTTTTAGAGAGAAAATTTTGCTTTTATTAAAGGCTGCTCCTCAACTTTATTCCTGTGTCCTTGACATGCTCAAAGTTTTAGAATAAGATACTCAGTATCAACAAAATAAATTGAGTCATTTTTGTTTTTTCATTTATTCAATAATTTCAAAAAAGAAAAATATCATCCCTGAGAGGTCAAAGATAAAAAAGGAATAATTTCATTTATTTACTAAAAGGAATAATTTCACTTATTTACAAAATGGCATGTTTTGTAAAGAAAAGTCTGTGGAAGTCCTTGCCAGAGCAATCAGGCATTAAAAAAAAATAAAAAAAAAGGCATCCAAATTGGAAAAGAGGAAGTCAAATTATTTCTGCTCACTGATGATATGATCTTATATCTAGGAAACTCTAAAGACTCCACCAAAAAAACTCTGAGATTCGATAAATGAATACAGTAAAGCTGCAGGATACAAAATCAACATAAAAAAATCAGTAGCATTC
The DNA here is from genome assembly GCF_000001405.40 of Homo sapiens. Taxonomy (NCBI): domain Eukaryota; kingdom Metazoa; phylum Chordata; class Mammalia; order Primates; family Hominidae; genus Homo; species Homo sapiens. The sequence goes on along the minus strand of NC_000011.10, from coordinate 85,362,432 downwards.
TATACACCAGTAGTGATCTATCTGAGGACCAAATCAAGAAGGCAATCTCATTAACAATAGCTACCCAAAAAACCCAAAAACAAACAACAAACAAACAAACAAAACCTAGGGACATATTAAATCAGGGAGGCAAAAGATCTCTATAAGTAGAACTACAAAAAATAAACAAATCACAGGAGGCTGGGCATGATAGCTTATGCGTATAATTCCAGCACTTGGGGTGCCCAAGGTGGGAAACGGCTTGAGCCCAGGAGTTCAAGACCAGCCTGGGCAACATAGTGAGACTCCCTCTCTACAAAAATGCAAAAATTAGACAGGTGTGCTGGTCCATGCCAGTAGTCCCAGCTACTTGGAAGGATCACTTGAGCCTGGGAGGTCGAGGCTGCAGTGAGCCATGATTGCACCACTGCACTCCAGCCTCAGTGACACAGCAAGACTTTGTCTCAAAAAAAGAGAACTAAATCATAGATGACAAGAACAAATGGAAAAAAATCCCATGCTCATGGATTGGAAGAATCGGTATCTTAAAATGACCACACTGTCCAAAGCAATCTACAGATTCAACACAATCCCTATCAAATTACCAATGTCATTTTCCCCAGAATTAGAAAAAACAATCCCCAAATTCAAAAGGAACGAAAAAGGAGCCCAAATACACAAAGAAATCCTGAGCTAAAAGATCAAAGTTGGAGGCATCACATTACTGACTTCAAATTAAACTACAAGGCTATAGTGACCAAAACAGCGTATATACGCACATGCTGTGGATACTACTCAGCTATATAAAAAGTCCTGAAATCATGTCTTTTGCAGCAACAAGGATGGAACTGGAGGCCATGATCCTGACTGAAATAACTCAGAAACAGATAGTCAAATATCACATGTATTCACTTACAAGAGGGAACTAAACAATGCGTACACATGGACATGCAGAGTGGAATAATAGCCATTGGAGACTCCAAAAGGTGGGAGGGGGTGAGGGTTGAAAAATTATTTATTGGGTACAATGTTCAGTATTGGGTGATGGGTACACTGAAAGCCCAGACTTCACCACTACAGAATGTATGCATGTAAGAAATCTGCACTTGTACCCCCTAAGTATATAAAAATTAAAAAAAAAAATAGAAAAGTCTGTGGAATAAGCAGCTACTCGGGAGGCTGAGGCAGGAGAATTGCTTGAACCAGGGAGGCGGAGTTTGCAGTGAGCCAAGATCGTGCCACTGCACTCCAGCCTGGGTGACAGAGTGAGACTTTGTCTAAAGAAAAAAGTTTGTGGACCAAGAATAACAGAATCTGGGGTCTGGGATCTGGCATGACTGTGCCTTTAACAAGACAAATTGTGTGACCTTGTACAAGTCACTCAGACTCTCTGTTTTCCTGATCCATAAAAAAGAAGAAGATTTTATTTTTTTTTCATAGAGCTGTAAAAATACAATGAAATACTATAGGGAAGAGCTTTACATACAATGAGACTCTCTATACATGTAAGGTATTTTTGCTATTACTACTATTATTACCACTGTAGTCATTTATAAGTTGGTGACCTTGGCTAAGTTAACTTTTCTGAGCTTTCATTTCCTCACTTGTATGAAGACTTCTTCTGTGTTCAATTTTATGTTGATACCAGGAGAGATTTTATTGAGAAGGGCGTCCTGGAAGAGAATTTTGAAGTTGAATCACTCTTAGCTTGGGAGAAGGGGAGGACACTTCCAGTAAAGTTGAAAGTGTGAGCAAAGTTTGAAGCATCCTGGTAATTTAAAACTGGAAGCAATTTGGAAGGAGCCTCCTGTGTGGTGGGATAAAAGTCAAAGATAAGACTCCACGGAGAAGATCAGACCAAACTAATCAGTTAGGACAGCATTCTCCAGTGAAGAGGTGGCCCTGACTGATTCTAAGCAAAAATAAGACTTACAGCTATGAGGAGGATGAACTGGGTTGTAGAAGAATAGTAGTGAAGGTAAGACCCGGCTAATAACAAAACTTACCATGTACTAAATGCTTACAGAACATTGTGCTAGGCTTTTTACATGTCTTATGTCATTTAATCCTAAGAACAATTATGTGACTTAAGCCCTAATATTATTCTCCTCCTACAGGTGAGGAAACGGAAGCACAAAAAGGCTAAGCCACACTCAAAGTTACACACCTAGTGATTAGAAGAATGGAAGCCTTTCAGACATTACAGCCTATATTCTCAGTTGTTACAGTGTATTGCGTACTTTTATTTTAAAACCCTTGTTTTCTAAACTGACAACTAGAAACCGCTGACAAGTGTGTTAAAAATCATACCACAGGAGTTTTGAATTGTAGAGGACTTTTCCGTCCAACTGAATCCTTCACACAGCACAGGGATCATCTGTATAATGCCTGTGGGTAATCTTTCGCTCTGCTTCAGCACACGCCCTGAGTATGCAGGGTGTGTGAGCTGAGTATAGAGAGAATGAGTCTCTCTGATAATTTTTCTCATGTTGTAAGCTCCATCCTCTGGAGAACACTTGGTTATATAAACCATTTTTTTCACACGATAGTTCTTTAGACATGATCATGTCTCATCACCCAAATCTTCTTTTCTTTTGTGTGTGACGGGGAGAACCTCTTCCTTTTTTTGTGCTATAATGTATTCTACTCCTCTGTAGTACTCCTTCACCACCCTACTTTAACAGTCATTGAGTTTCTTATTGTTTTGTTCACGTTGTTGCGCCCTCCCCTATGGTGTTTGCTGTCATATCATGTTTCTTATTAAAGAGCATTGCCTGAACTGTCAGCTCTCTAATTATACTACAGCATAATTACAACCATGTTAAACAATTATTTGTTGTGCATATCACCTCTAGTTGATTAAGAGGTGCTTAAGGGCAAGAGCCATGTCTTATTGATCTTTATTTCTCCCACAGTGCTCAGCATAGCACTATGTACACATCAGATTTGTGATTAAATGTTTCTTGAACAAATTATAATGACCAGCTTGATATTGAAAGGGTATAGATTTTAGTAAAGTAGTTTTTCCTATTCTTATCTTGCTCTGATCTCTGAAAATACAATTATTTTTCCCTTTAAGGTTGAGAACTTATGGTTTGTTTTTGTTAATTGCTGGTTGAAAGGTAGGCTTAAATTAATCTTCTTATACTTGGTGGAATTTTATAGAGTGAAGACATATGTTGAATGAAGCGGATTGCTTCCATTCATCTAATCCTAATTACCACTGAGCATTGAGCTATCTTGAGCTTGAAGATGTGTTCATTAGAGAATCTGAAGTGAACTCCACCCATTGGGACATGAGGTTAAAAGCCAACTTAATGAGACTGTGTAAATTATTCGTGTGATAACAATGTCTTTGCATAGTCTAGGGAAGATCAAGGCTTTATCTGCTTTTCACTAAATAATTTGCTGAAATTGCATTCCTGGAGGTTTTTAAATTTTTGGTTCTTATATTAACAAATGGCAAATCTAGTATAAATTTAGATAAAGCGCAGAGTAGTGAGTTCTGAAGAGAAAAAAACTTAGGTAAGATAAAGAAAAAAAGTAATTAGCTGTGAGGAAATAGATGCCATTTTGTTTTAAACTGAGGAAGCCAACAAGAAGTTGTTAAAATCTACCATTGTCTTATAAAGAGAAGGGTAATGGCTCCTTAAGTTGTATCTGTGTACATTCAATAAGCAATTATTTATCAGATATCTACTAATTGCCACACTATTCTGAGTATTTGAAAGAATTTAAGATTCAGTGTTTGGTTCCAGCTAGAAGTTTACATCTGGTTCAGAAGACATTATTGATAACACTTGAAGCAATTTGGAACACTGCAAGACAATATATAGCATGTGCTAAATTATACTGGCTCTGATTTTATAGTCTTTGCCTTGAACACTTGAACACAGCATCCCTTTCACTGCCCTGGTTCAGCACCTCATTATCTCTGGTTTTGAATATTGCAATAATTTTTAGAGCATGGTTCAGTGCTCAAATATTTGTTGTCTGAATGGGTAAATACATGAGCAGCCCAGATTTAAATACTATGGAAAATTAGAGGAAAAGACTGGGATCTGGATTAGTCAGTGCAGACTGCTTGTAGAGGGTGTTATTTAAGTTGAAAGCCACATGGGAAACCTGGTAGAAAGAGAGTAAACACAGAGAGTGAGGGAGCTGTGGTTGTCTGTCAAAATATGAACACCATGTAATTGAAGTGAAAAATCCCAGTATCTACTTCTGTGATTTCTTTTTAAATGTCTTGTTAGCTAATAACTTTCATTCCAACTATTTTTTTAAAAAAGTTTACAGTCAGGTGCCATGGTTGAAAAGTCATTTTTTTCCTTCTTCTCTTCTTCCCTTCTGTTCTTTTTTTTGTTTTTCAGGCGATTTTCCATATTTCTTTTCTAATCTCTTAATCACCATCTTAGGGTTTAATTCTCAGAGGCTGATCCTTTTCCTTTATTTCTAAGTTCTTGGAGATAACCTCTAGCATAGTAGCTCAGAACATAGGTAGAATTTGGAGGCAGACTGCCTGATTTGAATCCTAATACTTCTGTTTACTAGTTTTGTGATGATAGATTATCCTTCCTGTTCTTCAATTTCTTCATCTGCAAATTGAGAGGAAGAAGAGCAATATAACATTCACCTCTAACAGTTGTCATGAGGATAAAATGTGCACATGTACCCTAGAACTTAAAGTATAAAATATATATATATATATATATATATATATATATATATATATATATATATATATATATAATTCAGAACAGTGCCTGGCGTATTGTACATATATAGTAGCCATATTAGCCTCCAAATTCTTACAAGAAAGATAACCTTTGGCTGAATAATAAATTTAGCCACTATTGACTTTTAAGTGTCAGGAAAAGAGGAAGCCAGCAAACTAGATCAGAAGACTTGTAGTCATAGATAAGAATAAAAACAATTACAACAGTGCCACCTCCAACTACTTAAAGGAGAGAGGATATTCTCACGCCTGTAATCCCAGCACTTTGGGAGGCTGAGGTGGGTGGATCACGAGGTCAGGAGATTGAGACCATCCTGGCTAACACGGTGAAAACCCTTCTCTACTAAAAATACAAAAAATTAGCTGGGCATGGTGGCGGGCACCTGTAGTCCCAGCTACCCGGGAGGCTGAGGCAGGAGAATGGCATGAACACACACACACACACACACACACACACACACACACACACACACACACACAAAGAGGATATTGAAAGGAATCTGATAGGTTGCTCTCAAACCTTATCTTTTTGGAGGTATGCATAGTGAAAAGGAAATGCAGGCTGCTCTGTGACTTGCTTCTCCTCCTGTCCTCACCTTCTAAAAATCATTTTAAAAAGTACTAATAGTTACAATTTATTGAGCACCTACTTGGTGCCATTTCTATAAGAGACACAGGCCTAATTAAGTTCTGTAAATTGCCAAATATTATATACATGAATTTGAAACTTAGGTTTGACTGACATAAGAACCCAGAAGCTTCCCAGTAAAATATTCTGCTTCCTAAGCCTTTTAACCACATTCTGGAAACACACTGTTGAGGAGTGGGGGTGGAATAAGTGAAACAATTTTCACTGAGCAAAATGAAAGAGTGTGTGTCTGTCTATCATCTCTATCTATCTATCTATCTATCTATCTATCTATCTATCTATCTATCTATCTACTTACCTACTGTTTCTTTCTGGGCATGCTGTAGTAAACAAAGTAGACATGATTCCTGCCCTCTTGGAGCTCATACACTGAAAAGCAAGAATTCTACCTCTTTTGTAAATATGAAAAAATAAAAGCTTGAGATCATTGACTGATCAATGGACTAGTACATGCTCAAGGAATAAAATGCTGCTGTAGAAATTCATATCATTCTTTGTTGTAAGTGAACACAGTTTGTGGTTCTCTTGTTTTGAATGTCTCACTATAATAGGTCTATACCAGACTTATCAAAATTGGATCTCTGTCTCATAATAATTCCATAAATATTTCTTTGTACTCTAGGAGCTTGCATTTTCACTTTACATTTTCAACTCTCAGTATCAAGTGTGACTCCCTTTCCTCATCATTATGTAAAAAAAAAAGGACAAATTCTGTTACTCCTCAGTTTGAAGTAAACAGACTATAAAGTATCATACTGTGTTAAAGGCAAAAATGCCTCTGAAGAGGAAAAATTATTCAGCAAGGGCATTGTATAAGCAGGAGTAAAAAAAGAATATGGAATTACTATGAGCTATAGCAGCTGAAGATGAAGACTGTGTATTTAGAGAATGATTTCCCAGAAAAAGGCAACAAATGGAGAGTCTGTGGCTCTTCTGCCTCTTTTTCTTATAACTTTTTATGTGCAATATGAAATTGGCTTTAATCTGATTAAATGGATAGTTCAGGCAGTTTAAAATGAGATTCAGATTCTTTCATCTCTAAGCTCTGGGTCTAAAGAGCTAAAGCTATTACCCTTTGGTGGGTGTTTGGTGATCTGTGCAAGATGGATCACAGCCCAGCTTCTCAAAGGCAGATAGGTAGATCAGTAAATAGCTGACAAATGTTGGAAAAGGACAATCTCATTAGCTAGTTGAGCAATTTTGTTTTTAGAGGAAACCCAAGGGTGATTCGACTTGGAGATTAAACTCTTAGTCTTGGATAGCAAACAGGGCCACATTAACAAGGAATCATGGGAAATTGTTATCCTATATATATGGTTATATATATTGTTATCCAGCCTTTGCTGGAGCTTGGGATGCCTGATATTGGACTATCTAGAAATTTTCATTAACATTTTATTAAAAATAAAAAATTAGTCCTTTTGTCTTTAAAGCACATGCCTCAAACAAAAGTACAGCTTTTCCTTTATTGTTAAACACATAAATCTCAACTAGGCTTCTTATCAGCAACAAAGCTGTTATGAGAAACCTAGTATAATTTAAAGTTGATTAGACCATTTATTTCTTTTAAACATGAGCAACTGACTAATCAAAATTTAGGAAGAATCTTGATAAGTATTCTTTAATATATTAAATTCACAGGGAGTATGTTTGATTGTCATTTAAAAAGATAGGTATTTTTGGAAAAAAGAAAGTAAAATATAAAGAAAATAATGGATAATAATCCAGAAAACCCCACACTCATTTTAAAAATGTTTTAAAGTAATTAACAGATCATTTTCCATATATTTGATTTAATTTCAATAAAAGTGCTAATCAAATCTTTTATGCCTAGAAAAATACCTTGCACATAATGAAAACTCAGTGAATATTCAATCTTTTATTCAATCAACTGATCAATTGATCATCTTCTTGTGCTGAGCACTGAACTATTTAGTATAAATTGTGTATATACCACAAAAATTTCATGTATTATAACATTAAAGCCTGATTTATTAAATGGCATATTATAAATAGAAAATATATTGTCAAAATTTGCCAAAAATGTGCAAAAAACAAAATAGCATGATGTCACAAATTTTTAAAACTAAAAATCCAAAGTACTGGGCTATAATCCTTTGGCAAGAAATGTTATCTGTTTTTTTTTTAATTTATGAAACGAAGAGACAAGAGTTAATTATCTTTCACTTTTGTAGTGTCTTCTGTTCCTCTGTTCTAAGATATATGTGAAATGTGGGGAAGACCAGCCAAAAAAGCATTTGAAAAATTAATATTCATAAGAATGGGTAAGTGTGCACATGCGTGTATGTGTGTGTGTGTGTGTGAGAGAGAGAGAGAGAGAAACAGTGACGTTGGAAATCAGTCAAATGTGGTGCTCCTGGTAATGATTTGGCAGTTTCTCAACAAAATGTCAGCATACCAAGTACTAAACCAAAGATCAAGATGATATTCAACCCTCAGATAAATTAGATCCAAATCAGATGATAGATGTGGCACATTTGCTATCATGAAAAAAAAAATGTATTGGCTCCTTCATGAGATAAGACCCAGGAATTGTGAAAGCTGGAGACTTGGAATACCCCTGAAGAACAAGGGGAAGGAAATAATGACTTTATAAGAAGGTGACATTGTGAAAATTTATAGGCCTTCCCCTTTGTTCTTCTCATGCAGGAGAGTGACTGTCGTATATCTGAGTTTTGAGTGATTATATATATAAATAAATGTAGGTAATATCTGATGAGTGTGGTTGGTGTATAGGAGACAATAAATACTTAAATCATTTTTTTAAGTTAGTTTTAATTTATATCAATTTTTACGTTATGTCTTGAAATTATTCAAAGACATGAGATAATTTTTGGCTTAAAACTGCTATGATACTAAAAGATTGAAAGTTGGAAATCACTTTTTTATCTCCTTTATTTTGTGGAGATATAGGGTAGTGGGGCACGAAAGATGAGGCATAGAAAAAAATGAATAGTGCGAGAGGACCTAGGCATACATCTGATTCCTCCAAGTGAAATACTGCAGTGACTCTATTATGATTTAGTTTTTTTTTTTTATTAAGGAATTTCTTTTTTTTTTAATTATACTTTAAGTTCTAGGGTACATGTGCACGACGTGCAGATTTGTTACACATGTATACATGCGCCATGTTGGTGTGCTGCACCCATTAACTCATCATTTACGTTAGGTATTTTTCATAATGCTATCCCTCCCCCTTCCTCCCACCCCATGACAGGCTCCAGTGTGTGATGTTTCCCACTCTGTGTCCAAGTGCTCTCACTGTTGAATTCCCACCTATGAGTGAGAACATGCAGTGTTTGGTTTTCTGTCCATGAGATAGTTTGCTCAGAATGATGGTTTCCAGCTTCATCCATGTCCCTACAAAGGACATGAACTCATCCTTCTTTATAGCTGCATAGTATTCCATGGTGTATATGTGCCACATTTTCTTAATCCAGTCTATCATTGCTGGACATTTGGGTTGGTTCCAAGTCTTTGCTATTGTGAATAGTGCTGCAATAAACCTATGTGTGCACGTGTCTTTATAGCAGCATGATTTATAATCCTTTGGTTATATACCCAGTAATAGGATTGCTCGGTCCAATGGTATTTCTAGTTCTAGATCCTTGAGGAATTGCCACACTGTCCTCCACAATGGTTGAACTAGTTTACACTCCCACCAACAGTGTAAAAGCATTCCTATTTCTCCACATCCTCTCCAGCATCTGTTGTTTCCTGACTTTTTAATGATCACCATTCTAACTGGTGTGAGATGGTATCTCATTGTGGTTTTGATTTGCATTTCTCTGATGGCCAGTAATGATGAGCATTTTTTCACATGTCTGTTGGCTGCATAAATGTCTCATTTTAAGAAGTGGCTGTTCATATCCTTTGCCGACTTTTTGATGGGGTTGTTTGTTTTTTTCTTGTAAATTTGTTTAAGTTCCTTGTAGATTCTGGATATTAGCCCTTTGTCAGATGGGTAGATTGCAAAAATTTTCTCCCATTCTATAGGTTGCCTGTTCACTCTGATGGTAGCTTCTTTTGCTGTGCAGAAGCTCTTTAGTTTAATTAGATCCCATTTGTCAATTTTGGCTTTTGTTGCTATTGCTTTTGGTGTTTTAGACATGAAGTCCTTGCACATGCCTATGTCCTGAATGGTATTGCCTAGGTTTTCTTCTAGGGTTTTTATGGTTTTTGGTCTAACATTTAAGTCTTTAATCTATCATAAATTAATTTTTGTACAAGGTGTAAGGAAGGGATCCAGTTTCAGCTTTCTACATATGGCTAGCCAGTTTTCCCAGCACCATTTATTAAATAGGGAATCCTTTCCCGATTTCTTGTTTTTGTCAGGTTTGTCAAAGATCAGATGGTTGTAGATGTGTGGTATTATTTCTGAGGGCTCTGTTCTGTTCCACTGGTCTATATCTCTGTTTTGGTACCAGTACCATGCTGTTTTGGTTACTGTAGCCAGAATCTCTGGTACACATTTAAAGCAGAGTGTAGAGGGAAATTTATAGCACTAAATGCCCACCAGAGAAAGCAGGAAAGATCTAAAATCAATCCTAACATCACAGTTAAAAGAACTGAGAAGCAAGAGCAAACACATTCAAAAGCTAGCAGAAGGCAAGAAATAACTAATATCAGAGCAGAACTGAAGGAGATAGAGACACAAAAACCCTTCAAAAAATCAGTGAATCCAGGAGCTGGTTTTCTGAAAAGATCAACAAAATAGGTAGACCACTAGCTAGACTAATAAAGAAGAAAAGAGAGAAGAATCAAATAGACGCAATAAAAAATGATAAAGGGGATATCACCACCAATCCCACAGAAATATAAACTACCATCAGAGAATACTATAAACACGTCTATGCAAATAAACTAGAAAATCTAGAAGAAATGGATAAATTCATGGACACATACACCCTCCCAAGACTAAACCAGGAAGAAGTTGAATCCCTGAATAGACCAATAACAGGCTCTGAAATTGAGGCAATAATTAATAGCCTACCAACCAAAAAAAGTCCAGGACCAGATGGATTTACAGCCAGATTCTATCAGAGGTACAAAGAGGAGCTGGTACCATTCTTTCTGAAACTATTCCAATCAATAGCAAAAGAGAGAATCCTCCCTAACTCATTTTATGAGGCCAGCCTCATCCTGATGCCAAAGCCTGACAGGGACGCAACAAAAAAAGAGAATTTTAGCCCAATATCCCTGATGAATATCGATATGAACATCCTCTGTAAAATACTGGCAAACTGAATCCAGCAGCACTTCAAAAAGCTTATCCACCACGATCAAGTTTGCTTCATCCCTGGGATGCGAGGCTGGTTCAACATGCACAAATCAGTAAATATAATCCATCACGTAAACAGAACCAACAACGAAAACCACATAATTATCTCAATAGATGCAGAAAAGGCCTTCGACAAAATTCAATAGCTCTTCATGCTAAAAACTCAATAAACTAGGTACTGATGGAACGTATCTCAAAATAATAAGAGCTATTTATGACAAACCCACAGCCAATATCATACTGAATGGGCAAAAACTGGAAGCATTCCCTTTGAAAACTGGCACAAGACAAGAATGCCCTCTCTCACCACTCCTATTCAACATAGTGTTGGAAGTTCTTGCCAGGGCAATCAGGCAAGAGCAGGAAATAAAGGGTATTCAATTAGGAAATGAGGAAGTGAAATTGTCCCTGTTTGCAGTTGACATGATTGTATATTTAGAAAACCCCATCATCTCAGCCCAAAATCTCCTTAAGCTGATAAGCAGCTTTGGCAAAGTTTGACTGATAAAAAATCAATGTGCAAAAATCACAAGCATTCCTATACACCATTAACAAACCAACAGAGAGCCAAATCATGAGTGAACTCCCATTCACAATTGCTACAAATAGAATAAAATACTTAGGAATACAACTTACATGGGATGTGAAGGACCTCTTCAAGGAGAACTACAAACCACTGCTCAACGAAATAAAAGAGGACACAAACAAATGGAAGAAAATTCCATCCTCATGGATAGGAAGAATCAATATCATGCAAATGGCCATACTGCCCAAGGTAATTTACAGATTCAATGCCATCCCCATCAAGCTACCAATCACTTTCTTCACAGAATTGGAAAAAACTTCTTTAAAGTTCATATGGAACCAAAAAAGAGCCTGCATTGCCAAGACAATCCTAAGCCAAAAGAACAAAGCTGGAGGCATCACGCTACCTGACTTCAAACTATACTACAAGGCTATAGTAACGAAAATAGCATGGTACTGGTACCAAAACAGAGACATAGACCAATGGAACAGAACAGAGGCCTCAGAAATAATACCACACATCTACAACCATCTGATCTTTGACAAGCCTGACAAAAACAAGAAGTGGGGAAAGGATTGCCTATTTAATAAATGGTGCTGGGAAAACTGGCTAGCCATACGTAGAAAGCTGAAACTGGATCCCTTCCTTATACCTTGTACAAAAATTAATTCAAGATAGATTAGAGACTTAAATGTTAGACCTAAAACCATAAAAACCCTAGAAGAAAACCTAGGCAATACCATTCAGGACATAGGCATGGGCAAGGACTTCATGACTAAAACACCAAAAGCAATGGCAACAAAAGCTAAAATTGACAAATGGGATCTAATTAAACTAAAAAGCTCCTGCACAGCAAAAGAAGCTACCAGCATAGTGAACAGGCAACCTACAGAATGGGGGAAAATTTTTGCAATCTACTCATCTGACAAAGGGCTAATATCCAGAATCTACAAAGAACTTAAACAAATTTACAAGAAAAAAACAACTGCATCAAAAAGTGGGCAAAGGATATGAACAGACACTTCTCAAAAGAAGACGTCTATGTAGCCAACAGATATGTGAAAAAATGCTCATCATCACTGGTCATCAGAGAAATGCAAATCAAAACCACAATGAGATGCCATCTCATGCCAGTTAGAATGGCAATCATTAAAAAGTCAGGAAACAACAGATGCTGGACAGGATGTTGAGAAATAGGAATGCTTTTACACTGTTGGTGCTAGTGTAAATTAGTTCAACTATTGTGGATGACAGTGTGGCGATTCCTCAAAGATCTAGAACTAGAAATACCATTTGACCTAGCAATCCCATTACTGGGTATATACCCAAAGGATTATAAATCATTCTACTATAAAGACACGTGCACACGTATGTTTACTGCAGCACTATTCACACTAGCAAAGACTTGGAACCAACCAAAATGTCCATCAGTGACAGACTGGATTGAGAAAATGTGGCACATATACACCATGGAATACTATGCAGCCATAAAAAAGGATGAGCTCATGTCCTTTACAAGGAAATGGATGAAGCTGGAAACCATCATTCCCAGCAAACTATCACAATGACAGAAAACCAAACACTGCATGTTATCACTTATAGGTGGGAATTGAACAATGAGATCACTTGGACACAGGGTGGGGAACATCACACACTGGGGCCTGTTGGAGGGTAGAGGGCTGGGGGAGGGATAGCATTAGGAGAAATACCTAATGTAAATGATGAGTTGTTGGGTGCAGCAAACCAACATGGCACATGTATACCTATGTATCAAACCTACACATTGTGCACATGTACCCTAGAACTTTGAGTATAATAATAATAAAAAAAAGTCCATCCAGGTGTGGTTGCATTCTTTAGTTTTCTTTTCAGCTATAAATAATGAGGTAACAGGTAGTGGATAGAAGGCACTTAGTGTTTCTTTTGGTGTTTCTTTCAGAGTCTGCTGTCTGTCATGCTTGTATTTTATTGTATTGTTTATCTACAAACAGTCTGCTCAGTTAGAGTTAAGGTCTCTGTTTTAATGTTAATGCTGTCTGTCATGCTTGTATTTGTTTATCTACAAACAGTCTGCTCAGTTAGAGTTAAGGTCTCTGTTTTAATGTTAATGCTGGTCAGTTGAGCCTGAATTCCAAAGAAAGAAAGCTATAAAGAGGCATGTCCAACCACCCATTCCAATCATGGCCTGAACTGGTGTTTCTGGTTAACTTGGAATGCCCTTGGCTGAGAGGAGGAGTCCATTCAGTTGGTTGGGGGCTTAGAATTTTATTTTTGGTTTACATGAGCAACTCAATGATTTTTAAACAGGGGAAGTAAATTAATCAAATTTGCATGTTAGAAAGAATACTGTCAGCAGTGTTATAATAATTTAAATGAAAAATAATGAGTGTGAATCAAGATATACTAATGGGGATGGAGATGAAGGGATGACTGGAGAGATGCTTAGAGATATAATTGACAGAACTTAGTGATTGACTGGATGTAAATGTGAGGTAGACAAAAGAATCTGGAATGACTCCTAAATTTCTGGCTTGCACTATTCAATGAGAATTTTATCTCCAAGGAAAGGAAAGTACAGGAAAGTTAGGTTGCTATTTTGGGGTAATCATGGAGGGGGGAAAGAGATAATAACTTCAGTTTGGGGCATTGAATTTAAAATGCCGGTTGGCTGCTAAATGCCTTGGTATAACTTCTGATCATAAATTCAGAATGCTTCTTATGTTAGGCATGGTGGCTCATGCCTGTAATCCCAGCACTTTGAGAGGTCGAGGCGGGCGGATCACGAGGTCAGGAGATTGAGACCATCCTGACCAACATGATGAAACCCTGTCTCTACTAAGAAAGTACAAAAATTAGCTGGGCTTGGTGGTGCGGGCCTGTAGTCCCAGCCACTCAGGAGGCTGAAGCTGAAGAATCACTTGAACCTGGGAGGCTGAAGTTGCAGTGAGCTGAGATCGTGCCACTTCACTCCAGCCTCGTGACAGAGTGAGACTCTGTCTCAAAAAAAAGAAATAAAAACAAAAAATAAAGAGGTTGAGACCATCCTGGCCAACATGGTGAAACCCTGTCTCTACTAAAAAGTACAAAAATTAGCTGGGCATGGTGGCATGCGCGTGTAGTCCCAGCTATTTGAGAGGCTGAGGCAGAAGAATCGCTTGAACCAGGGAGGCGGAAATTGCAGTGAGCCAAGATTGTGCCACTGCACTCCACTCCAGCCTGGCAACAGAGCGAGACTCTGTCTCAAAAAAAAAAAAAAAAAAAAAAAAAAAAAAAAGTTAAGTGTGGTGGCATGAGTCTGTAGTCCCAACTACTTGGGAGGCTGAGGTGAGCGGATTGCTTAAACCCAGGAGGTCGAGGCTGCAATGTGCCGAGATTGCACCTCTGCACTCCAGCCTGGGTGACAGAGTGAGACTTGCTCTCAAAAAAAAAAAAAAAAAAAAAAAAGAGTGCCTCTTAGTGTACCATGCCCTTGATAGGGGGAAAAAGTCAATAGTTATGTAGGAGACACGGGAAAACTTCCCCTTTGCCCTCTGAAGTTTTGCTAAAAAATCAACTGACAAAAGGCAGATCAATAGGAAAAAAAGGCATACAGATTAATTAACATCATGGGGGAGTTCATGGTGATTACCTCAATCTCCCAGTAGAGTACAGAAGCTTATATACCCTTTTATATAGGGGACAGAGGAGAGGGGAAATGTGACAGTTTTTTGACATACAGTAAATGATTACTAGAAAGAATGAATGGACCAAGGAGACAGAAATTAATTTGTAAATAATTTTCTTTGGAATTTGAATGAGCCCAACAGGCAGGCATTGTCTTGCTAAAAAGTCCATCCAGGTCTGGTTGCTTTCTTGTTTTATTTTCTGCAATCAGATAACAGGGAGTGGATAGAAGGCGCTTGTGTTTCTTTTAGTAAGAAGCTTTCTTGGCCAGATTAGAAAATTCCAGAGAGAGCCCCTCCCTGTGCTTCAGGGGGAGAAACAAGACAAGCTTAGGGGGAGCATGATTCTGAGACTAATTTCTGAGGCCTTTCGGTTTTCAAAAGCACTCAGCATGCCCAAATGTCATAATTTGGGTGATTATTTTCTGCACCCCCAAAAGTGGCAAAGTGGAACAAGAATATATACATTATACATACATACATCTATATTGTTTCTTTGACTTTTGGAATGACTATTTTGAGGTGAGCAATGGTGATTTGAAATTCCTTTTTATGTGTGGTTGCATTTTCCTTTTATGTCCCACCTATGATTCCTTTCTCTACTTCTGTGAAGTCTTTATCCTGACCCTTGGCCAGAGCTTCCATATTTCCTGGCTGTGTCCTTTTGCCTACAACCCCATTCTACAAATCCTGACCCTCAGTCTGCCTTCTCCATTCATTGACTACTTCCCGCCTCCCACCTGTTAAGGGAATGGATGCCTCACCATTATTTGCCCTTTCTTTGTGATGTCCTTTACTGTTTTTAACATCTTATTGCAGTCCCATTGTCACAGGCGTTTGAACCAAAGCGACTCCATTTTGAGTGAGGGCTAGGAAAATGAGGCTAGGACTTGCTGGGCTGCATTCTCAGAAAGTTAGACATTTCTTGCCTCTAGATGTTTACGGTTAAGGGAACAAATTAATAGTGCTTACTAAACAGACCCAGACTTGGGAGTGTCTACGTATTCTGATTTCTGGAGAACAAAGGCATTCTTAATTTTGCTTTAAAGACAATAATATCGGTTATTGCAAAATATAGTAATTAAGAAAATTGGCCAGGCGCGGTGGCTTAAGCCTGTAATCCCAGCACTGTGGGAGGCCGAGGCGGGCAGATCACGAGGTCAGGAGATCAAGACCATCCTGGCTAACATGGTGAAACTCCGTCTCTACTAAAAATACAAAAAATTTAGCTGGGCGTGGTGGCAGACACCTGTAGTCCCAGCTACTCGGGAGGCTGAGGCAGGAGAATGGCGTGAACCCAGGAGGCAGAGCTTGCAGTGAGCCGAGATAGCGCCACTGCACTCCAGCCTGGGCAACAGAACGAGACTCTGTCTCAAAGAAAAAAAAAAAAAGAAAGAAAATTAATCCTTTATCACAAACCCTTGTAGCAGAGCACATCTCATATATACAAGCATCGTACCTAAGGTGGACGCGTTCCTCCTCTGACTTTCAGGAACGTCCTACTCTGTCTATGGAGTAGCTGTTCTTTCACCACTTTACTTTCTTAATATACTTGCTTTTACTTTGCACTGTGGACTCGCCCTGAATTCTTTCTTGTACGAGATCCAAGAACCCTCTTTTGGGGTCTGGATAGGGACCTCTTCCCTGTAACACCATGAATCTCATTTGTCGAAGCACACAAACCAGATTTGGCGTTTGTTTTTTTTAAAGCAATAGTTATCATATGTGATCAACTAACTTTTGCTCTGGAGAAGGCAACACAAAGGCATGCAGCTGTGCTCTTTGGGGTAACAATTCTCAATGGTAATTTTTCTAAAACCTGTCATCTTGATCCTATTATCAGGCTAATGGGGGTAATAATTTCAGGCAAGTAGAAAGAGGGATGAAAGAGGGATGATTGCTGCTTTTTAGGCAGACCAGTTAAGGATGTATTTTATGGGAATATGAAAGGTCTTGCAGCCATGCAGCATGGCCCAGTGAAAGGATAATGGACTTTCCAGACAGACCTAATTTGAATCCTGGTTCCATTTCTGCCAGGTGTGTGATATCATGCAAATTCCTCAACTTCTGTATGTCTCAGATTTCTCAGAGGGTTGTTGTGAAATTCAAAATAAAAAATATGTGTAAAACTATGTACTACCTGACATCTGGTAGTGGTTCAACAATGTGTAAATTTCCTTTTCTTCTTAACGTCACTATCAAGCCACACCCTATGTACTTGCCTGTTCTTTTGAATTGGGGAGTCGGGGGTTCTCCCTTTGGAGAATTAAGCAATATTGTGCCCCAAGGAGCACCAAGACATGCCATACTTCCACAAAAGCTATTGATTACTGTAAATATCTTTCTAAGGAATGATCCTTATGCAACTTCCAAGATGAATTTTGGCAATATTTAGTATGATTTATAACAAGAATGAAGAGACCGTGTGCATAATGATTTGAAATGGTCTATTTTCACAGTGTTGGCTTTTGTACTTCAACCCTCAATGTGCTTCTTTACTCTTGACATAATGGGAGATATTTTATTTACTTGACTTTCTGGAGTATAGAAACCAACCGTATTGAGTTACTACCTATTCTACTTAAGTACAGTATTTTGCTGTTTTTTTTTTGTTTAAAATTATGTATTTGATTTGAACTTTATTGCTCTGTCTTGAGCAGTGTGTAGCATATGGTGTTACTATCAACTTTTTATTTTCTCTAAGATTTAAAATAAATTCTGTAATGAAGTAATGAAGTTTGAAAAAAAACAAGAGTAAGCAGGAATTGAAAAACATTTAATGACATGTTTAAGGGAAATCCAACTCAGCAATACTAAATAAAAATGAGAAGCAAATCAATCAAGTTATAAAATATAGCCTGTAGGATCCATAATGGAACACCTGGAAGGCAGTTTGAGAAATTATGAAAATACAATCAAAATGATAGATCACTATACTTTGTATAGTGTCTTATTAGAATAAGCAATATTGCATAATATAATCTAAATAGGAAATAAAAGAAACTACAGTGGAAACAGTTTTTACTGAATAAAAGTTCAGAGAGCCTAGTCATGGGCAAGAGAATAGAATTTATATCATAAATTCTTTATATGAAGTAGTTATCATATAAATTCTATTGAAATGAATTTCACGTATCTTTATGTTGGGCTTTATTTCTGCCTCTGTCCGTCATTAGGCTCTAAAGAAGCCCTCTAATTCCCGTAACAAAACTAAGCCTCGAGTTTTTGAGATGGCAATTAGGGACAATCTCTATGAGTCACCTGAGAAAGTCTCATAGAAAAGGTGAAGCTCAGGAGCTAAGAACTGGGGCCTAAGACCAAGATGCCCCATAAGAAGACCTTCCTTTCATTGCCTTGGATGATGAGATTGATCAGATTCAGGAAGCCAACAGGTCTACTTAAGACAATAGCAAGTATTATTTGCATTTTATAGGTGGACAGAGGTACAAAGAAGTAAAATGCTTTATTGAAAGTAACACACAATGGGGGGAGAACTAGAATCAGGTCTCAAGATGATTATTTTGGGTGCTTACTAATCTGCCTGGTATATTTATAAACATAAGATACTGCTATTATTGTTTTTAAAAATTAACTTCCTTCACATCCACTTTTTCAAATCTGTGATTGAGTGGCTTATTACTTCCATTCTGCATCTGTATCCTAATTTTCTTTGCTGAAATGATGTATGATTTCTGGAAACATTTACGCTCAAAGCCCATTTGCCAAGAAAACACTCCCTGTTGCTCACCTAATAGCAACATTTACACTGTATAATCACTGTCATTATCATTGCACTTCAGAAGGTTTTCCTCGCTGCTCTATCAGGTTCCGCCTTCCTCAAAAACCATACATCATCACTCTCTTTTTGTACTTTCAAATGATATGTTCTAGTGTGTATATGTGTGTGTGTGTGTATGTATGTGCGTGTACGCGCGTGTGTGTGTGTGAGAGAGAGAGAGAGAACGTGTGCACACATAAGTGAACTTTTTAGGTCATAATAAGCTGAAAAAAATGCCAAGGCTTGCTGGTAACTTTAGCAATGACTGCTCTTTCACAGGTTTATTCAATACATATTTTATTTAATTAAAAAAAGACACTAAAACTTGACCATGAGTCAGGCATGGTATTAAATCTGGAAATACAAAAATGAACAGGTCACAATCCTGGACCATTAAAAGTTCACCATCTAGTTTAGGGAGGGATAAACAAAGAGGAAATATAGGGGAGAGAGTGCACAAGCTCAGTGTCACTCTGGTAGCAGTTAGACAAATTCAGAAGGTAAGACACACTGAAGGGCTACTAGTTTTGTCCCTTCAGCAAGGCTGTCTCCTGGGAAAAAATGGGAAATAATGGAATTGTGTTGGGTTAAAAGAACACAATGGATATTATAACCAAATGCAATACATAAACCTGGGTTCTGTACTGGTTTGGACAAAGCCATTCAAATGACATTTTTGAGACAGTTAGGGCAATTTGAATATAGACTGTATATTAGAGGAATTGAAAATTTATTGACATATAAAGGTAGAGAATAGTAATGAAAAAACTCACATTACGAAACAGCATTAAAGTTAGGGAGAACTACTTTTTAGAGAGCCAACTGAGGACACAGTCATAGTAGATAAAAAAAGTGCATTAGATACATATGTGTTAGTATATTTCTACATATTACATATATTATACATGTATGTTATTACTTTATTACACACCTTACATACACATATTAAGCTTTGGTAAATGCCAGAGCACTTATATGATGGTGGTCCCATAATATTATAACGGAGCTGAAAAATTTCTGTTATTTAGTGACATTGTAGCTGTTGTAATGTCATAGTACAATGCATTACTCATGCGTTTGTGGCGATGCTGGTATAAACAAACCTACCGTGCTGCCAGTTGTATAAAAGTCTAGCACATACAATTATGCACAGCACGTAATACTTGATAATGATAATAAATGACTGTGTTACTGGTTTATGTGTTTACTGTACTAAACTTTTAAATCATTTTTTAGAGTGTACTCCTTTGACTTATATAAAAAAATAGTTACCTGGAAAACCGTCTCAGGCAGTTCCTTCAGAAAGGTATTCTAGAAGAAGGCATTATTATCAAAGCAGATGACAGCTCCATGCCCCTGAACACCTTCCAGTGGGGCAAAATATGCAGGTGGAAGACAGTGACATTGATGATCCTGACCTCATATAGGCCTAGGCTAATATGTGTGTTTGTGTCTTAGTTTTTAACAAAAAAAGTTTAAAAAGTAAAAAAAAAATTGGTAGAAAAAATCTTAACAAACAAGGATATAAAGAAAGAAAACATGGTGTTCCACTGTACAATGTGTTTGCATTTTAAGCTAAGTGTTATTACAACAGAGTAAAAATGTTTAAAAAATTAGAAAAATTAGAAAGCAAAAAAGTTATATTAAGCTAATGTAATTATTGAAGAAATAAAAGTATTTTAAATATAAATTTAGTGTAACCAAAGTTTAGAGTGTTTATAATGTCTTCAGTGGTGTGTAGTAATGTCCTAGGCCTTCACATGCACTCACCACTCACTCATTGACTCATCAGAGTCCCACAAGCTCCATTCCTGGTAAGGGCCTTATACAGATATCTCATTTGTTATATTTTTTACCATATGTTTATTGTATCTTTTGTATGTGTAGATACACAAATACTTATAATTGTTCTATAATTGCCTACAGTATTCAGTGCAATAACATGCTGTACAGGTTTGTAGCCTACGAGCAATAAGCTACACCATATAGTGTAAGTGTGTAGCAGGCCTTATCACCTAGGCTTGTGTAAGTACACTCTATGATTTTTATAGAATGATGAAATCACCTAATGACACATTTCTCAGAATGTATCCTCATTGTTAAATGATGCATGATTGTACTTTTGTCCTAAAAGTACAATTTTAGGATTGTTTTGTCCTAAAACAAGTATGTTTTAAAATCAAGAAACACTAGTGGCAGTTTTACTAAGATCGGGACTAAGGTACAGATGCCAACTATCTTCACTACTATTAAGCATTGTACTAGATTAATCAGCCAATGCAATTAGGCAAGATAAATCAATTGGAGGCACAAGAACGGGTGAAACAATAAAACTGTCTTTACTCGCAGATGATACACTGTTACATAAAATTTTCATACTTCAGCTAGGCACGGTGGCTCATGCCTGTAATCCCAGCACTTTGGGAGGCCCAGGCGGGCAGATCACGAGGTCAGGAGATGGAGACCATCTTGGCTAACACGGTGAAACCCTGTGTCTACTAAAAATACAAAAAAAATTAGCCAGGCATGTTGGCAGGTGCCTGTAGTCCCAGCTACTCGGGAGGCTGAGGCAGGAGAATGGCATGAACTTGGGAGGTGGAGCTTGCAGTGAGCTGAGATCGTGCCACTACACTCCAGCCTGGGCGACAGAGTGAGGCTCTGTCTCAAAAAACAAAACAAAACAAAACAAAAACAAACAAGAAAAAGCCACAAAATTTTCATACCTTCTACCTCAGAGAATCAATGATTAACTCAACAAGAAAAGAATTCAGTCAAGTAGAATTCAGTCAACCATTAATAAATGGTTCTGAGATAACTGTGTAGCAATTTGAAAAAGATAAAATTAGATCCATATCTCACATCATACACAAAAGTTCACTCCAAATTAATTAGGGATCTAAATATAAGAAATGAAATCCTATAAGTACAACAATGAAACATGCATGAATTCCTCTTTCATCTTGATACAGGGAAATGCTTTCTACTATGACTCAAATTCTAGAGAAAACGAAAGAAAAGATTGATAAATTTGACTACCAATTGCATGACAACTAACACCATAAACAAAATTAAGGACATCTGATGTATAAATAAAATACTCTTAACCTGTACCACAGGCAAAGGGCTAATATTCTTTTTAAAAAAATTTTACCTTTTTAAAAATTATATACTTTAAGTTGTAGGGTACATGTGCACAATGTGCAGGTTTGATACGTAGGTATACATGTGCCATGTTGGTTTACTGCACCCATCAACTCATCATTTACATTAGGTATTTCTCCCAATGCTATCCCTCCCCCAGCCCCCACCCGCCCAACAGGCCCTGGTGTGTGATGTTCCCTGCCCTGTGTCCAAGTGATCTCATTGTTCAATTCCCACATATGAATGAGAACATGCAGTGTTTGGTTTTCTGTCCTTGTGATAGTTTGCTGAGAATGATGGTTTCCAGCTTCATCCATGTCCCTGCAAAGGACATGAACTCATCCTTTTTTATAGCTGCATAGTACTCCATGGTGTATATGTGCCACATTTTCTTAATTTAGTCTATCATTGATGGGCATTTGGGTTGGTTCCAAGTCTTTGCTATTGTGAATAGTGCCACAATAAACATATGTGTGCATGTGTCTTTATAGTAGCATGATTTATAATCCTTTGGGTATATACCAAGTAATGGGATTGCTGGGTCAAATGGTAATTCTAGTTCTAGATCCTTGAGGAATCGCCACACTGTCTTCCACAATGGTTGAACCAATTTACACTAGCACCAACAGTGTAAAAGCATTCCTATTTCTCAACATCCTGTCCAGCATCTGTTGTTTCCTGATTTTTTAATGACCTCCATTCTAACTGGCGTGAGATGGTATCTCATTGTGGTTTTGATTTGCATTTCTCTGATGACCAGTGATGATGAGCATTTTTTCATGTGTCTGTTGGCTCCATAGATGTCTTCTTTTGAGAAGTGTCTGTTCATATCCTTTGCCCACTTTTTGATGCGGTTGTTTGCTTTTTCCTTGTAAATTTGTTTGAGTTCTTTGTAGATTCTGGATATTAGCCCACAAAGGGCTAATATTCTTAATATACAAAGAAGTCTTAAAGACTGAGGGACAAATGACTGAAAAGCCAATAAAAATTTTTGAAAAATATAAGAACAGAAAATTCACAAGAAATAAAAGTGGCACAGAAATATATGAACAAATGCTCAAATTCACTTTCATTTAGAGAAATACAAATGTAAATAGCACTGAGACATCATTTTTTCCCTTATAAAAAATATAACACATTCTATTTGCAAGGCTGTGCAGAAACAGAAATTTTCATATATTGGTGATGTCAATGCAAATTGATATAACCCTTCTGGAGGGAAAATGGACAATACCTAGTAAAAAATTACAGGTGCATTTACCTTTCAGCCCAGTAATCCTTCTTGTAGCAATGTATCCTAAAGAGATAACTCCAATAAAACAAAAATATATATGCAGAAAATTATTCATTATAGCATGGTTTCTAATTATAAAAAATTGCAAACAACTTACATGTTCATATGTAGGAGAGCAACTACATAAGCTATGGCAAATCCACATGGAGTACTGTACATCTGTTAAGAAAGAATAAGGAAGATCTGTACAGACTGATATGGTATCATTTTCAGAACACACTGTCAAATAAAAAAAGCAAAGCTCAAAAGAAAAATATAATATTCTACTCTTTATGTAAGAAATAAGGGGATCTAAAAAATACACAGATGTCTGCTTATTTGTGTGAAGGAAATACAGGTAGGATATATCAGAAACCAGATAAATTAATTACACATGGCCGGGCGTGGTGGCTCACCCCTGTAATCCCAGCACTTTGGGAGGCCGAGGCGGGCGGATCACGAGGTCAGGAGATTGAGACCACGGTGAAACCCCGTCTCTACTAAAAGTACAAAAGATTAGCCGGGCACGGTGGTGGGCTCCTGTAGTCCCAGCTACTCAGGAGGCTGAGGCAGGAGAATGGAGTGAACCCGGGAGGCGGAGCCTGCAGTGAGCCGAGATCGCGTCACTGCACTCCAGCTGGGCGACAGAGCAAGACTCCGTCTCAAAAAAAAAAAAAAAAAAAAAATTATTTATACACAGAGGGTGTGTGGGAAAGGATGGAAGGAAGTGATGCAGTGGGCTTTAGGTAGCAGGATGTGATATACTTATCTGAGTATATCTTTTCAAATAATCTGGTAATATGGAAATATTACTATAGTAATATTTCAGATACCCTTCACACACCACCAAACTAAACAACACTAACCAGGATATAGATTGAACCCACAAAGGAATATCAATACTAAGAAATGAACCTAATTGTATTATAGATGGATGACCTAACCACACTGCAGTGGATGGGAAAGAAAAGAACTGATTTAAGTAACTGTGAAAACATTATCATAATTGAATACTGCAAGCTGGGGACAAAGTGATTTGTACATAAATGCTGTTCCAAGTATTGATGCCAAATGAATTCCCTTTTAATTTATTGTGAGATTCTTTTGATTTACGTTTTTCTTGTGTTACTTGGTTGCTACTATTTATTGTCTTACAGAATACTCCTTTTTGGATTTCCCTTTTTTCCCTAGAGTTAACAATAGAATATAATTTTCATTTAAGATGCATTTATTGAAAACATTCTCTACTATTAACTCTTTAAATATTGCCTCTCTTTTATTCTTGCTCTTCTTTCCTTTAGGTAGTTGAATATGCTATATGTTTCTTGTGTCTCTCTTATATTTCTTATTACTTTGTGACTCTGAGCTGCATTCTGGGTAAGTTTTTATATTAGCACTATCTTCCACCTTATTAATTATTTCTGCAGCTATGTACAATCTTCAGTTTAACTAGTCAAGTGAATTTTTAACTTTAATGATTACATTTAATATTTCTAGATGTTCTAATTTGTTCTTTCGAAAATCTGCCTGGGTACATTTGGCAGTGTTTTTGTTTCTTCAATACACCAATGCTTCACTTAACAATGGGGTATTTGAGAAAAGGGTCATTAGGCAGTTTTGTCATTGTGAAAGAAGCAGAAATGGTAGACGAAAGATATTTTCTTCCAGTGTAGAGCACCAGGAAGGACTTATCTAGACTTTACTGAGCCTAATCAGCATAAGCAGATGAACTTAGGCATTCTGGAACTGTGATAGAGAAATCCTCTCATGCTGGCAATCACCTGTAATAATAAAGTTTTAGAGATGGAATTTTTTGTGTTACCTAAGATGTTTGCTAAAAATGTACAGTCTTGCATCTTACACCCAATAATTCTGATTCAGAAACTTTGATATGGATCCCAGGAAATTTCATTTTAACATAAATACCCGAGGTAATTCTAATAAACACTAAGTTTAGGAATCATTACCTAGAAGTGTGTACATCAGATTAAAATTAGAATATCTAGCCAGGCCTGATGGTTCAGGCGTGTAATCATAACACTTTGGGAAGCCGAGACAGGAGGATCACTTGAAGCTAGGAGTTTGAGACCAGCCTAGGCAATACAGAGAGACATTGTCTCTACAAAAAAGAAAAAGAAAAAGAATTAAAATATTTTTAACAGAATAATTCAGTGACATAGATATATTTTAATTATATTTGGAAATAAGATCCACGATGAATTTATGCTGCGAATTAATAGTTTAGGCTCACATATTATTACTTAAGTGTCCTAGCCTTTCGGAATGATTTAAACTTTATTGAACTACGCAAATTTTGGTTCAGTTGATTCAATGAAGAGCTCATTTTTGCCTTTTATTTATTTATGTATTTTAAGAAAGCATGTGAATAATAGTTTTTGTGTCAAACTAGGAAAATCATGACTACAGTGGAAGCCAGTACTTCCTAAAGCCAGTATTTCTTAAAGCCTATGGATGAATGCTAGAGTCATATGAGATGCTAAAAGGTGATTTGTGAGAAAATGGATTGATGGTTAATTTTTTCCATTAAATAGTGGGTTAAAGTTAAAAGAATACTAATGAAGTGAAAGTGGTCATAAGACCAAAATTGCTCAGTTTGGCACTGGGAGATTGAAGCAACTGTGCTCTGCTCTGCTCATCTGGGCCTGCCCCAGCTCTAACTTGCACCTGTGGGCTCCTACTTTGCCTAAAAGGCCCCACACCCACCCCATGTCCACCCACATTCCCTCCTCCTGGCTCAGGACCCCATCCTCAGGAGCTGTGGGTCCCCAGCACTTTTGCCCCTGCTGATGCCAGTCATGGTGGAGAAGGGCCCTGAGGTCTCAGAGAAGTGGAGAGGGAGGAACAACACAGCTATGTTGGCCACCTCCTCAGCTGCTGCTACCACCTTGGCCACCCATGCCTTGCCCACATCTTTGTCCACTGCCACCACCTACACCTCAGCTGCTGCTGCCTCAACTGCCACTGCTCCCAGTAATAGCCAGAATAAAAATTTGGCAGGGGGGGATCTCAATGGCAATGGCAGCAGAACCTCCTGGGATGAAGGCAGATCATTTGGGCTTGTCCAGCCATGGGGAGCACAGTGGTGGTGGCATAAGGGGCAGACCCCAGTACCAGGTGGTGGTGACTGACTTCAACCCCACCAAACTGGCAAGATGCAGCCAAGACTGGGACAGTCTTGGCATGTTGGTGTGGTCACCAAATCAGAATGAGTCAGAAGCAAAGCTGGTTGAGTACATTGCCATTGCCAGAAAAAATATGGGTACACCATGGAACAGGCTCTTGGGATGCTCTTTTGGCAATACAAAGGGAACCGCATCAGGTTAATAGTGTGCCCTTCAGTGAAACCTTACAAGGGAGAAAAGATTGGAGGCCTATATTCAGCATGTGCAAATAGAAGATATTTCAACCAAGAATTTTTTTTTATTATACTTTAAGTTCTGGGGTACATGTGCAGAACATGCAGGTTTGTTACATAGGTGTACACATACCATGGTGGTTTGCTGCACCCATTAACTCGTCATCTACATTAGGTATTTCTCCTAATGCTATCCCTCCCCTAGTCCCCCACCCCCTGATAGGTCCTGGTGTGTGATGCCCTCCGCCCCCATCTCCATGTGTTCTCATTGTTCAACTCACAATTATGAGTGAGAACATGCGGTGTTTGTCATCCAAGCATTTTATATCCAGCCAAACTAAGCTTCATAAGCAAAGGAGAAATAAAATCCTTTTTAGACAAGCAAATGCTAAGTGTATTCATTACTATAAGGCCTCTTACAAGAGGTCCTTAAAGGAGAGCTAAACATGGAAATAGAAGATCAGTACTTGCCATTACAAAGAGACACATAATAACATAGTCCATTGAGACTATAAAGCAATTACACAATCAAGTCTACATAACAACTAGCTAACATGATGACAAGATCAAGTCCTCACATATCAATATAACCTTGAAGGTAAATGGGCTAAATGCCCCAATAAAAGGCAAAGAGTGGCAAATTGGATAAAGAAGAAAGACCCAACTGTATGCTGTCTTTAAGAGACCCGTCTCACATGCAGTGACACCCATAGCTCAAAGTAAAAGGATGGAAAAAGATTTATTAAACAAACAGAAAACAAAAAAAAAAAGCAGAGATGCTGTTATTTCACATTATTATTTCACACAAAGTGACTTTAATATTGATCAAAGAGGACAAAGGGCACAATGATAAAGCATTCAATTCAACGAGAAGACTTAACTATCCTAAATATATATGCACCCAACACTGGAGCACTCTGATTCACAAAACAAGTTCTTATGGGTCTTCAAAGAGACTTAGATAACTACAGAAAAGTAGTGGGAGACTTCAATACCCCATTGACAGTATTAGAGAGATCATTGAGAAAACCAACAAAGACATTCAGGACCTAAACTCAAGACTTGACCAGAGGACCTAACGGACATCTACAGAATACTCTACCCAACAACAACAGAATATACATTATTTTCATTGTCACATGAAACATACTCACAAATTGACCACATGCTCAGCCATAAAGCAGTTCTCTACAATTTAATAAAAATGAAATCATACCAACCACACTCTCAGACCACAGTGAAATAACAATGGAAATTAATACCAAGAAGATATCTCAAAACAATACAATTATATGGAAATTAAGTAATCTGCTCCAGAATTGTTATTGGGTAAAGAATGAAATTAAGGCAGAAATCAAACAATTCTTTAGAACCAATGAAAAAAAGATATACCAAAATCTCTGGGACACAGCTAAAGCAGTGTTAAGAGGAAAGTTTATAGAGCTAAAAGCCCATGTTAACAAGTTACAAAGGTCTCAAATTGAGAATCTAACACTATACCTAGAGAAACTAGAGAAAACAAGAGCAAACTAATGCTAAAGCTAGAAGGAGAAGAGAAATAAAAATCAGAACTTAATACAACAAAATTGAGACATGAAAATTTATACAAAATATAGATGAAACAAAAAATTTGTTCTTTAAAAGAATACATAAGATTGATAAACTGCTAGCTAGAATAATAAATAAAAAAAGAGAGAAGATCCAAGTAAACACAACCAGAAATGACAAAGGAGACATTACTACTGACCCCAAAGGAATACAAAAAATCCTCAGAAACTATTATGAATA
Source organism: Homo sapiens (assembly GCF_000001405.40). Taxonomy (NCBI): domain Eukaryota; kingdom Metazoa; phylum Chordata; class Mammalia; order Primates; family Hominidae; genus Homo; species Homo sapiens. The sequence goes on along the minus strand of NC_000011.10, from coordinate 85,334,223 downwards.
CTTCTATGCACAGAAACTAGAGAACCTAGAAGTAATGGATAAACTCCTAGAACCATAAAATGTCCCAAGATTGAACCAGGAAGAAATTGAAACCCTGAACAGACCAATAATGAATTCTGACATTGAATCAGTAGTAAAATACCTACTAACCAGAAAAAGCCCAGGATGAAATGGATTCACAGCTGAATTCTACCAGATGTATAAAGCAGAGCTGGTACAAATCCTACTGAAACTACTCCAGAGAAGCAAGAAGGAGGACTCCTCTCTAACTCATTCTGTGAGGGCAGGATCATTCTGATACCAAAACCTGTCAGAGACACAGTGAAAAAAAAAAACCAACTTCAGGCCAATATCCCAGGTAAACATAGGTGCAAAAATCCTCAACCAAATACTAGCAAACTGAATCCAGCAGCACATCAAAATTCAAATCCACCACAATCAGGTAGGCTTTATCCCTGGGATGCAAACTTGGTTCAACATATGGAAATCAATAAATTTGATTCATCACATAAACAGAACTAAAACCAAAAACCACATGAGCATCTCACCAGATTCAGAAAAAGCTTTCGATAAAATTGAAAATCTCCCCATGTCAAAACCCCTTAACAAATAGGCATCAAAGGAACATACCTCAGAATAAGAGCCTCTATGGCAAACCCACAGCCAACATCATACTAAATGGGCAAAAGGTGGAAGCAATCCCTCTGAGAACTGGAACAAGACAAGGATCACCACTCTCACCACTCCTATTTAATGTAATACTGAAAGTCCTAGCCAGAGCAACCAGGCAAGAAAAATAAATAAAAGACATTCAGATAGGAAGTTGAACTATCTCTTTTCACAGATGATATGATTTTATACCCAGACAACCCTATAGTCTCTGCCAAGAAGATCCTAGAACTGATAAACAACTTCAATAAAATTTCAGGATTCAAAATCTATGTACAGGAATTAGTAGCATTTCTATATACCACTATCATCTAAGCTGAGAGCCAATCAAGAACACAAGCCCATTTACAATAGCCACAAAATAATGAAATACATAGGAATATAGCTAATCAGGGAGGTAAAAAATCTCTGCAATGAGAACACTTGCTGAAAGAATTCAGAGAAGACACAAACAAATGGAAAATTATTCCATGCTCATGGATAGGAAGAATCAATATTGTTAAAATGGCCATACGATCAAAGGAATGTAAAGATTCAATGCTATTCGTATCAAACTAGCAATGACATTTTTCAAAGAATTAGAAAAAGGTATTCAAAAATTCATATTAAATATAAAAGAGTTTGAATAGCCAAAGTAATCCTAAGCCAAAAGAACAAAGCTGGAGGCATCATACTCTCTGACTTCAAACTATACTACAAGTCTACAGTAACCAAAATAACATGGGACTTGCAGGAAAACAGACAGACCAATGGAGCAAGTTAGAGAACCTGGAAATAAATCCACACACCTACAGTCATCTGATCTTTGAGAGGGTCGACAATAATAACAATGGGGAAAGTACTCCCTATTCAATAAATGGTTCTGGTATAACTGGCCAGTCATACACAGAAGATTGAAACTGGACCCCTTCCTTTCACCATATACAAGAATGAACTCAAGATGGGTTGAAGACTTATATTTAAGATCTAAAACTATAAAACCTCTGTGAGAAAATCTAAAACGTATCATTCTGGCATCAGCTCTGGCATTTCATGATGAAGTCTCCAAAAACAATTCCAACAAAAAGAAAAAATAGACAAGAGGGACTTAGTTAAATTAAAAAGCTTCTGCAAAATAAAAGGACCCATAGAGAGTAGACAACCTGCAGAATGGGAGAAAATATTTGCAATCTGTGCATTCAACAGAGGTCTAATAGCCAGGATCTATAAACAACTTGAACAAATCAACAAGCAAGAAACAGACAACCTAATAAAAAATGGGCAAAGAACATCAACAGATACTTCTTAAAGGAAGACATACTTATGGACAACAAACACATGAACAAATGTTTATTATCACTAATCATGATAGAAACTCATTTCAAAACTACAATGAGATACCATCTCAAACCAGTCAGAGTAGCTATTATTAAAAAGTTAGAAAATAACAGATTTTGGTAAGGTTGAAGAGGAAAGGGAATTCTTATAGATTGTTGGTGTGAGTATAAATTAGTTCAGCCACCATGGAAAGCTGTTTGGAGATTTCTCAAAGAACTTAAAACAATTACCATTCAATCCAGCAATGCCATTACTGGGTATATACCCCAAAGGAATACAAACCATTCTACCCAAAAGACATATGTACTTGTATGTTTATTGTAGCACTATTTATAATAGCAAAGACATGGAATTAACCTAGATGCCCATCAGTGGTGGATGGATAAAGCAAATGTGGTACATTTACACCATGAAATACTATGCAGCCATAAAAGAACAAAATTGTGTCAAATGCAGCAACTGGTATGCAGCTGGATGTCATTATCCTAACCAAATTAACACAGAAATAGAAAACTAAATACTTCATGTTTTCACGTATATGCAGAGCTAAACTTTAAGTACACATGGATACAAAGAGGGGAATCATAGCCACCGGGGCCTACTACTTCAGGTGGCAGGTGGCAGAAGAATGAGGTTTGATGAACTACCTATCAGGCACTATGCTTACTACCTAGATAATAAAATTATTTGTACACTAAATCCCAGTGGCATGCAATTTACCCATGTAACAGACCTGCATATGCACGCCCAATTCTAAAGTAAAAGTTGAAAAAGAAATAAAAAAGAAAACCAGGCTTTTGGAATTAACAACAAAATGTAATAAAGAAAAAGAAGGGCAAGGCACACAAAAAGAAGTTAAATGATTTTATTACCGCTAGCATCTTTAAAAGTGAATATGCATTTGTATACATTTACCTCTAAGAGGTATATATATTGAACTTTTTTTGGCCAGGAACCCTTTTTATAGGGCGTCTATTTACATATTTTGTCATATTAATGTTCTCATTAACAGTTTTGGCCTGCTAGTTGAAACCCATGCCACATGTCCATAGGCCATGACAACATACTACAAAATCAGGTTCAGATCTTTAGAAAACAGAAGTTATATTCTTGGAAAAAATAAAGTGAATGTCAACATTATGGGTTTATTTTTGTACTTGGGCATATTTTAGAATTTTATCATTTCATATATTTTAAACTTAATACAGATGAGCTTCGTGCCTCATATAAATAGTTTGTATTTTATCATCCCTGCATGTTACCGTGATTCATTTCAAGTGTAGTAATACTCAGTATACATGGGAAATCCCAATAATCACTTTCCACATTGTGGGAAACCACCAGGTGGAAGTAAGGGTTTATGTATGAGAATTTGAGCAGACTCTGGAAAAGAAATAAAAAAATTTACATCCCAACTTCTTTTTCTTTTTTTTTTTTTTTTTTTTAATTTTTTTTTTTTTATTATACTCTAAGTTTTAGGGTACATGTGCACATTGTGCAGGTTAGTTACATATGTATACATGTGCCATGCTGGTGCGCTGCACCCACTAACGTGTCATCTAGCATTAGGTATATCTCCCAATGCTATCCCTCCCCCCTCCCCCGACCCCACCACAGTCCCCAGAGTGTGATATTCCCCTTCCTGTGTCCAAGTGATCTCATTGTTCAGTTCCCACCTATGAGTGAGAATATGCGGTGTTTGGTTTTTTGTTCTTGCGATAGTTTACTGAGAATGATGGTTTCCAATTTCATCCATGTCCCTACAAAGGACATGAACTCATCATTTTTTATGGCTGCATAGTATTCCATGGTGTATATGTGCCACATTTTCTTAATCCAGTCTATCATTGTTGGACATTTGGGTTGGTTCCAAGTCTTTGCTGTTGTGAATAGTGCCGCAATAAACATACGTGTGCATGTGTCTTTATAGCAGCATGATTTATAGTCCTTTGGGTATATACCCAGTAATGGGATGGCTGGGTCAAATGGTATTTCTAGTTCTAGATCCCTGAGGAATCGCCACACTGACTTCCACAATGGTTGAACTAGTTTACAGTCCCACCAACAGTGTAAAAGTGTTCCTATTTCTCCACATCCTCTCCAGCACCTGTTGTTTCCTGACTTTTTAATGATTGCCATTCTAACTGGTGTGAGATGATATCTCATAGTGGTTTTGATTTGCATTTCTCTGATGGCCAGTGATGATGAGCATTTCTTCATGTGTTTTTTGGCTGCATAAATGTCTTCTTTTGAGAAGTGTCTGTTCATGTCCTTCGCCCACTTTTTGATGGGGTTGTTTGTTTTTTTCTTGTAAATTTGTTTGAGTTCATTGTAGATTCTGGATATTAGCCCTTTGTCAGATGAGTAGGTTGCGAAAATTTTCTCCCATGTTGTAGGTTGCCTGTTCACTCTGATGGTAGTTTCTTTTGCTGTGCAGAAGCTCTTTAGTTTAATTAGATCCCATTTGTCAATTTTGGCTTTTGTTGCCATTGCTTTTGGTGTTTTGGACATGAAGTCCTTGCCCACGCCTATGTCCTGAATGGTAATGCCTAGGTTTTCTTCTAGGGTTTTTATGGTTTTAGGTCTAACGTTTAAATCTTTAATCCATCTTGAATTGATTTTTGTATAAGGTGTAAGGAAGGGATCCAGTTTCAGCTTTCTACATATGGCTAGCCAGTTTTCCCAGCACCATTTATTAAATAGGGAATCCTTTCCCCATTGCTTGTTTTTCTCAGGTTTGTCAAAGATCAGATAGTTGTAGATATGTGGCATTATTTCTGAGGGCTCTGTTCTGTTCCATTGATCTATATCTCTGTTTTGGTACCAGTACCATGCTGTTTTGGTTACTGTAGCCTTGTAGTATAGTTTGAAGTCAGGTAGTGTGATGCCTCCAGCTTTGTTCTTTTGGCTTAGGATTGACTTGGCGATGCGGGCTCTTTTTTGGTTCCATATGAACTTTAAAGTAGTTTTTTCCAATTCTGTGAAGAAAGTCATTGGTAGCTTGATGGGGATGGCATTGAATCTGTAAATTACCTTGGGCAGTATGGCCATTTTCACGATATTGATTCTTCCTACCCATGAGCATGGAATGTTCTTCCATTTGTTTGTGTCCTCTTTTATTTCCTTGAGCAGTGGTTTGTAGTTCTCCTTGAAGAGGTCCTTCACATCCCTTGTAAGTGGGATTCCTAGGTATTTTATTCTCTTTGAAGCAATTGTGAATGGGAGTTCACTCATGATTTGGCTCTCTGTTTGTCTGTTGTTGGTGTATAAGAATGCTTGTGATTTTTGTACATTGATTTTGTAGCCTGAGACTTTGCTGAAGTTGCTTATCAGCTTAAGGAGATTTTGGGCTGAGACGATGGGGTTTTCTAGATAAACAATCATGTTGTCTGCAAACAGGGACAATTTGACTTCCTCTTTTCCTAATTGAATACCCTTTATTTCCTTCTCCTGCCTGATTGCCCTGGCCAGAACTTCCAACACTATGTTGAATAGGAGCGGTGAGAGAGGGCATTCTTGTCTTGTGCCGGTTTTCAAAGGGAATGCTTCCAGTTTTTGCCCATTCAGTATGATATTGGCTGTGGGTTTGTCATAGATAGCTCTTATTATTTTGAAATACGTCCCATCAATACCTAATTTATTGAGAGTTTTTAGCATGAAGGGTTGTTGAATTTTGTCAAAGGCTTTTTCTGCATCTATTGAGATAATCATGTGGTTTTTGTCTTTGGCTCTGTTTATATGCTGGATTACATTTATTGATTTGCGTATATTGAACCAGCCTTGCATCCCAGGGATGAAGCCCACTTGATCATGGTGGATAAGCTTTTTGATGTGCTGCTGGATTTGGTTTGCCAGTATTTTATTGAGGATTTTTGCATCAATGTTCATCAAGGATATTGGTCTAAAATTCTCTTTTTTGGTTGTGTCTCTGCCCTGCTTTGGTATCAGAATGATGCTGGCCTCATAAAATGAGTTAGGGAGGATTCCCTCTTTTTCTATTGATTGGAATAGTTTCAGAAGGAATGGTACCAGTTCCTCCTTGTACCTCTGGTAGAATTCGGCTGTGAATCCATCTGGTCCTGGACTCTTTTTGGTTGGTAAACTATTGATTATTGCCACAATTTCAGAGCCTGTTATTGGTCTATTCAGAGATTCAACTTCTTCCTGGTTTAGTCTTGGGAGAGTGTATGTGTCGAGGAATGTATCCATTTCTTCTAGATTTTCTAGTTTATTTGCGTAGAGGTGTTTGTAGTATTCTCTGATGGTAGTTTGTATTTCTGTGGGATCGGTGGTGATATCCCCTTTATCATTTTTTATTGTGTCTATTTGATTCTTCTCTCTTTTTTTCTTTATTAGTCTTGCTAGCGGTCTATCAATTTTGTTGATCCTTTCAAAAAACCAGCTCCTGGATTCATTGATTTTTTGAAGGGTTTTTTGTGTCTCTATTTCCTTCAGTTCTGCTCTGATTTTAGTTATTTCTTGCCTTCTGCTAGCTTTTGAATGTGTTTGCTCTTGCTTTTCTAGTTCTTTTAATTGTGATGTTAGGGTGTCAATTTTGGATCTTTCCTGCTTTCTCTTGTAGGCATTTAGTGCTATAAATTTCCCTCTACACACTGCTTTGAATGCGTCCCAGAGATTCTGGTATGTGGTGTCTTTGTTCTCGTTGGTTTCAAAGAACATCTTTATTTCTGCCTTCATTTCGTTATGTACCCAGTAGTCATTCAGGAGCAGGTTGTTCAGTTTCCATGTAGTTGAGCGGCTTTGAGTGAGATTCTTAATCCTGAGTTCTAGTTTGATTGCACTGTGGTCTGAGAGATAGTTTGTTATAATTTCTGTTCTTTTACATTTGCTGAGGAGAGCTTTACTTCCAACTATGTGGTCAATTTTGGAATAGGTGTGGTGTGGTGCTGAAAAAAATGTATATTCTGTTGATTTGGGGTGGAGAGTTCTGTAGATGTCTATTAGGTCTGCTTGGTGCAGAGCTGAGTTCAATTCCTGGGTATCCTTGTTGACTTTCTGTCTCGTTGATCTGTCTAATGTTGACAGTGGGGTGTTAAAGTCTCCCATTATTAATGTGTGGGAGTCTAAGTCTCTTTGTAGGTCACTCAGGACTTGCTTTATGAATCTGGGTGCTCCTGTATTGGGTGCATAAATATTTAGGATAGTTAGCTCCTCTTGTTGAATTGATCCCTTTACCATTATGTAATGGCCTTCTTTGTCTCTTTTGATCTTTGTTGGTTTAAAGTCTGTTTTATCAGAGACTAGGATTGCAACCCCTGCCTTTTTTTGTTTTCCATTGGCTTGGTAGATCTTCCTCCATCCTTTTATTTTGAGCCTGTGTGTGTCTCTGCACGTGAGATGGGTTTCCTGAATACAGCACACTGATGGGTCTTGGCTCTTTATCCAACTTGCCCGTCTGTGTCTTTTAATTGCAGAATTTAGTCCATTTATATTTAAAGTTAATATTGTTATGTGTGAATTTGATCCTGTCATTATGATGTTAGCTGGTGATTTTGCTCATTAGTTGATGCAGTTTCTTCCTAGTCTCGATGGTCTTTACATTTTGGCATGATTTTGCAGCGGCTGGTACCGGTTGTTCCTTTCCATGTTTAGCGCTTCCTTCAGGAGCTCTTTTAGGGCAGGCCTGGTGGTGACAAAATCTCTCAGCATTTGCTTGTCTATAAAGTATTTTATTTCTCCTTCACTTATGAAGCTTAGTTTGGCTGGATATGAAATTCTGGGTGGAAAATTCTTTTCTTTAAGAATGTTGAATATTGGCCCCCACTCTCTTCTGGCTTGTAGGGTTTCTGCCGAGAGATCCGCTGTTAGTCTGATGGGCTTTCCTTTGAGGGTAACCCGACCTTTCTCTCTGGCTGCCCTTAACATTTCTTCCTTCATTTCAACTTTGGTGAATCTGACAATTATGTGTCTTGGAGTTGCTCTTCTCGAGGAGTATCTTTGTGGCGTTCTCTGTATTTCCCGAATCTGAACGTTGGCCTGCCTTGCTAGATTGGGGAAGTTCTCCTGGATAATATCCTGCAGAGTGTTTTCCAACTTGGTTCCATTCTCCACATCACTTTCAGGTACACCAATCAGACGTAGATTTGGTCTTTTCACATAGTCCCATATTTCTTGGAGGCTTTGCTCATTTCTTTTTATTCTTTTTTCTCTAAACTTCCCTTCTCGCTTCATTTCATTCATTTCATCTTCCATTGCTGATACCCTTTCTTCCAGTTGATCGCATCGGCTCCTGAGGCTTCTGCATTCTTCACGTAGTTCTCGAGCCTTGGTTTTCAGCTCCATCAGCTCCTTTAAGCACTTCTCTGTATTGGTTATTCTAGTTATACATTCTTCTAAATTTTTTTCAAAGTTTTCAACTTCTTTGCCTTTGGTTTGAATGTCCTCCCGTAGCTCAGAGTAATTTGATCATCTGAAGCCTTCTTCTCTCAGCTCGTCAAAATAATTCTCCATCCAGCTTTGTTCCGTTGCTGGTGAGGAACTGCGTTCCTTTGGAGGAGGAGAGGCGCTCTGCGTTTTAGAGTTTCCAGTTTTTCTGTTCTGTTTTTTCCCCATCTTTGTGGTTTTATCTACTTTTGGTCTTTGATGATGGTGATGTACAGATGGGTTTTCGGTGTGGATGTCCTTTCTGGTTGTTAGTTTTCCTTCTAACAGACAGGACCCTCAGCTGCAGGTCTGTTGGAATACCCTGCCGTGTGAGGTGTCAGTGTGCCCCTGCTGGGGGGTGCCTCCCAGTTAGGCTGCTCGGGGGTCAGGGGTCAGGGACCCACTTGAGGAGGCAGTCTGCCCGTTCTCAGATCTCCAGCTGTGTGCTGGGAGAACCACTGCTCTCTTCAAAGCTGTCAGACAGGGACACTTAAGTCTGCAGAGGTTACTGCTGTCTTTTTGTTTGTCTGTGCCCTGCCCCCAGACGTGGAGCCTACAGAGGCAGACAGGCCTCCTTGAGCTGTGGTGGGCTCCGCCCAGTTCGAGCTTCCCAGCTGCTTTGTTTACCTAAGCAAGCCTGGGCAATGGCGGGCGCCCCTCCCCCAGCCTCGTTGCCGCCTTGCAGTTTGATCTCAGACTGCTGTGCTAGCAATCAGCGAGATTCCGTGGGCGTAGGACCCTCTGAGCCAGGTGTGGGATATAGTCTCGTGGTGCGCCGTTTCTTAAGCCGGTCTGAAAAGCGCAATATTCGGGTGGGAGTGACCCAATTTTCCAGGTGCGTCCGTCACCCCTTTCTTTGACTCGGAAAGGGAACTCCCTGACCCCTTGCGCTTCCCAGGTGAGGCAATGCCTCGCCCTGCTTCGGCTCGCGCACGGTGCGCACACACACTGGCCTGCGCCCACTGTCTGGCACTCCCTAGTGAGATGAACCCGGTACCTCAGATGGAAATGCAGAAATCACCCGTCTTCTGCGTCGCTCACGCTGGGAGCTGTAGACCGGAGCTGTTCCTATTCGGCCATCTTGGCTCCTCCCTCCCCAACTTCTTTTTCTTCTTTAAGCACACCGTTTTTCAGTCACCTAAAAATTATTTCTTTTGGTCCTGAATTCTTCACAAATACAGCAAACCTCAAAACCTCTTGTGTAGCTTTTTTCTGTAGGCAGCCGTTTTCAGGTATGTTAGAAACTACTAAAGATAGAGCAATGTTTATAAAAATCTAGATTTCAGCTTTTACTTTTCTTTAGGAAATGGGGATGATGCTCCGAAAGTTTAATAATACCAGTGTATCAGTAATCAGATGTTCAGATGATTTTAGTCTTTCCCGAATTTTTGATGAAAATCTTAAAGGCAAAATAAGGTGTTAAATTCAACTCAACATATACATTTTGAGTTCTAACTCTGTAGTAAGAGCTAAGGATATAATGGTGATAGAAATATAAGGCTACCTCTATGAAACTTATAGTCTATCTAGCAGGAAAGCTAGATAGAAGGTGTGATGTCAACAAGGCGGTGGAATAAAAAATATCCTGGCATCACTCCACCAAAAAAATACAAGTAGAAGCTATTCAAAGACAGGAATTCTGGTGAACTCAGGGGAGAAGTGGAGAAGCTCTCTGGGCCTACATAATTCAGAGAAGCCATGTCTGGTGACTTAAATAAATGGTCATTTCAGACTGTGTGACCCCCTACCCCAAGCAAGGACGATGTCACTTACAGAGAACTTCTTTAGACCCATGGTTTCTGAGGTGAGAGGAGAGAATTGGAGTTAGATGTTCACTCCCCACCAGTCTGAGAATCTTTGCTGGAAGCCCACTACCATCCACTTACATGGGAACAATTGGAAGTGACAGGAGGGCTGAGCCACCTGTGGTGAATTGGCAAAGTGTCCATCAACAGATTAATGGATTTAAAAAAAGTGGTATATATTCACAGTGGAATATTATTCAGCGATAAAAAGAATGGAATTCTGTCATTTGCAGTTCATGGATCTAACTGGAGGACATTATGTTAAGTGAAAGAAGTCAGACACAGAAATACAAGTATTGTATATTCTCACTAATATGTGGGAGCTAAAAAAGTTCACCTCCTGAAGGTAGAGAGTAGTATGATGCTTATTAGAAGCTGAGAAAGGTAGTAGGGAGGAGAGGATAAAAAGAGGTTGGTTAATATGTAGAAAAATACAGTTAGGTAGAAGGAATAAGTTCTAGTGTTTGATAGCACAGTAGAGTGAGAATAGCTAACAATAATTTATTGTATATTTCAAAATAGCTTGAAGAGAAGATTTGGAATGTTCCCAACACAAAGAAATGACAAATATTTGTGTTGGTAGATATTCTAATTTCATTTATTTGATCATTGCACACTCTATGCATGTATCAAAACATATGTGCCCCATAAACATGTAAAATTATATGTCAAAAAATAAAAAGAAAGAAGGGCATTTAATAAGTAATTATCTGTGCAACAAATGCTTTGCAAGGGAAGTTTATGGTGTTAACTTTTTCTGCCTAGTTAGGAAAGAGATCCTTTGGAGTTGATATTTCAGCTGACAATATTTTAGGAGACTGTTAGTGATAGTAATGGTTGGAAGAGGGTAGAATACTAATATTAGGTCAAAGGCCTACAGGCAAGAGAGAGAGAAAGGTTTCCTCCAGCTCCTCACAGTGACCCAATATGGTACAGAGTGAAGGAAAAAGTGACAGGTGAGTTAGAAAGAACATAGATTATTGGGGGCCTTGCAGGCCATATTAAGAATTGTTTTACTTTATTTTATTAATAAATGCAATGAACAGTCATTAAAAAGTTAAATCAATGGGGGTTGTGTGTGCATCATGATCAGACTTATAATTTTAAAAGATTATCCTATTTAAAGGGTAGAAACAGGAATCATAGGCTCTTGTGGTAGTGCAGGTGTGAGATGTTGGTTACCTGGATTTAGCTAGCAGCAGCAGGAATGGGAAAAATTGACAAATCAAGAGATATTTATTATATAGGATCTATAGACTTCATAATTGATTGGAGAGGGGGAAGTGGCAGAGAGGGAGGTATCAAGGATGACTTTGAAGTCTCTGACAGAGCAACTGGGTGATCAGTGGAAATATTTCTGGATGTAAGAAATACTAGTGGAGGAGAATAAGATTTTTGTTATTGTTTTTGTTTTTGGTTATGGAACCATTTACTGTTTCAAAGTAATAAGAGAGGTTTAAGGATATGTGGTTAAGGTGTTTTTGAAAATTTTCATTGTGGAAAATGAGAGAACAGTCTACATAGGGAAGCAATATCAGCTGATATTAGTCACTAATCTGAGGTTGATAATCACTAATTTATAATAATGCAAACCTTTCCCATTGTGTGATTTTACTTAAACTGTGCTCAGCAGCCAAGATGCTAGTATAGGTTAGGCAAATGATTTTCATCCAAAATTTCCAAGATTGAGGATTTCCTGTACTCAGTGGAATGACCATAGAGGAAAGGAGTTTAGAATCTTAATGAGAGAGTGACTGAAGTGATGGACCAAGGAATATAAGCTGAATGGATAGGAAAATTTACACGGAAAGGGGCTTATGGGTGGCGGTGATGTAGAGGAATCAGTACACTGGAGGTACCACTGGAGTCAAAGTACAGATGAGGTGAGAAAAGGATATGGTGACCAGAAGGTGGAGTGTATCTATTTATGATATAGTAGGGCACTTTGGAGTGATGATAAGGTTTGGAGAGTAGGTATAAAAGTGGAGTAGAGGAGAATATTACTGAATATAATGAAGTAAAATGTAATAGGAAATAGGGAACTGCTGCCACACATTTCCTGGTTGATTCTTATAGCCTTAATATAACATCGATCCCTTTTTTCTCTCGGAACTGCCCCATTTCTCTGCTCCCATTTACTCCAGACTCAACAAATTTATACACACTTACTGTCTGCATCTCTTTTCCTCTAATTCTCTCTTGAACTTACTCTTCTTGCTGACCACGTCACTAAACCTGTCCTGCGAAGATCCTGTCAGTGTTATCAATGACTAAACATTGATTAGACCTCATCCTCCTTGACTTATCAGAATCTTTTGTCACAGTTGATCCTTTCCTCCTCCTTGATACATTTAACTCTATTTGGCTTCCTGGATACTACAATCCTTTGCTTGTCCTCCTACTTCACTGGCTGCTCCTTCTTAGTCATCTTACCTAGATCTTCCTGTTTATTTTCCCAAATCTCTAAATATTGAAATGTTCCAGGACTCACACCTGTAGCCTTGCTTGCTCATTGCTTCTCTTATGTACCCTATCATCCTTAGTCTGTATTTTCTAGCTGTACATACTCGCTAGATTATTTTATTCAGTTTTGTGACTTAAATGCAATCTATATAATTCCAACTTCTAAATTTATATCTCTAGTTATAAGTTTTCTTTTAAGCTCTAAACTCATAAAACCAAACACTACTCAATATTCACCTTGGAATACCTTACAAGCATCTCAGGTTTATAATAGCCAATACTAAGCCCTTGATACTCAACTTCTCCCATTGTCTTTTCCATCTTAATAAATAGTGACTCAATTTTTCCACTTGCCCAGGCTAAAAAACTACTTTTTCTCTCTCATAGCCTTCATGTAGTCTATAGGCAAAAATCTCTTTCTCCCTATCTTCAAAATATATCCAATATTTTTTCATCACTTTGTCCATTATTACCCTCATTCAAATCACTATCATCTCTTACCTAGAGTGCTCAATAGTTTCCTATTCCCTAAACAGTAGCTGGAGAGATTATTTTATTTTATTTTATTTTATTTTTTGGACCATACATGAGACTAAGGAGGGACACTTTAAAATGGAAGTTAGATCATAAAATTTCTCTATTCGAAAACTTCCATTGATTTTCCTTACTGAAAAAAAAAATCCAAAGGTCTAAACAATAAGCCACCACACCATGTTTCCAACATCCTCTTCTGTCATGATTCACCTTCATTCACTCTGCTCCAGTCTCTGTGGCTTTTTGTTGATTCTTGAGCATGAATAGTACATTCCTGACTTAAGATATTTTCACCCTCTGTTCCCTTTTCCTACAGTACTTTATCCCTAGATAATTACATGGCTTGCTTCATCCTTTCTTCAAGTGTCTGTCTACTTTTCACCTCTTTACTGACTATTTGATATAAAGTAATCTTTCTCACTGTTCATCCCTTTCACCTCTTGAATTTTTCTCCAGAGCACTTGTCACTACCTGACATATATCATATATTTATTTTGTGTATATAATTTTATATTTTTTCCTCACACTTGAATGTGAGCTTTATTAGACTAGGAATACCATCTCTTTTTTCATTCTCTTCTGTAATTCCTGTGCCTGTCAGTACATTTTTTTGAATGATTAAATGCCTCTTTTTGATTAAGAGACTGCATAATATACAAATAAAAGTGCTGAACCAAGAATTAGATGGACCTGATTTCCTAAGCTAGCTCCCTACTTACATGCTCTGAAAATTTAGACAAGCTGCTTAATTTCTCTGAGCTTTAGCTTTGTTATTTGTAAAATAAGGCTGCTGGACTAGATGAATTCTAAGGACCTTTCTATCCCTAAATAATGCTCATGACTCTAAATTTTCATTCTTTGAGCTTTCACTCCTTTCACCAATATTTTTATCACAGCATATGGTAACTTATCTACAGGATGATGCTGAGGGATGTAGTCTATAAGATGGCATGTGCTGCTAGCACATGGCTTAGTTCAGGCATCTAGAAAATATATGAGAGGCTCAAAGAGCATGGTTTAAGAAATTTTTCTACCTTCATCTCAGTTATGGGCTTTACCTGATATGAAGGAATGAAACATGATTGAGTACCCAAAAATGTTGCAATTTTTTTCACAAAAACTAAAATAGCCAAGCTGTAAACTTTGACTTAGGAGTAATTTAAGATCTCAACTACTTAGAAATAAAATTTATGGTGTAGGCTCTCCAGATTTTAAGTTGCAATTGAGAAGGTCATCAGAGACACAGGATTTTAAGACTTATATCTCCTTAAGAATTAGAGAGCATAAATAAAGTTATACTGTGTTGAATATGTTAATGCACATTGAACATTCTCCAGGAATGGTGCCTCAGTGACCTGTCTTGGCAGGCTGGTTGCTTCTTCTTTAAATTTTCAAACTATTCAGACACTGCGTTCCATTTCTCTTCTCTACCTTACCTTGTGGATGATATCTTTTTATACCATGAGTTTTATAATTTAACACAGATTGCTGAAACTGTACATTAAGAGGCTTTTCTTCAAGATATAGAGGATAGTGTTTATACAAATTATATGATATAGCCATAAAACATTTATATAGCAAGAGTTCTAGAATTTAGTGAATAAATATTTATGCTATTACAAAGCAGTAGAGAAAACCAGAAGGAAAGTGGCATCTATTAAAATGTTTCATAAAGTTAATGATGTACTGGAACTACTCTCCAAGATTACTATTGTTAAACCTTAATATTTACACTTTTAGATGAGTTTGAAAGATAAATTACTATTTTCAACTTAATTTTGGGAAAAAAGAAAGATTTAAAAGCATTCTTGAATTTTTTTTATTGTTTCTAAGGTTATAAGTCTTTGTGGTTTGAGACTGTTAAGAAATAGCATATTATATGGTTTCATTTTGGGCTTAAAGAAATTGCTTAGCTTCACATTATCCTGAAGTAGGGATGTATAAAAAGAACCAGAGAAGTTACAGATAGAGTCATTTGAAAAATAACATTTTTATTTAAAAATTTAAATGCAACTAGGCATTTGTGAGATGTTCTTGTTTTAAATGACTTACTGTCATCTACATAATAGTAAAGCTTAGCTTGTGTTGCTTTTGTTAGTGATGGCTTTATTTGTGGATGAAATTAGCAGTGGCAAATTGTTATGTAGTCATTGTATAATGTGACAAACTTTGATACCTTGAATCCATAGTTGTCATGGATTCTTAACCTCAACAGTGGACCTTAGTGGCAGAAGTGTTTTAGAGGGTTGCTGGAAGGAAGTGATAAGAGGTGGAAAGTAAAGATGCTGCAACAGTATTGCTCAACTTTCATGTTTCCTTATGGTCTTTCCTTACCTTCTGAGTAATGAAATTATTTTTTCTTAGAAATCTTTCTTTCATTTGTTTCCTCCCTAATTCCTCCTTCTCTAATATTTTCTAGTCCGGTTGGCTTCATATTTACTTCCCTTTCCCTTCCCTTACATTTCAACCAAGTGGAATTTACAAAGCCTTTTGGGAAGCATTTTATCAGCTCAAAGATGATGAAAAATGAGAGCTTTGGCCAAGATAAGGCTGCCTGGTTTCTTTTTTGCACTTTTATTCCTCAAAACGTAGAGTGTACTTTCCTTTTTTTTCTACTCATTAATGTTGTCAACTATTTATATCATGAGTCTACTGGGTTTCTGCTGCTTTATTCTGTTTTGTTAGAACTTGATAAACATTGATCAGGAGCCTCTAGTTCTCAAAGTGCAATTTCTGGAGAAGGATTTGGCCACATTGGAAAATTGTAGTAGACTTTTACTTTGCCAGAAGTCCATTTAGTGTGGGAAGAATTAATTCTCTGATTCAGTGATCATTTAGGGATGCCAATATGCTGGCTTATTTCACATGCAGCTGGTCTTAAAACTACATTTTATAAATTTGACAAGTTATTGATAATCCACTCAGATTAAATACTGCTTCTACTTTTTTTTGACTTTGGATACTAGAGGAGAAGGGTAAATAAGAACAAGAAAAAAATTGTGATGGATTGGCATGGAAATGTAATTAAATTGGTTCATAAAATTATCCTCAGATGTGTGCTACCTCCTGATTATGAGTATTGTGGAACAGACACACAGATGTGCACACTTACATGAAATATATCCTAAATTGGGTGCTATTTTTTTTTTAGGTTCAGGGTACATATGCAGATATGTTACATAGGTAAAATTGTGTCATGGGGATTGTTATATAGATATTTCATTACTCAGGTATTAAGCCTAGTACTCATTAGTTATTTTTCTCCATCCTTTCCCTCCTCCTACCCTTCATCCTCCAATAGGCCCCAGTGTATCTTGCTCCCTTCTATGTGTTCATGTGTTCTCATCATTGAGCACCTATACTGTAGTTTATTTACTTATTATTTTGTTCAGTCCCTAAAACTGGGGGGAACTTAATGGGGTCCTCCTAAATGCTCAATTCTTTCCTTGGAGGAAGGAACAAAAGACTATTCTCATAGCATCCAGCACATACCACTATTTTAGTGCTTCCTGTATTTTCTTCCAGTAAGACCCTGTCTCTACCATCAGACCATAAAACATTAGACAGCATATTCTTTAATTTTCTTTTACTCATTTCTTTCTAGGTTAGGGCCTGCTACATACTGGGCAAATTAATGTTTTTGGAGCATAAAATTATATCATGAGGCTGCCTTCAGAGTGATGATTCCTTCCGTTTGTAGCTGGAGAAGTTGGCATGTTAGTTTCTCGGTAGCTTTAGTTAGAATAAAGGATTAATATTGAACCCTTTCAGTGGCCTTACATTATTTTTAAATAAAGACTAAAATGGAGCCCCGTCTATGTCTGCAGCTTTACCACATCCTCTTTTAGTTGTTGTCACGCCACACTGGCTTTCTCTCAGATCCTCAAACAAATTATGTTGCTTCCTGCGTCAGAGCTTTTACACAAGATGTTTACTTGCCTGGAATACAATGCTTCTGTATTTACTTTTCCACTTCTGCCCCCTTTTACCTTCAAAGTTGATATTCATACTTTGGATCAAAACTGGGAACAAGGAAGCCATTTCTGACACTTCAGAACAGGTCATGTTCCCCAGTTGTGCTATGTTGTATCTTTTTTACATTGCTTTTACTACAGTTTTGATTTATTTAAGTATGTATTTGATAAGTTTTGTGTCTCCCATAAGACTGTAGATTCTAGGATGGTGGGGACCGTACTTTTATTTACCATTTTATCCTTAGTGCCTTGCCTAGTCCCTGGGACAAAGAAAATATCCCAATTTTTTTGAAATAATAAAACCCAGTTGTATTTTACCTGTTTTTTTTCTTCTGCCAAAGAAGATTTTCTATTTTTATGTGAATAAAATAGGGAAGCCCTGTATACAGATAGGGTTGAGTTTGTCCTGGTCACTCTCTTCAAATACCCAGTTGTATCCTATCTTTAGCTTTTGTACATGAGAGGCATTGGCTAAGAGCAGCAAATAGGCACAAGAAAGAAGACACATTCTTCCTTCTTTATTCTGCTGCATCATCTATAGTATTCATTTATTCCCCTTCTTTCCTGCTACCTGTAACCCACCTTGCTCCATAATGATGTCCCTTTGAGATTTTGAGGTAATATATTAATCCCAATATGGCTCCCACTTGGTAGGAGATAGTACCAGATATTTAAAAATATAAGTCTTGTCTTTCTGTCCATCTCATGCTCAAATAACTAAACATCAGGATAGCTTAAATCGGTGTTTAGATTATAGAAATATGTCTTTCTAGTTTATGAGAGTTATTTATAAATCGAAGTAGCATTTTAAATTAATTACACTAGCGACATTGAGAATAGTCATTTTAGAACAAAGTTTCAGCTAATAAGAAACAGTGATCTGTTAAATAGTAGTAGTTTATTTGATCTATTTGCAGATGAATCTGACTGGATTCACATTCTTTAAAAAAAAAAATCTTCTGTTTGACCTGTTCGAGCTGTGCTCAAGCCCAGCTAATGTAATAAGTGGTGAACAGTAATTCAACCCTTTAGTTTATTTAAAAGTTTTTCCTGTTATGAATTGGGGTCAAATCGTCCTCAGAGAGGGGAGGGACACAGCTGGGCATTGGCAGATAATTCAGGTGAGGGAGAACCTTTCACCCTGTGATTGGGGGACATTTTATTTTTTCCAGAGCAGAGGAGACAGGGAAATCCTTGTATTTTTCCAGATCTGAAACTGCTCCTCTGATTGAGAGAGGTGAAGAGGCAGTTTTTAAATATCCTACACAGCCTCCTGGGAGGAAATAAGAAACAAGGTGGCCTCACTCCTGTGTGGACTGAGCGTTAGAGAATTAGCACCCCAATAGGACAGCTATAGAATAGGCAGTTTGAGAAAACAATTTTGGTTTTAAAGAAGCATGAGAGCTGCCTTAACAGGTGTCCTGTCTCTATCTTGGGTTGAGGTACCAACATCTTTGGTGTGTCCTGATATATGATGTTCACTGTTGCTCCCTGCATTGGAAGATGTTCGATATCAGTGTGATGCATGCACAGCAATCCAGAAATACATAGTAGCATGTTGTAGAGCAGTCTTACACCAGGTGATGACTCCAGGGTTATCCCACTGCTGAGTCCTCTGGTGGAAGAGGACTTGTTAGCAGAACTGAGCCTTTTATGATACCATATCAGAACTAATGGTATGCAGGGAGTCCTTGCAGCTGGAGTGGTTGTTTATCAACCTTATTGAAGATTCTGCTAGGAAAAACAGGATGGCAAGACAGGATTGGATGGAGTTAAAGTTGGCTCATGCTAAGACAGGACAAGATAGTGGAATAGCCAGAAGCAATAATGCTAGCCTGGGACACTTCTTGAGGTAAAAAGCACATGGGGAAGCTGTGAGCTCAGTGATGAACCTGCCAGGGACTTGTTTTGGTGCTGGTGCTGTTACTTAATTCCTTAACTATCTTTTCCAGGCTGGAATCTTATTTTATGACAGGCGTTTTTTATATGTGCTCTAATCCCTCCCAACAACCCTCAAAGATCAGAGGCACAGGCCTAGATAGCTCATAATTCTCTCATGCCAACCTCATGTACCCTGAGTTGCCTCTCACTTTCCAGGCTTAGATGAAATGACACAGAGCCTGTGAAATCTGGCTTGTGAAATAACCATTGGTGGGCTGGACGACACAACACTGAAGTATGGGGGAACTGGTTCTGTATGAAGGTGAAATGGAAGATTGAGGTACACTACCAGGCTGACAATGTATCTCTCCTTTCTCCCCTCTGTGAACTGTCCCACAGTATAGTTTCTCCTTGAAAGCCTTCCAAAGAAGTATCCTGTGCTGAGAGAGCTGGTAGGGCAATTCATGGCTTTTCATAAAGCCAATGCAATTATGCATTATACTACATTGCTTTGCACGTTTCTTTGCTCATTTTCTTCTGTAGTATTTCTCTTATTGCTCCTCCTAAATAAAGGACTTTCACCCCCCAAAATAAAGTACCAGAAATTTAATTTGCCTCAGGCTCTACTTATAGGACACTGGAGCTAAGACACACCACTATCATCTGAAATTTGACAAAATTAGGATGTATATATATTATATGTATATGTGTGTGCATGTATAATATATATGTATGTTTGTATATGAGTATATATGTCAATATATATACATATAGATATATTTATATGATCCTCTCTATTTTTGAATCTTTTCCTAGCTGACCTGTTTTTCCTTTCAGATAACATCTAACCCTATCCACAGTTATTGATATTTTTAAAAGATATTTTATTAGGAGTGAGCTTGGGATTTGCTTTATTTTTCTATCGTGTTAGACAGAAATATTTTAGAGTTCAGAATACCAAAAGGAAACAGTTAATTACTTTGTGTTTTTATCTCCTATACTATCCAGAAAATCAGGAGCCAGTTTTGTAGCTGTCATGTTGCTTAGCACAGAGCTTGGCATATTGTATGTTCTCAATAAATGTTCCTTGAATAAATATAATAACATCAGTCCACTAAAATTTAGAAGCAGTCTAATTGTTCTTTACTTTTTGTTTCATTTTGGGGCCATTGCTTAAGCTTTCTGTAAAGCTCTTCCTTATATACAACTTTTGCTGTGAAATTTTAAACACAGAGGGAGTTGTGTTATGTAAATTTTTCAGGAATTCTATTGACTTCTTGTTACAGATCAGATTGATTTTTAAATTACTTTGGAGAGACCCAATGAGTTTTGCAATTGAGGTCATATATATTTGCAGGAAGGTATTATCTCAGTAGGAGTGCAGTTATTGCTCAAGAGTTTTTAACTGCTGAATAAAAAAAAAGAGAGATACATAAACTTTTACATATTAGGAAACAAAAACCAAGAAGTAAATTATTTTACCTTCAATGATGCTGTGGTTTTCAATTATGAATAAATAGGTTCATTCACATTTAAATATTAGTTATGTAATGGCATTTGTAAGTTTTTAAATAGTTTTCTCCATGCAGCACCTCTGTGGAGATGCTTTTACATGAAAAACAATTGTAAACACTTTGACTATTGGATATAGACTATGTTACATTATTGTAGTTTATTAATGTACTTAAATGTCCATGAAGAGATGTGGAGATGTTTTCATTTGCTGGGAATCTGTGTAAGTTGATCTATCCTTGTATTTGTTAACATTAGCTACTATAACAGATAAATCCCAAAATCTCAGTGGCTATACACAATAAGGATTTATTTCTTGTTTATGTCAAAATCTAATGTGACTGTACATGGTTAGGTAGTTTTCCCTTTAGCATTAATTCAAGAACTTTAATGTTTTTCATCTTATGACTTTGCCATCTTCAACAAGTAGGTCAAGGGGCTCTGAAGGTCACTCTTTGGATCATTTCCATTCTAGCTAGCCAAAAGAGTTAAAAGAGGAAGGGGGATCACCTGTAAAAAGGTTTTTTCCCCTTTTTTAAAAATTTATTTTTTTCTTTCTAAATATGACTTCCCTGAACCTGTGAGAAGTTTTTATTGGTCAGGTCTAGATGTGACACACATCATGTATGGTCTCGTCTCAAAAGCCATAATTCAGTTATATAGCCACAGCCAAATGCAAGGGAGACCAGGAAGTTTGACCTAGATGTATATCCAAAAGGGTTTTGGTGATTACTAGAAATCTCTGCCATAGTTCCTAAAGAGTGTTTTAATTCTAAATAAGTTGAGGGTAGTTTTAAAAATTCATCATTTCTCAATATTTTTCTAAATGTTTTTCTTGCCAAAGCCACATCCATCAATTTAATGATAAAAGTGCTTGCTCTATGGAAAACAAGTTGAAGTGGACATCACACTTCATAGACAGAAAACAGTCTTTCACAAGATCTTGAGTGATTTTGAATTTTTTTAGACTCTAAAGTATTTACTTTTTCAAGCTCCTAGGTGAGTGAAAGTATTTTTAAAAGGTAAATGGAGACAAATCTGCCTTGAATTTTCTCTGGTCAGAATTTTGTTTATCAGAGTCAAACTGAAACTTTAGGATCTGGGGACTTAGGAATTTGAAAATCTTTTCATGCTTTCAGCATGAATGTATGATATCTCAATAAAAACAATGATCATTATCAAATTTAATTTATAACATCTCAAAGAATGTTAAATATGGTAAGTTTATAAATTATAATTTAAATATAATTGTATATTACATGTAACTCATAATTACAAAATTATAATTATATACTTATAAGGTTATAAATTATAATAAATTATAATAAGTTAAAATTTTACAAAGCTGAGAGATGTCATTTTTAGAATTCCTTATATAGGTTTAATATTGGCTGCCTAAGTAATATGGATGGTATTATAACAAAATAAGGTATTATCCATTATTGGTTCATAAATATATGCATTCATACAAAACTGAATAAGACACAATGTTTTTTCTTAAGAAGCCCTAATCTTACATGTGAGATAATTAATAGAGACAATACAGTGTGACACATTTTACTATAGAGGAATGTACAGAGTATGGTTAAAACACAGAGATAATTGACTTTTGAAAAATTATTAGAAGTTTGGCCCATAAAGAAAAGGGAGAAGAACATTCCTTGTAGAGATAAAGAGCACAGGACAGAGTCATGAAAAACAATGGTATGTTTAGTGAGTGTTGATTAGGTACATGTAACTAGAGACCAATAAAGATATTTGGTATTTTGTGGTTCTTGGCAGCATACTTTATACTATAGAGCCAACCAAGGAGTGTGACTAGGGTGGCGAGAAGGCTTTGAAATTCTATTGAATAAAAAATAAGGAAGAATGCTTGAAAAGTTCTAGGTGAATGAATGTGTAGAGTGAAATAGGACTTTGGAAAGATCTGAGCTATCTTCAATATTTGAAGGGCATGTTGTAAAGGGTATAAATTTAGTCTGTGTGGTTCAGAGGAAATAAATAAGTCTAAGAGATAAAAGTTATCTATAAGGTTTCATTTCAAACTGTAGACAACTTCTGAATTTCGAGCTATTCAATGATGGGACAATTTACCTCAGCATGGGTAACCAGAGACTGAGTAATCCTTTATCAGATTATCATGTAAAGGGGATTATATACTTACTGGAAGATGTCATGATTCTATTGATTTTTGGAAGTATTATAGGATGGAGTCTTCAACTGGATTGTGTGGATGTAAATCTGGGCTTCACCACTTACTATAGGTGTGACCATGGCAAGTTATTTAAACTTTCTGTATCTGTAAATAAGGCTGATAACAGCATTGGCCTCAAAGAATGTTTGTGAAGATTAACTGAGATAATAAATGGCAAGTGCTTAGTTTCTGGCATATGGTAAACATCCTACAAATATTAATTCTCATCCTCACCATCATCATCAAATGCTAGATAAATTAGCTTCATCTGTAATGGACAACATCGATATAGATGAAGAGTTGGTAAACATTTCTGTAACGGGCCAAATAGCAAATATTTTAGGCTGTGGGTCATATATTGGCTTTGCTGCATTTTTCTTTGCTTACGTTTGTTTGTATTATATAACATTTGAGAAATGTAAAAATCATTCTTAGCTCATAAGCCATATGAAAACAGACTGTGGGGGCAGGTTTGTCTATGGACTATAGTTTGCTAATCTCTGATCTACATGAATAGAGAAATTAATCAAATAAATAACAGCATAGAATCAAGATTAAGCATCTGTGTTTATTAAAAAGTTAAGGCTAAAAAGCAGATATTTACAGAGCATACATATATGAGTGGGGCATTTCAGGTCCAAACTTGGAAGAGGAAAGAAGTGCTTGCTTGTTGTAGTCACTTAGATGGAAGAGGAAGAAAGTACGATCACAAAAATGCCTATTATAGCATCAGATATAAATGTTATATAAGAGCCCAGAATAGCACGATGGCTGTAAACATGTCAGATATAAAAGCCAAGTGCCTAATTACAGTTCCCCATCTAGTCTAATCCTGTTACCATTAGCAACAGGGAGGACAGCATCTGGGTTTGCTATCCCACCAGTCTGATTTTTCTAGTTTTTCTTCCCCTTAGCAGTTGCTACCACTGCAGAGTACTGTAGGGAAAGGGATGCCCAAGACATCTGCTGGTTGTTTTAGGCCAGGCCTCTTGGGTGAAGGGACAGTCCCTTGTTGGGACTTCTTATAAGTCAGGATTGGGGCGTAGCTTTGGAAATCCTGCAGTTATTTTTAGTTTATTCAATGGAGATTAACTTCAAAAACAGACTCATGCTAACCTATTTCTATGAAGTGTGGCTAGCTCCAGAATGAGGGATTGGTTATCTTTACTATTTTCTTCTTCTATCTTCCTGACCAATATTTTGTCCACCCAGGACACCAACTTTGCCAGCATAAGAATGCTGAGCAAAGAATTAGACAAAGGGTGTTAGATATTCTCAAGGAATATATACCTCAAGCTAAGGCAGTTTGATGGATTATTTTTGTCTATTCTAGGGTGATTTGTATCAAGAACCAGGAATCAGTACCTTTCATTTTAGATAGTGCTGAATTAAGACTGACAAACTCTTAATTCCTCAATTACTTTTCCTATCAGTTACCAATGCAGTGTTCCCTTCAAACCAATTGGATGGTTTATAGCTTTCTAAAATGATTGTATCAGCATCTGAGAGACTGCTATGTACCAGGTAGCATGTTATTAGTAGGAATATGGTGATAAACAGAAAGCAAAATCCTGACCCTCAAGGAACTCATAGTTAAAATACAGTGCCATAATGGCTATGGGAGAGATAAGCAGAGGCAAACACAAAACACAGAACAAGGGCACCAGACTCAGCCTGCAGGAATCAGGGTAAGATGATACTAGAGGTGAGTTAAGGGATAAAAAGTAGAAGAAATTTTCAGGTGGAGAGAACAGTACATGTAAAGAAACAGAGCTGAGAGACTGCACAGCATACCCAAACAAATTCAGGTAAATTTGTGTGTCTCTAGTGATGGGCAGGGACAGGGAGGATGTCAGGTTGTGGGAATAAAGACATAAGCAGGCTATGAAGGGCCTTGTCTTTTGTGGTAATGACTATATGTTTCATTTAAATGCCTATTGGGAATCTTTTCTTAGTAACAATTAGAAACAATTTTTGCAGATTAATAGTTTAATGGTTTATAACTTGGTTTTACTGGAGAATGACTTTTTATTGACTTCATGCTAATTTTTTTTTTTTTTTGGTAGAAAACCCCTATATGGAGTCTGTGGTCCATATATAAAATTGGAATTCATCAGTTTGCTATTACTGTAAAATTGCTACATAATAAGCCATCCCAAAACTCAGTGGCTTAAGATAGCAATCTTTTATACTCATGGATCTGTGTGTTGGCTCAGGATTATCTGAGCTGGACTTAGATTGGTTGGGAGGTCTTGGCTGTGCTCATGTTACATTTTTTTTGCAGGTGGATTGATATGTATTGTATTTGACTGAGGTGGCTCTGGTACATGTCTCTAAATCTTCTCCTGGGACTGAGAAGCTAATTTGGGCATGTCCTTTTTATGTTGGTGGTAAATATAGGAGACTGGACAACCTCCTAAGACCTGGGCTCAGATTGGCATATCATTATTTTCTCCCTATTCTATAGGCCAAAGCAAGACACAGGACCAAGGCCAACATCAATGGAGTAAGTATATGCATCTCATGGAAGTGAGGCGAATGGGTGTCAATGTCTGAATAATGAATAATAATATTACCCACCATAGGGAAAATAATAACAATAGTAGTATTTTGTGTGTGAAGATTAAATGATGAAATAAGTCATGTAAAGTACTCTCTATAGTCTGCCATATAAGGAATATTAAATAAATGCTAGCTAACATTATTATTAGCTAGTAAAGCTTATATAGTAAAGTTAAATAATTTTGCATATTAGTTAGAGTCGTGGAAGGAAAGGAATCACACTCTCAAAAGTTTAATTGAAGATAATTTATTAGAGGGGTTATTTAGACAGATGTGTTCATAGTTAAGGGGAACTACAAAAATCTGGCCATCATCATTACACTTAGGTCCAAAGGACAAAAGGAAGTTTGACCAGGATTCGGTAAGAGCTTCAGCTGCAAGAGAGGGGTTGCTGGATAGGAGCTTTGCTCTTAGGGAGAAGAACACAACCACTGGCAAAAAAATACCCTGACCTTCTCTTCTCCTATTCTCTGGTTTTCTGCCAGAGCCTCACATTAGCTGATCCCAACCAGAAGCCAAAAGGCAAAGAATCTTAGTGACTTAGTCTGTAGAAATCGGCATCCTGGGCACATTGCAGGAAAAAGAAAAGTGAATGGATGGTAAGGGGTAAATAGGATAACTAGCATATTTTGTGGGTCAGTTTTTTTTTTTAATTCCTTTTTTCCCCTTAATTTTTTCTTTAAATTAGAAACTGGCTTTCTGAAAAGAGTTGTTACCTTTTCTTTCTTGTTTTATTTTATTTTATTTTATTTTATTTTATTTTATTTTATTTTTTGAGACAGAGTCTCGCTCTGTCACCCAGGCTGGAGTGCAGTGGCATGATCTCAGCTCACTACAACCTCTGCCTCCTGGGATCAAGCGATTCTCCTGCCTCAGCCTCTGAGTAGCTGGGATTAGAGGCATGTGCCACCACACCCAGCTAATTTTTGTATTTTTAGTAGAGAAGGAGTTTCACCATGTTGGCCAGGCTGGTCTTGAACTCCTGACTGCAAGTGATCTGCCGGTCTTGGCCTCCCAAAATGCTGGGATTACAGGCATGAGCCACCGCGCCCAGCCTCTTGTTTTATTTTGACATAAGCACCTGTAACTGTCAAAAAACATTGTAAGTCTAATATATCAGTGGTTTTATCATCCAATTAAACACAAATGAAACTGTGCCTAAATAGAGAGACCAGACTAGATAGCACATGGATAAGGAACTAAATCAGTGTCAGTAAAGAATCTATTTTCAGTTTTGAAAGTGGATCAGTACTGTGGCAGGACCAGGAAACATCTCTTTCCCATTGGTGTTGGGAATTATTTTATACTATGGGGTGATTCAACATTCCTGTGAAATTGAGGAAAGGGATCATCGTGGTTTAGAGAAAAATGACCTCATTATGAGTTTGGCTCTTCTCCTCTGTCACCTAGCCAACGTCTGCTAAAAAAATGCTTGAAGAAAGATTTCCATATAAAGTAGTTATCTTCATAATTAAATTCTACACTAACTAAAAGAGGATTTTTTTTTCACATGCTTAGAATCTAGGCAGCAATTTTAGTTCTTTTTCTCTTTTTTTCCCACCGCTTACAGTCTGTCAAACTATGTTATGTATTATATATCTCTAACAATCTTTCTTTTATTACTTGTCTTGAGTCTTCTATTTCTTCGATTTCTGTTTTATGTACTTTTAATTTTTCCTCCAGTTTTCTTCCGTTCCATTTTTGGTGGTGTTGTTTTGACAGATTGCAGTCACAGGCATTCATTCATACATTTAACAAATGTTTGTGGAGCACATGCCTTGTGCCCTAAAGACAAGGTCAGCGTCTTCTTTCGTTATACTGTGTGGATGGCCAACCTGTCTTTGCCTACAATAGTTTATTCAGTTCAATTGTTGCTTATTTCTTGCAGTATTTTTCATCCCCCCTCCTTGCAGCCTTTGCATTTCTTCTTGAGATGACATTGACTTTGTCATGAGTTCCCAAATTCACAACTTTCATTAGCATAACATTGCTTTACTAATAGAATTTAGAGCTAGGGAGTCTTCAGTCTTCCAGGTTACATTAAAAAAGGTTAAACTGGCCAGGCGTGGTGGCTCACGCCTATAATCCCAACACTTTGGGAGGCCAAGGTGGGCGGATCACGAGGTCAGGAGATTGAGACCATCCTGGCTCACACAGTCAAACCCCGTCTCTACTAAAAATACAAAAAATTAGCCGGGCGTGGTGGTGGGCGCTGGTAGTCCCAGCTACTTAGGGGAGGCTGAGGCAGGAGAATGGCCTGAACCCAGGAGGTGGAGCTTGCAGTGAGCCAAGATCGTACCACTGCATTCCAGCCTGGGCCACAGAGCAAGACTCCGTCTCAAAAAAAAGGTTCAACTACTGACATACATGTGGTCAGATCTCCACTAATAGTTCCTAAAGGGTTGGAAGGGCTCTTCGGCCCCATTCACCTGGCAGCAGCAAGTAAATCTGGACAGGTTGTAGTTAATCTCTAAGCCAAGAGCCTGAGACTAGGTTTATTTGCCAGCTATGTATTTTTAATACCCATCTCAAACATTTATCTCCATTCCTCCTACTTGGGTCAGGCATTTTATAGAATGTAAGCTCTGTGAGAGAAAGGCCCTTTCTCTTTGCTGTATCCAAAGTACACAAAGCAGTGGCAGGTACATAGAAAGTACTCAATAAATATTTGTGAAATAAATGTATCATAAATGGTGGTGGCATAGAAGAGACTTGCAGATGAGGCTGAAACCAGGAGAAGGGGAGGTAAACTGACATTTAATGAACTTCTATTATGTGTCAGGCATCATTCTCTATATAATTTAGTTTAATCTTACAATAATTTTACAAGATGGGTATTTTCTGTATTTTATGTGAGAAGATTGAATCTCATAGAAATTAAGTAACTTGTCCACAGTTACACAGCTAGTTGGTGGCAGAGCTGGGACTCAAACCCAAGTTGGATTCTGGAATGTATCTTCTTTCCTCTCTACATTGCCTACTTGTGATCCGGGAACATATGAAAATAAAGGAGCTGGTCTATGAGAGGAGTTAGATATATACTAAGTGCTGCACATTTTCTGTGACATTACAAACATTTTTGTGTTTTCCTTTCACAGTATAAAAGAAAGAAATCCAGCCAGGCGCCGTGGCTCACGCCTGTAATCCCAGCACTTTGGGAAGCCGAGGCGGGCGGACCATGAGGTCAGGAGATCCAGACCATCCTGGCTAACATGGTGAAACCCCATTCTCTACTAAAAATACAAAAAATTAGCCAGGCATGGTGGTGGGCACCTGTAGTCCCAGCTACTCGGGAGGCTGAGGCAGGAGAATGGAGTAAACCCGGGAGGCGGAGCTTGCAGTGAGCCGAGATCGCGCCACTGCACTCCAGCCTGTGCGACAGAGTGAGACTCTGTCTCAAAAAAATAAATAAATAAATAGGAAAGAAAGAAATCCAAAGCCTATTTCAGATTCTCTGGATAACCACTTTACAACTAAGCACTGCTGCAGATTTCCCGGAAGGCCTGTAGTTGCGCTTGTGTTTACTGTTTCGTTGGTGACAAGTGGTACTCTTCAAATGTCACAGGCTATGGTAAAGAGAACAGAGGTGGACTTAATCTATAATCGCTGCTTTATACCAATCTAAAGCCAAGTTACCACAGTCAGTATCGTTTATGTGGAAAGTAGCAGCTTAGTTTCAGCCAAACTTTATCAATAGCCTGTGACATTTAAAGAGTACCGCTCTTTATTCAAGTTTGAGAAGCAGTGATGTAGTTGCTTGTGAATTAGTATATGTCTTTCATTAGATTGTAAGCTTCTCAAAACCAGAAACCATGCCATATTCATTTTGTAATCCCTTACTCTATTCCCTAATACCTAGCACAATACATGGTCATTCAATCATTCAACAAATATTTACTGAGAACCTACAATTCCAGGCACTATTTTTAGGCTCTGGTAATATAGAGTTGAATGTACCTGGAAAGATACTTGTCCTCATGGAGCGTATGTTCTAATAGGGAGAAGACAGACAATAAATACATTTAAAAATATGGAAATAAAATGCTTACATAATTGAATAAATACTATGGGGAAATAAGCAGACAAATCATTTCCATTTCCAACTTTCTACTGATGCTGCTGTTCTTAAAGTCAGCAATGACTTCCATGTTGTCAGATCCCCTGACAGCTTTACTGCCCTTTTCTGTTTAATCAAGAAGTATTCTGTACTACAGGTTGAGTATCGTTTATCGGAAATGCTTTCAACCAGAAGTGTTTTGGATTTCAATTTTTTTAATTTTTGAAATATTTATTAGTTGATCATCCCAAATCTGAATACCTGAAATCTGAAATGCTCTAATGAGTACTTAGTTTGAGCATCATATTGGCACTCAAAAAGTTTCAGATTTGGGGGCATTTCAGATTTCAGATTTTGGGATTTGGGATGCTCAACCTGTATAATCTCTTTTTCAAAAATATTGAATTTTGTTAATTAAAATTCTTGGACCTTCAGTTAGTCTCTACTGTGCATTTTCTCAGAACCTAGGATTTACCTTTCTTGCCCCCGCTTTTCTTTGCTTTGTGGTTTTCTTAAATTAATTCTGAAGTTTCTACCCAATCTCTTCATGGAAACTGCAGGCTCCTTGCAAGCAGAGGGTATGTTTTCTACTTCTCTACTTTCCTTTTATATTGCTCTATGCATAGTGGATGAACAATAACATTTAACTTGATTAATGTACCTCTGCTGTCTGGTTTGCCATAGTTTTTAAGCTATGTTCCTGGAAAATGTAGGGTTCCACAGATCTAACCCAAGCAGAATCTGCTAGGTGTAACAACAAGGCTTCCTCTTCCTTTCTTCAATAGAGCAGCTTTGTTTATTTACTTTTAGCCTTATGTATTTGGGATTGTCTAAGATTTTGTTTGACAAAAAGGTCTGATTCAAACCCTCCACAAAAAATATTTTTGAAAACCATGTATAACATTTCATTACGTCCTGGAAATTGACCAGTACACATTTAGAGGGTATGCCTTCTTCTATCTGGTCAAGGAGAGACATTTAATTTCACTTTTTAAATAAAAGTAAATGAGAACTAAATAGCAGAACTTCAAAGTTAACAGGGTCTTGGATTTCCTCTTGTTCAATTATCCATTTCTTTCAAATGAGGGAACTGGGGTCAGAGAGTTGATGTGAAGTTTATAAGGCCAGATAGCTAGTTAATGGCAATTGGGACTAGAACTCAGATCTCTGAATCTTTCTAGCACCCCATACTGCATACGCACACAGACATACACACACAAACACAATTTCTGATCTTAGTATCAACTCTGATACATGATAGTATGGTAACAGAAATTATAGAGATTGGGAGACATGAACACAACACATAGCTATGCTGCATTGTGACTTTTATATCAACCTGGGTAATAAGGGGAACATACATGGGTATGTGTACATTGCATATAAATAGCACTTAATAAATATTTATTGAATTACATGGACCAAGATATTTACATGTATGTTCCCATATTCTAATATTCTTTTCTCCCTCTGCTATTATTATCATCATTTCTCATGGTCAAAATGAACAAAGAGTGATAATGAAACCTATGTACAGTAAGATGCCAGAGATATGATTAAGATACATATGGTAGGGTAACAATTCCAAGGTTGGAAAACATAACTTTCAGCTGTGTACTTCAAAACCAAGCCTGAGCATACATTTTAGTTCCAGAGCACCACCTTCCTTGTGTTCAATTTTCCTTAAGTAATGGGGGTTTGCTGTACAAATTCAGGTGGGAATACAAAAGGTAGAGATCTAAACATTGTATGAAGCCTAAAATGTCCTTCTAAACATAAAATAAGCTCTAACTTAGGATAGTGGTTAAGAGCAGGGTTCTGGAATCAAACAAATCTGGGTTAGAATCCTGGTTCCATCACTTACTAAAGGAGTGACTGTGCTCTTCCTTAACTTTGCTCCGTCTCAATTTTCCTATTTGTGAAATGGAGATAATAACAGAACCCACTTCATAGGTAGTTG
This sequence comes from Homo sapiens, assembly GCF_000001405.40. Classification (NCBI taxonomy): domain Eukaryota; kingdom Metazoa; phylum Chordata; class Mammalia; order Primates; family Hominidae; genus Homo; species Homo sapiens. The sequence goes on along the minus strand of NC_000011.10, from coordinate 85,302,911 downwards.
CAAGGTTTAGGTAGAATAATGCATTTGAATTTTTTATCATGTCTGGAATATAGTAAGAGCTCAATAAAAGTAAGCCTTTATTATGATTGTTCTTGTTATTGTTGTAGCTGCTGTTGTTATTAGCCACCAGGTTATTCTCCTATATCCTCAACAGCCATTCTCCCAAATCTCATCTCTACTATTACGCTGAATGTGCAGCTCTCTGTTTTGGCTTCTATTCCTCTGAAATTATCAACTAACTGACTGTTTTTTTTTTTTTTTTTTTAACTTTTCAAGTGAGAGTATCCAATTGGATTAGCCTATCACCACCTGTGTAAGGCAGAGTTCTTATACCAGGCCATTTCATACCTACTGGCCCATCTAGCAATTGACTAGTCTCAGGTCAGGTGCTCAGCAATCACCAGTCAGTCTGGGATAGCTTATCTGTAGGAAATCCTTCAGAAGGGGAATGTAGGCCCAGCAGGCATTCTGACACTTCCTAAAAGATGATGGTGTAGTTCTTACCTACCACCTTGCCTGACTAGTATGAGAAGCATAGAAAAAAGAAAGCCAAATTGTAATACTTTGATTAATAACAAATGTGATGTTTAAATGAGTAAAATATGTTATTTCTTTATGTAGTAGTATTATTAGTGAACTTAATCAGCAGAGAGAAAGAAAGTTGGAAATAACAGACCAAAAGTCACTCAGGGCAAAATCATTATTTGTGATATGTTAGTAGTGTCTGTCCAAGTTTCTGACAAACTGTAGTTACCTAAAGAGGAACAGAATGTGCGGTCAGCCTTCCAGAATCCTATTGAGTCTACCTTCCTGTGAATTATAGGTAGTTATGCAGCTGCTTAGAGAGATTTCTTCCCATGACAGTCTGACCTCATGTGCTCTTAAGATAATTTTGTGCTGAGTGTTGCTACTATACTATTTGTATTAATTCTCTCAGGCTAAAGGTAGAAAAGGAAATAATAACACAGAGAGAATAGCCATTTTCTAAATGAATCAATTTTATGACAGGGAGGGATAAGTATTTTTCTTATATCATCCATAGCTAAGTTCTAACTAGAAACTTTTTCAACTAGAGAAATTGTGGCAGCTGCTAGTTATGCATCTGTTAGGGATAAGGTTCTGATGTGCTTGGCATCTGCCTGCATAGTGACCGTTAGAGACTTATTCTTATACTTCTAGGTCCAGAACGAGCTATGACTGTAGTGGAAAGCTTCTTGGTTTGGGAACCAGGAGATTCAAGTCCTGGTTCAGCCACTACTGGCTTTGTGTTCTTGGAGAAGCCACCTTAGTTCACCAGCCTTAGTTTTTTCATTTCTACAGTAAGCAGATTGATAAGATGATTTTCAGCCCCCTCACAGTTCTAGCCCTGCATAATCGAGACTCACAGACTCCTTTTCTTTTTTACATTGGTCCATTCAACGCTTTGCTTCCAGATCATGCCATCTGAATTTTATGCCTCTGTCTTTTGTACCATATATTTGCTTTACACATCCATCCATTCATTGATTCTCTCATTCCACCTTTATAGAACGTATATAGTCTTCCTGGCAACAATGATATAAAATTTACTGACATGATCAATACTTTCAAGGTCCTAAAAACCGAGTTCAGAATACATCAGTCTACCTACCTGCCTGCCTCTCCAGCCTTATCTTATACCATTCTCTTTGTCCTTCTCTAATGAGTTGTTTTTTTCGTTTTGTTTTGTTTTGAGATGGAGTCTTGTTCTGTAAGCCAGGTTGGAGTGCAGTGGTGTGATCTTGGCTCACTACAATCTCTGCCTCCCAGGTTCAAGCAAGTCTCCTACCTTAGCCTGCTGAGCAGCTGGGATCACAGGCATGCACCACCACACCCAGCTAATTTTTGTATTTTTAGTAGAGATGAGGTTTCGTCTTGTTGGCCAGGATGGTCTTGAGCTCTTGACCTTAAGTGATCCTCCCGCCTCTGCCTACCAAAGTGCTGGGATTACAGGCGTGAGTCACCGCGGCCAGTCTCTAATAATTTTTTTAGGGTCCTTGTCATGCTTTCTCCTCTCTCAGGTTCTTGCACGTTCTCCATCTCTTCCACTTCCCTGTCCTCAAACTCCCATGCCTGAAAATGCCTACTAATCCTTCTGTCTCAGTTGAATGTTCTTCCTCCTTTGGGAAATAAACTCCCTAGAACAGGCTTTCTGTCATGTATTCTCATTATACCCTATATTCTTTAGGCCTGATATTCACTGACACTATAGTAGTAACTTGATTAAACTATTGCATATATCCAGAAAGAAAATTTTGCTTCTGGACAACATGAATGTACATGGATCCCCAAGGATTCTGCAGAATTCTAATTTTCTTTCCCATCTATCTATTCATACAGCATATGAACATCTGAGAGTCCATCTCTGATGGGCATAAGGGGTATCTCCTTTATGGTTTTCCTGCTTCTTTCTAATTTTACTCCTTGTTTGTTTTGCCTGCCCCAGACTCTAGCTTTTCCTGTAGTGATTCCATTTACTGTATCCCTGAGGAGTTGGAGGGGCAGTATTATGTTCTCAGGTCTCTACATCTTTGAAGATTGTTTTAGTGCTTCAGGTACTCTAGAGTGAAAAGTCTCTTAACACCAACAAACCTTTCTCTGCCTAACCCATTATAACTTTAATGTGTTATTGTGCTAATACACATTTTGTTTTGTTGCTCCCATTTATCAAATATCTCTTCCCATGAAGATAATTGGAAGTGAAGTATGGAAATTTGTCATATTTTGCTTAGTCTTCTTTTTTTCTACTAGACTGTTAGTTTTTATCATAGCAGAGGCTAATCTGTCTTATTCACTGCTCTATCAGTACAAGGCACACAGTCAATACTTAAGAAATATTTGTTGAAGAAATGAGTGAATGAATAAAAGGTGGGAAAGATGAACCAACCAATTTATTATTACCATATAATATGAGGCATTCTATGGCATACATATATTATATCTGTATTTGGACATATTATAGCAAAGAAGATAATGTATGTGTTATAGTTTTATAAATCAAAAAACACTATTTAGCTACTTTGGTAAGAGACTGGTAAGCTCTATACAGTACTGAAATGTTTTTCAAAGTGCAGTCCCTGGACCAGCAACACCAGCATCGCATGGGAATTTATTAGAAAAGTAAATTCTAGGCCCTACCCTAGACTACTGAATCAGAAACTCTGGTGATACAGCCCAGTAATCTGTTTTTTAACAAGCTCTTTGGGTGATTTTGGTGCACAATAAAATTTGACAGCCACTGCTTATGTGAGATAAAGAATGGAGTGTGACTTGGCCTTTAACTTTGCAAAGTTTACATGTAGGGAAATAAAACATATATTCCAATGACACAGGGTCATAAGAATCACAAGATAAATGCAAAGTGCAAAGGCAATAATGGGGAGGAAGGGAGAAATGACTTTTGGTGAAGGAGGCTTCAGGGAGAAAGAATCTTTGAGCTGGAACTGCTGAGTCATGGTCCATAAAACATCCTAGGTGACAAGAAAAGCAAGATGAACAAACAAAATCCCTGTTAACCCAGAGCAAAACAAAGAAAATCTAACAATTACTCCAGACATAAAGAGTCAGTTTGTAATAGTTAAGGCCACAGGCTTTGGAGTGAGACATACCTAGTTCCTATCCCAGCTCTGCCAGTTATAAATTAAGCAAACTGGGCAAACATCTCAACCTCTCTCTTCCTGAGTTTCTTCCTTCGTAAAGGGATAAAAATAATACCTATCTCATAGGAGTATTGGGAATAGTAAATGAGATAATGTACATACAATGCTCAACTTGCTATGGTATGTTTGATGAATGGCCTTTATTATTAACACAAAAATAGACTCTTGAAGTTGAAAAGTGGGTGAGGGGTTTGCATCTAGACAACCACAAAGAATTTACATCTTCTATGACCTAGATGTAATTTTCTTTCTTTGTTTTTTAGAAATAATTTTTAAAATTTATTTTTAGGGCATTAAATTTTTTTTGAAATAATCTCAAATGTGAAAGTACAGTACAGCACTTAAAAAAGTCTCTTGACCCATATGAGTGTTAAGTGACCAACTTGTTCCATTTCTTCCTAATACATTAGTGTATCTCCTGGGAACAAGAGCAATCTGTTATATAACTGCAATATTACCATCAAAATCAGATGGTAATATTGGGAATATTGGTATTAATGGGAAATTAACATATTGGGACATTGGTTAATTTCCTGTTAATACCAATAATACCAATATTACCAATATTGGTATTAATGGGAAATTAACAGATGTCCCAGTTAGATGTGCTTTATAGCAAAGAATTTAGTTCAGAATCACATGTCATCTTTAGTTGTCATGTCTTTCTAATTTCCTTAATTCTGGGGCAGACTCTCAGCTTTTACTTTTTTCTTTTTTTGTGACTGACATTTCTGAAATAGGAGTATTACAGAAGTGAGGCTGTGATCTTTTCATTGCATCCTATCAGGTGGCACGTAATTAGATTTGCTGCATTTACTTATGATGTTCACTCTGAGCACACAATTGAAGTTGTGTTTTCCAGGCTTCCCCACTGTGAAGTTATTTTCACTTTTGTGTATGTTTAAACTCAGACAAATTTACATCTATATTAATATCTATATTTATCTATCTCTATTGAAAACCATGAGTTCACACTGATTACTCCAGTTCCAGTCTAACACTATATAATTCATTGTAGTTTTCTCTACTGCCATATTTTCACTCTCTTTTCTGATAGATTCAAATTATCCTTATTTTATTTACTTATTTGACCCATCCTTCTGTATGTAACCAGTCTCCCATTGCTACTGCCACCCCAGCACAGATACCCTCCTCACCAAACTCAGGCTCTCACAACCCTTGCTAGGTCACTGCTCTGCATGGGAGACCTCGTCACTCTACTTAGCTAGGACAAAGCACTTCAGTCCCTTCCCATCACATGGGCGCCCTCCTCATACTACTCAGGTTTTAACTCCATGCTCAGACATTATGTAGCCTATTTGGCCTTCCTTAACTTGTTTTAGTTCCAACAGCCCATATTAGCCTACCTGTCTTCAAGGACTCTTTCCTCATTCTGTCAGGCTCTGTAACTCTGCTGTGGTCTGCCTCCATACTTGAATACCCTTCTCATCTTGATTAGGCCCTGGGCCACTCTGACACTCTGCTCTGGACCACTGTAGCTCTGTTCTCCAAACTCCTTCACCACCAGAGTAGACCTTGCTCTACTTCACCCAGTGGCTTTGGGACTGAATTGTTCAGGAAGGGAATGAAAGGGAAAGGGAAAGGGAAAGGAAAAGAATGAATGGAATGAAAAGAGAAAGAAGAAAATACGAGAAGAAGCTCATAGATGTATTTTTCAATAAAGCAAGAAGAAACATTACTATTTTCCAAAGACTGTTAGTGGAACTATCAGCATAGTTTTCCTTGTCTGGAAACAGGCAGAATGGCCTGCTGGTTTGACTATGGGGTCCTGTGTGGCTTTCCAGTGGTCTCAAGATTATCATACAACATTAGGCAGTCTAAGAGAGAACTACAAAGCTTCATGTCGTACTTGGGGACTGCAGTTGATCGGATGGTTCTTGCAACATAAAAACCATTCATCTACAAGCTGGCTTTCCACTATCACTTTAGAACAAAAGGCAGTATACTTTATTTAACCAGTACAAAAGTATGCTAATGATACCTTAGGTATATTGGGTAGCATATTTTCTAATCTGTACTTTGGTATTTGGGCATAATATTTTCTCTTAAGCTAACTCTTTAGTTATTGGGGAAGTTGGGGAAAAAGAAAGGTGACATATTTAATGGCTCTTGGTTTTATTTTTCTACAATTTTATTTAAGCAGTACATTCTCATAAGATTTTCTAGCACAGTAGATCATAAAATTTAAAATAATATAATGGAAATGATTATATCTGTACTATAATGATATGTATATGATAATTAACTTTATATAATTAATATAATTTGTACACTACAATAAATTATAATATGATTGTATCATTTTGTACAATAATATAATTATATATAATAAAATTACATCATAATTATAATAAAATTTTATTACACATTTTATAGGAATATATTTTCAATAATTTCTACAATCTAAAATTGATTTTCAGATAATTGGAACACAGGTGTTTACAAGCATGTTCTTTTTGAGATTAGCCATCAGCTGTCACTTACTGGACCAATTCCAGGTGAAATTACAGACTTTCATTTAAATTCATCCTTTTGGTGCAGTGGAATGTGATACTTTTTTCAAGTGATAGTTGATATTAGATTTATTAATCTGCCAAAAAATACCCTTCATTTCATGGTATACATAAGAGGGGACTAAGCTTTTGGTATTTATGAGTAGAATTCTTTACAGTCTTCTGATTCAGAGCTGTATGTCCAAAAGAAGGAAAAAATAAGAAAGAACTAAGTGAAAAAAAAAAAAAAAAAAGAAAATCGAAACAAAACAATCTTGCCATTTTGGCAAGTTGTAATAAAAGTCCTTATATATCCGATTTGAGGAGATGAGAGGGATGTTGTATTTTACATGTCAGAGACAGAGGTTTATTTTCCTACTTAACATGTGTCTCTATGGATAATGTCTCCCTGTAGACTGAATGCTATTCTTTCCTTATATGAGTTGTTTAATTGGACTGATTATAAAATTGCATAAAATCACCATTAAACAGAATATTAAGTAAATCTATACTTATGTGCCTGACAGCAAAGATTCCTCCAAAGTCTATTATTTCATAGCTGTTTTGCCATCTTTTTCTCTTCTGCTGCTTATTTTCTGTTAAAGTTAGTTCTTATCCTCTGGAAAAAATTGTTACAATATTATTGCGTAACTAATATTTATTGAATACTCTGTGTTCACAGCATGTAAAAAGCAAATCTGAGAGGCCAATAGAGTCAATTTGTAGCATCCTCTTTAATGTTTGTCTCCTGGCTTAACTATACTGAAAGTCTATAGCTACTTCTGTGCATAAGCATTCTTGTCTCCCTTGGCATTCATCAGCTGGAAAGATCCCTGGAGTCCAAACTCTCATTCTGTTTGAGATTTTGCTGATGGAAACCAACCAAGTAGCTTCAGCTAAGCACTGTGCTATTGAGATTAGTTAAAATATCCTTGGTAACAGGTCCTGGAAAGTTTTTGAGAGTTCCTTAGGTTTGATTTTCTTTCCATCTGGTGATCTGAAGAATTTTCTAAATGATATTCTAGTCATGCGTTTGACAATAAAATATACTTGTTTTAGCACTGATATTATTTAATTAACCCCTAACATTCTATTATGCATACTGTTGCAGCATGTTGCATTAAAGGGTTTAGGCTTAAGTGTCAAATGTGAATTCCAGTAATAGCCTTGCCATTGTCCAGCCTGATGACCTTGAACCAGTCTCAGTTTCTCCATCTCTAACATGGGTGTAACCTACATGTCTCATAAGATGATCAAAAGAAGTTAGTAAAATGAATGACATTTACAAAGTACAACTAAACACATGGAGTTTATGCATGGCTGGTAAATGGCAAATGCTAATTTCTTTCTTCTCTCCTGTCTTCAATGAGCAATACCAATACTTAATCACAGATTGGAAGATATTGGGAATTTTTTAGTGGGGAGGTAGGCATGAAAGAATATGTAACTTAAAACTGGGCTCATACAGATTACATATAGTTACTTATCTTCTGAAGATTTGTAGAATTTACATGGTAAATCTTTGTGAGGTAAAAAGAATTGACAACGTTCCTACATCTTGAATGATTGATGTGAAATTGAAAGTTAATTATCTCCTAGATATAGAATAAGACACACCTCCTGGTGGTTTGGGAGTATAAGTGCTATAAGTGTAAGATAAAAGGTAGCTGATTTGCATTAACAATATCTTGAGTTTATTTAGTGCCTGCTTTTTGAGCAACTTGAAGTAGCACATTTATTCATCAAGGAGATATTTTGAATTAAAATTCATTTTAGAGGTCGTATTTTTAAAGACCTTATTTGGGCCACAAAAATACTGTGTTCCTTCATGCACATCTTATTGCATCTCTGTTACAATTTCCATTTGAATCAGCTTTTTAAAAACTTGTAAATAACAATTTCTGCCTCCTTGTCAAGTATTAATTCTGCTTTATTGATTCAAGTGTCTGCACCCTTGACTCTTATGGAAGAAGTGACTCCTGGCTGAGCATATTCTATGTTCAGGTATTCAACATTTAATGAGACTGCCTGGTACACAGTATTGTTGGAAGATATGTTAATCAAAGAATATCATAGCTACCATTTACTATGTTTTATATAACTGTTCAACCACATGGAGTACTTACACATGTAAATTTTATAGGTGAAGAAGGTGAGGTTTAGAGAAGTTAAGTAACTTGCATAAGGTCACACATTTAGTAAGTAGCAGAGCCAGGGCCATTTTGTTTGACTTCAGAGCTTGTGCTTTTATCTCCAAGTAATTATACTACCTCACATATGCCCTAATGATCTGATCTTCTACCTCTTCCATGCCATTCTGCACTGTATACTTCATTCCTCTTCGAGTCTCTTTCCTGTAGATTTTTTTTTTTTACAAATGTTACTGGATATTTCTCAGTTCCATACTTATCACTAACACCTCCTAGTCACCTTACCATTTTTCAAAGTGGTGTATTTCAATGTAATTTCAAATATACAGAAAAGTTATAAGAATAGTAGTCACTTTACCCAGATTCACCAATTGTTTACATTTCACTCTATTTATTATTTTCTATATATGCATGTCTCTATATATCTCTGTATCTCTATACACACATATACACATATATACATATATATGCATATCAGTTTATTTTTATTTTTGTAGATACGGGTTCTCATCATGTTGACCAGGCTGGTCTTAAACTCCTGGCTTCAACCAATCTTCCCACTTCGGCGTCCCAAAGTGTTGGAATTACAGGTATTAGCCACCATGCCCAGCTTTGCATGCATCTTATTAATGAAGTGCCTGATGCCATTCACTCATTTGAGAATAGTTGGGGGCATTAGGCACATTGATCACTAAATACTTACACATTTTCTAAAACCAAGAATATTCTCTTATATAAATAGTGCAGTTATCAAAATCAGGAAATTTAACATTGCTACAATATTATTATCTAATGAGCAGTCCAAACTCATTTCAGCAGTTGTCTCCATAATGTCTTTTATAGTTGTATTTCCTCAGTCCAAGATCTAAGTTACATTACCCGTTGCATTTAATTGTCATGCCTGTTTAGTTTCCTTTAATCTGCAATAGTTCATAAGCTTTTCTTTTCTTACCTTGACATTTTTGAAGATTTCAAGTCAAGTATGTAGTAGAACGTCTTATAATTTGCATTTGTCTGATGTTTCCTTATGATTAGATTCAACTTACGCATTTTGGGCAGGAATATTACAGAAATTATGCTATGTTCTTCTTGGTATTTGATAACAGGAGGCTCCCCGTGCCAGTTTGTACTATTTTAAAAAATAATTTTATAAGTACCTTTTTATTTTTTGCAGAGATGAGGTCTCACTATATTGCCCAGGTTGTTCTCAAACTCTTGGGCTCAACTGTTGCTCCTATCTCCTGCGTTCGCCTCCCAAAGAGATTACAGGCGTAAGCCACCATGCCTGGCCCATTTTGTTCTAATTGGTGGGGAGATACTATAAGGCTATACAATGCCACATTCTTTGTCCTATTTTTTACCACTAGTTGCAGAATCCCTCAATGATTTTATAACTCCATCATTTCTTCTATATTTATTAGTTGGAATTCTGGAAGGAAGAACTTTCCCTTCTCCCCCATTTAATCATTAATTCTTTCTATATCAGGATGAAATAATGGATTATTATTTTATTAAAAAGGTTATATCCCATGACTATTAATTTATTTTTAAGGCTCAAATTATTTCAGATTTAGTCATTAAGAGCCCCTTCAAGCTGGCTTACATGTCCTTTTGATATGATCCTGTGATTTTTGAGCACTTCCTTACTTTCTAGTACAAAAAGATGTACTAGACTCATAATTTCCTTGTTCTCATCCTGTGAGCCCTTTCTCCAAAAAGCCTTGGTTCTTTTTAATAGAGGAAAATACTTTGAAACCAAGATTTCCTTCATAATCTCTCTGCCCCACCCCCACTCCCTCCTTCCTTTCTCCTCTCTTCTCTTTCTTTTCCTTCCCTCCCCTCCTCCCTTTCTTCCCTTCCTCCCTCCTTCCTTCCCTCCCTCCCTCCCTCCCTCCCTCCCTCCCTCCCTCCCTCCCTTCCTTCCTTCCTTCCTTCCTTCCTTCCTTCGGTTGTGCTTTGTCTAGGCACAGAAGAAGCCCAATCATATCAGAACAATGTGGAATTTGCATGACCCTTTGGGTATGAGCATTTACTCATTCTCTGGTCTTATGTGTTCAGCATCTATTGAGTTCCATTTTGCGTTAGTCCTTGGACTCCGGGTTTTGCACTCATTCCTGTTTTGTCTCTTTTATTCCCTTACTTGGTACTTGCTTTCACTGGGTCTAGGCTGTGAAATTTATATTTTCATTTCATCTACATTCAACTTCAGTCCCTTCCTCACATTCAACTTTATTCCTCTAGTTCCAGGTAATATTCTTAAAGAAACTTTTCTTGGTACAAAGCCTAAGATAGGACGTTTACCACACTGATAAAGGCTTTATTGAAAATTCCACTTCTATGCTTCAGTGTCTAGTAGTTTTGGACTCATATGGATTGGGAGAATGAAAACTTTTTACTTTGCAGAAGAGAAAGTATGGGATATGGATACAGGATAAGGAAATTGGATATGAACATTTATCTGACTCCCTAAGCAGAACCAAGTGTTCAGAAAAGCCTAATGGAACATCAAGACTGTAATATCATTTTGTAACATCATTACATATAGTAAGATCACCTGTGCTATACTGTCCAGCTGAATTCAAAGCAGGTATGTGGTAAGAGAACAAGGTATGTTGGAGGAAGCGTAAGGCATATGTCTTAAAGCACATCTTACCGTCTCTTTGTTGCAGCTGTAAGAAGAGAATCCTGGCCAGGCGTGGTGGCTTATGCCTGTAATCCCAGCACTTTGGGAGGCTGAGGCGGGTGGATCACTTGAGGTCAGGAGTTAGAAACCAGCCTGCCCAATGTGGTGAAACCCTATCTCTACTAAAGATACACAAATTAACTGGGCATGGTGTTGGGCACCTGTAATTCCAGCTACTTGGGAGGCTGAGTCAGGATAATCGCTTGAACCCTGGAGGCGGAGATTGCAGTGAGCCGAGATTGCACTGCTGCATTCCAACGTGGATGACAGAGCAAGACTCTGTCTTAAAAAAAAAAAAAAAAAGAAGAGAATCCTCAGGTGATTTTGGTAAATTTTTGGGATTAAACAGCTTTGGTGAGCTATGGCCATATATGCCAATCACCAAAAACCAAATGAATCAACACTAACAACCTCCACAGGGGTTTCTGGTTGGCAGAGTACAGAGGTGACTGCTATTGTTCCCATAATACTATGCCTGGTAACATGAAGGCTGGGATGGGAAGAAGTGCAAAAAGACATTCCCCAGTCACTTTTATTCTAGCCCATAATAGATTAAAAAGTATGTAAAGATGTTACACATTGGGCATTCTAGTTACTTTTTAATTTTATTGTGGTTAAGTAGATAATTGCAGAGCAACTCATGAGTCACACAAGAAAAAAGCCTCATGATTTAAGAATCGTATTTTCTTAAGTCATGTAAAAAATCCTTTTTTCCATTACTTATATTTGAAGTTTGCCTAGTGAATTTTGGTGATTTCAAGAAAACCAAACTTCCTTTCAAGAGAAAAATATTTACCATTTCCAAGGACCTTAAAAATCTCATCAAATGCTTGAAGGTATATCTCAAAGAGGAGTTTTAAGTGTCTTTTGAGGAAATAGTAGCATCATTGAAATAGGTATGTCATGTTAGGTGTTTCTTCTTGGAAGAAGATGAAATATTTTGAGTATATGTTGAGTTTTTAAGGATGTGCTTGAAAATCCAGTCCTATTTATTATGAATTTCCTTCAACATGCTGTTTGACAATTGAAGACCTAACTGTGTCAGAATCATTATTATGAAGACCAGATCTCATTTTCAAGGAGTGTAGGTTAAAAGAGAGAGAGATTGGACTGAATAGGGGCTCTCTCAGCTCTCACCTAGAAGTCAATTTTTTTGTTTTAATGGATCCTAAAGGCAGAAGATGGACATACAGCTTCTTTCAACTAAGTTCTAATGAATTCAATCTAAATCAGTTTAGTCAATAATATCCATACTAAGTACTTATTGTTTATGAATCAATAGGCAGAGTTCTTCACTTGCCATCTTCCTTCTATTATGGGCATCTTTCACCCTATTCCCCTCTTTAACCCCACTTTTCTTTTGAGTCACTGCAAGAGGATTGCAGTGACTCAAAAGGGCTATTTGAATTGAGAGTATGAAATTCTTATCCCTGAGATGCTATTTCTTAAGTCCAATGTTGCTAGTGGATCAGAAGCCATGTACCTCACCTGAGAGCTTATTAGAAGTGCAGAAATTCAGGCCCCATGTCCCCAGGAAATTTTTGTGTACATTAGAGTTTGTAAACACTTTCCTGTAAATTTAACAATAATTTATAGATGATTCTTTAAAAATTGTGACATCAAAATGGACACGTCTTCAAGAATTTGAGGTGCTGTGATTAAATCAAGGAGTCAAGTCACATAAAAATGTAATCTAAACAATATGCAGGGTTTAGCAGTCCTGAGTGAGAAGGGATTTGACTTCATTCAATGATTTTTCTTCTGTTAGATCCTTAAAAAGAGAGGGAATACAAGTAAATGAAAATTACCAAGAATTCATTGTGTGCTTGCTGAGTTTAAGGATAATGCTAGATACTAGAGAATATATGGCTGGATAGAACATTGTCTTCATTCCTAAGGGCCTTGCATAGCGCTTAAAAACTACTTAGTGAATTGAAATGTTGAAAACAGGTGGGTGAACAACTATTTCTACTATAAGGCTGAAAGAGAAATAACTATTTGAGTAGATTCAAGCAGTATGTTTTTGGAACAGGAGAAAACAGCAGCATTTTACTTTGCAGAAGAGAAAGTATGGGATTTGGATACAGGATAAGGGAAGTGGATATGAGCATTTATCTAGCTCCCTAAGCAGAACCAAGTGTTCAGAAAAGCCTAATATAATTTGCAACATCGTTAAATATAGGAAGATCAACTGTGCTATACTGTCTAGATGAATTCAAAGCAGGTATGTCGTAAGGGAACAAGGCATGTTGGAAGAAGCATAGGCGTATGTTTTAACACATTTTACCATCTGTTTGTTGAAGCTGTAAGAAGACAATCCCCTACAACTTTCCAAACATATTTTCTTTTTGATGATAGTGGCTTGGGTGTTCTTACTACCTACTCAATTGAACCCAGTTTTAGTAAAAATAATTTCTTGATGATGACATTTCATATTTAGATCTCTGACTTCAAATATTGTTTTTACACACACTGAACTGGAACTGGGCATTGAAGGAGAAGGAGGATTTCTAAGTGTGGGAAGGGGGATCTGGGCCTAGAGAAGAGTGTGAGTAACAGATGGCGAGGGCCTGAACTCTGGCAGTGGGAATGATGGTGCTGGTGGTGAGGAAAGAGGGTGCAAAAGAGAGATGCTTGGAAAGTGACAAGGGGATATATGTCAATTATTAAAAAATAATTCTTGTTAACCAAAAGTGAAATTTGACATTGATCATTGAATTATCATCAAATTTAAGTCATCTTTGACTTAATCATGGTTATTTTCTTCCTCTCTAGTAGTTGCTTAAGGCATGGAGAATAAGCAGACAAAAGAGTGAAATAGAATTAGAACACTTCTTCACATTTGGGGGTATAAATTAATGAAGATTTGTAAGTTTAATATTAAAAATATTGTCCCTAGGGTTTTTCTAAATGTGATCAAATCACTGTTTGTTATGTTTCGAAGTACAGCTTATTGATATAAATGCATAGCGTGAGTATGATAAATACCCTTTCTTTTCTGAATAATTTGTACACGTAGTATTTCAAATTTTGGTGACTTGCAAATACTGCTCATGAAACTGTTTATATCCTATAAAACGATACAGAGAAAAAGACTCTTGAAATTTTACTATCTACAAAAATTGTTTTATTCATTACAAGTCGTTATTCTTTTAAGAGACTGTAGCTGCAGATATGTTTACAGAAATTCTTTTTTTTCTTTTCCCTTTATTTTTAGTTTTTATTTTTTTGAAAGTGAGTCTTGTTCTGTTACCAGGACTGGAGTGCAGTGGCATGAACACAGCTCACTGCAGCCTTGACCTTCTGGGTTCAAGCAGTTCTGCCTCAACCTCCTCAGTAGCTGGGACCACAGGCACACACCACCATGCCCAAATTCTTTTCTCTCCATTAATACGTGAGGCAAGATGATGCAAACATATTTTGTTTTCTGGGTTTTATCTTTTTTTTATTCCTTATTTCTCTGATTTTTGTCCACCCAATTAGTAACCTACCAGCCCGTATGTTATTAAAAAAATCTGGGAAAGATGTATATCTGTACAGATTTTACTTTCTGTTCTTACACATTTTTCAAACATGACCTCACAGTTACTTTATTGCTAGTGGAGAATAAAGTTGTAGCTGTACATAAAATTTAAGGATTGCTAACTTTTCTCTGTAAATCTTAATATTTATGAAACACAAAATTTTTCTTTATTATTTATGAAAATATAATATTTAATTCATACAAAATAATATATGCAATTTATCTATAATATACACAGCATAACAAAACAAACATTTCTGAAATTGCTACTGACATCTAGAAATAGATCCTTACCATTAACTTGTATCTACTCATATGTACTTTCCTTATCCCACTTCCTTGCCCACCCTGTCTACTGAAGTAACTACATCTTTTCATGTCGTCCTTTGCTTTTGTCTATTTGTTTTGTTACATGTATATGTATGGATGCTTAAAAATATATAGTTCAGTTTTGTACATTTTTCAACTTTACAAAATTTTTTTCATATTGCAACTTGCTTTATTCACCCAACGTTATTTTTCTAAGATATATAGTTTCATGATATTATCATTCATTCATTTTTACTGCTCCATACACTCCATCTTGAGAACATATCACAATTTATCTATTTCACTTTTGATGGACATTGGAATGTTTCTAATGTTTGCTACTGTAATCTATGCTGTTAGGAATATTTTGGTTTGTTTTTGATGCATATGTGCCAAAGTTTATCTAGGATATGTACTGGGTAGTAGAAATACCGACTTATAGGATAAACAAATGTTAAATTATTTTCTGAAGTGGCTATAGCAATTTGCACTTGCTAGGAATAAATAAGTTACCAAGGATTCATGTCTTTTTCTAGTCCTTGTACTGTGAGACTTAATTATTTTTGACAATATTTTTGATGTAAATGGCATTTGACTATGATCTTAGTTTGTATTTTTTATCACCAATGAGGTCGAGGATCTTTCCTAGGCTTATCTGTGACATGTATTTCTTTTACTGTGAAATGCCTGCTCATAACTTTTACCAATTCTTTTCTTTTAGTTTGCTTGTCTTTTTCTTTGCGATTTGTATTTCTTTTCATATCTGGATACTGTTCCTTTGTCTGTGTGCTGTGAAATTATCTTCTTTCAATTTGTACCTTGTCTTTTTGCTTTCTTTATTGATACATATATATATTTTATGCATAATTGATACATAATGAACTACATATATAATGCATAATTTAATAGGTTTGGACATATGTATGCACTATAAGCACAATAAAGATAGTAAGCATACACATCACTCTTAGAAGTTTCCTCTTACCCTTTTGTAATCCCTCCTACTCATCCCTTTATTTTATATTTTGTGTTATAATCCAATACTAGGTAATATTGTTTTTGCTCAAATTGCTCCAGCTTTGGCCATCTTTGGCAGCTCTTTCATGTGGTTCTTGTGTTTCTTTGATATTCCCCCACTGTAGCAGGGTTGTTTCTCTGGTGACTATTTCTTTATTTGCTGGGGCTATAAGATGTTCCATGCTCATCTTATGTCTCCTGCCCCAGTCCTACGATCAACCATTTCTCCAAGGAGCTTCTTTTATTGGAAAATAGTATTACAAACCAAGATCTGGGCTCTGGGTGTGTTTGTTGCTGCTGGGGTGTCCCTGCTTCTAGGTCCTCTCAGAAGACAGAGCCAGGAATTATATATGACAAAGCTGGGAAATGTCCAGATACATATTCATTTCTGTTTCTAAACATATTTTTATCTATCTCTCTATCCTGTAGCTCTTGAAAACTTTGAGTTCATATAGACACCCTCATTGCTAATATAATATGACAGTGTTCATTACTCTTTAGCAATGCTGCACAGAGGCCAAAATCAGAGTGCTAGTTTTGTTTGTTATTACTATGGCATCATTGCTTCTAGGCCTTCTCAGCAGATGGAGCAAGGAAATATATGTGTGTATAACTGATTTGTGTATATACATGTCTGTAAATATTCTTATATGTATTCATCTGTATCTACATTAAGCTAAACATGTCTCCAACTCTCATCTAATATCATATGAATCATTTTAACCTTACTTGCCTGTAACTTTCTATAGAACAGTAAGAAACTTGGCTCCCATCATCTACCATCCATTCACTTAATTGTTCAATTTTAGTATACATGTATTGTGTTTTCAGAATTGTTCATCTGTACCCAACAGGACACAAGTTTACCAACTAGAGTATGATGCTTTTGTATAGTTTCCTTGACTTTGGTTTTATAGTCTCTGTTCATTTTCAAAGTTACTTAAGTCAGTACTTTTTTTTTCCTGTTGACTTCTTGGAGGTTATTTTATACATTTGTAATACAGTTACATTCCTTTGTAACAGTCTGCATTTCATCTTGGGATCCTCTGACTTCCTACATGATTTTTTTTTTAATTTGCCTACGTTAAGGTTTACTTTTTGTGCTATTGAGTTCTTTGGGTTTTGACAAATGGTTCATGTTATGTGTCCAACACTACAGTATCATTAGAGAATATTTTCATCATCCTCTGCATTATCTAGTCAAACCTCCTTCTCTTTCTCAGAACCTCTGGCAAACATTGATTTTTTAAAACTATCTCTTTAGTTTTACTTTTTCCAGATGCTATATAGGTGGAATCATACAGTATGTATCCTTTCCAGACTGACTTCTTTCACTTAGCAATATGCATTTAAGATTCATCTATGTTTTTGCTTTGTTTGATAGCTCATTCCTTATTACTGAATAACATTCTATTATATGGATTTACTACAGTTTATTCACTTTTTGAAGGATTTGTTCTAGTTTTTGTAATTATGAATAAAGCTGCTATAAGCATTCTAAATGCAGGTAAAAAGATAATTTTCAGGATTTCTTCTGTTTTACTTTGGGATATATATTTATGCAGTTCTTTTAATCAGCAAAATTTCTGTATGTCTATATATGGACATATATGCAGAAGCTATTTATGAAGTCATGCATTACATTTTGATGCTTTCCTTACATTTTCTTTACAGATATCCAAGAATTTTATGAGGTGACATTGCTAAATTCTCAAAAAAGTTGTGAGCAGAAGATAGAAGAAGCCAATCAAGTTTTACAGAAATGGGAGAAGACATCCCTTCTTGCTCCGTGCCATGACAGACTTCAAAAATCTTCAGAGGTATACTACTGAAACTTCCAAAAGAACTGAATAATACTAGGACTTAGGCCACTAAAGAAGTAATGGTAGTAGTGGTGATTATTATCAACAAATGGCAACAACAATAATAGAAATGTAGTTATACCATACTGTATGCAATTTTCATATATGAAAATTCAATTTTTCCAAAACATAAAATAGGGTGGGAATGATATGATTCTTTATATTTTTTGAGTGGGTTATGTTAGCAAAATTGTCATAGTTTGAGTTGACTCAAGTCTAAGGCATTCTGGAGTTTCAGAACATGGTTACCTGTGCTGTAGGGGAAGGAGATGGATGGTAGAATAGGGAAGTGTGGTCTAAGACTCTGATTTCCATAGGAAGGGCACATATCCTGGGGCAAGAATATAAAATGATCAGTTGAAGTGTAGGAGCAGAATATTAGAATTCCTATTTCCAGTTCTTTTAATCATATTCTTTAAAATTTTCTATATTTGGGTAACTTATATATTAGTAGTAACTAATTTTAAAAATAAATATAAAGCAATTAGAGTTGTACGATCAACTTGTTTTTACAAATAGAATTATGGAATCAAACAGTTTGGACACTACTGTTAAAAATCAACATTTACCAAAGACTAAGGCAAGTTGAGGCATGTCTCAGGTTCATACCTAAGGGCTAACAGGGACAAGTCAATGGATACTTTTAAGTGGCAGTCAATACTTTGAAGGGAGGTAATAGTACATACCCACACACACTATTTTTCAAGATTGGAGTCATGTAGCCAACTCGATGTTTTGGAAGCTACATGGAATCCTAGTGCCAATCAATAGCATGTTGATTGCTGAGTTTGTATTGTTAATATTGAGGCCTCTCATATATTTTCTGTCCTGCTCAGAGCTGATTTGTAAACTGGGAAGGACAGAGCCTAATTATCACCCTAGTCACTTAAAAAAAAAAAGTTAATCATGACAATAATTTGATAAATAATAGATATCAACCTTGTGAAATTATACTTAAAAGCATAAAAATAAGCATCATCCTAATTTTAGCACCTAGAAGTAATTATTTTGACTTTTTTAGTCCTTTTTTGTACAAATATATGTACATGAAGTTGGGACAATAGCATATAGGGCATTTTATGTCTTTTACATTTAATGTTACACTAATAGCATTTATCCATATCATAACATTGAACATTTTTGGAAAATATTTTAGTGGCTATGAATATTCCATGATTTGGAACTTATTTAAGCAGATCTTCATTCAAATCTAGGCTATCTTCAATTTCCTGCTTTGAATAATGCTGTAATGGATGTGCATGTGTATAAGCCATTGCTTTTTTTTTTTTTTCTAACTGTTTCATTAGGATTGATTTTATAAATGAAACTGTTGAGTACAAGGGTATGGACATTTTTAAGTCTCTGGATACAAATTGTCAAGCTGTTTTGGAGAACAATGCTATCAGCCATCTTTCAAAAGGCCAATCTGCCTATATCTTTAGTAGCATTATTTTATTATTTAAAATATGTTGTCAAATTAATAGATAAGATGTTTTACTTAATGCTTTATATTGCAGTTACGTGTTCACTATCATGATTCAACTTTTTACATGATTATTGGTTGTCTATTTTTCTTTCATGATCCATTCAAGCTCTTTGTCTATTTTTCTAAGTGGTACTAGAATTCTTAATTGCTTTGAAAGAGCAGTTTATTTATGAAACATGCCATCCTGTTGTCATAATTGTTTTTTTTTCTGGTTTGTTTATTATTATTAATTTTGCTTATAGTACTTTTTAACCTTCAAAATAGTTTTAATTTTTATGTGATAAAATTATTACTTTTTAAAAAATTCTTTCTTCTTTGCTTTATCTTTCTTCATTCTAGGACTAGTTAAGTATTCTCCTGTATTTTTTTCTAGGCTTTCATTGCCTTGATATTTTTGATTTTTCAATTTTCTTTTTTTTAAAAAAGTAATTAATTAATTAATCAATTTTTAACTTTTATTTTAAATTCAGGGGTACATGTGCATGTTTGTTATATAGGTAAACTCATGTCACAGGGGTTTGTTGTAAGATTATATTTCATCACCCAGGTGCTAAGTAACCAGTAGTTATTTTTTCTGATCCTTTCCCTCTTCCCACCCTCCACCCTCTAGTAGGTGCCAGTGTCTGTTGTTCCCCTGTTTGTGACCATGTATTCTCATCATTGGCTCCCACTTATAAGTGAGAACATGCAGTATTTGTTTTTTTGTTCCTGTGTTAGTTGGCTAAGGATGATGACCTCCAGCTTCATCTATGTTCCTGCAAAGGGCATGATCTCGTTCCTTTTTATGGCTGTGTAGTATTCCATGGTATATATGTATCACATTTTCTTTATCCAGGCTACCACTGATGGACATTTAGGTTAATTCCATGTCTTTGCTATTGTGAATAGTGCTGCAATGAACATACAGGGGTGCATGTGTCATTACGAAAGAACATAAACTTTCAAAAACATTATTTTATTCAATTTCTAGATGCATAGTCCCATATATATTGCATAGAAGCATAAATGATAAATATATACTTTTTATTCTAAATACAGTTGTTCTTAAAACAATTTTTCTATTTTTGTGGACTCCCCTTTCACTCACTTTCCGCTTATACTGTATCAGCTCTATCCTCCCTGCATGCAAGGTAACTGATGTTAGCAATTTGTGCATTTTGTGTGTTTTTTCTTAATTTTTATTTTTAATTATTATGGATACATAATAGTTATACATATTTATGGGGTACATGCAATATTTTGATACAAACATATAATGTGTGATGGTTAAATCAGGGTAATTGGGATGTCCATTACCTCAAGCATTTATCATTTCTTTGTGTTAGGAACATTCTAATTCCACTTTTTAAGTTATTTTGAAATATACAATATATTATTAATCATAGCTGCCCTATTGTGCTACTGAGCACTAGATCTGTTTCTATCTAACTGTATTTTTGTACCCATTATCCATCTCTTCTTTATTCTCCCCTGCCCATTACCTTCACAGACCCTTGTACCCATCATTCAACTTTCCATCTGCATGTGTACATTTTATTTTTTTTAGCTTCCATATATGAGTGATATTTGTCTTTCTGTGCCTGGCTTATCTCACTTAACATAATGTCCTTCAATTCCATCCATGTTGTTGCAAATGACAGGAGTTTATTTATTTATTTTTTTTTTAGTCAAGTAAATTCCCATTGTGTGTATGTACCACATTTTCTTTATCCATTCATCTGTTGATGGACACTTTGATTGATTCCATATCTTGGCTATTGTGAATGGTGCTGCAATAAACATTGGAGTACAGATACTTCTTCAATATACTGAATTTCTTTATTTTAGATATATACCCAGCAGTGGAATTGCTGAATCATATGGCAGCTCTAAGTTTAGTTTTTTGAGGAACCTCCATACCGTTCTCTATAGTGGTTGTACTAATTTGCATTTCTGCCAACAGTGTACAAGGGTTCCCCATTCTCCACATCCTCACCAGCATCCGTTATTGCCCTGTCTTTTTTATAAAAGCCATTTTAACTGCAGTGAGCTCAAAGAGGAGGACAGATAAGGGATAGCCTTAGAGGCTATTGGAAAGATTTTACTATGAGCGAAATAGAAACCGTTGGAAAGTTTTGAGCATATGAATGAGTTGATCTGAGCTTCCCAAAAGGCATACAGAATATCCTGTTGTTAGAAATTAGAAATATTTTACTTTTGCCTGGATCTGTTGAACTCATTATTAGTTTCCACAGGCTTCGTTATTATAGCTATATATTTAGTATATATTAAGGTTGATAGGAAGAACAATGGGATCATTATTTTGAATCTCATGGAGTCCCTACAGTGTGCCACCCAATGATTCCTTTTCTCCTTGAAAGAAAATCAGATGGGCTTCTGAAGCAAAACTTTGATGTGATTTTAATAGCATGTAAGTTTAAAAGACCTGGAGGTAAAGGTTTTAGACTTTTCTTGTCTGGAAAGAAAGTGACATCGACTTGTTTGCATTCAGCTTGGGAAGATCTTAAATACAAGTTTCACCTACCGTTTTTTGAAATTTCATCTCCAGTGCCTGGTGGAAAGAGATCTGTCTTCTTACTTCCTCAGCATATGTGTGATAGAATTCTAGCTGCTCACCTTAAACTCTGATTTATATGAAGTTTCTGGAAAATGTAAATCAGCACCCTGATCCTTCACATCCCATAGCATTTTAACCTGTAATATGTTGTTGATATCATAAGATGACAGGAGCAGAGTCATAATATGGCTATTCTGTGTTGGATTGGTGGTGTTTTGAAATATGATAGAAATTTTTATTTAGGAATAAAAAATAAATGACCTTTTTAAAAACATTTTAAAAGAAGCATCTATTCCGAGGTTTGATTTTTTTGTTTGTTTCTTAGGTGTTTTGCTGAACTATAAGTAATTCATCTCTCTATTCTACAATATTCTATACTGAGGTGCATATCACCCTTCTCCTGTCTGCCAACACTATAATAACTGATTTTTAGCTCCCAATTATGGTGAGTTTTCTGCTTCATTTATGGGTTTTTTTGGTGTAAAAAAATGGACACAGCATCCTCCTCACTTCTGCTTTAAGTATATGTGTGTGTATTTTCTCCATAGAACTTGAGCTGCTGGGCTGAAATCTGCAATTCTAACTTGGTGACAGAAAGAAAGTAAGTTTATATTACTAACAGTGTTACAGTAACAGCACTGGGCCAGGAAGGAGGCTGCTTGGTATAGCAGAACAATCAAGAGTAATCTGAAAGTCTTCTGTTTGAATTTTGCTTTTGCCAGTTGCTAGTTACATGGCCATTGTCAAATTATTTAACCTATCTGATTTTTAATCTGTAAAATGTCAAAGTAATAATAGTGTCTACCTCATAAGGTTATTGTGAAGAATAAATAAGCTATCAGGCATGTAAAGTGCTGAGTACAATTCCTGGACCTAGGAAATGGTCCATAAAGAGCACTTATATTGATAATGATCTTGTGGAAAGTCCTGTTACGTCTCTGAGTCTCACTCACTATCTTCATCAGTAAATGGAGATAAAAACTATATGTCAGGGAGAATCAAATAAAAGGATATATATATATGCTTTGAAAAAGGAATTTTGTAAAACTGCATTATATTAAAATGCATAGTATAAATAGGACTTTTCCCCTTGTTTTGTCACTTCTCCCTGGGAATTCAGATCAAATAACCAATAAGAAAGCATTTTGCAAAGCAAAAAGCATTATGTGAATATAAGAAAATCTCACCATCATTACTATACAATGCACAAATATCTTCTCATTTAAACCTATTACTGTTACTTAAAATTCCTTCCATGGATATTTTGGTGAGGCTCCAGAAGACAAAGGGAGTTAAGGTAGTCCCTGTTAAACTGTGCATGCTATTGTAGGGTAACACAATACTGCTCTCAATAGGTTCTTGAATGCACCTATGAGGCTCTTGACATTTAAATAAAAACAATTTTTTTTTTTGCTGTTTGCTTGTTTATTTTTTGTTTTGGTTTGTTTTTCTGAGATAGTGGGTGGAAAAGAGTAATTACTTCGTATGGATTTGTGTTGGTATTTGGAGGTCCTGGGTAATGGTGGGAGGAAAGTAAACACTGATAAATAGGAGTTGGAAGAGGGGTAGAGTGGAGAGAAAAGGCACAGTCAAGGAAAGGGAACCTTAAAGGAGAAGTGAGTGTTTTCATACATAAGCTTTAGCTACCAGTTAACTTTTTATTATAGCAGCCTGGCAAGTGGCATAGAAATTAGCCCTTGAAAGGAATGATGAAACTGTTTTCCCTTCTGTTTCCTTTCTCTCTCCTCTTTTCCTTTCCTCTCTTCTTCCTATTTCCTTCCCTCCCCTCTCCTTATCACTTATTGAGCATCTGGTATGTATATTCATCTTTGTGTAGCTTCTTTAAGCTGCCACCTACCTTTGCACACATTGGTTGCTATGTAAAGTGAAACTCAGGAACATGTTTTTTCTTCATAACTTCAGCTCTGCCCGGCTATCTTTAACCTATCCTTTTTACTTGATCCCTTCTTGATTCCAATATTCTAGTTCTTGACCTGGATATTAACTATTTTCTTCTTTATTGGACTTGGTGTTCTTTCATAACATATCTTTTGGATATCAGTTATAAAGATGAGGAAAACCAAAGTTTTTTATTTGATCTTATACTTTAGAGGAAATAACAGTCTCTCACATATATAGGCCATTTTATAGTTAAAAATATAACTTCTCTAACTTGATTCTCATAATGGCTTAGTGAGGCAGGTAGAGTTGCTGTTGCTATCCACATTAGAAATGGGGAAGCTGAAGATAAGCAACTTGTCCAGGGTCATACTGTTAGAAAATGGGTAGAATCAGGAATTTGATTTCAAGACAAGAATTTTTCCTTTACACTATAGCCGAGAAAGGATGATTTTTACTAGAGTACTAGAGATGGTTTCATAGCTGGGTGGGTTTAGAAATGGGCTTTGTGTAATGTATAAGATCTGGGTTGAAGGTCTTGCAGGTGGAGAAAACTATGTGAGTAAAGGCTTAGAAGAGTAATAAAACCTGATACTTATAAATAAAGTCCAGGCTAGGCTCTTTTTTTTTTCTTTGAGGCAGAGTTTTGCTTTTGTTGCCCAGGCTGGAGTGCAATGAAACCATCTCGGCTCACCGCAATCTCCACCTCCCAGGTTCAAGCGATTCTCCCGCCTCAGCCTCCTGAGTAGCTGAGATTACAGGCATGCACTACCATGCCCAGCTAATTTTGTATTTTTAGTACAGACGGGTTTCACCATGTTGGTTAGGCTGGTCTCAAACTCCCAACCTCAGGTGATCTGCCCAGGCACTTTTAATATATTATCTCTTAATCTCTATAGCAACCCATGATGGTAGATATTTTATTGATTCATTCCTCACTTCATTTTAAATAAGATTTGAAGCGGTAGGTAGGTATTACTTATAATTTGCAGAAGAGGAAAGTAAGCCTCAGAGAAGTTAAATGTCTTCATCAAAGATACACAGTAAATTGTGCTATAGTGGGGATTAATAAACATGTGTCTGACATCCCATCACCTTTCTTAGGAGAAAGTGGGAAAGGTTTTATAAATAGTGAACATTTAGGATTAGTAGGTGGGGAGCTGAGAGTAGTAAGACTGATTAGGTTATTCTAGCTGTCTGCTTGAGAGCCTTAATTGCAATACTATAGCATTTAAATGCTTTTCTTCAGGTCGTTGTGAGCCACAGAAGGTTTTTATGCAAGTAAATGGCATTATCAGCTATGCTGGGGCAGATTAAACTGGCAGTATCATGCATAGTAGATCATAGACAAGAGAAACCGGTGACAGGGAGACCAATTAGGTAGCTGTCACACCAGAAACTGTTCAACTAGGTACCTGGAGACTATGTATTACCCTCCTGGAAGATCATGGATAGATTTTTTCTTGACAAAGCATCATTTCTCATGGGTAGTAACTTGATTTATAAAGAAGAAAATCAAATTAAATTTAGAAAATACACTCAAACTAACTTGTAAAAGAAAGAAAAATCCTGCTTGCAAAATTAATCACCTAGGAAGCCTGTGAGTAACTCACAGAGCTGGTAGTTACTTTGCTGAGGCTGAAGTTAACTCAGCATTTATCTGTGAATAGTTTACAGTAAGATTTTTCTTTGGAGTACTCTAGCTAACTTTCCAATAATATGATCTAAAATAGTGAGAGTACTTTGGTTTTCTACCTAATATTTTTCAAATATAATGAAATTAGATTACATTCATACTTACCAGAAATACTAGACCTCAAAGAAATATTACTTGGATGATGCAAAGATATTTAACTGTAAAATGTCACTATTATTCATAACTTCTTGAAATATCTCTATGTTTGACCTTCCTCTCCATTCACAATGGCACTGATCTAATTCAGGCTTTCATAGAATCTTTCTACAGATTTAGAAACAAGCTTTAACTGGTCTTCATAGTCAGGATTTTCCTCTTGTAGCTCTACCTCCCTAGGCTAACAGTTTTAAAACTATTTATTGATCTTCATTTTTTACAGATTATTGTGCCATCTCCTTAGCATAATCTTTACTGTCTGGACTGAACTTACATTAAGCTTTACTTAAGCCTTGTTCTTGTTCATTCCTCTGCCTGGAATATTTTTCCCTTTGTTTTCATCTGGAAATTTTCTACTTAATCTTTTTAAAGGTCTACCTGTCTATCAATCACGAATTTTCTAATGACCTTAACTAGAAAAATTCTTCTGTTTCCTGTACTGCCCAAGGCCTCTGTTATAGTGTTTGACATATTGCATTTAAATGACTTGCTCAAGTGTTTCACTTGTTAGATCATACCTTAATATCAAGTATTATATTTATTTACACAGCTGTAATATGGTTCAGAGCTTTTTAGGCAGTAAGTATTCAATAAATGTTTATGAAGTAGATGATTGACTGTATTTTTCTTGATGTCAGAGAATGATATGTTGTTTTGTTAAGTATATGTATATTATGCTAGAAACATGAATTAAAATTTCCTGGTTGACCCAGTGAAAAGATGCTTAGTCCTAGGTAAGATTCTGAAGATAGTTTTAAAAACACAGGAATGAGTCATGGCGGTACAGCTCACCCTATCCTTCAAATTACTTATTTTATGGCACAACATGGGACAATTATGGGCTAAAATGATGTCATACAGTTCCATACTCTTCCCTGCAGATTGTGTTACTATCAGAGTTAGAGATGTCAGAGTTTCTCCAAAACTGAGTCATTATGGAGACCGGAGAGAATGGTTAGGTTGCAATGACTATCATCTTTCCTATTTCAGATTTGATTTGGGTTGATTGCTTGCCCATTTTAATAATTTGACCTCTTTTAAACATTCATTCTTGTAATAGTGAAATTCTGTAATCCCATTTCTTATTCAACAGGCAGACTATCCTGGCAAAAAAGATAGAGGAAGTGCCACATTCCTAAAGTTTTTTTCTCCCGCAGAGAAAGGAGCCTGTGTTATATGGAGGTCAATCCAACTTTGAAAATATTATGGTGAGAGAGTAAGATTTGTTCAGGAGGCAGAACTGCCAATAACTTGATAATCAGAATGTAACAGTAAAGAAAAAGTTTCAGAATATCCATACTATACAAGCTTGACACATTGTTGCCTAGATAGCACTGGAGTGGGTCTAAGGACATCTACCTGCCTTAGACTCCGTCCATGGAGAGCTTTATGTGGAGACTTCAAAATGGCTTGTTATGATCCTTAAAACAGTGTACTGTCCTTACCTAGAATCAGTAAGCATTTTTTTTTTTCCCTTGGGGAGCTTCGTATTTTCTACATTGTGTTATAGTTATTGTAAGCATGATAGAACTCCCCTACAATACTGTGGAGTCAGGACCTGTGTGCCCTGAATATATGGTTTATATCTTCTCAGGACTAAGCTAGATCCTTACATATATTAACTTCCCAGTAAATGTTCATTGAATAAATAAATGAATTATATTACTGTCTAATCTAAAGGAAGCATAGTTTTCAAATTATATAAAAGTATGGACTTTTTTTTTCTATACAGGGCAGAATATTTAAAATTGAGAGTATTCCTGAAAATCCAGATATATGATTATCCAACTCAAAGCACTGTCCAAGAACTGAATCAGATAATAGTTCTGGATTATTTTTGAGATGAGAGAGTGCACTATTAGTTAAACATTTTATGAAATGTTCACATATACTAGTATTCTCAGTTAGAATTTCATTATTATTTTAGTAAATATGACAGATTTGTAAGTATGCAGCTGTCATTGAAAGTAAGTAATATAAGATTAAGGTCTAGCATATGAATAATCCTTTGTCATTTAAGAGAAAGTTGTTTTATTTTGAAATCTGTTCTGGTCATCTTCCACATGATGAAAAATAAATTCATGAATATAATACCAGATATCATATTAGCAGAAAAACCCGAGTTGTCTTGTAGAGTCTACAAGAGTAAGTGAGTCAAAAAACCCAAAGCAATTAGCACCTCTAGTCATTGGCTAAACTAATTTCTTAAAGATAGTTCTGTTGGGCTGAGGGAAAGCTTCCCCTTTGCCCTCTGAAGTTTCACTGAAAATCATTGACAAAAAGCATATTAACAGGAGAAAAGGCATACAAATTTATTTGATAAAATTTTCATGTGATATAGGAGCCTTTAGAATGAAGGATAGGGTATCTTCCCGAAGATACAGGGAAAACTATCCATTTTTATGCTTAAGTTCAACAAAGTATGAGCTGCCATGTAGAAATATGTCTGGACAGAAAGGGTATGATCCAATGCTAATAAACTGAGAGGGGAAACCTAGCAAGGCCTGTCTGTTTAGATTATTCTTGGCCTCTCTGTGCAGCATTCTTTTTTCTGGGTATGGTACAAGAACCTTTCTGGAATGGGAGTCTTATGACTTACGATCAAACAGATAATTTATTTACAAACAGTGGTATTTTAAGTAATATTTTAAGGTTTTATGGCTGGCTTTGGAGGAAAGGGGTTGTGTTTTTATGACCCACCTTGGGGAAGAGATTTGGGGTAGACTTGGGGTAGAATGAATGGTCAGAGACAGCAGAGTACAAGTTCAGAGAGAGTCACTTGTGAACCCTTCATTTGGAGATATCATTTTCTGAGACCCTACAGTGTGTAATATAAAATATATTTTATGATACTTCTTTACTGTAATGGTTAGTCTTATTTGTAAACTTGGCTATGCTATAGTACCTAGTTATTTATTCAAACACTAAGTTGGATACTGTTGTGAAAGTATGTTTTAGATAAGTAAGACATCTACATTCAGTTGACTGTAAGTAAAGGAGACTCTTTTTTTGTTATTGTTGTTGAGACTAGTTTATTTGCTGGTGGGAATTATCATTGCCTTGCAATACTATGATAACAATGGCCCACCTTAGTTTCCTTGCACTGCTCGACCTAATCTTACTTTTTTTAATTATACTTTAAGTTCTAGGGTACATGTGCACAGCGTGCAGGTTTGTTACATATGTATACATGTGCCATGTTGGTGTGCTGCACCCATTAACTCATCATTTACATTAGGTATATCTCTTAATGCTATCCCTCCCCTCTCCACCCACCCCACGACAGCCGCAGTGTGTGATGTTCCCCACCCTGTGTCCAAGTGTTCTCGTGGTTCAATTCCCACCTATGAGTGAGAACATGTGGTGTTTGGTTTTCTGTTCTTGTGATAGTTTGCTGAGAATGATGGTTTCCAGCTTCATCCATGTCCCTACAAAGAACATGAACTCATTCTTTTTTATGGCTTCATAGTATTCCATGGTGTATATGTGCCACATTTTCTTAATCCTATCTATCATTGATGGACATTTGGGTTGGTTCCAAGTCTTTGATATTGTGAGTAGTGCCACAATAAGCATACTTGTGCATGTGTATTTATAGCAGCATGATTTATAATCCTTTGGGTATATACCCAGTAATGGGATGGTTGGGTCAAATGGTATTTCTAGTTCTAGATCCTGGAGGAATCACCACACTGACTTCCACAATGGTTGAACTAGTTTACAGTCCCACCAACAGTGTAAAAGTGTTCCTATTTCTCCACATCCTCTCCAGCATCTGTTGTTTCCTGACTTTTTAATGATCAGCAATCTAACTGGTGTGAGATGGTATCTCATTGTGGTTTTGGTTTGCATTTCTCTGATGGCCAGTGATGATGAGCATTTTTTCATGTGTCTGTTGGCTACATAGATGTCTTCTTTTGAGAAGTGTCTTTTCATATCATTTGCCCACTTTTTGATGGGGTTGTTTGATTTTTTCTTGTAAATTTTTTTAAGTTCTTTGTAGATTCTGGATATTAGCCCTTTGTCAGATGGGTAGATTGTAAAAATTTCTTCCCATTCTGTAGGTTGCCTGTTCACTCTGATGGTAGTTTCTTTTGCTGTGCAGAAGCTCTTTAGTTTAATTAGATCCCATTTGTCAATTTTGGCTTTTGTTGCCATTGCTTTTGGTGTTTTAGTCATGAAGTCTTTGCTCATGCCTGTGTCCTGAGTGGTATTGCCTAGGTTTTCTTCTAGGGTTTTTATGGTTTTAGGTCTAATATTTAAGTCTTTAATCCATCTTGAATTAATTTTTGTATTAAGTGTAAGGAAGGGATCCAGTTTCAGCTTTCTACATATGGCTAGCCAGTTTTCCCAGCACCATTTATTAAATAGGGAATCCTTTCCCCATTTCTTGTTTTTGTCAGGTTTGTCAAAGATCAGATGGTTGTAGATGTGTAGTGTTATTTCTGAGGGCTCTGTTCTGTTTCATTGGTCTATATCTCTGTTTTGGTACCAGTACCATGCTGTTTTGGTTACTGTAGCCTTGTAACATAGTTTGAAGTCAGGTAGCTTGATGCCTCCAACTTTGTTCTTTTTGCTTAGTATTGTCTTGGTGATGCGGGCTCTTTTTTGGTTCCATATGAACTTTAGAGTAGCTTTTTCCAATTCTGTGAAGAGTCATTGGTAGCTTGATGGGGATGGCATTGAATCTATAAATAACCTTGGGCAGTATGGCCATTTTCACGATATTGATTCTTCCTATCCATGAGCATGGAATGTTCTTCCATTTGTTTGTGTCCTCTTTTATTTCGTTGAGCAGTGGTTTGTAGCTCTAAGTAAAGCAGACTGTTAATAATGTGGGTGGACCTATACAATCAGTTGAAGGCCTTAAGAGCAAAACTGTTCTGGAGAAGGAATTCTGCCTCAAGGCTGCCACACCATTTCTGCCTGAGTTTCCAGACTTCTAGCCTATCCTACAGATTTAAGACATATCAGTCTCCACAATTGCAAGAGTCAATTTCTTAAAATCAATCAATCTATGTGTATTAGTCTATTTTCATACTGCTGATAAAGACATATCTGAGACTGGGCAACTTACAAAAGAAAGAGGTTTAATGAACTCACAGTTCCACATGGCTTGGGAGGCCTCACAATTATGGCAGAAAGAAGGCACATCATACATGGTGGGAGGCAAGAGAAGAGAGCTTGTGCAGGGAAACTCCCCTTTATAAAACCATCAAGTCTTGTGAGACCTATTCACTATCATGAGAATAGCATGGGAAAGACCTGCCCCCATGATTCAATTACCTCTCACCAGGTCCCTCCCACAACACATGGGAATTATGGGAACTACAATTCAAGATGAGATTTGAGTGGGAACATAGCCGAACCATATCATTCACACCTGGCCCCTCTCAAATTTCATGTCTTCACATTTCAAAACTAATCATGCCTTCCCAAAAGTCTCCCAAAGTCTTACCTCATTTCAGCATTAACTCAAAAGTACACAGTCCAAAGTTTCATCTGAGACAAGGCAAGTCCCTTTGGCCTATGAGCCTGTAAAATAAAAAGCAAGTGAGTTGCTTCCTAGATACAATAGGGGTACAGGCATTGGGTAAATACTTGTTCCAAATGGGAGAAATTGGCCCAAAGAAAGGGGCTGAAGGCCCCATGCAAGTCTGAAAGCCAGCAGTGCAGTCAAATCTTAAAGCTCCAGATTGATATTCTTTGACTTCATGTCTCACATCTAGGTCATGCTATGCAAGAGCTGGGTCCCCATGGTTTTGGGCAGCTCAGCCCCTCTGGCTATGCAAGGTAGCCTCCCTCCTGGCTGCTTTCCTGTGCTGGCATTGAGTGTCTGTGGCTTTTCTGGGTGCACGGTGCAAGCTGTGGGTGGATCTACCATTCTGGGGTCTGGAGGACAGTGGCATTCTTCTCACAGCTCCACTAGACAGCACCCCAGTGGGGACTCTGTGTGGGGGCACCCACCCCACATTTCCCTTCTGCACTGCCCTAACAGAGGTTCTGCATGAGTGCCCCACCGCTGCAGCAAACTTTTGCCTGGGCATTCAGATGTTTCCACACATCCTTTGAAATCTAGGCGGAGGTTTCCAAACCTCAATTCTTGACTTCTGTGTACCCATAGGCTCAATGCCACATGAAAGCAGCCAAGGCTTGGGGCTTCCACTCTCTGAAGCCATGACCTAAGCTTTACCTTGGCCCCTGTTAGTCATGGCTGGAGCAGCTGAGACACAGGACACTCTAGACTGCACACAGCAGAGGGACCCTGGGCCTGGCCCACAAAACCATCTTTTCTTCCTTGGCTTCTGAGCCAAGGTCTCTGACATACCCTGGAGACATTTTCCCCATTGTCTTGGTGATTAACATTTAGCTCCTCATTATTTATGCAAATGTCTGCAGCCAGCTTGAATTTCTCCTCAGAAAATGGGGTTTTGCTTTCTATCGGATTGTCAGGCTGCAAATTTTCCAAACTTTCATACTCTGCTTCCCTTATAATACTGTATACCTTTAATAGGACCCAAGTCACCTCTTGAATGCTTTGCTGCTTAGAAATTTATTCTGCCAGATGCCCTAAATCATCTGTCTTAAGTTCAAAGTTCCACAAATTTCTAGGGCAGAGGAAAATGCTGCCAGTCTCTTTGCTAAACCATAACAAGAGTCACCTTCACTCCAGTTCCCAACAAGTTCCTTATCTCCATTTGAGACCACCTCAGCCTGGATTTCGTTGTTCATATCATCTTGAGCATTTTGGTCAAATGCATTCAACAAGTCTCTAGGGAGTTCCAAACTTTCCCACATTTTCCTCTCTTCTTCTGAGCCCTCCAAACTGTTCCAACCTCTGCCTGTTACCCAGTTCCAAAGTCACTTCCTCATTTTCAGGTATCTTTTCAGCAGCACCCCACTGTCAGTACCAAATTACTGTATTAGCTTGTTTTCATGCTGCTGATAAAGATGTACCAGACACTGGGCAATTGACAAAAGAAAGAGGTTTAATGGACTCACAGTTCCATGTGGCTGGGGAGGCATCACAATCATGGTGGAAAGTAGAAGGCATGTCTCACATGGCGGCAGACAAGAGAAGACAACTTATGCAGGGAAACTCCCCTTCATAAAACCATCAGATCTCATGAGACTTATTCACTATCATGAGAATAGCATGGGAAAGACTT
Organism: Homo sapiens; assembly: GCF_000001405.40. Taxonomy (NCBI): domain Eukaryota; kingdom Metazoa; phylum Chordata; class Mammalia; order Primates; family Hominidae; genus Homo; species Homo sapiens. The sequence continues at coordinate 85,270,214 of NC_000011.10, read as the reverse complement.
GCCCCCATAATTCAATTACCTCCCATTAGGTCCCTGCCACAACATGTGGGAATTATGGGAGTTACAATTCAAGATGAGATTTGGGTGGGGACACAGCCAAATGGTACCAATATGTATTCATATATGTATTCACTCATCCATTCTACTGGTTCTGTTTCTCTGGAGAACTCTGACTAATACAGGTACTAACACATTTTAATGATAGCTAACACTTATCTGGCCCTTATTATATTCTAAGCAGTGCTTTACATATATTAAGTGTTCTAGATATATTTATTCATTTAATTCTTATAACATTCATATAAGATGGGTATTATTATTACTATTATTTTAAATATGAATAATCTAAGATACAGAAAATTTAAATAATTTCTCAACATTACACAACCAGTAAGTGAAACATACTTTTCAAAATGATAGATTATGTTCCTGGACAATAATCACAAAACAAAACAGAACAAGAGCAGACCTTCATTTAATTCTTTTTCTTCTCTCTTTGTGTGGGCTTGGCTTTGGAATTGGTACGATTATGCTTGCTACTGGCCTAACATTAACACTATTGTGAACAGTTAACATTTGCTAAGTATATTAACAGTATGCCAAGCTTCTTACATATACAGTCTCATTATTCTCTCAAGAACCTTAAGAAATTGGTACTATTATTTAGCATATTTTATAATGCAGTAGAAGATTAAGAACTCCAACTCAGTTATCTCTGACTCTACAATCTTTACTCTTAATTTTTCTGCCCCTTGGGGAGTCATGGAATCCTAAGAAGTCTGAGAAATCTTGTTGTTCAAGTAGTTCAAGGACTTATGTAATGAAGATGTCTTATGTAGCATTTAATTTGATCTAATCTGGAATCCAATCTAATTTGGAATCTCTTCACAGTGCAAAGACCTGAGCAGGCCAACCAAATGTTTTCTGATGGGCCAAGATCCAAGCCAGACATGCTTTCTGAGGCAGTCTGAAGCAGAGGAAGTAGATGAGGTAGATCCAATCTGCATTCTACAAGGGAGAAGTTGAAAATCAGGAGGCTGAGTAACAAGATGCAAATAATAATTCCAATAAAGAAATTGTGGGCTTGAAAAGGAAAACATCTGAGTGAGAACTAGATTGAAGCACACACATTCCTGGGATATTTTAGCAAGCTAGTAGCTATATGGTTAGAATGTTAGGCTACTTTAAAAGTATAGAGTTGAGATATAGAGCTTACTATTTCTATTATGACACATTCTAGTACTTAGAAAATTCTCTCACACATGAAATAGCAGCATATACTTCCTTAAAATTCTATCCGTTAGTTGTAATTTTGAAACCACAGGGCAAATATACTTTCTTTTCTATCATTTTAAAACCACCAATCATTCCCTAATTCTTCTCCCAACCTTTCTTACCAAGTATTTATCTGTTGTAGGCATCACAGAGAGCTTTTTGAGAGGCATTAGCCATTCTAATTGTGTGTTATTATAAACATTAAGAAAATAGGACGACAGTGAAGTATTTATCCTTGTAATGTGCTACCTGACATAAAGTCATTGGAATGGGATTTTCTGAAAAAGGGATAACAATTTAGCCATGTTTAGTTACATCCTAGAGCTTTACCCATGTGAACCCTGAAAATTTGAGATGAGTCTCGCTTAATTTAGAAATTTTATTTTGCCAAGGTTGAGGACATGCACCTGTGACACAGCCTCAAGAAGTCCTGAGGACATGTGCCCAAGGTGGTCAGGGCACAGCTTAGCTTTATACATTTTAGAGAGACATGAGACATCAATCAATATATGTAAGAAGTCCATTGGTTCAGTCTGGAAAGGCAGGTCAATGTGAAGAAAAGGCAGGAAGACTCAAAGTGGGGAGGGGACTTCCAGGTCACAGATATGTGAGAGACTAATGGTTGCATTCTTTTAAGTTTCTGATTAGCCTTTCCAAAGAAGGCAATCAGATATGCATCTATCTCAGTGAGCAGAGGGATGGCTTTAAATAGAATGGTAGGTAGATTTTCGCTGAGCAGTTCCTAGCTTGAAGGGGCCCAAGATATTTTCCTTTCACATGCATGAAGAACGTGTCAGTAAAAGCAGAAAACAAGCTCTGAGGAGTCAGAGTCCATTCTACACTCTTTGAAATTTGTCAGGTTAAATAAAATAATACAAATAAAGTGCTTAGTGCATTGGTTGTTAGTGAACCTTCAATAAATGAAAGTAATTAAATACAGGGAGCAGTTGCCATTGGCAAACATATTCATGATCCTGAGAAATGAAATCTGACAGCCTGATAGCAAAGGAAAGCAGGAACACACACATACGTACACACACACACACACACACACATACAAAAGTCATCACAGTTGTCTGAGATCGTTGTGTGGGGTAAACTGTCTGAAACAATTATTTTGTTATAGAGTAGAGAAATAATGTTCAAAGTAGCTTAAATTATTTTAAATATGATTTCCTTAAGAAAAAAGAATTATGTATATTTTAGAAAGGCTTCCCTATAAAATGAAAATAAAAATTTTCTTTTAAAGGGTTAAAGTCTAAGCTACCTGGAAAACTTGTTTTCTTTTTTTTTTAAATAACTGATTCCACATGGTTTCAGATAGACAGGTGTTTGTCTAGTTTGAGTTGGTTTTGGTGTTACTGTGTCAGATTATTTGACAACATCAATTCTACATAAACTAACTAGCACCTTGTATCAGGATCTCTTTTGTTTTTTGTGGGGGGTATAGAAATAAGTGAGATCAGATCTCTGTCCTCAAGGAGGTGATGGTCTAGAAGAAAGACAGGCGTACACCCATGTAGCTTAATAGCAAATGTATCTAAGTCAGTTCGGGCTGCCAAAACAGAATGCCATAGACTGGGTGGGTTAAACAACAAACATTTATTTCTCACAGTTGTAGGGGCTGAAAGTCTGAGATCAGGGTACCAGCATGTCTGAATTCCTGGTAAAAGCCCTGTTTCTGGTTTATAGATAGCCGTGTTGTTGTACCTTCACATAGCAGAGAACAGAGCGGGAGAAAGTAAGTCCTCTCATGTCTTTTTGTAAGGGTACTTATCCTATTCATGATTACTCTACCCTCATGACCCAATTACCTTTCAAAGGCCTAAATAACATCACATTGGGAATTGGAATCTCAACATATGAATTTTGAAGGGATACAAGCATCCAGTCCATAGCAAAATCCTAAAGTAGAGATGGATGCAAAATTTTGTGGGAGCATAGAGGAAGTCCACTGAGTTTGAATTATGTAACTACTACCAAAGGATATCCTGAAAAAACTGTTATTACCCAGAATGGAAAGTTTATACTCTCTATAACTTGTGGTGCAACACTAAAAAGTTTTGGTTTCTAACATTTTTTGAGGACTGTGGTAAAATGACTCCTTGTGAAGCAAATGTTTCTTCATCAGAATTGAGGGTTCTGAGTAAAAGAAAGCAAAGTGGGCGTACAAAATATTTAATAAATTATTTCTTCATTCTTTCAACACATTTTCATTGATTGCCCAGAAGCCTACTTTATGCCACACTTAAAGAATACAAAGATGAGTGAAACTGCATTGTATTGATGCAGGATGTTTTCTTTTTCTTTTCTTTCTTTCTTTTTTTTTAAATTATACTTTAAGTTCTGGGATACATGTGCAGAACATGCAGGATTGTTATATAGGTATACATGTGCCATGCTGATTTGCTACACCCATCAACCTGATATCTACATTAGGTACTTCTCCTGATGCTATCCCTCCCCTAGTCCCCCATCCCCCAACAGGCCCTACTGTGTGATGTTCCCCTCCCTGTGTCTATGTGTTCTCATTGTTCAACTCCCAGTTATGAGCGAGAACATGCGGTGTTTGGTAGGGAGCACACAAGCACACAAGTATGGGAATGGCTGGCTGCTTTGGCACTGGCAAGAGGAACTCCACTTACTTAGGCCCACCATGATCCACCGCACATGGGAGGGATCACATAGGCAAGAGAGTGCAGGAACTTGCCAGACACTTTGGCCCTTACAGGAGCAAATTCCATGCAGGCCTTGTGGCAGTGTCCAGGTTGGGGGGCCCATGACTCCAAGGCTTCAGAGGGCATGCTACAATGATCTCTTAGCTACACTGTCTATGGACAGCAGTGTGTTATCACCTCAGTGGCCCTTTGCCTCGTTGCATGGAGTGGCTGCCCTCAGTCAGTGAGAGCAAAGGGCCAGTGTGACAGCCTTTTTGGGTACCCACATTTGGTGGGTCCTGAATTCTTTTCTGGTATCCAAGAGAATGAGGTAATGTGGTCAAATCAAAGGATGGTGAATGGGGAGAATTTTATTGAGCAATGAGAGAAGCTTTCAGCAGACAGGGGAGCTGGAAAGGGAATGGGAATGGCAGGTCACTCTTCCCTGAAGTCAAGTTATCTCTCTGCCTCTCTCCTCCGAAGTCAAGTTGCCTCTCTCTGATGTCCAGCTACTTCTCTCTACTGGCTGAGTCTAGGATCTTTATAGGCACAGGATGGTGGGTGCAGCAAGCTATTGGTAGTTTTGGAAAAGGCAACATTTGATTGGTAAAAAGACATTAATCAGAAAGAACCAATCAAGAGAGCAGGCAAACAGGAATAGAAGTTCTCACTTTGGGCTGCAGGTTTCAGGCTACATTTGGCTTGAAGGTGGGGTTTCCACCAGGGACCCACCCCTGTCTGCCTAGAGTTTCTCTGCCTCCTGCCTCTATCAGTATGTCGTGGGGGCCAGAGTGCTGCCATGGAAGGAGCATAGGCCTTGGAGCCAAATGGGGCTAAAGTAGGAATTCTGTTTCCCCTATTTACTTCAATGTGGTTTTGAACTTGTCCCACTTAGCCTGTACATAAATATAAAAAAATTTGCCTTTATGATTGTTTTGAAGATGGAACTGATATATGTAAAGCATCTAATTGTTTTGGGTTTGACACATAGTGTGTGTTAAATAAATGGAAGTTATGTATATGACAGTGTCTGTTTTTAAGAAGCTCCTAGTTCAGTGGGGTCATGCAGATATTCAGTCTGTACTACAATATGATGTCATAATATAGATAGTGCATTTGTCCATATGATAGGAAAGAAAGGGCTTCTCAGAGAAGGCATCTTAAGAAAAATATTGAGGAATGTAATAGGAGCAAATAGAGTAGGGAGAGTTTATAGCTGAAGGAGTAACATTTGCAAATACATGACATTTGAAAGAGAGCATGTCTGGTTTTTACTAGGAGCTACAAGTAGCTCTGCATGACTAGAATGTAAGTGGAGGATGATAGAAGGTAAGACTGGATCATAGACAGGATCAGATTAATAAGAACCTTACGTAATCTCTAAGGATTTAGATAGTATGAACTCCTTGGAAGATTTTAAGAACAAATTAGAACAGAAGTTCAATGTCAGTAACTGTTGACTGTTGGGAAGCTACATCCATGAGACCTGAAAGAAATGTTTCTTGCGAAAAACCCCTGGGGGCAAATACTGATTTTGAGAGAGAAAGATGCTTAGTACCCTGTAGTCTGAGAAGACTACACTCCTGGGGTGGTTGGGAGGTTCCATGTGGATACGGTGCTGTTATCTTGGCTTTGTTTTGGTCTTTTTAGGTAAAATGGTACCCCATTCATAGCAATGGCCCTCATCAATAGCCCTTATTATGGGTTTGTTGACTAGCAGTACAGCAAAACTGAGTATTAACCATTTTCAATCAAAAATGTATCTAATGATGGCTGGCAACCTAAACACCTGTCCTGTTGATTAGGACTTCACCCCATCTTAGTTCTTTAAATATTACTGTTTTGATGGTGAGAAGAAGGAAGATTAGATAAACCTAAGGGGGAAAATGCCAAAGAAAAGGAAAGTATTTCACCAAAAGGCCTAGAACATCAGGCTTAAGCTGGCCATTTGTACCTCTTTTCCCCTGAGTCTTGTCCCTGGTTTCTGCTTTGTTTCTAAGGGCCAAGGTGGGAGGAAGAGGATATTCTCAGAAAGGTGGAGGATATAGGCTTTTCTTACTCTACTGGATGCATGAGAAAAGAAACTCCAAAACGTGATTCCTCTGTGGAGTCCTAATAAGATAAACAATCAACAACAAGGAAGAGGCAGCAGGTGGGGGAGAACAATTGTCTGAGAGACAGCTAACCACAAACCTGTTGGCACAACATCCTGTTCCCAAATACCTTGCTCTACACATAACCCTAGCAGCACGACCTTATCTACACAGGCCACTCCAGCACGACCCTATAAAACTTCCCTTCAGCCCCTGCCTCTTTGCAGACAGCCCCTTCTCTGCTGTGATGCCTGTTGTTTCCTTGGAATATACTTTCTCTCTAATAAACTTGCTTTCTTTAACTCACTATTGTTTCAATAACTGTTACCACCTATGATGTCAGCTTCAGCCAGATGCACCTATGACATTTTGGTGACCCGTATGGGGACCTCTCCCCTACTATCCCCCTTTCCTGTTTTCCAGCTCCAATCTCTCATTGGACAGCATTCAAGCCTGGAGACAACTGATGGTCCTCAGCCATGGCTATTCCCCAGGGGATCAGAAGGTCACAGGGGAAAGACGTCTGAACACTGCCACTCAATAGGGTGAGAGTTTAGAGTTTACTTTTCTTTCCAGTCTTCCAGCAGACAATATTTAGTATCCCTCTGGCAACTGATGGCAACTGGCCAGGGCCATTCCCTGGTGTAGGCTGAAGGTCAAGGGGTGAACAGGTTTTGCTGTCTTGCCCAGAAGGGAGGAAGACTCTCTCCTATCCTTTCTGGTCAAAAGTCCTCAATCCCTATGTGTGGCACAATTGGCAGTGGCAGCTCAACCAGGGCAAACCCACATGCGTTTTGGGCAAACTCACATGCGTTTTGGGGGAACTCAGACCCCCTCTCTCACTCTAAATTCTCCCATGAAGAGAGCCAGCCAGCCATCCTGCTCTGGACCTTTTAAGCCAGGTGATCTCAAACAGCATTGGAATGATAAATCTTCCCTGAACCTTTTCCTCTTGTACCTGGATTGAGCACCCTGCATAATTCATACCTGGACTGACCTGGGGTTGCTCATGCAGTATTCATCCAGTGTAAGGCCCTAGTGCCAGGATTTCCTTTCCAATAGATGGGATGCCCTTTGGAAAGTGCATCTTGGAGTCCCTCAGCAGACATAAGTGGAACCCCCTTTTCCTGGGGGGATGCCCTGAGAGAAATTATGGTTCAGGTCCCCAGCAGACATTCTTTTTGGTCCCACCATGGGACAAAGCCCTTCCATTCCTCAGACTCATCCCTGGGCTCCATTCTCAAACACTGGGATAAATTTGACTCTCAGACTCTCAAAAAGAAATGTCTAATTTTCTCATGTAACATAGCATGGCTGTTCCCGGACCAAATGAGGGTTGGGCTGCTTATTCTCGTGGCTCCATAATGAGATGCAGATGAACTGGGAAAGAAGGGAGTTTATTACTGTAACCAGGTACAGGGAGAAGGCCTGGAAAGTATCACCAGACCAACTTAAAATTACAAAGTTTTTCCAGATCTTATGTACCTTCTAAGCTATATGTCTATGTGTAAGTGTGCATTCATCTAAAGATAGACGTGGTTAACTTTTTCTCATCTATAACTAAGATCTGAGTCCTGAAGACCTTCTTCTAGAGCCTTAGTAAATTTACTTAATCTGAATGGATCCAGGTGCTAGGGTGATTACCCTTATCTTGTCTCCTGCTAAATCATGGAGGTTTGAGGAGTTCCTTCAGACTCCCATTAAACTTGTTTGTGGAAGTACGGGTGGTTTCTTCAGACCTCCAATAAACTTGTTTAATCCTAAACGGGTCTTGTTAAGAATTCCTTCATTATGTTTCATGCTTCAAGGCCCAGGAAAGGCCTAGGCAAAACTCTTGGTGGGCTTTTGTTACATTCCAGCCTTTGTATAAGGGCACTGGCTCTATCAGCTTTTAATATTTAATTTAACCACTCAGTCAGTGCTGAAACAGTTGTTATGGAGGCCTACATTAGTCAGACCTGGCCTGCCACATGGCCACTTAAAAAACTTCCGGATCAGAAATCCTGGCCTCTAGGTGGGACCCTTGTCCCCAACACTGTTCTGTAGCTTGACCTCTTCTGTTGCAGCTCTTCTAAATGGTCTGAAGTTCCTTATATTCAGGCTTTCATGACTCTCTCTCAGGATTGCGATCTCTGCCAAACCTGTCAAATGTGCCTCGCCAAATTCTCTAGCCTCAGTGACTCTCCTGACATTTTAGATGAACTTTTTTCTCTCTCCCATTCACCCCAACTGGCTGGACAGGTTGAGGCCATACTTTCTTCCCCTGACAAACCACCTTCACTTTCAACTACACCTACTCCATCTACTCCTTCTCCCTCACCTTCCCCCTGATAGCCCAACCTTGATGTCACTTTTAAGGGCCGCCTCCTTATCAGGGACCCTTCTCCTCATCACACACTAGGTCAGGGGCCACTTATGATCCCATTTTGGCCCTTGCATCTTCAACTTGTCAAATTCATGTCTTCCAGAATTCAGCAGTTTCACCTTCAAATGCTGCTGTGAAGGGGATATTGGTCTCTTCCCAATGATGCCTGCTACCTTTATGAATCTCTCCTGGATTCTGCTATACCCCAGTTTTACCTTGATATCCTCCCCCTCTCTGATGAGTCCCTTCCTCCCGCAAGATCCAATATCCTAATTCCCACAATCCAGGACAATGGCCCACGGGGTCTGCTGACAGACTCTCAACAACCATAGGTAGGGTCAATTCTATGATGCAGGCCAGCAGGAAGTAGTTGGAAGTTGAGACCTCCACCCTAATGCCAAAGACTTGTCATTGTTGTTCTATGGGGAGGTGTGGTGGGGGTGGGGGATGTGGTGTCCTCATAAGTAAGCAACAATGAGGAAGGGGCCTCAGGTAGGGGAAAACAATTGTTCCAAGAGATGGCTAACCACAAATAAACAACTAGCACAACATTCTGTTCCCAAATATCTCACTCAGCATGTAGCCCCAGCAGCATAACATTATCTGCATGTAGCCCCTCCAGCATGACCCTATAAAACTTCCCTCCAGCCCCTGCCATTTTGCAGACAGCCCCTTCTCTGCTGTGCTGTCTGTTATTTCCTTGCAACATACTTTCTCTCTTACAAACTTGCTTTCTTTAACTCACTACTGTTTTAGTAAATTCTTTTACCACCTGCTACGCTGGGCCCCAGCCAGATGCACCCATGACATCCTCCAAAAGGGAACATCTCAAGAGAGACTTTAGATTAAAAAAAAAGAATCTACCATTTGTTTCCAACAGCTTTTAACCTCCTAGTTCCCCACCCCTACCATGGTGCATGTGAGGTGGGGTGGGACTGTGTCTACCATGAAGAGATTGCTACATCCCATCTCTGGTTCTTTCCCACATGCAGATCAGTGTAATAAAAAAGTGATTGTTCTGCTCTTCTCAGCACTGGTCACATGTTGTACTCCTTTTTGGAAACTTTAATAGGAATGTAGACAAAAGTGAGGGCATTCAAAAGCGAGTGACCAGAATGGCCAAGAGAGACACAACCAAGCCCATCTCCTGCATAGAAGTATGGGTTTTGAAGGCAAAAATTGTATTTTATTTATCTCTGTTTATTTTTATCTGGCAGAGTACCTACCTGGCACATTGTAGGATTTTAATAGGTGTTATTTAATGAATGAATGAGTTAGTGAATGAATACATATGAAGGAATTTACAGTTTAAGGTATTAGGGAGGTACAACCAAAAGTGACCATGGAGCCTTGAAACTTTCAGCTTTCATGTGGAAGAAGATCCTCAAAGTTTAGAACAAAAGTGTTGAAGTTAAAGGAAGATTGACATAGGCCCAATGGAAGGAATAACTGTTTAACAATCAATTTCATTATGTTATAGTCATGTATATCTATCCAAAAAATGTCTATTAAAAGTCAAGAAGTAGCACTCTATTGACAGTTGTCCTAATTATAGAATGTAAGGTAATAGAGAGATATTGTGCCTGAGTACTTATACTGTGCCAGGCTTATTAAGGGCATCACATTAATTCTCTCATTTAATCCTCACAATGCTCCATGAGGTGGATTTTATCTTTATCCCCCTTTTTACAAATAATGCAATTTGAGGCAGAATAACTTAACAAAAGTCACATTGTTGATGGTAGAGCCAGGACTCAAACCAAAAATTTTTATTCTGTGTTCTGCTCTCAGATAATGGCAGCAGAAAAAACAGAGAATCTGCCCTGGGTACCTTAGCCCAATGCTCACCAACATATTTCTTCATTTACTCATTCATTTATTACTTTAAAAAACATATTGGATGGCCTACCTGTACAAGATAGTGTGTTAGGTACAGGAAATGTATAAGTGAATACCAAACAATTTCTACATCAATAAACTCATCTTCACCATAGCTCTGAATTGCCTTAAATATGCCTGAAAAAAATAGTGAGGTGGAGGCTAATGTGGATGTATTAAATAATTTGCAATTTCTGGCCAGGGGATTTGGATTGTCAATGAGAAGTAAGACAGAATTTATGGAGAGACAGGTTCAGATGGGAAGCTTTATAGGAGTCCAGGTGATGGGATGGGCCAGATTCAAGCAAGCAGAAGAGCTGGGACCTAAGTAGCTGAGGCCTTCATAGCACCCCAAAACAAGCAGAAGTGTAATATGAAATCTACATTAAGATCTAGGGAAACCAAGGAAGGTTACTTGGGAGGGTCAGCTGGATTGTCCATGGCTGACATGGTGGAATTAGTCTTAAAGTAAGGCAACACAGTATATTAGTTTGTTATTGCATTGCTATAAAGAACTGCCTGAGACTGGGTAATTTATAAAGAAAAGGGGTATAATTGGCTCACAGTTCTGCAGGATATACAGGCTTCTGCTTCTCGGGAGGCCTCAGGAAACTTACAATCATGGTGGAAGGCAAAGGGGAAGCAGATGCATCTTCAAATGATGAAGCAGGAGAGAGGAGAGAGCGAAGGGGGTGGTGTTACACACTTTCAAACACCCAGATCTTGTGAGAGCTCAGTCAGGAGACAGCACTAGGGGGACAGTGATGAACCATGAGAAACCAGCCCCATAATCCAATGACCTCTCACTAGGCCCCACCTCCAACACTGGTGATTACAAGTCAACATGAGATTTGGGTGGGGACATACAACCAAACCATATTACACAGTAAGGGAATTAGTCTTAAAGTAAGGGGTGACAGAACCTCAAAGGAGGCAGATGAAATATATGGTCCTTACTCTCTATGAAGCTCAGTTTTTTAATCTGTGAAATAAGGATTATAATAATTTCAGAAAATAGTCATGAAGATTAAATGAGATTAAATGTAGATAAAACACAACACTTTGCCTGAACAAAACAGGTACTCAATAAGTGTTAGTTCCATCTCCAATATCCAGCTTTGAGAGGGCAGAGCTTGAGCCTCCCCTCTCCTACACTGATTCTTTCTGATCCTAAAGAGCTTCTGTCCTATTGTTAACTCAGCTTTATTATGGGTTCCATAATAATCACACCTTTGAATGGAACATAACTGCGTATTGTAGAAGAGTTTTTGGGAGACGGGTACATTGACCTTTTAACTATTTTCTCTTAGAGAACCTTTTTTAGAAGTTACCTGGTATATGCTTACAAACATTAAAAATATATACTAAATGCTCACTTAGCATAAAAGTCAATTCAGTAAAGGTGTATTGAAATGCATTATGCTAAACCAAGATCCTTAAGGGTTTGTATTCTCATAGGAAAGTCACATATCCCAGGTAGTAAATTCATATTTCAGTTGCTTGAATTTTGTTCTTTAAGCAGAATACTAAATACTTTGAGTTGAATATTTTCCTAAAAATCTATTTAAGATAGTATTTCAATCCTTTCTTGATTTATTCATTTTTATCACTTAAATATTACACATATAATAGAAAATACCACAAGATTATTCTTTTCAATTCCAGTTTTAGAGGGATAAGAAATAGTGGAGAGGACTATATTGAATAAGCCAGTCAAAATAATCATATTTGATATTTCTACAGCAGGAAAAGTTTTGGGTATTTTCAAAAAATGCATTTCCTATGGAAGAAAGTAATATAAGGCCACAAATTACATATTACTCTAAATTTGGTAGTTGACTTGAGGCACATTGCTTAAAAGGAAGAGGAAGCCCCTTAGCTAATGTGACCTTAAATGGTCTGTAAGACAACCACAGTATCAGTTCCTGAGTCCTTAGAGTAAAAGTGTATATAAGAGCTCTTCTTCTATAGAGCCAGGTTCCAGCTACTTGAAACTCATTTGGATACTGACTTCATAATATATTATCTTATGGCCTTTGGTAAATTTCATAACCTCTCAAACCTTATATTTTCTCATTTGTAAAACTCTTCAAAGGATGAAATGATATTATATATGAATGCAGTTTATAAACTTAAATTCTCTTTTTTGTTGTTTCATTCTTATGGAGAAGTTGTTTCCTGGGAAGGTAAATTCAACCAAAGCTTTGAAAGATTCATTGTATTACATAGGATAACATCAGTTCATTTACAATCTTATTGTACAAATAGATTTAGGTGAATATTGCCTACATATTTCAGTGATCATTTCTTGGACTGGCAAGCTCAAAATAGCAGGCTTCTTCATCCACCTCATCTTTACCTTTATCAAAAAGTTTTACTGCATTGTTATTAAAAATTCTAATCACTTTGTTGTCAATGGCAAAGTCTGATGAATTGTAAATAACATTTTTCACAGACATACCTGCATGTGTTTATCTAGTTTCAGAAATCCACTACGTGTAAAAATTCAACATTGACTCTCAAATGTCTGGTATTTTGCTTCTTATAAATAGCTAGATTATGTTTTCTTTCTCATACACTTTTGTATAGAAAAAGGTACTTCTAAGTTCAACTCATTCCACAGCATTCTGAACAGATTTCATTTGACAAAGAAATATTACCCCTCAGAGGTTTGATGTGTATATTTGCATGCCAATAAATGGAATGTGATTTTGCCTTAAGCCTACTTTCACAGCTGTAATGATTTTTTGCCTTTCCATAACTAAGTAAATGTGTCTAGGTGGCCCACTTTTTGTATCACTAGATATCATGAAATTATTCATTCCCTGTCTATACAGCATGCATCAATCTTTATCTAGCTAAGATGATGTTCTTCTCTGTCTTTTTCTTTCTTTCATTTTCTACATTTAGCTCACATGTACACTTTCCATTTTTTCAGCCTGAGTAATTCATTGTCATGCATTTTAAAAATCTATTTAATTACCTGAAGACTTTTGAGTTAGCTTGCTATAAGCATTCAGATAATTATACAACATTCTATATTAGGTGGCTTTTCTGAATACAATATTTTCTGATTAATTATCTCTTGAGCTGTTGCAAATAATAGTATCGAAAGTATTGATAACAATGATACACTAGACTTTTTTGTAAAGACTTTTTTTTAATGGCCAAAGTATATAAAGCATCTTTCTAATTGAAATGGGAGAGTTCCCTGACCCCCCCTCACACGACATCGACAGGGGCGTGGCTCCTCTGTTTGGCCGCCATGTGAGCTCAAACCCCCTTACAGGAGGAGGAGCATGCAGATGGGCGGGTGCAGGAGCTAGGGTGAGCATTTTGGGCTCCGGCCCCATGGTAGTGTCTAGGGGTGGGTGCCTGCGACTCCTGGAGCCCAAGTGGGTATGTGTTACAGTGTGCTTTTTTAGCTTTGCCATCTGCAGGTGGCTTAAGTGTTAACCAGCTCAGTGCCCTCTTGCTACCTGGGTCCTTATCCATCATCAAGGAAGAATCAGGTAATACATGGACTTGAAGGATGAATGCGAAGGTTTTACTGAGTGGTGGAGGTGGCTGTCAGTGGCATGGATGGGGAGCTGGAAAGCAGATGGAGTCGGAAGATGATCTTCGCCTGGAGTTTGGTCATCCAGTGGCTGATCTCCTCTCCGATCATCCCTAGCCGAACTCCTTTTGATGTTCAGATTCTCCTTCTCTTCACTCCTTCTCTTCTGGTCTTCTGCTCTTCTGTTCATCTGCTTTTCTGCTCATGGAACCTGGGGTTTGGGGTTTATATGGGTACAGGATAGGGGGCGTGGCTGGCCAAAAGGCAACATCTGGACACAAAAACAGGTTTGCTTGTTCCCATTTAGGGCCACAGGTTTCCAGGCCTGGAGGTTGGGCCTTTGCCACAGAACTGCCCTCTTCTACCCAGTGTTTTCTTGTCTCCTGTCCATATCATTATCTAATATCTTTTAGCTGAAGATATGAAAATTTTCCTGAAGTTTCTTGCCCCTAACTCTGAATTATTATTAACAGCGATTACAGGACATCTTGGTTAGATTTCCAGATTACATGGTTATTTGCAATATATTCTTTTCTTCTTTTCCCACTCAGTCTTGCTCATTTTTTCTTTATTTTATTCTCACTCTTTTTGTAATTCTTTATTTCTGTCTGCTTTCCTTCCTTCTTCCAGCAGTGAGCTAATATAATTTTAAATTTGTCTTCCAATGCAAAGACCAAACATATAATAATTAGAAGTCATTTTCAAATATAGAAGCATAAGAGATATGTCTGCATTCCAAGTATTTGATATTACTCTTCAGATGTACTTAAGATTCTGTTAATTTAGATTGCCTTATCAGGGGCATAGAATAGTGAAAGATGTAACCAAATAATTGGGTGGCAGAATTGAAGTGCCTCTAAATGAATAATAACTCTTTACTTTTCCACTGAGTTCTTTGAAAATTAAATATTTGAACTTTAGGTGAAATTAATTTAGATGTTTAAGCATTATTATGAGTATATGGCATTTTAAAATGCAGTTTATATACATAATTATCTGTGTATTTATGAATGTGTGGATATGAATATCCATGCGTATGTTTGTGTATGTAATATCCTTTGTATATAAGATTTAACTGTGGTAAATATCAAGGTAAAATTAAAACACTGCTAAAATTCATAAACTTAAGTTGCTTATTAGTAGTGTGATATCAGTGGAGTTAAATAGGAATCCTTTTAATTATAAGCCCTCTAAAGGATATGTTGGCAATTTAACTTTAAATACAGTTGTATGAAATGTGCTTGAGATGTTAAATGATTAGAGTGGATGACTTATAGAGCAAAAAGTTTGTTATTTAATATAATTTTAGTTTACTTTGATTCAATTTTATAAAATTATTTGATTCTTCAACCAAATGGCATATAAACAATTATAATTTTTTTTTTTTTTTTTGAGATGGAGTCTTGCTCTGTTGCCCAGGCTGGAGTGCAGTGGCGTGATCTTGGCTTACTATAAGCTCCGCCTCCTGGGTTCACGCCATTCTACTGCCTCAGCCTCCTGAGTAGCTGGGACTACACGCCTGCCACCATGCCTAATTAATTTTTTTGTATTTTTAGTAGAGACGGGGTTTCACCATGTTAGCCAGGATGGTCTTGATCTCCTGACCTCATGATCCTCCTGCCTCAGCCTCCCAGAGTGCTGGGATTACAGGCGTGAGCCACCACGCCCAGCCTAATTCTTATAAATACAAATGCTAATTGATTTTTAGAGGAATGAATTTCCTCAGTTATAAACTATACCAGGATTCCCATGAAATCATGTAGTCAAGATCTAGAGTTAAATATTTTCTAACCATCCAACTATCATTTCATGACTTTTTTTCCTATTTTTCTTTTATAATTTTTTCTTAATAACAAAGAAATAAATACATGCTTAATAAATATAGAAGGTGTAGAAAACATAAATGTACCTAAATTAAAAACAGAATGAAAAAGCAAATCGTTAATAATGCTATTACACAAAGGTAAGACTGGGCTCTTCAGACAAGTCTGTCCAATATTTTTCTAGGTAAGTGTGTATATTTTTGTTTGCAACATTATATTCTCTATATACTGTTTTGTAACCTGTTCTAAACTTTGTAATAGATTGTAGATGTCTTCCATTTTGAGAACTATTCTTTCCTACATGTTTAATGAATTATGATGTTTATGGTAATATGTACCTTAGTTTACTGGACAATTTTCCTTTTTTTAAATTTAACTTATTTGTAGTATTGATAGGGACAGGAGGCAGTGAAATTGTTGGCAGAAGTGGGCAGGTCCCCAGTGAGGGCCCCACCCTCAAGCCAAAAAGCCTGGCACTGTGGCCCAAAGTGAGAATTTACATCCCTGTTTTCCTGCCCGAATGTTGCCTTTTCCAAAACCATCCAATGCCTGTCCTGCCCCCGATCCTGTGCCCATAAAAACCCAAGGCTCAGCTGGCAGAGAGGAGAAGCAGCTGGATGTTGGAGAGAAGTGGCTTGACTTCAGAGGGACAGATTGATGGCGTAGATTCAGAGAGGAGTCCAGCCTTGGATGGCTGGACTTCAGGGGAAGATTGCCTTCCTGCTCTGTCCCCTTTTCAGCTCCCCTTTGGCATTTTTTTCCCTTCTCACTGAGAGCCACTTTCATTGGCAATGAAATCTCCCACATTTACCATCTTCAGTTCATTTGTATGATCTCATTCCTCCTGGATACCAGACAAGAACTCGGGTGCCATGAGTGTGGGTGCAAAATGCTGTCACACTGACCCTCCACTGAGCTGTTAACACTTAAGCTGTCCATGGATGGCAGAGCTAAAAGAGTACTGTAACCCTTCCTCTGGAGCTTCAGGGGTCGCAGGCACCCTCCCCTAGATACTGCTGCTGGGCTGGTATGTAGTTCGCTCTTGTCGGTGCCCAAAAGCACTCACCCTGGCTCCTGCACCTGCTTCTATTCACCCTCCCTCTGGTGAGGGGTGGAGCAGCGAGTGAGTGGAGTTCACCCCTCCCAGCACTAAAGTGGCCAGCCAGTTCCAGCACCTGTTCACTCCAGTTTCCACCCACAAAGGGGTCAGGGAAATATCCTGCTTCAGTATTTCACTTTATGAGTAGTACCATCATAACTTGCCTTATATAAAAATTTTGTTTTGCTATGTATGTGATTTTTCCTTAGGATAAATACCTGGGAGTAGAATTTTTGGGTCAACCTGTCCATTTAATTTTTACTTCCACATCTATGCAGATGGTATCACTTGTCTCAGATCCTTGTGTAGAAAATGTGTAGAAATCATGTATATGCTATGCATTAGAGCAAATATAAATTCATTCAGAACAAGAGAAACTAAATACATCCTCAGAGATAGGAAGTAATTATGAGCATATGATAATAAATATGTAATATAAGAGAATTTGTAGACTATTTTTCAGGGATTTTAACAATAGGTTTAGAATTTTTTAAAAAATTTGAGAACTTAATAGACTCCTGAGATTAGGTCCAGCAGTCTTACTTTTAGAAACACTGGTTTAATTAGTTTTAATTGCTAGAAGGATAGATTCAGTAGATATCCAAGTTATTCAAACCCTTCTTGGTACTTGCTTATACCTTTAAAATACATATGTTTTGCTCTTTTTGCCAGTGTATTTTTTTCCTTTCCCCACAGCCTTTCCTCATGCTTTCAATTCCCTACAATTCTGTATATATAAATACATAAAATATGTAGATATTTACAATGTTTATATTTATTAGGTAAGTATTAAACACTGACTTCACTTGTGCAAATTCACTTATAAGAACATATATCACCATGATATTGTCCATTCCTAACTTTTTTTATTTTTTATTTTTTTGAGACAGAGTCTCGCTCTGTTGCCCAGGTTGGAGTGCAGTGGCGTGATCTTGGCTCACTGCAACCTCCACCTCCTGGGTTCAAGCGATTCTCCTGCTTCAGCCTCCCAAGTATCTGGGACTACAGGTGTGTGCCACCATGCTTGGCTAATTGTTTGTATTTTTAGTAGAGACAGTTTCACTGTGTTAGCCAGGATGGTCTTGATCTCCTGACCTCGTGATCCGCCTGCCTTGGCCTCCCAACCATTCCTAACTATTAAAACAAATCTGTCCCTCTCTTACATGATGTAATGATGGGCCATAAAATCTGCTCTGTGCATTCACAAAAGATCCCTTTCTATCTTACGCCGTTGATTCAGTGGTCCCTACTCTGATATCACAGAGTGCAAAACTTTAGTTACTCTATCCAGTTGTGAATGTTTCCTTGGGTTAGATGCACAGTTGGGTTCCTTTCCCCAGCTTAATTATAAGCTCATATTTCAGTTTATGCCTTTTATTCATTGCCTCTCTTTGGCATGTTTTCCTTTGCCTTGGCCTGAGGAAACTCCTTCATTAATGGGCTTTTTGCTCTTGCTATTTTGTTATCTTATATAAGCGCACAGGTGGACAAAAGAAATAACTATTATAGCAGATCCAGGTTTTATAATTGTCTTTTTAATGTAAAGAATATAAAATTACCAATACAAAATTAGGTTAAAAAGTGAATATTTATTTAGAGTTCAAAAATAAATTTAATAAGTTACACATTTTAAAAAGTAAAAAGTTACTGCAAATATCACAAAATCATAAAATATTGTATGATATTGTAACTAATTATGGCCTAATATATTTTTGTAGTATTTTCCTCGATTTTCTGGCTGTATACTTATTAATGGCCTCTTAATCAGTCCAAAAATTTGTAATATTTTCTATAGAGAGAACAGAAGGATAATTAGATCTTTCCTCTGGCATAGTGGATCAAAATTTATTTTTTATTATTCATAGTTTTAAAAAGCTTCTTTAAGCCTCACCAATTGTTATTTATTATTTGATATCAGTGAAATTTTAGGGTGTTTTAAGATGATCAAATTTGAAAAAAATCTGTATCAAGTTTTTCACGTATGCATTATTAGAGACATACTTACAGTTTATTGTAATTGTGACAGATCTGTGCTATACTAACACAGCAAATCTGATAGAGTTTATTTTCATTTGATTCCCATAAAAAGAAAAATATATGGGATATATATAACGATGTGCTACATTATTAAGTATAATTCCCACAGATGAGAGTTTCCATTTTGACTAGATGTTAATGAAAACAATATTCTGCTTACAATATTACATGTTTGAAGATTGGAAGAATATTCCACAGACTAGCTTTTAATTCCATAGTGAGACCTTATTTTTTCTGCACTTTCCACACACTTCCTGCTCCAGGCATCATAGCACATGTTCATGTCATAAGGCCATCCCTGGCTTTCCCACAGTGGGTGATGGGAGTGTACCTGGAAACAATTTTTATACTGAGAATGCTAACAACCTTACTGTTGATAGAAGTAGCTATGGATTTCGTAAATAAATCCTACTAAGATTAAACTAAATGTATTCCCAACTCACCCTTTGCTAGGTCTCCAAAATGTCTTTGACCACTCCAATGACACCCTGTACAAGGAAAATATAATGGAGGAGAAGTCAGAATAAAAATACACAATAATCTTAAACATTTGTAGTTAAAATATATATTTTTTTCAAATCTTACAAAAAATATGACCATTTGAAGACATTTTAGGGCTCCTTATAGGGCTTGGAGAGAGCTTGTCTAAGGGAGAGCTTCTGAAACTTAAAGTTCATTAGGTTCACTATTTGTGCCTTTGATTATTGCTCTTCTCACATTGAATTATAGTTAGCAGTTTATGTTTCTTTTTTACTAAATTATATGCTCCATGATCTGTTCATCTTTGTATCTTCAAGAACCTCAAAGAGAAATGTGAATGTAGCAGAAGCTACATACAATTATGAGGAAAATATTAGGTGAATAATAATCTTCTTGCAAGAAAAACATGAGAGCCTTTCCCACTAAAAAATTGGGTAGTAAATTTATACTGTGTTATCCCAAGACAAGTACATGAATAACTTTTAAAAGGATTAACTTCTTTTATTAAAAAACAGTGGATTTATGAACTGCAAATTTTGAGGCAGGCATACTACTATGATAATATGCTAAAAGAATAAGCATATATGTTGTATTAATTGTACATTAACCTAGAGCAGTGGGTGACATAGCAAATAGACAGTAAATGTTTGACAAAGGGGTAAATAAAACTGATATATAGTTAATTATTTGGTACACCTTAGTTATCTGGGTATGTAGAGTGATAGGGACTTTAAAAAGAAACGCATTTATGATACTTGACTTTAGAATTTTGTGCCTTTAAAACCGTCAAACGTATGCTGAACCATACTCCTTGCTGTATGGTAGTTTTCTTATTCCTCTTCACCCATGTGGACACAATCACTCCCTCCTTTGGGCTGGGCCCCTGTAAAAATTTCTGTTTAGCCATTTAACATTTCATTGTAATTTATTTGTTAGCATGAAATCTCTGCCTTACACCAGAGTTTGAGGTCTTTTAGAGTAAGGACAATGTTCCTTTCTTTCTTCTTCTTTTTATTTTCTTTTAAACAAATGTCGACATAAATTCTCCATGCTGTCTAGCATTCTTCCCGAAATAAAAGAGGTTCTTAGTTGCTTCAGGAATGAAGTCCCACTACAAGGAAATATGCAAATTCATCTGGACTACTGCAAAGGTAATCTAGTTCCTTGCTCTGATTCCTGGCCCACTATCTCCAGATTTGATTTTGGATTTGTTCCTGGACTCCAGCTTGCATTCTCATTGTGATATAAACATGGTGTCTTTGGATATTTGACAGATAAGTGACCTTTGTCTCCATCATTGATTCTGCTTTTGGTAGTGTCACTGCATTTTTTCAGGCCTCTGATCCCTGCCTCTTTCTTCATTTCAGTTTGATACTTGTTCTCAGCACTCTCAACTCAGAAAGAGCCTACTTTGTTATATAGGTCAACATACAATTCTCATAGAACAATTAGATTTTAAGCCTACAAGGAGGGCATTCATCTTATAAGACAGTTATTTTATATTTATATATGTATTTAATATATATATGCACACATGATATATACACATATAAATACATACAGATATATATAGGCTAAAATTATAACATTATAGTAGGCTAAAATGATGATCATACACACTGTTTCTTGAATTGCATCTGCTATCGTAGGTAACTGTTTCTCAGCATTAAAGTAGTAGTTGATTAATATGTAAATATCATTAGTTTCCAATCTAATGGCAAATTTACATTACCTATGATATATCTGAAAAAGTTACACATGATCCCAAATGAGCATGATAAAACATCTAGAAATAAAGTAATGAAAATAATAATCCCCAACAGGATTTGTCAAACCTACAATATTCATAAAGCATAGTTTATTTTCAACATGTAGTGAAGAAAAAGATTTTTTAATACTTATAGTGGCTACACTCTTTAAAAAAAATCCTTAGATGTAAATTGCTCTCCCCATCAAATGATTATATTTCATTGAGTTGATTTAGAATTTTGAAATATCCTCTACTGTCATTGGCAAACCTGTGCCCCTAAAAATTAGTCCTAGAATTTGTCCCCTAGTCAAAAGATTCCCAAGTCTGAATCTGTCACTCCTTGACTTTGGTTACCAGACCCTATACTTAAGCCCTTCATGAGGCCATAAATATTGTGCAAAATGATGCTGCAGCTGCATATTCTTGAATTTGGTAATTATTCTATGGTTGACTTTCTGATATTTTCACTTGTTAGCACTTCCTTATTTCTTTCCCTATTTGACCTTAGTAACCTTGCTGGAGATTGCCTGTTTTTAGTGGAAGACTTATCTCCACTGAATATTTTCACTAGGAATTTTTGTTTCTTTCTTCTCATCCCTACTGGCACCTCCAGCCTCCCTAACACAACCACCTCAGACTCCAACTTCTACACTCTGAAGCTGTGATTCTAATTCATATTCATGAGACATGGCTGGCCAGGTAGAAAGGTCAGAAGTTTTGTTTTGACTTTGAAGCAAATCTTTGAATCTTCTAAATTTTTAAAAGGTAAAAAAAATCTTTAATTAAAAAAAAAATCTGTCATTTGAGAACTATTTACCGAAGAAGTCAAGAATGTAAGCATATTGCAACTTTAAAATAATAATGATCTCAATGCTTTTTACAAGGGTGACCACAACAAAAAGGTATAAATATGCTGACATCAGAACCAAATGATGAAGCAGTGAAAACACTAACAGAGGTTATGCCTTTACCTTGGTAACAAATTGAGAAGACCAGGCCTCAGTTCGTTTGTTTGTGAAATGGCGTAGTAGCATTTGTCTTAGCTATCTCACGTGGTTCAGTGAGACAGTGAGAAAGTACTTTGAAAGCAAAATGTGCTACACAGATATAATAGATAATGAGTATGCAACCAGTCTACATTTCTAGGATGGAATGACAGGGAGTACATTGGCAATAATATAGTGGTTTTCATCTGAGATCAGAGAGCTGATATAAATAAGGTCTTAAGTTTCTTCAGGGTGGCAAGTTGCAGAGAATGATGAATGTTGTCAAGATAATTGAATTTGGAAGGGGACCAAAGCAATGATTGTAAAATGTGGCTCTGAGTTGCTGAGACATTGAAATAGAAGGATCAACAGAAGTATCTAATATAATATATACTCCTGTGATTTAGGAAAATGATGAGCTAGTCTATATATTAATGCTCATGCTCAGGATAGCAAGCTAAGCCTTCAGTCTCTTTGTTGAAGTCAGAAAATCAGACTTTTCAAGAGACAGAAAAGATTCCTGAGCTATCCCTTGTCTCTTGAATAAGTCCTCTGGGTATGGGTAGGGAAATATTTCATTCCCCTGGAAAATTTGGAAAGCTCCTCTGTTGCCTGTAGACTAGCAACAAGAAAATTGAATAATTTTTTTTATTCAATTACTAATAACAAGAAAATTGAATAAATGAAACACATAGTGATGAATACTAAGGAAAAAATGAGGGAAGAAGGGGCCACAGGAAGTATCAGGGTTTAGGACTTGTAATTTTGGATAGAATGGCCAGGAAGGACTCACTGAGAAGATGACAATTGAATAAAGACCTAAAGTATATTCCTATGGTCTATGAATGAATCCCGCTTTGAGTTTACCTGCTAAGTCCACTGACCCCATGCCCAGGGGGAGGTAGGCAAATGCAGCAGCAGTAGAGTTACCATTTAACCACATAGTATTATAAAAAATACAAATAACTTTATTTATTTTTCTTTACTATCTCCCCTTCTAATAGTTTTCTGATGTTACTGATAGCAAAAAGGCTACGCTTATATTGTATCCCAGATAAGTGGAATACACTTGCACACAATTATTTAAGAAAATTGTATGATCAACGTAATACTCCTATTATAAATGGAGATAGAAGAAAACAGAGGATTTGAACATTAAATTTTATCAACATATAATGTGTGCTTTGCTCATTTAGTGACTGACACATGTTAAAGATGAAGCTGAAAATGCCATTCCAGCTTGTATATGTTCAGAAGAGGTTCTGGAATGCTATTCTAGTGGGTTCCCCAGCAAAAACAGCAATGCTCTTAAATTATACTAAAGGCCTAGTTACTATGTAATACTGATTGGATAACTATGTTAGTGATCGTTATCTTGCATTACTTCTATCTTCAGATTGGATATAGACTTATGTTCATGTTATTATACAACTACACAAATATAAGTGTATAATTATATGACTACAATTATACAACTACAGGATAATTATGCAGTTGTTATGCAATTATATGACTACTAATAAATACTAACAACTATTCTCATGAAGACATGTAGATTTTAGTTACTGAGAATTAATCTTCATCATACTTAAAGCTCCATGTATTCCTTATTTTATCTAGTAGTTGGATTATTTATATATTTACTTGTGTGTGTGGCTGGAGGGAGGGGGTGAGGGGGAGGGACGTGGAGAGGGAGCATGTGAGAGACAGTAATAAACACAGTACAATGTTAACATTTTGGGAATTCACATTAAGCATATGGGGCTTTATTTTACTTCAGTTTTTGTTGATAGACAAATAGTTTTGATATGGAATTCAAGGTTCATATTTCCTCAGAAATGAATGACCTTACTGACCTGTTTTCTAACATTCATTGGGGCTAGTCAGCTAGTCTGATGCATGTTTCTTTGTGAATAAACCTTGAATTCTATATTCATTTTGTTGTTTATTTTTTGGGCACTTATTTAGAGCTTTGTTACTTACTTGATACTTATTTTTTGAGTTCTTCAATATTTCTTGATACTTTTATAGGCATTTGAAATACAACCATGAGCAAAATCAATAAAGATACCTGAATTTTATAATTCACATCCTCATAAGGTAGGATCATGGTGCTATAGACAATAAAAGTAATAATTAAATAAATAATATAAATGTGTTAGAAGATAAATGCTATGGAGTTAAGGGTGATCAGGATTGGAGTGGGAGTGAGTTGCAATTTAAAAAATGATAGAATAAGAATCACAGAGAATATGACAATTGAGCAAAATCTTAAAAGAGGTGAAGGAATTACCTATGTGGATTTTTACAGAAACAGAATCTCAAGCAGAGAGAACAACTAATCTAAAAGTCCAACAAAATGTGCCTTATGCATTTTAGGAAAAGCAGGGAGGACATTGAGGCTGGAGTAGAGTAGATGAGAAGGAGTGTATTAAGTATAGTGTAGCAGGTAAAGCCAGAGAGGGAATGGAGGGCCAGATCATCTGGGTTTTTGTTGGTCATTTTAATGACTCTGACCTTTATTTTGAGTGAAATGGGTAAATTCATTACAAGAAGTTGAGCAGAAAATTGACATCTTTTATCATGATTTCAAAGAATTACTTTGGCTGCTATGTGGATAATACTTCACAGGAGCCAATAGTAAAAGCAACAGAGTAGGCCAAAAGCCATTGTATAATGGTTGGAAATGGTGTGGGTCAGACCAGGGTGGTAGTGATGGAAGTGGTGAGAAGTGTTAGGATTCTCAATATATTCTGAAGGTAAAGTCAAAATATTTCCTAATACCTTGGCTATGGCATGTAAAAGAAAGAGAGAAATCAAGAATGTCTTCAAGGTTTCCATTGTGAGTAACAGAAAGAATGAGTGGACATTGGTTAAAGTGAAGGAGGCTGTAAGCAGAGCAAGTTTGGAGGTGGGGAAGATATAGCATTAAAGTTTTTATAGACTGAACTTGAAATTCCTATTAGATATACAACAGAAGATGTAACATTTACAGTTGAATATAAATGGCCAAATTATTAATAAGGATTAATAAGGCCTGAATCTAGTTTTATTTCCTTCTTGATGTCCTATTTTCATTCCTGGAGTCTTCAATATTGTCTTTAATATAGTGTTCTGAAATTTCACAATGAATGAATGAATGAATTTATTAATTTACCTTTTTGACTAATGAGCAGAAGTAAATTTTTCAAGCATAATTCCACCTAACTCTAAGCTCCCACACTGGTCTATGATTCCATGTTGCCCAGTTTTTAGGATAAACAGCAGAAATGAATGGAGTGAATCCTGAGGTGTACCTTTTACTAAAGTTTCTTGTGATAAATGAGAAATTGTCCCATGATCAATATCTGAATCACCTGCAAGAGTTCTAATTATTCTAAAGCAATACAACTGTATTGTATAATTTCACAGAAATCATTGAACCATCTCACTTATTTGATAGTGCTGTTACATAAATAGTTCAGCAGAGACTTCCTGGCACTTACTCATTTTATCTCTGATCATTGACATATATAACAATTTAACTGGAACTATCTATTTCCTTAGTGCTGTATCCAAACACTTTTCATTTTAGTGTAATTAATAGATATTTATTTTTTGCTGTCACAAAAAAAGGCATCAATAGCAATCTGATTAAGATGATCATTTCCTTCCTCTGGTCCTTGTCACAAATTCATTACACCATCCCATTATGGTTGCCCATTCATTTCACAGCTATAAGCAGTGACACATACAATTTTTTTAACCACAGATGTTGATTTCCATATTGTTGCCCCAATGCATAAACACTTCCCTCGTATATCATTGGTGGATGACTATTTGACTGGAGCAGGTGCTGTTGTTAAAGTATAAATGATATATGCACATCACTTAGCTTTTCCTTTCCTCGCATAAACTTTCACCACTAGCCAATGATGACTGAATATTTAACACCCAGAAGCATTAAAACACACCTACTAAACTTCTAAATAATTTATAACTAAAAGTTGACATCTAAAAGAAAAGTTTAGCTCTCAGGAGAAATAATGCAGTAGAAACTTTGGTAGGCATCTATATTGGATTAGAGAAGTAGATCCAGTTTTTAATAAATCATCTAGATTCATAACTATGTAAAGCTGGATGACACTTGAGAAAATGTGGAGAGACAGGAAACTAACATTTTGGGAACACTCAATATGTAACTGATGCTGTGCAAAGCACTTTATTTATATTTTTTTCATTGAAACTTCATAGCAACTCTAAGGAGATGATAATAACTTTATTTTCATATAAAGACGCTTAGACTAAAATGGTTAGGAAATTGACCAAGTACCAAATGAAGAAAGTGGGAGATCTGAGATTTTACTCCAGTTTGTCTTCCATGTCATTCTGTCTCTCAATTGTCTCATTTTAGAATTAAGGATAATATTTAGAGATATTTAGTGAGTTATTCAAGGTTGGGCGGGTGGTTTGTGGCAGAACTAGAGTTAGAACTCCTGGCTTCTCCAGGGTCTGCTTCTGTCTTCTACATCTTATTTCCTTTAATATGCTCTTTATTTGTTTTTGGCATATGACTCTTTTCTCTTTGACTTTGCAATAAAACTGGTCTCATGCATTGGTAAGGCCAACTGCTGCTTTGAACCCTTTAGACAGGAAACTGAAAACTAGAAAGCTTAAGTGACTTTCCCAAGGTAACACAGCTGGTAAATAAGCTATAGGGTGCCATGAAAAAGACTAATGGTAACTTGTAGTCATAGCAAAAACTTTTTGGTGAAATATTTCCAACTTTAAGTCGGGAATTTATTCATTCAACTTAGAATTATTTATTAAATGTCAGCTACATGCCAGATGCTATATGGGTCTGGGATGTAAAATTGAATGAAATAGAATCTCTGAATTCGAAAAGCTCAATGTCTAGTCACAGTGGAAAACATAAGACAAGTAAATAAGCAATTGCATTTTTGAATCCTGCTCCTAATGAAATGCAAAATTAGCATAAGCTTCTAGTCTCCTCTCTCAAAGTCAACTCTGGGTGGAAATCTAAGTGGGAATAAAAAAATTATAAGTAACCTGTGGGTATACAGAAAGCTGTTTCAACTGTTGGTGGTAGGGGGATGGCTGCAGCCTAGGTCAGGGATTGGTCCATTAGGCTATGAGCGGTAAAATTAAAAGAAAAAACAGTTTGAATTCTACTTTTGATTCTCCTCTGCTTTTGCCTTAGGACACCAAATGCCTGGATCGTTACCATGGTAATTGGCAGCTATACTTCAGACTTCTGGTACCCACATCCTTGGTGTGGGGCTTGAGTAGTCTTGGGAAGTGCTTAGATACCCACAGCAGGAATATAAACTCATAGATCAAGATAATGTGACTGAGGAGCATAAACACTTAAAAGGAAAAAAGGGAACAAATATAGATTACAGGTACCATGTAGATCACAGGTGTTAGAAAGACAAGGTTTTCTGACAAGCATCAAAACTCAACAGATAGAATAAAGTAAGATATTAGAATTATAAGAAAATAAAATAAGTATAAAAAGCCAATTATTTGGTATAATAAATATAATATTTTAAATAAAGAACATAACAGATGGGATGAATAATAGAATGAATGCAGCTGAAAAAAATGGATTAGGTTGTTGAAAGCAAAGAGAAATTCCTCCAGGAGGAAGCAGAAAAGAGATAGAGAATAGAAATTGAGGTACCAACACCTGAGTAACAGGAGTTCCAGAAAAGAGAAAATTAAAACTATAGAAGTGATTTTTGAGAAAGTAACAAAGGTAAATTCCACAGAAGTAAGAATTAAGAAAGATAGCTAATCTAAGAGTAATGGGTACAAAATACTAGACTGGAATGATAAAGACCCACACCAAGATACATAATAGAAAACATTAAACATATAGAAAACAATAAAACGTTTATAAAAAGTTCCAAAGAGGAAAAACGAGATCACATTCAGAGGAAAAAAAACCAAAATGATAGCAGATTTGTCAATAGTAACACTGGATGCAAGAAGACGATGGTTTAACACTTTCAAGTTTTGAAGGAAAAAGGCTTTGAATTGAGGATGAAGAATTTAAAGCACTGGCCTATAATCCATTTATTCTCCTATTAAAGATAGTGAGGTATGGGTGGCTGGCATACTCTTTGGGACAGAGGCAGGTGGCCTAGTTGAATATCCATATAAATGACCTGACAGACATATAAATGATATTTGCTAGAAGGAGATTCACTATATATGGAATCCTCTTTTCAGGATGTGTTTGAGTTAGGATTGCTTATGGTAAACAAACCTATAATTTATGGATTTATGAGACATGGCTTCTTGGAAATGTTGTATCAGTTGCAAAACTATCTAGGATATAAAACAGAGATGTTTTGTAACCCAAACCTATGTGGGGGAACTCACAAACCTTAATTACAGACTTCTATTAATCTGGCCACATAGCATATCTAATGCAAGGAGAAAGAATTTATAGACATATGTGGGATGTCCCAGATCTCTCTCTAATTCACTTGTGCCACTTGATTGCTGCCATGGTAGAAATTATTAGCAAAGCTTGATACTGGATAATATCTTAGTCATGTGACTCTGATTTAACAATCTGATTCTTTGTGTTAGAACAGAACTTTGAATTTTATATCCAGCCAAATCATCCTAAAGCATAGAAAGAAATGTCCTTAATCTGATGAAGTCCATTTTACTTACACACATACCCCATTAATGTAAACAGAGAAATGTTAGAAGCATTATTTTAAAATTAAAATTCAGAATTGAGACAGAAATGATAACAATCTCAAGTTCTGTTTGGCAATATATGGGAAGCCCTAGCCAATGTTGTAAAACAAGAAAAAAGAAATTAAAAGTCAAAGGATTGGAAAATAAGAAATAAAAGCAACATTTTTGGTAGATGATATGACTGTCTACTATTAATCCCTCCCATACCCTATAAACAAATTAATAGAAATAATAGAGTTTAACAGGAAGCTGGATATAAAATCATCAAAGAAAAATCAACTTCATGTCTAAACATTACTAACAAATAACTGGAAAACATAATTTTAAAAGGTACCATTTATTATAGCATCAAAAAATCAAGTATCTAGTAATAAATCTACCAAAACTGTGCAAGAATGTATACAAAGGTATAAAACTTTATTAAAAAGCATTAATAATATCTAAATAAATAAAATCATGTTCATAGAGATATTTAATATGAAAATGTCAAATTTCTCTCCAAATGTATCTTTATTTAAAATGACATTAATAAAAAATTTAACAGGTTTCTTTTGAAACTTGATAACCTTGTTTAAGATTTTTATGGAAGTATAGATATTAAGAATAACTAAGATAGGAAAAAGAGTAAAGAGGTATGGCTTACCACTAGGCATTAAGAATTATTATAAAGTTATAGTAATTAAGACATCGTAATAAGACACATTATAGTAATAAGACACCATGCTACTGGTTGGTATTGATAAATTGACCAAGAATGAAAGGTAACTTAAAAAACAAACTTATGTGTGTGAAATGTTGATATATAAAAGTGGTGTTATGACAGACGAATGGAGAAGGGAAGAGCTATTCAATAAACTGACCACACATACAGAAAAATAAAGGTGGATCCTCAGCTTCCATCAAACACAAAGATCAATTCCAGATGGATAAAAGACTTAAATATCAGAAACAAGCCTTTAAAATCTTAATATAAAATATATTTGAGTATTACTCTAACATTGGAGGTAGAGAATGATTTTTTTTAAATATAAAAAGAGCTAACCATAAGGAAAAGGTGATATATTTGACTTTAAAACATAAGAGCTTTTGTTTATCAAGTTATTTTAAGAAAGTGAAAAACCAAGTTACAAACAATTAGATGTCTACAGTAAGAGTAATCAACATAAGATTTCTTTAACAAATATATAATGAACAACATATATAAAGTCAACATCAATATATAATGATCATATAATGAGCATATATAATGAACAACATCAATAAATGTCAAGTAAACCAAAGGAAAAATAATCAGGCTTTTCACAGATGAGGAAACATAAGTAGCCAATAAATATATAAAGATAAGTTCAACTTCTTTTATAATCAGGCAAAAGCAAATTAAGACTAAGATGAATGCCACTTTATAGTCTTCTAGATGGGAATAAAATAAAAACACTGGCAATACCAAAGAAGGAGATGTAGAATAGCAGGATTTTATATATTGTTGATGGAACTATGAGTTTAACAAGTTAACAAGTTAGTTTGGCATGGTCTTGTAAAATTGAACATTTGCATATCCTATGAGCCAGCAATTTCTAGTCCTAGGTATATACCCTAGAGAAACTTCTTACAGATTTTGTAGAGTTTGAAACATAGACAAGAATAGTCATAGCATGTCCAGTGTAATAAAAACCTGGAAATAATCTAAATGTCCATTTACAGAAAAATGGATTGTGTTATGTTCTTGCAATGGAAAATTACATAGTATTCAAATTGGTGAAACTACAGCTACAAACAAAAATATGCATCAATCTTAACAATGTAATACTGAGGGAAAAAGGGAGTCCCAAAAGATTATATAAATAGGATAGACTTTTATAAAGTCAAAACCACTATATTTAAAGTTCAGTTGACCCTTCAACAACACAGGTGGCACTGCATGAGTCCACTTATATGCACATTTTAAAAAATAAATGTATTAGAAAATTATTTGAGATTTGTGATAACTTGAATAAACTCACACAAACTAGAAATACTGATAAAATTAGGAGGAAGTCAGGTATGTCATGAATGAATAAAGTATATGTAGATACTAGTCTATTTTAACATTTACTACTATAAAATATACAGAAATCTTTTATAAAAAACTAAAATGTATAAAAACTTACCCACACAAACATTTATAGACCATACATGGTGCCATTTGCAGTTGAGAGAAATGTAAACAAATGTAAAGATGCAGCATTAAAACATAACTGCACAAAATTAGCTGTAGTACATGCTGTACTACTGTAATAACTTCTTGTTGCTATTGTGGTGAGCCCAAGTGTTGTGAGTTTCTGCTTAATAAAGGTAGTGTAACCCTCATTATCTCCATGTGAGCAGTTTATCTCTCCAGTAAATTGCACATGTCAGCAAAAAGCGATCACTCAAAGTTCAAGGTTCTTGTGTATTTTTCTTCATATATAGTACAATATTGTAAATCTTGAATAACACCATGGGAACCATATGGAGTGCCACTAATGATGCTGGAAGTACTCCCAAGAAGCAGAGAAAAGTCATGACATTATAAAGAAAAGTTGAGTTGTTTGATAGGTACTACATATTGAGGTTTGCAGCTGACGTTGCAAAGCCACTGCAAGATAAATGAATTCAGTGTAAGGATGATTGTTAAAAAAAAAAAAGAAAAGAAAATTTGTGAAGCTGTCACTTCAGGTATACCAGCAGGCATGAAAAACCTTGAACTTTTTGCAAAATACTTTTTTCTATCTTATTGAAAATGCAGCTTTTATGTAGGTGCAGGACTGCTATAAGAAAGCCATACCTAAAGACTCTAATATAATTTGAGAAAAAGTAAAGTCATTACATAAGTTAAAAAAGAAGGAAGAAGAAGCATCTAAAGCTGGAGAATTTAATGCCAGCAAAGGATGGTTTGATAATTTTAGAAAGAGGTTTGGCTTTAAAAATGTTAAGATAGGTGGGACACAGTGGCTCACGCCTGTAATCCCAGCACTTTGGGAGGCAGAGGCAGGTGGATTGCCTGAGGTCAGGAGTTTGAGAACAGCCTGGCTAACATGGTGAAACCCTATCTCTACTAAAAATACAAAAAATAGCCAGGTGTGGTGGTGCACGCCTGTAGTCCCAGCTACTTGAGAGGCTGAGGCAGGAGAATTGCTTGAACCCAGGAGGGAGAGGTTGCAGTGAGCCAAGATAGTGCCTCTGCATTCCAGCCTGGGCAACAAAGCAAGACTCTGTCTCAAAATAAATAAATAAATAAATAAATAAATAAATAAATAAATAAATAAATAAATAAAATAAAAATAAAAAATAAAAAAAAGTTAAGATAATAGGAAAAGCAGCCTCTGACCAATAGGCAGCAGATGAGTTTCCACATGCCATTAAGAAAATCATTGAGGAAACAGGATTCTTACCTAAACAGGTTTTTAATGCGGACAAACCTGCCCTATTCTGGAAAAAAAATCCACAAAGAATATTTACTAGTAAGGGAAAGAAGTGAGCACCAGGATTTAAGGCAAAAAGGGATAGGCAAACTCTACTATAATATTTTGTACAAATGCATAAATCAAGTTTCTAATTAGGACTGCTTTAATTTATAAAGCTGCTTTGAAGGGAAAAGATGAACACCAACTGCCAGTCTTTTGGTTGTACAAGAAGGGCTGGACAATGAAAACCCTTTTTCTGGACTGGTTCCTCTGGTGCTATGTCTCCAAAGTCAGAAAGCACCTTGCCAGTAAGGGTCTGCCTTTTAAGAGCCTGTTTTGTCAGTCTGACAGTCTGTATTTTAACATTATTGCTGGTCAGTTGCATCTAAACTACAGACAGGAGGGGGTATAATGAGGTGTGTCTGACCTCCCATCTGGTCATGATCAGGAACTCAGTTTTAAAGTTTTTCAGGGGTCCCCTTGGCCACAAGTGTAAGTCCATTCAGTTAGTGGAGGGATTTAGGATTTTATTTTTAGTTTACACTAGTTAAGTTTTGGGGGAGTCAAGTTTTAAATGGATTTTTGACTGCACAAAGGTCAGAGCCCATAACCTTCATGTTTAAGGGTCAACTGTGTATATTTTTTCACAGACCCTATATGAATATAAGAAAATTTTATAAATATTTTAATTATTGTACTTGGTTCTCAGCTTAGGCTCTTTAAGGGTTTTTGTACAAACCCCTTGGTGAAGGCATCTCATTCATTTCCCTATTAATTAATACCAGAAAACAATTTTAATTTCCACCCTCCTTTTTGCCATTTAGCAAATAATGTGAAGTTGTAAGAGCTTTCCCTGTAAATTTATGAAAACTCAATCTAGATTCTTTTCTGCTTTGGAAGCAATATCTGTTTTAGAGTTGGATCTAACTCTGGCACTCATTAGGTGACATTCGCTTAATCAGTGGCGTATTTTCAGGTGCTGGCTGGGCAGTGTCATTTCACCAGAAGTGTTCATGTGTGCAGATTGTTATGGTCTCATGAAGCTTGGCTTCTGTGGGCTCTGTGTCTCCACACATAGACATGTAGTTTGTGGGAAGCTTTTGTTAAAACATGAGTTTCTGCTGATTGTTGGCAACTTTGGGGAGAAAGGGTGGATTGACTTAACTTTAACACATTGTGTCATCATGAACATATATTCTTACAGATGAAATTGTTGGATACCTGGACCAGAAAGATTAGACACATTTGGGCTTAGGTCTCAGTCCACTTTTTGAATAACTATGTGAACTTGGGCAAGTCAATAAAAATTTTAGAACCTCAGTTTCCTCATTTGTTATATGCACACAGTATATGCAAGTAACTATGCAAGAATCTTGCATAGTTATTTGAGGTTTAATTAAGAACATGCATAAAACATCTGACACATAGTTGGTGTTAAACACTAAATTATGTCTCCCCTGAAATTCGTATGTTGAAGCCCTAATCCCCATTACCTCAGAATATGACCGTATTTGGAGATAAGGCCTTTAAAGAAGTTATTTAGTTAAAATGAGGCTGTCAGGGTGAGACCCTCATTCAATATGACTGGTATCCTTATAAGAAGATACACCAGGGGTGCCTTGCATAGAGAGAGGAGCATGTGAAGAAGCAGCAAGAGGACAGCCATCTGCAAGACAAAAAGAGAGGGGTCTCAGAGGAAATCTACTCAGCTCACACCCTGATCTTGGGCCTACAGCTTCCAGAACTGTGAGAGAATAAATTTCTGTTGTTTAAGCTACCCAGTCTGTGATGTTTTGTTATAGAAGTCCTGGCAAACTATTAGTAATACTGTTGGCACTGGACGAGTGGCAGCTTTTTAAAAAATAGTGTTGGATTTTGAGTCAGCATGGATTTGAATTCTCTGTGCTACAGTTTCTTTGTTTGTAAAGTGAGATTAATAATCTTCCTTATAGTTTGTTGTGAAGATTAAATGAATTAATATATGTAAAGATCTTAGAATATAGACTTAACTTTTTTTAGTAAGCCATCTCTTATCTGCTTGGTCCTTCCCTCATCCTGACTATAGAAGTGTTAAAATACAAGTAATCGATATATGCGCAGTGTTTTTATCTACTGAATAAGTCTCCTTTTAGTTAATGCTTCATAAACTATATTCTACACATTGCCTACAGGAGACTTCCAAAAGTACCCCTTTGATTATTTTATTCCTCAACAACTTTTACTGGCTTCTCACTGACAATAAAATAATTTCTATATGATCTATTCTGGCATTCAAAGCCTTCAAAAATCTAGATCCTCACCACTTTTTCATCTGTATTTCCTACTATTCTACTTTCTACTTCAAATCTTCTTAAATAACTTTTAAGTACTTAAAAGTAATTATAAATACTTATGTCAACTTACTTATATTGACTCATTGTTTTCTGAACATACTCTTTCCTAGTTTTGTTCTTTGGTCCACACTTTTCATTCTACATGTAATTCTTTCTGTTCCCGTCTTCCCCCAACTCCCTTGTTAAAATTCTACTCATTCATTAGGTTTCAGTTCATTTTTGGAAGATTTTCCTAACAACATAAACAAAAATGAATTTTGCTTGTACTTCTAAACTTTTCTTACTATAATTATTGACTCTAAAGAGTTGTTGAATGAGGAAATGCGTGAATAGCTGGATTAATGTGTAAATGAAAGGATGGATAGATGGATGAATGAAAGGATGGATGAAAGGACATAGGCATACAATATCCCAATATAAGCCCATCTGTATTTCCTACCACCTTAACAAGAATATCTTTACTTGATAGGTACATTTGAGAAGCACTTAAAATTCTGACTGTTTGCTATTAAAAATTGAAACTGTAAACTTTTGAAATGAATTATTAATTGCAGCTAATGACTTCATAGTATTTTAAAATGTTCTCTTCATCTGTTTGCTGGTTGAATATACTGGCCAATATTGATTTTGAAATTAATCCATCTGCCTTATTACATGCTCTATTGCCTGAGTTGAAATTGAGAATTTATTTAAAATATTGTCTTCCTTAAATTACTTCAATTGTTGTTAGTCTTCCCTAATATTTGTGAAACTGAATGATTATATAGAGAGATAGATGCATATATAGTAACACGATAATTTTCCTGTCTGACAGGGACATTGGAAAGGTTAATTTGTGTCTGTGGTGATTTTTGTCCCTCTTGATGAAAAGACACTATACAAATACAGAAAACAGAATAAATAAATAATTTCATTAAAATAAAAAAGGTTATTTTATCAGTGGCTGTAGCTGGATTTAAAAAATTGATTCATAAGGGAGAGAACCTAAAAAATTACTTTTAACCCTGAGGCATGATTTCCAGGCCAAATGTCTTAACCCAAGGTGTTATGGTGAATATGTTTTCATTTGAATGAGATCATCACTTAGTACATAGAGTTATGGACTTAACCACTCTAATGGATAGACAGAAAGAGTGGAGAAAATTATTTTTCTCTTTCTCTAATATCCATGGGTGCCCCATTTAATTGTCTACTCAAATTGATCATTAGGCACTTTCTGTTGATCAGGTGCATTACTAAACCCTTTGGTTAAACTATTTGACGTAGCAGTTCCTGCCCTTAGTTTGCATGACCTGGATTTCACTCTCAGAATTTAGTCCTCATCAGCCTACACCTAGAGATAACAAACACTCTTTCTGTGCACGCTGTATAATGGCATCTTTCCAACAATGCTAGGAGTAGGCAATACAGAGTGCCTTTATGTTTTGTGGTTATTTGGAAGCTTAGGAAGGGAAGAAAATTAACATTTTCTGAGCATCTGTTATTATCCATATATACTCTGTATTTTTTAACTTGAAAAGCTCTCACTGTCCTTATATTAGACTCTGTTTGTTGATGTACCTTCCTGTATCATAGAACATATTTTACTATATTATAATCAGTAGTTTAAATGTCTGTTTCCCCTACTAGAGGGTAAGCTCTGTGAGGGCAGAGGCCACATCTCTTTGGTTCATTTCTGCATCCTCATTACCCAGCACAGTGGATGGCACATAGTAGGAACACAATTAATATTGTTAAAGAATGAAAACTTTGCAATCCTATTTCATCTTCTCATTAATAATTGTAACCTCTCTGCACTTTAAAATTGCCAAGCTAATATTTCTCAGGATTGTTGTGAAAATTAAAGATATTTCAAGTTTAAGATGGCATACTGAAGCTGCAACACATATTTCCCCATTCTCAATACCTAATTGCAGGAGCAAAAACTAGTTAAAACTCACACACACATAGTCACAACAGCCACCACCACCAGAAAAGGAAAGGTCCAAAATCTGATGCAGCAATCTTGAAAAACTAGAGTCCAAGGTAAAAAAAAAAAAAAAAAAAATTAAGGATCCAGAGTAGAATAGAGAGGCACAGCAGAGTTTGGCTTCTAATGGTATCTAGCCCTCCTTCCCATTATCTTGCCAACACTGTCCCCTTTATCTCTGGTAAAATCTAATTAGTACATTGACAAAACTTTTAGAATTCTCACTAATATGACCAAACCTGGAGAGATCCCCACAAGTGAGTGGGTAGCCTTATGCTTTTCTTCTTGTTATTAATGGCTGCTATAAATGGCTGATGGAGTAAAACAGCTAAAATGATGAAGTAAACAGTGAGGCTGACTCTGTGAAAAATGAGGGATCTTAGGGAAACCACAGGTAATATAACATTACAGTTAGGAGAAGTCAATCCTGGGACAGGATGTTTTACAAACTCTGAAGAGAGAGTGATCAATTTTACTCTAAAGATGCCACATATGCTCTTAGTTTAGTTTTCCTCCTGCCCTTTGTATGCCTCTAAGAAAAAAAACAATACGCAGACCTCAACCTGTAGCTGGGGACAGAAATAGGTGGGAAATAGCACCAAGAAATCACCCATATGTCAGAACAAAAGGAATTCCCATGCAGAAAGCCTTTTCTCCTTATAAGGAAAAGGAAAAAAAACCACATGAAATCTACCAAACTATTGCAACTAAAAGAAATCACAGGTACAAAAAGTAAAAAAATTTAAAATAGAATTAAACATAACGCATGGAAAGAAAGGCATTAAGGCCATACAGAAGCAAGATCTTCAAACTGGAGTTTCTGTTTTACCTTTCTTCCATCTAGAGACTTGTCATCTGGGTCACCAAATAAAAGTACATTTGGAAATATTGCTGTCTGCAAAGTGCCATGAATTAAATTCCCCACAAAGCTGTGACAGGGCTTCCTGTCTTTCCATGTGTTAAGCATATTCCTATTATGGAAAAATTAAGGTAATTTAGATAAATTATTTTGTCTAGTATTGTCACATTCTGAATTCACGTATGCTTTAGAGTAGAACAGTGAGAGTGATGTCAATTTTTCCTGAATGATGCCACGACTTTTTATCCCTTGAGTATTAGGAAAAGTAAATTGCTACTGTGAGAGAAAAACAAAGAAAGAATCTATAAGAAATATTGAAAGTATTTATACTTAGCTTGTCCAGATGACATACTCATGGAAATGCCTTATTCTATCTATCTATCATTTGCTTCGAAGAGGTAACATTGTTTTTGTGGAAAGGTATATTGATACCTTTGTTGTAATTAAAAATTAAATTAGACTTTTATTCTGAGAGAAAGTAAATATGATTTTTCTGATGGTTCAATAATAACTGTCTTTGTCAATTAGGCTATTTGTGAATATTTTCTATAACCTGAAGTGGACTAATTTCACTCCAAAATTTTGATGAAAATAAAAATTATCAAAAGATATTATATTATTCAAATGTGATGGAATAATGTATATCAGACCTACTTTTATGCCATAGGCAACTAAAAAATTGGACAAAAGTCATAAAGCAACTGTTTTTGGGCATTAAACAACATTCAACATAAGACTGTGATCCCTGAAACAAGTAAAGTATATAAGACAAGTTTTATTGGTATTTAGCATGTTGCTTGGTAGAAAGCAAAAATCTTAATGGGTGGAGGAAAGAAATATTGGCTCTTACAGCTGCTAAGGTGGGTGAAATTTGCAGGGTAAGATACTAGATATGAGAGAACTGTGTGGAGAAGGAACTCCAATAATCTGCATAGGAAATACTGCCTAGTCTTGTTGAACAATAAGATGCGTGAGTGCAGGGTGAAATTTGATGAGGTTTGGCAGCAACTAAATATTTGTGAGCTACATAGAGATTCTGGAGTTTGCACAGTTCTGGGTAACGTTGGAATTTTTGTGAGCTAGAGCAGAAGGACTTTGCTGAACATGTTAGTCATTGGGCTGACACCACCCAAAATTCATGCGTTTGGAGGAGGCCTACTCCAGCCTTTGATTGATTGCCTTAGACATCCCCTAACAGAGTCTTTAAAGAAGTCTTGATAGGATAAAGCTAATGTGCTAGTAAATTAGCTGCCTGCCAGAATGAAACTCGTCACTCTGATGATGTCAACAATGTAGCATCTACAATTGCCAGCTACTTTAAGAAATCACTAGATAGGAGAAAACCATGAAAAAAAATAGTCAATAGAGATTGGTGACAGAAATATTAGGATTAGCAAACAAGGTTGTTAAAATGCTATTATAAATATGTTTAATAATGTAAAGGAAAAGATGGGCTTAGTGATTGAATAGTTGGTGGAAAATCCCAGCCATGAAATGGGAAACCTTAAAAAAGAATGAAGTAGTTATTCTAGATCTTAAAAGTACAATACTTGATATAAAAAGTTAACTGAATGGGCTTAACAGCAGAGTAGATGCTGCAGAAGAAAATATCAGTGAACTTAAATCAGTGCAAAATATACTATCCACACTGAAGTACATAGAGAAAGACAACTTATAACAAAAAAGCCTCCATAACTTTTGGTGCAACATCAAATAGTCTAATAGATGTATATTTGCAGTCCCAACAGGAGAGGTAAGAAAAAATGGGCAAATTTTTTTTGGTGAAATAATAGTTTAATAGTTTCCCAAATTTTATTAAAAATATCAACCTACATGTATTAGTCCACTTTTGCTGCTATAACAAAATAGACTTGGTAACTAATAAATAGTAGCAATTTATTTCTCACAGTTTTGGTAGCTAGGAAGTCCAAGATCAAAGTTCCAGCAGATTTGGTATCTGGTAAGGGCTTGTTCTTTACTTTCAAGATGGTGTCTTCTTGCTGTATCCTCACGTGGTGGAAGAGGAGCAGGTCAAAAGGGCAAAATGGGACTATCAAACTCCCTGAAACCCTTTTATAAGGGTGCTAATTCCATTCATAAGGAATGACCTTCATGACCTAAAGGCCTCACCTCTTAATACTATTGCATTGGGGATTAAGTTGTAGTATGAATTTTGGGAGGAATAAACATCCAAACCATAGCACCACATATCCAAGAAGCTTAATGAACATCAATCATAACCATGCTTGAATTGCTGACAAACCAAAGATAAAGAGAAATCTTAGGAATAGTCAGATTAAGTCTTATAATAAACTGGGAATTATGAAGAATGCTGCTGACTTATGTAAAACAATGCAAGTATGAAAAAAACTACATCTTTAAAATGGTGAAAGAAAAAAGTCATCCTAGAATTTTATATCCATAAACACGTCTTTCGAAAATGAATATAAATATATATTTATACACTATATAAATATGTTTATTTAAATAAATGAATACGAGATAATTCAACATCAGCATACTTGTACTAAGACACGTTGAAGGAAGTTTTTCAGAATAAAAGGAAATAATACAAAATATAAACTTAGATCTACACAAAAAATAAAAATCACCAAAAATTGTGAGCATGTGGGTATGTGAGAATGCTTTGTTTATTGTAAAAATTTAATGTATACAATTTGGAAAATTCAGATTAGCAAGAAGAAAAAAACATCACTTGTAATCCTACCCCTGAGAGATAGCCATTGTTAACATTTAGTTAACAGTCTTTGTCAATGCATTTTTTAAACAATACTTTAAGTTCTGGGATACATGTGCAGAATGTGCAATTTTGTTACATAGGTGTACACTTGCCATGGTGGTTTGCTGCAAGCATCAACCCATCATCTACATTAGGTATTTCTCCTAATGCTATCCCTCCTCTAGCTCCCCACCCCTTGACAGGCCCCGATGTGTGATGCTCCCCTCTTTGTGTCCATGTGTTCTCATTGTTCAACTCCCACCAAACATGTGGTGTTTGGTTTTCTGTTCCTGTGTAGTTTGCTGAGAATGCTGGTTTCCAGCTTCATCCATGTCCCTGCAAAAGACATAAACTCATTCTTTTTATGGCTGCATAGTATTCCATGGTGTATATGTGCCACATATTCTTTATCCAGTCTATCATTGATGGGCATTTGGGTTGGTTCCAAGTCTTTGGTATTGTGAACAGTGCTGCAGTAAACATATGTGTGCATGTGTCTTTATAATAGAATGATTTATAAGCCTTTGGGTGTATACCCCCTAGTGGGATTGCTGAGTCAGATGGTATTTCTGATTCTAGATCCTTGAGGAATCACCACACTATCTTCTACAGTGGTTGAACTAATTTACACTCCCACCAACAGTGTAAAAGCATTCCTGTTTCTCCACATCCTCTCCAGAATCTGTTGTTTCCTGACTTTTTAATGATCGTCATTCTAACTGGTGTGAGATGGTGTCTCATTGTGGTTTTGATTTGCATTTCTCTAATGACCAGTGATGATAAGCTTTTTTTCATATGTTTGTTGGCCACATAAATGTCTTCTTTTGAGAAGTGTCTGTTCATATCCTTTGCCCACTTTTTGATGGGGTGGTTTTTTTTCTTGTAAATTTGTTTAAGTCCTTTGTAGATTCTGGATATTAGCCCTTTGTCAAATGGATAGATTGCAAAAATTTTCTTGACAGCTGACTCTTTAAAGTAAAAAAAAAATACTGTGTTGTTGATCTATAGGATATGTATACAACATATGAAAACAAAAGCAGAAAAGACAGAAAGAGGGTAAATGGAAGTGTACAGTTGTAAGGTTCTTATATGTGATGTATGTGAAGTGGTATAACATTAATTCAGTGTGGACAGTGATAATTTAAGGAGGCATATTATAATTCCTAAAATAAACACTAAAAATACAAAAAAAGGTATAGGAAAATAGCCAATAAAAAAGATAAAATAAAATACTATATATATTATTTAAAGCCAAAATAACATAAGAAGTTAAAAAAAGATACATAGATGAAACAAATGAAAACAAATGGCAAAATGGTATTCTTAAATCCAACTATAATAATAATTACATTAATAAAAATAGGATAAGAAATGACAATGAAAAGTCAGAGACTGTCATATTGGCTAAAATATCAAAACCCATATATAAGCCATTTATAAGAAAAAAGTTAAAGATAAATAAGCCAATAGGGTAGCCATAAAAATATAAAAAAGGATAAGCTATGTAACAGCCATCAAAAAAAGAAGAGAAAAGCTGAGTAGCTATATTAATATCAAACACAGTAGGCTTAAATGCAAAAGTATAATCAGAGGTAGTGAGGTAACTTTCATAATGATAAAGGGAAACTAAACTACTTCAGATATCTTGAACCCTTGGTGAAGGAATTACCAACAAAGGTTAAAAAGATTAAATCTGAGCTTAAATGGGAAGCATTCTAAAATATGTATTTCCCTGCTTCATTGGCTTTAACTAGTTCTGAAGTGTTCTCTCTTATGCTTGCTTCCATGATTCTTCTTAAACATTTCTATCATGTGAAATACTGTTCTTCCGTTTTGAATCCCCTTTGCTATCTGGCATCCTTCCTATTTCTCTTGTAGGCAACAACTCAGGCATAAAGCAGAACTTGCTAGCTCTTCCTGGGGGCCTCATCATACTTTAGCCTTTACTAGTTAGTCATTCCATAAATTTTCATTGAGCTTCTACTATGCACTAGCTACTATTCTAGGCCTAAGATACAACTGGGAATTGAACTCCTAGGAGATAGGGTATGAGGAACAGAAAATAAATAAACAAATAATTATGGAGTGTGCCAGGTAGTGATACATGTAAGAGAAAAAAATAAAGATATTTAGGAAATCTCATTGAGGAGTAGTAAAGGAAAGCATATCCAAGATGTAATTTACACTGGCTGGAGAAAGTAAGGTACCACCTTCTGATGCCTGGGGGAAGATTGTCCTGGGTAGAGACAACATGTGTGATGTTGCCGAATCAGGAGTGTACCTGCTGAATACAGATAGATGGGTTAATAATGTGGCTAGAAATAAATAGGAGAAGAGTGTGGCTAGAGGATGAATAAGAGATAGACAGAGTAGTAGCAGATGAGGCCAGGTAGGTGGTAGGAAGCTACATCATATAAGATCATGGATGCT
Organism: Homo sapiens; assembly: GCF_000001405.40. Lineage (NCBI taxonomy): Eukaryota > Metazoa > Chordata > Mammalia > Primates > Hominidae > Homo > Homo sapiens. The sequence goes on along the minus strand of NC_000011.10, from coordinate 85,227,745 downwards.
TCCAAATGGACTTGGATTTTTCTCTGAATGAGATGGGAAGCCATTGGAGGGGGTTTTGAACAGAGGAGAAACATTGTTTGATATATTCTGTGGTATCACTGTGGCTGCAGTGTGAAGATTAAACTCCTTATTCCTTAAGATAGTTAACAAAGAATTATGCAAGGCAGATAGAAAATACTTACAGATTTATTTGCTCATTTTTGATACTAGCTTTATATCAGTGAGTTTTCTTTGCCATGTTAGTGTTCCCTTGAGGTATTCAGAGAGATCTTTACCATCCAGATCTTTTCCTATTTATTTTTAATAGTTGTATATCTGATGAGTGACTGTAGAAATAACCATTGTGTATTGTTAAGGGAACAACAAACCAAAAACTATTATCCATTAAGCCTATGACAGGAATACTTACAAGACTTTTTCTTTTTCTTTATTAAAAATTTTTTCTTGATTTTAGATTACAAACTGGTAATCTTTATTTATAACTTAAATAATTTTATTTAAAGCATTTATTTATAGCTTAGCTTATTTTTCTACCTTCAGGAGTTCTGGTAATAGCCTCAGCTGATTGATTATCACCAGGATGACCCAGCAATCTTCCTTTCATAGATGCTATTTTTGTTTTATTTCAGTTTCCAGTTTTGCCTTTCTTTCTGTGATAAGGCAGGCCTTGGGAATGGTTTTCACTTGCAGTCATTCCTGCTCTGACCCTCCACCTTGATACCATTCTGTCTTTTGCAGCAGCTTGAGAAAGAAGCCAAGATGTCTAATTGTAACATTAACTAAGAATGTTTAAGCTTCACCAAAGACTTTAACTCTGATATAAAAGGTCCCTATTTTTAAACTACCACAGACAATATCTTTGGTTAATAACTCAGCTCTAGTTCTGAACAATCTATGGGGTAAGCTCCTTCACTAAAAGAGCAGGGATAGGGTACAAGCAAGGAAGTTTTCAGAATTTCAGGTGATGAGATAGGGATTTTCAGGACTGGTGAATAACATCATTGTCTTTTTCTGTTGTGTTAAATTTGAATTCATTTTACAGGAATCACGCTTCTCTCCAACACATCATGTCTTCTAGTTGATTATTTTAATAACCTCTCCAATGTTTCTACCCCATTTTCCACATTTTGAATTCATTCCATATTTATTCACTTTCTGTTATCGTGTCTGTATGTTTTTTCTTTTCTTTTTTAAAGACAGGGTCTTGCTCTGTTGCCCAGGCTAGAGCGTAGTGGCGAGATCATAGCTCACTGTAGCCTTGAACTCCTGGGCTCAAGTGATCCTCCTGCCTCAGCTTCCTGAGTAGCTGGTGTTTTGTCCTAACATATTCAAATGTGAAACTTAGGTGAATAACGAAATTTTTCATAAGTAGATTTGTTGTGAAAGATTACACACAACATCCTGGTTTGTCTTATAGCTTTCTCCCTATTTTTTACATTTATCTATCCATCCATGCATCCATCTATGCATCCATCCATCCATCCATCCATCCATCCACCCACATGTCTAATAAATGTGCTCTACATATATTGTTAAATATAACAATTATATTATTATATTAGAATATGCAATTATATTATTTTTATTATAAAAATTATAACACATATATTGTTAATATAACAATTATGTCACTATGGATATGCAGAGCAATGATTGAACTCAAGAAATATTTTTGGAGATTGAAATTTGGAAATTCAATTTTGATTAAAGGAAGGAGATAAGGAAGGAATCAGAGATAATTCAGAGGTTTCTACAATAAGTGTCTGGTTGGTGATGGCATTGGGGAGCTAGGTAATACAGAGAAGGAACAAGTTCCATGGTAGTAGGGATGAGCTCAATATTGGACATATTAACAAGTATCTGTATGACATTCAGATGTAAATGTTTAGGAATATGGTTTGGGAGCTAAGAAGAGTGGTTGTGATTTGAGATGGAGAAATGGTAGTCAGAAATTTAGAGGTGATGCTGAAGAAGCTATAGGGATGTTTGAGACTACCTCTGGAGTGGCAGCAGAATATCTGCCCCAAGTCAACATTGGAATGCTTTGGGTTGAAAAATAAACAGAGAGAAGAGAAAAGGAAAGAGGAGGCAATGCCATAAGGAGGAGACAGAACTCAGAGATAGTATGGAGGGCAGAAGTCAGTGGAGAGAAAGAAATAAAGTAACAGCAAAGGGAAAGTACAAAAGAAACTGGGACCAGAAGCATAAGAGAAGAAAGTTAACTTTGGAAAGAAAGAGGGATAGCTACCTCTTTCCCTGGAGAAGAGGAGATAAACTTAGGTTAAGATTTTAATGTATGTGTGACCTTGAAGATAGAAGCTGGAGAAGGAAAGATCGGGAAGTTTGTGGTTTATGACCTCTATTTTCTTGACCAAGTAGGTAGCAAGGTCATCTGCGGAGAGATGAGTGGGCTGGGACAGGATCTTCATGAGCATGATGGAGGTTTATAATAGCCACTTTAGGGTCTAGGAGAAATAGCTGAGGAGAGACAACTGAAAGGATTGCTGGGCAGTGCTGAAAGCCTAGAAGAGGTTGGAAACCATAAATAACTTGTGCTTTTTTTTTCTTACTCCATCATTCCATGACAGCCCCTGTTTCCTCTCCCGCTCGATTTATTTTCATTTATAGTCTGATCAGGAAATAATTTTCCACTAAATTTAAAGCCTAATTTAGGCAAGAAGAAAAACAAAGACTTATATTTCAAACACCTAAGATAAACCTGCTTGAGGTTTTATGTTTTAATTGAAATTAGTTGGCACTCTTCTCTAATCAAAGTACCACATGTTATTTGTTGAAAACTTATAAAATAAAGAAAAATAAAAGGTAGGGTAACATTATCCAATGAGAAATTGTTGTTTATACTGTTTTCCTTTCAGTACTTTCTCTAAACACAGTTTTGTCTGCTTGCTTATTTTACACGATTATGTTAACCACATATAAACTGCTCTTTTAAACTCTTTAAGATTTGACTTCATGTCTTGCTCTTTTAAACTCTTTAAGATTTGTAATTGTTTATTTTCCTAATCATAAAAGAAATTTTGATTTATTATACAATTTTGAAAATACAAAAAAAGAAGATGAAAATATAAATCATTCATAACCCTATCAACCATAGATAATGACTTATTACTAAGAGTTTTGATGAAAGCTTTCATGTCACACTTCAGAAAATACTTTCCAGCAACATTTCTGCTAATATTTGATTTTAGCTCTTCTTCACTAAGTTTAAACAGCCTGGACAGTAACAGTGTTTTATCTGGAGAATCACTAATCAGTACAGCCAGGAGAAACAGCTCAGTCCCCTACACCTCAATGGCAGAGATAAGGACTTAAGAACAGAATGAGGAGAGAAGGAGAAAGTATTGTCAACTTGTATTAAACAAAATATGTTTCCATGTCTCTGAAAAAGTCTAAAGTGCACTTATAAGCAGCATGAGACCTACTCTTATCATGAACTCAAAAATTATTCTTTCTCCTCCCCTGTTGCTTCTTACCCTACACCTGATTTCTGTCAATTATTATGTCCTTCAAGCAGTTGTAGCTCTAGAAATTCATATGGGAGAGGTTTTTAGCAGCATAATAATCTCAGACACTGATGTAGCACTGTGCATGTGTCAGATGTTATTCTAAATGTTTTATATAGATTAATTTTATTTAATAATCAGAATAAAACTAAGTGGTAGGTAATAAAATTATTCCCACTTTGAAGATGTAAAAACTAAGGTACAAAGAGATTCTATAATTTACCAAGGTCACCTTTTTTTTAAAGTAGAAATGTGTTTTGAACCCAAGCAGTCTGTCCCAGAATCCTCTTTATAACCCCTGCACAATATCCAGTTGGAAGGGTAGCAGAGAGATTTATCTTGAGTTGGTATTGTAAGCACACATTTTACTTAGAATGTTTATTTGGTGTGACTTGAGGGTTGGTTAAGTCCTCTTAATTCTCACCCTTACCCTAATCCAAACATCCAAACTTGGTATTACAACTGCTTCCTAAATTTTCTTGATGGCCAAAGTGAGGTGGTCCAGATGTTTTAGTAAGGCTTGTAGTGCATTTTCTCCTGTATTCTAGACTTTCTTTTAAAAAAACAAAAACAACAACAAAAAAACAGCAGGTCTCCTTCTATTGCCCAAACTGGAGTGCAGTGGCATTATTTCAGTTCACTGCAACCTCTTTCTCCCAGGCTTAAGTGATCCTCCCAGGTAGACTTCTGAGTAGCCCGGACCACAAGCACGCACCAGCACGCCTCGCTATATATATATAAATTTTTTTTAATAGAGATGGGTTTCACCATGTTTCCCAGGCTTGTCTGGAACTCCTGGACTCAAGCCATCTGCACAGCTCAGTCTCCCAGAGTGCTGAGATTTACAGGTGTAAGCCACCATGCTCATCCTTCTAGACTTCTATTATGGTTTTTGTTTGTTGTTTTTGTTTTGGATATCACTGCAATCTTCTCATCTCTTCTTCTAGGAAAGGACCAATCTATTGCAGGTGCGTCTTGCATTTCCAAGTTTGGAAATTCTCATGGCATTGATGTTTACTCCTATGTCCTTAAAAACCCTAAATGGTTCTTGAGCTACTTTTAATAGATTATACCTTATAGGTAATAAATTCCGATTTGTTATTAAAATTAGTAACAAACAAAGTTTCTTTCTTGGCATTTGATTTGCTTGGCACACTCAATCCTGCCTTCTTTGTCCTCTTGCCTTCCTGGACTGCTGCTTTAGGTTCCAGGTTTGGAATGGTTGCTTGTCTGTGCCAGCACTGAGAAATCTGAAATGCCCACTAATGCCAGGCATTCTGGGTTCTTACAAACTGTTGAGTGGAAGAAGGGAAGTGATAAAGGTAGTGTCTGCTTATGTCACTGCCAAGCTAACTTGACCCATTTGTTAGCTGACAACTGGGACACCAGGGAAGCTACCATAGGACTAGCCGGGAAAAAAAAATCTCAGAAGGCAATGTGGTACAATGAAAGCTGCAATTCAGCAAGGAATCCATATTACAACTTTAATTATTTAATGTATTTATTTATTTTCTATCTCAAGAACAAACATAGCAGAGTAGTTAAAAGCACAGTCTCTGGGTCTAGATTGCCTGGATTCAAAGCCTGAATCAGTCTTTACAATCTGTGGACCTTGGTCCAATTAACCTCTTTGGGGACTCACTTTCCTTATCTAAAATACTATCATATGAGGGCTGTTCTGAATTTCCAATGAGGGAATACCAGTGAAATGCTTAGAATAGTAACTGGCTCATAATAAGCACTTAATAATTGTTAGTTATTTTAAAATTCCCTCTTTTTAGACTGTTTAAGTTCCAGAAGAGTGGGTGTTTTTTCACCATTAATGCTCATTGCTTAGTGGAGTAGGTACTTCCTAAATGTTTGTTGAATGAATGAATGAATAAATTAATGGATCTACCACTAAATGGGTCTATGACTTAGGATATATTATTTATCCTCTTTGAAAATGTATTCTGGGGCCAGGCACAGTGGCTCATGCCTGTAATACCAGAACTTTGGGAGGCCAAGACAGGCGGATCACTTGAGGTCAGGAGTTAGAGACCAGCCTGGCCAACGTGGTAAAATCTCATCTCTACTAAAAACAAACAAACAAACAAACAAACAAAAAACCGAAATGTTAGCTCGGTGTGGTGGAGCACACCTGTAGTCCCATCTACTTGGGGAGGCTGAGGTGGGAGAATAGCTTGAACCCGGGAGGTGGAGCTTGTGGTGACCTGAGATTGTGCCACTGCATTCCAGCCTGGCTGGCAGAGTGAGACTCTGTCTCAAGAAAAAAAAAAAGAAAGAAAGAAAGAAAGAAAATGTATTCTGGGTATTTTGGATATAATATGTACTTCACAGGGTTTTTGGGAAAATTACACAAAATAAAAATGTGAAATAGGTGCTAGAGTCCAGAGTTTCAGAGCAAAGGCTTTCAAGTCAGGCACAAATGGTCTTGAATCTTATTTTGCCATCAGATATGACCTTGGATAAACCACTACTCCTCTTTGAGCTTCAGTTTCCTCAACTGCAAAATAAAGATCATAATTCTTATAAAGTTGATGTGAATATTAAATAAGACACGCATGTGCTTTGACATTGAACACTGTTCTCTTAAAAATAGTTTGTTACCTTGGCAAAGAACTTTGTAAACTTGAGATCACCATAAAAATGTAAATTATTGGATTTAAACAAAACATTAATTGAAAAGATGTGATAATTTTGCACAAGATGCTGAGTTATAGTGCAGACATGTAGAGGTCACAATGTTCAACAGAGAGTGTCTTCCTATGAGGAAGTTCTGTCTAATATTCTATCTGTCTAATACTCTATGTCTATCTGTCTAATATTCTCTGATTGAATGAGTTTTTAGAAAAGAAAGTTTGAGGCCGGGAGCGGTGGCTCATGTCTGTAATCCCAGCACTTTGGGAGGCTGAGGCGGATGGATCACGAGGTCAGGAGGATGGATCACGAGGTCAGGAGATTGAGACCATCCTGGCGGTGAAACCCCATCTCTACTAAAAATACAAAAAATTAGCCGGGTGTGGTGGCGGGCACCTGTAGTCCCAGCTACTCGAGAGGCTGAGTCAGGAGAATGGCATGAACCCAGGGGGCAGAGCTTGCAGTGAGCTGGGATCACACCACTGTACTCCAGCCTGGGCGACAGAGTGAGACTCTGTCTCAAAAAAAAAAAAAAGAAAGTTTGACTTTTTATTGAGTAGGCCATTTTCTATCAAATTCTCTCATAAGGTAGCACCAAATGAGAAACTAACTGTATCCTGAAAATCTAGACAAGACTGAAGGGAACTAGGGAATCAACTTTTTGTTTAAATAAAATAGTTTGATAGTTATTTTGCCAAGACAAATTGTGATAAATCAAGTGTCATATATAGAGTGATATGGTAAAATAGAAAGTATTTTTTAACATGAGAAGTATAACTTATCTAAAAATAAATATTTATTTATTATAATCTAGATACCCACATTGTTTCTAGTTTCCTGATTATAAGGCAGACAGATGAAGGACACTAAAATTACTTGAATTTTAATGTTTAATGAGCATAGCATTTCATTTTTGTGAAATAAAGTTATATATATATATATATTTTTTTTTCTATTTGATATAATAAACTTGTCTCTTAGGAGCTCAAAATGTACCCTATGTAGAAACTAGGAACATGGCATCTTGCAATGACTATTTAGTTGGTAGTGGAGAGAGGAAGAACATCCTGATCTCTGTACTATCCTCCATTACCCCCCAGGCCCTATTTCCTACTGCTCTCTTATCTTTGTAGTCATCACCCTGGCCTCCTTGCTTATCTCTAACTCCCCAGGCACACTCTTACTCTAGGGCCTTTGCATTTGTTTCTACTACCTAAAAACTATATTCTCCCAAATATCCACAAGGCTAACTCCTTTACCTCTTTAGATGCTTAAATAGCACCTTCTTGGTGGAGCCTTCTTTAGTCACCACGTTAAACAGTGCAACATTTCCAACCCCATTCAACTTTCCTATCTCCATTTCCTGCTTAGTATGTTTCCACTGAAGTTACCAAAATTTGATATCATGTGCAGAGTTTTACATATTTCTTTATCTGTCTCCCCCCACTGCTCACAGGTAAGCTTCACAAGGGCAGAGATTTTTGTATGCTTTGTTTATTGTTATATCCATACCACTAGTATGTTAAAGGTACTTCATAAATATGTGATGGATGAGTGGAGGAATGAATGAATGAATAAACTCTCCAAATTAAGACAAAAAGCAGTTGTAATTTCTTGTGGGAAGTTTCGGTTTCATAAATAAGGCAGTGACCTGGGATGTCAAATCAAATATAGCTGGGTTGGTTGCTTGAGTACTGTTCTCCAAATGCAGAATTTCAGATTCTCCTCTCTCCAGTTGAAACACAGTGTACTAGGTGAAATCGCATTTCCCTGAAGTGCATGACCACCCAAAAATCTGTGAATGTGACCTTATTTGGAAGTAAGGTCTTTGCAGATATAATCTAGTTAAGTGAGGTCATACTAGATTAGAGTGGGCCCTAACTTAATGGCTACTATTTATAAGGAGATGGGAATTTAGATATAGATACACAGGGAGAATGCCACCTGATAACAGTGTCAGAGATTAGAGTGATGCATCTCCAAGGAAAGGAACATCAGGATTGTTAGCAACCACCAGAAGCTAGGAAATGCAAGAAAATATCCTCCTCTAGAACCCTCAGGGAGAACACGGCCATGCTGATGTCCTGATTTTGGGATTCTATTTTGACCATCATGCAGTATGTTAGGCACTGGAGTTGTGATAAATGACCTAGTTCTCTCTGTCTTCAAGGAGTTTATACCCTAGTGACAGAGACTAAAGAAGTACTAATATATGGAAAAATATTGTAATGAAAGTGTTATAAGAGAATTAAACTCAGAGAACACAGAAGTGGAGTATATAATCTAGCCTAGAGACCAGAGGTGTCAGAAAAAGCTTTTATGAAGAGGTAACTTTTATTTCTTAAAATTTCAACTTTTATTTTAGATACAGGGGGTACATGTGCAGGTTTGTTACATGTGGATATTGTGTGATGCTGAGGTTTGGGGTACAGATTCCATCACCCAGGTAATGAGCATGGTACCTGATAGGTAGTTTTTCAACCCATGCCTGCTCCTTGCCTCCCTCTCTAGTAGTCTTAAGCATCTATTGTTCTCATATTTATGTTAATGTGTGCTCAGTGTTTAGCTTCCCCCTATAAGTAAGAACATGTGGTATTTGGTTTTCTGCTATTTGGTTTTGTTGTGTTAATTTGCTTAGGACTATGGCCTCCAAATGCATCCACGTTGCTGCAAAGGACATGATTTCATTCTTTTTATGGCTGCATAGTATTCCATGGTATATATATACTACATTTTCTTTATCTAATCTCCCATGGATGGGCACCTGGGTTGATTTCGTATTTTTGCTATTGTAAATAGTGCATCCAGGAACATATGAGTTCATGTGTCTTTTTGGTAGAATGACTTATTTTCTTTTAGGTATATACCTAGTAATGGGATTACTAGGCCAAATGGTAGCTCTGTTTTAAGTTCTTTGAGAAATCTTCAGACAATTTCCCACAATGGTTGGACTAATTTACATTCTCAACAATAGTGTATAAGTGTTCCCTTTTCTCCACAGCCTCATCATCATCTGTTGTTTTTTGACTTTTTAATAATAGCCATTCTGACTGGTGTGAGATCATATCTCATTGTGGTTTTGATTTGTATCTCTCTGATGATTGGTGATAATGAGCATTTTTTCAGATGTTTTTTGGCTTCTTGTATATCTTCTTTTCAGAAGTGTCTGTTGATATCCTTTGCTCATTGTCTAATGGAGTTATTTGCTTTCTGTTTGTTGATTTATTTAAGTTCCCTACAGATTCTAGATATTTGTTCTTGCATAGGACAAATTCTGGATTTGTTTAATGCATAGTTTGTGAATATTTTCTTCCATTCTGTAGGCTGTTTACTCTGTTGACAGTTTATTTTGCTGTGCAGAACCTTTTTAGTTTAATAAGGTCCTACTTAACTATTTTTGTTTTTGTTGCAATTCCTTGGTACTGGTACAAAAACAGACACGTAGAGCAATGGAACAGGATAGAAAACTCAGAAATAAAGCCATATGCCTACAATTGTATGATCTTTGACAAGGTGGACAAAAACAAGCAATGGAGAAAGGAATCCCTATTCAATAAATGGTGCTTGGATAACTGGCTAGCCATATGCTGAAAACTGAAGCTTGACCCCCGCCTTTCACAATGTACAGACATTAATCCAAAGGGAATAAAATATTCAAATGTAAGCCTTCAAAAAAAAGTAAGACTTTAAAAATCCTAGAAGACAATCTAGGAAATACTCTTCCTGACATTGGCCTTGGTAAGAATTTTTGACAAAGTCCACAAAAGCAACCGAAGAGGTAACTTTTAAATAAACCAGATACATAGGGAAGGGAATAGCATTGCAGGCAGAGGAAAGCATGTGCAAAGGGACGGAATCAGGAGAGACTGTGGTGTAATTTAGAAAATGCTTGAATTGAGTTCAGCTGTACTTGTGATTGAGTGGTTTCAACTGGAGTATGTTGCATAGGAATAAGCTGGGATAATTCAGGTGAGACATAGAAAGGCTCTAACTAAGACAGCATAGTAGAATCTCCTAGAAATCAACTGGTAGTTCAGAATTGCCTGGAATTTCCAAAGTTATCTTGACTCTGGTGTTTAATTGATTGGTTTTGGACAAGGATAGAAAAGGAGGGAGGCTTCCTTATAAAATGATGTATTGTATTTTAAGGTGGGAGTCATTGCAAAGACTTGCAATTCAGAATTTCATGTTTTAGCAATTGTGTATAATTGACTCTGTGTGCATGATTGAAACTCTGTGTGTGTGTGTGTGTGTGTGTGTGTGAGAGAGAGAGAGAATCTAGGTGATGGTGGGATCTGCGGTATATCCATTTTAAAAGTGTGACCTTTAAAGGATTGAGTGGTAATAGAACACATATTGGATTAAAATCTTGAGTTTGAGTTCATATCATAGTTCTGTTCCTTTTTTTAAAAAAATTATAATTTTATCTTTTGGAGTCTTACTCTCCCTCTTTGTGAGTTAATATTTGTTTTACCAATATCACAATATTGTTTTGGGGATAAAATGAAATAAAATATTTAAAAGTCTTATGAGTTTTCAACTCTTATGAAGTACTATACAAATGTGAATTATTATAAGAGATATTGTAGGCCAGGCGCGGCGGCTCACACCTGTAATCACAGCACTTTGGGAGGCCTAGGTGGGTAGATCATGAGGTCAGGAGTTCAAGACCAGCCTGGCCAAGATAGTGAAACCCCGTCTCTAATAAAAACACAAAAATTAGCTGGGCGTGGTGGCAGGTGCCTGTAATCCCAGCTATTCGGGAGGCTGAGGCAGAGAATTGCTTGAACCCGGGAGGTGGAGGTTGCCGTGAGCCAAGATTCAGCCACTGCACTCCAGCCTGGGTGACAGAGTGAGACTCTGTCTCCAAGAAAAAAAAAAGGTATTTTAACCATAAGGGTGCTTCTCAACTAGGTGACCGACCCTAAGATTCTGTGATTCACATTTATATTCAGGTACCTACCTAAATCAAATTGTTCCCATTTTTCAAACATGCTAATGTCATGAAAACTGATGAAGTTCTACAGGACTTTAAATAACTTGCAGTATGGAACCTGTATAACTTTCCTAGGAATCTCCCATAACTGCATACAAACCTGGTGCAAAAATGCTTGTCAAAAGCTTTTGTCAAAGATATGAATAAATGAACAACAAACACAAAAGATAAATTAATGACATTAAATATTTCTGTAGTCTTATTATTGGATTTTAATCCTGTTGAATTTTTTTAGGTACTTTACTTATTTCCATGAAAAAAATGGCCTATTTTCTGCTTTTGCTATAAATAAGTAGGAACGTAAAGTCTGGAGGGGTCAAGACTGGCTATTTGTATGATCCTGTGTTAGCCCACTGACTTTCTTGTCGTTTTAAATCTAATTTAATTGCCTGCCTTTTAAAAAACTTTCTTTCCTTACCATTACTATTATTTTTTGAGATGAGGTTTCTACTGTATTGCCCAGGGTGGATCTGAACTCCTGCATTCAGGGATCCTCTCTCCTCAGCCTCTGGAGTAGCTGGGACTACAAATGCACATCATTGTGCCAGTCTGTGCTTCCTTTTTTTTTTTTTAACTTCCAAATTATTTTTATATCCTAATGATCTGTTTAATTGTCCTTCTTCACTAGAATTTAGGATCCTTGAAGACAAGCATTGTGTATATTTTAAGTTCTTGAAACTGTAAATGAGGGATAAGAAACCTTTTTCTCTCTACTTCCTTAGGTTCATTCCCTGTAAATTAAATTGACAAAAGACATATTACAAGAGAAAAACAAACAAGTTTATTAATGCATGCATTGTGTAATTCAAAGGGGTGGTAGGAACTTGGGTTTATGTAGCATTTTAACAAAGAAGAGTAAATTTGTAGAGAAGGGACAAGACAAAGAAAAATAGGCTTTTAGGGGTAGCAAACTGTAAATATATGAGGAAACTAATGGAAGATAAGGGTTGTTTTAGTAAGATTTTGTTATGTAGATTCTTCTGGAACATCTTTGGGTTAAGAGTCTAGAATCGTCTCCTATAATTAAAAATCATCTTGCCCTTCCTTGTAGAAAAGGTGAGGGCAGAGAGTTTGCTCTTTGTCTACTTTTTCTCAATTGCTTTCAGCTCAAAATAATCCTTAGGTCAAAGTGGAATATTTTGAGGTGGCATATTCTGAATTCCTTCAGCACACAGAATGTGTTCTTCATATATAATTGTTAAATAAATTAAATGAAAGTATTTGAGAAAAAGAGATTTTCACAGGATTCAGCAAACGTTTATGTTTTAAATTTTGTTTTATCAGTAACCATTAGCAAAAAATTAGTAAGCACCCATAATGCCATTAAAAAACTGAACTGGTCTGTAATTTTTTATTCAGTCACAATGGACTTATAACATCAAACACCTCCTCTCATTCTGAAAATACACACATGTTTTAGCAGGCTTAAATTATGAACTTGTGTTTGTAGAAAATCATGTTTGATTTATTCATTTCTCCTAATACCATTCTTGGAATTTTTATTTCAGTTTCTTTCAAAAGCAATCACGTTCTTAACTTAGTCACTGGTATGAAAATAGGTCACTGTGATAGGTTCGTCAGAATACAAATGCACAGGGAATTGATATTTGGGGCCAGATCTGACTTGGATAAGTTTTCATTGTGAAAGTATTATGGAGCAATTTGTCTTACCCACAAATCTCTCTATTTTTGATAAAAGATTTATCATTCAGAGCACCCAGGCAAATAAATGGAAAAGTCTTAGTTACTGGTCTCTTAGAAACTGAATATTTATTACAGAGTATTTATTGGTCTTGTATGTATATAAAAAAATCAAGTTTCCTAATTTAAGAAGATAAATTTAACAAAAGTTTAAAGTAGTTTTATGTGGATATCCAAAGTGTTGAGCTAAGCCTTATCACCTGAAGCTAAGTAGTCTTGGAGACCAGCTTAGGATATTTTAAAATCAAGATGAAATTCAGATGAGAGGGGAAACATATACTGCAAAAAGAGATGTAGATACTTGTGGGAGGATATCCTAGGCTCTGGGAAAAGTGTGAGAGTAGTGTCAGATGAGTAAATGCAAGTCAGGTTTGTGAATTTAATTGGCCACAGTGGAGTATATATTGGTAGTGGGCAGGGACGTGTAGGGAGAGATGGGTAAGAATTGCATATGAAGTTGAGGAATTTCAACTGTATTCTTTATTTAGTTGAGAAATTTTCAAAGATTTTTGCGAGGTGTTGTAGAGATCAGCTATCTACTTCAGGAATGTGAGTTTTGAAATAGTGTCAAGCAATGACTTGAGTGGCTGACACTGGAGGAAGTAAAAAGAACCAGAAGGTTGTCCTAATAATCAAGACGAGAGCTAAAAAGGAGTTGAGCTATAGAGAAAAAAGTAGCAGCTGAAAGGAGAGGGTAGACCGTAGAGACTGGGAAGATGAGAAATCTCCATATTCAGCTTTTATGGGGCTCACAACGGGACATGGTAGGAGTGAACAGCATGGGCTGAGGTAATTTTCTTGTTCTACCCTGAAGTTTAGCGGAGCCCTGGAACTAACCTACTATAATGAGAAGGAGGAGATTCAAAAGGAGCAGGTAAGATGCAGAGCTTATCTTCTTTACTTTGGGGTTTGGGTTAGAAATATGAACTGAGGCCTGTGGCAATGTGACCTGCTCCCACTTTCTTCCCTGTTTTTCCATTGTACTATCACCTTCTGTCTAAGGTTCCTCTTAAGGCAGGACCCTAAAGTCCTCTTAGTGCATTGTAAACCAATACAATTCTAAGTCCCCCAGCCACCTGAACATACCCTTCCTGTCCACCAAGGGCATTCCAAAGTTGAGACATAGAAAGGTTCTAATTAAGACAGCATAGTAGAATCTCCTAGAAATCAACTGGTAGTTCAGAACTGCAGGGGGATGGGTCAGACATGCCTCACAGCTGACCAGCATTAACATCAACAGAGAACTTAGGCTGATAAAATAGACTAAGTCTGATAAGAAACATTTACAATTTATTCTTTTTGAAGCCTGCTACCTGTAGGCTTCATCTGGATAATAAAACCTTGGTTTTCACAACTGCTTCTCATACCCCAGACATTCCTCTCTACTGATTCCAGGTCTTTAGATAATAACTCTTTTAGCTAAGTGCCAGTGAGAAAATCTTTGAATCCACCTATGAACTGGAAGTGTTCCACCCCCACCCCCACTCAGCTTCCAGTTGTCCTGCCTTTCTGGACTAAACCAATGTACATCTTACATGTATTAATTGATGCCTTATGTCTCCCTAAAATGTATAAAACCAAGTTGTAGCCTGACCACTTTGGGCACATGTTCTCTGTATCTCCTGAGGGCTATGTCAGCGGCCATTGATCACTCATATTTGGCTCAGAATAAATCTCTTCAAATATTTTAGAGAATTTTACTCTTTTCATCAACAGCATCTACCTTAACTCTGAGAGACCCTTTGGAATCATTATGGCAAATTCTAATGTTTCTACATTTATCTATATGGTTTTTTTTCTTTCCCTCTTTCTTCATTTTATGCCTTTGTGGTCCTATCAAATATTACCAAATATCCAGACAGTAAAGAAATAAGGGAGTTAAATCAGATATGTATTCTCCATAATTACAGCAAAGCCTACCTACTCACATTTTGTAGCAAAGGCAGTAGCAGTTTTCATCTTACTTTTATCTGGTTACTTCTTAATTTCATGCCTTAAAGACATAGAGAGACAGTTGAGGTAATAGGATGAGAAAGGTCTTTTATTTGATCAGATGTTCAACTTACCTCCCTGTTGCTTAATAGAAAGAACATTGAGATATGAGTCATCAGTTTGCTGTGTGACCTTGGGCAGGTCATTTAACTTCTCAATGCCTTAGTTGCCTAGCACTTAAAGATTATAGTGAGGGAAAATAAGGAGATAGTAGATGTGAGAGTGCTTTGATATTTTTTGATAGCAGATGCAGAAATGCTGAGCATTAGTTTTTGTTACTCTTGTAGGCCTGATTGCTACAGATTTTCAGGTTAGATTACATTACTCAACTAGAGATTTTGTTGGTCCTCATCTCTCTAGGCTTTTCCTAATATTAATGGTTGTTTTCCTGTAAGTCAGCACAGTCAGTCCTCAATGATCAGCAAATCAGTTGTGATGGAAAAGACAGAAATGGAACTCAGACCAAGTAGAATTTCTAACTCAAACCCATTCATTTTTTACTATGCTTCTGCCTTCATAGCTTCTTATAAAGAGAGAGGAAGACAGAGAGAGAGAGAAAGACGGAGAAAGAAAGGGGAGAGGAGAGGGAGTGAGTGGAAATCAGAGGACTATTACTTGTCACCTTCAAATCTCGATTCGGGGTGTCAACATCTGGGAAGGATGAATGATCTCAAGAGCAACTGAATCCAAAGACTGACAATTTTTCTGTGACTAGTGGGGTCGAGGTGTACTACTCTTCTTTATTTGTAAAGTTTATATCTACATCATGAATGGATATAGGGGATATATGGATATAAGGTGGGATATATGGATATATGATGGATAGAGGGGGAGTGTAAGATAATAGATAAAATGCAATGGGAATTTTGATGAGGGAGATAATTTTTACAATTAGGTAGATAAGCAGAAACTTTTCATTTAATTAATCAGTCATTATTTTATACAGCCATTCAAGAAATATAGAGACCTTTTTCCTTGCCAGGCAATGGAGATATAGCAGTTAATATAATAGATGTAGTTTTCTCATGGAGCTTATTATCTACTAATGAGATAGCTCCCAAATGACTAATAAATTACACTTTTGGTAACTGCTAGGAAGGAGAAGCACAGAGTGCTTCAACATATAAAAGGAGTGACCTCGACGAGTAGTGAGGGTATCATAAATGTTCATAGAATAGGTGATATTTGCATGGGACCATTTTTTGAAGCTTGAGCTAGAAAAGTTCCAATAATTTATCTGGTTCACAGATTGTTTTCCTAGGGCATAGAACCACAAACTTATTTACCTTTTTTACCTAGCCAATCAGTGTAATCTTGAGCAGGGTACTCTTATACAGCAAGGGATAGCCTTCACTTCACTTTATATACCTGAAGAAAATTTTCACAAGGGACACCTTACTTCTGAGGAGGTCTTGGCTGAGACAAGGGAACTTAGTTGTTGGGGTTGAATTACCCTTTCTATAGTTCATGGGATATTAACAATACCTTAAACATGTATAGGATTTAAATTATTAACTGTTTATGAAGTTATTTGTGCTCCATACATTGTGAATACTTTTAATAAATCCTTGAGATAGTGAGTTATAATTACTCGTTTATATATTTATCTCTTCCACTAGACCCTTGATCTACTGAGTACTTAACATAGTGCCTAAAACATACTAGACACTCATTATTTTCTTTCACAAATAAATGAAATAATATGTAGCAGTAATATTTGTCTACCAAAGATATTTGGTCTTTGCAAGCATCATTCTACATGCTGTAGATCTAGTAGTTAATAAAACAGACCAAGTCTCAACCTTCATGAGGTAGAGATGAGCAACTACAAATAAACAAATTAATATTGAATATGCTATAAGTTTTATTGTATTATTTCAGGTACTCCAAGAAGCAAACACCAAGACAGAATTAGATGGTATAAGAATGAGATTTAAAGGGGGAGATACCTGTGAAAGATGAAGGGGAGGGAATAAGATTAGACAGGAGAGCCTTCAGGCTATTATGCAGGTCTGAAGCCTGTGAAATGGAAGGGAGAAGGAAGAAGGTTTAGGGAAGAAGAATCTCAGATTGTAGCAGTTTTAAAGAAGTTTCAGCTAAGTTGATGGGTAGTTCCTGAGCCCAAGTTGCCTATTAGAGGAGTCCCGAGTCATTAGGAATAGTCTTAAAGTATTATTCCTGCTGTGCTGAAATACTGGCTGGGACCATCTTGGGGAAGGCTTGGCCTCAGAGCATGCAGAGGTGAATACAGACAGTTGGGACTGTCAGTCAATTTGCTCCCCAAGAAAGTTCTTTTGAAAGAGATCTGAGTGGCTTAGTTCCACCACTGCCACGGTTATAAAGGAAAAAAAAAGTATAAGAAAAGTGTATGAAAAATGAGACTGCCATTTTAGATAATTTGACCTGAGAAGGCTTCTTGGACATGACAACATTTGGATATAGGTCTGAATAAAATGTGGGAAAAAACCCCATATGGATATCTTTGAAAGGAGATCCGAGGCAGAAGGAAGTACAATACAAAGGCTCTGAGGGAGAGGATGTTTGGTGTGCATGATAAGGGAAGGAGAAGACAAGTGTGTCTGGAGCACAGTGAATTAGGGGGAGAGTGGTGAGACATGAGGGCTTATTCATCTGTTCAACAAATATTTATTACCTGCCTCCTATATCCTAAGCACTACTCTAGGTACTTGGAATATTGAAGGGAATTAAACTGACCCAAAAAAATATGTCTTTACTGGGTTTACATTCTAATGGGGAAGACAGATGATCAACAAGATAAATAATTAATTAGATTATGATCAAAGTTCAGGACAGAATAAAGTAGGGATGGAGGATATGAAATGGTGAGTGGGCAGAAAGGATGATGAGGGCAGGTGTTATTGAAAAAGTGACTTATTAATGAAAACCTGAAGAAAGTGAGAGCTCAAACTAGGCAGTTATGAAAAAGGGAGATATTCTAGGTAGGGAGAATAAAAGGTACAAAGCCTCTGAGGGCAGGAGTCTGCTTGGTGTGACAGAGGACCAGCAAGGAGGCAGCTGAAGAGGAGTCCATGATTGGAAATAGGAGATGAAATCAGAGGAGTATTGGAAGGTCAGATTATAAAGAAATTTTTGGATTATATAAATGAATTTCGGTGAAGAGACTGCTTTCTAGGCTGGTTATGGTGGCTCATGCCTATAATCCCAGAACTTTGGGAGGCCGAGGCGGGTGGATTACTTGAGGTCAGGAGTTCAAGATCAGCCTAGCCAACATGGTGAAACCCTGTTTCTACTGAACATACAAAAAAAAAAAAAAAAGTTAGCTGGGTGTGGTAGTGTGCTCCTGTAATTCCAGCTACTCAGGAGGCTAAGGCAGGAGAATTGCTTGAACCTGGGAGGCAGAGGTTGCAGGCCTGGGGACAGGGCAGGGAGAAAGTCTCTGTCTCAAAAAAAAAAAAAAAAAAAAAAGACTGATTTCTTTGTGCCCATAAGTTCAGAGAAGAGCTGGAGGCATTAAATCAGAATTGTGTAAACAATTCTGCTCCATGGTCTTTGATGCCTTCTTGTACCAGCCCTAGTACAAGAAGAATCTATACTGGGGCAGGTTGCTAAAAATCTAAAAAAAATCAACATTGATATTAGCTTGGAAACAGAGTGGGAGAAATTGAACTTAACTAAGTATTTGTATTCAGTGCTAAGGTACTGCATTTTAGA